>NC_000006.12:143820790-145070790 GCF_000001405.40 Homo sapiens
CTTCCACACTGCCCTAGTAGAGGTTCTCTGTGGGGGCTGTGCCCTTCCAGTAGGCTTCTGCCTGGACACCCAGGCTTTTCCATGTATCCCCTGAAATCTAGGTGGAGTGTCTGAAGCTTCCATCACTTTTGCATTCTGTGCATCTGCAGGCTTAACATCATGTAGAAGCTGTCAAGGCTTTCAGCTTGCACCCTCTGAAGCAGAAGCCTGAGCTGTATCTGGGGCCCTTTGCGCCAAGGCTGGAGCCAAAGTGGCTGGGATGCAGGGAACAATGTCCTGAGGCTGCACGAGGCAGCAGGGCCCTTGACCTGGCCCTCGAAAAAGTGAAAGAGTGATGTTGCCTCTGTGTATCAAATGCAGGCATGGCGGTCCTCACATCTGCCCAAGGTTACAGTCAGGGATAGACTAAGAACAGAACTCAAAGTGGACACATTCCTGCTTTAGTAATAAATTGCCTACCAGTTTTGTAAAGCTTGGTATATCTTATTTTTCTTTTGACTTTTGTCAAACACAGAAGTAATATAAGTCCCTCGTATCCAACTAGCAGCTCCTCAGTTATCAATTCGTGGCCCATCTCATTTCACCTGCTCTTATTTTTTAGTTTTTCATTTTGTAATGCTTGTATTCAACACAGTGACGTTTAGTAAGTACTATCACGTGCCGGAGATTGTATTCAATGAGTATGTAAAAATGGATAAGAAAGTTTCCTTCCTCAGCTTCTCATGATCCAATAGCAAAGGCACATGTATCCAAAGATTATATAATGTAAGCAATAACTGGCATAAGCCAAAGGTTATGGGAACACAGGAAAGAGAGCAATTAGTGCTTCCCTGAGCAGTGGAGAAAAGAGTTTGGAGAACTCACAGAGTGAGACTGCATAAAGCGCAGATGGTAAGAGAGATAAAGGTAGAAGAAAGAGTAGGCCAGGTGTGGTGGATCAAACCTGTAATCGCAGCACGCTGGGAGGCCGAGGACAGATTGCTTGAGTGCAGGAGTTTGAGAACAGCCTGAGCAACATAGCAAAACCCCATTTCTACTAAAAATACAAATATTAGCTGGGCATGGTGGTGCATGCTTGTAGTTTCAGCTACTTGGATGCTGAGGTGGGAGAATCACCTGAGCCCAGGAGGTTGAAGCTGCAGTGAGCTGAGATCGCACCACTGCACTCCAGCCTGGGCAATAGGAGTGAAACCCTGTCCCCCTCTGGAGCTCCCCCCAACCCACCCTGCAAAAAGTAGGTAGAGGAAAGGGCATTAGCGCAAAAGCCTTTTTGGGGCAAGTGATTGAAATGGAGAGTATTTGGAAGCAGTGATAGAGATATAGCTAGAACCATGAGTTGGGCCACTTTCTGAAAAGCCTTACTTGCTACTCCAGGAACTTTAAATTTTATTTTGTTGGCTTTCTTATTTTAATTTTGTTAAGGGACAGGGTCTTACTATGTGCCCAGACTTGTCTTGAACTCCTGGACTCAAGGCTGTCCTCCCACCTCAACCTCCCAAGCAGCTGGGATTACAGGTGTATGCTACCATGCCCAGCTTAAATTTTATTTTGTAGGTAATGGGGAACAATACGATCCTTTTGAGAAAGAACTGGGTTGGGCGCAGTGGCTCGTACCTGTAATCACAGCACTGTGGAAGGCAAAGGTGGGCAAATCGCTTGAGACCAGGAGTTCAAGACCAGCCTAGGTAACATAGCGAGACCCCCATATCTAATTAAAAATAAAAAAAGATTTTAAAAACCCCAAGAACTGAAATGATGGAACCAGTATTTTTAAGGATAGTGTGAGCAACAGTGAGGAGCATAGATTTGATGGAGAGAGCCTGGGACAGGGAAACCAATTAGGAGACTGGCTGACCAGAGCAGATGAGCATTCGACTGTAGAAGACAGAGTGAAATGCTAGGCAGAGTTGCATAAATGTGGAATTGCAGAAGTAGGCTGAAGAGCTTGATCACTTAAGGCTTTATGGAGAAGATAACTTTTGACCTTGATCTTGAAAATGAAAACATAGATAGGAAATGAAGGGAAGGAATTGCAGTATTAGTGAACAGCATGTTCAAAAGCACCGGGCTACAAAAATGCAAGGAATGTTCAGGAACTCACAAGGAGGGAAAGGAAGCCAGCTGGCTGGCTAACAAGCATACCGTAAAAGTAGTGCCAGCAAAAGATGGAACTTTAATGATTCCAAGACAGGCAGTTGAGGCAGGACTTGGTGACTAATAGGAAATGCTGGATGAGGGAGAGAAATGAATTGCTAATCTGAGGTTTCTAGACCAAAAATATTTTTAAAGATAGAATATTAAATAAGACAAAGTGCAAAGGCAGGTTAACAAGGAAAGCTTTGTATAGTTGTGGACATGCTTAGTATATACCTGTGGAACATCTGGGGGGAAGCGCCCTGTGGGCTTTTGGAAATTCAAGTGTAGAAAGTAGATTTGGAGTCGTCAGCAGGAGATGATGAGAGGCTGAAGCTAATGAAAAAGTGTCTATTTGTTACTGTGCTTTTATAATACAGACGAGGTGTACCAAAATCCCTTTGTGAAACATCTCCCTCTGCTTGATAAAGGTTAGAGCACGATGCTCAAGAATAGTGATGTTTTCTGTCTTGGTTGCTGTGTAACTTGAATACTATAACCAGCATCTTTTATATAAGGTTTCCTTATATGCTTATATGTAAACATATATATAAGGAAAGCGTTTATATATGCTTTCCTTAATAATATTTGTAACAGTATTTTGTTATGACAGAAATTTGTAAACAGTAATTCAGTTGGGGGATATCTGGGGTACCTTTTCATTGTAAACATGACCACGCCTTATTCAGCTCACTGCATGCAGAATGTGCTCCTAGGCCACAGGCTTATAGTTTCTATTTCTTACTCCAGGTTTCATCGTCCATAACGAAGAGTGAGACTATTTGGAAACAGAGACTGATCATCTTTGGGGGAAGCCCTGCTTCCTGAAAACCTGATATTGCACTGGGATTTGAATGTGTGTGTTTCCGTTTAACTTGTGGTGAAGGAAGTGTGTGACTCAGCTTGGCTGGGAAGTGCTCCTCACCTGTGTGGCCCAGATGGCTCCAACAAGCAAAAGGAAGGATGCAGTGACTCTTGCTGCCCAGAATGCACAGCGATGGTAAGAGACACCGTGGATATTCTTCATCAGAAGCTTTAATCAAAGAAGATGAGCAGAAGACAATCACTGGCTCCCTGTTACCAGAAAGCCAAATTTTATAATGCGGGTGAAAGAAAAATATAGATTAAAATTGCTGGGCACTGAAAAGGGGTGGGAGTTGGAAATCAGAAAGAAAGAGAAATATTTCATTATGTTAATGAAGAAAAGAGAAAATTGAAGCATAAATGTATTTTTGAAGTAGTTATTCGGTAGCTGAGAACTTATTAAGGGATTTAGGAATTTAACCTCCTGATGTGGATTCCTCAAAGACTTGATCGGAGAATACTCTTGTTTCACCATTATGTTGGTACAGTATAGTACCATTATTTTATGTTGTGCCAGTGAATCCAGTTGCCAGAAATAAGTCTGAATGTTTTCATGCATCTTTTTCTTAAATGCAAGAGCTTCTACTGACTCTTAACAAGCATGCTTACCCAAATTTTGTTGCATGCTTTTAAGTAGCATTAGCTATGCACACTTGACATTTTTAAATATCCCTTTCCTAGTGTACCAGCCTTCACAGGATAAGAGGACTGGGAATAAAGTCAGATGTAATGTGACCCTAGAAAACTGTAGCAAGCTTCAGAAATAAATCTTTTGATCTTTCCCTATCTTGATTAGATCCAAAGTCAAAGCAACCATACTTCACCTAGAGAAGACAGTATTGGCAATCATGACACCTGTAATAAAAACTTGAATCCAAAGTCAAAACTTAAGCAAGATACAAATGTGCTGCCTGCAGTTAGTCCTGCATGGGAATAAGGACTAGTTATTTTTTTAGTGCTGCATTTTTTTAAAGTTGGATTGCTGCTATTTAAAAAAAAAAAAAGGACACAGATCAAAAAAACACCCAAAGGCTTAACAGAACATGGAAAGTTCCCACTAAGTTGTGTGTGAGGAAATCCTCATCTTGTATTTTAAGAATCTGCAGATGGCATCCATAGATACAGTACAGTATTTACTGTCAATGCAAAAGAATCAGTGAGGTTAAAGTAGTGGAAGTTTTCCCTATGAGCCTACAGTCTGTATTGTTTACATTAAGAAACTCTCTATTATTGTGTTGCTATTTTCCATGGAGTCACAGGCACACTATGACTTCTGCTCCCAAATACATATGACCATATGTAAATACCACCTTGCATTTCATTGTTCTTCACAAGTGCTTTGTGCCCCTTTAATTAAAAACACATGAAATGAATAACAAAACAAGACCCAAATAGAGTTTATTTTATTCTCAGAGTTTGGACTACAATTTTCTAAGATGTTTCTGGTTCAAGACTGTCATTTTCTATTTCAACCGAAAAGTAAGCATTTAACCCGGTGAATAAATGTAGATCCTGCCATTCATTGGTATTTTAAAGAACCACTTGAAATCGGATCATTTTATTTAAAAATAAAAAATGTTAATGCCAGTTGGCCTACTATAAAAAGCCAGGACCATGTTAGAATTAGGAAAAGTAACCAGCATTACTGCACCTCTTGTTAGACTCTGTGCATTAATAAAACACACCTAGAGTCTGTTGTCATTTCACTAATAGGATAAGACAAATTTTTTGCTTTGAAAAAATTTTTCTGCATGCCCAGGTGTCTGTCTCTGGCTGAGGTTTTGTCTATTTTACAGTGTTTCAATCCAGCCATAAAAATTAACTTGTGATTTTTTTTTTCCCAAAGTCATGCTTTTCCTTAATTATATTTTTATTTTATTATTTTAGTGTCTTGAGAAAAATACCAAGAGATATAATGTTTCTTTTAATTGTCTATGCTTAATCATCTTTAAACACTTTTTAAATTTCTAACCACAAGACCTCTCTATAATGGTAAATGTAAGACATCACCATTTTATCACTCAAAGTATGTTATTGAAAGTTTCTATTTGGTTGATAAAAGGAACAATTTTTTCCCACTTTTGATGCCTGTGATGCAATTTTTTATTGCCTACAATGAGATACACTTAGTACAAAAAATGAAAATCTGGTATTTCAAAATTGCATTTCTTGTATAATAGGTCAGATTTATTAACTACTCATACTTTTTCTTTACACTAATCGATACATTTAGAAAAAATTTTCTAAGTTAGAGACAAGTTTAAAAGTAAAAAAAAAAAAAAATTAGCCACTGCTAGTCTACTGTTTAGGTAATCGGAATCACCAATTATTTTATTAGAATGATGGCTTGAGTAAAAAGCTGTGGAAAGAATTAAAGGATTATGAGCTAAGCTGTATTTTGCAGAATATGGTTCTATTTTAGTAGAGCAGAGATGAGACATATCCCCACCGGCCACCCAGCCAGAGGTCTCCTACCTGGGGGCCCTAAAGGGATGCAGAGGTCTGGCCCACCCTCCGTGCATAGGCACCTCTGTCCACCACCAGCGTTTCAGCAATCCAACCAGTAAGCATATGCTGTATAGGAAAAATAAAAGTGTGTGGGAATTGGATTTCTTTTGTTGTAACACAATTCCAGGTTTTTGGCTATTTAAAGTTTGACATTAGGCTGACATCGAGGAAGTAAGTGGGTTTTCCTGAGTTCCCAAGATATGATTAAGGAAGAAAACAAACCCATCTCCAGGAAGATCCCAGGCAGGAAAGAACTAGACAGATGTAGAAACCAAAGTGACCATTTTAGTTTTTTTATTGGAGAATAAAACATTAATATTAGGGTATTAAGAAGATGCTCAGCAAGCTTGATCAGAATCTTCATGGTCATTACCAATCAGTCTGACAAAATAGTTCTCTGGTAGTCAGCATTCATTTAAGGCAGCTTGCCTGATAATTTCCTGTGTTATGTGAAGTGTCTTGCACTTTCACATGTTAGCTATAATTCCTTAAATTACTTAACTGAAATCTGTAATAGAGAACCATTTTGGCATTTGAACAGCTATTTTACATGGAGAAAAAGCAAACACATCTGTTTGCTTTACCCAGAAAAACTGACTTTCTGGTTTCATCTTCATATTGTTTAGTAGCATAATGAGAGTAGTCCTTTATCTTTCTCTAATGTTAGTAAATATATTCTGTTAGTAGGAAGTTCTGAAATTGAAGGGAAAATATATTTAAGGAAATAAAGGAATTCAATACACCCTTCAAAAGTCACCAAATACTGAAAATAAGAGATGAGTCCTTAAAACCTGAGTCAAAAAAGGTCCAGTTTTACAGCCTGCAATTAATTCAGGGCTGCGTTGGCATTAAAAAAGAAAATATATATATATATATATATATATATATATATATATATATATATGTATATTATATATACAGTAGCTTACACTTAAAAGAGGAAAAATTTGCATTAACATTGCATATTCTGATATGTACCATATTAACACATAACAGGCATTTTATTTATGCTTCATAGAATCAGACAGACACAACTTTCAAAAATCTTACTGTATTCACAATAGAAAAGGGTAGTCTTGTCTACCACAGAGGAGTATGTCCACACTTAATAATGAAAACTTTCTTCCTTTCCTGCCCAAAAATTTCTTCAGTCTGTTATTATTTTTAAGTGCCCCTTGCTGCAAATTTCAAACAGAGCAAGAAATCTTCCTCAGAGTAGGTGGTATGAAATTAAACTAGTACAATATATATGAATTCATGTCATTTACCCCTGAGTATGGTAGAATTGTTAAAGCATTCTTAAATTCCAATTATATGAAGCCTATCATTACTAGGAAAAGTATATTCTTTGGGATAAGAATTAATTTCTTCACACTATTAGAGCATGTTGTGAGTAGTAAGGAACTACTTAGATGCAATTTATTTACAGAATTGTCCCTTGACCTCTTGAAATGGCTAGATCTTTCACTACTGTGTAGGTAGTCTCTACTTACTGGTAGGATAGATTACATTGCTTTACTGGACAAAGCAGAATGAACTTATATAACTAAAATATGTCCTATATTGGCTGGGTGCGGTGGCTTACACCTGTAATACCAGCACTTTGGGAGGCCAAGGTGGGTGGATCAGTTGAGGTCAGGAGTTCGAGACCAGCCTGGCCAACATGGTGAAACCCTGTCTCTACTGAAAATACAAAAAAAAAAAAGTATCTGGGCATGGTGGCTTGTGCCTGTAATCCCAGCTACTTGGGAGGCTGAGGCAGGGAAATCGCTTAAACCCGGGAGGTGGAGGTTGCAGTGGGCCCAGATCGTGCCACTCCACTCCAGCCTGGGAGACAGAGCAAGACTCCATCTCAAAATAATAATAATAGTAATAATGAATAAAATAAAATAAAATATGTCCTCCAGGGAAAAGCAATGACAGAGTAATCACCAAATTAATAGGAACATCTTTCTAGAGAAAGTACATGCCCAGTTAGTTCAAACCCAGGTTTCAAAGAAGTAGCACTGGGCTCTACTGTAAAGGCAGGCAGTGACCAAGAGGTGGTGGGGAGAGAGGTAGAGTACCCTCAAATCATTCCCATTTTCACTTCCAATTTCCCTTTTGTAATCATTAAGCTTAAGCTATGTATGGAAATGCAAAGCACCATTAGCATTTCTAGAAAGCAGCTGGAACCTTACCCACCAATGCTTTTTTGAAGACAGTATCATCCCAAATTTAAAAATCCTATTGTATATGTTGTAAAATTTCTGGCAAAGAAATGGAGGATCCTGTGGCAGCTATTCCCACCTAAAGCCAACCCTATAAGGATGGGTCATTTTTTAGCCATGCTAGGATTTACTGCACACACAAAAAATGTCATTTAGCTTGTCACATTGCTAGCACAGCTGCACATATGAGCAAAGCACTGTTGGTCTGTGTTTCTCAGTGGGGGTACTCTTGGCATTTGGAGCTGGATAGGTCTTTGCTGTACAGAATCATCCCATGCATTGCCAGATGTTTAATATCCCAGGCCCCTGCTGACTAAATGTCAGTAGCATTCTCAGTCATTGTAAACACCAAGAATAAAAAGCATTCCCCCAGGTTCAAATGCCCTCCCTGGGAGGTTGGTATCACCTCCCCTGAATGCCACTGTCTACTGCATTTTGAGGACACAGGGAGAAAAAGTGCCTATCCTCAAACATTGTCTCTGCTGCCTTGCATTTCTTTGGGCCCTGAATGGTTTTTCTCCCTTCATTTTTCGAGCCTTTCTCTCAGTGCAGCTGTTCTTCAGGGAGGAGGTTACTGGGCAGCCTTGGCCATTCAGTGGGCATGGGGACTTGGCCTAGTCCCTATATATATATACTTAAAGTCCCTATATATACTTAAAGGAGAGATCATACATGAAGAAAGCTTTTTTTTTTTTTTTTTTTTTTGCCTTACAACTTTTCTTTAGAACCACATTATTGGTCATAATCCTTGTTACTGTCATGAGGATTGTTGCATGGGTTAAACACAAACACAGACTAGCAATGCACTTGAACAAACCTGGTGGTCTTTGGAAATAAATCACCATTAGATTTCACCTGGTTATGCTGCATCCCATAAGTTCCAAATGAATCACCTGCTTATCCTATTAACGAAGCATTTAATTCACACACAAATGCTTGAATTTCCCCTGTATAAATGTAGTCATGCGATTCAACTTTTCTAATAAGATTTGTGAATGCTGCATCATGATGAAAATGTGGATTAACTGTGGGTTGCATGCCTGTTGTTCATACTTCAGTGATGGTCACACACAAAACAAGATGAGTTTTACTTAGGTGAAACATTATTAAACTGTACTAACAATACAGAAACATATTCTCTTTGTCGCTTTTTATCACCAAAACTGAATGGCAAATATGTCTTGACATTACTTGGATGAACTGTGGCTAGCAAAATGGAATTAACTTAGCCACTATAATTTTTTAAAACATTAAAGTTTCTAAATTGTTTTTGGGGCCGAGTAACGCAGAGTCAATAAAGGTGGTTATATTGTAAGCTTTTAGATGGTGCTTAAGAATTCTTATCTTTTTAAATAGCAGTATTTTTTTTTTAAGAATAAATTGTAAGGAGCAAATAAGGCAGAATGCCACTCTACCCTCAGGTCAATTTTATGGTATATGAAAATGCCAGTAATATTTGTGCCACTTGCCAACTCGGGGGAGGAGGGGCTTTTCCCTTACTGGATACTTTTGTTATAGTTTGACTATGTCATTATGTTGTTTAGAGAGCCTCCACAATGAGAAGTTGCCACTGCAGGGCTAACTCGCCTTCAGAAATAATCAGAATGATTCAAGGGTCAAACCACTTTCATCCCTTAAAATATAGGGACTAATATTTCTTTTTCTTTTTTTTAAAAAAAACATTTCTTCTGTGGCTTAGAAATGTGCCAGTGTGTTCAAAACATTTACACCAATTTCACCAGATTTAGGACCTATTAAAAATTCAAACAAGTTTCTTTTTTTTTTTTTTTTTTCTGTGTAACAGGGATTTTTAAATAACGGACTATATGCATTCTTTTGTTATTTCACACTTCAGTTAAAGTGATAACAATGGTAAACTGTGATCATTATCAGACTGACTGAATGCTTTCTGATTTCCAGTGAGTGATCTAGTTCTACGTATTACACAGGTGTAATATCTGTGAGTGTAAATAACTGGAACTGTACACTGATTAACATGACAGTTTCTCTTTTGTTGTTCTTATCTGTACTGTATTATAGTATGTGGGTATAAATATCTACAAGTATACACACATATGTACTTGTATTCCACTATTGTAACCTGAAAGAAAGACTATGTATTCCCTTTTTTAATTCCGTACTGGTATTTGTGTTATTTAAAAAGCAAAATTCTGCTCTATTTAGTTGTATAATATTAGAGGATACTTTGCTGTGCACAATTCCAAGTGCCTTAGAACATTGTTTAGCTTTCCTAAGTATATATAAATGCATATATGTATAAAATTGGGAAAAGTTACCTCAATAAAATCATTGGGAAATCCCCAGTTTTAGTTTGTTCCAGTTTCTCTTATATTTGGATAGTGCTCAGCCTTTTTAAATGAAAAAAGAAAAAAGAGTAAGACAACTTCCCTAATTGCCTGTTATTTCAGCTTCACCTAAGTTTTTAACACCTCTTTGTATGTAAGGTCTTGAGACATGTAAGGCCTGGTACTTTTTATTTAAAATGTCTGTCTAAAGAATTACTGCTCTTAAAAGAAACTTCCAGTATTTTTTTTAACTTGCTATCTTTTTATGTCTGAGGTATTTGATATTGATGTTTTTATTGCCATTATTATATGTAAACATAAAAGATAGTCCATTTAGAGTTTATAATATAGAAAATAAACAGACTTCCTCATTATGCTTGCTATTTAATGTATTACAAGCAAGGAGTGAGGTTGGGAGCATATTTTGACCATGAAAAGAATTGGAATATACTTTTTGTGACTTTCAACATCAGTTACAAATAGTAACTTTACCTCCCCGCACTCCAGGACAAGGTCAAAGATGTAAGGGGAAACTTGAAAGCAACGTGCTTGCTGGTATCCTAGACAGAAGACCGGAGGATTGGAACCAAAAAATTAAAAAGTAGGTTTGAAAAATTTGTCCGAAGCATGCTATTGAAAACGAGAGGTACATCTTCAAGGCAGGCATAGTAGTTGTTGCAATTCTATTTCTTTCTCAGACAAAACCAAGTTCTACATAGAAACATTACTGTCTAAAACCCAATGGAGGTAAGAAATGGGCAATTTTTCATTTTACACAATGCTATGGTGACCTCTGATTTATTGTAATTTAACTATTCAATGAAAAAATAAAAATTAAAAAATTGAAACATAAATTTTAAAAGGCCAGGTGCAGTGGCTCATGACTGTAATTCCAGCACTTTGGGAGGCCAAGGCGGGAAGACTGCTTGAGCCCAAGAGTTTGAGACCAGCCTGGGCAACACAGTGAAACCCCATCTCTATAAAAAATAAAAATAGAAAAACAAATGAACTAGTCATGAGCCTCAATTCAAACTTCTGCATGGAGTTGCTGCTATGAGCACTGCTGCCCACAGACACCCAAGTCCTCACTTAGTTTGTGAATTTTAAACTCTTTGCTCTTTAAAGGGTGGTCTCTAATAGTGGAACACGTAAAATCTAGAGATAGGCTAAGAACCTAAAGTTCGTGTGAAGATTTTTTTGCTCTTTTGTTAAAAAGAGACACCATTTCTAAGGATTTGAATTAAAAAAAAAGCTGCAGATGTTAGCTTTTTGAAATTAGATGAATATCATAGGGAAGAGAGAAGTAGCATTTTCAGTGCTTGTCTACTCAATGATTTGATTTCGGATGGACTTTTTGACCTTGGTTGTCCCAGGTCAGACAAACTAGAGAAGCGGGTATTTAACATAAGGCAAGAATTTGCCTCTAATTTTTCAGGTAGCAGTATGCAGCAAACTGAGCTGCAAAATCTTTTCCCACAGTCAGTCCTTGTTTTTTTGTGTGTGGTTTTTTTGGTTTTTTGGTTTTTGTTTTTTTTTTTTTTTTTTTGGAGACAGGGTCTTGCTCTGTCACACAGGCTGGAGTACAGTGGCACAGTCATGGCTCACGGCATCCTGGAACTCCGGGGCTCAAGCCGTCCTCCTGCCTCAGCCTCCAAAATAGCTGGGACTACAGGCATGCTCCACCATGCCTGGCTAATTCTTTTTTTGTTGTTTTTTGTATTTTTTGTAGAGATGGGGCTCTCTTTGTTGTCCCAGCTAGTTTTGAACTCCTGGACTCAAGCAATCCTCCCACCTCAACCTCCCAAAGTACTGGGATCACTGGCATGAGCCACCGTGCCCAAATGGCATTAATCTTCCTAAAGCACACTCTTATCTAATTCCTGCTTAGAATTGTCCAGTACCTGCTGAATAACTCCCAGGTGCTTTAATCTAGCCCTCAAGAGCTGTAGTTACAGCCAGGCACAGTGGCTCGAGCCTGTAATACCAGCACTTTGGGAGGCCAAGGCCGGTGGATCCTTTGTGCCAAGGAGTTCAAGACCAGCCTGGCCAACATGGTGAAACCCTGTCTCTACCAAAAATACAAAAATTAGCCAGATGTGGTGGTGTGCACCTGTAGTCCCAGCTACTTAGGAGGCTGAGGCTCGAGAATTGCTTGAACCCGGGAGGCGGAGGTTACAGTAAGCTGAGACCTCCCCACTGCAAAGCGAGACCCTGTCTCAAAAAAAAAAAATCTATAGTCTAACCACATGCCACAGTTCCAGATTACACTCCTTTATTTCACACTTGGACCAAATCAAATGAAACTCATTGTTCCCCAAGTATGTGATGCACTCTTTGCAAATCACAACTTTGATTAAGCCATTCCCTCCAACTGGAGCTTTTTATGTGTTAATATCCAACTCATCCTTCTGGGAACAATGCAAATGTCTTCTCTAGCTATTCCATTATAGTTTCTTTAAAGTTTTTCTTGAAATAGCATATATAAATTCGGCAGATTTTATTTTCTGTATAATCATTTCAAATGCCCAAATGTGACTATAACAAGCATTTAACAACACTTTTAAATCTAATGCATTATATATGCAGTAAATCTACTTTTCTTAGATATTTCAGTATTATTTACAAATGTAGAAATGTTCTTATACTCTTTAATTTTACAAGTCTAAAATTAGTTACATAGTTTAAGTTGGAATTGCATGGCCAATAAGTCAGATTCTACAATATTCCAGTTTTTTTTAAATTGTAAGTGCTTTAATACCAAGTACATATAGATTATCTTAATAATTATAAAATATAATTAAATGTAACACAAAAGTATTATCTTGACTTTGATTTAATATCCATATTTAATTCCCGGGCTTGTAGAAACAGATACTAAGAAAACAGATTTTAAAACCTCAAGCAAACTGATTACTAGATTGACAATTCACTATTTGCTTAATGGGGAAAAAAAAATCCACGACTGATAAATGCGTCCTAAGCGTTACATACTTCTGGGAAGAATCTACTTCAACCACAGGGACATACTCGGAACCAGTTTTCAATCCTTATATCGTTAGAGGGTCTCCAAATTCACAGCCTTCAGAAATAATTGGTTTTGTTATACCTGATTCAAACTGCATCCTAAAAAGTTCTTTGATAGGTAGAAGGAAGTTTGGCTGGCACAGTGGTTCCTGCCTATAACCCCAGTGCTTTGTGAGGCCAAAGCAGGAGGATTGCCTGAGTCCAGAAGTTTGAGACCAGCCTGGGCAACATAGCAAGACCCTGACTCTACAAATAATTTAAAAAGTTAGCCAAGCCTGGTGGCGTACCTATAGTCCCAGCCACTTGGTAGGCTGAGGCAGGGAGATTGCTTGAACCTAGGCGGTCAAGGCTGCAGTGAGCTATGGTCACAACACTGCACTCTCGCCTGGGTGACAGAGTGAGACCCTTTCTCTAAAAGAAAAAAGAAAACAAGATGTAGAAAAGTAGAAGGAACTCTCAAGTTGCAGTTAATTTCCTTCAACAATCTTTCACTGGCCTACTTGAGACTTTGCATTTTTTCCATATTCTCTCTCTCCAACTAGACATAATTTATTTAAATGACATTTAATTTTTAAAAAGCTTTCTTATAGAGACAGAGGTCTCACTAGGTTACCCAGGCTGGTCTCAAACAACTAGCCTCAAGCAATCCTTCCTCTTCGGCCTTCCAAAATGTTGGGATTACAAGCATGAGCCACCACACCCAGCCATGGCATCTAATTAGATTGCACATTTATCCCATACCAATGTCTAATCTAGATTTTTTCCTGTGACCAGAACTCTATAGTTGTGCTCAGAATGGCACAATTAAGTATTAAAGCTGAGCCAAAGATAGAAGCTGTAATGAGACTAAAGAGATAAACGAAGACTAAATCTTGAGGGTCCTTTGAAACCTTGTCAAAGAATTTAGAACTTATCCTTGAGACAATAGAGATTCACCAAAGTATTTTAAGCTCAGGGGTAACATCATCAGATTTGCCCTAATCATCCTGGCCACAGTGGATTGGATTGAAGGAATGGATTAGATCGGAGGAAGCAATATTGGAAGCATGGTGGCCATTACTACTGCCATAATCTTGTTGGGAGGTGATGGTGGCCCCAAACAAGGTATTAACTATTGGAATGAAGAGACATAAACAGACTCAAAGGACAGTTATGAAGTGGAAATGATTGTTCCATATGGTAAATGGAGGAGATGGAAAAGTTAAGATTATACCTATCATGTGACTGGCTTGAGCGGATGGTGGTGATGCCACTTGCTGAAATAGAAAACAGCAGCGCTGAGGCTGATGTGAGGCTAGATTGGAGGGCAGGGAAGAGCAAGAGAGCATAGGAAGTACAGAAAGGGGAGGCATTCAAATTTGGAAATGCAATTCAATTTGTTTGAATTGCCTTCTGTTAGGACGTCCACATGTGGATAGATGTACAGTAGTCAGTTGGATATATGAGTCTGAAAGTCAGGAAAAAAGTCTGGGCTACAGATAGGAAGCTGAGAATCAGCAGCACGTGTAATGGAAGCTGTGGAAGTGGATAAACCTCTTCAACAGACAATGTAGCTTAAGACCATGAAGAAATTACTACAATAAAAATCTAATAAACTATTCTCTCATTGCCGGGTTTTGTCTCCAAGGCTGCAAAATCAAATCATTTATTCATCATCTAAGTGCTTAGGATGTTTGTCTTAATTTTAATGAGTTTTATGGGATAGCTTAACTTTAAATAAAATGGAATACTACATTATGTAGGGGGGTAAGTTGTAAAGCAAAAATTATATTTAAAAATGCCTTATATTGCTTGCACGTTGGTTCAATGTGCAAGCAAACAGATTCTCATGAAGTGAACCTGATTTGAAGCAAAGCTCGTGCCCCCTGACGCATCCTAGATACTGAAGGTCCTGTTTCAGGAAACGATCGTCCTGAAGTACAATGCAGTGAGGTGAATAACTACATTCAGCTGAGAAAACGACAGTAGCTCACGTTCATCAAATGCTTACTAGAAGCCAAGCACAGGTCCAAGTACTTCATACCCATCCTCTCATTTAATCCAACAACAACTCTGGAAGGTACGTATTAATATCATTCCCATTTTACATTCAGGTAAGTAAACTGAGGTCCATTTAGCCCGAGTTGCATAATACGAATGAAACAAATGCCAGAGACTACTTCCAGCTAGTATACAATGCATACTACTGTCATCAGTTAATATTGTAGGGGAAAATTTGTGCTTCGTGAGAAATGATGCATTGTAGAGACAAGCACACCTTTTGATTCTGATTTTATGAGGGTTCTGTGCCTCTCCTTATCTTTGAGCTATTTTACAACATTGTAAATTTCAGAAAGCTGACAGTCATGCAAAACAATTCTTGTCTCTAAACATCTACATAAATTCTGTCCAGTAGAGATTTCAACTCACTTCCCTCCCTCATCGTGGAAGAAGTAAGTTGTGTCTCCATTTGCACATTCTTCACAATATTCCTGCTCTATAAATGTTTCTGTTCTTTGGATTGTCCTTTGAACTAATTGTAACATCTTACTGGTTCCTTCATTAATCATGTGTAAAATAAGATCTTTAACATGTGCTCACTTTATATATGAGAGCCATGACATTAAATCCTGCTATAAGGATTTAATGGGTAAATGTATGTAAAGCACTTTGAACAGTGCGATTATTATTGAGCCTTCAATATGCTAGGCCCTGAAGAAGTCAAGTCAGCAAGACAAAGATCCTTGCTTTTGAGTAGGTGACTGAAGTCTAGTTCTAGAGACAGATGAAAATAAGAATTTACAACTTAGCATAACTGAGCAGGGTAGTGTGATCACAGGATACAGTGAGAACATTCGGGATGAGCCCCAGTTATGAAGAGCATTATCGTTCAACAATATTTATTGAACCAAATTATATTAGTGCCTCTTTCCTTTTATTTTTAAGTATTGCTACTTTATATATACATATAAAACCAAATGTAATACTTTAAGTCTTCACTCTAATCACATAAACATTGAAGAAATATCTCATATAGACACTGAAAGTTCCCTGCAATCCCATCCCAGCTCTTTGTGAATAATCGTTGTTGACAATTTGGTGCATAGTCTCCCAGATTTTTTTTACACTTGCACTATGATATTTCTTTTTTTTTTTTTTTTTTGAGACAGAGTCTTGCTCTGCTGCCCAGGCTGGAGCACGTTGGCGCAGTCTCGGCTCACTGCAAGCTCCGCCTCCCAGGTTCACACCATTCTTCTGCCTCAGCCTCCCAAGTAGCTGGGATTACAGGCGCCCGCCACCACGCCTGGCTAATTTTTTTGTGTTTTCAGTAGAGACGGGGTTTCACCATGTTAGCCAGGATGGTCTCGATCTCCTGACCTCGTGATCCACCCGCCTCGGCCTCCCAAAGTGCTGGGATTACAGGCGTGAGCCACCGTGCCTGGCTGCACTATGATATTTCTTTGTAACATATTTTTCTTTTTTCATACATTTTTAACAAAAAGAAGCCAGGCACAGTGATGTGCTTATAGTCCCAGCTACTTGGGAGGCTGAGGCAAGAGGATCAATTGAGGCCAGGAGCTTGAAACCAGCTTGGGCAACATAGCAAGACCCCATCTCAAAAACACAAAACTTGATCTAAATTAAACCAGCATCACAGTAGCTCGTTGTATGAATGGTTGGTTGGTTTGTTTGTTTGTTTTAATTAATCCTTTACTAACGAAATTTTTCTTTTTTTAAGATATAGAGTCTTGCTATGTTGCCTAGGCTGGACTCAAACTCCTGGGCACCACAACGGGCTCACTAATGAAATTTTAATTGTTTTATTTTTACCAGCAGCGTTACATTGAACATCCTGGTACATCCATTTTGCTGCACTTTTCCTTTTTATAAACTAAGTACCGGCTGGGTGCGGTGGCTCACACCTGTAATCACAGCACTTTGGGAAGCTGAGTTGGGGAGATCACTTGAGATCAGGAGTCTGAGACCAGCCTGGCCAATATGGTGACATCCCATCTTTACTAAAAATACAAAAATTAGCCAGGTGTGGTGGTGGACACTTGTAGTCCCAGCTACTTGAGGGACTGAGGCACAAAAATCGCTTGAGCCAGGGAGGCGGAGGTTGCAGTGAGCCGAGATCATGTAACTGCACTCCAGCCTGGGCAACAGAGCAAGATTCCATCTCAAAACACAAAAATAAAATAAGTACCTCCATAAGCTTTATTAGGATTTTCAAACATGTAATTTATAACTCCTAGAAGTTACTGCTTCAGGTTCTAATTAGTTTTCTCGGCACTTCTGTGTACATTGGCTTCCTGGTGCTTGGGACTCCTTGAGTGATGTTGACGGAAGAGGGAGAACCAGTGAATGTGATATGAATGCGAATAAAACCATAATTTCAATGGCTTAGTTCCATATAAAAAATTTTTAAAAACTTATTCAAAGCCTAGACTAAGCCAGAAATTCTGTTTAATCACTTTAACATGGACACCAGTAATTAGAGCATACTAAAAGAGTAGAAGTATTGCTTGAATTTATTATCATTACTATAATATTTCAATTATTTTTGCTTTCACTGGAGGCGAATAACATTTTTCTACATTAAGACAGCACTCGGAACAGTCTCTGACACATATAAGCTCATGTTATATGTTGGAGTATTTTGTAACAAGGTGGTTTTCTGAAACGGGGTGTACAGTACTGTAATGGTAGGGTGTGACTCCGAAGCTACAACTGAGTTCACATTCTGGCTTCCTCACTTATGGACTTTGTACCCTGGGGCAAAAGTCACTTAACTTTCTGTTCTGTAATCTCTGCTGAGTAGAAAAGGGTAATTGCATGTCTACTTAAATCTGCTATAAGGATTTAATGAGTAAATGTAGGTAAAATACTTGGAACAGTGCAATTATTATTGAGCCTTTACTATGCTAGGCCCTAAAGACGTTCAAGTCAGCAAGACAAGGATCCTTGCTTTTGAGTAGGTGACTGCAGTCTGGTTCTAGAGATAGATGAAAATAAGAATTCACAATTCAGCATAACTGAGTAGAGTAGTGTGTACAGGATACAGTGAGAACATTCGGAATGATCCCCAGTTTTGAAGAGTATGAAAATGTTTCCTAGAGGCAGAGATGGTGTAGGGTCCCTCAGAGCCCCCCACTTTCTTTCTGTGTCCTGACTAACATAGAGTGCCTCGACCACTCTGTGACCTGGCCAGCTGCATGGGTTTTTTTTTTCCCCCTGTAGGCTTAAAGTTAAGCCTGGGCCTTGAACATTCCCAGGCACTGATAAAGTTGTGTAGGCTATTGCTTCAAACACTGAAAGATCAAAATATGTTACTAAACACATAGAAACTAGCCCCAGCCCTAAGCCAAATTCCCTAAACCCTCACAAACTCCATAACCTGACTTCTCACTGCTGGCATACCTACGTAGAAACATCTCTTTTCGCCCTGTCCACTTAAGCACTCTGTATGTAACTTCTCTAATAAATGCTTTGGACTGATCACCCCAGCGTTTATTGCTTCTTTCTTTGGAATTCTGTCCAGCCCCATCTCGGGATGGTTTGGGGCAGTCCTTCACAGGAATTCCCCTCCTACCCCTTTTGGGTCAACTTAGCTTCAGCTAGACTTGGGTTCAGCCAGAAAAAACAGATGGCTAAACTAGGACTTGGCAAACAAGGAGAGGAGAGAAAGAAAGAGCCTTTTAGATGGGCAGGAGAGAGCCAATGTCTTTCAGGTACATTTGGGAACTGCACAGTTTCACAGGGCTGGATCATGAGTGGAATGTGGGGGAGTAAGGAGACATAGTGTTAAACTGATGGCTGGAGACCAGAAGATATAAAATCTTGGTTGCTCTGCAAAAATAGTTTATCCTGAAGCCCAAGGGTAGACATCAAGGGATTTTTTTTTTTTTTTGAGATGGGGTCTCGCTCTGTTGCCCAAGCTGGAGTGCAGTGGCATGGTCTTGACTCAGTGCACCCTCTGCCTCCTGGGTACGAGCAATTTTCCTGCCTCAAACTCCCAAGTAGTTGGAACTACAGGTGTGTGCCACCATGCCTGGCTAATTTTTGTATTTTTTAGTAGAGACAGGGTTTTGCTATGTTGGCCAGGCTGATCTTGAACTCCTGGCCTCAGGTGATCCGCCTGTCTTGGCCTCCCAAAGTGCTGGGATTACAGGTGTGTGCCACCACGCCTGGCCCATCGAAGGATTTTATACAGGAAAGTGACTTGAGTTTAAAATGATAAATTTGATAAAATGAATAACGAAGTGATACATGTGGATATTTAGAAAGCAGGATGAACAAAATTTGCTGGTTGACTGCCTCAGGGAGGTAGTATAGTATATGGATAAGGGAATGGCCTTCCTAAACAAGCCTGATGGACTACACTTCTAGGCTTTTCTACTTACTGTGTGACCTTAAGTAAATAACTTCAATTCTCTGAACCTCAGATTTCACATCTGCAAGATTGGTTTAGTGTCATTTAATTGTACTTCACTGGCTTGCTGAGGGAATTAGACATCATGAATAAAAAGTGCTTAGCACTGTGTGTTTAGTGTTTAGAATGACAAATATATAAAGTAAGCAGGCTGGCCACAGTGGCCTGTAATCCCAACACTTTGGAAGGCTGTGGTGAGAGGCTCACTTGAGTCCAGGCGTTCAAGACTAGTCTGGGCAACACAGTGAGACCCCTATCTCTACAAAAAATAAAAACATTAGCCGGGCATAGTGGCACACACCTGTGGTCCCAGCTACTCAGCAGGCTGAGGTTAGAGGATTGCTTGAGCCCAGGAGGTCAAGCTGCAGTGAGCCATGTTTACACCGCTGCACTCCAGCCTGGTTGACAGAGCAAGATCCTGTCTCAGAAAAAACAAAGCAGAATATTACTCAGAAGAAAAAAACAAACAAGCAACATGATTAGGTGGCCAGGCTCTAGTTAGGCTCCTTAGGTTTAAATCTCTGCTCTGCCATTTACTAGTGATATGACCTTAAGAAAGGGTATCAGTCCGTTCCCACACTGCTGATAAAGACATACCGGAGGCTGGGTAATTTACAAAGAAAAAGAGGCTTAATGGACTCAGAGTTCCAAGTGGTAAGGAGGCCTCACAATCATGGTGGAAGGCGAAAGGCATGTCTTACATGGCAGCAGGCAAAAGAGAATGAGAGCCAAGTGAAAGGGGAAACCTCTTACAAAACCATCAGACCTCATGAGACTTATTCACTTCCATGAGAACAGTATGGGGAAAACTGCCCCCATGATTCAATTATCTCCCACTGGGTCCCTCTTACAACACATGGGAATTATGAGAGCTATGATTCAAGATGAGATTTGGGTGGCGACACAACCAAACCAAGGTGGGGACACAGCCAAACCATATCAGAAGGTAACTTTCTTATGCTTTTGACCTAAAGAACGATGAGGTGCATAAGGGTTTCAGCCTGCAGAGTGGCCTGACAGGCTGGGAAGCGTAGCCTCCAGCCTGAAGCCAAAAACATACATTCTGAGGGAGGGACAAAGTGAGAGGAAGCAGGGTGGCAGAATATACATATTTAATAAGCTATAGGAGGAATCATGAATATTTATGAAAGGAGAAACATGTACATGTGCAATTGAGCTTCATTGCCCCTTCATGGGTCCTAGGTACAAACAATGGGGCATCAGCATGATCTGAAGAGTTTTCAGCCTCTGATGTCAAAAGGTGAAGTAGAGGCCAATAAAACCCTTACTGTGCCTGCTCCGTAGATTGGCCAGAACCATTCCATAGTGGGTAGTCTGTTACGCACAAAACGGAGGGCAGCAACAGGCTGATATCAGTGGTGGAGTCTTTTGAAAGGGATGGTTTCTATTTATCCCTTAGGGAAGAAAGCCTGATCCTGGTTAGTGAGGGAGGGGATATAACAAGGCAAAGCAAGAACTCAGTTTTCAAGGTTACTCTGGGTCCCCTTGGCCAAAAGGGAGTCCGTTCAGTCAGCTGGGGGGCTTAGTACTTAGTTTGTATTTCTCTTGCCTCATTTTTAGGATTTGTAAGATGCTGAAGATAATTGCGTCTCTTTCATAGTGTTGCAGTGAGGATGAAATGAGATGATTCAGATAAAGTGCCAGAACATTAATTCATTTAAATAAATACTTACTGAGCATATATGCCCCATGCATCAGGCCCCTGATGATACAGCAGTAAGTACAACTGATTGAAAGGAAATGAAAACTGCCCCCTTGGATCTTTTAATTCTATATAATGAATAATAACAACGAATCTCTGGCACATAGGAGTGCTATGTATTATCTCTGTTACAAAGCAATATCCTAAGACAAGTTTTATGGTCCTAACCTAAATTATTTCTATATATATATATTTTTGAGACAGAGTTTCGCTCTTGTCGCCCAGGCTGGAGTGCAATGGCATGATCTCAGCTCACTGCAACCTCTGCCTCCCGGGTTCAAGCTATTCTCCTGCCTCAACCTCCCAAGTAGTTGGGATTACAGGCACCTGCCATCACACCTGGCTAAGTTTTGTATTTTTAGTAGAGACGGGGTTTCACCACGTTGGCTAGTCTGGTCTTGAACTCCTGACCTCAGGTGATCCACCCGCTTCGGCCTCCCAAAGTGCTGGGATGACAGACATGAGCCACCGCGCCTGGCCTATTTCTATAATTTTTACTGTAATAAAAGAATAATACTCCACAAATACTTACAGTGATAATGCCTACGGCATAAAGACACAATCCAGGGTAAGCCATTCATTGAGAGGTCACCAGAAACTGGGAAGTTGGGGAAACAAATTTGAAAAAAAGGTCTGCTGATGAAAGTGACTGCATTTACCACACACTTTCGTCCAAGAAAAGCTATGTGAGTACGCCAACGCCGGCCTGAAATCTTCCTAAGAATGCGTGCTTATAGCCTATTTGTTTAAACAGGGGGAGAAAGTTAACATTCAAACACCAGAGATTCTGAATATATTTTATTAGTTCAAATGCCTCTACAGTTAACAGAGTCTCGGGGGTTTGGTTAACAGGGCAGATGAAAGCAGTTCATGAAACAGTGGAAAATATAACCTGATCAAGTCTGATGCAGTCTATAAAGGCAAGGCCCCAGCCTCCGTTGCTACGGCAACCGACTCCGCCCCCACCCGGAGAGGGAACCTGAAACTTGGCGACCCCAGCACCCCAGCGGGGTGGTCGCCTCCCTTCCGTGTCCGCGGCTTTGTTTTTTATGGTTGGGAATAGGTAAGGGACACAAGTCAAGGGGGATGCTAGATTCGTCCCCTCTGGTCTCCGTAGAGGGAGCTATAAAAGGTTCGTCCACAAGCAGAAACCCCTCTGTGGCGCCTCAACGTTAAGGACCCCCACGATTCCCTTTGCCCGGCGGGAGACTAAAGGCCGGAAAAGTACAGCCCGCCCAGGGGTGGGAGCCGAGCTAGCCCCACCTCCCGGTGGCTTCTCGCGATCGTGGAGACGCAGCGAGCCTATGTAACTTCCGGTCGCGACCCATCAGCTCCTCGGCGATTGGTCCGTTTCCACGGCCGGCTGGGTGACGTTATCGCCGGGTCCTGGGGCTGCACGTGTGGTGAGGCCTACAGAAGCGGCCTTCAGCTGGACCTTGGTCTCCCCGCCGGACTTCGAGGGTGTCATCGCCGCCCCTGTTGGGGGTGAGCGCCGCGCGGCTGCAGCATGGTGAGCAAGCCTTGCTTGTTTCGGCGGCCGAGCGCTGTGGTTTTGCAGAGGCCAGGCTGCTTCCGGTAATACCTTGGCTACTGCGGCCCGGGTCTGGGTCATGCCAGAGGCTGCTTGCGGCACGGTACCCCGAAATGGGCCAACGTCACCACCGTGGGCATTCTTTGCAAGTTACAGTCTCCCACCGCCGAGCCTCCCTGGGATGTGGCCCGGAGAGGAGAATGGCCTTTTTGTTTTATCCCTGGGAGCCTGCAGCCCTGCGTGATTTCGGTTAACTAAAAGCTGGTGACTGCCGACACAAACGCGCAACCCTGTGCTTCTTGGGGTCGAGCAGAGGGAGCTGCTGGTCTCCCTCAGCGTTGGAGTGGCAGGTGTCTGCCTGTCTGTTTCCTCTGAGAAAGGGAACTTGTGGGAGAGCATAAGGTTGGGCCCAAAGTAAAGCCACTTAATTGGTTTCCCAGTTTAGAGAATCAAAATTGAATAGCGAAGTAAGAATGTAGAAAGAGGTGATGGATCTTATTAAACTTTAGCTGTTTGTGTCGTGATTTTATTTACTGGTTGGTAGATGCTCTGTGTGGAGCTGTCTACTCCAGATTATGTTGTGGCAGGCTTCTTGTCATTCTAGTTCAGTCGGCCAGGGGCCTTCCCTGAGCAGCCAGTGTAAAGTAGCTTTTAAGGCATTTTCACGTCACTGTCTTATATTTTCTTCACCGGAAATTATCTTGATTTTCTTGCTAAGAACAGGGACTTTATCTGACTTTCCCACTTCTGTATTCTCAGTTCCCATAACAAGGTCTGGCACAAAGTAGGTGCTCAAGGAATGTTTGTTGAAGGAAGGTTAAGTATGGATTCTGCAGAACACAGCTGATGTTGCCTGCCCTAGAAGTGTAGATTTTTAAAAAGTATCTTTAACATGACTACTAAAGATGCATGTGTGGACTATGGAATTATTCTCCGTCTTTTTGTTCTGTTTTAATTAATTGTTGTGATTTTGTTCCTTTGAAGCCTCACAGGAAGAAAAAGCCCTTTATAGAGAAGAAGAAAGCTGTGTCTTTTCACTTGGTCCACCGGAGCCAACGAGATCCTTTAGCAGCAGATGAGAGTGCACCCCAGAGGGTTCTATTGCCCACACAAAAAGTAGGTCCTGTTCTTTAGCCAGTCAGTTTGTAGGTAGACAATAGTTTTTTTTTTCTTTTTTTTTTTTTAAATAAATAGAGTCTTAGCACGTTGCCCAGGCTGGTCTCGAACTCCTGGACTTAAGCAGTCCTCCCAGCTTGGCCTCCAAAAGTGCTGGGATTACAGGCATGAGCCACCACGCCTTGCTATGTTAATAGTTTTTAATAAATTGTTAGCCAGCTGTTATTCTCAGATAACTGATATTCTGGGAAATAATCTATAAGTTAATTTTCAGTACAATTGGTGATTTTTACATCATTCACATTATTTTGATTGGGAAGACAAAGATCTTTATTTGAGATGTTTAAACGAGCAAATCTTGTAGAATAATGGTAAATATTTACCAAAGCACCAGCTACAATGCGGCATGATGTTATTTAGGGCACCGATATATGCTCAAACTGTGCTTTCTCTAAGATCCTGCCGTTTCATAACCGCAAACTGCATTTTGCCTCCTGCTTGCTCATCTTAGGAAATGTAAAATATCTGAGCTCCTTGGTTAGCTCAGGGAACTTTGCAAGGGAGCCTGGTAAAGATTGACTTAATGTTAGACTCTACTTATTAAGACTCTTAATGTTACACAACACTTATTAAGTGTAGATATTATGAAACAGAGTGTTGGGAAACAGAGTACTGGGGGACATGGGCCACGTTTAGCTTTTCAGTAAAGCCAGTTTTGTTGTATGTTGAGAAGGGTTTTTTTGCATATAAATACAAGAAATTGTACTTACCTTTCAAGGCGCCCAAATCTCTGTTTCCCAGGCTGGCATGCAAAGTGGCTCCATCTCAGCTCACTGCAACTTCTACCTCTTGGGCTCAAGCGATCCTCCCACCTTAGCCTCCAGAGTAGCCGGTACTACAGGCACACGCCACCTGGCCTGGCTGATTTTTAAAATTATTTTGTAGAAACGAGGTCTCACTATTTTGCCCAGGCTGGTCTTGAACTCCAAGGCTCAAGTGATCCTCCTACCTCAGCATCCCAAAGTGCTGGGATTATAGGCATGAGCCACTGCACCTGGCCCCCCAGGTCTTTTCTTATAACCCTCCAAATAGATGATAAAATAAATTGTATGTTTGTTTCTTGACTCAAAATGTTGCACAGAAATGTCTAGTGGAAGGAGCAATTGTTATTTATTTTTATTGCCCTTTTAAAAGCATGAATGTTTTCATTCCATTTTAATGTTACGTAGCACTCTGGTTTTGAAGCTGTACATTTCCTGTTTGTCAAGAATTCTTTGTCTTTTTCCCATCAGCCAAAATGTTCATGTGCCATCTGCCTCCTACTTGGAAAGCTGTACTCATTGTAATATTCCCATGCCTTATCCTTGGAAGGCTTACTGATTCCATTTTGTTTATAGATAGTGAAGAAAGTACTAATTCCATTTCGTTTATAGATAGACAATGAAGAAAGGCGAGCAGAACAGAGGAAGTATGGAGTGTTCTTTGATGACGACTATGACTACCTGCAGCACCTGAAGGAACCATCTGGGCCTTCAGAGCTTATTCCCTCAAGTACCTTCAGTGCACACAACAGGAGAGAGGAGAAAGAAGAAACGCTAGTAATTCCAGTAAGGCTTTTCAGCAATTTAATTGTGGGAGTGAGGTGAAGAAATCATTTTTGAATCAAGATATCTGTTTGGGGCAAGAAATGGTGTCCGTATGAAGAGCACAAAGATAGACCACGCCTCCACTTAAAATTATATATGTGTATGCATGTGTATACCATCAGGAGAGAATAGGTCACGTCTTCTCTGGTGGCAGGTGTCAACAGTAACAGCCTTTTTATAGGTTCAGAACTTTTGATTGATAGACATGGCCATGTTAGACAGCACTTTTCAATAGGAGAAAAGCAGCTGACATTCTACATGTTAACAACATAACTGTTTTCAGGATCATAAACTCTTGTTCTAAGATAGGACTTAACTTTTGTGGAATATTCAGATCTTTAACACTTTTGTAAAAGCTGCAGGCTACTCATAAGCAAACAGAATGAGTGGATGATAATAACATTCCTGTCTTGTAAACAAATGTTCGGTCCACTTTAATACCTTCTCTTTCAGGACAAATGATAGTACGTGTTTATAAGAAATTAGTGCTGTTAGTCTAAGTTCTGTTTTCTCCCCTGTTTATGTTAAGAATGCCCATGTTGTATGCCTCCGTGACCTTATTTTTAATTTGATGTAGAGTAAATTTTCCTGTGGGAAACTTTTATATCACCTAGCACTTTAAAAAAAGGAGACATTCATTAGGTTTATAAGCAAAAGGTAAGAGATAGAAAGGGCACCAGTTTACCCTGCTCCTCATTCCCCAATTCTGTCATGGTCTAGGCATTCCTTTCCTTGGGGAAGATGTGATTGTAGTTCTTATAGGCAATAGCTTGTTGCTTAAGGAGACTCAGAAAGGTTAGGTTTCAGGATACCATCCCAAAGAAAGGTAATAACTGCAGCTGCTCGTTCACTAAGTAGGTTGTGGCTCTTTTGTAACGCCCCAAATCCCACCACATCTCTGTCATAGAGAACCAACTTCTTTATTCCTTCTTCCTCAAGGCTTTATTGGTAGTAGGGACTTATTGGCTCACTTGCTTCTATAACCTATTGAAGGAGAGAAGGGGTTCCTTAGTGGCTCAACTTGTTTATCTAAGGGAGAAAATTCTTAGTAAAGTCTTGCCTGGCTTGTATTGACCAGTACAAGACTAACTTTTGTTGTTGTTGTTATTGTTGTTGAGACGGAGTTTTGCTCCTGTTGCCCAGGCTGGAGTGCAGTGGCACGATCTCGGCTCACCGCAACCTCCGCCTCCCGGGTTCAAGCGATTCTCCTGCCTCAGCCTCCCTAGAAGCTGGGATTGCAGGCATGTGGCACTGTGCCCGGCTAATTTTGTATTTTTAGTAGAGCCGGGGTTTCTCCGTGTTGGTCAGGCTGGTCTTGAACTCCCGACTTCAGGTGATCTGCCTGCCTCGGCCTCCCAAAGTGCTGGGATTACAGGCGTGAGCCACCGCGCCCGGTCGTATAAGACTAACTTTTAATCCTTAATTCATTTTGAGTAAAAGCAATCACTAATTGGCTTTTTAACAGGATAAGGCTCTTAAATGGACACTTCAGTGACCTTTGCAGGGACAGCTGAATTGTATTTAAAAACAGAAGTGTGGTTGGTTTTCTGAAGAGCTATGAAAAAATATGGATTAGTCCCATATACTTTTTTTACTTTAATTTGTAACACACCACCAAATTCGAGTAGATTAGAAATAATGAATAACCCCTAGAAACAGTGTAAGACAGTGTAAAAAGGCAGTATAGAAATGATTGATGCTTGAGCAGGCCCTGATTTTGACATGAAAGAAAGATGGTGGTGCTGTTGTGGAAAGTAGCTGGGCAAATGTCATGTAGTTGAGAACTACTGCAACCAATGAAAACACAGCACTCCTCTAAAAACAGAGTAATTTCTCTTTAAACTCTTAATCGTGTATGTGATTGACTACTTTTCAAGATTTGAAAAATATCTCACAAAGGTAAATTCATTTAACACAAACTGACCTTGTGTTTAACCCCAAACTTCTAAGGATAAATATCACAAAGGTACCTTTTTAAAAACCTAAAAGACTATGTAGATTTTACTACAATTTTAAGTAATTAATAATGTAATATCCTTAAAAAACATTAAATTGTACACTTTAGGTGAATTGTATGTGAATGATGTCTTAGTAAAGCTGTTTTCTTAAAAATATACTCTACAGCAAAATAACATCTTTGCCCATGTTTGTGCTACTGAGAAACTCATTTTGGAAGCCATAACATCTTGCTGTGTGTACACTGCCATATGTAGCCTTTACTCATGCTCCTCAGAGGCTTCCAATTCAGAGAGCTTTCTCAGTGAGCCAATGAGGATGCACATTCCAGCTTTGTGCCTCCTCCTGGGCTGAGGATAGGGCAGGTGGTGAGGTGCACAGAGATAAATAACACATGGCGGTTGTCCTCACGTTATGAACTGTTTGGTCAAGGAGAGGAAACAAGCATAAGAACCAGTCAGAGAATGTAGGCTAGCAAGCACATGTTTGAGTAGATTGCAGCGTGTGAAGAAGGCGGGAAGTTCACACAAAGGGAAGTTCTAGGACAGTGATCAGAAAGGGCTTCATGTCGGAGGGTAGGAACCGAGCTGGCCACCAAGTGGTGGGTACTGTTGACAGGAGAAGGAACATTTTCAGTCAGGCTGCCGAGACAGTGAGCACTGTGGTTCCGTGTCAGGCACATGCGCGCCAAGTAAAGTGTTTTGCATTATTACATGACTGAGGAATGAACTTGATTTGCATGGTCATATAGAATAACTGAGAAATTTGGATACACAGAGTAGGCCTTGATTTTATAGGTCCTTGAGAACCAGGGCCTTAAATACAGAGTGAAAAATTGAGACCTGTCAGAAACTCAAGAAGGTCACATGAAAAACTATTAAAGGAGCTTAATCTCGCCATGGGTATGAAGGTTGTAGTAGATATAGACTAGCTATATGAGCGGTTGCAGTCATTTATGTTTTGGTTAACTATAAATGAGGTGATGCCCCAAAGAATAGAGTGAAATCACTGTATGTAAGAGATTTCAAGGGGACATAGGACAGAGCAAAATGATTTATAACCACCCGAGGATTTAAGATTGCCAATTCATACAAGGGCTGTGCCATTACTAGAGATTAGGACATTATCTCTAGTTTAAGAGGAAAATGTTTAATTTTGGTTTGAAATTTCAGGCAAGTGGAGTTAAGAAACTCTGGGATTTGAATCCCAGAATCTCACTTACTGATCATTCTCAGGCAGGTGGGCCATTTAAACTTTCCTAGTTTTTGTTCTTTTGGTAAAACATGGTGATACCTCATGGGATCTGAGGGATAAATGGAATAATTTGCTAGAGAAGGCATTGTGATGTATTATAGAGAGTTACTTTTGGGTTTATGATGGAATATACATGTTTAACATATATACAACCTGGAGCACAGGTGAGAGAACACAGAATGTAGTTGTAATAGTTTCCTAGGACTGCAGTAACAAATTACCACAAACTAGGTGACTTAAAACAACAGAAATTTCTTCCTTCATGGTTCTGGAGGTCAGAAGTTTGAGATGAAGGTATCAGCAGGTTTGGTTTTTTTCTTGGGGGCTTAGAGGGAGAGGCTGTTGAATGGCTCATTCCTAACTTCCGAAGGTTACCGGTGATCATTCCTTGGAATTCCTTGCCTTATAGAGGCCTCACTCCAGTCTGCTGTCATCTGCACATGGCATTCTCCCCTGTGAGTCTCTGTCTTCATGTGGTCTCGTTATAGGACCATGGTCCAGTAAGACCTCATCTTATTATAGTTGAGAGGACCCTATTTCAAATATGGTCAGTCTAAGGTTCTGGATGGACATTGATTTGGGGGGGACTTCAACCCGGTACACTAGTTAAGAAGAATTTCCAAATAAACCTAACCATTGTGCAATTTCTTTTTCAAGAGCACTGGAATTAAGTTGCCTTCATCAGTGTTTGCTTCAGAGTTTGAGGAAGATGTTGGATTGTTAAATAAAGCAGCTCCAGTTTCAGGTATTTTTAATTGCTTTATCTTTTCATATGGATAAATGTATTTTGCAAAACATAAAGAAATGATGTAGGATTTTTCTATCCCCAGTAAAGTATTGAAACAATTGAGATATGTCTGGAATTCAGATCAGGGATTATTAGGAAGGGATGAATGTGATCTTTGTATTTTTGTATTCCTACCATCAAATCTTTATATCTTTTGAGTTCCTGTTTGGAGAGGAAAGTGGGGAAACTATTCTTGGTAATCTAGTTAGGGGAATTGTAACCTTCACATAACCTCTTGCAAAGATAGTGGTATTAATTATTCATTACTTGTAGTGTAATTTTGAAAAATAATCTGTTTTTCAGAATTTCTCCCCAGAGCATACAGGTATTTTTATGGAAGTTCATTTTGCCATCTACACATATATTGGGGGAAATTTTTTATTTTTAATTTGTAGTACCAACACTGTATTTCAGAACAAACACAAAAGTCTACAGAAGTGGTGTTGGTATTTTCTCCCAAGTTGCCTTAATTATTAACTAACACCTGTCCTGTGGCATTCATTAATTAATTTATTGTACAGATTTTTGAGTTGCCACTGTCTGTGTGGCAGGGCCTTGGGTTAAAACAGAATAAAGCATAGTCTCTGACCCAAGAATTTACCTCATTTGGGAAAAATAAACAATAAATGATAAATTACAGTATAGATGGATATTAATAGTGGGGTGAGTAGCACCAAACCCAGCATCACAGGGTTGGGCAAGGCTTTCTAAAGAAGGTGATATCTAGTTTGTTTCTTAAGTAAAAGTTAGGTAGGTGGAAGAAGGAGGGGGAGGGGTGGGGACCAGAGGATGTTCCAGACAGAGGACTGTATGTCCTAAGGCAAGAGAACGTGAATATAGGTAACTATACACATTTTAGCCTGCCCAGAAGGAAGGGTATGGATTAAAAAGAAATGAGGCTGGAGGGTTAAGTAATGGCCATGTAGCAGAGGGTGTTGGAGGCCATGTCAGATGATAAATTTGGAGTTGAAAGTTTTTCATGAACTTGAGTTTTTTGTTTTCATTTTCTGCTCCTTGTGGAGCAGGGCTAAGTCCTAAGCAGTGTGCCCAGAGTCAGCCTAGTATATTTATAGATGGAAGAACATATCTGAAGAAACAGGTAGGTATTTATTAAAATCGCAAAGTCAGAAAATACTGAAAGTATAACAGTCTAAAAATTGTTCGAGTTATTTTTAACAGGTGAATTTAAAGGCCAGTTTCTTCTTGCAGACAAAAGCTTTGAATTATGCTAGACAAAGTTAAACATTATAGATGTTTAATGGAACATTATTTTCACCAGTGGATATTAAAAGGAGAAGCATCATTTCTTTTTTCATTTTTTTTTTTAAATTATACTTTAAGTCCTGGGATATATATGCAGAATGTGCAGGTTTGTTATGTAGGTATACACGTCATGGTGGTTTGCTGCACCCATCAACCCATCATCTACATTAGGCATTTCTCCTAATGCTATCCCTCCCCTAGGCCCCCATCCCCCAACAGGCCCCAGTGTGTGATGTTCCCCTCCCTGTGTCCATATGTTCTCATTGTTCAACTCCCACTTATGAGTGAGAACATGCGGTGTTTGGTTTTCTGTTCCTGTGTTAGTTTGCTGAGAGTGATGGTTTCCAGCTTCATCCATGTCCCTGCAGAGGACATGAACGTGTCCTTTTTTATGGCTGCATAGTATTCCATGGTGTATATGTGCCACATTTTCTTTATCCAGTCTGTCATTGATGGGCATTTAAGTTGGTTCCAAGTCTTTGCTATTGTGAACAGTGCTACAATAAACCTACGTGTGCATGTGTCTTTATAGTAGAATGATTTATTATCCTTTGGGTATGTACCCAGTAATGGGATTGCTGGGTCAAATGGTATTTCTGGTTCTAGATCCTTGAGGAATCGCCACACTGTCTTCCACAATGGTTGAACTAATTTACACTCCCAACAACAACATAAAAGCGTTCCTATTTCTCCACATCCTCTCCAGAATCTGTTGTTTCCTGACTTTTTAATGATTGCCATTCTAACTGGCGTGAGATAGTTTCTCATTGTGGTTTTAATTTGCATTTCTATAATGACCAGTGATGATGAGCTTTTTTTCATGTTTGTTGGCTGCATAAATGTCTTCATTTGAGAAATATCTGTTCCTATCTTTTGCCCACTTTTCAATGGGGTTGTTTGTTTTTTTCTTGTAAATTTAAGTTCTTTGTAGATTCTGGATATTAGCCCTTTGTCAGATGGATTGATTGCAAAAATTTTCTCCCATTGTGTGGGTTGCCTGTTGACTCTGATGATAGTTTCTTTTGCTCTGCAGAAGCTCTTTAATTTAATTAGATCCCATTTGTCAATTTTGGCTTTTGTTGACATTGCTTTTGATGTTTTAGTCAAGAAGTCTTTGCCCATGCCTATATCCTGAATGGTATTGCTTAGGTTTTCTTCTAGAGTTTTTATGGTTTTAGGTCTTACGTTGAAGTCTTTAATCCATCTTGAGTTAATTTTTGTATAAGGTGTAAAGAAGGGGTCCAATTTCAGTTTTCTGCATATGGCTAGCCAGTTTTCCCAATGCCATTTATTAAATACGGAATCCTTTCCCCATTGCTTGTTTTTGTTAGGATTGTCAAAGATCAGATGGCTGTAGATGTGTGGTGTTATTTCTGAGGCCTCTGTTTTGTTCCATTGGTCTATATATCTGTTTTGGTACCAGTACCATGCTGTTTTGATTACTGTAGCCATGTAGTATAGTTTGAAGTCAGGTAGTGTGATGCCTCCAGCTTTGTTCTTTCTGCTTAGGATTATCTTGTAAATTACTTTGGGCAGTATGGCCATTTTTATGATATTGATTCTTCCTATCCATGAGCATGGAATGTTTTTCCATTTGTTTGTGTCCCCTCTGATTTCTTTGAGCAGTGGTTTGTAGTTCTCCTTGAAGAGGTCCTTCACATCCCTTGTAAGTTGGATTCCTAGGTATTTTATTCTCTTTGTAGCAATTGTGAATGGGAGTTCCCTCACAATTTGGCTCTCTGTTTGTCTATTATTGGTATATAGGAATGCTTGTGATTTTTGCACATTGATTTTGTATCCTGAGACTTTGCTGAAGTTGCTTATCAGCTTAAGGAGATTTTGGGCTGAGATGATGGGGTTTTCTAAATAGACAGTGATGTTAATCTGCAAACAGAGACAATTTGACTTCCTCTCTTCCTATTGGAATACGCTTTATTTCTTTCTCTTGCCTGATTGCCCTGGCCAGAACTTCCAATACTGTGTTGAATAGGATTGGTGAGAGAGGGCATCCTTGTCTTGTGCCGGTTTTCAAAGGGAATGCTTCCAGCTTTTGCCCATTCAGTATGATATTGGCTGAGGGTTTGTCATAAATAGCTCTTATTATTTTGAGATATGTTCCATCAATACCTAGTTTATTGAGAGTTTTTAGCATGAAGGGGTGTTGAATTTTATCAAAGGCCTTTTCTGCATCTATTGAGATAATCATGTGGTTTTTGTCATTGGTTCTGTTTATGTAATGGATTACGTTGAACCAGCCTTGCATCCCAGGGATGAAGCCAACTTGATTGTGGTGAATAAGCTTTTTGATGTGCTGCTGGATTTGTTTTGCCAGTTTTTTATTGACGATTTTCGCATTGATGTTCATCAGGGATATTGGCCTGAAATTTTCTTTTTTTGTTGTGTCTCTGCCAGGTTTTGGTATCAGGATGATGCTGGCCTCATAAAATGAGTTAGAGAGGAGTCCCTCTTTTTCTATTGTTTGGAATAGTTTCAGAAGGAGTGGTATCAGCTCCTCTCTGTACCTCTGGTAGAATTTGGCTGTGAATCTGTCTGGTCCTGGGCTTCTCTTTTGGTTGGTAGGCTATTGCTGCCTCTATTTCAGAACATGTTATTGGTCTATTCAGGGATTCCACTTCCTCCTGATTTAGCCTTGGGAGGGTGTATGTGTCCAGGAATTTATCCATTTCTTCTAGATTTTCTAGTTTATTTTCATAGAGGTGTTTATAGTATTCTCTGATGGTAATTTGTATTTCTGTGGGATCGGTGGTGATATCCCCTTTATCAATTTTTATTGTGTCTATTTGATTCTTCTCTCTTTTCTTCTTTATTAGTCTGGCTAGCAGTCTATCTATTTTGTTAATCTTTTCAAAAAACTAGCTCCTGGATTCATTGGTTTTTTTGAAGGGTTTTCGTGTCTCTATCTCCTTCAGTTCTGCTGTGTTTTAGTTATGTCTTGTCTTCTAGGTTTTGAATTTGTTTGCTCTTGTTTCTCTACTTCTTTTAATTGTGATGTTAGGGTGTCGATTTTAGATCTTTCCTGCTTTCTCCTGTGGGAATTTAGTGCTATAAATTTCCCCTTAAACACTGCTTTAGCTGTGTCCCAGAGATTCTGGTATGTTGTGTCTTTTTTCTCATTGGTTTCGAAGAACTTATTTATTTCTACCTTATTTTTGTTATTTACCCCGTAGGCATTCAGGAGCAGGTTGTTCAGTTTCCAAGTAGTTGTGCATTTTTGAGTGGATTTCTTAAACCTGAGTTCTAATTTGATTGCAGTGTGGTCTGAGAGACTGTTTGTTATGATTGCCATTCTTTTGCATTTGCTGAGGAGTGTTTTACTTCCAATTATGTGGTCAATTTTAGGATAAGTGCAATGTGGTGCTGAGAAGAATGTATATTCTGTTGATTTGGGGTGGAGAGTTACGTCACTGTCTATTAGGTCTGCTTGGTCCAGGGCTGAGTTCAAGTCCTGAAGATCCTTGTGAATTTTCTGTCTCGTTGATCTGTCTAATATTGACAGTGGGGTGTTAAAGTCTCCCATTATTATTGTGTGGGAGTCTAAGTCTCTTTGTAGGTCTCTTAGAACTTGCTTTATGAATCTGGGTGCTCCTGTATTAGGTGCATATATATTTAGGGTAGTTAGCTCTTCTTGTTGCATTGTTCCCTTTACTATTATGTAATGCCCTTCTTTGTGTTTTTTGATCTTTGTTGGTTTAGAGTCTGTTTTATCAGAGACTAGGATTGCAACACTTGCTGTTTTTGCTTTCCATTTGCTTGGTAAATATCCTCCATTCCTTTATTTTGAGTCTGTGTGCGTCTTTGCACATGAGATAGGTCTCCTGAATACAGCACACTGATGGGTCTTGACTCTTTATCCAATTTGCCAATCTGTGTCTTTTAATTGGGGCTTTTATCCCATTTACATTTAAGGTTAATATTGTAATGTGTTATTTGATTCTGTCATTATGATGCTAGCTGGTTATTTTGCCCATTAGTTTATGCAGTTTCTTCTTAGTATCGATGGTCTTTACTGTTTGGTACGTTTTGCAGTGGCTGGTACCAGTTTTTCCTTTCCATATTTAGTGCTTCCTTCAGGAGCTCTTGTAAGGCAGGCCTGGTGGTGACAAAATCTCTCAGCATTTGCTTATCTGGAAAGGATTTTATTTCTCCTTCACTTACAAAACTTAATTTGGCTGGATATGAGATTCTAAGTTGAAAATTCTTTACTTTAAGGATGTTGAGTATTGGCCCCCACTTTCTTCTGACTTGTACGGTTTCTGCTGAGAGATCCACTGTTAGTCTGATGGGCTTCTCTTTGTGGGTAACCCGACCTTTCTCTCTGGCTGCCCTTAACATTTTTTTCTTCATTTCAACCTTCGTGAATCTGACGATTATGTGTCTTGGGGTTGCTCTTCTCGAGGAGTATCTTTGTGGTTCCTGAATTTGAATGTTGGCCTCTCTTGCTAGGTTGGGTAAGTTCTCCTGGATAATATCCTGAAGAGTGTTTTTCAACTTGGTTCCATTCTCCCTATCACTTTCAGGTACACCAATCAAACATAGAGATTTGGTCTTTTCACATAGTCCCATATTTGTTGGAGGCTTTGTTCGTTCCTTTTCATTCTTTTTTCTCTAATCTTGTCTTCACGCTTTATTTCATTAAGTTGATCTTCAATCGCTGATGTCCTTTCTTCCACTTGATCAATTCGGCTATTGATACTTGTGTATGCTTCACAAAGTTCCCTTGCTGTGTTTTTCAGCTCCATCAGGTCATTTATGTTCTTCTCTAAACTGGTAATTCTAGTTAGCAATTCCTCTAACCTTTTTTCAAGGTTTTTAGCTTCCTTGCGTTGGGTTAGAACATGCTCCTTTAGCTCCAAGGAGTTTGTTACTACCCACCTTCTGAAGCATACTTCTGTCAATTCATCAAACGCATTCTCCGTCCAGTTTTGTTCCCTTGCCGGCGAGGAGTTGTGATCCTTTGAAGAGAAGAGGCATTCTGGTTTTTGGAAATTTCAGCCTTTTTGTGCTGGTTTTTCCTCATCTTCTTGGATTTATCTACCTTTGGTCATTGTTGTTGGTGACCTTTGGATGGGGTTTCTGTGTGGACGTCCTATTTGTTGATGTTGATGCTATTCCTTTCTGTTAGGTTTATTTCTAACAGTCAGACCCCTCTGCTGTAGGTCTGCTGGAGTTTGCTGGAGGTCCAGTCCAGTCCCTGTTTGCCTGGGTATCACCAGCAGAGGCTGCAGAACAGCAAAGATTGCTGCTTGTTCCTTCCTCTGGAAGCTTTGTCCCAGAGGGGTACCCGCCAGATGCCAACCAGAGCTCTCCTCTATGAGGTGTCTATTGACCCCTGATGGGAGGTGTCTCCTAGGCAGGAGGCACAGGGGTCAGGGACCCACTTGAGGAGGCAGTCTGTCCCTTAGCAGAGCTTGAGCACTGTGCCGGGAGATCCGCTGCTCTCTTCAGAGCCGGCAGGCAGGAACGTTTGAGTCTGCTGAAGCTGTGCCCACAGCCGCCCCTTCCCCCAGGTGCTCTGTCCCAGGAAGATGGGAGTTTTATTTATAAGGTCCTGACTGGGGCTGAGGCAGCATTTTGTTTCCTTTTTTTGTCTTGGAGTGTTCATTCTTTATTCTTCACTAGACTGAACTTAGTTCTTAATCGTTCTTTTATCCTCAATATATTAATAGACTCTTGCTATCATAGGTCCTTATATTGTGAGTTAAGTGAATGAATTGTTGCTATCTTGGGAATTACTGCTTAATTTTTGTTTTCCTTCTAGGACCTCGACTGGATTTTGATCCTGACATTGTTGCAGCTCTTGATGATGATTTTGACTTTGATGATCCAGATAATCTGCTTGAGGATGACTTTATTCTTCAGGCCAATAAGGCAACAGGAGAGGAAGAGGGAATGGATATACAGTATGTGTGGTTTGTTTCAAAGCAGAGATGATGACCTAAGTGTTACTGCTTCAGTGGGATGGTAACCATAGAACGTTACAGTTGGAAGAGACCTTCAAGAGCATTTAATCTGAGACTTCTGTATTTTAGAGCAGAAAATGTGAGATTCATTGCTTTTCCTACCAAACCAGATTGATCAAACACCCTCACTCTTCCTGCCTAGACAAGAACCCTTCCTGAAATACCTTCCAATTTTACTTGTGTAAAGTGGTTTTGTTCTGTTACTTTTTAAGTTGTTTTGGTAGGTAATTTATGACCTTTACTTTAGGAAATCTGAGAATGAAGATGACAGCGAGTGGGAAGATGTGGATGATGAGAAGGGAGATAGCAATGATGACTATGACTCTGCAGGCCTATTGTCAGATGAAGACTGTATGTCTGTGCCCGGAAAAACTCACAGAGCTATAGCAGATCACTTGTTCTGGAGTGAGGAAACAAAGAGTCGCTTCACGGAGTATTCGATGACTTCCTCAGTCATGAGGAGAAATGAACAGCTGACCCTACATGATGAGAGGTTTGAGAAGGTAAGGTCCCCACATAAGGGATGCTTTAGTACTATCTTATGTTAAATTTTTTTTTTTAATACCTGTCAGCTTTAGCCCAGGTTGAAGTGCTCACCAACCACAAAGTCAATCATAGGAAGTTTACAACTATCCAGCTATAGGTTCGTGTAGCCAGCATAAAGCAGAAGGGTATCAGTGCAGTACAGGAGCACAAAGACTGCAAAGGGAGCATAGAACTGTGCAGAAGAAGAGTAATTGGTTAGGAGGATGTGACTTTTCCAATTTACATCACACGCTTACACCAGGAGGTGGCTCAAATGATGCCTCATTCAACCTGAATGGGTAACCAAAAGTAGCTGTAATAGTTTTATTCTCACTAACTGTGGTAGGACAACTCACTTGAGTTTCTATTTGGCCCTTAAAACCCCCAGAAGTGGCCCTTAAACCCTCACCATCTCTAATGTTGTGCTTCTTTATTATGTATGTCATATATGGATTTGTCTCAGATTAGAATGTGAATCCCCCAAGGGCAGAGAGTTTTTTATATTTTGCTCACGATACATCTGAAAGCCTAAAATGGTGTCTTGGCATGTAGTAGAAGTTTAAAGTGTTCCATAAATGATAAATGAATGAAGGAATAGTTTCCTTCAAGGTGACTCTAAAGATAGAAGCAGTCCACTCAAGGACCTTGACGAAGCCGAGCGGGTTGAGGTTGATCTGGAAACTGGAACATCCTCTGGCCAAGTCAGCTGATCCGCCCGCGAGCTAAGTAGATGTTAGGCGCCTTGCTGTGTGCCTTGTTTTTTTTTGTTATTTTTCTTTTTTTATTTTTTAAAAAGAGAGATTGGGACCCAAAGCTAAAACTTTTGAGTGTTGAAAACAGCGTATCTCTTTATTAAAACAGAGCATAAAAGCACCTTAGTTATTGTCGTTTTCCCTTTACATATTCTATGAGGCCAGTCACCCTAGTTTTGATTCTGGAAAGAACGTGTGTAGGTCAAAAGGAGTTGGCTGATCAAACGTTCTTATTTTCCCCCTTGAATTCTGACATCCTGATTCTGAATTTCTCCAACAGTAATCCATAAGATGCTATATTTCTGAAGTATTGGCCTGATTGAGCACATCAAAATTCCATTTCTTTCCGTTTCTCATCTGGTGTTTTCAGACATAACTAACACTGAGGAATAGAATGGAAGTAGAGTATAAGACACTTTTGAAAGCTTGTATTTTCATATACTCTATTTGGTTCTGTTGTAACAGATTAGCTCCAGGGTTTATAATCCCAACCTATAGACTGTTTATACAGGTTTTTAATCCCACCTATCCTGTTGTTTGTTCTGTAGCACATAACACCTCCTAACATCATCTCTAATGTTGTGCTTTATTATGTATGTTATATATAGATTTGTCTCAGATTAGAATGTGAATTCCCCAAGGGCAGAGAGTTCTTTGTATTTTGCTCACGGATACATCCAAAAGCCTAAAATGGTGTCTTGGCATGTAATAGAAGTTTAAAGTGTTCCATAAATGATAAATGAATGAAGGAATAGTTGCCATCCAGGTGAATCTAAAATAAAGGCTGTTACCTTGCTACCTTCTCACCTAATACTATTTTCCCTCTTCTCTTGAGGGAGAAACAAACTGTTGCTACAAATCTCACTCTTCAGGAGATATATCCCCCCCATTTACTCTTTGTCAAAGCTTAACAGTGTCAACACCATTTGCATAATATAGTAATTATTGTCTAAACAAGAACAAATATATACATTAGTAGGTGAATTTTCAGTTGCACAATCTTTTAGTTTGCATAACTAAGGAATATGAAAATATCTTTAGTCTAGGCGTAGTGTCTCGTGCCTATAATCTCAGAACTGTGGGAGGCCGAAGCAGATGGATCACTTGAGCCTAGGAGTTTGAGACTGTCTTGGGCAGTGCAGACCCTGTTTCTATTTAAAAAAATAAATAAAATGGCCTGGTATGGTGGCATGTGCCTGTGGTCCCAGCTGCTTGAGAGGCTGAGGTGGGAAGATTGCTTGAGCCTGAGAGTTTGAGGCTGCAGTGAACTATGATCACGCCACTGTACTCCAGGCTGGGAGACAGTGAGATACTTAAAAAAAAGAAAAAGTATCTTCAAAAATGTTCTGACGTAATCTGTGCTGCCTAGCATTTTGTTCTCCAAGCTGAGTGGAATAATGCCTTTCATTTACATGTTAAATGGAAGCCTATTTTTAGGCTAAATGTAAGTCTTAAAGTACTGAGCAGAAATATCTTCCACATCCTATTGTTGCATTAAATCCCTACTGATATTTTAATGGTAATTGTGATAGTACCTGAATAACTATTGTGTAAGAATAAAGTTAATGTAAAAAAATTTTTAAGTGTGTAGTCTTACTGAGTACATTTGCTTTTCATGGTATCTTTTCTCTGTTTATATTCAAGTTTTATGAGCAATATGATGATGATGAAATTGGAGCTCTGGATAATGCAGAATTGGAAGGTTCTATTCAAGTGGACAGCAATCGCTTACAGGAAGTTTTGAATGACTACTATAAAGAGAAGGCAGAGAAGTATAGTGACTTTTCCTTCCTTGTTTAGCTGTTCTTTTTTTTAAAAAAGAAAAAATTCCAAAGAAAGGTCTATAGTATAACTGAATTGAGGAAAAAATTAACCTAGTCAAAATACATATTGAGAAAATGAAAAAGGAAAAAAGAAAAGGGGAAAAAAAAAGATAGGGCGGAAAAAAGAAAGTGGTACATTTTCCATAAACTTGGGTCATGTATAGCTCATTGTTTTGCCTACATTTTGGTGTTAAATGTTCTGAAGTAGAACGTAATGGGAATATACGAGGAGCCACTTTCTCCGTATCTTTGACTGGAGAAGAGTCATGGTAGAATGTGTATTCGTTTATTAAATTTTTTTTTTTTTTTGAGACGGAGTCTTGCTCTGTTGCCCAGGCTGGAATGCAGTGGTGCGATCTCAGCTCACCTGCAACCTCCGCCTCCCAGGTTCAGGTGATTCTCCTGCCTCAGCCTCCTGAGCAGATGTGATTACAGGTGCACACCACCATGCCCAGCTAATTTTTGTATTTTTAGTAGAGATGGGGTTCCACCATGTTGGCCAGGCTGGTCTCAAACTCTTGACCTCATGTAATATGCCTGCCTCGGTCTCCCAAAGTGCTGGGATTATAGGTCTGAGCCACTGTGCCTGGCCAATTTTTAATTTTTTTTTAACTTTTATTTATTTTGCTTAAAAGTTTTGTTTTGATAGAAGCATGAATATTATTAGGGTGTGAAATATAAGGACAGGCTGGGCGTGGTGGTGTACACCTGTAATCCCAGCTGTTTGGGAGGCTGAGACAGGATCACTTGAACCTGGAAGGCAGAGGTTGCAGTGAGCTGAGATAGCACCACTGCTTCCAGCCTGGGTGACAGGGCGAGACTCTGTCTCAAAAAAAAAAAAAGAAATAAAGGGACACATTCCCCTTGGAAAATAAGATCGTGTTTCTAGTCTTTTGGGCTGAAGAATTATTCCAAGCATACGCTTTTTTCATCTTTCTGAAATGCCAGGTGTTCTGAGAAGTAGGTATTTACATCTCGTGGAAAGACAAGAATTTGTCTCTCCAGCTGGATTAGCGGAACTGACCAGCCAGTTATTTTGGCAAATCAGCATCCACATCAAGGTGACTCTTCTCTGAGAGAAACTGATGAAGTGTTCAAATCAGCTAGAAAGGTCTGATGTTCCATGATCACTATAATATATAGATCCCATAGCAGAAAAAGAAGCTATATAGTTGAGTGAAATATTCGAATACTTTGCAGAGACAGATGAGTTATGCTTTTTTAGGCTTTAAAAACCTGTTTTCTTAGGAAGCTGCCTTGGAAAGACACAGCTAGATGTTACCTTCCTATCAGCCGAGTGAATGTCCAAAACTCACTGGAGGGAAGAGGCAGGGCTGGGTAGAACAGAGTTTGACAGAAAATAACGGATGGGTCACTGGAATATGTGCATTTAAAACATTGGTTTTTCCACAGCTAAAAATTGCAGTTTTAGTGACATAGTATAATAATAGGTCATTTTTCCCCCTCTTGGTCTTCACTTTTAAAAACTCGTCTAAAAGTTGTGTAAAATTGAATACCCTTGAACCCTTGGAGGATCAAGACCTGCCAATGAATGAGCTTGATGAGTCTGAGGAGGAAGAAATGATTACTGTAGTCCTTGAAGAAGCCAAAGAGAAGTGGGATTGTGAATCTATTTGTAGTAAGTATATTCACTTTATGATAGTAATTTTAAAGTATTAAAGTATATCAACTTTAGGCTGGGTGCGGTGCCTCACGCCTGTAGTAATCCCAGCACTTTGGGAGGCCGAGGCGGGTGGGTCACCTGATGTCAGGAGTTCAAGACCAGCCTGGCCAACATGGTGAAACCCCGTGTCTACTAAAAAATACAAAAATTAGCCAGGTATGGTGGCAGGCAACTGTAATCCCAGCTGCTCGAGAGGCTGAGGCAGGAGAATAGCTTGAACCTGGGAGGCAGAGGTTGCAATGAGCCGAGATCATGCCATTGCACTCCAACCTGGGCAACAAGAGCAAAACTCTGTCTAAAAAAAAACATATATCAACTTTGAAAAAATACATATATTTTAATAAGAGTTAGGCTTTTAGGAAATTTGTGAAAAATTATTTGGAAAGAGTAATATTCCAATACTGAGTTGTAAGCAATTTATAAAACATTGATCAGAGACTCCAGTGTTATTTTGCACTATGAAAACACAAGGTCAGAAATATAGTAGGAATTCAGTAATGCTTTGTGGAACTGAAAACATGCTTACTGATACATGACTTTTATTTGTTTGTTTAGGTACATACTCAAATTTATATAACCATCCACAGCTTATCAAGTATCAACCAAAGGTAAGTCCTAGTGTGCTGAGCTATTTGAAGGATGCAGTGCATAAAAAATAGAGTGCACATTTTCGCACAATAACTTTTTATCTTTATGGCTAGAGTGATATTAGAAAAAGCATCAACAGTATGTCATTAATGAGCTATTTTTTAATAGGAATGAGAAGTAACTCTAGTACCATTTTATCTGTATTTCAGCCCAAACAAATTCGAATATCTTCTAAAACAGGAATACCTCTCAATGTCTTACCAAAGAAAGGACTCACAGCAAAGCAAACTGAAAGAATACAGATGATTAATGGCAGTGATCTTCCTAAAGTATCAACTCAGCCACGTTCTAAAAATGAAAGCAAAGAAGATAAAAGAGCAAGAAAGCAAGCTATAAAAGAAGAGCGCAAGGTAAAATATATTTTTCAAATGTGAGATTTACAAAGAGCTGGTGGAGGGGAAATTAGGGGAATTTTGTAAAAGCAGTCTGTATCAGTTTAAAGATGTGAATAATACAAGTATATTCTTGTACTTATAACAGGAACGAAGAGTGGAGAAGAAAGCTAACAAATTAGCATTTAAACTGGAGAAAAGAAGGCAAGAAAAAGAGCTGCTGAACTTGAAGAAGAATGTTGAGGGTCTAAAGCTATAGACAGTGGAGCATACAGGGCAAGGCACTTTATTAGGGGCTCCTCATCTTTGGTTATTGACTAGAAACTTCAGAAAGACAAAACTGTTTGCCATTTTTACTGGCAGATAAGAGGAAAATACAATATTTGTATTATTTTTATACTAGTAAGTGTCCCCTGCCAACCATCTTGTAAATATTGTAATACTTTAATTTTTAATATTATAAGCTTACATTTGCTCTGAAGTAAATGACTTCATGAATGTGAAATGTTTGATAAATTAAAGGAAAATATCTTCATAACGTGAATGGAATTGGTGTATTCATTTATTTGTATGGTTGTCATAGTTGTTTTTTGCAGATGTTTTCAAATATTTCTTTGAATCCTCTCCACGCCTTTTCAGGAATTACATGGTTTAATTTGCTGTAAATAGAAAAGTGGCCTGGTTAAACTCAATTTTGAAATGCTGACTTTATTCTGTTTAGTGTAAGATGAGTTTTTCTGAGAAGGTTCCACTGTTAGGAAGCTAAGTTTTCCCTTGCTGTATACAAAGGACTGTTTCAAAAGTGTGGCAAAACTGAATATTAAGGTTCTTAAGATTCATATTTCCTGTTATATTACTGGATGACTTGCTTTTGGGATTTAGGAACAGTGAAGGCAGGAAACAGAATAGTCAAGGAAATAAGAAAACTTATTTGGCTTCAGTGAGTCCCTAGTTCAAAATCAGAAATATTTATTTCAGTTTAAACTGGGGAGTTTGTCTTTTCAACATCAGTTAATGCTTGGAACCATTCATACTTGATTAAAATACATCGTTGAAAACTTTCCCTGTTTTTGATGAGTTGATTTTTGTTTTAACTGATTTAAACTTTTTCAAGGTTTAGGCAATGACATCATCACAATTGTTGATTATTTGGTAAACTATGACTTCTTGCAACAGATTAGTGGTCCTGGTTTATGTTCTTGACTAGTATGATGTTATCTGGACTGGGCTGTAAAAATCTGTGAACACTGTTGCTCTGAGTTAGGAACAGAATGGCTGGGGCAGAACCATTTTTGGCAGGTGAGCTGCACTTGATATCTAAATTATTAGAAAATGCCTTCATCTGTAATCATTCATTTATGGCTTTTCCAAAGCTGGTAGGTATTAGCTTGTTCTACCATGTGTGATCCGTTTAAATCTAAGTATTGTAGGATTTTTAAAGAGTTGTCAAAACTGATGGCATTAGGTATTCTACCAACATTGGCTAGAAAAAAATCTTGACTGAAGAGCTTGTCATTGCAGAAGTAGGATACTGGAGAGAATGTATTTAAATGCCAACCTGTGAAGTAAAGGGTCAGATGATGGTTTATGTCAATATTGAGAATGTAAGTACTAAAAGGATTGGCCATTTATTTTGATAGCTGTCTCAACTGAAGATTCTCAAAAACAGCAAGAGTCTTAATAGGCATTGGATGTTTCTTTGTCATGTTACTCAAATTCTGTGTTATGAGGTGCTAACTTCACTGTGTTTAAATCCATATATTATATATTTTGCAATTAAGAGAAAAAGACTAGGCCATGAGTCTTGATGAAGCATATTGTGATTTAGGCAGGTTATACTCCAAACTTAAATATTTTAATTTTATTCTGAAGAACAAATTCATGATACTTTAAATGAATTTTCTGATATCTTGGTTCTCTAAAAATCTATAAATGATGATTGGGAACTGAACATAAAAGCTCCATGCTAAATGTTGGGAGCCCAAGAGATCAGAGGGTTTTTGCCTTCAGGAGCCACATGGTCTGAGGAGGCAGGATAGGTGCAGCGAAATGTAACTGGCAATACTATCGTGGTAAGTACCACTTGTAATTAGAATCTTGGTACTTGCTGTTCCCCCAGAAGTGCTTTCACTGCAGACAGACCTTCCTCATGGTTGGTGCTCAGCTGTAACCTTCACTATAGGCTATTCCCTGAGCTTGTATTTAAAAATCCTGCACGCATCCCTCCCCTGCATCCTTGACCCTCCTTCCCTGGTTTATGTTCTCCACAACATCTGTTGACGCAGAGGACTGTTTTTCAGTCTCCTCTCGCAGGACAAACCCTGAAGGCACAGTGTTTTATTTATTGCTTTATCCTTAGGTCTGGAAGGGTGCCTGGCATTCAGTATACAGTCACAAAGTAGTGTATGAATGAATGGATAGATGGGAAAGATTTCAGAAAAGAATTAAACATAGAACCATAGCAGGGCCTAGAATCACTGGGGTTAGGGAGGAGAGAAAGGCCTAAGAGATCCAGGCAGGGGGCAAAATCTTGAAGAATTTGTATCTTAAACTTTTTTTTTTTGCCAAGACAGGTCTTGCTCTGGCGCCCGAGCTGGAGCGCAGTAGTGCGATCTCATCTCACTGCAACCTCCAACTCCCGGGTTCAGGCGATTCCCCTGCCTCAGCCTCCCGAGTAGCTGGGATTACAGGTGTGCACCACCATGCCCAGCTAATTTTTGTATTCTTAGTAGAGACAGGGTTTCGCCATGTTGGCCAGGCTGGTCTCAAAACTCTTGACCTTATGATCCGCCCGCCTCGGCCTCCCAAAGTGCTGGGATTACAGGCATGAGCCGCCAACACCCGGCCCACCTATTTTGTTTAAGCACTGCCCGTGAATGGTGTAAAACCACTTGGATATCATAGTACCACAGATGCTCCTTGACTCGTGGTGGGATTATGCCCTGATAAGCCCACCATAAGCTGAAAACATGGTAAGCCAAAAATGCATTTACTACACCTAACCTACTGAACATCATAGCTCAGCCTAGCCTACCTTAAACTTGCTCAGAATACTTTCCATTAGCCCACAGTTGTGCAAAACCATCTGGCAATACAGCACGCTGTAGAGTTATCAATTTGCCCTCGTGATCACATGGCTGACTGGGAGCAGTGGCTCACCACTGCTGCCCAGCATCACGAGAGGATTGTACCACTTTCTACTGAATACATATGCTTTCTCACCATCATGGAAAAATTGTTAACTTGAACCATCATAAGTTGAGGACTGTCTGTTACTTTACAAGTCTAAGTGTCTGAAGTGCAGTTACCGCTTGTGTCTATTACCTGTGATGCCCTGTATCTACATCTCCATTTTGATGTCATCAAGTCACCTCAGTTGAAAGAACTCTAACCTCTTGTAACTTTACTGTTACATTTTCAATAATTTTATGTTACTTCTTCATGTGGGTTGACATTGGTATGCTTTATCAGTCTTGTTCCAGTTAAAGGGCAGAGAAGGTAGAAATTCTAATGGCCTTGCATTTTAATTGTGAAACTTACAGGAGAATATTTAAAGCAAACACAGGGCCACTGTTCAAGTTAAGAAATAGAACATAGAAGTCCCCTGTGAATCCATCCTTGATTTCATTTCACTCTTTCCCCTCAGGTAATTCTTGCATAGTATCCAGCTGTCATAGAAGTTGAACATCTCTAATCCAAAATCCAAAAACGTTGAGTGCCAATGTGAGACAACAAATAGAAAATACCGTGTATAAGTACTTAATACAAGCTTTGTTTCATGCACAAAAGTATTTAAAATATTGCAAAAAGTTACTTTCAGGCTGTGTGTGTAAGGTGACATACGAAATAAAGTGTTTAGACTTGGGTCCCATCCCCATGATATCTTGTTCCAAAGTCTGAAAAAAAATCTGAAACACTTCTGGTCCCAAGCATTTTGGATAAGGGATACTTAACCTGCATTAAGTATTTCCTTCTTTTTTAAAGCCACTTGTATAGTATCCTTAAACACAACATCTTGTTTCATTTTGAACAACTGAAATAAACAAACTTAGCTTTTTGAGGTCAGTGTTTGCTACCAATTAGATGAAAGCATCCTAGGGAAGATGAACTGTGAACAGTCCCTGGGTCTGACTTCCATTTCCAGAGTTTACAAGAACCCATGTTTAGATGTCAGTGAGCAAGGTGATGAGTGAGTTTTAGGGAACAAGTCACAGTTTAGGCATCCAGGATCTGCAGAAATATGCTTAGAGGATTGCATTCTTGTTTTATATTTTCTGCTTCTAAACTCACCCTGACCTCTCAAGATCAATGCAGAACCTTCCTATGGGGTGAAATGAGTGTCTCCAACTGATCTAGAGATCAGGACACAAAAGGGAGAGCAGGCACTTTATTAGAATATAGCCAAACATGACAAGTGTAGAACAAAATGGGAGCCAGACTTCCTTGAATATACTATCTTGAGATTATGAAGGCAGTGAATATCTTAGTCGTGATAGCCGTCAACACGTCTGTCTCTAATCACACACCTCAAACCTCGACTGGTTGCTCTTTGGTTGTTGTGCCCAGCTATCATACTGGGAATTCCCTTTTCTCTATCCAGTCTATAATTGCCTTTTCCTATATCTCATTCACATGCTTGTGGATCACGTCCTCCAGTAATTCATGAAATGGGGTACAGGGGATGTAGACTTTTTGGGAACTTGGATGTCTGGAAATATATTCTACTCTTATGTTGGATTGACAGCTTGACTGAATATAGAATTCTTGGTTGTAGATTATTTTACCTCAGAAGTTTAAAGGGTTTCTTCCATTTGTTTCCATTTCCAATTTTGCTTTTTGGGAATCTGAAGCCATCCTGATTGCTGATCATTTGTATCTGATTTTTCTTTGGAAGTCTGTAGAATCTGTCTTCACTGTTCTGAAACTTCCATTTTACTGAGTCTTTTAAATCAGAAGGTGTATTAGGGTTCTCTAGAGGGATGGAACTAATAGGCTAGATCTGTATATAAAGGGGAATTTATTAAGTATTAACTCACAATCACAAGGTCCCACAATAGGCCGTCTGCAAGCTGAGGAGCAAGGACAACCAGTACAGTGCCAAAACTGAAGAACTTGGAGTTCAATGTTTGAGGGCAGGAAGCATCCAGCACAGGAGAAAGATGTAGGCTGGGAGGCTAGGCCAGTCTAGTCTTTTCACATTTTTTTTTTCTGCCTGCTTTAGATTCGATCTGCGCTGGCAGGTGACTAGGTGGTGCCCACCCAGATTAAGGATGAGTCTGCCTTCCCCAGCCCACTAACTCAAATGTTAATCTCCTCTGGTAACACCCTCTCAGACACACCCAGGATCAATAACTTTGCATCCTTCTTTCCAATCAGGTTGACACTCAGTATTAACCATCACAAGTCTACCTCTTGTCAACTTCAACCCATACCCATCTCCTGAGATCATACATAATCTTCAAATAAAGACAATAATAAGGTCATAATTATGCCTAACGTAATACAACTATCCTTAATACAACCAGAAATGCACCAATCCCCAACCCAAATACTATTACATAAAGTTAACAATTCTTAAATGCTGATGCGAAGTCAATAAATCTTATGTCACATGATGAAGGAAAAAGTAAATAAAATGAAGATATCTTCTTAGTACACGTGTGTACATGCACAAACATGTTTTTAACAAAAGAAGGAGGAAATACTAATGACAATTACAGTCCTCATTTCTGCAGCTGGTCACGTGGTCATAGCTGGTATTGATGACTACATTCTTCTACTACCCATTCTGTATTCCCTTTTTCTTCAGCAAGCACCTCAGCAGGTCATGGTTTTTTCCTGGTGGAGTGACCCAAACCTTCATTCCTGAAGGGTCTGGGCCATTTGTAGTCCTGCCTGGATTAGGCTGTTGTAGTTTCCCATTGACCTGAATCACAGGACATGGTAATACTAAGAGACACCCTAATAGATCTCCTGTATTCCATGCCTACTCTTCCTTACCTCTGTTGTGGAGTAGTAGAGCATACACGATCTTCTGGAGAACTTTACCCCAGCCCTTCAACGTATTGTCACCTAGTTGTTGTAATTGTGACTTCAAAAGGCCATCCCACCGTTATATCAATCCAACTGCTTCAGGATGATGAAGAACATGGTGAGACCAGTGAATTCCATGAGCATGCGCCCACTGCTGCACTTCTTTATCTGTAAAGTGAGTGCCTCTCTCTCTGTAAAGAGAGGCAATGCTGTGTGGAATACCATGACAGTGGATAAGGCATGCTATGAGTCCATGGATGGTAGTCTTGGCAGAAGCATTGCATGGAGGATAGGCAAACCCATATCCAGAGTGAGTGTTTATTCCAGTGAGGAGAAACCTCTGCCTTTTCCATGATGGAAGAGGTTCAATGTAATCAACCTGCCAGCAGGTAGCTGGCTGATCACCCTGAGAAGTGGTGCCATATCGAGGTCTCAGTGTTGGTCTCTGCTGCTGGCAAATTGGGCACTCAGCAGTGGCTGTAGTCAGGTCAGCTTTGGTGAGTGGAAGTCCATGTTGCTGAGTCCATGCATAACCTTCATTCCTGCCACCATGGCCACTTTGTTCATGGGCCCATTGGGCGACAACAGGGGTGGCTGGGGAAAGAGGCTGAGTGGTGTCCACAGAACGGGTCATCCTATCCACTTGATTATTAAAATCCTCCTCTGCTGAGGTCACCAGTTGGTGAGCATTCACATGGGATACAAATATCTTTCCAGTTTTTGACCACTCAGAGAGGTCCATCCACATACCTCTTCCCCAAATTTCTTTGTCACCAATTTTCCAATCATGCTTCTTCCAAGTCCCTGACTATCCAGCCAAACTACTGGCAACAGCCCATGAATCAGTATATAATTGCACATCTGACCATTTCTCCTTTCATGCAAAGTGCACAAGCAAGTGCACTGTTCAAAGTTCTGCCCACTGGGAAAATTTTCCCTCACCACTTTCAGGGATGTCCTAGGAAGGGGCTGTCCTTCAGGGATGTCCTAGAAAGGCAGCTGTCCACTTTTGGGTGGTGCCTCCATATTGTGCAGAACCATCTGTGAACCGGGCTCTAGTCTTCTCTTTTTCTGTCAACTGATCATAGAGAACTCCTCATGAGGCCATTGGTGCAGGCTAGGGGAGAGAAGGCAAGGTGGCAGGAGTCTCCACCTTGGGCATTTGAGCCACTTCCTCATGTAACTTACTTGTGCCTTTAGGACCTGCTTGAGTCCAATCATGTATATACACTTCCATTTGATGATGGATGCTGCTGTGCATGACCCACTTTATGGCTAGATGGGTCAGAAAGCACTCAGTTCATGATAGGCAGGTCAGGTTGCATGGTGACTTGATGACCCACAGTCAAACGTTCAGTTTCCACCAAAGCCCAGTAACAGGCCAAGAGCTGTCTCTCAAAAGAAGAGTAATTATCTGTAGAAGATGGCAGAGCCTTGCTCCAAAATCCTAGAGGCCTCCACTGTGATTCACCTTTGGGGGCCTGCCAAAGGCTCCAAACAGCATCGCCATCTGCCACTGACACCTCAAGTACCATTGGATCTGCTGGGTCATATGGCCCAATTGACAGAGCAGCTTGCACAGCAGCCTGGACCTGTTGTAGAGCCTTCTCCTGTTCTGGACCCCACTCAAAACTGGCAGCTTCAGGTCACTTGATAAATGGGCCGGATTAACACACCCACATGAGAAATGTGTTGCCTCCAAAATCCAAATAGATCCACTAGACATTGTGCCTCTTTCTTGGTGGTAGGAGGGGCCAAATGCAGCAACTTATCCTTCATCTTAGAAGGAATATCTCAACAGGACCCATACCACTGGACCCCTAGAAATTTTATTGTGGAAGAAGTTCCCTAAATTTTCATCAGATTTCCCATCCTCTGGCACGCAAATATCTCACCAATAAGTCCAGTGTGTTTACTACTTCTTGCTCACTGGATCCAGTCAGCATAATGTCATCAATGTAATGGACCAGTGTGATACCTTGTGGAAGCAAAAAGTGATCAAGGTCTCTCTGAATAAGATTATGACACAAAGCCAAACAGTTAATATACCTCTGAGGTAGAACAGTAAAGGTATATTGCTGGCCTTGCCAGCTGAAGGCAAATTGCTTCTGGTGGGCCTTACAGACAGGAATGGAGAAAAGGGCATTTGCCAAGTCAATGGCTGCATACCAGGTACCAAGAAATGTGTTAATTGGCTCAAACAATGAAACCACATCTGGTACAGCAGCTGCAGTTGGAGTCATCACTTGGTTAAGCTTATGATAATCCACTCTCATTCTTCCAGATCCATCTGTCTTCTGCACAGGCCAAATGGGAGAGTTGAACAGGGATGTGGTAGGAATCACCACCCTGAGTCTTTCAAGTCCTTGATGGTGGTACTAATCGCCACAGTCTCTGCAGGGATGTGATACTGTTTTTGATTTACTATTTTTCTAGGTAAAGACAGTGCTTATGGCTTCCATTTGGCCTTTCTCACCATAATAATCCTCACCCGACCAATCAGGGAGCCAATGTGGGGGTTCTGCCAGCTGCTAAGTATGTCTATGCCAATTTTGCATTCTGGCACTGGGGAAATGACCACAGGATGAGTCCAGGGATCCACTGGACCCACTGTAATTCGGACCTGAGCTGAAACTCCATTATTACCTGACCTCCATAAGCCCGTACGTTAACTGGAGGACCATAATGACGTTTTGGGTCCCCTGGAATCAACATCAGCTCAGAGCCAGTGTCCAGTAGTTTCCGAAATGTCTGATCATTTCCTTTTTCCCCAATGCATAGTTACCCTGGTACAAGGCCAGAGGTCTTCTTGGGGAAGGATGGGAGAAAGATTAACAGCATAAATTGTCAGTAGTGTAATGGAGTCCTTTTTCAAGGGGACCCGGCCTCCCCTTCATTCAAGCAGCTCTGGGTTCGTAAACTGGCTCAAGTCTGGAAATTAAGGGGCCATGATTCTCTGTTTTTATAATTCAGATTAGTCTTTTGTCCATTTGACCTAGAAGTTTTCTGCTTATATAAATTAAGTAAAAATACAGTAGGCTTCCTTTCAGTTTCACTTCTAGAAACACTGTGATTAGTCAGTGCCAGAGCTCTATATGTGTCAGACTATTCTGATTGTTGCCACTTTGCCTCTGCAGTCCATTACAGTAGCTACATCCACCTTGCCTTTGATGGCTGAGTGCTGCCACTTGGCCCCTGCCACCTCGGGATCCAAATATTCCCACTATATTTATTTTTTATTTTTTAAATTTATGTATTAGTCTATTTTCATGCTGCTGATAAAGACATACCTGAGACTGGGAAGAAAAAGAGGTTTAATCAGACTTACAGTTCCACATGGCTGGGGAGGCCTCAGAATCATGGCAGAAGGCAAAAGGCACTACTTACATGGTGGCAGCAAGAGAAAATGAGGAAAAAGCAAAAGTGGAAATCCCTCATAAATCCATCAGATCTCATGAGACTCAATCACTATCATAAGAATAGCATGGGAAAGACCGGCCCCCATTTAGTTATCTTCCTCTGGGTCCCTCCCACAACACACAAGAATTCTGGGAGATAAAATTCAAGTGGAGATTTGGGTAGGGACACAACCAAACCATATCATTCTGCCCCTGGCCCCTGAAAATCTCATGTCCTCACATTTCAAAACCAATCATGCCTCCCCAACAGTCTCCCAAAGTCTTAACTCATTTCAGCATTAATCCAAAACTCCACAGTCCAAAGTCTCATCTGAAACAAGGCAAGTCCCTTCCACCTATGAACTGTAAAATCAAAAGCAAGCTAGTTACTTCCTAGATAAAATGAGGGTGCAGGTATTGGGTAAATACAGCCATTTCAAATGGGAGAAACTGGCCAAAACAAAGGGGTTACAGGGCCCATGCAAATGTGAAATCCAGCAGGGCAGTCAAATTTTACAGTTCCAAAATGATCTCCTTTGACTCCATGTCTCACATCCAGGTCATGCTGATGCAAGAGGTGGGTTCCCAAGGTCTTGGCAGCTCTGCCTCTGTGGCTTTGCAGGGTACAGCCTCCTTCCTGCCTGCTTTCATGGGTTGGTGTTGAGTGTCCATGGCTTTTCGAGCCACACAGTTCAAGCTGTCAGTGGATCTACCATTCTGGGGTCTGGAGGACAGTGGCCCTCTTCTCACAGCTCCACCAGGGACTCTGTGTGGGGGCTCTACCCCCAGATTTCCCTTCCTCACTGCCCTAGCAGAGGTTCTCCATGAGGACCCCACCCCTGCAGCAAACTTTTGCCTGAGAATCCAGGCGTTTCCATACATCTTCTGAAATCTAGGGGGAAGTTCCCAAACCTCAATTCTTCACTTCTGTGCACCCGCAAGCTCAACACCATATGGAAGCTGCCAAGGCTTGGGGCTTCCACCCTCTGAAGGCATAGCCCGAGCTGTACATTGGCCCCAATCAGCCACAGCTGAAGTGGCTGGGACACAGGGCACCAAGTCCCTAGGCTGTACATGGGTACCCTGGGCCCTGCCCCAGGAAACCACTTTTTCCTCCTAGACCTCTGGGCGTTCGATGGGAGGGGCTGCTGTGAAGGTCTCTGAAATGGCCTGGAGACATTTTTTCCATGGTCTTGGGGATTAACATTAGACTCCTTGCTACTTATGCAAATTTCTGCAGCTGGCTTTAATTTCTTCTCAAAAAATGGGTTTTCCTTTTCTACTGCATCATCAAGTTGCAAATTTTCTGAACTTTTATCGTCTATTTCCCTTTTAAAATGGAATATTTTTAACAGCACCCAAGTCACCTTTTGATGCTTTCCTGCTTAGAAATTTCTTCCACCAGGTACCCTACGTCATATCTCTCAAGTTCAAATTTCCACAAATCTCTAGGGCGGGGCGAAATGCCATCAGTCTCTTTGATAAAAAATAACAAGAGTCACCCTTGCTTCAGTTCCCAACAAGTTCCTCATCTCCATCTGAGATCACCTCAACCTGGACCTTATTGTTCATATCACCATCAGCATTTTGTCAAAGCCATTCAACAAGTCTCTTGGAGGTTCCAAGCTTTCCCACATTTTCCTGTCTTCTTCTGAGCCCTCCAAACTGTTCCAACCTCTGCCTGTTACCCAGTTCCAAAGTCACTTCCACATTTTCGGGTATCTTTTCAGGAACACCCCACTCTACTGGTACCAATTTACTGTATTAGTCTGTTTTCACACTGCTGATAAAGACATACCTGAGACTGGGAAGAAAAAGAGGTATAATTGGACTTACAGTACCACATGGCTGGGGAGGACTCAGAATCATGGCAGGAGGTGAAAGGCATTTCTTACATGGTGGCAGCAAGAGAAAATGAGGAAGAAGCAAAAGTGGAAACCCCTGAAAAACCCATCAGATCTCATGAGACTCATTTACTATCACAAGAACAGCATGGGAAAGACCAGCCCCCATGATTCAATTACCTTCCCCTGGGTCCCTCCCACAACATGTGGTAATTCTCAGAGATACAATTCAAGTTGAGAGTTTGGTGGAGACAGAACCAAATCATATCAATTTATTTATTTATTCTTTTATTTATTTTTTGTTTTTGAGATGAGGTCTCTTTCTGTTACCCAGACTGCAGTGCAGTGGCAAAATCTCAGCTCACTGCAACCACCACCTCCCAGGTTCAAAGGATTCTCCCGCCTCAGCCCCCCGGGTATGTGGGACTGCAGGTGCTCACCACCACTTCCAGCTAATTTTTGTATTTTTAGTAGAGACAGGGTTTCATCATATTGGCCAGGGTGGTCTCGAACTCCTGACCTCAAGTGATCTGCCCACCTCAGCTTTCCAGAGTGTTCAGATTACAGGCATGAGCCACCACTGCACCTGGCCTATTCCCATTGTTTTTAAATTTTGTAGTTGAGTGACTGTGTATCCCACTGTTAGATGTGACATACAGAGAAAGGCAATTACAGGGATCTTCAGAGATGCAGGTGCTGCCCTCACAAATCTGTTTTACAAGGCCTTGGTCAAGGGTATATTTTCTGGACCCTCCCTGATGGGATGAGTAGGTCTAAAGTGACTAATCCACTCCACCATCATTATGCCTTTGGATCCCTTCTTCTACATTAAACCAAGAGAGATCAGGCATTTCCAGCTTGCTCCCAGTGGGCCATCTTTTAATCCATATTTCAGCTAACCAAGCAAATAAACTATTAGAATTTTTTTTAACTCCCTGAGCTGCAACAGTAAATGCAGAGTCTCTACTAGTGTCCCCAAATCTATAAATTCAGCCCGATCCAACTCTATGTTCCTTCCACCATTATACCACACCCTTAATATCCATTCCCATGCCTGTTCTCCAGATTTCTGTTTATATAAGTTAGAAAACAATTCTTTTCGAGTGTATCGCACCTCCTCATGGGTCACATTCTCAACCTCACCTCTAGGGCCCCACAGGAATTTTGTCTATAGATCTAGAAGCAAACAGAGGTGTTGGAGGTGGTTTCTGAGGAGAATCAACATTATCTTGCCTGGCAACTGTCTCAGGGGAGGCCATCACTGTTGCCTCAGGCAGCACAGGGTTTATCTCCTCAGACAAAGGTGGAAAGGCTGACAGCAGCACGGGTCGGAGAAGGGATGTTGCTACCACTGGGGAGGGGGAAGCTGTTTCTTCTGGCAAAAAAGCCTCATCAGAGTTTACAAACTCAGTGTCCCCAGCTTCATCAGGGTCTTCCCATATGTCCCCATTCAAAGTTGCAGGGTCCCATTCTTTTCTAATCAATTCCCTCACTTTAACAGTAGACACTTGGCAAGGCTGTGCATGCACCTTTCATTGCAGGTCAGCCACTTGCATGATAAGAGCTTGTATCTGTTTTTCCACAATTTCAGCTCTTTCTCTACAGGAGATAAGACTCTCACTCAGGGCAATCTTAGGAGATTTGAGGCTTAGTATCTGCTTCTGAAGCTGGGAGTTAAAATCCCTGAATTCATCATTTTCTTTCATTACTCTGTCCCCTGAACTTAGGAGCAACCAACCAGCTTCATTATGTTCCTTGGTTCTCCACATGTGGTCAAAGGTATTATGTATAGAGTAACTAAACTCCTTGCCTCTCATGAGCAATGAATCAGGAGTGTCAAATGCATTTATTTTGTGTAACTCTCTAAACAGTTCATGCCAAAGTCTATCAGTGTTCTGCATACTATTAGAAGTAGAGTCATTAGCATTTTTGGGTCTAATTATATTAAGCAGCCAACTCCAGAAACCCCAAAACCAATGAAAGAACCCCATTCTTAATATTCTGTTCTTCTAGAACTCCTGGTACAAAAATCTGTATTAGTCAGGGTTCTCTAGAGAGACAGAACTAATAGGAAATATATATAAGGGGAATATATATATAAAGGGAAATGTATTAAGTATTAACTCACATGATCACAAGGTCCCACAATAGGCCATCTGCAAGCTGAGGAGCAAGGAGAGCCAGTCTGAGTCCCAAAACTGAAGAACTTGGAGTCTGATGTTCAAGGGCTAGAAGCATCCAGCACAGGAGAAAGGTGTAGGCTAGGAGGTTAGGCCAGTCTAGTTTTTTTCGTATTTTTCTGCCTGCTTTATATTCTAGCCTTGCTGGCAGCTGATTAGATGGTGCCCACTGAGATTGAGGGTGGGTCTGCCTTTCCCAGCCCACTGACTCAAGTGTTAATCTCCTTTGGCAACACCCTCACAGACACACCCACGATGAATACTTTGCATCCTTCAATTCAGTCAAGTTGACACTCAATATTAACCACCACAGGAGGTTTATGTCCTTCTTTTTTGGAAATAATTAAAAATTATTTTTATTCTCTTCCTTGTATTTTCTCCTTTTTCTCTCTTGAAGTATTATTTGGAGTAGACCCGTCTGGACTGGTATTCTAATTTGCTTGTTTCTTTCCCATTTCTATGCCATTTTACTTTATTTTCTGGGAGATTTTCCTAATTTTATCTTTCAACTCTCTGTTGAGTTTTTCTCCTAAAGATTTTTTTAATTTCTTTTTTTTTTTTTTTTTTTTTTTTTTTGAGACAGAGTTTTGCTCTTTTTGCCCAGCCTGGAGTGCAATGGCGCCATCTCAGTTCACCAAAACCTCCACCTCCTGGGTTCAAGCTATTCTCCTGCCTCAGCCTCCTGAGTAGCTGGAATTACAGGCATGTACCACCACGCCTGGCTAATTTTTGTATTTTTAGTAGAGACAGGGTTTCTCCATGTTGGTCAGGCTGGTCTCAAACTACCAACCTCGGGTGATCCGCCCGCCTCTGCCTCCCAAAGTGCTGGGATTACAGGCGTGAGCCACTGTGCCCAGCAAGACTTTTTTAATTTCTAAGAGTTATAATTTTCCTTTAATTTTTTTTTTGTCTGTTTTGGACTTACCTGCTAGAGACGTTCTTCAGATCTTTGGAAATTCCTGTCTGTTTGCTCATCATTAAGACTGGAAGAGGAAAAAAATGGAAATAATGAACAAGTGAGCAGTATTTCATGACTGAGCTGTATTGTAGGGTGGTCTGAGTGAGCTGTTTGGGAATCTCCCAATATCAGTATCTTTACATATTTGCTAGTGGAATAATTTGATTCCCAGAGAAGTTACATTTTGCCCTGAGGGTAAGGGTTTGGCAAGCAGAGTCCTCTAAGCCAAGTAGAAGAAGATGGGCATGTGGATATTCTCTGCTTTCAGTATCACTATTCATGAAATTAATCACTAGATTGTATATATGTACCTGTATACATGTATATGTAGACATGCATACATATATAGCTGATTCTTGTTATTCATGGATTCCCTGTTTGCAAATTTACCTACTTGCTAAAACTTACTTGTAACCCTAACATCAGTACTTGTGGCACTTTTACAGTCATTTGCAGACATGCACATAGTGATAAAAAAGTTGAGTCATTCAGCACATTTTCCCAGTTGAGGGTGAACAAGGTAGTACTCTACTTTCTTGTTTTAGTGTTCATAATGTACTCAAGTTCCTTCCATGGGCTATTTAGTGCCACATTTTCCACATTTTTGTGCTTTTTCTTTGGTGATTTCACTGTTTAAAATGGCCATGTTAGCCAGGTGTGGTGGTGTGGGCCTGTGCTCCCAGCTACTCAGGAGGCTGAGGTGGGAGGATCGCTTGAATCCAGGAGGCAGAGGTTGCAGTGTGCCAAGATCGCACCACTGTACTCCAGCCTGGGTGACAGAGCAAGACCTTGTCTCAAAGGCGGAAGGGGAGGGGAAAGGCTGCCTAGAACATTGCTGAAGTGCTGTCTAGTGTTCCTAAGCTCAAGGCTGTGATTTGCCCTAAGGAGAAAATATGTGCATTAGGTAAACATTCAGTCATGAGTTACAGCACTATTGGCATGAGTTCAACATTACTGAATCAACACTATAAAGAAGGTGTCTTTAAACAGAAACATGCATAAAACAAGGTTTTGTATTGATCCATTAACAAAAATGTTGTGACCAGAGACTCACAGGAACCTAACCCTATATTTCCCCTAGGAGCCACAGTTCAGTATTTGCTAATTCAGTGCTCACAGTGACTTTATAGAACTTAACTACCAAAAATAATGAGAATTGACTGTATGTCTGTATCTATACCTACCTATCTGTGTTTGCTGTATACTCATGCCTTCAGACATGCCTTATATTGACTAATGCACAGACTGCATATTTTTTCCTTTCCAGAAAGTAGAATCACCTAGAGACAGGGAAGGGCATTTATCCAAGGAGTAGGAGACTTGCGGTGTGGGGCAGGGGTTGGGGGCAGGGCGCGATCTAGGAATCTTAACTTCTTTCAAACAGCTTTCCCCTTGGTCCTCCATATTTTGACAGTCTCTTCCTCCTCATTCGCCTGCCTCAGTTTTAGAGGTACATGCTGTCCAGGAGTTGCTGTGACTTTTAAGAGTCTGTAGTGTGAATCTGGATGGTTCTCAGTTCTCCCTTACTGTTAGTTTGGGAAGTAGAGTTTGGTGTTGCTTTAAGTCCTCCAAGTCAGTTACAATGTCTATTAGCTTTCCAAATTTTAGGTTTCTTGTTTTCTTTCCTCCCTGTCCTATGTTTCTATGTCCCTTTGTCACTTTACTATAGCTTTATTGGGGTTTAGGGAGAAAGCAAAATTAGACGGGAAGCTCTAAATTAGATAGGATCTGCTATCCTGAGTCTTAATTCTTTTTCTTATCTTATGACTTATGTTCCTGAGATAAATTTTATTGGTAAGTTGAGGCCGTTATTCCACCCCCTTGCCATAGGGCCTAGGAAGATGTTGATATTGCTAAATATTTGCATGTTCTGGACTGCAAAGAACTGAAGAGTTCTGTGATTTGCAGGCATCTGAATGAGAAAGTGTCTTCCTTTTTTCTTCTCTACCATGCTCCTTTAAGAAAATGTGAATAGCTTAGTTCTCTACAAAGCATTCTTAACTTCCAGCTCAAGAAAGAGAATATCTGGTCAAAAGTAAAGTAAAACTTTTTCAATTTTAATCTAACCCTAATTCTCTCCATGCTTCTTTGTAATGTTTGTTTGTTTTTGTTTTTTTTTTTTTCCTGCTCAAGTTGTCCCTGATTTTTTTTTTTTTTTTTTTTTTTTTGAGACAGGGTCTAGCTCTGTTGCCCAGCAGGCACAATCAATCATGGCTCACTGCAACCTCAGCCTCCTGGACTCAAGTGATTCTTTGGCCTCAGCCTCCTGAGTAACTGGGACCACAAGTGCATGCTACCATGCCTGGCTAATTTTTAAAATTTTTTGTAGAGATGAGAGTCTCACTGTGTTTCCCAGGCTGGTATTGAACTCCTGGGCTCAAGCAATCCTCTCACCTTAGCCTCCCAAATATGCTGGGATTACAGTTGTGAGCCACCATTCCTGGCCTATGTTTTATTTTTGATGTGTTAAACAAAGCTTTATCACTCCCAGATTACTTTCTGTTACTCATTTTTAACATTTTCAAAGATTATAAACCAATGTTTAAAAATAATAGCCACTATAATAGTTTACCAAGTATGATTCCAGATAGAGAGGAAAAAGAAATCTCTGAGGTGATACTCATTGTTTTAGAACATTTTCTTCCAAAGGGTTTCTTTTTATTTTTTGAAAGGCACTCATTTGTTCTGATTTTTAAAATAGTGATGCATAATTTTCATTAAAAGTTTGGAAATACAGAAAACTAAAAGTAATATTCATCTTTATTCATACCCAAAGTAATTACTCTGTGTGTGCCCTTCCAGTCTTTATTAGTAAATATGTGAACAAAATGTTTCATTAATATTTTTCCATGTTATTCTCCCACAAATTCCTTTAAATTAATATAAAAATGGTTCAGCAATTTTTGGCAACCTATTTCTGTCAGAGGCCAAGTAGCATAATTTTTGGCTTTGCAGGTCATATGGCCTTCATCGAAAGTATTAAACTCTGCTGTTGGAGCAGGAAAGCAGCAATAAATGCTATGTATACAAATGAGCATGGCTGTGTTCCTATAAAACTTTATTTACAAAAAAAAAAGGCGTCAGATTTGGCCCACTGGCTACAGTTTGCTGACCCCTAGATATTGTTTTTAAACTTTTTATTTTGCCGTAATTATAGTTTTACAAAATGTTACAAAATAGCACAGAGAGATGCTGTATGCCATTTACCCAGTTTTCCCTAAGTTACATCTTAAATAACTATAGTACAATATCAAAACCAGGAAACTAACATTAGTATATGGTGTGTTCAGAGTCTGTACCATTTGATAACACGCAGAACCACCTCACAGTGAAGATACACAACTATTCCATCACACAGAGATCTCCCTCATTCTAACCCCATAGAATCACAACCACCTTCCACCCCACTCCCACTCATCTTTATCCTTTTACAGTCTCTAATCTGTGTCCTATCTCTCTAATTTTTGTCATTTTTTAATAAGTTGTGCAGGTGAAATCACACAGTATGTGACCTTTGAAGATGGGCTCGTTTCACCCAGCATTGAAATCCATCCAGATTATTGCATGTATCAGTGGTGTTCTTTTTCAGCTGGGCACGGTGGCTTACACCTGCAATCCCAATACTTTGGGAGGCCAAGGTGGGAGGACTGCTTGAGCCCAAGAGTTCGAGACCAGTCTAAGCAATATAGTGAGACCCCGTCTCCACAAAAAATAAAAAAGCTAGCTGGGTGTGGTGGCACATGCCTGTTGTCCTAGCTACTCAAGAAGCTGAGGTGGGAGGATTGCTTGAGTCCAGAAAGTAGAGGCTGTAATGAGCCGTGATCATCCCACTGTACCCTAGCCTGGGTGAAAGACCGAGACCCTGTCTCAAAAAAAAAAAAAAAAAAAAAAAAAAAGAAAAAGTGGTCTTTTTATTGCTGAGCAGTATTCCAGGCTATAGATGTACCACAGTTTGTTTAACCGTTCACCTACTGAAAGGCATTTTAGAAGTCTCAAAAGGTTCTTTTAATGTTCTAGCAATCACATATTCCATGTGATTCAATACACAGAAACAAACACTGCAGACCACATTGATCTCCCTGTTTGATTCAGCTGGCTAGGTAAGTGTTCCCTTCCTTCCTTATACTCAAGCTTCTGAGTTGAATGTGGTTCAGAAGGTGGTGGTCCATCTGTATCCAAGTATTGAATTGAATCATATCATTTGTATCTGTCAGTATTTTAAATTCATTGACTCACTGATTTCAACCAGAGGTCATTGATCCTCTAGGGACTTCTAGTTGTTTTCAGGTGAGTACTAACATCTCTCTAGTTGTAGTGACGGTTGAATTAACAGTCTTAATACTTGGAAAGAGACTCAAATTCAAGTCTCAGTATTACCACTTACTACCTGCAGTCTTAGAGAAGTTGCCTACTTGGGCCTCCGTTTTCTCATTTGTAAAATAGAAATAGTACTAACCCTGTCTTATAGGGTCACTGTAAGGATCACATGAGATAACATAGGAAAACACCACACAAATGTTACTGTAATATTCATAAAAATAGATTATCCTTCACTAGTGTTTTAGAAAGAGCAGCAGTAGTTTTATAATCAAGATGAGTAGTTTCAGGTTGTGGTACCCTTGCTTAAAATATGTATACATATTTTATATTTTTTATATATATATATATATATATATATATATATATATTTAGATGAAGTTTTACAAACTGCACCAAAAGAACAGGGAGGGCAAGAGGTATTTCTGTGTGCTGTGATGGATGGCCTGTGTTGAAAATACAATACCAATTAGTAGATGTGACAAGAAATCATTTAAATCAACAATGTCTGTAGCAGGCTACCCATCTGCTTCCTGTTAACTAGGGCTTCCTTTTTCAAACTGTCTTCCTTCAATTTCCATGACCCTGTTCTCTCCTGTTTCTCCTCCTGGCTTATCATCATCATTTTCTTGGCCTTAAATATAAGTTTCCCTAAGGATCATCTCTGCACTTCTCTTTCCATGACTTCTTCCCTGGCAATATCATGCCTTTACTTCATTTCTCAAAGCCTACATCTGTGTCTCTAACCCTGACCTCCCTCATTTCCATCCTGCTGGCCGGACAACTCTATTTCAACTCAGTGTTTCCAAAGCTGAAGTCATTTTTCTTCCTAAGATGGCCCTTCTTTTCAAGTTTCCTGTTTCTATCCCACACTCCCAGCATCTTCTCAGTCCTTCTGCCTCTAAACGTAGAATAGTCCTCAAGCATTCTTTTCTCTTTGCCACCTCCTAACTCCCACAAATCTAATCAGGCTGTTGACTCTTTGATACAGAATCACTCATCTCCTATTTCCTTTCCATTTCAGGCCTCCACCTTCAGCTTTTTTGTGTGTAAGTGGGGGAGACAGGATCTTGCTCTGTCTCCCAGGCTGGAGTGCAGTGTTATGATCATGGCTCACTGCAACTTCTGCCTCCTGGGCTCAAGTGATCCTCTCACCTCAGCCTCCTGAGTAGCTGGGACCACAGGCGCGAGCCACCAAGCCCAACTAATTTTTTATTTTGTGTAGAGACACAATCTCCCTATGTTGCCCAAGCTGGTCTCGAATCCTTAGGCTCAAGCAATCCTCCTGCTTCAGCCTCCCATAGTGTTGGGATTACAGGCGTGAGCCACCACACCTGACCCACCTGCAGCTTTTTCACTAAACTCCGCTCTTCTCCCACTATACTCGCAATCCATTTGCCCCTTCTTGCCTTTCTCACATCTATCTTCCACAGCTCTGTTTAATTCTTCCAACTTAATGTCCCTTGTTGCTTTCTTTGCATGTAGAGTAAAGCCCAGATGACTGGTCTAATATAAAGTCTATGCTCAGACCTCAAACTGCTTTTTTTATTAACCTAAGACATCATAGCTTTGATAGAAGTGCTTTTTAAATCTTTACATATTTGACTCCTGATGAACCAAAAGGAAGTAATACAAAAAACCTTTTTTCAGAATTTCATAATATTTTGCTTTTCTCATGATACTTTTCCAATGTCATTAATTTATCTGCATACTTTTTTTCTGTGCTGGTCCCATGTATGATTTCTCCCAATATTTCCACAGAATTGCATATAGCCAATATCTATTTATCGAATGAATGTTTCTATGTTAGAAATTCAATTCTTGCTTGGCCCATGCATTCAACCAATACCTTGAGTACCTTACTATGGGTCAAGTACTTGCATTGGGCATAAAATAGGCACAGTCTCAGCTTTCACAGAACTTACATTCTAGTAGGAGTCCCAAAGATGTTACCACTGGTGGTAAAAATACCACCTTATACTAAGGTATTTTTTTGCTTATGTCTCAAGCAAAGTTATCAGGCACTTCATGTAAGAATATATTAAATATTAAATCAAATAATTATACTCTGGTTGCCTGAAGGATATGGAATTTACTTGTTTAGTGAAGTGAGGAGTTTATATCAGGAAAGGAAAACACAGGTGAGTTTAGTTTACACAGGGTCTTCCCAAAGGGAAGAAGCAGTTGGTGGGGAGGGAAAAGAGAGTGAGGATATCAAGCTATTGAGGTCACCTCCAGTCAGTCATTTCTTCTCAGCGAGGAAATTCCATGAAACTAACATAATGTGCTCTTGAATTTTACACAGATGGCAATCAGGAATTGTTTCCCTGTGAAGTCTGTGGAAGACGTTTTGCAGCAGATGTTCTGGTAAACATAAAGACATTTTGTAGATGTGTTTCATTGGACTTAAATGAACTGTCAAGTCAGTGAGGAGGCGGCAGTGCAAAGATTAAAGACAGATGTGGAGGGGAAGCAAGGGAAGAGGAAAAGTACATAACCTATGGCTGGTGGGCCCAGAGAACACTGAGGCAGATTGATGCTGCCTCATTCAAGAGCGACCCTATTAAACATGGTCCTCCTGAAATGATGCCAGATGGAAGTCTCTTGGCATCGTCAATGATCCCTCAAGAGGTTTTGGCTCTTCCACCTTTTCTTTAAGCATCGAAAATTCAAATTTCAAGGCCAAAGCACCAGGGAAATTAGCTAGTCAAGAGGAATGAGCATTGAATTTTAGACATCTGGAAACCTGGCTTTTAGCCTCAAATTTGTCACTAATCCTGACAAGTCCTTTAACCTTCCTGTTTTCTGCTTTGCCACGTATACAGAACCTTCAAATTTGAGGGTTTTTATACCATTTGAACAAAATGATACATGGATGTAAGTCCTGTTCCAAGATCTAATTGTTGTACAGATTCAAGCTAACGGCATGTCAAGTCCCCGATTGATGGCTATAAAGTTGAATAAAAGCTTGATTTATTTCAAAATTAGGGAATCAAATAGATGGTATGCCCCAATATTATAAAGGGGTTCCCAAGAAAGATGATTTTTTTTCAAAAAGAAAATCTAAGATGATAATACAGCTGTCAGTTGGGACATTTTAGATAAAGGAGACTTATCTGGAACTTAAAGGATGTGGACTGTAAGCCTGACTATGTTTTGGACAAAAGACTATAAAATGAGGTTGTAGGTTTTATTTTTCTGGAGAATTTAAAAAATGAAATAGCTGTCTTTTAGTTAACTGTGGTTAGAGCCTCCTGAAACTAGAGGGAGAGCTTGCGGGGCTGGTTGTGGCCCTGTAGTCCACCAGTGTGTGTCACTGCCTTTGCCAGACTGGAGCCACACCCCCTGAGAATTAGTTTGAGACCTGGGAGGTTCCATTTGCAGAGGGATCTCTAAATGTCAGGTACATCTTGGATACTTTTGAGTTTCATTTCCTAAGCCTATTTCTAGGCTATGGAGGGCATTGATCAAATGATTTGATCTTTCTCTCTCCTTTAGCTTAAAATGGATGGCTTGTTCTTAGCCAGTGCAGTGATTTTTATAGAGCTTGTATTTTGTGGGGTCTGACAAAGCTACTGTGTCAATGATGGTTATTATGTGTCACACATCCACGAAGGGAGAGGGCCAAGGTCCCATAGTGGTACAGTAGCACATTTTATACAGGTGGTACACAGGGAAAGCTCTGCATGTTAGCTCTTCAGTTTTTGTATCAGAAATGTTGAATACTTGAAGGACTACTGATTGGAGTAAAGAACATACTGCCCACATTTGAGTTAAATATATAAACCCAAATTTGAAGTAAGTCTTTTAGCTATAAAGGCATTTTATTGTCTTTGCTCAAGCACAATATCTAGTTATATGTAACATGGATGAGAAGAGCCAGATGGATTTGCTCTGCTGTGACCTGTTAGAGAATGAACTAGGCTCTGAGGAGCAAACATAGTCCCTGGAGTGGGGGCTGTCTAGGTACACCTAGGCATTAAAAACTGATTGTGCACTTTAGAAATTCCAATCCCTACTCTTCGTTTTCTAGGAAAGGCATGGACCAATATGTAAGAAACTCTTCAACAGAAAGCGTAAACCTTTCAGTTCTTTGAAGCAAAGATTACAGGGCACTGACATTCCTACTGTGAAGAAGACTCCACAATCCAAGGTACTCCTGATATCTTCTTTAGTGTTTGTTATTACATTCTGCGGTACTGTAAGGCCTATTTCTGGGATTTCTGGTTTCATTTTTGCTTGATAATACAGTAATGTAATGTAACTGTAATCCACCTTTACTTTTTTCTTTATAATCTTGCTCACTTAGATTTCCAGATATACTTCAGATATTTTCCAGATGTAGCAAAAAATAATCTTGTTTATGTTTTCATTAGAGTGGCTTTAAATCTAGCAATTAACCTGAGAAGAAAGTCACTTTTAATCTACATTTGCTTTTCTTTAAAGTTTTATAGTTTCTTTATTTTTCTGATTTTTATTTTGTGTTTTCCCTCACTCTTGTGGCTTGCAAATTATATTACTGTACTTTCCAAACCTCTTTAAGGAGTACTTTTGAAAAACAAACTCTCCTTTTCCCCAATTTTCACAGTTCTGTTTCCTGTGAATTCAAATTCCAGCTTTAAACAAAATTGTAATGGAGAGGTATATAGTCTAGGGTATTATTTGTTGGTTTTATTTTTTACAGTCTCCACCTGTGAGGAAGTCTAACTGGAGACAACAACATGAAGACTTTATTAATGCAATCCGATCAGCAAAGCAGTGTATGCTAGCCATTAAAGAAGGCCGACCCCTCCCACCTCCACCCCCTCCATCCTTGAACCCAGGTGTGTAGACATTTTGGGTTGCTTTTGAGGCTATGCTTGACTTTTGACCAAATCATCATGCCCTCTATGCACTCTGAAATTGACAATAACAATTACATAGAAGTAATTTTATTAATTATATAAAAGTAAACATCCTATTTTTTTCAATTCTGCATAAAGATTCTGTGTTTCCTTCTAACTCTGTCTCAACGTGGGAACACCACTGTAGCTGTGCTGTAGTATTACATGACTCCAAGAAACACCAGACACCTCTTAGCCGATAGGTATGGAGCTATGCAGAGCAAACTAACCAACTCTGCAACAGCCCCATCGTGTCAGATACCCACAGCAATTTTTTTTTTCCAGGTAAAATTCCCAAAACATGAAATTTAGCATTTTAACCATTTGAAGCTGTACAATTTAGTACCCACAGCTTTTTTTACTGGAAACATTTTATTTGAAAATTTAAAAATCTACAGAAAAGAGGAAGGAATAGTACACATGCCCTCCACTGAAATTTGGCAATTGTTGACGCTGTTGCCATAATTTCTCCTTTATCTTTTTTTCTTTGGCAGAACCATTTAAAAGTAAGTTCCAAGCATCATTAATACTTTAGCTATTTTAGTATGCGTCTCTTAAGTATGAGTTCCTTTTCCTGCATAATCACAATACTATTATCACACTTGATATATATTAATATGTTTTCCCAATTAGCTTAAGAATGGTTTTTAAAGCTCTCTTCTCACCCATGTTCAGCCACAACCCAGGATCCAATCACAGTTTACATATTACCTTTTGTTATCTCTTCGGTCTTTATTAAATCTTGAACAATATCCCTACCAGGCTATTCACCTTTTAGAATGTCTCATGTTCTGTATTTCTCCACTTATTTAGTCATATTGTTAAATTTTTTCCTCTATCTCATCTTTATGTAAACTGAAAGTTAGGGCTAGAATCTCAATGAGATTAGCATAAATATTAATATAAGATTATTAATATATCAATATTAATCTTATCAGATACAATACATGATTTGCAAATATTGTCTCCAGTTCTGTGGACTGTCTTTTTCTCTCTCTCTTGATAATAGCCTTTAATACACAAAAGTTTTTCATTTTGATGATGTCCAGTGTATCTGTTTTTTCTTTTGTTGCCTGTGCTTTTGATGTCATATCCAGAAATTAATCACCAAACCTACATCATGAAACTTGCCCATGCTTTCTTCTTTTAGTTTTAGCTCTTATGTTTAGATTTTTTAAAATCTATTTTAAGTCGATTTTTGTGTGTAATATAAGTTTCCAACATCGTTTTTTTGCATGTGGATATCCAGTTATCTCAGCACCATTTGTTAAAGAGACTTTTCTTCCCCATTGAATAATCTTGGCACCATTATCAAAAGTCACTTGACCATATGTTTGAGGATTTATTCCTGGGCTCTCTGTTCTATTCCATTGGTCTATATGTCTGTCTTTACACCAGTACCAAACTGTTTTGAATACTGTAGTATTCTAGTAATTTTTGACATCAGGAAGTTTGAGTTCTGCAAAATATACTCAAGTTTGTTTTTGCTATTCAAGGTCCTTTGAGAGTCCATATGAATTTTAGGATTTTTGTTCTATTTCTGTAAAAATATTATAATGAGATTTTTTAGGGATTGAACTGAATATATAGAATGTTTTGGGTACTATTGTCATCTTAACAATATTAAGTTTTCCAATCCATGAACATGGGATATCTTTCTATTATTTACATCTTCTTTAATTTCTTTTAGCAAAATATTGTAGTTTTCAATGGACAAGTCTTTCACCTCATTGGTTAAATTTATTTCTAAGTATTTTATTCATTTTGACATTATTATAAATGGAGTTGTTAACTTTCTTTTCATATTGTTCATTTTTAGTGTATAAAAATATAATGGATCTTTGTATGTTGACTTTGTATCCTGTAACTTGTGCTGAATTCATTTATAATATTATTGCTGATAGTGTTTTTGTGGAATCTATAGGATTTTATACAATAAGATTATGTCACCTGAAACAGAGATAAGTTTACTTCCCCCTTCCCAATTGATATGTCTTTTATTTCTTTTTCGAACCTAAATCCTCTGGCTAGAACTTTTCGTACTATATCGAATAGGAGTGGCAAAAGTAGACATCCTTGTCTTGTGTTTTCCATTGAGGATAATATCAACTATGGGTTACTAGTTACTTTTTAAAGCATAAATAATAGCATATAATGGGTATTATAACATGGAAGTGAAATGTATGAAAACAATAGCACAAGGTTGAGTGAGGAAAATGGACATATATTGTAAGGTTCTTATATTATACATGAATAGGTATAGTGTCATTTAAAGGTAGACTATCATATGGTAAAGATACCTATTGTAAACTCTAGAGTAACCACTAAAAAATATTGCTATTTAGCTAATAAGACAATACATGGAGTAGAGATAAAAAATGCAAAAAAATTCAATCCAAAGGGGGAAAAAGGCACAAAGAGCAAGGTGGGATAAAGACAGATAACAAGATGGTAGACTTAAACCTAACCATATGCATAATTGCATATTAATGGCCTACACATTCCAGATAAAAGACAGAAATTGTCAAACTGAATAATAAAGCAAGACCCAACTATAAGTATTCCATAAGAAAAACACATTGATATAAAGACACAAATAAGAGCACGGGAAAAGATATACATGCAGACAATAATCATAAAGCTGGAATGACTGTATTAATATAGCACAAAGTTAACTGCAGGGCAAGTATTAACAGATGATGATTCAAATGATAAATACATCAAGAAGACCTATCAGTTTTAAATGTTTATGTACCTAGTAACAGAGCTTCTAAGAATGTGAAACAAAAACTGACAAAACTGGAAGGAGAAGTAGACAAATTCACAATTATATTTGGAGATTTTATCACTCTTCTCTTAGTAACTGATAGAATACACAGCAGGAAAATCAGTAAAGATATAGAAGAGTTGAGCAGCAGTAACCAATTTGACCTAATTGACATTTATACTTATCCTATGACACATAGCCACAGCAGAAGACAGTGTTTTCAAGTATACGTGGAACAGTCACCTAAGAGAGACCATTACAGGACCACAAAGTAGGTCTCAAATTTAGAATTGAAATCATACATAATATGTTCTCTGATCAGAATAGAATTAAATTAGAAATGTATGACAAAAATATATCTGGAAAATTCCTGAATATTTGGAAATCAACAAGTCATTTCTAAATAACCCTTGGATCTAAGAAGAAATCACAAGAGAAATTAGAAAATAGTTTTAACTGAATGATAATGAAAACATCTAACTTTGTGGGATGCAGCTTAATTCATTCTTAGAGGGAATTTTATAGCTTTAAATGTTTATAATAGAAAAGAGAAAAGTTTTAGTTCAATTATCTTAAACTTTCTCTTTAAAAGATTAGGAAAAGAGCAAATGAGACCTAAATTAGGTCAAAAGAAGAAAATGATGTAATCCATCAAATTAACAAAATATTTTTAAAAGCATATGATCATCTCAATAGAGAAAAAGCCTTCCACAAAGTGTAATTCCTTACATGTTAAAAACAATACAATACAAAAAAAAAAAAAAAAACTTCTCAGCAAGATAGAATTAGAAAGGAACTTCCTCCATAAAGGTCATCCTTGAGAAATCTACAGCTAACATCACACTTAATAGTGAAAAACTGAACACTTTCCCACTGAGATCAGGAAAAAAACAAGGATATTCATTCTGACCACTTCTATTCAACACTGTACTATTGATAATGCTCAGTGTAATAAGGCAAGAAATGAATTAAAATATTATATTTACATGTAAAAAGCATGTAAATTGGGGAAGAAGATGTAAAACTATCTTTATTCACAGACAACATAATTGTGAATGAGTAAATATAGAAAATTCTAGGGAACTACAAAAAAGCTACTGGAATTAAAGTGAATTTAACAACATTTCAGGATATAAGGTATAAACAAGTGAGTTGTAGTTCTATATACTAGGCATAAACAATTAAAAAATGAAATTTAAGGCTGGGCGCAGTGGCTCATACCTGTAATTCCAGCACTTTGGGAGGCCGAGGCAGGTGGATCACGAGGTCAGGTGTTCGAGACCAGACTGGCCAAGATGGTGAAACCCCGTCTCTACTAAAAAAAATACAAAAATTAGCCGGGTGCAGTGGTGGGTACCTGTAATCCCAGTTACTCGGGAGGCTGAGGCAGGAGAATCACTTGCACCCAGGAGGCAGAGGTTGCAGTAAGCTGAGATCGCACCACTGCAGTCTATCCTGGGTGACAGAGCAAGACTCCATCTCAAAAAAAAAAAAAAAGAAATTTAATAAATTTATAATAACATAAAAATAGTAAATATTTAGGGGTGTATTTAACAAAATATATGCAGAACCTATAAAATGAAAATCTCATAGCATTCCTTCAAGAAATTAAAGAGGACCAGAATAAATGATGAGATTTACCATTTTTCTGGTTTGGAAGACTCAAGATTGTGTTATGATGTCAATTCTACCCAAATTAACCTATGGATTCAATGTAATTCCACTAGAAATACCTAGAAGTTATTTTTGCTGAGTAGAAATTGACTAGCTGGCCAGGCGTGGTGGCTCACACCTATAATCCCAGCACTTTGGGAGGCCGAGGCAGGTGGATCACTTGAGGTCAAGAGTTTGAGACCAGCTTGGTCAACACAGTGAAACCCCATCTCTACTAAAAACACAAAAAATTAGCTGGATGTGGTGGTGGGCATTTGTAATCCCTGCTACTCAGGAGACTGAGGGAGGAGAATCCGGGAGGCAGAGGTTGCAGTGAGCAGAGATGGCACCACTGCACTCCAGTCTGGGTGACAAGAGCGAAACTCTGTCTCAAAAAAAAAAAAAAAGAAAGAAAAAAGAAAAAAAAGAAATTGACTAGCTGATTCAAAGATTTTATGGAACTGGAAAGGATCTGGAATAGGCAATATAGTTTTTAAAAAGCACAAAATTGGAGTATTTACATTACCTGATGTCAAGACTTATTATAACAGTACAGTGATCATGACAACTTGGTATGGTGTATCAATTTAACAGAAAATAGAATCTAGATATAGACACCCCCCTATCTGTGGGTAATTGATTTTCTTAAAAGATGCCAAGGTAATTCACTGGGTGAAAGGCTAGTCTTATCAACAAATGATGGTAGAACAACTGGATATCCATATGGAAAAATGAACCTTGATTCTTATACCATTGTCTTAATCTGTTTGTGTTGCTATAAAGAAATACCTGAGGCTGGGTAATTTATAAAGAAAAGGGGGTTTTTTGGCTCACAGTTCTGCAGGTTGTACAAGAAGCATGGCACTGGCATCTGCTTCTCTCGAGGATCTCAGGAAGTCTCCAATCATGATGGAAGGTGAAGGGGAGCAGGCATCACATGTCAAGAGAGAAAGCAAGAGGGAAGGGAAGGAGGTGGGAAGGAGGAGTGACAGGCTCTTTTTTTTTTTTTTTTCAGAGGGAGTCTCACTATGTCACCCAGGCTGGAGTGCAGTGGCATGATCTCAGCTCACTGCAACCTCTGCCTCCCACACTCAAGCTATCCTCCCACCTCAGCCTCCTGAGTAGCTGGGACCACAGATGTATGCCACTGTGCCTGGCTAATTTTTTTGTATTTTTGGTAGAGGTGGGGTTTCTCCATGTTGCCCAGGCTGGTCTTGAATTCCTGAACTCAAGCAATCCGCCTGCCTCGGCCTCTCAAAGTGTTGGGATTACAGGCGTGAGCCACTGCGCCCAGCCCAGGCTCTTCTTAACAATAAGTTATGATGGGAGCTAATAGAGCAAGAACTTACTCCTTAGCAAAAGGACAGTACCAAGCTTGTTCATAATACATCCACCCCCATGATCCAAACACCTCACACTAGGACTGCCTCCGACACTGAAGATCAAATTTCAACATGAGATTTGAAGAGGACAAATATCTAAACTATATCAACCATATATAAAAAGTCATTCAAAAAGGATCATTGACCTAATATAATTGTTACAACTAAAGGCCAACAAAGATTTCCCAGGCAGGACACAAAATCCACTAATAATTTTTTTTTAAAAAAAGGAAATTAGTAAATTGAGCCTTACCAAAATTAAACATTTCAGTTTAAGACTTAAGAAAATGGATCTGGTCTGAAGAAATGATGAATAAAGAAAAAAAAAAATGGAAAGGCAAGTTACAGACTGGGAGAAAATATTCATAATTTGTATATCTGACAAAGAACTCATATCAAGAACATGTAAAGAACTCTTAAAACTCAGTAATAAGGAGACAACCCAATCAGAAAAGGTAAACAGATTTATTTGAACAGACACATCACAAAATAATAGCCAATAGCACACGAAAAGATACTCAACATCATTTTCATTAGGAAAATGCAAATTAAAAACCATAATGAGATACCACTACACATCCACTTCAGTGGCTAAAATTAAAGACTCTGACAATACAACACTTGTAATCTCAGCACTTTGGGAGGCCAAGGTAGGCGGATCCCTTGAGGCCGGGAGTTTGAGACCAGCCCGGCCAACATGGCAAAACCCTGTCTCTACTAAAAATACAAAAAAAATTAGCCAGGCATGGTGGCTCACTCCTGTAATCCCAGCTACTTGGGAGGCTGAGGCATGAAAATCATTTGAACCTGGAGGCAGAGGTTGCAGTGAGCAGAGATTGTGCTAATGCGCTCCAGCCTGGGTGACAGAGTGAGACTGTCTCAAAAAACAAAGAAGAAAAAGACTGACGCTATGAGTGTTTGCTATGATGTGGACCAACTGGAAGTCTCATACACTGCTGATAGAAGTATAAAACAGTACAACCATTTTGCACTGGTATTTTCTTTTCTTTCTTTTCTTTTTGAGACAGAGTCTTGCTCTGTCACCCAGGCTGGAGTGCAGTGGCACCATCTCGGCTCACTGCAAGCTCCGCCTCCCAGGTTCACGCCATTCTCCTGCTTCAGCCTCCCAAGTAGCTGGGACTACAGGCACCCACCACCACACCCAGCTAATGTTTTGTATTTTCAGTAGAGACAGGATTTCACCGTGTTAGCCAGGATGGTCTTGATCTCCTGACCTCGTGATCCACCCACCTCAGCCTCCCAAAGTGTTGGGATTACAGGTGTGAGCCACCGCGCCCGGCCTGCACTGGTATTTTCTTAATAAGTTAAACATACACTTAGCCTATAAAGCAATTCCATTTCTTGATATTTATACAAAAAATGAAAACATGTCCATAAAAAAGATTTACATGATTGTTCATAGCTTTATTCATATAGCGTAAACTGGAAACAACTGAAAATGTCTATCAACAATTGAATAGATAAACAGATTGTGGAATATTTACAAAATGGTCTAGTACTCAACTATAAGGAGGAAATACATGCAGCAACATAGATGTTCTATTATATGAAATTATAGGACAGGGAAATCTTATGAATAGTAATAGGAAATAGATAATTGGCTGCCTGAGACTGGGTTTTGCAAAATATTGACTGAAAGGGGGCATGAGGGAACTTTTTGGGGTGACGAAAATGTTCTGTATTTTAATTGAGGTGGTTAAAATGGATACATTCGTCAAAACTCATTGAACTGTACATGTAAAATAGGTGCATTTAGTTGTGTGTAAATTATTCCTCAAAAAGACTATTTAAGAAAGTGCAAAAACAAAAAGCCACAGTGTAGTCATACTATAAAATCATCTGAAAAATATGTCATCTGAACTTCTATACCAGAAAATAATCCTCATATTTGCTTCCCTTTTATTGAGTGCTAATGAAAATATATCTTGAAATAATGTGTTGTCTTAAGATATTCAGTAGAAAGATCTGTGCTGTGATTTTAGTAATAATGTAAGTACTTTGGCAACAAGTTTCATATAACAAAAAACATCTTTTATGAGAAATATATTCATTTTAAGATTAGAAACTACAGGGTTGATGGCTACCTTATGGTTCTTTAATTGAATAAGTGAAACCATGTCAGATGTCCTGCTGTGTGAATTTCTCTCACATTTTAGATCCAACTTGGATCTAACCGTGACTTGGATCTAAAATGTGGGGATTATTGTTTCTCTAAAAAAAATTCCTTTTGTAAGTCCTCACCAAATGTTCAATTTATTTTTCTTTGTATTTCTATGCTAACACATAATTTTATAATTAACTTCTTTCTTGTGTCCTTAACATAATTTTATGCAACAAACCAAATGATTATATGCACTCCCAACATTTTCACCACGGTTTGATGATTTTGTTTGTGCAAGGATTTTATATTAGCCCAGAATTCTCAGGCTTAAGTTCTAGAGAATTTATTTGTTTTTTGTTGTTGTTGTTGTTTTTGAGACAGAGTTTTGCTCTTGTTGCCCAGACTGGAGTGCAATGGCAGGACCTCGGGTCACTGCAAACTCCGCCTCCCAGGTTCAAGCAATTCTCCTGTTTCAGCCTCCTGAGTAGCTGGGATTACAGGCGCCCGCCACCACGCCCAGCTGATTTCTGTATTTTTAGTAGAGATGGGGTTTCATCATATTGGTCAGGCTGATCTTGAACTCCTGACCTCAGGTAATGCACATGCCTCGGCCTCCCAAAGTGCTGGGATTACAGGCATGAGCCACTGCACCCGGCCAGTACTAAAGAATTTATATACATATAACTAGAGTTATATATAACATGGCCTAACATGCATGAATGTGCCAGTAATTTCCCTTTTTTCCTCAGCATGATTCCCTATTTTCATGATTCAGTTTTTGAGACATGCCTATATTCTACTTTTTAGTGACTTAGCTAAGTCTGTCAATGATTTAAATTTCTAGGATACTGTGACAGTTTATGGGGACAGTGATATAGAATATTTATAATTGTTATTTTTCTATGAGGCCTGGGACATTCAGTTACCATTTTGCATAGCTACATAGACACGGATACACAGCACAATATTGGCATTTTAAAATAATGCTTGGTTTTCCACTTTTCTCTGAGATCTGGCCACCATATTCCTCGAAAGAATTCATTTGGACTCTGACTTTTAAAATCATTACCTATTGAAATAAATAGGACATGGTGATTTTATGAAAACATTATTGATAGAGGAAGAGAGGTGACTCCGATTGAGCTGAGTGTAGAACATGTAGCTCAGTTATGCTGGGTTCAGATTATTGTTGCAGAAAATACAACAATTCTCAAAATATGTGAAGTTCAACATAAATAGAAATCAGCAACCTTGAATGCTCAGCCACAGGACTCTCTCCTGCCTGCTCTCTGCCCCTCTGGTGGGGCCTTATGTTCCTTCTGTAGGGTCCCAGAGGCCCTAGTGCCTCTTCTTCTACAGTTTATCCCACCAAGCAGTAATTGTCTGTTTGCCTAATCATCTCTGAGATTTTCATTGGCAGGGAAATAGACTTCAACTTTGCTGTCTCCATGGTGATATGTAGTACCAAACACAGAAGGGTGGCAGTGAGTGAATGAGCAAGTGGGATTAAGGAAGCAACTCAGTATTGCCATGATCATTGTCTTTGCCTAATGTGAGTAGGGTTTATGGTTGCAGCATTTCTTATGTAAGACTTCACTTTCCAGCTGGCAAAATTGAAGAAATAACCACCAAGCTAAAAGCCATGTTCTAGATGGTTCTTCTAAACCATTGTAAATGAATTCTGAATGATAATGGCACTTTCTATTGTACTTTTTTCCTAGGCAGTTTCACTTCTATTTGGTAGTTGGAAACACAACCTTGCTGAACCTGTTTCCTTATAGCAATAGCTAGCATTTACAAAACATTTAGTATGTTCCACCCCGCCCACTGTGCCAGGCCCTTATGTGGATTTTCATAGTTAACTTTCACAACAACCCGATGAAACAGGTGATATGTAGGTGCTGGGAAAATGGAAGCTTAAGGAGGTTGGGTAACTTGCCCGAGTTCACACACATAGCAAGTAAAGAACTCAGGCTCAAAACCAGTCAGGCAAGCTCCAGCACTGGGCTTTTTATCATTTCCCAATGCTGTCCTGTTCTATTTTTTTTCAAGGCATTTATCTCCGTGTGAAATTTTTATTTATTTGTTTCTGTGCTAGAATGCTTACTCCTTGATTTCAGAGACATTGCATCCCCAGGTGTAAGACAGCACCTGGCACCAAGTAGATGCTCAGTCAGTGTTAAATTAATGATGAGGTACTGCCTTCTGGATGGAGTAAGAAATAAAGGATAAGGCTACCAGATAATTCCTAAGTGCTTAACAATTGTTACATCTTATGAATATACATTTTAGGAAATGATTTGTTCAAATAGGAAACTCCCCAAACTGCTTAAAAAGGTGGCTTACAAAAAATTCTTAACATCACTACATGAAATACCCATCCACGCATGTAGGAATTTTGACTATACACTAACACAAGTTCTACACTGAGTTTGAGGTTGATGCAGTTTCACACCCTTCCTGGGGTCGGGGCGGTGGGATTATTTTATGTTGCTGATATCTAGTGTGCTATCCCTTTAAGGTGCCTGAAACAAAACAAAGCAAACACCAATCCCTGCTTGATTTAGAGGGGTAGTTGCCAACCTAGTTTTGCTATGAGCAGCTCCACATTCTAAGAAGATCTTGCCTGTTTCCCACTTCTCATTTCTCTCCGTAACCAATTATGTCTGTTAATTGCAAATGAAAGAAGAAAAAAAAGATATTATACAGAACCACAGAGAACCTGGGGCCGACAGGAGCTGCCTGGGCCATTGCATCTCTGGAAGCTGAAGCTGTTTTCGGTGAACTTTCCTATCATCCCTCCTTCTTTCCCTTTTCTGTTTTTTGAGTCCTCACCTTTTATCCTATTACTATCTCCTTCCTGAATATATTGCCTGCTCACTTAGTAGTTAAGTGAAAAAAAAAATCTAGCCACTGCAAAAGCAGTATGTCTTTCTGCCAGTGACACAGTCCCATTGACTTCCATTCATATCTCCCAAACCCACATTTTGAAACATCCCATCTCCCTCTGTAACTCTGTAACTTCTCTAAGACCCACCCAGCACTACAACCTATGCTTTTGAATATTCTGTGCCCTACTGTGCCATCAATACTAACATTCTGTGATTCTAGAACTACTTTCTTTACACAGGATTTACTAAATAATTCATTTCATTGAGAAGTTCTTAAGATTAATTTTCTTTGTTTTTCTGGAAAAGTACATCACTTAAACATTTCAAGGACAGACAATTGAAATGAATGCACAGGTTGTGACATTTTTCCATGCCATGTCCTTTAGTTGAGCCCTGCATGTCTTGCCCTTTGGAATAGTCTCAAACCAGAGTTTGGGACCTTGTTCTTTCATGTTGGAGCAGAGTTCATATCATTACTTACATATTTATTTATTTACTTATTTGAAATAGGGTCTTGTTCTGTTGCCCAGGCTGGAGTGCTGTGGCATGATCACAGCTGACTGCAGCCTTGACCTTCTGGGCTCAAGCTATCCTCTCAAGTGGCTGGAACCACAGGCACACACCACCACACCTGGCTAATTTTTTGTAGGGACGGGGTTTTGCCGTGTTGCCCAGGCTGGTCTCAAACTCCTGGACTCAAGCAGTCCACTCACCTCAGCCTCACAGAGTGCTGGGATTACTGGCATGAGCCATCATATCCTTATTTCACTTCATGTAGTTCATTCTATAATTCTATAGTATTCTATAGTTGTTTTTGAAGTGCTAATTGCCATTTGTTGTTATCTTTACATTCAGATTATATTCAACGTCCATATTGTATGAGAAGGTTTAATGAAAGCGCAGCTGAGCGACATACTAATTTCTGCAAGGATCAGTCTTCTCGCCGAGTCTTTAATCCAGCTCAGACAGCAGCCAAATTGGCATCCAGAGCTCAGGTAACTATCTCTCCCCAGGTGTTGGCTCTTGTGCCCTTGAATGCCTAGGGGTGAGCCGGTAGAACTCCCTAGAGAACCTCAGTTACCCATCCTAAGAAGTGTAAGCGTGAAGAGAGCTGATCATGATTGCTCACCCCTGTGGGAGCTGACTTCTTTTGCAGGAGAATGCTTTCCAGCTAAGGCACCTTTGGGTGTTGTAGAAAAAAATATTTCTAAAGTATTTGAAGCTTCTTTGGGTGAAGACTTGAATACATAGTGTTTCTATAGCATTATGGCAAAACTCTTTATCCAACAGTATCAACCTTAATCACCCAGAAAAGAATTGCGAACCTGAAGTGAAACTGCCTGAGTGGGACAGGCTGTCCCAAGGCAACTGCCCCACAGGTCATGTGTTTTGCTCTATAGAGGAGGGGTCTTCACCTTTTATTTAAAGTCACAGAATCAGCAAGTTAAAGGGATATGTGGATGAATGGAAGCAGCTGTTAACATTAGGTGCAAATCAGTAAAATAACAACCTGAAGTGGAAGACAGTAGATTTATAAACCACAGAACTGGAGCCAGCAAACAGCACCATACAGTCGAAGGTCTCAGGTACATACTTACAATATAGCATAAAAACTATTAGTTTCATAGACGTGGCTTAGATGCCATGAAAAGTTGGTCTGGATACTTTAAGTGTATACAGACTGTTTATTTATTTTTGAGACAGGGGCTCACTCTGTTGCCCAGGCTGGAGTGCAATGGTGTAATCATGGCTCATTGCAGCTTTGACCTCCCAGGTGCAGGTGATACTCCCACCTCGGCCTCCTGAGTAGCTGGAACTACAGGTGCATAGCACCACGCCCAGCTAATTTTTTGTATTTTTAGTAGAGATGGGGTCTCACTGTGTTGCTCAGGCTGGTCTCAAACTCCTGGGCCCAAGCAATCTGCCCTCTTCAGCCTCCCAAAGTGCTAGAACTACAAGTGTGAGCATCGTGCCTGGCCCCTACAGCCTGTTTAGAAAGCTTCTGGTTAAATCCAGTATGTAATGGGGTGGGACCGTTTCCAACAAAAGCGGATCCCACAGACTGTGGATCCTGAGCGCTATCCCCTTAAGCATTAGAAGGTTATTGACTATCAACTATGTACCAGAAACTGCGCTAGGTACTGGTTTGATCAAGAATTTGTCATTGAAAGATGGAGGGGGACTTAGAGCTGGTACAGTTGGCATATATAGGAGAGCTATGGAAGAAGAAGTCACTGCAATTCCTGGAAGTCTTCAAAGGCAAGCAAACTTTTTGCCCTTAAATATCAAAATGGGTTCACCAGCCTAGAGTTGGGGTTGGGAAGGGCTTTATGCACAAAACATCCAGCTTGTGGCCTGAGGCACCCATCTGGGGAGCGAAAGCATAGAGTACCTACGAAAGAGGTACAGGGTGCTGGGTGTGGTGGCTCACGCCTGTAATCCCAGCACTTTGGGGGGCTGAAGTGGGCAGATCACCTGAGGTAGGGAGTTTGAGACCAGCCTGACCAACATGGAGAAACCCCGTCTCTACTAAAAATACAAAATCAGCCGTGTGTGGTGTCACATGCCTGTAATCCCAGCTATTTGTGAGGCTGAGGCAGGAGAATTGCTTGAACCTGGGGAGGCAGAGGTTGTGGTGAGCCAAGATCATGCCATTGCACTCCAGCCTGGGCAACAAGAGCAAAACTCCGTCTCAAAAAAAAAAAAAAAGAAAAAGAAAAGAAAAAAGAGGTACAGGGACAGGCAAGACAGGCAGACAGGCAGCCAGAACTAGAAGGGCTTTAACTCAAGCCAGTTGAGAGAGGAAGAAAAGAGGAATTGATTGAATAAATGCCCTAAAATCAAGGACTGTCCTTGATTGACAGGTCCTTGATTAACAGGTCCTTGATTAACAGGTCCTTGAATGAGGGCCTGGAATAGGACGATTAATAGAGTTGTGTGGGAGGGAGAATCTAAGAAATAATTGATGAGACTGAGAAAATGATTAGACATAGGATAAAAGAGGGAATCAGGGTTGACAATAAGGTTTTCAGCTCCAGAGCCTGGAGAGACAGGAAGACAATCTCTGTAGATAATAGAACACAGGAGGGAGGACATATGGGTGGTGAGAGGCAGTGGTTACAATAAATACAGTTTTATAGATTGTTTTGTTTTTGTTTTTGAGATGGAGTCTCACTCTGTTGCCCAGGCTTGAGTGCAGTGGCACAATCTCGGCTCACTGCAACCTCCGCCTCCTGGGTTCAAGCGATTCTCCGGCCTCAGCCTCCCAAGTAGCTGGGATTACAATCACCCACCACCATGCCTGACTAATTTTTGTATGTTCAGAAGAGATGGAGTTTCACCATGTTGGCCAGGCTGGTCACAAACCCCTGACCTCAAGTGATCCGCTTGCCTCAGCCTCCCAAAGTGCTGGGATGACAGGCATGAGCCACCACACGCGGCCTAGATTCAGTCTTGACATCTGAGATAGCATGAAAAGAAGTGCAATGTAGAAAAAGCCAGGATTCTACAGTCAGTAGTCAGGGTTTGAATTTCTTTCTTTCTTTCTTTCTTCCTTTTTTTTTTTTTTTTTTTTTTTTTTTGAGACAGAGTCTCACTCTGTTGCCCAGGCTGGAGTGCAGTGGTGTGATCTCGGCTCACTGCAACCTCCGCCTCCCGGGTTCAAGCGATTCTTGTGACCCAGCCTTCCAAGTAGCTTGGATTACAGGCTCCCACCACCATGCCTGGCTACCTTTTGTATTTTTAGTAGAGACGAGGTTTCACCATGTTGGCCAGGCTGGTCTCGAACTCCTGACCTCAGGTGATCTGCCTGCCTTGGTCTCCCAAAGTGCTGGGATTACAGGCATGAGACCCCGTGCCCGGCCAGGGTTTGAATTTTAATTCTATAATTTAGGTAAACTTGGCCGAGTTACTTAAATTCTTTGGGATTCACTTTAATCTGTAAAATGGGGTTAATCATGTGTACCTTGCTGAGTTGTTGGGGGACTTATAGATAAGTGAAGGGCCCGGTTCAGTGTCTTGCACACAGGGGCTCCTCCTTTCCTCTCTCTACATTACCCCACCCTCCCCTTCTCCAGTAGCCTTTTCCAGTTGATACGATTGGCATGACACTTTTGGAGGAATATGACTACTTTGGGCTTGAACACAGCCTAATTATGGAAAAGTTTGTATGTATAAGTCTACCTACAGTCTGTAAAGCAGTAAAGGGTGAGTTACATTTCTGCAGATGGTTCTTCTTACTGGTCTCCAGAGTTAGTCTGCTTTAGTGGGGCCAAAGAGAGCACAGGAAAGCAGCAAACGGAAGTGTTTTTATTCCTGAAGAAGGCCAGCTGGCTGTCAGTGTAACCAGTGACTTGGCCCCACTCCTCTCCTTGTTTTCCAGAGCTGAGTGGTGATTGCGAACACAGAAGAAAAATTGCTTGCTTTGTGAATTCCTTCACTCACTGTAGAGTATATCTGAACAGCCGTATTTGTTTCCTTTGTGCCAGCTTCACCACTTTGGGGCCTTGTCTAATAGTGAAGCTTATTCAAAAATGGAACAAGAAAGGAGGGGTTGTTTCAGTTTTGAAGGGCTGTTAACACAGCCGAAATATGTTTCTATTTTAAACATAATCAACTTTTAAAATGTGTCATACTCTTAACCAAAAGAGACCAATATAGGCCTCTAAAAATAGCTTTATTTGTGTGAATGGGGATGAGCTGCCTCCTATAGTCTCTCAGCCATTCTTGCCCAAGTGAGAATTCTCACTTGGTGTAACAGGTTATCTTTATCCTGCAGTTCCGTGGAACTGGAGGTGGGATCAGTGGCAAGATAAAAGGAGCATGTGAGAAACCTTTTGGTCCTTATTTCGTTTTAATGTAACTATTCTGCTGCTGCTGCTCTGCAGGGAGGGGGATGGTGTAGGGATGTTGGAATTTCATGCTTCAAACATTTGCTGCCTGCCAATCTGTTTTTCTTTGTTCATGTTAAAAAAAACAAAATAGTCTTCAAGTGTAATGAAAAAAATAAAATGTTCTTTAAATATATCCTTTATTGACATTAAGTGATTTCTTATGTCTCCATACAACTAATTTTATAGGATAAATATACCACCACCAACCCCAAGGGCTTAATTATGGAAGGGAAGCTTCAAAACCCAGATATTGCTTTGAGCACCAGCTGGGAGGACAAGAACCAGGCTAACTGAAGTGCAGGGTGTGTGTCTGTCCCCTTCCCCTGGATTCAGGGAGTCCCTGCAGATGATACCATTCTGCTGCTGGTTAAGTGGGAACAGCTGTACCTCCTATGTGGCACCTGAGGTTACATACAGAAGGTGTTCTCTTTGTCTCTTTCTTTCTCTCTCTGTAGGGTAGGGCTCAGATGGGTCCAAAAAAAGAACCAACTGTTACCAGTGCTGTGGGAGCTTTGCTGCAGAACAGGGTCCTGGTGGCCACGAATGAAGTCCCAACCAAGTCAGGTGAGTCAAAGCACGCATTTCATCTCTCAAATGATGGGGGTCAGAGGAGATCACTGTTGGGTTTGGGATTCACTGGTAGTCTGCAAAAGCTCTAAGACATTCACTGTTGCTTTTGGATGCAAAGATATTTGGGTTAGAGGTTAAAGCTTATTTGCCAAAAGGGAATATTTCTTAATTTATCAGGATTACACAACTTTCACAATGTACAAGTCAAATTCGATTACTGCAATGGGAGTCTAAACCATTGTTCTCCGGTCTAGTAAAATTGAAGAGATTGAAAATAGGAGAAGACCACGTGTCATATGTTTGTGTTGAAAATAAGGGGAAAGTTTCTTTTCTAGAAATAAATACAGATCCTCCTCAATTTATGATGGGGCTATGTCCTGATAAGCCCATTGTAAATAGAAATATTATAAGTCAAAAATGCATTTAACATCCCAATTAACCCATGTAAAGTTGAAAAATCTTATGTCAAACTAACATAAGTCAAGAATTTCTGTACAGTCATCCCTCGGTATCCACAGGGGATTGGTCCCAGGGCCCTAGTGGGTACCAAAACCTGAGATGTTGAAGTCCCTGATATAAAATGGCGTAGAATTTGTATATAACCTAGGCACATCCTCCTGTATACACTAAATCATCTCCAGATTACTTATAATACCTAAGGCAATGTAAATGCTATGTAAGTAGTTGTTATGCTATATTAAAATTGTTGTATTATTTTTTATTATTGGTACACTTGGGTTTTATTTATCTATTTATTTATTTTTAAATGTTCTCCATCTGTAGTTGTTAAATCTGCAGATGTGGAACCCATGGGAACAGAGGCTGACTGTAATTTCTTCAAAGTAGCAACAAGGCAGAACCATAGGAGCCATCCTAATGGGGATGAGGTGGTATCTCATTTTAGTTTTAATTTGCATATCTCTAATGACTTATGAGGTTAAGCCTCTTTTCAAGTGCTTATTGGTCATTTGTATATATTCTTTGAAAAAATGTCTGCTCAAGTCCTTTGCCCATTTTTGAATTGTTTTTGTTGTTTTGGTTTTTGCTAACTTAATCACCAGTGTGATTGGTTGTTTTTGTTGTTGACTTTTAGGAATTCTCTATGTATTCTGGATATTAATCCCTTATCAGCCATATGGTTTATAAATATTCTTTTCTTTCCTATTCCATGGGTTGCCTTTTTCCTCTGTTGATATTCTTTTTTGTGTGTGTTTTTTGTTTGTTTGAGACAGGGTCTCTGTTGCCCAGGCTGGAGTGCAGTGGCACAATCATAGCTCACTGCAGCTTCAACCTGCCAGGCTCAAGTGATCCTCCCACCTCAGCCTCCCAAGTACCCAGGACTATACGCATGTGCCAACATGCCCAGATAATTTTTAAATTTTTCGTAGAGATGAGTTCTCACTATGCTGATATTCTCTTGATTCATAAATTTTTAAAATTTTAGTGAAGTCCAATTTGTCTGTTTTTCTTTGGTTGCCTCTGGTGACCAAGGAATCCAAGAAATTGGATTAATCCTTGCCTAATCCAGGGTCAGAGAGGTTTACTCCTATGTTTTTGTCTAAGCTAAGGCTAGCTTTAGATCTTACGTTTTAGTTCTTTGATCCATTTTGAGTTAATTTTTAATATATGGTGTTAGGTAAGAGTCCAGCTTCATTCTTTTGAATGTAGATGTCCAGTTTCCCCATTCAACCAATGGTCTTGCACCCTTGTCAAAAATCATTTGACCATGTATACAAGGGTTTATTTCTGGACTCTATTCTATTTCATTGGTTTATATGTCTGTCTTTATGCCAGTATTATATTTCCTTGATTACTATAGCTTTTAGTAAGTTTTGACATCAGGAACTGTGAGTCCTCCAAGGTACAGCCAAGATTGTTTTGGCTATTTGGGATCCCTTGAGATTCCATGTGAATTTTAGGTTGGGCTTTTTTATTTCTGCAAGAAACATCATTGAGATTTTAACCGTGATTGCACTGAATCTGCAGATTGCTTTGGTTAGTATGGACATCTTAACAATAGTAAGTTTTCAAATCCATGAACATGGAATATATTTCTGTTTATTTATGTCCTCTTTAATTTCTTTCAGCAATGTTTTGTAGTTTTCATTGTACAAATCTTTCACCTCATTGCTTAAGTTCATTCCTAAGTGTTCTTTTTGATGTTATTGTAAATGTAGTTGTCTTCATAATTTTTTTTGATTGTTCATTGTCAGTATATAGAAACACAACTAATTTTCCTGTGTTGACTTTCTGTTCTACTTTGCTGAATTAATTTATTGCTTCTAATAAGTTTTTTGGTGATATCTTTAGGATTTTCTGCTTATAAGATCATAGCATCTGTGAACAGAGATAATTTTACTTCCTCCTTTCCAATTTGGATGCCTTTTAATTTTTTTCTTCCTAATTGCTCTGGTTGGAACTTCTAGTACTTCATTAAATAGAAGTGGTGAAAATTAGCACACTTGCATTGTTCTTGATCTCAGAGGGAAAGTTTTCAGTCTTTCAGCATTGAGTATGGTGATCTCTGTGGGTTTTACATGTATGGTTTTTATTATGTTGAGGTAGTTTCCTTCTATTCTTAGTTTGTTGAGTGTTTTTATCATGAAAGGGTGTTGAATTTTCTCAAATGGTTTTTTTTGCATCAATTGAGATGATGATGTAATTTTTGTCCTTTATTCTGTAAATGTAGTGTACATTGATCGATTTTCATGTGTTGAACCATCCCTGTATCCCAGGAACAAATCTCACATGGTCATGGTGTATAATCCTTTTAACATGCTACTGAACTTGATTTGTTAGTATTTTATTGAGGATTTTTGCATTAATGTTCATAAGAGATGTAGTTTTCTTATAGCATCTTTGAAGTCAGGGTATCCTTCACCTTATGGAATGAATTAGGAATGTTCCTACTTCTTCAACACATTTGGGAAAAGTCTGAGAAGGGTTGGTGTTAGTTTTTCTTTAAATGTTTGGTGGAATTCGCCAGTGAAGCCCTCAGGTCCGGAGCATTTTAATGTCATGAGATTTTTTATTATTAATTCTATCTCCTTACTAGTTATCAGTCTATTCAAATATTCTATTCGTTCATGATTTACTCTAGGTAGGTGTTGTGTTTTTTAGGAATTCATCCATTTCATCTAGGTTCTCCAATTTTTTGGTATATATTTTTTCATAATACTCTCATGAAATCCTTTTTTATTTCTATAGCATTGGTAGTCATATCTCCATTTTCTTTTCTGATTTGAGTAATTTGAGTGTTTTCTCTTTTTTAATTTTAATTTTAATTTTTTTTTGTTTTGTTTTGAGAGAGAGCCTCACTCTGTTGCCAAGGCTGGATTGCAGTGGCGAAATCTTAGCTCACTGCAACCTCCACCTCCTGGCTTCAGGTGATTCTCCTGTCTCAGCCTCTCCAGTAGCTAGAACCACAGGCACACACCACCACACCTGGCTAATTTTTGTATTTTTAATAGAGATAGAGTTTTGCCATGTTAGCTAGGCTGGTCTCTAAATTATGGCCTCAAGTGATCTTCCCGCCTTGGCCTTGCAAAGTGCTGGGATTACAGGCATTAGCCACTGTGCCCAGCCCCTCTTTTTTTTTTTTTTATTAGTCTATCAAGCTAATGGTTTTCTTTTCATTTTAAGTTCAGGGGTACATGTGCAGGATGTGCAGGTTTATTACATAGGTAAGCATGTGCTACGGTGATTTGCTGCCAGATCATCCTAGGTATTAAGCTGAGCATCCATGAGCTATTCTTCCTCATGCTCTCCCTCCTTCCCCCCATTCTCCAGCAGGCCCCATTGTGTGTTGTTCTCCACTATGTGTCCATGTTTTCTCATCATCCAGCTCCCACTTATAAGTGAGAACATGTGGGATTTGGTTTTCTGTTCCTGCATTAGTTTGTGGAAGATAATGGCCTCCAGCTCCATCCACGTCCCTGCAAAGGACACCATCTCATTCCTTTTTATGGCTGTATGGTATTCCATGGTGTATATGTACCACATTTTCTTTATCCAGTCTATCACTGATGGACATTTAGGTTGATTCCATGTCTTTGCTATTGTGAATAGTGCTGCAATGAAAATACATGTGCATGTATCTTTATAATAGAATAATTTATATTCCTTTGGGTATATACCCAGTAATGGGATTGCTGGGTCAAATGGTATTTCTGCCTCTAGATCTTTGAGGAATCACCACACTGTCTTCCACAATGGTTAAACTAATTTATAGTTCCACCAACAGTGTACAGTGTTCCTTTTTCTCCACAACCTTGCCAGCATCTGTTATTTTTTAACTTTTTAATAATAGCTATTCTGATTGGTGTAAGATGGTATCTCATTGTGGTTTTGATTTGCATTTCTCTAATGTTCAGTGATGTTGAGCTCTTTTCATATGTTTGTTGGCTGCATGTATGTCTTCTTTTGAGAAGTGTCTGTTCATGTCCTTTGCCTACATTTTAATGAAGTTGTTTTTATCTTTTAAATTTGTATAAGTTCCTTGTAGATGCTACATATTTGACCTTTGTCAGATGGATAGATTGCAAACATTTTCTCCCATTCTGTAAATTGTGTGTTCACTCTATTGGTAGTTTCTTTTGCTGTACAGAAGTTCTTTAGTTTAACTAGATCCCATTTGTCAATTTTTGCATTTGTTGCAATTGCTTTTGGTGTCTTCATCATGAAATCTTTGCCCATGCCTATGTTCTGAATGGTATTGCCTAGATTTTCTTCTATGGTTTTTCTAGTTTTTGGGCTTTACATTTAAGTCCTTAATCCATCTTGAGTTGATTTTTGCAGATGGTGTAAGGAAGGGATCCAGTTTCAATTCTCTGCATATGGCTGGCCAGTTATCCCAGCACCATTTATTAAATAAAGAATTCTTTCCCCATTGCTTGTTTTTGTCAGGTTTGTTGAAGATCAGATGGTTTTAGGTGTGCAATCTTATTTCTGGGTTCTCTATTCTGTTCCATTGGTCTCTGAGTCTTTTTGTACTAGTGTAATGCTGTTTTGGTTACTGTAGCCTTGTAGTGTAGTTTGAAGTTGGGTAGCGTGATGGCTCCAGCTTTGTTCTTTTTGCTTAGGATTGTCTTGACTATTTGGGCTCTGTTTTGATTTCATATGAATTTTAAAATAGTTTTTTCTAATTCTGTGAAGAATGTCAATGGTAGTTTAATGGAAATTGCATTGAATCTGTAAATTGCTTTGAGCAGTATGTCAATTTTCATGATATTGATTCTTCCTATTCATGAGCATGGTATATTTTTCCATTTGTTTGTGTCATCTCTGATTTCTTTGAGCAGTGGTTTATAGTTCTCTTTGAAGAGATTCTTCACTTTCCTTGTTAGCTGTATTCCTGGGCATTTTATTCTTTCTGTGACAATTGTGAATGGAGGTTCACTCATGATTTGGCTCTCAGCTTGCCTGTTGTTTGTGTATAGGAATGCTAGCAATTTTTGCACATTGATTTTGTATTTTGAGACTTTGCTGAAGTTGCTTACCAACTTAAGAAGCTTTTGGCCTGAGACAATGGGGTTTTCTAGATATAGGATCCTGTCATCTGCAAACAAAGATAGTTTGACTTCCTCTCTTCCTGTTGGAATCTTCTTTCTTTCTTTGTTTTGCCTGATTGCCCTGGACAGAACTTCCAGTACTATGTTCAATAGGAGTGGTGAGAGAGGGCCTCTTTGTCTTGTGCCAGTTTTCAAGGGGAAATCTTCCAGCTTTTGCCGAATCAGTATGATATTGGCTGTGGGTTTGTCATATGTGACACTTATTATTTTGAAGTGTGTTCCTTTAATACCTAGTTTATTGAGCGTTTTTAACATAAAGGGATGTTGAAATTTATTGAAGGTCCTTTCTGTATCCATTAAGAAATTCATATCTTTAGATCTGTTTATGTAATGTATCACATTTATTGATTTGTGTACATTGAACCAACCTTGCATCTCAGGGATGAAGCCTACTGAATTGTAGTGGATAAGCTTTTTGATGTGCTGCTGGATTTGGTTTGCCAGTATTTTGTTGAGGATTTTTGCATTGATGTTCATCAAGGGTATTGGCCTGAAGTTTTTGTTGTTGGTTGTGTATCTCTGACAGGTTTTGGTGGTGGGCTCCTGTAATCCCAGCTACTCAGGAGGCTGAGGCATGAGAGTCACATGAACCTGGGAGGCAGAGGTTGCAGTGAGCTGAGATTGACCCACTGCACTCCAGCCTGGGTGACAGAGCTAGACTCCATCTCAAAAAAGAAAAAAAAATAAGTTAGGGAAGATTCCCCCTCCTTTTCAATTTTTTGGAATAGTTTCAGTAGAAATAGTACCAGCTCTTCTTTGTACCTTTAGTTGAATTCATCTGTGAATCTCTCTGGTCCTGGGCTTTTTTTTTTTTTTTTTCCCGGCTGGTAGGCTATTTATTTCTGCCTCAATTTCAGAACTTGTTATTGGTCTATTCAGGCATTCTGTTTCTTCCCTGTTCAGTCTTGGGAGGATGTATGTGTCCAGGAATTTATCCATTTCTTCTAGAATTTCTAGTGTATGTGCATAGGGTTGTTTATAGTATTCTCTGATGGTTGTTTGTATCTCTGTGGGGTCAGTGGTGATATCCCCCTTATCATTTCCGATTGTGTTTATATAAATCTTCTCTCTTTTCTTCTTTACTAGTCTAGCTAGCAGTCTATCTGTCTTATTAATCTTAAAAAAGCAGTTATTGGATTCATTGATTTTTTGAAGGGTTTTGTTTTGTTTGTTTTTACCTTCTTCAGTTTAGCTCTGATCTTGATTATTTCTTGTCTTCTACTAGCTTTGGGTTTATTTGCTCTTGGTTCTGTAGCTCTTTTAGTAGTTAAGTTGTCAATTTGAGCTCTTTCTAGCTTTTCGATGTGGGCATTTAGTGCTGTAAATTTTCCTCTTAACACTGCTTTAGCTGCATCCCAGAGATTCTGGTACACTGTATCTTTGTTCTCATTAATTTCAAAGAACTTGATTTCGGCCTTGATTTCATTATTTGCCCACAAGTCATTCAGGAGCAGGTTCCATGTAGTGTTCAGTTTCCATGTAGTGATGTGGTTTTGAATGAATTTCTTAATCTTGAGTTGTTCAGTTTCCATGTGATGTGTGTTTTTGAGTGAATTTCTTACTCTTGAGTTCTAATTTGATTGTGCTGTGGTCTGACAGACTGGTTGTTATGATTTCAGCTCTTTTGCTTTTGTTGAGGAGTGTTTTACTTCTGATTATGTGATCAATTTTAGAGTTAAGTGCCATGTGGCAATGAGAAGAATGTATATTCTGTTGTTTTGGGGTGGAGAGTTCTTTAGATATCTATCAGGCCCACTTGATCCAGAGCTGAGTTCAAGTCCCGAATATCTTTGTTAATTTTCTGTCTTGATGATCTGTCTAATAGTGTTGGTGTGGTGTTAAAGTCTCCCACTATTACTATTTGCAAGTCTAAGTCTCTGAAAGCCTCTAAGAACTTGCTTTATGAATCTACATGCTCCTGTATTGGGTGCATATATATTTAGGATAGTAAGCTCTTCTTGTTGAATTGAACCCTTTACCTTTATGTAATGCCCTTCTTTTGTCTTTTTTGATCTTTTTTAGTTTATTTGTTTGTTTATTTTTGAGATGGAGTCTTGCTCTGTCTCCCAGGCTGGAGTGCAGTGGCACGATCTTGGCTCATTGCAACCTCCACCTCCTGGTTCAAGTGATTCTCCTGCCTCAGCTTCCCGAGTAGCTGAGATTACGGGCACCCACCACCATGCCCAGCTGGTTTTTGTACTTTTTGTGGAGATGGGGTTTAACCATGTTGGCCAGGGTAGTCTCAAACTCCTAATCTCAGGTTATTCACCTGCCTCGGCCTCCCAAAGTGCTAGGATTACAGGCATGAGCCACTGCGCCCAGCCCTTTGTTGGTTTAAAGCCTGTTTTGTCAGAAACTAGGATTGCAACCCCTGCTTTTTTCAATATTTTCCATTTGCTTGGTAAATTTTCCTTCATCCCTTTATTTTGAGCCTATGTATGTCTTTGCAAGTAAGATGGGTCTCTTGAAGACAGCATATTGATGGGTCCTGGTTCTTTATCCAGTTTGCTGCTCTATATCTTTTAATTGGGGCATTTAGCCCATTTAAATTTAAGGTTAGTATTGTTATGTGTGAATTAGATCCTGTCATCATGATGCTAGTTAGTTATTTTGTAGACTTCTTTCTGTGTTTGCTTCATAGTGTCACTGGTCTGTGTATTTCAGTGTGTTTTTGTAATGGCTTTTCCTTTCCATACTTAGTGCTTCCTTCAGGAGCTCTTGCAAGGCAGGTCTGGTGGTAACAAATTCCCTCATCATTTGCTTGTCTGAAAAGGATGTTGTTTCTCCTTTGCTTATGAAGCTTAGTTTGACTGGATATGAAATTCTGGGTTGGAAATTCTTTTCTTTAAGAATGTTGAATTTTGGCCCCCAGTCTCTTCTACCTTCTAGGGTTTCCACTGAGAGGTCTACTGTTAGTCTGATGGCTTGCCTTTGTAGGTGACCTGGCCTTTCTCTCTGGCTGCCCTTAACCATTTTTTCTTTCATTTCAATCTTGAAGAATCTGATTATTATGTGTCTTGGGGATGATCTTCTCAGGGAGTATTTTACTGGGGTTCTCCACATTTCCTGAATTTGAATATTGGCCTGTCATGCTAGGTTGGGGAAGTGCTGGATTATATCCTAAAGTGTGTTTTCCAACTTGGTTCCATTCTCTCTGTCTCTTTCAGGTACCCCAATCAGTTGTAGATTTGGTCTCTTTACATAATCCCATGTTTCTCAGAGGTTTTGTTCTTTTTTTTCATTCTTTTTTCTCTATTTTTGTCAGCCTGTCTTATTTCAGAAAGATAGTCTTCAAGCTCTGAGATTCTTTCTTCCACATAGTCTATTCTGCTATTAATATTTGTGATTGCATTGTGAAGTCCTGTACTGTGCTTTTCAGCTCTAACAGATTAGTTATGTTTCTCTTTAAACTGGCTATTTGGGCTCTCGGCTCCTGTATTGTTTTATCATGATTCTTAGCTTCTTTGCATTGGTTTACAACATGCTCTTTTATCTCAGCGAAGTTTATTACCCACCTTCTGAAACCTACTTCTGTCATTTCAACCATCTCAGCCTCAGCCCAGTTCTCAGCCCTTGCTGGAGAGGTGTTGCAGTCATTTTAAGGAAAAGGGGCACTCTGGCTTTTTGAGTTTTCAGTGTTTTTGCATTGCTTCTTTCTCATCTTAGTGGGCTTATCTACCTTTGATTTTTTACATTGCTGATTTTTGGATGGGTTTTGTTGTTGTTGTTTTCTATTTGTTTGTTTTTCTTTTAACAGCCTGGCAACTCATCCATAGGGCTGCTAAGGTTTGCTGGGGGTCCACTCTAAACCTTAGTTTTCTTGTTTATTTTCTGTACCTTGAGGTATCACCTGTGAAGGCTGTGAAATAGCAAAGATGGCAGCCAACTTTTTTCCTCTAGAAGCTCTATCCTGGGGTACTGACCTATTGCTGGCCCAAATTTGCCTGTAGGAGGTGGCTGAAGACTCCTGTTGGGGGGTCTTACCCAGTCAGGGTCAGGAACCCACTTAAAGAAGCAGTCTGGATGCTTTTGATAGAGCAGCTGTGCTGTATTGGAGATCCCTTCTGCCCCTGATCGGTTTGGGCTCTCCAAGGCCCACAGGCTGGACAAGCTGAGAAGCCAAATGGCCAAGTTGGCAGCCTGCCCCACCCTTCAGGCACTTTGTCCCAGGGACAACACAGGCCAGGGTGACCAGAGGCCCCTGTGGGTGGGACCTGACTGGGAGTACCTGCCCCAGGATCCAAGGAGGAGTGGATCAGGGTCTTGCTTAAAGAAGCAGTCTGGCCATACCTCAACAAAACAGCTGTGCTGTGGTGATGAACTGCCTCTGCCCCTGTCAACTTGGTCTCTCCAAAGCCCACAGTCCAGAACAGCTAAGTCATCCAACCAACCCAGGTGACAGCCCTCCCCTCCTCTGGGCACTTCATCCCAGGGAGAGATCAGAGCTCTGTCCCTAATATGTGCAGGCAGGTGTGGCTGGAGTGTCCAGCTAGAAGGTTCTACCCAGTGAGGAAGAAGCAGTCTGGCTGTGATCTGGCAAAGCTGCTGTGTTGTACTTCTAGGGAAACCCTTCCTTGTCTGGACGGTTTCGACTCTCCAGAGTCCACAGGCTGGAATAGCTGAATTGACCAAACAGCAGAGGTGTTGCCCACCACTCTCCCCTTGAGGCTCCATCCTGTCTCAGGCAGGCTCCGCCCTGTTGCTGATGGCTTACTGGAATTCCAAGACAGTGGGTCTTATCTTGTCAGGTGTGGTGGAAGTGGGGTCTACAGAATGATGCTGCTTGGCTCCCTGGATTCTGCCCCTTCCTAGGGATATATGCAGACCACCTACCTTGCCTGTGTTGCAGAAAGACTGGTGTATTTAAAGCTCCTGGGTTTCTGTGTGTGCCTGAGCAGTTGCTCTGCCAAGACTCTACCCAGTTCTATGTGACAGATCCAAGGCTCTGGTGGCATAGGCTCACAAGGGGATCTCCTGATCCACAGGTTGCAAAGATTCATGGGAGAAGCATGGTTTCCTGGGTCACATAGTCACTAATTGCTTCCCTTGGCTGGGGGTGGGTGTTTCCTTGGCTCCATGTCACTCCTGGTGGGCCATTGCGCCACCCTACTTTTCTTCATTCTCCGTGTATTGAGTTGTTTCCCTAATCAGTCCCAGTGTGAGAACCTGGATGTTTCAGTTGAAAGCTGTATTCACTTGCCTGTTTTGTTCCTTTCTGTGAGTGCTGTGGACCACAGCTGCTTCTAATCGGCCATCTTGGCCCCTCTCCCAATGGTTTTTCAATTTATTGATTCTTTTCAAAGAACCAACTTTTGGTTTTATTGATTTTTCTCTATTTTTCTATTCTTGATTTCATTTCTCTCCGTCTAACCTTTATTATCTACTTTCTTCCACTAGCTTTTGATTTCATTTGTTCTTCTCGCATTCCTTAATTTGCAAAATTGGATTGTTGATTTGAGATCTTTTTTGTTTTTTTAATGTAAGCATTTATAGGTGTAAATTCCCCCTTAGCACTGCTGTTTCTAAGTCCCATAAGTTTCAGTGTGTTTTTTCTTGAGCTTCATTCATCTCCAAATATTTTCTAATTTCTCTTGTGATTTCTTCCTTGATAACATTGGTTGCTTAAGAGTGTGTTGTTTAATTTCCACAAATTTATGAATTTTATAGTTTTATTTCTGCTTTATCTCACCGTGGTTGGAGAAGACACTTCATATGATATATGTCTTTTTAAATTTACTGAGACTTAATTTGTGGCCTAACATGTGGTTCATTCTGGAAAATGTTGCATGTGCCCTTGAGAAACATATATTGCTGTTTTTGAGTAGAGTGTTCTGAATAAGTCTGTTAGATCTAGTTGGTTTATTGTATTAAATCTTCTATTTTCTTATGTATCTTTATCTGGTTGGTGTTGAGAGTGGAGTATTGAAGTCTCCAACTATTGTTGTAGAACTGTCTATTTCTCCCTTTAGTTCTGTTGATTTTTGCTTCATATATTTTGATGGTCTGTCAGTAGGTTCCTCTTTGTGTCTTGTAATCTTTTTTGACTTAAAGTTTATTTTGTCTAATATTAGTGTGGCCACTAATATTAGTGGCCTCTGCTCTCTCTGGTTATTATTTGCATGCTATATCTTTTTCCATCCTTTCAATTTCAATCTATTTTTGTCTTTGGATCTAAAATGAGTATCTTATAGGCAGCATGTAGTTTTATTCATTCTGCCAATCTCTGTCTATTGATTAGACAGTTTAATCGATTTACATTTCAAGTAATTACTGATAAGGAGAGACATTTGTCATTCTGGTATATGTTTTCTATATGCCTTACAGCTTTTTTGTTCCTCGTTTCCTGCATCACTGTTGATATGATTTGGCTGTGTCCTCACCCAAATTTCATCTTGAATTCCCACGTGTTGTGGGAGGGACCCAGTGGGAAGTAATTGAATCATGGGGGCAAGTCTTCCCTGTGCTATTCTTATGACAATGAGTAAGTCTCACGAGATCTGATGGTTTTAAAAAGAGGAGTTCCCCTGCACAATCTCTGTGGTCTCTTTGCTGCCATGTGAGATATGCCTTTCACCTTCCACCATGATTGTGTGGCCTTCCCAGCCATGTGGAACTGTAAGTCCAATAAACTTCTTTCTTTTGTAAATTGCCCAGCCTTGGGTATGTCTTTTTCGGCAGCATGAAAACAGACGAATACAGTAAATTGGTACCAGTAGAGTGGGGCGCTGCTGAAAAGATATCTGAAAATGTGGAAGTGACTTTGGAACAGGGTAACAGGCAGAGGTTGGAACAGTTTGGAGGCCTCAGAAAAAGGCAGGAAAATGTGAGAAAGTTTGGAACTTCCTAGAGACTTGTTGAATGGCTTTGACCAAAATGTTGATAGTGATACGGACAATGAAATCCAGGCTGAAGTGGTCTCAGATGGAGATGAGGAACTTGTTGGGAACTGGATCAAAGGTTCCTCTTGTTATGTTTTAGCAAAGAGACTGGTGGCATTTTGCCCCTGCCATAGAGATGTGTGGAACTTTGGACTTCAGGGAGATGACTTAGGGTATCTGGCAGAATAAATTTCTAAGCAGCAAAGCATTCAATATGTGACTTGGGTGCTGTTAAAGGCATTCAGTTTTAAAAGGGAAACTGAGCATAAAAGTTTGGAAAAGTTGCAGCCTGACAATGCAATAGAAAAGAAAATCCCATTTTCTGGGGAGAAATTCAAACTGGCTGCAGAAATTTGTATAGGTAATGAGGAGCTGAATGTTAGTCCCCAAGACAATGAGGAAAATGTCTCCACAGCATGTCAGAGCCCTTTGTGGCAGCACCTCCCATCATAGGCCCGAGGTTTAAGGGGAAAAAATGGTTTTGTGGGCCAAGCCCAGCATCCATCTGATGTGTGCAGTCTAGGGACTTGGTGCCCTGTGTCCCAGCTGCTCCAGCCCTGACTAAAAGGGGCCAAGGTACAGCTCAGGCTGTTGCTTCAGAGGGTGGAAGCCCCAAGCCTTGGCAGCTTCCACGTGGTGTTGAGCCTGTGGGTGCACAGAAGTCAAGAACTGAGGTTTGGGAACCTCTGTCTAGATTTCAGAAGATGTATGGAAACACCTGGATGCCCAAGCTAAAGTTTGCTGCAGGGGTGGGGCCCTCATGGAGAACCTCTGCTAGGGCAGTGTGGAAGGGAAATGTGGGGTCAGAGCCCCCACACAGAGTCCCTACTGGGGCACCGTCTAGTGGAGCTGTGAGAAGAGGGCTGGCTGCCGTCCTCCAGACCCCACAATGGTAGATCCACTGACAGTGTGCACTGTGCACCTGGAAAAGCCGCAGACACTCAACACCAGCCCACGAAAGCAGCCAGGAGGGGCTGTATCCTACAAAGCCCCAGGGGTGGAGCTACCCAAGGCTGTGGGAGTACACCTCTTGCATCAGAGTGACCTGGATGTGAGATATGGAGTCAAAGGAGATTATTTTGGAGCTTCAAGATTTGACTGCCCCACTGGGTTTCAGATTTGTGTGGGGCCTATAGCCCCTTTGTTTGGCCAATGTCTCCCATTTGGAATGGCTGTATTTACCCAGCACCTGTACCCCCATTGTATCTAGGAAGTAACTAATTTGCTTTTGATTTACAGGCTCATAGGTGGAAGGGTCTTGCCTTGTCTCAGATGAGACTTTGGATTGTGGACTTTTGCGTTAATGCTGAAATGAGTTAAGACTTTGGGGGACTGTTGGGAAGGCATGATTGGTTTTGAAATGTGAAGACATGAGATTTGGGAGGGGCCAGGGACAAAATGATATAGTTTGGCTCTGTCCCTACCCAAATATCATCTTGAATTCCCATGTGTTTTTGGAGGGACCCAGTGGGAGGTAACTGAATCATGGGGGCAAGTCTTTCCTGTGCTATTCTCGTGATAGTGAGTAAGTCTCATGAGATCTGACGACTTTAAAAAGAGGAGCTCCCCTGCACAAGCTCTCTGTTCTCTTGTCTGCTGCCATGTGAGACGTGCCTTTCACCTTCCACTGTGATTGTTAGGCCTTCCCAGCCACATGGAACTGTAAGTCCAATAAACCTCTTTCTTTTGTAAATTGCCCAGTCTTGGATATGTCTTTATCAGCAGCATGAAAACAGACTAATACTACCGTCTTCTTTTGTTTTTAGTTGATTTTTGAAGCAAAACATTTATATTCCTTCCTCATTTCCTTTTGTATGTATAACTATTTTCTTAGTAGTTACCATGGGGACTACATTTAACTTCCTAATGTTATCACATTCTCATTTGAATTTATTCCAGCTTATCTTCATAACATACAATAACTGCTCCTTCAGCAATGTCTTTTCCACCCATTTTGTTATTGATGTCACAAAATTACATCTTTATACAGGTTGAATGCTCCTAATCTAAAAATCTGAAATCTAAAATGCTCCAACATCTGAAACTTTTTGAGCACTGACATGACATGCAATTGATTTTTGGATTAGTGATGTTCAACCAGTAAGTATAATGCAAATATTCCAAAATTTAAAAAAAAATCTGCAACACTTTGGTCCCAAGCATTTCAGATAAGGGATCCTTAATTTGTGCTTTGTATAGTAAACTAATAATTCCTACATTTGGTCTCTTAAATTATGTATAAAACAAAACGTGGAGTTACAAACCAGTTACAGTACTAGTTTTTAGACTAATAATTGTTTTTTAAAATGTGTTAGTCTCTTCGATCATGTAGAAAACAAAAAAGTGGAGTTGCAAACCATTATTACAATAGTACTAGCTTTTATAATTGTCCATGCATTTACCTTTATTGAGATTTTGATTTCTTCATACAGCTTCAAGTTTCTGTCTAGGATCCTCCCACTTCACCTTGCAGGACTCCCTTGAGTATTTCTTGCAGGGCAGGTCTCATGATAATGAACTTCCTCAGCTTTTGTTTATCTGGGAATGTCTTAATTTCTTCTTCGCCTTTTTTTGGTAAGAGACAGGATCTTACTTGTTGCCCAGGCTGAACTCAAGCTCCTGGGCTCAAGCAATCCTCCTACCCCAGCCTCCTGAGTAGCTGAGACTAGAGGCATGCACCTCTGTACCCATCTCTTCCCTTACTTTTTGAAGGACAGTTTTTCTGTATATGAGATTTTTGGTTGACAGTTTTTTTCTTTTACCACTTTGAATATGTTGGCCCACTGTGTTTCATCCTCCATGGTTTCTGATGAGAAGTCTGCTGATCTTATTGAACATTCCTGGTTTGTGACAGGTCATTTTTTTTCTTGCTACTCTGATTATTTTTTGTCTTTTTCTTTTGAAAGTTTGATTATAATGTGTCTCAGTGTTGGTCTCTTTGAGTTTGTCTTACTTTTAGTTTTTGAATGATTCTTAAATGTTTATAGTCATGTCTTTTGTTAAATCTGGCAAGTTTTCAGCCATTATTTCTCTCTGCTCTTTTCTCTCTCTGCTCCTTCAGGTATTCCCACAATGCATATGTTGGTCAGTTTGACAGTGTCCCACAGGTCCCTAAGGCTCTGTTCACCTTTCCTTAAGTTTTTCTCTTTCTGTTCCTCAGACTTGATAATTTCCATTGTCCTGTCTTTAAGTTTGCTGAGTCTTTCCTCTGTTTGTTCAAATGTATTCTTGAATCCTACTAGTAAAGTTTTCATTTCATTTATTCTATTTTTCAGTTCTAGAATTTTATTTGGTTTCTTTTCAGGATTTATCTTCGTGGATATTTCCATTTTGTTCATAGATCTTTTTCTTGAGTCTCTTCACATCTTTTTTTAGTTCCCTGAGCATCTTCAGTTGTTTAAAAGTATTTGTCTAATAGATCTGTTTAGCAGATCTGTCATCAGGTCTTTTTTTGGGAACAGTTGTGTTGATTTTTTTTCTTTGAAGGTGCTATACTTTTCTTTTTCTTTGTCTGGCTTGTCATTTTCTTTGTTGTAAATTGGACATTTGGACCTAATAATATGTAACTGTGGAAATTAGATATTCTCCCTTCTGCAGGGTTTGCTATTCTCTGTGTGTGTGTGTGTGTGTGTGTGTGTGTGTGTGTGTGTGTGTGTGTGTATGTGACTGTCTCTGTGCCAAGGATCAGTCTTAGGTGTCAACTTAAGGTCTTCTCAGTATTTTTGAGCTTGTGCCTTTCTCTGGGTGTGTCATGTTCACCTTCTAATTTCCTCATATATGTAGTTTTTTAAAAAAACATTGTAGTTTTTAATGTCTAGTTTCCAAAAGGGAGAAAAGACAAAAATAAAAGGAGAGAAGGGCACTGTCCCTTTAAATCCCCTGGAAGTTACTTCAGCCAGAGCAGAAGGGGCTTACAACAATGATGGGAGGTACAACAACAATGGCCACCTGCCTCTTTGTACCTCTTTGATCAGAAACAACAATCAGTGATCAGAGCATAAATCTCTGATAGTTAGAGATTCTTATTTGGGTTCTTATTTGCCTACCATGGCTCCCACAGGCCATGTCCAGATTGATCCAGGAATATGTGCAGAGCTCTGCCACACAGCACAGCTGAGGGGTGGAGGATGTGTAGCTGTGCTAAGATCTGAAATTGGTGAAATTAACTGTATCTTACTGTTCAAGCCTTCCCCTGGAAGTTGCAAGTCTTCAATAGACTCCAGAGTCCAAAATAGTTATATGGGACACATTGTGCCAGCGCAATTGTTATCTAGGAGGGGAGACAAATTCCTGGTGCTTCCTACTCTTCTATCTTTCCAGAATTCTGACAAGTAATTAGTTTTTTCCTCATTTGGGAAAAACTTAACAGTGAGGTAGATACTAGTTTTCAGTAAGAAAAAAAAATTTAAATTGTATGTGTATTCATTTGGTAAAACTTTTACCAATAAGCTTTTTTCTAAAGTACAATGCTTAGTGTCCTTCAGAAAAATAAAAAAACAATTTCTTTATATTATGGTTTCTTTTTTTTATTTTCCAGAGATAATACATATGAGAATGCTTAAAGGAGAAAAAAACACTCCTTTAAGTTTGAGGTCAAATTTTATTTCTCAAGAAGGAATATTTCTTAAGTTATAAGGATTAGATAACAAATCAACACGAGGGTCTAGAACCATTGAGCTCTTGTTTAGTAAACTTGGAAAGAGATCGTGAATGGGAAAAGACAGCATGTCAGTTACGGTGTTGAAAATCAGAAAAGAATTTCCTTCCTTGAACTGATTTATTTAAAGTAGCAACAAGACATAAGAGAAAAGGTCCCAAATTAGGAATCAAAAGTCCTGTGTCCTAGTATGTGATGTTAAGCAGAACATTATAAAGATACCATTCTAACACATAAGAAAATAGACTAGTAGATCAGTAAATATAAGCAAAATGGTATTATGTTTGCTCTTGACTAGTTAGTGAGGATTTATAAGTACTGTGATGTCACTAAGTAAAAGGCAAAGTTCTTAAAATGGTTGACACGGCTGGGCGTGGTGGCTCACACCTGTAATCCCAGTACTTTGGGAGGCCTAGGCAGGCAGATCACAAGTCAGGAGATCGAGACCATCCTGGCCAACATGGTGAAACCCCGTCTCTACTAAAAATACAAAAATTAGCCAGGTGTGGTGGGACGTGCCTGTAATCCCAGCTACTCGGGAGGCTGAGGCAGGAGAATCGCTTGAACCCAGGAGTCGGAGGTTACAGTGAGCCAAGATCGCCACTGCACTCCAGCCTGACAACACAGCGAGAGACTCCGTCTCAAAAAAAAAAAAAAAAAAGGTTGACACTAGTTTCCATAATACCATCTGAGCTCACCTTCTCCTATTTCTCCTTTTTTGAAAAAAACCGAATCCCAAATGTAATACAATGCTGTTTCTTCTTAATCCTGCTCCAGCTACAAGTGGCCCCAGGTTGTTCCTTGACCATAGCAGCCATACACACTCCTGTCTCATGACCTTTGTACTGGCTGCCCCCTCTGCTGAAAACAAAAACACTCTCCCAGTAATCTGCACTGCTCACTCATTCACTTCCTTCAGTTCTTTGCTAAAGTGTCGCCTCAGTGAGACTTCTCCAACCTCTGTATTTAAAACTAACCAAGCCTTCCCTAATTCCTTTGTAATTATTTCCACATAGCATTTATCACCATCTAATATTCAATATATATTTAACTCATTCGTCTCTCATGTACCAAAAAGAAATGGAATATAAGTTTCAAGAAAGGGGAATTCTCTACTGTATCTTTCTCTATTGTACTGGAATATCCCTACTTTTTAGAGTTGTTTGTGGCACACAAGAGGGACTCAGTAAATACTTGTTGAATGAAATGTATGAGGAGAAGTGGAAATCTTGATTCTATCATTTCACACTCAAATTATTATCATAGAATAGAATTATCATGTTAATTAGCTTTAAGAGATAGCTTTGTTTTATTTCAAGCTCAAGATGCTTTTTAAATTTAATTTCTTACTCTCTACTTGCTTAAGTAAAAAAATATAATTGCTGGCTGGGTGTGGTGGCTCACATTTATAATCCCGGTGCTTTGGGAGGCCAAAGTCAGAGGATCACTGGATGCCAGAAGTTCAAGACCAGCCTGGGCAACATAGCAAGACCCTGTCTCTACAAGAAAAATTTAAAAATTTGCTACATGTGGTGGCACCCACTTGTAGCTCTTGCTACCCAGGAGACTGAGGTGGGAGGATTGCTTGAGTCCAGTACAAGTGTTCAAGGCTGCAATGAGCTATGATCGTGCCACTGCACACCAGTCTGGGTGACAAAGTAAGTCCTTTTCTCTTAAAAAAAATAAAAATAAAGTTGCTAGGGTTAATGTGTCTTTAAATTAGTCACATATAATTTGGAGCCATTCTGGGGAGGAATTAGAAGCATACTGGGTGAAGGTGAATCTCTAAAGTGTTTAAGGACTTGGAGAAAAGTACCAAATGCCTTTCGTTGATACAAACAAGCCCATGCATTAGTTAGAATCTCACTTAGTGAGATTTCCTTCGTTCTGTTCTGATACTAGTCTACTTGTAATATGTGGTCTTTTTGTTGATATATAATATTTGTACATGTTTATGGAATACATGTGGTATTTTGATACATGAATAAAATGTGTAATGATCAAATCAGGGTATTTAAGATATCTATGACCTCAAACATTTATTATTTATTTGACTTGGGAACATTTCAAATCTTCTTTTCCAGTTATTCTGAAATATGGAATATATTGTTGTTAACTGCAGTCACCCTACTGTGCTATCAAACACTAGAACTTATTCTTTCTATCTAACTGTATTTCGTACCTACTAACCAACCTCTCCACCAGCACCCTGCCACACACATACCCTTCCCGTCCTCTAGTAACTATCATTCTATTCCCTACATCACTGAAATCAACTTTTTTAGCTCCCACATATGAATGAGAACATGTGATATTTGTCTTTCTGTGTCTGGCTTAATTCATTTAACAATAATGACCTCTAGTTCCATACACATTGCTGCAAATGACAGGATATCATTCTTTTTTTGTGGCTGAATAGTATTCCACTGAGTATATATACCACATTTTCTTTTTTTCAAATTTTATTCACATGTTTTATTCATTCATCCATTAATGAACATTTAGATTGATTTCATATGTTGCTATTGTGAATAGTCCTGCCATAAACAAGAGGATATGGGTATCCCTTTGATATACTGATTTCCTTTCCTTTGAATAAATACCCAAGAGTGAGATTACTAGATTTTGTGTTAGTTGTATTGTTAGTTTGTTGAGGAAACTTCATTCTGTCTTCTGCAAGGGCTGTACTAATTTACTTTCCAACCAACAGTGTATAATATAGAGTTCCCTTTTCTCCGCATCCTCACAAGCATCTGTTATTTCTTGCCTTTTTGATAAGAGCCATTCTAACAAGGGTAAGATTTTGTCTCATTGCGTCTTGGATTGGCATTTCCCTGATAATTAATTATGTTGAACATTTTTTCCATATACCTGTTGTCCATTTTTAAGTCCTTTTTTTTTTCCCTGTAACCAGGGGTGAGAGAGGTATGTCTTCTTTTGAGAAATGCCTACTCAGATCCTTTGCCCACTTTTTCATGGGATTATTAGTTTTTTTGCTGTTAAGTTGTTTGAATTCCTCAGGTATATGTGTTGTGTTAGATAAAAAACACAAAAAGTTGTTTGAGTTCCTTGCTTATTCTGAATATTAGTTCCTTGGGAGATGAATGGTTTGCAAATATTTTCTCCTATTTAGCATGTTGTCCTTCTCACTCTGTTGATTGCTTCCTTTGCTGCATAGAAGCTTTTTAGTTTATATAGTCCCATTTGTTTATTTTATTTTTGTTGCCTGTGCTTTTGAAGTCATGGCCACAAATTTTTTGCCTAGACCAATGTCTGAGAGCATTTTCCCTATTTTCTTCTAGTAGTTTCATAGTTTTGGGTCTTATGTTTAAGTCTTTCATCAATTTTGGGTTGATTTTTGTATATTGTGAGACATAGGGATCTAGTTTCATTTTTCTGTACTTGGATATCCAGTTTTCCCTGTACCATTATTGAAGAGGATGCCTTTCCCCAATTTATATTCTTAATGGCTTTGTTGAAAATCAGTTAGCTGTAAATACATGCATGTATTCCTGGAGTGTCTATTCTGTTTCATTGGTTTATGTGTCTGTTTTTATACCAATATCTTGCTGTTTTAGTTACTACAGCTTTTTAATATATTTTGAAATCAGGTATGTGATGCCTCCAGCTTTGTTTTTTTTTACTCAGGAACACTATGGCTATTTGAGCTCTTTAATGGTTCTATACAAATTTTAGGATTTTTTTGTATTTATATAAAGAATGTCATTGGTGTTTTGATAGGGATTACATTGAATCTGTAGATTGCTTTGGGTAGTATGGTCATTTTAACAATAGTAATTCTTCTGAGTCATGAGCATGGGATATCTTTCCATTTGTTTGTGTCCTCTTAACATTCTTTCATCAGTGTTTTGAAGTTTTCCTCGTAAGCGTCTTTCACTTTCTTGGTTTAATTTATTCCTAAGTATTTTATTTTTTGTAGCTATTGTAAATGAGATTGTTTTCTTTTTTAGCCAGTTTATTATTGGCACATAGAAATGCTGCTGATTTTTATATGTTGATTTTGTATCCTGCAATTTTACTAAATTCATTTATTCTAGGAGTGTTTTTGGTGGAGTCTTTAGGTTTTATATATATATATATGTATTACATATATATATCCATGTATATATAATACACACACACACATATATCCATGTTATCTACAAAGAGGGACAGTTTGACTTCCTCTATTCCAATTTAGATGACATTTATTTATTTCTCTTGCCTGATTGCTCTGGCAAGGACTTCCAGTACTATGTTGAATAAAAGTGATGACCCTATCTCTAAATAAATAATAAAAATGAAGTGGTGGAACTGGGTATCCAATGTCTTGTTACAGGTCTTTCAGCTTCTCCCCACTCAGTATTATGTTAGCTATGCATTTGTCAGATATGACCTTTACTATGCTGAGGCATGTTTCTTCTATGCCTAATTTGTTAAGAGTTTTAATCATGAAAAGAAGTTGAATTTTATAAAATTCCTTTTCTCTGTCTCTTGAAATGATCATATTGTTTTTGTCTTTCATTCTGTTGTTGTGAGGTATCACATTTATTGACTTGCATGGGTGGAACCATCCTTTCATCTGATGTATTATCCTTTTATGGTGCTGTTGGATTCACTTTGCTAGTATTTTGTTGAAGCTTTTTTGTGTCTGTGTTCATCAGGGGTATTGGCCTGTAGTTTTCTATTTCCATTATGTCCTTGTCTGGTTTTGGTATCAGGGTAATACTGGCCTCACAGAATGAGTAAGGAAGAATTTCCTCCTTTGAATTTTCTGAAATAGTTTGAGAAGAATATGTGTTAGTTTTTCTTTACAAGTTTGATAGCATTTGGAAGTAAAGACATCCGGTGCTGAGCTTTTCTTTGTTGGGAGACTTTTTATTACTGATTCAATCTCATTCCTTTTTTTTTTTTTTTTTTTTTTTTTTTTGAGACAGAGTCTCACTCTGTCGCCCAGGCTGGAGTGCAGTGGTGCGATCTCCCCTCACTGCAAGCTCCGCCTCCCGGGTTCACGCCATTCTCCTGCGTCAGCCTCCCGAGCAGCTGGGAGTATAGGCACCCGCCACCATGCCTGGCTAATTTTTTGTATTTTTAGTAGAGACGGGGTTTCACTTTGTTAGCCAGGATGGTCTCGATCTCCTGACTTCGTGATCCGCCTGCCTACGGCCTCCCAAAGTGCTGAGATTACAGGTGTGAGCCACTGCTCCCAGCCCATTACTTGTTATTGGTCTATTCAGGTTTTCTCTTTCTTCCTTATTCATTCTTTTCTTTTCTTTTTTTTTTTTTTTTTGAGACGGAGTTTCGCTCTTGTTGCCCAGGCTGAAGTGTAGTGGCGCGATCTCGTCTCGCCGCAACCTCCGCCTCCCGTGCTCAAGCAATTCTCCTGCCTCAGTCTCCCGAGTAGCTGGGATTATAGGCATGCGCCATCACACCAGGCTAATTTTTTTGTATTTTTAGTAGAGATGGGGTTTCTCCATGTTGGTCAGGCTGGTCTCGAACTCCTGACCTCAGGAAGCCCACCTTGGCCTCCCAAAGTGCTGGGATTACAGGCATGAGCCACGGTGCCCAGCCCTGATTTATTCTTAGTAGATTGTATGTGTCCAGGAATTTATCCATTTCCTCTAGCTTTTCTAATTTGTTAGCATATAGTTCTTTATAAGTCTCTGATGATTTCTTGTATTTCTGTGGTATCAGTTGTAATGTCTCCCTTTTTGTTTGTGATTTTGCTAATTCACATCCTCTCTCTTATTTTCTTGGTTAGTCTAGCTAGTGATTTATCAATTTTGTTTATCTTTTCAAAAAACTAACTTTTCATTCCATTGACCTTTGTATTTTTTTTTAAAGTCTCTATTACATTTAGTTCTGCTCTGATCTTTATTGTTTCTTTCCTTCCGCTAATTTTGGATTTGGTCTGCTCTTGCTTTTCTAGTTATTGAGGGGGCATCCTTAGCTTGATTATTTGAAATGTTTCTACTTCTTGATATACGCATTTATTGCTATGAAATTCCCTCTTAGCACTTCTTTTGCTACATCCCATGGGTTTTGATATGTTGTGTTTCCATTCTCATTTGTCTCAAGACGTTTATTTCCTTCTGTCTTCTTCATTGACCCAATGGCTGTTAAGCATGTTATTTAATTTCCATGTATTTGTATAGTTTCCAAAGTTCCTGTTGTTATTGATTTCTAGTTTTATCCTATTGTGATCTGAAAGGTATTTGATATGATTTTGATTTTTTTTTTAAATTTAGACTTGCTTCGTGGCCTAGCATATGGTCTATACTAGAGAATGTTCCATGTGTTGATGAGAAGAATGTATATTCTGTTGCTATTGGATAAAATATTCCATGCATGTCTTTTAGGTACGTTGATCTGAAGTGCAATTTAAATCTAATGTTCCTTTGATGATTTTCTGTCTTGACGATCTGTCTAATATAGAGAGTAGGGTGTTGAAGTCTTCAACTATTATTGTATTGGAGTCTATCTCTCCCTTCAGATCTAATAATATTTGCTATATATAACTGGATGTTCTGGTGTTAAGTTCATATATATTTAGAATTGTATCTTCTTTTTTTTTTTTTTTTTTTTTTTTTTGAGACGGAGTCTCGCTCTGTCGCCCAGGCCGCTGCAAGCTCCGCTTCCCGGGTTCACGCCATTCTCCTGCCTCAGCCTCCCGAGTAGCTGGGACTACAGGCGCCCGGCTAATTTTTTGTATTTTTAGTAGAGACGGGGTTTCACCTTGTTAGCCAGGATGGTCTCGATCTCCTGACCTCATGATCCACCCGCCTCGGCCTCCCAAAGTGCTGGGATTACAGGCGTGAGCCACCGCGCCCGGCCCGAATTGTATCTTCTTACCGAACGAATCCCTTTATCATTATATGGTGACCTTGTTTATTTATTTATAATAGATTTAGGGGGTACAAATACAGCTTTGTTACATGGGTATATTGCGTAGTGTTGAGGTCTGGGCTTTTAGTGTAACCATCACCTGAATAGTGTTTATTGTACCCATTAGGTAATTTTTCATCCCTTACCCGCCTCCCACCTTCCCACCTTTCCAAGTCTCTAATACCTGTTATTCCAATCTGTATGTCCATGTGTGCATACTATTTATCTTTCATTTAGAAGTGAGAACATGCAGTATTTTGCTTTCTGTTTTTGTTATTTTACTTGAGATAATGGCCTCCAAATCCATACATGTAGCTGCAAAAGACATTATATTATTTTTTTCATGGATACATAGTATTCCATATATATATTTACCACATTTTCTTTATCCAATCATCCATTGATGGTTATTTAGGTTGATTCGGTATCTGTCATGACTAGTGCTGTGATAAACATGAGTGCATGTATCTTTTTGATAAAATGATTCTTTTCCTTTGAGTATATGCCCAGTAGTTGGATTGCTGGATCAAAGGGTAGTTCTATTTTTAATTCTTTGAGAAATCTCTATACTGTTTTCCATAGAAGTTGTCTAATTTACATTTCTACCAACATTTATAAGTGTTCCCTTTTCTCTGCATCTTTGCCAACATCTGTTATTTTTTGACTTTTTAACAGTAGCCATTCTGACTGGTATAAGATGGCACCTCATGGTTTAAATTTGCATTTCTCTGATGATTAGTGATGTTGAATATTTTTTCATATGCTTTTTGGGCATTTTTATGTTTACTTTTGAAAAATGTCTATGTTCTTTGCTCACTTCCTAATGCTTTTTGTTGTTGTTGACTTGTTTGAATTCCTTGTAGATTCCAGATATTAGTCCCTTGTCAGATGCACAGTTTGCAAATATTTTCTCCCATTCTGCAGGTTGTCTGTTCTTGTCTGTCTATTTCTTTTACTCTACAGAAGCATTTGTTTAATTAAGTCCCATTTGTCTATATTTGTAATTGGTGCATTAGCTTTGAAATCTTAGTCTTGAATTCTTTGTGTAGGCCAATGTCCAGAAGAGTTGTTCCTAGGTTTTCTTGTAGAATTTTTAGTTTTCGCATCATACATTTCAGTCTTTAACTCATCTTAATTTTTGTATATGATGACAGATAAATCCAGTTCATTCTTTTGCATGTGGCTATACAATTTTCCCAGCACCGTTTATTGAGTAGGGTGTCCTTTCTCTGATGTATGTTTTTGTCAACTTTGTCGAATATCAGTTGGCTATAGGTATGTGGCTTTATTTCTGGGTCTTCTATTCTGTTCTGTTGATCTATATGTCTATGTTTATACCAGTACCATGCTGTTTGATTACTATAGACTTATAGTATAATGTGGAGTTAGGTAATGTGATGCCTGCTTTTGCTATTTGGGTTCTTTTCAGTTCCATATGAATTTTAGGATTTTTTTTTTCTAATTCTGTGAAAAATGTCATTGCTATTTTGATAGGAATTCTGTTAAGTCTGTAGATTGCTTTGGGCAATGTGGTCATTTTAACAACATTGATTCTTCTAATCTGTGAGAATGGAATGTTTTCCCATTTATTTGTGTCCTCTTAACTCTCTTTCATCAGTATTTTGTAGTTTTCCTTGTAGACATCTATCACTCCTTGTTTAAATGTATTCCTAGGGTTTTTTTTTTTGTTCTTTTTTTTTTAACTATTGGAAATGGGATTGACTTTTGATTTGGTTCTTAGCATGATTATTATTGCTGTATAGAAATGCTACTGATTTTTGTCGATTTTGTATCCTGGAACTTTACTGAATTCATTTATCAAATCTAGCAGTCTTTTGGAGAGGAGTCTTTAGGGTTTTCTAGATATAAGATCATTTCATCAGCAAACAAAGATAATCTGACTTCCTCTTTTCCCATTTTGATGGCTTTTATTTTTTTCTCTTGCCTGATTGCTCTGGCTAGGACCTCCTGTACTGTGCTGAATAGCAGTGGTGAACATGGACATACTTGTCTTGTTCTAGTTCTTAAGGGAAATTCTTTCAACTTTTTCCCAGTGTGTTATTGGCTGTGGGTTTGTTATACATGGCTTTTATTGTTTTGAGGTATGTTCCTTCTATGCCTTGTTTGTTGAGGGCATCATGATAGGATGGTCAATTTTATCAAATGCTTTTTCTAATCTATTGAGATGATAATATGGTTTTTGTTTTTCATTCACTTGATGTGATGAATCACATTTATTGATATGCATATGTTGTACCAACCTTGCATCCCTTGCAAAACCCACTTGATCATATTGTATTATCTTTTTGATGTGCTGTATGATTTTGTTTGCTTGTATTTTGTTAAGGAATTTTGCACCTATGTTCATGAAAGGTATTAGTCTGTAATTTTCTTTTTTTGTTGTGTTCTCTACTGATGTTGGTAGCAAAGTGATACTTTGTAGAATTAGGGAAGAGTCCCTCCTCTTCAGTGTTTTGGGACAGTTTCAGTTGGATTGGTAGCACTTCTTTTATGTCTGATAAAATTTGGCTGTGAATCTGTCTGCTCCTGGGCTCTTTTGTTGTTGTTGTTGTTGTTATTTGGGGGAGATATTTTTAAATTACTAATCATATCTCACTACTTATTATTGTTCTGCTCAGGATTTCTATTTCTTCCTGGTTCAATCTTGGGAGGTTGTATAGATTCCACAAATTTATCCCCTTCCTCTAAATTTTCCAGTTTGTGAGCATATAAATAGTCATAGTAGTCTCTGATGATCTTTTGCATTTCTGTAGTATCAGTTGTAATGTCTCCTTTTTCTTTTCTGATTGTGCTTATTTGAATCTTCTTTCTTCCTTCCTAGGTTAGTTGACCTAGTGGTCTACCAATCTTGTTTATTTCTTCAAATGAACAACTTTTTGTTTTGTTGATCTTTTGTATTGTGTTTTTGGTCTCAAGTTCATTTAGTTCTGCTCTGAGCTTTGTCATTTCTTTTCTTCTGCTAGCTTTGGGTTTGGTTTGTTTCTTTTGTTTCTTGATGTGTAACATTATGATGTTAATTCAGGATCTTTCTTTTTTTAATGTAGGTGTTTAATGCTAATACTGCTTTTGCTGTTTGTCAAAGGTTTTGATATGTTGTGTCTCTGTTTCCTTTTGTTTCAAAAATGTAAATTTTTGTCTTTTGTCATTGACCCAAAAATCATTCAGGAGCAGGTTGTTTAACTTTCATGTATTTGTATAGTTTTGAGAGTTTCTTTTTTTTTTTTTTTTTTTTCCTGAGACGGAGTCTTGCTCTGTCGCCCAGGCTGGAGTGCATTGGTGCGATCTCAGCTCACTGCAAGCTCCGCCTCCTGGGTTCATGCCATTCTCCTGCCTCAGCCTCTCCGAGTAGCTGGGACTACAGGCGCCCGCCACCACGCCCGGCTAATTTTTTTTATATTTTTAGTAGAGACGGGATTTCACCGTGGTCTCGATCTCCTGACCTTGTGATCTGCCTGCCTCGGCCTCCCAAAGTGCTGGGATTACAAGCGTGAGCCACCGCGCCCAGCCAGTTTTGAGAGTTTCTTTTGGAATCACTTTATAGTTTTATTCCACTGTGGTCTCAGAAGATACTTGATATGATTTCAATTTCTAAAATGTACTGAGGCTTATTTTGTTGCATAACATGTTGTCTATCTTGGAGAATGTTCCATGCACTGATGAGAATAATGTATATTCTGCAGTTATTGGGTAGAATATTCTGTAAATGTCTGTAAGGTCCATTTGGTCTACAGTGATTAAGTCCAGTGCTTCTCTGTTGATTTTTCTGTCTTGATGATCTGTTTGGTGCTGTCAGTAGAGTGCTGAAGTCCCCACTATTAGTGTAATGCATCTCTTTTCTTAGGATTGTGGTATTTTCCATTGGACTGGTCCTTGTATAATTATATAATGTCTCTCTTTGTCTTTTTTAACTGTTCTTGTTTTAAAGTCTGTTTTGTTTGATATGAGAATAGCTACTCCTGCTTGCTTTTGGTTTCCATTTGCATGGAATATCTTTTTCCACTCCTTTACCTTAAGTCTATGTGAGTCTTTATGCATTAGCTGAGTCTCTTGAAGACAACAGATACTTCATCGGTGGATTTTTGTCCATTCTGCCATTCTTTACCTTTTAAGTGAAGCATTTAGGCCATTTACATTCAGCATTATTTTTGAGATGTCAGGTACTGTTTTATTCTTCATGCTAGATGTTGCCCAAATACCTTGTGGGTTTTTTGTTGTTGTTTGTTTTGCTTTTTTCATTTCATTATTGTTTTATAGGCCCTGTGAGATTTATGCTTTAAAGAGGTTCTATTTTGGTGTATTTGGAGGTTTTAAGGTTTAAAGCTCCTTTTAGCAGTTCTTGTAGTGCTGGCATGGTAGTGGTGAATTCTCTCAGCATTTGTTTGTCTGAAAAAGACTTTATCTCTCCTTCATTTATGATGCTTAGTTTTGCTGGACACAGAAGTCTTGGCTGGCAATTATTTTGTTTGAGGAGGCAAAAGATAATACCCCAATCCCATCTGGTTTATAGGGTTTCTGCTGAAAAATCTGTTGTTAATCTGATATCTTTTCCTTTATAGGTTACCTGATGCTTTTGCCTCAGAGCTCTTAAGATTCTTTCCTTTGTCTTGACTTTTGATAACCTGATGACTGTTTGCCTAGGTGATTATTTTTTGTGATGAATTTCCAAGGTGTTCTTTGAACTTCTTCTTCTTCTTCTTTTTTTTTTTTTTTTTTAACGGAGTTTCACTTTTGTTGCCCAAAGCTGGAGTGCAATGGCATGATCTCGGCTCACTGCAACCTCCACCTCCCAGGTTCAAGCGATTCTCCTGCTTCAGCCTCCCAAGTAGCTAGGATTACAGGCACTACAGGTGTGCACCACCACACCCAGCTAATTTTTAGTATTTTTAGTAGAAACAGTGTTTCACCATGTTAGCCAGGCTGGTCTCGAACTCCTGACCTCAGGTGATCCTCACACCTTGGCCTCCCAAAGTGCTGGGATTACAGATGTGAGCTACTGCACCTAGCCTCTTTGAACTTCATATTTAGATGTCTAGATCTCTAGTGAGCTCAGGGAAGTTTTCCTCAATTATCATCACAAATATGTCTTCCAAGAAGATTTCTCTTCTTCGCCAGGAACACCAATTATTTTAGGTTTGGCTGTTTAACATAATCTCAAACTTCTTGGAGGCTTTGATCATTTAAAAGAAATGTTTTTTCTTTGTCTTTGTCTCATTGGGTTACTTTGAAAGCCTTTTCTTTAAGCTCTAAAGTTCTTTCTTCTACTTGTTTGATTCTATTGTGGAAACTTTCCAGTGCATTTTGTATTTCTCTAAGTGTGTCTTTCATTTCCAGAAGTTGTGATTGTTTTTTCTTTATGATATCTGTTTCTCTGAAGCATTTTTCCTCCATATCCTGTATTGTCTTTGAAATTTATTTAAGTTGGCTTTTACCTTTCTCTGGTATCTCCTTGAGTAGCTTAATAATCAGCCTTCTGAATTCTTTATCTGGCAGTTCAGAGATTGCTTCTTGGTTTGGATCCATTGCTGGGGAGCTGGTGTGGTCTTTTGGGGGTGTTATAGAACCTTGTTTTGTCATATTGCCAGAATTGCTTTTCTGATTTTTTTCTCATTTGGATACACTATTTCAGTGGAAAAATCTGGAACTCAAGGGCAGCTGTTCAGATTCTTTTGTCCCACAGGGTGAACCCTTGATGTGGTACCCTCCCCCTTTCCCTAGGAGCCAGATTGTGGTGATTGTTCTTGCTATTCTAGGTCTAGCCACTCAGCAGGGCTACCAGGCTATTGGCTGGTTCTGGGGAATGTCTGCCGAGTCCTGTGATGCAATTTGTCTTCGGGTCTACCAGCCGTGGATACCAGCACCTGTTCTGATGGAGGTGGCAGGGGAGTCAGGTAGACTCTGTGAGAGTCCTTGGTTGTAAATATGTTTACTGTGTTGTCTTTCTTGAATGCTGGTTATGCTAGCAGCGAAGTTGTCATGTGGACAGACTCGGGACCACTGGTTAGCCAGGATGTTTCAGGCAGTGGAATTAGCTGCTGTTTTTTCCTTCATTAGAGCAGGGTTGTTCTGTTATGAGTTGCTATAATGTTCTGAGTTGGTTAACCTTGAGCCAGGAGGTGGTGCTTTTGAGAGTGCGCCAGCCAGCTGCAATAGTAGAGGGGGATATAAGCTTGCTCTAATTTGGCCAGGACAAGTATTCAGGCTTCTCAGGTGATGGATGGGATCATAAAGCTCCCAAGAGTTTATGTCTTTTGTGATTCACTATTGGACCGGGTAGAGAAATACTATCAGGTGCAGGCAGGATTAGGTAGGTTTGAGCTCAGACTCTCCTTGGGTGGGGGTTGCTGTGGCCACTGTGGGGAGATCAGGGGATGGTTCTTGGGCCAATGGAGTTATGTTCCAGAGGGAATTATGGCTGCCTCTGTCACCAGGGAAGTGGGCGAAAGCTGGTAGCAACAGGCCTCACCCAGCTCCCACACAGTTGGCAAGGCCAGTCTCACTCCCACCGTGCCCTGCTAACCGTGCCAAGTTTATCTCTAGGCAGCCTGCAGCCTGGGACTCAGATCTAGTCCCAGGCTCTAAGTTTCCCCACTGAGGAAGCAAGCACTGCTTTCAGGCCACACCTTTGCCAATCTGCCACACTGTCAGCCGCATCTCCACTGTGCTTTCTGCAACAGTTCCTGTTTGCCCCCAGATTCTTCTCAAGAGGGTTTGCACCCAGTCAAAATTATTACAAAGTTCAGTTGGAAGCTTCTTTCACCCTGTGACCCCTCTCAAATTCTGCCAGTTGCCTTCCCCGAGGGCTCTTGTGAGATAGAGTCAGGGATGGCTTCCCTGGGCTTGAGCTGGAGAATGGGACTGCCTACAAGGCTTGTCCCACTGCTGCTTCTACTTTTACATTTCACAGCAAATCAATTTCAGCTCTAGGTAAGGCTAAATTCTTCTCCCGTAATCTGGATTTTTCAGGTTCCTCAGTGGGGACGTGTGCTTGGAAGCAGATGTGTCCCCTCTCAGACTTTGGGAACTTACGAATTTTCACCTGTCTTGCAGAATTTGCAATAGCCTGCCACTTCTTTCAAAGGATCTGTGATTTCTTTTGTTTTTCCTGGTATGCTCCTGCAGTTGTTCCTGGAGCAAACGACCACAGAGTGAGTGTCCACACGCTGTTCTGTCCATCCAAGTGGGAGCTACTTATCAGCCCTGTCCCCTATCTGCCATCTTCCCTCTCTTTCAATATGCTTTTTTAATATTATGATTTTGAATTCCTTTTCTGGCATTTCATCAATTTTTTTGTTGCAATCTGTTGCTGGAGAATTGTATTCCTTTGGAGGAGTCATATTTTCTTGCATTTTTATGTTTCTTGTGTTCCTATGCCAATATCTCTGCATCTGGTGTAACAGTCACTTCTTCCAATTTTTGAATTGGCCTTCATAGGAAAGACTTCTTCCTACATATGTATCTATAGTGATAGTTGGGTAGGGCACTTTAGCTTTGATACTGGAGCATACAGTAATTGCGTGTCCATGATTTTTTGGCTGTAATTACTATCAGTGGTGTCTATGAATTCCTTAGTGACTTAAACTGCAGTTGTTATTGGAAGCTGTGGTGAGGCTTTGCTGGGGATGGGGACACAAGGTGAGCTGGTCTTCAGGCCTCAGTGGTGGCAGCAGTAGACTGAGCCTGCCTGTCCTTGGGACCCCAGGTAGCATACGTGGGCACTGGTGTTAGCAGGTCCAGGCAGACCAATCTTTGGACCTCCAGATGGCTTGCTCAGGTGCCAGCAGTGGCGATGGTGGGTGGCTCTTCAGGTTCCTGGGTGGCATGCATGGGGTTGCCAATAACATTGATGGTGGTAGACCAACCCTCTGGCTCCTAGGCAGTATCCATAGGGTACTAGTGGTGGCAGTAGTGAGCTGGGCGGCCCCATCCTTAGTCCCCTAGGAGGAGTATGTGGACGCTGCAGATGCTGGTGGTGGTGGGTCAATCTCCAAGTCCATGGATGATGTATGCAGGTACCAATAGGCTGAGCAGACTCACCCTCAGGCACCTGGTAGGGGTGGGTAGAAGCTGACCACAGGCAGGGTGAGCTGACCACAGGCAGGGTGGGTTGATCCCCAGGCCCCAACAATGCACAGAAGCACTGGTGGGCATGACACCACATGGGTCAAGCCTGTCATCAGCTTCCCAATGGTGGGCACAAGCACAGGCTGTGATGGTCAGGGCTGCTCAATCTCCAGGCTCCCAGTCAGTGTCCATTGGTGCCAGCAGGGTGGGTGGCCCTGTCCTCAGGCCCAGTGAGGGTTTGCATGGGTTTCTGTGGCAGGGGTCAGGGCAGCTCATAAGGGTCTTTTTTTTTCTTTTCATTATACAATGCTATATAAAAATAAAGGTCTTTAAAAATTGTTGTTGTTGGGTTTTTTGTTATTGCTATTAATATATTCAGATTGACAATCAGTAGTTTAGGCCACTTGGTATCACTCTTTTTTTTTTTTTTTTTTTTTTTTTTTTGAGACAGGATCTCTCTGTCGCCCAGGCTATAGTGCAGTAGCTTGATCAAAGCTCTCTACAGCCTTGACTTCCTGGGTACAAGTGACCCTCTCACCTCAGCCTCCTGAGTATATGGGATGACAGGCATGTACCACCATACCCAGATAATTTTTTTTATTTGTAGAGGTGAGGTATTATGTTTCCCAGACTGGTCTTGAACTCCTAGGCTCAAGCAATCCTCCTGCCTTGGCCTCTCAAAGTATTGGCATTACAGGTGTGAGCCACTGCCCCTGTCTTCTTTTTTAAGTAATATCTACTTATGGTATCATATATTATAAATCTAGTTGTTGTCTTTCATCTAGATAGCAGTTAGCCTCCTAAAACTCGGGCTTTCATCCTTCAACTCTCTTGAGTAAAATAAGCATTTAGTATCTTGTACCTCCCACATATAACAGTTTTAAAATTCATACCAGAGGAGACACATGTGTGTACAAGTCAACAGCCTTATTGATCCCAGAGTCTTATGAGAAGACATAGCATGCACAGGAAAACTTCTAATACAAAAAGAGCACCTGGTATTAAGTGAAGTTACCATGCCAGTTAAGCAACTGGCGTATGAACTCATTTAATTCTCACAATAGCGTGAGGAGGTCGATGTACTATTCATATCTCTATTTTACAGATGAGGAAAGCACAGAGAGGTTAAGCAACATGGGCAAGCTATTTAATAGGAAGGAGCAGAGCTTTGTACGTTTTGGGAAAAATGGGTCCAAAAATATAAATATTAAGGCTATTGATACATATTTGGAAATTATTTTAGAAAAAGAAGTGGCTCTTCTCGCATTCCTAAAAGATTCTAATGTTCAGATGGGGAATGAGTGTATAGCCTAGTCAGCAAATATGTACTGATGGCTGTTTTCTGGAGGCTTTTGTTATATGAATGATGGATATACTGGAAGGTACTGCCAAGAAGCTGCTTCTCTGAGATCTTCGTACAGAGACTAATGTCACTATGAGCATGTAGTTCTGGGATCTAGACCTGCATTGCTTTGTATATTTAGTAGTGGATTGCATTTGTACAGCTTTGCTGGTGTGGGCTCTACTTTACTTCTGGAGCCAGTGGATTTTTATCAAGTTAAGCATTTTACCTGCACTAGCATTCCATTCTTTACCTAATTTAGTTGTGTAGCAAACCTGTTGAGCATCACAGTTGTGGATTCTTTGGCAGAAGTAAAACCAGTTTATGTTTCAGTAAAACTAACACTGAAAGCTCTTTCTATTCCTATGTCCTTTGAGAGTTTGATTCACAATTTCCTTGTTATTGCTCCTTCATAAAACACTGAGTAGAAAGGAGGCTTCTTAGGACAGAGGGGACTTGTTCCTTTTTTATTTTTTAACAAAAAAAAGAACCTCTGAGAATCCTGTCCCCTACGATGTGGTCAAAACTAAGCCATGGTGTGGTGTGCCCATATCCATAAACTTGTGTATCTCCATACCTAACAACACTGCTGGGCTCAAGGGAAAAGAATACTGTTTGTGGAATGAATCCATTGTCACGTAGATAACCCTAAGCAGGGAAGGCAGCTTATGCTTCCGTAAGGCTTAGCAAAGTCTTCTCATGTGAGAGCTAGCAAATAATTTGAAGATCCAAAATATCAGGGTCCATTTTGAAAGCTGGGGCAATAGCGGAGGGGATGTCGAAAGTCCTAGTGTATAAAGGGTGGGTCACTTGAGGTGCAGTCCAAAGTCCATGAATAAACAGAGGTTAGGGGCAGAGGAAAGAAGGCACCTGAGGTAGCCCCTGTTTTCCTTATTTGGTTATTTGTCTGTAGCTACCCCACCCTCATTGCCCTCCCCACCACACTCCCCCACCTCCCACCAAAAAAAAGGAAGAATAGAAACTTTTGAACCCATGTGGGGATTTCACAATCATGTCTTTTTTTCTTGGTAATGTTCTGCTTTGACATAATAACAAATCTGTTTATGTTTGCAAAGGATTAGCTATGGACCCTGCTTCTGGAGCAAAACTCAGACAAGGATTTAGTAAATCTTCTAAAAAAGATTAACTCCTAGAAGCCAGGTAAGAAAAAAAAATCACCGCTAATCCAGCTGTTGCTGACCAGTTAATGACTTTTAAGAGAATGGATGCATAGTAAGCAAACTGAAGAGACATCTGGACAAACTCCAAGTTGGGTTAACAAAATGTATGCTCTTGAAACTGACTCTGCTGTTAAACATACAGTTTAAAGAGGATATTCAGTTTTTGATTCATGACTTAATAGGAAAGGGGAATGATCCCTCACTTTTGACCTGAAAGGTTACTGCCTTTTCCCTTTTTCTAAGCACCTTACCCTCACAAAGAATAGTTCCCTGAGGGTGTGAATTGTTTGTAAAATAATTAAAAGTCTGAAGAGGCCTATGTTATTTAGCATTCTCAATGTGGAAACAATGACATTCTAAAGTAAATGCCTCTTCTTTCTGCTTTCAGACTGCCTCCCTGAAACCCATCAGCCTGGATGGTTGCGTACCCGAGAATGCCACCTAAGGGGAAGGAACGGTAGATGTGATGTCTGTTTTTACACCCTTGATTCTTCTTGAAGCATCACTTAGAACAAGTAAAACTTGCTTCAGATTTTTATTTACTCCCTTTGAAGTTTTCAAAACAAAAGCATTAAACACATCAACCTGTATAATGCATGATTCAAATTCACTTGAAGTTTAATTGGACATTTGATGGGTTTTTAAAGACAATGTTGCTTTGATATTAGAACCTTTTTAGTAGACTAGTAATTGGAATACTAACATTATTTACTTACTAGGAAAATCTTTCTTTAACTGGCTTCATTTTATATACTAGCTGTGAAATCTCAGTTTTGATATTGGTATCTAGTAAGTATTAAATTATAGCTATTATATTTGTTTTAAATGTTTATGTATATACTGTGTAGAAGTGTCTGACACATACCAATCACACAGACCATATCTGGGAGGAAACACTGAAGTGGAAGAGAAAAGATTACCAAAATCTTCCATCCTGTGGGAAGAATGTTCTCAGTGGCCTCAAGCCATTTATTTATCATGGCCAAATCAGAAGCTATCTAATCATTTCTTTAGCACTGATTTATACAGAGCTCTGTTGAGAAGTGACTCTTCTCTTTGCAGTCTTTTTTTTTTTTTTTTTTTGGACACAAGATCTCACTCTGTCACCCAGGCTGCAGTGGTGCGATCTTGGCTCAAGCAGTACCTCCCACCTCAGCCTCCCGGGTAGCTGGGACCACAGGCTTGCGCCACCACAACCGGCTAATTTTTTATATTTTTTGTGGAGATGGGGTTTCACTGTTGGCCAGGCTAGTCTTGAACTCTTGAGCTCAAGCCATCTGCCTGCCTTGGCCTCCCAAAGTGCTGGGATTACTGGCATGAGCCACTGTGCCCAGCCTCTTTGCAATCTTAAGGGTCAATAGACCTCTTTTTGTAGAGTCAGTTATACTTAATTCATAATTTTAAATCCAAGAACTTTTTCTTAACCTCGTAAAATTTTAATTAGAACAATTAAACCATTTCTTTCTGTCCAAATTTAAGTAGGAGAATCCCAGCCTACCCTGACTTGTAATGCGGAATATCTGAAATTCTTATGATCTGTATTTTGGGGACTAAACTCCAAATGTTATGTTCTGTGTTCAGGAAAATCAAGTATGTGTTGTGGAACTCACAGGAGACAGTAGTAAGCCATGTAAAAGTATCTGTGGAAGCTTCTATAAATGGATATCAGGAGGTTTTAGCTTTCCCCTTTTGCTCTGGGAGATTGCTTTCCCTCTGAGAACAAAGAGGGGATATGGGAACTGACTTAAACGTCCCCAAGCAGTGGACTCCTACTAACGGAATAACTTACATCACTTTGTCTCATTTCCTCCCCGCGGGTTTCATTGTAGTTTAAAGACCCAGGTCTGTCTGGCAGCTGGGTCTCATAGATTAAATTTCCTTCTCAGTTCCAATCCTGGGTAGCTGTTTGCCCCTTAAGTGGTCATCAATCAGCATCATTGTTAAGGACTGTGAGTGGGTCAGGTTTTCTCACATTTGACCAGTGGGCTTCTTGGATAGACAGACAAACTCGTCTTCCCTTTCTCTACCTATCCCCACCCTATTTAGCAGTAAAACAAACAGAAATAGGCCTGTCAGATTTAAGGGGCATAATACCTTGAGAAAATCCCAATAAGAAATAAGTACATTTATTTCTAATTTGGCTAGAAATTAATGGTAAACACCGTTGTAAAAGTGGATCATGGTAGCCCAGGTTAGACTAAACTCTGGTGGATAGTATTCTGATCTATACATTAGAAATAAATTATGTCACATTATAGAATGATTTAAATATTGCATTTTTAGAAATAATAAGCTCTTAGTGCTGTGAATTTAATGGACGCATACAAGCTTCCATCTTAAGTCATAATTATTTTACTCAAAAAAAGTGAAGTTTCTAATAGATGCTCAGTAGAGGTCAAAACAGTGGTTTCTGTGGGGGAAGTAATGACCAGGAGGGGGCATGAGGGAGCCAGGTGGAGCCGGAAGTGTTTTCTGTCTTGATCTGAGTGTATGTAGTTCATGTTGTTGACACAGGTGGAGCTGTATGAAAAATTAATCAAGCCAAATTGCAAGATTTGAAAAGTTTATTATATGTAAGATATATGTTTACGGAAAAGCCTCTAAAAACATAAGACAATGGAGCTTTAAAAAAGGTTAGGTTTTACATCTTTAAAACTCATTAATAAGATACCAAATTCAAGAGATTATAGTTACATTGTAAAACGTAATCTTCTTTTAATAAAAGCTAATAATGACTGATGAATTACAAATGCACTTATTTATTGGTGATTACAAACAATACTTAAGAACTTAAGCAGCTTGAGTAGTAGTTTAAGCTAGACAGAGCAAAGAAAATTCTTGTTTAATATATATATATTTTTAATTCCAGTAATATTTTCTTAAATTCCTGTTAAAAATATAATCAATATTAAAGTCAGCAAAATGCCTTTGACTGACGCCTGGATTATTTTACCACTTAACCTGGTTACACAGTGATTTTTTTTTTTTTTCTGTCAGATGTAACTGACAACCAGTTTAGTCTTTCTTTAAGATAAATGAAGTGATAACTCACATTGCAGCATCTTGTGGAAAATATTCAAACTACATTTAAAATGCTTCTGTAAAATGGAGAACTCTATTGCTCCACAAGAAAATGTATATGTAAAACTACAGGTTGGCTATGGTAATAGTAACTAAACTACATCCAACCCTGAAGGTAGAAAAATCCCTGAAAAGAAATACACAGCCTAGTCATAGTATATCATATAAAGGTTATTTTCTTATTTTGAAAATTCTCCCAGATTTGGAGAAATCCAAACCTTTCCATAGTTCCCTTACTAGGCAGTGCCACATAAAGTTATTTAGTTAACATTATGATCATGGCTTACGATTAAATTCCATATGACAAACACTTATATATAGCAGCCGTCATTTTGGATGTTGGTTATGACAATATTTGCAGTTTGATTACAGAACACGCGTTCATTAAATTTGGTACAAAGCATGAACACTCAGGACAGATTGGCACAATACATGCAGTTCGAGAATTCTCTTATCATCTCAAGCCAGTCATCACTGAATAAGCCATAGTCCCAGTCTCGTTTTCCAAATCTTTCTCATATTGTAACTGACATTTAAAATGCTTCTTAAAACATCTTCCAGAATACGAAAAATACACTTTAAAAATCAATTATCTGAATGCATGATGGAAATGAGGCAGGATGGCAGAGCCAGTGCCAGCTGAGAACACATGAGGGATGGGGGGCAGGGGGAGCTGGCCCAGGCTCACAGTGCCCATGGCAAGTGGGGGTTCTTGCTGCTGCTGCCCCAGACAGCTTAACCTGTGGGGCAAAGATTCCCCAGGCCCCAGGGCAAGAGTGCTATTCCCAAAGGTATTTTGGGTAGCAGGAGGGGGCAGCTGCCAGAAGCCCAACAGGGGGGACAGGTCCAGAGAGGCAGGTATTGTTAGGTTCACAGCATCTGCAGGCAGCTCCTTGGGCAGGTTTACTTTACCAGCATTTCCCTTAGCCAGATCAAAACCTGGGTTGAGCTTTTGAGGTGACTGAGGCTCTTGCAGAGGCAAGTCCTCAAACAAACTGATATTGCAAAAACCTTTAGTATCTGCTTTGAGGGGCAGGCTTGCAAGTGGGGAGTATGAGGTAGAAGTGGTGTTGTACTTGTGATTGGGAAGGGGTGGCGGAGGAGAGCCAGGGGATACCGAGGGGTGGAGGGAGGCCAGGGACTCTGGCAGCGGCTGCATAGGCTGGGCGGCTTGTTCTGGGGGACTGAGGGTGAGGCTATGGACCTCAGCTGGCAAGCTACTTGCAAGCCCGTTCTGGGCAGAAGCTCCTAAAGGGAAAGGAGGCAAGGCAGCAGCCTTCAGTTGGAATGAAGGCGAGATGGTGTGGAAGGTGCTCAGAAGGTCTCCGGTCTGCAAGCTCTCTTTCATCAGCTCCTGTGAGTGGGTCTTCTTGGTATGCCGGGTGAGGTGATCCTTGCGCCCAAATCTCTGGGCACAGAACTGGCACAGGAAGTCCTTGCATCCTGTGTGGACCACCAGGTGGCGTCGCACATCCTTCCGGGTGTAGAAGCATCTTTCACAGTGGTCGCACTGGTGCTTCTTTTCCTTGGTTCCGCTAGGGGGCTTCTCTTCCGCATGGGCTTTGAGGTGGTCCAGTAGCACCTCGGTGCTCCCTAGCTCCAGGGCACAGACCCCACAGGTGAGGTCCCCACTGCTGGCCGCATGGAGGGCCAGGTGCCTCTTATAGCCCAGCATGGTGTTGTACTTCTTCCCACACTCCTCACACCCAAAGGCCATTTTGTTGGGGTCGTGGGTCTGGAGGTGGTTTTTCAGGTGGTCTTTCCGGTTGAACGTCTTCTCACAGTGAGCACACTGGTGAGATTTCTGGGGAGAATGGGTAGCCATATGCCTAGGAGCAGAAGGAGAAATTTCACAATAGAGAGTTGTTTTAAGAGCTGAAGAAAGGTGTAGCAACAATATTATATCAAAATGTTAATAGTTTTCTCTGGGTCTTGGTATAATTTTCAAAATTCTTTCATATATTTTCCAAATATATAAACTTTTATAATTAAGAAAAGCAAGCAATACTAAAGCCATAATACATTTTTCACACCTATAAAACGTTTTTTGAGACAGGATCTGACTCTTTTGCCCAGGCTGGAGTGCAGTGGCACGATCATGGCTCACTGCAGCCTCAACGTCCTGGGCTCAAGCAATCTTCCCACCTTAGCCTCTCAAATAGCTGAACTACAGGCACACACCACCAGGCCTGGCTAATTTTTTTTTTTTTTTTTTTGAGACAAGGTCTCACTATACCCACGCTGGTCTCAAACTCCTGGGCTCAAGTGATCCTCCCGCCTTGGCCTCCAAAAGTGTTGGGATTACAGACAAGAGTCACCGTGCCTGGCCAGAATATTCTTAAAGAGAACATGTTTTTTTAATGTATACAGATTTCTGAACAAAGTATGCAAGTACTTAAAAATACCTGACCATGAAAAATCTTTTTCAGGAAGGGGTTAAAGGGGTCTTTTGTACTCTGGAAATTCAAGTGACTCAATTTGTCTGCTACCCAGAACCACATAAAGCCCCAGTTTTAGGTTATTGTTCCTAGTTCCTATGTTTCTGTTGTTTGAGACAAAAAGTTCAAGCCATGGACATGTAACTCTTAGGAGCCTCTTAAAAAGTCCATCCTTAACCTCAGAAAAGTGTCTAATAGGACCCTGAACATCAGCCCACTGCCTTGCTTTCAGCCTCAGCCTCTGCCTGCCGTGAGATCTCACCACTGTCTTGATTTCCTTCATTCAATGCTTGACTATCAGCTCTTATCTCTGATGCTGCTGCCTGTCTCTGTTACTTCAAATTTTCCCTCTAAGACACCTTTGACTTACTTCTTAAAGGTCACTGGTAATTTAATTGGCAAAATTCAAAAAGACTTTCTTCTTTAAATATGAAGCTGCTACTTCTAATAAGAGTTGTAAGTTTGTCTTCAACAATGGCTTCAGGGACAAGCCGTAGTCTGTCTAGTCAATTTGGAATTTCAAAATAGCTCTTTTATATTTGTGAAGCAGAAATTAGTTATGGAAAGCCATCACAATTCCATCTTTTTCATAGTTCCACTGAATTGCTAACATCTAAACTCACCACTGGCTTTTAAAAACTCAGTGGTATAAGGAAACCCTGAGTTTGTCATCCTTAAGCTTTAAAAAGGTTCATTTTAATAACTAAAATGCAGAGCATTACATGTTAGCATGTCCTATGAAACAGAATCCTTCATTACAACTTGTAGCTTCATATCCCTCAGGGCAGATACCTCCTTTAGGGGTTTTGTCACGAGAGGTTAAAGCTTGTCCTAACTGACAATTTAAGTGCAGTTGTACCCTGTGAGCTTTCACGTTAGATACAGAAGATTTTCTAACAACTCATTCCGTAAAAGAGATAGGATCTCTTTAAGACAGTATGTTTAAGTCAAAAGTATACTTAATTACACCTTTCAGCCAACATCTGCCCTATACTGTTTATTCCTGCCCCTTTTGTGGAGCCAGAATTGGGGAGGGGTCTACAATAGCAGCCGTTGAGTGGAGGCCCCCACCTAGAGGCCAACTGGAAGCCAGTTCAAAAAATATAAAGCTAATCTGAATCGAACTGTCATTTTCTTAAAAATAAAGTACAACCTCATACCTCCTTCCTCTGTCACAAAACAAACAAACAAAAACAAAAAAGGCCTGCTGTGTGCATCCCTTCCCTTCCCTCCAGTACACCACAGCTTGTTTGCACATAAATGATAACATGATGGGTACCGTAAGGCAGGGACAGGAACCAATACGATGGGCATCTGAGAAACCAGATTGTGCTGGTGTTTCCACGTTCTAGGTCTATCTAAATAAATGCACAGGTTGGAGAAAGGGTTTTTAGAGCATGTTAGAGGGCAAATAGCCATGTTGTTCTGCAGGATATCCATATGTATATATATATATATCGCAGGAATACATATGAAGGGGGGAGCTGGCTTACACACTCAGTATTTAAACCTTTTTTTTTTTTTTTCTGGCCCAGTACTGGTGAACAGGATCCCATAGCTCTTGGGTCAGTTTGTGCCTCTCTCTTTTCTTTCATTATAGAGGACTTTCATCTGATTTGATTTCATTTATCACCCATGGGTAGATCAATACCAGGTTAACGACTGCACCTGGTTATTTCCTACGCACTCTTTCCTGTCCTACACCTGTACTACCTGTAAGTGGGGCACAGTCTGACACCCCAGTAGTACTTGAGCAAGACCACTGCCTTCCAGACTTCACTAGCTCCCACATTTCTGAATTTCTTGACTCTTTCCCTTGCCTGGCATCTACTTCTTTCCCTTTTAATTTATCCCTTACTTACTCAACAATCCTGATCTAGAACATTCTCATCCTATAGCTGAAATTACTTCAACGACTTGTTTCTTTCCCTCAGTTTTTCATCTTACCTTATAACCCATGAAAACAGCTTTAGTATGTCCTAGAGTCAGTACCCAATGCCACCATCTTTGGGTATCATCTGGATCATGTCAGTGATTTTAGAATTATTTAGAGGTTGATTGCTCACATTAGGACCTCCAACCTTGCCAAATCATCTTTTCTTGCCTGTTATTGTCTCTAACTGGTTTCATTATATGCTGTACTGGGACCCACATTCTGTTTTCTGGTTAAGCAAGTCAGTTATTTTTTCCTTCAACCTCTGTTGCCTCATCATCCTTTTTTTGAGATGCAGTCCCACCCTGTCACCAGGCTGAAGTGCAGTGGCTCGATGTCAGCTCACTGCAACCTCTGCCTCCCGGGTTCAAGTGATCCTCCTACCTCAGCCTCCCGAGTAGCTGGGATTACAGGCGTGTACCACCACGCCCAGCTAATTTTTTGTATTTTTAGTAGAGACGGGGTTTCACCATGGTGGCCAGGATTATCTCGATCTGTTGACCTCATGATCCACCCACCTCGGCCTCCCAAAGTGCTGGGATTACAGGCATCATCTTTTTTTTAAAAGCAAAACCGAAAGCATCCTGCCATCTCACACTCTTCCAGTCCTTTACTATATCACTGCTTCAGGCAAGAGAGGCGAGAGGCAAGAAATGCTGGGGGCTGAGGCAGGGAAGGCGGTTCTTGCATAAAGTACACTGACAGCTTCCCTTTTTGCCTCTCTTTACACCCTTAACTGAACAAGCCATTTTCCTTGCTAAGAACAACTACCTTCTAAACATGACTTAAGACTTCTTTTTCAGCGCAGTTTACCATAGTAAATTATTTCTCGGAACATGCGGGGTACTGATTCTACCCCTGTCATACCCAAATACACATATACTCAGGTCCTGCGGTCCACCCTGTGGACCACATGTGTATGAAAAGTCAGCCTTCGGTATACACAGGTTTCACACCCTGCAAATACTGTACTTTCAATCTGCATCTGGTTGAAAAATATTTGTGTATAAGCGGACCCGTGCAGCTCAAACTCATGTTGTTCAAGGGTCAACTGTAATCCCAATAGTTCTACTCCACTAATTCTTCTTTTCTAAACATTGATCTCTTCTATGTGTCTCAGTCTTTATCTGCAGTTTTAGTGTCCTCACTGTGACTCAGTTGCAGCCAGCGCTGCTCTCATGTTTGGGTAAGGACGCTTACCCTCCGCACACGCAAGAAGCTTCATGCAAAACAGGGAGCCTCTGCAACAAACTCATGCACGTGATCAGCATTCAATACTTCTACTCGTGACAGCTAGAGGGAGGCCCATGTATAGAAGACATTTGAATTTTAAAATATGTAAGCATTTGCAGGCTAATTTTTAAAACCAACTTATTACATTACATTATGTATAACAGTGGTATTCTTAAGGGCCAGGAGCATAATTTCCATCTTTTCAATTCTTTCAAGTGCCTTCCTCCAGGGTCACTCCAAGATTTCATAATGTGGTCTATGGTAATACCAGTCAGATGGAAAATCTCACTTGCTAAAGCCTGGCTCTCTCCAGGCGTTTGTATGTGAACAGTCAAAGTTGAAACTTCAAAGTTTATTTCATGAAATTAAGGGCAAATGGTGCATTTCCCTTAACCAAGTATCAAAAGCAGCACGTGTGAGTGGACGCACTATGTGTGTGGCTCTGAGTGTGCACAGACACAACACACACCATGCTCATTACCAGTCCCAGTACCGTGCAGCACAGCCACTGCATGTACATGGAGTCTTTCCTGTGATATTAAAAAGATCCACTGGCGGCAGAAACGATATCTAATGTATTCATTTCCCTCATGGAAGTAGGTACCTAACAGGCACTCAATAAATAACTTAGACTAAATGTAATTTTTTAAAAAGACTCATCTGCTAAAACAGTGCTTTTTATCCTTTGGTGTGTCATGGGTGCCTTTAAAACTGATCAAATGCACATGCTGCTCATCTGCATACCCACCTGAACTCCACTTACTAGGGTGGCTTTCCACCCAAGTTGAGAAACTGTGTTCCAAACATTTAAACTTGGAGATGTCTCCTCCTAGCTTTACTCTCAGGACCTGGATCAGCCCCCACATTTCATCCCTGGACTCTGAGAGCAGGTTTCAAATCAGCCTTCCTGCCACTTCTTCAAATTATTATCTGAGTCCTCTTTCTAGGATACTAAACGAATCATATTTCTTCACTACTTATACACCTGAATGAGACAAACCCTCTCAGACAGAGGTAAGGCCTGCTATACGTGGCTTCCTTCCTGCCTGCACTTTTAGCCTCATCTGCTCCTCCTCGGATAGTACCCTCTGCACATGGGTGCTTTAAGGCCAAGACTTATGGCTTTCCCAGAACCTCCTCTCTGCCTCCTCCTCTTTCATTGTGTCACAGCTTAAAGATTGTCCCCATCTGAGAAGCCGTCCCAGGTTTCATCAGGCAGTGAAGAACAACTTCTACCACCTGTATAGCTCTGTCAAAGCAGTGAGGTTGCATTTTAATTGTCTTTTCCTATTTCTCCAGCCATGGGGAGAGGCCTGGTATATTGTAGGTGCATAAAAAATCTCTGTTGAAAGAATGAACTGACACTGCACAACAAGACGGTCACATAAAACCACAGGAATCACTGGATGCAGATTTCAAGAATCCCTCAAAGGCTAAAATGCATCCATATCCTGTGTCCCTTTCCCCTTGCATCGTGTGGTCTGAGGGCTAGAAAAGCCATTTAAACGTACTTCTAAAAGTGCATACCTTTGCCAAAGCCTCTCACCTCATCAATTTATATCTGGAAACAAAGGCTTTGCCACAGTCAGGCTGCACACACTTGTACGGCCGCTCCCTGGAGTGGGAATAATTGTGAATCGTGAACTTCTCCAGGGTGAGGAACGTCTTGCCACATAACTGGCAGGGGAACGTGGCCATGGGCTTTGCTTCTCACACCTTCCTTTTCAGATGTGCTGACCAAATGCTGTGCCATTTAAGCACAAACAGAACGATGGTGCTGGGCACATCAGCAGAGTCCCTGCAGCTGAACTCCAGACCACGGGAGAGGCAGCATCGTGGGCCTGGTTCTACCCAGACATGGACCTCTCAGCTGTCACTAGCTTTGCTTCCTGCTTTCACACATCCCAGTTTACATGCAGTCTCAAGCTGAGGGGAGAAAGTCTGAGGCACAGGTGCGATTCAGGAGCAGAAAGGTAATCTGCATCACTATAGCTGGGGCATGTCCTGGGTCCCCCGGATTGGCTGTGGAGAGAAGAGGAACAGTTTTCTTGCATTAGCCATTTGAAAACAATGCTTTTCCTCCCTGACCGCTTCAGAATCAACTACCCACAATCAACACGTTCCTTTAAATGGTGCTCATGGAACACAGTTCTCCATGTGAGAGGGCCATCTGCATACAAGTCTACACTTTTGGCTTCTCAGAGGGTGAGGAGTCAAGCACTGATGGCCAGTGGAGCACACTTTCCCTCTGGTAAGGAGAGTTCTTTCCACGGATCCAGTATTATCTATTTCAGGTCAGTGTGAAGCTCCATTGACCAAAGAGAAAAACAACAACAACAACAACAACAACAACAAACAAAAACCTCCCTCCCTCAGTGTGTTCAAGTGTTTTTACTGGTCCATAAACAAAAATCACCCACACTTACTCAAACCACGGGCTCTTCCTCATCACTCATTGTTGGCATAACATTAGTTGCTTATCACACCTGTTTAAACTTCCAGAGGATAAGAAATAATTTGTATACACCTAAGTCAATTTGTTTGTAAGATTACTCTGCAGAAGGGCTGATATAAACAGAATGTGCATGAAGCTAGTCTAGTCTAGTTGCACTGATGTGGTGGCACAAAGCTGATAGCTCAGGAACCAGCCCAGGCCACGTTCAGATTTGTAGGCACCATCCTCTAGTAAGTTCTACTAATCTCTTCCTTTTTTGTTTATGGACCTTTCTTCATTCCCTGGCCCTACCCTGGAGGGCCCATCCAGCTACCTGCTGGTAGGCCACCTCCAGGAGATGGGCCTACTGCCTCCTCAAACCCAACTTGTCTCAAACCCAAATCATTATCATCCTTCTGACTCAGCCAGAGTCACCAAAAACCAGGTTCTTCTTTTTCTACCAATTGGCCATCATTGGAGGAACCTGAAGTGTCTGAGCCTGCATCATGAACAATACTCCACTTACTAGGGTGGCTTTCCACCCAAGCTGAGAAACTGTGTTCCAAAAATTTACACTTGGAGATGTCTCCTCCTAGCTTCACTCTCAGGACCTGGACCAACCCCCCACATTTCATCCCTGGACTCTGACAGCAGGTTTCAAATCGGCCTCTACCTGCCACTACCTGCCAGGGTAAAGCCCTGGATCACTACCACCCTGTGCTATTCTAGAGAGAGATTTTCAGGTGGGCAAATGCTCACCTTTCAAGTGCCAATACTTAAAAAAATTAAGAGTACTGTATGCTTAGGTGAAGTACACTTGAGTAGCTTTTGTCCACAGGCCAGCATTTGCTGAACTTTGCCAGTAAGCAGGGCACTTCATGGTAAACTGACCAATTGCAGTGAGTCTTTAAAGCCCTCCCTGCTCCTTGCAGTCATTTATTGCCATGTCTCTAGAGTTGCTCTTTATTGTTAAAAGTTAATTTTTACTTACCTTTTTGGTTACTTTCAGATCAGAAAGTATGAGTCTAACTAGATGAAACTTTATTGTAATAACAGTTTAAACATGTTTAAATATAGCATTATGTAGCACACGGACATAACCAAACACATATTCCTTTTCTAACCAGCAAAAATTCCAGGAAACTTGTAGAGTTCCTCATCTTCTGTTGTAGATGTTTTCAGTGTCTGGACAGAGTTCGCGGTACCAAGCAAATACCCCTCACCATCCTGCCTCACCCACTTGGAAACGTGAAAGCTGACTCGGGCACTTTTGGTCAGCGCTAATCCAAACCAGGGGACACACAGGAGTCCTCGGCCAGCACCTTGGCACCACACCTTCTTTGTGACGGCTGTGATTCTAGCAGCACACACAACCTCTGCAATTATGTGTGACTTTAACTAATTACCTGTCCCGGCTCTGCCCAAACCCCTTTCCCCCAACCCCTGGTTCCCTTCCAGTATTCTAGTTCATGCCTGAGGCCCTATCTTGAGGAATCCTCAACAGCCCTGGTCACAAACAAAATAACTCCTTCTAGGAATTCTATTCCGCCTGCCGAGTTTGCTCTGCTAGGTATCATGATCTGTTCTACTTCTCACCCAGCCTAAGTTTGGCCATAATACCGGCCCAGCTATAAAACACACTCATTCACTTAGAATTGCTCTGTGTTCTTTCTAGGTTTATTAAAAAAGACTAACACACACAGAGTATGAAGTTTGAAAATGCATCTTTTTCTCATTCCCTTTATAGCTGAACTCAAAATAGCACTCGTCCCACTCGCCCCTTCAGAGAAGGAGCTGCTTTGTTGGGGAAGGTTTTACATTTCTCTCACCTACTTAACACCCTGCATATACACTTTTCTCAACTTATCTCAGTAAGTTGATTCTCCCCAATTCTTGCTTTATGAGATGACTGGCATGTCCAACAGAACTTTCTGCAATGATGGAAATGTTACAGATGTGATGGCTACTGAGCACTCAAAATGTGCCTCTGAGAAACTGAAACTTTTACTTTATTTAACTTTAATTTAAATTGCCACATAGTGCCAGTGGCTGCTGTCCTGGACGGCACAGGCAGACTCTTGGTATTCCCATCAAAGGAGAGGAAGGCAAGGCTGTGCTTTCCTTGGACACAACTGTGCTACTGATTGAGCCTCAGGTGTTTACCCTGAAGCTATAAATCCAGGCACTTGTTCTGTGAATCCAGTGGAAAGATTCCCCAGTTCAAATTCCAACTTACCCATGTTATCTGTGTCGAGTTTCAGTTTCCTCATTTGTGATAGTTACCTGATGTATGTAAACAGGCTGCTGGGACAATCGACTGAGACAAAATGGATCTGAAAGCACACTGTAACCTAAATAAACACCCTACAAATAGGCAGTATTTATGAAACACTGGAATTAAAAGTACTATAGAACCATGTGTCAATGTACAGCTCATGTTCTAACCATTTAGCTATGGATGTAATGGGAAAGAGACACATTCTCTCCCTATGGATACTACACCATATCAATTATACTGGAAAGAAGTGGCAGTGTGGACAACACACGTGTAGAAAGGACACAAGAGGTGGCAAGTAAAACGCCTGCATTCTTTCTCAGCAGATGTAAACCTTGACTCATTGCTTACCAAACACACTAGGAGTACAAAGAAAAAAATAAAGCTTATTCAATTGAAAAACTTGCCCTTTGGCACTGAATGAGGTTTTCCAGATCTCTTTCCAGCCACTTCTTCCCAAGATTCAAAAGGCCAGCAGTCATGGACATCACCCATGCCTACATTTCCCCTGAGCCCTCAAAGATGAATGGGACAATCTGAGCATTAGACATGGCCATGGTTTAAAGGTGAGGCACATTTCCTCCAACTTCAAGTTTCCCTCAAAGACTAAAACACAAAGTCTCTCGTTTTTATGCTTATTTCATGAATATCTTTTCCCAAGGCTTTGAGTTCCAGGTCTGTGTGTTTAATATACCTAGCCTAATACTAATTGCAAAGTTGGTCCTCAGAACTAAGTTAGTTATATAATAGTGAACATTCTTTAATTTCTTCAGAGAGTCCTTAATGAACTCAAATTCATAATTTTTAATCACCGTAACTATGTATTTCTTCCATATGGGCCTTAGAATACAAATATTTGTTTTCATGATATAATAATAAACTTCTGTAAAAACAAGACTGTCTACCCCAACAGACTATAAACGCTTTGTGGCTGAGGGTCAAAGCTTAGCTATTAAAAAACGACAACAACAACAACAACAACTGTGGGTATATACAACATCTCTCATCACCACGCACTTGATCAGTTCAAAGGCTGTTTACTGATGAGTCCAATCTTTGGTTGAAACCCAATGCACTTTCTGGCCACATCCTTAAAACAATTTATGACAACTTTCTATTATCTGGCAGGCCACCAACGATCCTAACAGAACTTACAGAGCAATGGTCCTGATGCGAGTCATTCTGTTCTGTGACTTGACATAGAAATTGCATTTGAGTCTTAAATACGGTGCTATTTCAACACCTGTCACCCTAGAAAGATAGTAAGTCTTACCCCAAAACATCTCAGGACATAATTTTCAGTCCCCTTGATTCTAAAAATACTGAGTGATACAGATCTGCCAGTATGCCAAAGAAGGCTTGTGCCATCTGCTTCGTTCTGCTCATGTTGATTATTTTGGGGATGAGAGAGGATCAGACGGGAAGAAGAACATATATATATGGTAACAGCCAGGAAAGACTGTGTTCCCAGGGGACAGGGGTATACGAGGGTGGAGGGGGGAGTCAGAACACAACTGTAGTTCCAGGACTTCTCCAGTGCTACATAACACATCATCTAATGGGGCACAACTGCTTTACAACATTCTTAAAATAAACTGTGACTTCTGGCATCTATTTCCATTGTCCTCAGTGACACAATCAATGCAAGGCCCATTTCTGAGAGGAAAGTGAATTTCCACTTTTGGTCTTCCAACAAGGGTGTTTTTCTCAATATCAGTTCTTTGAAGGACTTTGGTAGCAGTCTCTATCAAATTTAAAAAAGCTATTTAGAAATGTCATCAGGAGAAAGATGATATCCAGAACCTCCAGGTAGTCATGGCTGCCATGGCTGCAGACCTCACTCCCATCATGGCCGGAAGGCAAGGCCAAGGATCACTCCACTTGCTGTTTCCTTAAAGTGCTACTTTCTCTCACGCTTCTGGCTTTCTCCCTCCTGGAATGTCCTGGGAACCCTTGTCTACCTGGCAAACTTCTACTTTTCTCTGTCACTGCCAGGCAGAGGCACGAGTTCCTCCTCCACACGGTGAGGTGTTTACTCAATGGCCCAGTAGAGATCTCCACCTTAATATGTTTGAAGAGCTTTCACTCTAGTTTATCCTCATTGTAGGAAGCACTACCTGCCCTTCTATTCTGCTCTGAGAGAGCCACCTGCTGAGCCATCAGGTTTGTTGCCTATAGATTCTTTTCAGCTGTCACCTTGAAAGACTGAATTTTGTTAACCCAGTGACTAAGCTCTTACTTTCTAAGAAATGAGGCTTAAGATAAACAAGAAAGACAAAGTGAATTATTTCTCTAATATTCAGGGAAAAAATTGAGAAAGCTGTCCAGATGATTATGCTACAGCTTTGGAACATCAAATCCACATCCTAGCCAGAACATCTGAAAAGGGACAGGGTGTGTTCTGTTTACAAATAGTGTAATATTTGGTTAAAGATGGCCAACTGAATAAAAGCATGTAGCTCCAGTCTCTCTGAAAATTCTACTAAAACAGTAATAGTGGGATTTTTCTAAAACACAGCCTAATATAAAAGGGAGAAAACAACAAATTTTGGAAGCTGAAAAGCAGGTAAACAAGCAGTGATCGACTTGGCCATCCTAAGAAAGCTAAAGTTTAAGCCAGCATTAAGAGGCAACAAAACAACCTGCTATACCCTGAAGCATCTACCATATGTCTCTGCAATTTGGTACAGTAGGTACTTCTGGAAGTGAGGATGGAAACAGGTATGAAAGCAGCAGGTGAAAGTCTGTTAGTGAAGCACTGAGCCCTCCTGACCTCTCCTGATGCCTGCAGTGGGGTGCCTGCCCTTCCTTCCCCTAGCACAAGTGCTCGCTATGGAGACTGTATGAAAGTGGGGGAGTAGCCTGACACAGGGTGAATGTCCTCTCTCTCAGGGCAGGAGGATGGAGGAGTCTTCCCTGGGAAGCTGACCAGCCCAAGAGAAAAGAGCAAACCATAAGGACAAAGGGGGTTTCCTCCAGGGGTCGCCACCTTACCCTATACAAGGCCCCAGCTGACAAGCCCCACCTAAGTATACAAAGCTCCCATCAGCTCTTTACTGGCTTGACTCACAAATTAGTAGGCCAAGGATCACCAGAAATCAGAGGAAGGCACTTAATAGGGAAAACTGACACAAAAAGTAACGGGGAAAAAAAGACTACGGGGGGAAGGAAACTTCAAAAATAATAATCATTAATATCCTAGAGAGAACAGAGGTCCTTAAAAGAAGAGCAGGATATTATTTTTTAAAGAGGACAACACCAACAAAAAGGCAGTGGCAGTGCAAGACCCCAGGGGCTGGGACAGGCATTTGAGTCAAACTTGCAAGGGGAACACTTGAGAACCCAGAGAGCATCTGAGAGTCAACACCATGAGGCAGCCTCTTATAACTCAGCTAATATAATCCAGAGACTAACATTCATTGACTAAATGGTTAAAATATGTATCATTTCACCAAGAAACATGAAAGGAGAGGAGATGATTTTTAAACTAACAAAACAGAGTATACTATCTTCATCACATGACAAAGTTACCTATTATCATTGCTTGCATGAAACATTCATGTATTAGAAGTCATGGATAATACGATACAGTAAGACAATAAACTAATGAAAGGCATAAAATTGGAATGGAATAATTATTTATTTGCAGAGGAATGTCGATATAGAAAATCCCAAAGAATCCACACACAAGATTAGAAAGCCTGGCAAGGTGTTTGATTATAAAAATCAAACTACACAAACAGCTGCATTTCTAAATATCCACAAACAGAAATATAGTTTAAATACCATCATATTAGCCAGAAAATAAAGACAGGTAACTAGTGCCCAGCCAAAGGGAAAGAGACAATATGCAAGACTGGAATCATGGACAGGATATATTCAAAGATGTGTTTCCTCAGGAATGAATGGACAGAATACAATTACATTGCTCTATAATGACATATGCATGAAAACAGATAAATAGAAGTGAAAATCATTACTAAAACTTGAGGTGGTGGTTGTCTAGGCAGTGACCATCTCTTGCTTGGGAGATCAAGAAAGGTGTCACAGAGAAGTAAAAGTTGAAGCTAGCGTAGAAGTTTACAACGTGTTCAAGAGGGAGGTGGTCTATTTCAGGCCAAGGGAATGAATCCAACCACCTGGAGAATAAGTGGTTCAGTAAGACTGGAATACAGGTGCAGATGTGGGCAAAGGAGAAAACAGGCTAGAGAGATGGAGAATCGTGAAGGGTCCACTCTACAAGGGGAAGGTGGGCTTTTTTGTCATAAATTGTTTTTAGCAGATTGATCTATTTAGTCAAGTCCAGCCACAAACTCTTGAATTTATGTGGAGATGCAGTGAGGAGGGCGGGAAGAGAAGAGGTAGAAATAGGTAGAGAATGCCAATAAAATGCTGTGAGGAATGGGAAGAGGCAGTGGGGAAAGCCTCAGCCTGTGATTGTGAGCCTCAAAGGGCCACAGAAAACTGACAAAACCAAACTACCAAGGGGAAAGGACGACCCAGGCGCTCACCACCAGGGAGCTGGGCAATGGGGACCGATCAGAAGCAGTGGACTTGCCACCAGATTTCACTTTTTGATGGTAACTCTGGCAGGGACGTATAAGACATGCTGGAGGGTGGTGGGCTGGATAATGAGATCATTTAGGCTTCTGCCAGATCTCAGAAGAGAGAACACAGGCCTGCACAAGGAGAGAGGGCAGGTTCCAGTGACACTCTGTAAACAGAATAACTGGATTAGGACTGAGGTTAGGGGAAAGAGGGAATGGTGGTGGCAGAGAGAGGTTTTCTTCTGCATCCCAGAAGAAAAACTCAGCAAAAAATAAGCGTTAGGAGTTCATTTTTAGACATGCTGGGCTTAATGGTGCCTAATGGGCATTCGGGCCAGCAAGGAGACGTGAAGCGTGGAGTGGCTCAGGAGCTCTTCTAGTCTAGGGAAGCGGATGCCTTTCTGAACCTAACTTATACAGGCGATTTTATAAGTTACTCTGAGCTTTCCATGGGTGGCCTCATATCCTGTCAGTGACTCACGTGTTCAACCTTGATCACCAATGTTTTCCTCCTAGAGTGGTTTGGTCAAGTGGGCTAGCCCTGGGGGTAAGGAGGAATTTGTTTTCTTTATGGCAGGCTGCAGCTAGACTGAGACTCCCTTAGGTCATCTACTCTGCACTGTAGCCCGGATGGAAGCAGCCTTGTGGGGGCATGGAATTCTCAGAGCTCCAAAGACAGAAGCAGCCTTCTGCCTCAAAATCCCCCCAGCTCCTCTTGGATAAGATGGTCTACTGATAGGCCTATGGTGATAAAAATGAGCAAAATGAGAATTAAGTCTGAGTTCAAAAACTTGATGTTGGTAAATAACTTCTAGATGGTGATAGTACAAACAAGATCCTAATAAACAAACAAACAAACAAACCCAAAACAAAAATCTTTTGGTTATCTCTTCTACTAGAAGAAGGTAGGCTTTTTATAGATGGGAGCTTTTCTTTGCTATATTTAGCAGATTGAAGATATCTAACCTATTGAGTCAAGCCTAGCCCCTGACTGCATCTACATGGAGATGGAGTGAGGTGGTAGAGGTAGAGGATGCCAATAAAACGTTCTCAACTGAAACAGGAAGAAGTCCAGAGAAGCTATGGAAAAGGCAAAAGCCAATGAATGTGAGCCTTGGAGAGCCACAGAGGACTGAGAGATGCTGAACTACCAAGGGGGAAGGGATGACTCTGATGAGCAGGGAGCTGGGATCTGTCACCCCAGAAGTGCTTCATCTCTCACAGGTCTGGGGCCCCTTCCACCACTGGCCTTCCTCATCCATATAGCACGGAAGCAAGGGGCTGGGACAGCCAGGATCCCCACGAAAGGGCCAAAGGCCTTCTTCCAGATGGGTCATCCAGTATAGTACCCACCAGGGGGAACGGAGGAAAAGAAATATTGTTGCAGACTCTTGGATCTTTGACAGGCCTCCTCACCTCTCCCCACCATATGCATTGTATTTTTAAATAGAAACAGTCACAAAAAAATAGACAAATGTCTACAAGTAAAATAGATGTGTGCATTGAGAAAGGCAAGGGTTAAGTCCAGGCCTGGTTCTCAAGCTGAGATGGGACTGCCTTGTTTGAAGAGGACTATTTATGAATGAAGACTCTCAGGAGTCTGGTGGGGGGGTGAGGGGTGGAGAGCAACTCCCAAAATCCAGACAAGAGCCTTTGGTATTAGGGGAAGATTTTCTAATTGTTACAGTCAGGAATGGGGATCATTCCTTTATGATAGCTGAAAATACATCCCCCTCCTCACTCCCTAGAAACCCTTGAGTCTCGCCTTTAGGCCCTTTTAGGGTCTGCTTCTATAGCTGATGGCGGTGATCTCTTTTCCTGGGACTCTTAAGTGTAGGACATGGAGGAACCAGAACTCTAATTAGCAGCAGGACCTATTATTTTTCCAATAAGGTTAACATTCAAGGGAAAGAAAAGCCTCTTTCTTTCTCAGGAAGTGTGTGAGGATATAGGCTCACATTGAGAAGAGAAATGTGAAAAGCATATTAGTTACATTGACCATGGGATGCCTGGTTTGTGAGTGAAAATCACCGGAATGACCTTGAAGGATCTGAGATCTAGAAAGGATGCTCAAGACTTGGGTGGACTGTTTGATCCTAAAATAACATATCACTAAATAAACAGAAAAAGGCCTTGAAGTACAGATAACTACATGGGAGCAGGGTATCTTGACACTGGATTTATAGATGACCTCATTGTTTATTTTTTGAATATCTGCACTTTCTAAAGTTTGATAATGACTACTTAGGCTGAGTCTAGGAGTATACCCGGTTGACAAATGGAGGAGGCATATTGCAGAGGCAGAGGGGAGAACAGAGAAGAGCTCGGAGTCATGAAGCAGCATAGGGCAATGTGGAACACGTGGTGCAGCCTGGCTGGGATGGGCAGGAGAGGGGCCTGTGTCAGAAAACCAATAACAGGGATAGTGCACCTGGCAGGGGACACTGGGTTTATCCTACAGGGAACTGGGAGCCAGTGAAAGTGAGGATGTCCCATCTACAGATGAATTGCAGAGAGGAAAAAGTTACATATAATCACTTATCCCTCCCCCATGGGTAACTCAGTTACCTGGAGAGAACAGCAGATTGAAAGGTACTGTTCTGAAATGCTAACTGGTTCTTTTTACATGAGATGAACCCAAGACCAAATCGGATTACCCTAGACACAAATTTGATGGGCAGTTTTAAAGTAACGTGCAGTAACTTTTCAAGCTCGATGTAGAAATATCCAGAACTTATAGTAAACTGTGTACATGCATGGTTATGTGAGAAAAGTGAAGCTGCTGCACCTGTTCCCAAGCTCACTCCACTTCCTCCAGAAGCATGCCTGTCTGCCTCTCGGGACACAGGCCGTACTTTATTAGACACAATTATTTCAAGAAGCTTGAGAATTTTCTCTTTGCCTTTCCATGTCATGTCCAATAAATTCAAAGGATGCAAAGCAAATTGTTCATCCAGGAATAGTTAATTTGAGAAATAAAAATATTTATCACTGGTCCTTTAAGATTATCCTGATTCTTGATTTTTTCTTTTTAAACTGATTAACATTTCATCAGGTTTCCATTTTAAAAGAAAATGGCACTGAAGAGACAAGGCAAGTTTTCCAAGCGACAACACTGGCTTTTCTGAAAGGGGAAAGGAATGTTAAGGAAATGGGGGAGAAAGCTTAAAAAGAGTGGAACACTAGCAAGCAGGGCCTCTTCTCCTTTTCACCTTAAGTCTTTTTTCTCTCCCATTCACAGCTTTAGGTCCTTTGTTTGTTTAACAAACCATTACAATCATACCCAGTTCAATGGGGGAGGAATGTGAACTCTCTGAGTAGCTGTCCTTGCAATCCACATGTGTGGTCCATCCCCCAGCTCATCCGCAGGCAGCTTTCATGTGCTGCTCTGCGCTCCCCGTCGCCCCGGAGGCCGGCACCTTGCTCACAATAAGCCTCAATTTCCCACCGCTGCCTGCTCGCAGCTCCTCCCCAGCAGCTGAGAGCAATGTCTCAAGTGGCTCTTCCTCCCCTGCTTGCCTTGCAATCATACTGTCCACCCTGCTTTGGCTGGCCCCCTTCAGCTCCTGAGACAGACAAGGCCTGCTGTGTTAGCCACACCCCACCTGTTCGCAGCCCATGGACTCGCCACTGAATACTTCGGCAGACACATTCCAGGATCTTCCTGGCTAGCACTCCTAGTCTTCTAATGTCAGGCACACTGTAAACAGAAGATACAGGCAAGACGCTCCCCCACCCCACCCCAACTCCCAGCCCTAACTAGAACTGCTAGGTCCTAGTAGATATGTTGGCCCTGTTGGGATTAATTTCAATTTCTTGGTCAATAAATCCAAATATTTAGTGACAATATTGTATTTCAGTAGGAGTCGGAATACTATTTAATAAACTATTTCAGTTGAGCTCATAAAGCTCTCTCATGCTATTCCAATAATTTCCATCTCATAGCCCTAAGAGATAGGTAGAAGGGCATCATTGTCCCCATTTCACAAATGAGGAAACTGAGGCTCAGAGGATTTAAGTTTACTGCCCATCAGCATGGACTAATGACATACTGCAAGTAATACACTGTCCTAAGCAAAACGCCTAGCACAGAGTGAGTGCCCCAAAGGCATTAGCTTCTATTAATATCATTACTGGTGATGATGATAATGATGATGAACAGAGGTTGCTCCCAGGTGTTCTGAACTAAGCCAAGTGCTCTTTCAACCTACGCTTTGCCATCCCTTCTAGCCACACTGTCTACATGAGCAGTGAAGTTCAGCAACTGCTTTACAACAGCGTTTTCAAATAAAGCCTCAGGAAGTATGGCTGGATTGCCTCATGTGGCTGGGATGCGACCAGCATCTTTCCCAGGCTTATCTTTCAGTCGACATCTGCCACAAAGACAGGACAACCTCTTACACATCTTATGTACACAAGTTAGGAGTGTTGGCAGGGGCAGCTTTCTTCTTTTGAACTGACAGGGTTGTCAGCAGAAAATTCCATAGATCTATGTGTATTACTAGGCTGTGGATGTGGGACAGCAGAGGTCATGAAAAGTTGCTAACTGCATCATCCAATTCCCTGAAACACATGTGCACTGAGCTTTAAAAAATGAAAGGGCTAAAAGAACCCTGTTCTCGGGTATTCTGCAGTTTGTGGAGGAAATGTGTTTATTTTCCACTAGAACCTTTTTGAAGTACCCTGAACCTCCAGCATGTTCTTGCCTATGATGTGTTTCCAAGCAATCGTTAATAAACATGCCCAACTAGAAATAATCTTAAAACATGCGCACCTACTGAGTGACAGGGAACATCTGCTGCGAGGCAGGGACCGAGTCCTCCCAGAAGTTTGTCTGAAGATTCAAACCTGTGAGAAGAGACCTTGTACATCGTCAGGGAATGAAGCTAGGAAAACATTCCTCCATTATGTTACCCCCTGAACTTCACTTCTAGAGCACACACACGACTGGCGATGTGCACAGGAGATTTTCTAGTGTTTTTTCATGCATTTTAATAGATGATCTTTAAACACTCATATCCTTTGTCCTACTTGCAACTGGATTAAGAAAAACTCTCAACTTTTCCCCTGCTTTATGCAAGTGGAAAAAAAAGAACACACAAAATTGCTTACATAATATATTCAGAACAGCACTCAGAGGAAATGGTATTTTTTAAAACCAACAGTATTAAAATACCATAAAACAGGTATGCAAATCTATGCAATAACAGAACCTAAAACAAATTCTGAATTGAAAGAAAGTCAGCAAATAACCAGTTGGCACTCAACAAAGGAGATTCATATAAACAAAGATTTATCAAATTTGCAGTGCAAGAAGGTTGAAGTCTCTAAGTTGAATACTGAATTAAATGGTTACTAAACCTGGCTATGCATTAGAATCAGCATGGAAAACTTTTAAAAATACAGATTCCTGGGTGGCCACAGGGCAAATCAGTACAGACTAAAACAGCATCACTGGGACCCCAGGAATTTACGTTTTTACCAAATCTACAGAAGCCAAGTCTACAGCCAGCTTTGTGCCACTGAACCCTGATGAGCATTTGGAAACCAGCATTTCCGTTCACCAAGTAATTATCAAACTTGGCTTCTTCCTACCAAGGCTATTCCAACCAACTGATCCTCTTACAGGGAAAGCTTTTCAGGATTTTCTTAACTAGTACAAAGGCAAATCTGCTATGGAACAAAGCCAATTTATATCTCGCCTAAGTGATTTATTCACTTGCCTATTTTCTTCTGTGAATTTGATCAAAAAGGCTATGTCCATTTATTTTGTATGAGAACATCCTTTTAAGTTAAAAATGGAAAAACCAAGGCCATTTTGGGACAACTGTTTTTAACGTTAATGCATCACAATACAGGAAAATACTGGAGGTGAGCAGGTTATTTGCCTGAGTCATTTAGGGAAATTGTTTCCAACATATTCCTTGTTTTGCTTGTATAAACACTTTACAAATCATCTTTATGGTCCATCTCTTTCCTCAAAATGCTCAACATTTATTGTGCTGGTTTAATTGGGTGGTCTCCAAAGGCTTGTATAAAATTTTTTTTGAAAGAGCTTTAAAAAGACATTAAAGCAAAAGAGTAAAATTCTTCCGGATGATTCTTCCTTTGCACCTACCCATCTCACAAACGGACAATACCAATTTATGTATTCAAAGAGGCAGGGGTTCTTCTGCTTCCCAGGAAAGGGTGCACATAACGTGAGGTACGCAAACCAGGCAGTGAAGTAGCTTAGCTTCATTGTCAAAATATTCAAATTATCACAAAAAGAAAGCGATTCCTTTCTGAATTCAACAATACTCCTTGGCCTCCAAGGGCTCACACAGGAGCTTATTCTTAAGCTGTTCAATGTAAGCAGCACTCGTGAAAGAGGAGAACTCTGGCAGGGAGGAGATCAAATCCCTCAGCTTTTCCCACCTGCCATCTCTGCGCCAGTCTAATGCTTAAATAGTTAACAATGCAACAGAGAGCCCAAGGCAGGCCTGGTCTGGGGGGAAAATCATGTGCAGTATATGACGATTTAATAAAGCAGAGAACAGACAGGAAAAATAACACATCTCAGTTTGACAGGATGCTACTTGCAGATTGCTTTTCAGGTCAGAATTTAGATTTCTAAAGCAGAGGGAAAAAAGGGTTTTCATACGTCAATTATTCTTTTTTAAGTATGTGGTTAAAAATGACCCTATAAAATTAAACAATCCTAAAGATAAATGTTTCCGAGTTCCAGAGTAACAAGAAGAATCACATTTTTGTGGGAGTGAAGACTGGCAGATGGTAAACAGATTAGTTAATTGTTTTAAATGAAGGGGGAAATATTTTTTGGAAAGTTTGTTTATTCGTTGATGACAAAAACCAAAGTTTCATAGAGTGTATGAGTTCCAGGATGTGTTTTTGCTGTCACAATATGTTTTTCTAGGCATTTGCTTCTGAGAACAGCATTTAAGAACCCGTCTTTTTCTCTCTTAATGAACTGGTTTAGCCGCCTGCTGGGCATTCACTGAAACCCACATTGAACAAAGGGATTTCCTTCCAGTTTCAGCTCATTCACTTCTAGCGACTCCTGGTTTTACTTAAGCAAATTCTCCAAACTGACTTTTTTATTTCTAATGATTTGAGTGGGAAAGAATTGGGCAACCCTCAAACACTGGGAAGTCTGCCCTGGTTTTCAGTGAAAGAATCCTCTAGGCTGAAGATGTACAAGGTTTGTTTTTGAAAAGCCTCTCGAATATGTTTTATTTTATTTTCCAGATGGAAAGGAGCCCACCTGATTTGGTAGATTACAGACAACTAAATCTTATTTCAGCAAGATGGATCATGGTGAACAATGAGATTATTTCTTTGAAATGAAGCCTGAGTGGGATATTCAGATTCACCTCCAGGCAATGATGTCATTTTAAAGGTGACACTGGGGGGCATGGTATGAAGGGGTTGCTGGAAGTTGGAATAGATTTGTGGGCCTGGCAGCTGGTCTTCTACCTTCTCACATTAATACATGATCTCCCTGGGGGACCCCATGCACAACCCAAGGTTACAATTACTCCTTGAAGTCAGAAGCCTCCCAAATCTCTATCTTCAATCCTGAACTTTCTTTCAAATTCCAGACTAATACATCTACCTCCCTCCCGCAGCTCTCGGGATACCTTGCAGTGCCCCTTCAAGGTCACATGGTGGGGCTTCAAACGTTAACCCACAGACTTGCTCCTCCTCCAGCACTGCCTGTTCTAGCTAATGGCACCGCTATGCAATAGCCATCAGAGCTCCCGGATCCTCACCAGGTGATGGCTACTGTTTTAAGAACTTTACCTAATACCTTCAACAACCGCATGAGTAGGTAGCATTAACCCTATTTGATTAATGGGGAAAGTAAGGCTTAGAAGTTATGCTGATTTGCCCATGATCCTACAGCCAGCAAGCAGTTAAGCTTGCTGTAGAATCCAGGGTGCGTGTCAAAAGTCAACCTCTTCCCATGTCACTTCCCAGCCTCTCCAAACTTAGAAGCTCTGCAGTCTAGATTGTTCTCAGAGATTAAGCTTTACAACTTTATTGTCTCTCAAATCTATTTCCTTCTCTTAATTCCCATAGCTACCTGCTGTTTGGGTGATGTTTTGCTTTTATTAGGGCCTCCAAATCAGCATAGCACAACAACTCCAGAATTTTACTTTGTTTGAATTCCCAATGATTCTCCTTTCTAGCTCATTTAAAACAGGTGGCAGGCTTTGTAATCCCTTGTATTTTCATCCAGCTGAAGACAGAAGCATTCTGAAGAAGTCTGTCTTTGTTAACAATATCTAAACCCAGAGAAGAAATTCTGCTGGACTTCTGGGAGGCGAGAAGGAGAAGCAGAGGAGAAGCTGCCAAAATGACACTCTCCCTTCCATCCCCCCATGGCCAACCCCCCATCCCAGGGCCTGATAAGGAGGTATGTCAGTCCCCAGCAATAGAGGCCCTGGCACCCCTCTGTTCCCTAAGGCAATGAGTAGAATCCTTGAGAAGACAGCTACGTGAAGAGTGTGCCTCGGGAGGCCAGACCTGAGGCAGGAGGTTTCCAGCCCTCACTGGCGGCCCTGGGGCAGACAGCTACAAGGATTCAATAAATCACTACTTTGATAAACTGAAGGTCAGAGGTGGGTTCCTCATCTTCCAGAGGCCATGAAAATCTCCAGGTCCTAGGACACACTCCATGGGGGAAGGGGAAGCACCTAAATCTTACTGACATGAAATTTTCCTCTAGGTTGGCAGAATGGGGACTGGAGTCCGTTTTCATTATGGGGAATGAAAACAGTAATGCTTCTTGCATAGTTGACACTCTGAGGTGAAATGCAGACTTGTGGGGCACCTCAATAAAGTGCAGAATCTTAGAACAGTGCACATCTGTGCTATAGACTAGCTACAACTGCTGGAACTGGAGCCAATCTAGTTTTCAAAAAAGGCCACCGCTTCGTTAGAGAGAGGACCATGGACTCTGCATACGCTCTGGTGACCTAGGGTGGAGGGGCGGGGTGGCGGGGAGGGCAGCAGGCTTATGCTTTAAACCCCTGAGGCAGATAGAGAAGGAAGGAAGGAAACAAGGGCAGATGTTAGAGTATACTCACAAGATTAACTCCTCTGATTCCTATGCAAATACCTAGAAAGGGAGAGACACACAAAGTTATCTTTAAGGTCTTTATCTTGAGCTCTGAATTGCTAAAACAAACAAAAACACCCAAGTGGGGGGGGAACGGAAGTCTACTTGGAAGAGGAAAGAGAGCAGCTGGTGCTGCTGGAGTCATGAGATCCAGGACACCCCCGTTTCCCAAGCCTGGATGTGCCTCCCAGGGTAGCATGCTGGCACGGAGCGGGATGGCTGATTTCCATAAGATGGAAATGATTGCATGCTGGAAACTGAGATGCTTTAGGGGAGAGAAGATCCTAACCCAAAAGAAAGGATATAAATCTTTAATGTGTCAAATTTGTTGACTGTAAGATGTTGTAGTAATGGTCAGTACTTGCAGCACCAAATGGGCACGTCTAAGGGGTCCGGGCTTTGAAATCAGTCACGTTATCCAAACAAATTCCACTTGAGTTCCGTGGCTGAATGTCTGAGACCTTCAGAAGAAGCTTATAAAGACCCTGCTGGAAACTGAAGAGGATTTTAGATACGCCAAAGATATGCCGGCCATTACGCAGAGACTAGAACTTTTAGTGCTGAGAGCTCTGGCTGGGAGAACCTCACATTCCTAAGAATCAGCAACCAAGGGACCCCATTTTTCTGCCAAATAGGCACACTATTAAATCTGATGGGCATGTCAAGGGAGAAGATGACCTGGGAAAGGAGTTGCCCAGGGAGCAAGTGCCCTGTTGCAGAGGCAGAGATTGCCAAGATGGTCTCCTTGGGGTTTGAGGCACAAAGCCCCCTCTAGCTATTTTAGTTATAAGGAGGTGGGAACGCTGTGTTAAATTGTACCCAAGAAGATAACTCACAAGGCAAGGAACACGGAAGCTAGGGTGTGTTGGGCAAGTAAGCAGAGGTTGCTTGCTTTACCGAAAGTGGGGCTGCTCTGGTCTCACAAGGGTCTAGCCTTGGTTGGCACATGCTTCCCTTGTCACACCAGACAGGTGAGACCAAGAAGGGAAGACAGAAAGAGACCCCACCACTTAACATGGGCAAATACCTACAGGAGGCTACTTTCCAATCTGTGGTGCCCAGAAACTTGGCAGGGATAGGGTGGTTGCATGGGGAGGGATGCTAGAGAATGGAGAACGAGTTCACTCTATTGGCCCAAACTCAATTTTCATGTGGCTTCCTTTAAACAAACCACAAGCTTAGTGAGTCAGTTAGGTCAGTGTAGAGAGATATTTCCGCATGCTAGAGGCAGATCCATATTGGTTCCCCAGTCTGTTTTTGGACGGTTCCCCTTCATTCTAATCACAATGCTGCTGCCAGGCTGATTCTTCTAACATGCAAATATGTTCCTGTCACTTGCCTGTTTGGAATTCTTCAATGGTCCCATTAGGTTTCTGTCGACTGCAACGAAAAGTCTTGTCTAATCAGAACCACTGAAAGTTGTTAATCAGGAGAGCAATATGTTCAGGCTTGTGTTATAGAAAGAAACTGAGAGAGCAGACATACAGATTATCCTCCTGGATTTATCAGTTATATACATTAAAATGGCCAAACAGTAATTCAAATAGCAAAACAAACAAAAAACCCAACTGTGCACACACACACACCAAAAAATAAGTACAATAACTGAACTCTGAAGTTCAGTATAAAACTGTTCACAGAGCATTCTAAATCTTCCCTGACTCAGCACAACATCTTTGTGCACTCTGATTTGAATATGTGGGGCAAATGAGAACCATTTTAGGGAAACAACATAAGATGACTATGATCTTAATGCGGTTTCAATTTACATGGTGATTGTGTGTTTTATGAACCACCTCTAATTCCTACTGCTGGAACAAAAAGGGAAAAATTACCTTGGTAAATGCCACATCATGGATCAATTAAGTTATTCCCCAAATAAAGTATTCTTTGTTATAGTATAAGCATGCATAATTTCTAGCATTTTAAACATTGATAGAGAAATTATTTTCTTTTCTAATTTTAATATTTAACACTCCTATGTTATGATCCCCGCCTCCCTTCATCCCCCACTGCTTTCATTTTAATTTTTTGTTTGTTCATGGAGGGAAGTAAGGAAATTTTAATGATATTCCTTAGATAATACATTTTCTTACCTAAAAGTGGTACAATAATGGGTTTTACTCTACCTCAGTCCACTATGCAGCATGCATACTCTACTTAATACTAGGTTGTGTTCCTACAGTTAGTTAAAAAACCAACCAGCTGGTAGTATTTTTTTAGATCCAACCTAAGAAAGACAGTGTGGTCTAGTGTAGAGGGCACTGGCTTTGGAGTCAGATGGGTCTAAGTTCGAATGCTGGCTCTGCTGCTTGGAAGGTGTGTAACTTTAGGTAAGTTGCATAACTTCTCTAAGCCTCAGTCTCCGTCACCATAAAATGGGGATATCTATGTATCTTGCAGAGCTGATATACGGTTATGCGTTACACGTGTACATACAGAGGCAAAGTACATGTACGAAGTAGATGTGGCCTGTGAATAAGTGTTAGGGCCAATTTTACACGATGGGTAAGCTCACAATTAGGAAACATGAATAACTTCTTTTGGAGTAATATATATATATAATGGAAAGTCAGAGTATAAATAATGGATTCACTTCAATCATGTTTCTTTAATGTGGATCATCATGACACAATTCCATCTCCTAGCATGTGTTTATAAAATAAATTTCTATTATCCCTGTGCTTTCACATTTTCTCATATATTTGAGAAATTCCTAGATTCTTAAGCAGTGTAATCCTATTTAATGTGCTGTTAATGGCAATATCATGTTTAACTAGAGAAAACAGTTACAAATGGGCCTGGCATGAACTAGTCCTACAGGTGCCATAAAGCTACCCAAATGGTATAATGAAGTGATGAGGGCATTTGGGGATTCTGCTACATTTTTTTCCTTCTGAACGTGTTGGTGGGGGTAGTGGACTAGTTTTAATTAGAATCGTTTGGAGAACAGGAATCCAAGCACACGACCTAATATTCTCCTAGTTAGCCTTCGGCCTGAGGCAGCTGTGGACAGCCTTCCTAGAAGTCAGTCTCAAGACAAAGAATAGAGCGGGAAGTGGTTTATCTAGTGGGAGGTTTGCAGGGGGAATTGAATGTAAGATGGGATATAAGAAAACTTACAAAAACAACTGGAATTTTTAAAAAATACACCATTATGACCATCAAGGACATTTTGCAAAAAAAAAAAAAAAAAAAAACAGTCTGGAGAGAGGCCAAGAGTTATGGTTAAGCAACAGCACTGCAGCTGCAAAAGAAGTGAGGGCTGCTTTAGGGTGACATGGCCTTGAACCTAGAATTAATGTATGGGACAGGGAAAAACAACAAACATGTTAGATATGAAATTTAAGGCTGGGATTTGGAATCATTATCTTGAAATAGGCAGTTCAAACAAATCCTAATCTTTACATGAGTGATAGAAAATAAGAAATAAAAACTTCTGATGTATAATGGGGACCCTGCCAACCATGAATTCCCTCAAATAAACACTGGTTGAGTGACATAACCTATTTCACAACTCTAGAAAATTTGGCAAGCTGAGAATCATCTCATATTATGATTTTAGGAGAGTGGTTTAGAGACTCTGAATTGTAACATACGTTACATTCTAGATATCTGATTCTAAATGGTGGACCCTACCTCAGTTTTTTTTTTCCTAATATTTCTTTAAGATAAAACCATTTAAAAACATCTTTTTAAAATATAACAGAAAGAGATCACGAAGTTTCTAGTGAGCAAGTCATGATAAGTAAAAATCAACTGTACAATGCCCATGATTTCTAATTTAAGACAGATAAATAGCAATGATCGTTCTTAGCGTGTCCTCTTGAATTTTTAGAGTGAAAAACAGGCTTTCATTAAGTCCACATCTTAATCCCCCAACCTTATTTTCCCCCTCAAGGCCTGAAGTTCCTCAAATGTAAATTCTCTCACAAAGTCTTTTCTGGGACATAAGCCCCTCTACCATGGAGGAGGCGAAGGCTCTGGTTTGTGCTGTAATGCGAGGAGAGAATAAGAATACAGAGCCATGACTGATGGCAGGAGCACTGGGGGGCAGGAGTTGGAGGGTTCCGCATAGACGTATTTACCTTTCTAAGTGAGGTACAGATGAGTTTCAGATGTGACACGAGGCAGCAGCCACATTAGACGTGACAGCAATCCTAAAGGAAAAACAATATCAAAAGTTTAAAAAAAAAAAAAGCATCAAGAAAAAACACATTGGTACTATGAATGCTGACATTTACCTAATCAGAATATGAGTTCAAGGATACCAGGGGTCAAAAATCTCTCTCCATCGACATGCTATGCTATAATGCCATATCCCAGCATTCCAGAGGCACCCATTTGAGTCCTTAAGGGATCTTTAGTTTTAGAGAGGCTATACAGTGATGTGGTTAAGACCACAGTATGGTGCCAGAAAGCTTAGATTCCAATCTTGGTGCCACCTGGAGCCACTTAGAGACCTCATGCAATTGGTTTTCTCTCTCTACCTCAGCTTCCTGTCCTGTAAAATGGAGATAACGATTACACCCACATCACAAGACCCTTTTGAGAATTAAATAAACTAATTTGAGATAAATGCTTGACACTGTCTGGTAAGCAGGGAGTATTCATGTATTTGTATTTATTTTTCAGAGACCCCAAGTAAAAATACAGCCTCAAGCAGAAATTACAAAATACTCATGGCTGGGCACAGTGGCTCACACTTGTAATCCCAGCATTTTGAGAGGCCAAGGCAAGAGGAATGCTTGAGGGCAGGAGTTTGAGACCAGCCTGGGCAACATAGCAGGACTCAATCTCTACCAAAAAAAAAAAAATTTTTTTTTTAAGTCAGAACCTTTTTAAGAGCGTCAACTAAGAAGAACACTATTCCTTTGGGTAAGGGAAACAAGAACCTCAGCAGGGATGAGGGTGAAGAGGGGGAGGGAAGAAAAAGCCACTAAAAGGCAAAATATGGGGGAAAAAAACACCCCACTTTGGCTTAACTTCAATTTTTTTTTTTTAAAGTCAAGACCACTATTATCAGCAGAGGCCTGGAGAAAAGAATTTGCTGTGCAGACCCAATCATTCACCTTGAGATAAGGAAAAGGACAGAAACTGGACAGCAAATGATGAGAGGGCAGCAGCAAAATGTTTACAGACTGAAAAGAGATGGAAATATAGCTTTCAGTGAAAATAATGAAGACAGGAAATAGATCAATAACTTAAACCCATCAACCCTCACCTCCACAGATATAAATTCATTACTGATTAGCAGTGCAATCCAATTGGATGAATACTTGAGCACCAACCCTAAGTAACCTCCTTCTCTGAGTAGCCCACATTTGTGCCTTGACCAAAAAGGCTGCTGTTGTATGTGTTTTTAAAATAACGAAACCATATCAATTTGAATCTTACTAATGCAAAAGGCATAAACTTTTAGGTATAAGCTGAGTTTGGGTTTTTCCTCCTGAATTGAGGTTTTTCCTTGCAGAAAAATGTCTCACTAAAGAAGGCAATATGTAATGTTGCAAAGTAAACATTTAAACTACTGAAAATATACTAAGTATTTTAACAACCTCATTAACATACAAATGATTAACTACAAATGATTAGGTATCTAATTATTACAGATGATCTTTATAATAGTCATATCTGATCTTATACAACTGACACATTATTTAATTTTAGATAGTTCTGTATTTCAGAATAGCTTTCTTGCAACTAAATCTAGTGGGTAAGGAGGATGTCTTGTTTTCAACGGCTAGATAAACGTTTATTAGGGCTGCTTTATTTGGTCAGTCTGGGTGGACGGGAAACTGTCTAAGAGGGAAATATCTGGTATTTTTCTACTAGGAAGTTAGCTTACGTAGATTAACACACATGTAAACACAGAGACATAACATATGTCCATCCCCAAACCTATTTTGAGGGTTTCTCTTAAGTTACTTGAAATTCTTCTTCTTGGATATTACAGCAGTCTTCAGTCTGAAGAAAAAGGCTCTTTTCTGAAGAATCACATAGTTGAAGTTATCTGATTCTATAAGCATAGCAAGACCACAATTTTTAACTGCAGTTACTTCCCTGGCCTGTCTGTAGTTCTTTTTTATTAATGTAGACAAAGATATGCCTCACTGCTGAAAGCTGAAACATCAAATGGAAAAGTGCAGTTTGATTTCCTACATTTCCCTCCACTCTCTGCCTCTCCCTACTTTGGTATTATGTCACACAAAATTACTTCCAGAAACTGGGAGGGTTGAGCAGCCAAGTTATGAAATCTAAGTGCTATGCTTAATGCTTTTTTTTTTTATCTTCAAGTTAATACTTATGAGGGTGAGAGTCTACCAATGATCAAAGTCATGGTAATTTTTCTGTTTCATGAGAAATCTAAAATCTCAGAATCACATCCCGCTGACCCGACGTTATTTGTACAACCCATACAAATGCCCCTTCCTCTACGAGATTCCTCCCGCAATTCACAAATGTGTAAACCTCTATTTTAAATTTTACCTCTACCATTAATCAAAACAGAAGTGCAAATAAGTTTCCTTAAAAATAATCTTGGTAGTGAACATAAAACAAAAATAACATGGAGAGTAAAGTATTAGCCCGTTCCTGTACTTGTCTGCTTACTTACTCCCTCCTACAACACTTTCTAAAAATTTCCATTATGATTTTAAGATGTTATTTTCCCAATAAATGTTGACAACAATTTCCCACTTCCAGCTCTGGCTTTAAAAAGAAATAGGTTATAAGTTGAGAATAGCTAAGAAATTGGGTTTGTCCCAGTGTTCTGTGAAATCAGACTAGTCAGTGCTTCAGAATCAAAATTTCCCTTAGACTTTTCACTAAGAAGCAAAGCTGTTTGTTTGCCTTTTCTGATAAGGAATTCAAAACATGCAATGGTAGTAAATCTGGTTAAAGAAATTGTCAAGGGAGGTTTTGACTTTTGCTATTATTTAACATTACATCATAGAATTAAATCATGTAAAATGGCAGCCTTATCCATCTCAATCACTAAATTCGGTCAAGTAAAAGTCTACAAAATTCTAAATGAAAAGTTTTTTCATCTCATTAATGGAAATATCTAAACATTACGTTGTGGTTTATTTTTAGGAAAGAATAACAGAGAAGAGAGCTTGGATCTGAAAAGAAAAATGCCACACACTGGTGATGCTTCCTTCTAGAGGCTGTGGACTGCCTGACAAACTTGCTAAAGCAAAAAAGGGCATAATAGTTCTCTGCAGAGGAAGAATTTTAAAAAGCAATAGCAACAATCAGGTAACAGCAGACCAATCAGGTTCTCCCAAAATTTAGTATTTGCAGTTGAAACTGTGATAAGTAATTACTTTCAAAGGAATGTAGACAGAGCCATCAATCCCCATTCATTCAGCTCGCATTTACCGAGCCAAGAGCTCTGCTAGGCTTGAGATATAAAAATGAATACAACACAGCTGCTTTACTTCCAGCTAAAAGAATACACCTAAATAAAGAGCTACAGGGCCATGTGTTAAGTGCCATAATAGAGGTGTACACAAAGGGCTGGGGGCCAAAGGAAGAAGCCATAAATTCTTCCTGGGAAATCAAGCAAGTGAGGGGAGATGTGAAAGAAGGTATCTCAGAGATGTTTCCTTGTGATAATCTCAAGACTTTTTCTTTAGTGTGTTCTAAAAAGGTGGTAATTTTAAGATTTATCAACTATTATAATGTCAGGCGCTAATCTTGGTCTGCTAGCCAGTTTCTGTTTGACACACACTTCCAGTTACAATATCCCAAGAATATAAATATTTTAAAATAAATATATTATTGTAATATTCCCATGCAATACACACAATCCAGAATGGCATGAATCACTGGCTTGAGTGGAACGTAGCTTCCAAGTTCAAAGATGTTTTAAAATATAATGAATGAAAGATGGATTTTAGAGAGTTTCATATAATATCAATAATGCTTACTGTATCACTGTTTTCTTTCCTCTCAAGGCAAAAATAAAAGAATCACCTGATTGTATCATGGTTAATATTTGTTTTACTCTACTTCTGTGTTTAAAAAAAGAGGGCGGGTGGAGAATCAACTTCTACTTAACATCATTTATTATGCAGACCATATTCCTACTTATAACATAGTTGTGACAAAACCTCCATTGTTCATTACACACTAGCCCCAAACTTGAGTAATTCTAATGTAAGCATGAGAAACTCCCGTCTCCTTTGGGGTGAATTTCCCAATTCCTCTGTGTTAAATTGAGGTCTAATTTTCCCTGTGCCTGGTTTTCACAAGAAGGTCCATTCCACCCCATGTGCTCCTTTTCAGCTGTCAATAAACAGAGGCAGTGAATTCCCCACGGCTTCACAAAGCTAGTTAGGCAGAGCCATTCATTCCTTCAGGAAAACAGGGCATTGATTTCAGCGAGTTCCCAGGGAGCAGCTGCAACAAAGAGATCAAAGGCCCACCTCTCTTTCCCTCCATTGCTTTCATTAGGCCCAGCCCAGACAAACAGCGACAGGTTTCCTTGAGACAAGGAGAGGGCTCAGCAGACCACCTCATGGTTTAATTCAAATTCATCCGTTTCCTACATTCCAGTGACAGTTCAGAATGCTAACCATGACAAACCAGCACAATCACCCAGCATAATATACTGCTCGCTAGTTCATCCAAGGTCAGAGGGAGAAAACAAGCACGGGGGGAAGTCCTCTGCTTCTAGGGCCTGCTGAGCTTCAATGGCCCCCTGACATTCCATAAATAAACTTCTCCCTCTCACTCTCCCTTTCTTCCTCCATCCTACAACCCTACAAGCGATAGTCTCACTGAACAATCTGCAACTTCTTTCATGTCACCGTACCCAAACTATATGGAAACTTTATTCTCAATCGAATGGTTCGTTCTAATAGCCAGAGGAAGATGGCTATACACGCAGCCTCTATTAGTTCACTGCTGTGCTAAAGCCAGTCGGCTACACCCAATAAGCTACTACAACGTGATGAATTCAGAGCTGCAGTTTCTAGGGTTACCTTAGTAAGGGGTGATCTCCAGAGCTGCAGTTTCTAGGGTTACCCTAAGGGGTGATCTCCAGAGAAAGCAACACAACTTAAAGATGGAGTTAGTTTGCATAAATTCTGTTTGTACAACAAAAGTGTGAACAGAGATATAACAGGTTTTTTTGGATCCAGGTAATCACCCAAACTGGGTAATCCAAGCTCCTGTGTATAAATGAGTTGTGTGTTTGTTGGGGTGAGGATGGTTAGTCAAGGAGAGAGGAGAGAGCAAGAGGGACTATGAAAGAAAATGAATTACTCTGACTGGTTACCTACACGGAACAAATATAACTAAGAGGTTTCCAAATTCACCATTGAATTCTGAATTGCTTATTTCACACCTTCATGGAACCCTATAACAAAATGCCTTCATTTCATTGTGCTCCGTTCCATTTGTCACTAATCCTGAGTACACATGGGAATCGATGGGTTAAGTTTCAAAATTGTGAAACCAAAAAGAAAATAAACAATATTGGAACGAAAGGTATGAACCCACTCGGTGAGGCAGAACACAACCTTCCCACGTGCCCACAGGCATCAGTACTGATCTCGGTGGTGGGGTTGCGGGGGAGGTCACCAGTGACCTCCAGGGCCATCTATTCACCAATTACTCACCTTGGACTGTCAAAGATGCTATTTTGTATAGAGAGCTGAACAGCCCTCAAGGAGAAAAGACATTCCCTTATATTCAAATTAGGACAGAAATGGACTTTGCATATACAGAACTCTCAACTGCACAGGAAAGGTAGCTTGTGACAAAAATGGTGTGACAATTAATTAGGAACCTTAAAGCTAACTCTGGCATTGACTTGCTTTGGGCCTAGGGGACACATTTAACCCCTCTGTCTTCCCACTCTTCCAAAATCACGACAGAAATATCTGTGAATTCCTTGACGCAGTACTATGAAATAACCATTCCTCAAAAACTATGTATCTCATCAAAGAAACCTAGGCTTATGAGTAGAACTTCCTTATATAATGATCACCCTGTAACTCAGTAGAGGTTCTCTGGAAACTTGCTACATTTCTATAAATCAAATTGTTTTTTAAAAGCACTCAGGAAAAATACTACTGAAAGAAAGTCTTTGGCAAATGACCAAAAACACTTATCAATCCATTTACGTATCTTTCAAAAGCATTTACAAAACACTGAGAAACATTATCCATTGGATCTCTGCCACAACCACCTGAGAGAGATGGTTTTATTAATCTATTTTTGAATGAGGAGATAATAGGCTCAAGAGAGGTAAATTGACTTGCCAAAGTCATAGAACTAATAATCAGCAGTTAAAACTTTAAATTCAAGTATTCTATCTTTGAGTCTCATGCTGTTTCCATTACACCAGCTACCATGTACTGGGGATATAATCATTCACTGGAGTTCTCTCACCAAGGTTATATTAAATAAGTCATCCTAGTTTTTGAGGCCAATGGGTTGTACCACTTCCATTCAATGAGGTAGTTGCTTAAGAGTATGGACTCTGGAGTCAGATCTGTATTTAAATTTTAGTGTCACTTTGTAATAATTTTATAAATTAAGCAATTAACAATATTTTTGGAACCTTAGTTTCCCTATTTGTAAAAGAGGAATAATAACCTCACAGGGTTTGTGGAGGATCAAATTAGATAACTAATATAAAGCTCCTAAAACAGCATTGGCATACAGTGAAAGATCAATAATTATAGCTATTATCAATGCTGAAAATCAAAACAGTGTAAACTTGTTAAAAGGAAAAATTTCTTTTAAAGAAAAAGACATAAAATTTAACATTCAGTCTCTAGATTGCATGATTCCTTGCATTAAAAGTTTAGCCTTCAAATCTAGGATTTTATGGGGGACAACTAATGAACCAAGATCAAACTATTATAAAAGAGAAAGAAGCTACTTTACAAAACAGAAACACTAATTGAAGTGTCGTTTTAAAAGGCTAATTGAGGCAAATCCTTGCTACTATAAAGCAGCAGTGTGGTTTTTCTGCACAATTCAGCTTTACTTCTTGCCACTTAGCCATTTCGAGTAGAAATGTATTGGTAAAAGAAGAAATTCACAGACTGTTACCACTTGAAGAGAAAAATACACACAGGGATATCTGTTGTCTGTAGATAGTGCTTTCATGTTTTCAAAGAACTAACACATATCTTACTTCGTTGACCCTCACATTACTAAGAGAAAACAGATTAATTATGTAGCACAAGAGAAGACTGCCAGTGGTAAACAGCAAACCTTATTTTTTATTCCTTGTCTCATTTTTTCATGACACCCTATTACTGGGCGGTGGCATAGAGATGCCACAGTACAGAGTGTACAGAATACTGTGGGAAGACAGAGGCCACTAAGACTGAGAGAACCAGAAAAGGCTTTGCAGAGAAGGTGACATTTATCCAACCTTTTATCTAGTACAGACGTACTTCTGGAATATTCCTGGTCGCCCTTGAGCCTGAGATTTCTTTTCTTTTTTTTTTTTTTTTTGGTGAATTCTGAATATCTCACTTAGTGATTTAGTTCTCCTTATACTGCTTTTTGTTCACTTGAAAACCTAAATGGATGTCCTCACCTCCTTTTAAAAATTTCATCCAAGGCCTTGATATTAAAGAGGCAGGAGCTGAAGCCACTCTTGTTTGACTTAATAATATCAATACCTAAGGCACCTTCTCATTCTACAGTTCTGTGACTTTTAAAATTACTGCTTATTCTTATATTGCATTACCTACTATACAACACATCACTTGAAATGTGCAATTTACTTCCTGTTAATATTTTAAAATATTTTCTTCATTACCATTTATATCAGAAACAGTTTAAAAGAACTCTTATGAATATCTAAAGGAATATGTCTTGCTAAAGAAACTCAGCCTAGAGCTGGTGAAGTATGACAATTGTTTCTATCCTAAGAGCCGGGTTCCTTTTTGTAAGTAACCACCCCTAATTCTATCTTCTCTCACAACATGAAAGAAACACATTTTTTAATGAAAGATGTTCAGACATTTTGAAGATGATTATGACAATCTCTGATGAGTTATTAATTTGAGACCATTCTTCTCTTCTAACATAGACATGTAGTGCTACAAATTCCTGTCTAAGCATTGCTATAAGTTGCATCTTAGTCACTTGAAAATATGGTTTCATTTTCATTCAGTTCAAAATATTTTCTAATTTCCTGTTCGATTTTTTTAAAATAGGCTACTTTTTAGAGAAGTTTATGTTCACAGCAAAATTGAGCCTGTTACAGCAATTTCCCATATACTCCCTTCCCCCCCCCCAACACACTTAGCCTTCTCCATTATCGACATCCCCCACTAGAGTGGTACATTTGTTACAACTGATAAACTTCCATTGACACATCATTATCACCCAGAATCCATGGTTTAGAGTTCACTCTTGGTGTTGTACATTCTATGGGTTTGAAAAAATTTATGACAGTTCTCCATCATTATAACATCATACAGAGAAGTTTTGCCGATCTTTTTACTGTCTAGTTTTGCATTTTCTAAAATGTCATATAGTTGAAATTATATAGTATGCAGCCTTTTGAGACTGGCTTCTTTTACTTTAGTAATACACATTTAATTTTCTTCCATGCCTTTTCATGGCTTGATAGCTCACTTCTTTTTTTTTTATTTTTTTCTTCTTCTTCTTCTTTTTTTTTTTTTTTTTTTTTGAGATGGAGTCTGGCTCAATCGCCCAGACTGGGGTGCAGTAGGGCAATCTCGGCTCACTGTAACCTCCACCTCCCAGGTTAAAGCAATTCTCCACCTCAGCCTCCCGAGTAGCTGGGACTACAGGTATAGTCTGTATACCTGAGATTACAGGCGCCCACCATCATGCCAGGCTAATTTTTGTATTTTTAGTAGAGACACAGTTTCACCATGTTGGCCAGGCTGGTCTCGAACTCCCAACTTTCAGTGATCCACCCATCTCGGCCTCCAAAGGTGCTGGGGTTATAGGTGTGAGCCACTGCACCCGGCCAGCTCATTTCTTTTTGGTGCTGATTGATTTCGTTTGTGTCACACTGGCTGGCTGGTAGAATTCACCAGTACAACCATCTGGGTCTGCTGTCTAGAAGCTGTTTTAAGTTTATATGTGTATTTCAAGGAACTAGTCTATTTTATCTAATTTATCAAATATGTGAGTGAGAGCTTATTTATACTATTCTCTTACTAATCCTGTATTTTATCCATGGGATTAGCAGAATAACACCTCTTTCATTCCTAATATTGGCAATTGGTGTACTCATTTTTCCTTGGTTGCCTGGCTAGAGATTTATCATTTTACTGATCTTTTCAAAGAACCAGCTTTTTATTTTGTTGATTTTCTCCATTGTTTTCCTGTTTTCAACTTTGTTGATTTCCGCTCTAATTTTCAGTATTTACTTTCTTCTGCTCACTGCAGGTTTAATTTGTTTCTCTTTTTCTAGTTTCCAAAGGTGGAAACTGAGGTTATTGATTTTAGGTTCTTTTTCTTTTCTAATACATCATTTAATGCTACAAATTTTGAAGCACTGTTTCAGCTGTATCCCACATGGTTTCATAAACTGTATTTTCATTAAAATTAAAAATATTTAAACATTTTTCTTGAGATTTTTCTTTGATCCATGGGTTATTTAGAAGCATACTGTTTAATTTCCAAATATTTGGAAAATTTCCAGCACTTTTTTCAGTATTAACTTTTAGTTTAATTCTGTAGTCTCAGAAAGTATTTTGTATGGTTTCTATTCTTTTAAATTTGTTAAGATGTTTTCAATGTCTCAGGATGTGCCCCTGGGTTATTTGGAAGTGTGATGTTCAGTTACAAGATATTTTTCCAGATTCCTTTCTAATTTAATTCCATTATGGTCAGTGAACACTCTTTGTATGATTTAAATCCTTCAGAATTAATTGACTTATTTTCCCACCCAGAATATGGTCTATCTTGAAAAATGTTCTGGCTATGCTTGGAAAAAGTGTGCAGTTTGCTGTTGAGTAGCGTTCTATAAACGCCAATTAAGTCAATGTGGTTGATAGCACTGTTCAAGTCTTCTATAGCCTTCTTGGTTTTCCAACTACTTGATCTATTATCTATTGAAGGAAGGGTGCTGAAATCTGACCACAATTGTGAATTTGTCTATTTCTTCCCATGTATACTGAAATTATTTTACTAGGTGCATAAACATTTAAGATCATTTATTCTTGATGAGTTCACCACTTTATCATTATGAAACAACTCTATTTATCCCTGGTAATATTCTTTGTTCTAATTTCTACTTTGTCTAATATGAATACAGTCACCACAGTTTTAAAAAATCAGTGCTAAAAATGATATTTTTTTCATCCGTTAGCTTATAATCTATTTGTGTCTTTACACATGAAGTGCATTTTTTTGTAGGCAGCATATAGTTAGTTCTCAAAGCGTTTTGTATGTATTAAATCTGACTGTGAACAATCAATTGAGGTAACTCATTACCTTCAGACTGGCCAATATGTGTATTAAATCTGACATTCTTTGCCTTTTAATTATGACAGTTAGACCATTTATGCTTAACATGCTTACTGACATGATTAGGCTGAAATGTACGATCTTGTTATTTGTTGTCTAATTGCCTCAATTATTCTTTGTTCCTTTTCTTTCTTCTTTTGAATTGATTATTTTTCTCTAGTTTTATCTCCTTTGGCTTATAACTATGTTTTGATATCTTCGTGGTTGCTGTAGAGTTTATAGTTATATCTTTAACTTACCATGGTGTACTTCCAAGGGATATACCAGTTCATGTAGAGTATAAAAACTTTATAGTTATATTTTTCCTCACCTGACCTTTGTGCAATTATTGTTGTAACTTTTGCTTTTATATGTTATATACCCCATTTGCTATTTTTGTTTAAACCATCTTTTAAAAAATATTAATAATAATCATCATCGTATGTATTTATTTACCTAGGTGGTTGCCATTTCTGGTGCTCTTTACTGCTATCTGGCATTATTTTCCTTCTTTATTAAATCAACTGACAATAAATGTGAGAGTTTAAAAAAAAAGATTTCCTTTAGTATTTCTTACACTGTGGGTCTACTGGTGATTAATTCTTTCAGCTTTAGTACATCTGAAAAAGTCTTTATTTCACCTGTTATTTTCCTACCAAAGAAAGTGCTTGCATGTTTCACCTTTTTTGAAAGATATTGTCACAACTATAGATTTCTAGATTAACAGTTTTAGCTTTCACTACTTGGAAGGTGTCTTTCCACTGTCTTCTGGATTACATTCCTTCTGACAGGAAGCCTTCTGTCATGTTTGTTCCTCTGAATGTATAGTTTTTTCTTCTCTGCTTTAAAATCTGTCTTTACTACTGGTTTTAAACTATTTGATTACGGTGTCCCTTGGTGTAGTTTTCTTCATGTTTTTGTGCTTGCTTGATATTTATTTAACTTAGATTTGTGGATTTATTGTTTTCATCAAATTTGGCAAGGCTTCAGCCATTATATCTTTATTTTCTGTCCTCTCCCTCCTTTGGGGACTCCAATTACATACATATTTGGTCATTTCAAGTTGTCCCACAGCTCACTGATGTGCTATTCACTTTTTTCTAGTTTTTTTTTTTTTTTTTCCATTCAGTATCTCATTTTGTATAATTGCTATGCAGTGTATTTTGGGATTTTAATCCTATCCAGTGTATTTTTCAACTCAGGTGTTTATAAAATGTCTAGAGGTCTAGAAGTTCAATTTAGGTCTTTTTATAGCTTCCATCTTTTCTTAACCACCTTATGCTTTCCACTACCATCTTGAGTATATGGAACATAGTAACAATAACTATTTGAATATCCTTATTAAATCTATTTAATTTATTTTAGTACCTCCACTTATTAGATGTGTGTCACTTCTGGGTCTGTTTCTATTGATTGAGTTTTCTCTTCACTGTTGAATTTTCCTGCTTCTCTGCACATCTGGTAAATTCTGACTGAATGCTACATATTGCATACTTTATTAATGGGTGCTGGATATTTTGTATTTCCTTAAATATCCTTGAGCTTTGTTCTGGGATACAGTTAAGCTACTTCAAACAATTTGATCCTTCAAACCAAGTGTCTGCAAACTAGGCCCACAGGCCAAATCTGGACCACTGCCTATTTCTATAAATAAAATTTTATTGGAATACATTCTGATACATGTAAATACATTTGCTTACAAATTGTTTATGGCTGTTTTAACACTAGAAGGGCAGAAGTGAGTAGTTAAAACAGAGACTACATGGCCCACATATCCTAAAATATTTTCCATCTGGCCCTTTACAAAACAGTTTTATGACCTGTCTTGAATGGCTTACTTTTAAGATTTTTTAGGCAGGATCAGATTAGACTAGTCTAGGGCTAATTTTGCCTCATCGCTGAAGCATTAGTCTTCTGAGTACACCATCTAATCCCACTTATATACAAGGTTTTTCCACTCTGAATGGTGGGGGTGGGGTGGGGGGGACACACTCTTCACTGCCTTATATGAGCTACTTTCTTCTTCCCAGTGCCTCTTTCCTCATCCATGGGTAGTTCTCTTATGCATATGCACTAATCAGCACTCGGCTGAAGCCTCCAGGAGAGCCCTCTGAAGATCTCTGGAGCTCACTCTCTGTGTAACTAACTCTCTCTTCTCTGGTACTCTGTCCTTCAAATTCTAGCTGCCTCAGCCTCCCAGAATTCCTAACTCCATCATCTCAACCTAGGATAAGCTGTGTTTGGGTTCTGCCTTCCTGCACTGCAGCCTGGGGCAAATCATTTGTTTTTTCCTTCTCTCAGGGTTCACTGTCTCGTGCCACTTGTCCAATGTCGGAATGCCTTTGTTTCATATGTTTTATGGGCTTTTTGTGTGTGTCGGTTTGTTAGGCTATTTTAGGCGAGAGAATAACTCCAGTTCCTGTTATTACAAGATGGCTGGAAGCAGAGGTCCTCTCAGTACGAAGTTCCAATCCTTTATATTTGCCTTAGTGCTTTATATTTACAATAAATTGTCCCAGCTCAAGCCATTTACCCAATTCTATGATCAGTCAGCAACTAGAGAAGGGTGTAATAAGCAAAGTCAAACTACTATAGCATCCCTTTCCCCAATCCCACTTTCCTATCTTTGTGGGATATATATGGTGGACTTGGTTTTTAAGATTTTTCTTTTTCATTAAACCAGCATTTATTGAGTGGTTGTTTTTCCTGGCATTGTTCTAGGTGCTGGGGATTCACCACTGTGAACAAAACACGCAAAAATTCCTACCCTTGTGAAGCGCACCAATGAATTAAGCTTATCTTTGAATTAATTGTTTCTAGTAGCTTAACTGTATCCCATAACAAAGCTCAAGTAAAATATGTATCAGATGGTGATTTTAAAAAAAAAAGTAATGAAGAGACAGGAAGTGCTAAGAGATTTAGCAGTGAAAACAGTGTCAATTTAAAACAGGCTGGTCAGGGAAAAAGGCATGGGTGAGAGGATGACAATTTAGGGAGGATCTGAAGGAGGTAAGGATGTAAGTCATGTGGCTATTTCTGGGTACAATAATTGCAAAACTCGATGCAGAAACAAGAAAACTGGTATGGCTAAAGCAGTCAGTGAAGGGAAGCGGTAAAAGATTAGGCCAGAAGTAATGGGACCCATAGCACATAGGAGATGATAAGCCTCCGTAAGCGAGATGGGAAGGACTGGAGACACTGGAGCAGAAAAGTAACACGATCAGACTTAACAGTTTTAAATAATTTATCGGGCTGTTGTGTGGAGAGTGAATTCTAGGGGAGAAAGTATGAAACCAGGGAGACCAGTTAGAAGGCTACTCTTATAAAGAGATGATGAAGGCGTGCACCAGTGCAGTAGCAGAAGAGCTGGGGAGAAGTGGTCACCTTCTGGATTTATGGAAGGTGGGGCTGACAGTATCTCCTGACAGCTGAATGTGTAGAGGGTGAGAGAGACGAAATGAGGATGCTGCAAAGGCACCTGGCCTGTGCAACTGGAAGAAGAGTCTTCCTCATCTCGGTAAATGGCTACTTAGGATGAAGGAAGTTTGGTTGGGAACAGAGAAGAACTCAGGAGCTCAGGTGCAGACATGTTAGGTTTGATATGCCTATTAGACATCCAGCAATTGGATATTTTAATCTGGAGTTTAGAGAAGAGGTCCATACTGGAGACAATTTAGTAGCTGCCAGCATATATGTATTTAAAGCCATAAAAATGAATGGGAGCAGCTAGGGAGTGAGAATCGACAGAGGACAAGTACAGAGACTGTGCTCAGGGACAGCCAATGTTTGGAGGTCAGGACAATGAGGATGTAACTGCAAGAAAGATAAGAGTAGTCACATGCAATAGGAAGGCAGTTGGGAAAGTGTGCAGACTCAGAAGACAAGAGAAGAACATACTTCACAGAGCAGCATGATCAGTGGGGTCAGTGCTTCTGACAGGTCAAGGAAGATACAGACTGAGAATTAATGGTTGAGTTTGCAATATGAAGGTCGCTGGTGACACTTGAGAACTTTGGTGGAATGCCCAGACAGAACTGAGAAATTGTGTAAAAGGAAGCAGGGACATTAAATGGGGTAGTAAGTAGAGAGGAATGGGAGTTAAATAATTTTTTTAAGTAAAGCAGGGAGGTGGGAATGCATGATGCAGGAGAGAGAAGGGACAACTACTGTAGCTATATCCTTGAGCAGGTGAGAGGAGATGGGACTAAGAATATAAGTACAAGGGTAAGCTTTAAATTGAGCATGGCTGGGTATCTTTCTCCAGCTACGTTCAGCTGCACTGCTGCAGGCATGGAATCAGCAAACAAAGGCACTGGGATATAGATGGCTAAGTACAACAAAGCAAAGGGGAGGGACAGAGAAGATGAGTGGATGAGTGATTTTAATGAGAGGGTAGGCTATTGACGTTGAGTAAGGGAGGATGTGAGATATGAAGGAAGTGTGCTGCAGTGTAAAAGTTGTATGTCTAGGTGGAGTTAAAAATGTGTTGGAGTGGGAGGACAGATGGAGAATGGGGTGCTGGGACTCAAGATCATGGAGTGAGAGCAGTTCTTATTAATGACTAGGCCCACAGTATGACTATGGGAGAAAGTTGCTAATGTGGTTTGGAAGACAAGGTCATTGAAGGAGAGGAAATCAAGAAACCGAGAAGCCAGGCTGTTAAGACTCTACGAAGCCTGAAAATCACCAAGAATTAGGACACATTAGTCTTACAGGGAAGGACAGCTCCTGAATCTTCAAGGAATAAGGAACAATGATGTATTTTTACTTTCCAGATTTTAAATTTTTATGTTGTCTTATAACTATATTTATAATAATGATTTAGGCCTAACTCCAAGTCAGCTGTTTTAAGCTAATCCAACTGTCCTTTTATGGTCCAACTTGCGTTCTGCTCAAATGTCCTTCTTCTCTTTCACTATCATTCTGAAAAATGTACAATTAATTCTGTCATTTATATCAGTTTCCTAAATTCTAAAGCAAAATTTCTCAAACTTTTCTGTGGAGCACCAGTTCAATGGTATATTTGGTGAGGTAGGGGTTGTATGGTGAAATATGCTGGAGAAACACCACAGACCAAAGGCCATCGATAATCACTTGTTGGAAACAAACAAGTCTAATTTGATTTTAACTCAGCTTTTTTCCCAAATTTAAATGACCATATGCTCATTTTCCATATAATATCAGTTAACATCCTAAGGAATGAGTATGCCAAGGTAGGTACTATCGGGAAGACTGTATTAGAGGTGCGTGTCTTCTTGGTGGCTTCAAAAGAGGTGAAACAGAACCTGCTAGAACAAGATTCAAGATACAGACTTAGAATCTGTCAGAGAATGCAAATCCTTGTTAAGTTACTTTGTAACAATATTCTCCTCTCCTGCTAAGATGATGAAAAACAAAACCATCTCAGAAAATAACTTCTCAAAGATGTATTTAAAATTGGTTTAGTATATTTCAATTCTCCTCCGTAAAAATGACACTTCATAGACTATTTAAAAACAAAGATACATAAATATGTTTTGGAGGAAGACTAATGCCCAACAGGACGTCTGCATCTATATACAACCTCAGCTCTGCCCTTTGCTCCCACTAACCATAACTCTGATAAGAAGTCACTATAAGGAAACAAATGCCCCTAGGCCAAGACATGTACTTCAAAAATCATTATCAAAATAACTATTATCTAAGAGTACCAGAAAAAGTGAGACAGACTTTAAAATAATTTAAGAACCAAATAACAAAAAAGTTTTGCTCCAATTTTTGCTCTAGGAGCTCTAAAAAACCATTATCAAGTTATTAGAGAAGACAAGGTATTGGGGGAAGAGGATAAAAGAAACTGAAATATCAGCTTACAAAAGCCAATCACGATGTTTATGAATCAGGCAGGAACAATCTGCAAACAAAAATAAAAATTACTAGTTTTGTATAATATTTGCACATGCATTTGTTAATTATAATTTTGAGATCACTGTAGGTTCATATGCAATTTTAAAAGAGGCTTTACTCAGTCTCCCACAATAGTAACATTTCACAAAACAACAGTACAATATCACAACCGATATGTTTATATTAATACCATCTACTAGTCTATCGCGATTTCCCATTTAATTGTATTAGTGTGTTTTATAGTTTTATCACATGTGTAGGCTCACATATCTACCACTAGTCAAAATATTGAACAGTTCCATCACAAGGATCCATCATGTTGCCCTTTTACAATCACACACCACCTCCTTTGCCAAAATCTCTTTCTGCCCCTGACCCATTGCACATCTATTTTTAACACTAAAATAATAACAGCCATTTACAAAAAGTATTTCATTCCTTGTCCATAGTTCTATGTCTACTACTACTACTACTACTTCCTATATGTCAAATCTTGAATGAATACTTTTAGTTTTCTGCATTAAAGGTTTAGTTTAAGGAATACCTTCTCCAGGGAGAAGTTTTTCTCATTGTTAGCATGGCATAGATCACTCATTTCAAAAATCAAAACGCAAAAAGTAAGGGAGTCAGAAATGTTGTCTGCACTCACAGATTCCATATTTTCAATATATTACTAACAAGAAACCTCTGAGTGCTTACCATCGGCCAAGCTACATATTATATATTATTATGTGTGTGTGTGTGTGTGTGTATACACACACATATATATAAAAGATATATATACACATATATATCAAATTATATATATATAAAATTATATATATATATATATATATATATATATCATTTAATCCTTTTACCAAACCTTTGATGTATGCACATTGACCCTGTTTGGCCCAGGAGAAAATTGAGGCACCAAGAGGTTTACAAGTTGCCTGAAGTCAAACAACTAGCAAGTGGCAAATCCTGGAACCTGGGACCAGACTCTGGGCACCCAGACTCTACCATCCCTCAAGGAAACCCATGATAAAGTCAAGATGTTTTGATGTCATCATTCATTGCTATGACAAATAAATCACCTAATTATTGGTAAGCTTCATTTTAACATACCAGAATTCAACAAGGAAAATGTCCAAAGCAATGATGTGTAAAATGGAAGGAGTATTTTATTCAAGCATGAAATCATAGGAAATTGCCAAAAACAAAGGTTGGGACATGCAGAAAAGACTTTATATTATAGCAACAAACTGTTCACCAGCCCTAAAAAGATAGTCTTAACATTCGTTGGGGATTGACAGGCAGCAGTTTATACATAGTCAAGATTACTCTTGAAAAAGACATATTCAATTGAGCAGAGATGATGATGGGAGAACTGAAATTTTTGAACAGATAAAAGCTTCAAAATTAGGCTCTTCAGCCAATAGAGACATCTAAAACTCCAAAGATCATGTTCAGATTATAGTAATTTGACAGACACCTATTGTGACAAACTTTCTGTAGGTTTATTAGCTTAATAATATAGCATTATTACTGAGGACTAATATTCTCTTCTGTGAAACTACACAGCACATTTATGCATAGCTGTGACAGTTTTGCCTATCATTCAACAGTGCTTAAAAGGCGCCTGCTCAATAAGCCATTGATATGCTGCCCCAAATACCCTGGCGAGGCTTTCTTTACAGTGCTAATTTTACAGACGTCTCCTGGATGATCTAAGTTCAAGAGGCAGCCAGGGGAGGAGAATGCATTATTAGCATGGTTTGGTGTGCGTATAACCAAGTTATACATAGGAACTAGGGAAATGGAGCTCTGAAGTTCATCTTCCACAGGAAGATACATGCTATTATTCTTGACTTTCTGGGAGGGAAGTTAATTCATTACTTCGTTAACACTGAAATATATTAAAAACATTTTCAGTTAAAAGGTAGCTAAAAAGAAACCTTTAAATTAAAATGCTTACATCTTACGAGATTTCTAGAAATCACTATTAATTGATTTTAACTAGCTTTATAATCTCCCCCAGTTACTCAAGGCTTTTATTTATTTATTTATTTATTTAGAGACAGGGTCTCTGTCACCCAGACTGAAGTGTGGTGACGTGATCAAGGTTCACTGCAACCTTGATCTCGTGGGCTTAATTGATCCTCCCACCTCAGCCTCCGAACACAGCAGAGTTAATGGCAGGTTGGCTCTACTTCATCAGAGGTTCTGGAGGAGGAAACCAAGATCTTCCCTGAAAGGCAAGATCTGGCATGTGCCACCACACTGGCTTTTTTTTTTTTTTTTTTTTTTTGGTAGAGACAAGGTGTCACTATATTGCCCAGGCTAGTCTTGAATTCCTGGGCCCAAGAGATTCTCCCACCTTGGCCTCCCAAAGTAAAAACTCACATTTTCTTAAAGGTGGGTAAGCAAAAGATCAGGGTGAAGGAAACCCTCTCCTTTTCAGACACCACCCTACGATGCCTGTTTGCCCTTCTTCACCAAGAAGCCAGCTGTCCGTGGCTGGGCCAGCGTGACAGACTCAGGGGACATTGGATACAGCTCTCTTTTCAATGGCTCCTAGAGTTAAGACTTTTATAAGCATTATTATTTCAAGAAAACACTGTGTCCTGGTCTTCTTAAGTAAATACAAGGCAGATGGTAACCTTAATTTTCTCTGAAAACTCTGTCTAAAACATGGGACAAAATAGATGTCAACGTTCTAAGAATGAAGAAAAATCAGAATTCCTCATTTATCTCCAATTCTTCTCCCAGGGAAATACATATACAAAGCCTCCTTGAAGTTTAACATGACTTGTTTCTCATATCTTTCTAAAAGCATATTGTTTATTTAGAATAACCTTTCTATCTTGTCTGCCAAGCTTTTCCCATACATATAAGATAAAAACTGAGAAACACTTTTCCATTCCCAGTGATGTTTGTCCAGTAAGTCTTGGTAAGTAATAACGATTATGCCTAAACTAACATCACTCTTCCTCTGCGGCTAAACACAGTCATCTGGTGGTGTACGGTATGACCTGTATGGTTCCTCAGTGGTTCACCATTCTAGAACATCCTACAAGATTAACTAAATTTTTCAAGTTTGTGTATCACCTCAGCTGTAACATTTATGTTTATGTCACTGTTTTTAAGTTGTTAAATTCTTAGAGGATAAAGACTATATCTGTATAACTTAGTTTACAAATAATAGCCATGCACGAACATCCCATAAATGCCCTTGGCAGTGATGAGTACAATCACAGCAGAGTTAATGGTAGGTTGGCTCCACTTCATCAGAGGTTCTGGAGGAGGAAACCAAGATCTTCCCTGAAAGGCAAGACCTGGCATCAGGGGCTACTGTGGGCACTTTCCTTTGAATTGCATTTATCTGCCAGGAAGATGATATCCTTTATTGTTTTACATGAAAGCATTTGAAAATTCTAAAAACTGACCATGCCTGCCTTGGTCAGTTCAGGTTGTAATAACAAAGTGCCATAGACTGGATGGCTGACACATTTATTTTTCACAGTTCTGGAGGGGAGAAGTCTGAGATCATGGTGCCAGCATGGGCAGGTTTTGGTGAGGAACCTCCTCCAACTGTCTACTGCTGGCTCTCCTATCCTCACAAGGTAGGAAGAAAAGCCAGCTAGTTCTCTGTCCTTTTCTTATAAAGGCACTAATCCCATTCCTGAGGGCTCCACCCTTATGGCCCAATTTCTTCCCTAAGGCCCCACCTTCAAATACCATTTCATTAGGATTAGGGTTTCAACACATGGCTTTTGGGGGGACACACACATTCAGTTCATTGCAATGCCCTTACATAGACATGAAGACAGGTCACGTATGTTTGAAATAACTCATGGTCTGCAAAATCTCACACCAAAAATAACAGAGGGAGAAAAATTCAGAGTAGACCACTCAAAACCTATGCACTTTTGTAATCACAGCGCTAACCAAATAATAATGCATACCTCAGGGATAACTTGGAAAGCCCAGATAGGCAGCTCAGTGTGTCTGGGGGTGCCCCAGGGGACATTAAAAACGCACAGAAACAATAGAGTGGAAAGGCTACTACAGTAGAAATGCAGGGAGGACTCAGAGATGAGTTCTCATCCCTGGAGAGTGTGATATGACAGTGAATTGTGTCAACGTGACTGTGCCACAAGTGCCAGGTTAAACATTATTTCTGGCTACGTCCATGCAGGTATTTCTGGATGAAATCAACACTTGTGTTGGTGGAGTTCGGAGCATACCACCCTCCCAAATATGGGCTGGCATCATCCAATCCACTGAGGGCCCGAATAGAACAAAAAGGTGGAAGGAGGAGGAATTCACCCCCTTTTCTTCCTGCCTGCCTGAGCTGGGACATCAGTCTCCTCCTGTCCTTGGACTGGGATTTATACCCCTGGTTCCTCTGCTTCTCAGGCGTTCAGCCTTGGACCAGAATCACACCACCAGCTTTCCCGAGTCTCCAGCTTGCAGACAGTTGACTGTGGGATTTCTCAGCCTTCATAATCATCAGGGTCAATTCTTTGTAATCAATCTCTCTTTCTCTCTCCATATATGTATCCATGGGTAAACATACATACACTCTAACTCTGCCAACTCAAATTCACTTGGGTTCTAGAAACTGCCCAACAATTATGCAACATTTCCCTAATCTTTGGTCATTTCATTTCACACCTTCTCTCCTATCTTCCAATTGCCTTCCCCACTCCTAATACTTAACACATAACATCTCTCTGTTAACATCCCTACTTAATGCTTCTGTGAGAAAACAAAAGCTGTTGGATAGGGCATCTCTGCCTTCTATCTCTAAACTCAGAAACTTCCCCATATCCACAGGAGGATGCACCCTCCCTAAAACCAGAGGCCAACTCCACCTCTCTATTCAAAATTTCTTATACATTATCTTCTCCCTTTTTACTAAAGATACTTGTCATCGACACATACTATGCTCTGATATTCCCCAATTTTTTTTTTTTTCTTTTTTGAGATGGAGTCTCGCTCTGTTGCCAGACTGGAGTGCAGTGGCATGATCTCAGCTCACTGCAACCTCCGCCTACCGGGTTCAAGCGATTATCTTGCTTCAGCTTCCCAAGTAGCTGGGATTACAGGCATGTGCCACCATGCCCAGCTAATTTTTGTATTTTTATTAGAGACGGGGTTTCAACATGTTGGCCAGGATGGTCTCCATCCCCTGACCTCGGGATCCGCCCGCCTTGGCCTCCCAAAGTGCAGGGATTACAGGTGTGAGCCATCGTGCCCGGCTGATATTCCTCAATTTTTAAAGAACAAAACCTTCATTGACCTCCTGGTCCCACTATACTCCCACCCTTTCTCAGACAAACTTCTGAAAAGAACAGAAAACTTAGATAATCCCCATTTCCTTACCTCCCACTCACTTTCCAACCCATTCCCCAGGCTCTTATCTCTACCACTCTATCAAAAGATCTTTATCAAGGTCATCAAAGCAATTCTTATTATCCTCATTTTAAAAACCAGGACACTGAGGCTCAAGAGAGATTACTAGGTTGAGATAGTAAAAACGTACCTTCCCTTCAAGATATGCAAGAGCCCAGAGCTGCCCCAAGGCACTCTTTTCAGGATATTAAAGACTTCATCTTCCCGGGACCCAACCCCTCTTTCCTCCCTTGTGTCATGCCGCTGCATTATATATCAGACACATTCCTTAGAATATCTCATTGTTTTTCATTATTTTTAATTGAGAAAAAGGACCTTGCTTTGCCTATGAATGTTTTCTGTGTTGACCACTTGGTGTCAATTATTTAATTGTTCCAACCACATGAGAATAGGTGGCTTTAGCCCCTTTGTACAAATAAGAAAATTGTGGCGGAGAAAGAATAAAACCTTTCCCAACATCAGACAGATAATAAGCATTTCATTGTTTCTTAGTTGTTTCCATTAGATGATGGCAAGATAGGGGCATCACTCTGACAGATGTGACATTGTCCCATTATGTCCACAAGGTTGGAAAACCTAGAACTGATGCAAATTTGCTATGAAGAAACACCTCAGAAACTGACTTATATATCATAATGGAACTTTATGATGAGGATTTTAATTTACCATACATCTAAATATTTATGTTATAAATTATGCAGACCAACTAAGTTCAAAGCTAACCAACCAAGTCCAAAATATATCTTTCCTTGACCAATTTACCTCATATTTCCTGGAAAACCATGTTTGAATGTGGACTTCTTGGAGTCTGTACCTCTAGAACATGGCACTGGGGGGCCGTGATACTGAATTTTGGTGATTAGGGCATCTTCCCTCCCTAGTTCTACCATGGAAGCCAAATTGGTGAGCATGAGGTGCGGAACAGAGTTATGTGCTTATCCCATAACCTGTCTGGTTTTCTAGGTATTCAGACATTGCACTCGCTCAGCACTGCCCTTAACCCAGGTGAGTGGAGCTCTGCCTTAGGATCCATGTTCCATTCTGGCCTTTCTCTAGCTGCACCATTTCCTTTATCATGAGGAGTCCAAAGGCCTAAGGGGAAGGTGCCCACCCAGGCCTACACTCCCTCTCCTAGGCTATGCTCCTGGTTCCCAGAACCATGGCATTCCTTGTCCAAAGAGCTTCAAGCCTGCTAACCAGGAACTGCACAGGCTCTTTCCTAGATCTGTGTTTTTAAGGGCAGACTGTGCCCTGTTATATGCAGTACCTAGACCCAAGGGGTGGCCAAGGGGTGTCTGTTTGCAGGAGATGTGGACATAGTGGGCAGAGTGATCCCAGAACATTAAGAGAAGGGAAGACAGGCCAGGGCCTAGTAGCCAGCTTGCTCTCCAGTGCCATGTTCTAGAGGTACAGGCTCCAAAAAGTCCACATTCAAACATGGTTTTCCAGGAAATATGAGGTAAAGTGGTCAAGGAAAGATATATTTTGGACTTCGTTGGTTAGCTTTGAACTTAGTTGGTCTGCATAACTTATAACTTATAAATATTTAGATGTATGGTAAAAGTGTTTCTATTTATATCCTGGCTTGAACTCTACCCCCGTATAGTTAGGAGGGGCATGAGATTAGTTCTAGACTTTAATAAAAAGTTGATTACTGAGGAAAAACCATTGAATATTCTTTTTTTGAACCACAGTGGCTGAGAAGGCCAAGTGTTCCAGAAAGTGTACAATGACAAAGGTGGTACAATCACAGGCTTGAGTCTTTCTGTGTGAAGCATAGTCTTCTGCAAGTCCACAGTGGATGTTTATTGTAAGCAAAAAATAAACTGTTTTTGAATGAAGCCACTGAGGTTTGGGGATGGCTTGTTAGCACAACATAATGTTAGCCCATCCTGACTACATAGAAATTGGTACCAGAAGTAGGATGTTTTAGCAAAAACCTAAAATATATGACCTTGGTTTAGCGGTCAGCAGGTAGCAAGGAAAGTGATCTCAAGGGCCAGAAAGATAGTGATGTGTTTTATACAGTGGCAACATATCTGGTAAAACATTTGCCTCTGCTAGTTCAGGAGGCAGATCTCCTGTCAAATTTACTTGTAGCTCTAGGAGAAGAGGTAAGAAAAAACAATTGAAATATGGTTGGGCGAGGTGGCTCATAGCACCTTGGGAGGCCAAGGCAGGTGGATCACTTGAGGTCAGGAGTTCAAGACCAGCCTGGCCAACATGGTGAAACCTCATCTCTACTAAAAACACAAAAATTAGCTGGGTGTGGTGGCGCGTGCCTGTAATCCCAGCTACTCGGGAAGCTGAGGCAGAAGAATCACTTGAACCTGGGAGGTGGAGGTTGCAGTGAGCCGAGATCCTGCCACCGCACTCCAGCCTGGGTGACAGAGTGAGTGAGACTCCATCTCAAAAAAACAAACAAACAAACACACACACAGAAAAAAACAGAAAACGGCCGGGTGCGGTGGCTCACGCTTGTAATCCCAGCACTTTGGGAGGCCAAGGCGGGAGGATCATGAGGTCAGGAGTTCGAGTCCAGCCTGGCCAACACAGTGAAACCCCACCTCTACTAAAAATAGAAAAATTAGCTGGGTGTGGTGGGTGCCTGTAATCCCAGCTACTCAGGAGGCTGGGGCAGGAGAATTGCTTGGACCAGGGAGGCAGAGTTTGCAGTGAGCCAAGATCGCGCCACTGCACTCCAGCCTAGGTGACAGAGCTAGACTCTGTCTGAAAACAAAAAAACAAAAAACAAAACAAAACACACACACACACACACACACACACACACACACACACAATTGACATGTGTATTGGTTATTATTGGCTTCATTTGACAAAGTATTTCAAGAAAGAGCTGAGCTTAGAAAAGAACTATCCGGTTTCCAGGAAGTGAAAGGGAGTGAGGAGACGGCAGACATTTCAGATTTTGCAACTACAAAAACTAACTTCTTCTCCACCCCTACACTAACAGTTAAAGGTAAGACTTTGAAGATCATTAGCCAAGGAAAACTTTTTTTTAAAAAAACTAAATTGTCTCAGGACAAGGATAGATAATATATCCGTTAAATCTTTTCATGTGGATAAAATGACTGAGAGAATAGATCAGATTAAAAGTAAAGCTTTCCAATAGAAGCCAGCCAGTCCCAAGATAACTTCCTTTAGGACCAGAAAGACAGCTATGGGAGTGAGAATGCAAATCAATGTAGCAAATCTGAAAACCAGGACTCATGCATGACAAAAGAAAATTCTAGGGCTGTGTTTACTAGCACACAGAATTGACTGGAGACAAACAGATAAGAAAGCTTCCAAATTTTGGAGAGCACTGTGCTGCCGAAAAGAATAAGACTATCAGCTGAAGTCTTAAAACGATCCTTTGGCCCCCAGTACTCTATATGCAGGATAGAAAGGTTTGCTCAGTTCCCAACTAGGGCAAATTCTCAAATGTTCACTTCATATATGGCTAAGGAAAAAAAAAAAAAGAAAAGAACTCCCTAGGGGCAAGGCCAGTACTTCTGAAAATGATGAACAAGAAGGTAGAATCAGGGCCTAATCAAGAAGCATTTTACTCTCCAGGTTTTGAAGGATTTCAAAATTGTTATGGACCAGGGACTCCCTAAAGTATACTCGTGAAATTTATAACTTACAATGTGGGAAATACTAGGTTTGGATCTGTATTATTTTAATAATCTCAGAAAGGTGTCAGAAAAACGAGGAATTTTCCTATATATTGTAAATTTTAAGACTTCACAGTGCATGGGATGTCCACATGTTCTGCACTGTGTCATCTGAGAATATGAACATCTTTCCTCCGCTGTTTAAAAGCAATTTTCTAGATTGCAGTTTTAAACATCTCTGAATGTGACAAGGTATTACCATTAAAGCGTATGACACTGATTTTACACTCTGCAGAAGTGCGGACAGATTTAACAAGGCAGCCCTACTTCACAGTAGCTCTTGAAATCTCAAGTAGGAACGAAATGAAACTAATGGCATTATAAATACTACTATTATTCGCAAAAAAATGTATGGAAGATGATGAGAGACAGCAGTGTGACCACTGGAGCAGCTCATATTCGGTCCCAACATTTTATTCCTGCTTGCGTTTCTGGAAAATCCACTGTTACAGATTCAAATGTGTCCTCAAAATTCAAATGTTGAAAACCCAAACCCTAATGTGACTGTATTTGGAGATAGGGCCATCAGGGAGGTAATTAAGGTTAAATGATGTCTTAAGAGTGGGGCTTTAATCCAATTAAAATTCTCATTATAATACATGTCAGTTTCTGATGTGTTTGCTCTTAGCAAATTTGCATTAATTTCAGATTTTCTGAACTCACGGAGGTAATTGGACTATGTCACATCTCTCAGTGATGCCTCTATCTTGTCATCATCTAATGGGAACAATTAAGAGACAATAAGATAGAACCATCACAAAGAGCAGGCACCCTGTGCTCAGAATCCAAGTAATCAGAGGTCAAATGCTTGCTGTATTACTTATTAACTGTCTGATATTGGGAAAGGCTTCATTCTTTCTCAGCCAAAATTTTCTTATTTGTACAAAGGAGATAAAACTATTCTCAGGTTGTTGGAACAATTAAATAAAATGATTCACAACAAGTGGTCAACACAGAAAATATTCACAATAAAGCAAGGTCCCTTTCAATTTATCCTTAAAGTTAATTAATAAAAAGCTTAAACTTCAGTATTATGCAGATTATTTGTATGCACGTATCAAGCTACCCTTTTCATATCATTCAATAAATGATGCATAATTTTTGGCTTTTGTTGTTTTGTTGTTATGGTTTTTTGGGGGTTTTTTTGCTTTGCTTTGGAAAGGGGATAAATGTTAAACTAATTTGAGGAATAAGTTAAGCCAAGGAAACATGATTCTAAACTACATAATTTAAACAGATTTCTATACTTTGTATTTAGGTGCGAACCATTTTAGTCAAAGTTTGAAATTATGTTTACCTCCTATAAATATTTGTTGAATAAATTTATGAATGTTTTCTAAGTTAAATAGCTTTAAAAGCTATACTGTCATAAGATACTCATACCACTTAAAATTCAAACACTATTATGATATATATGCTTATATAAAATGTTTCAAATCTGAAATATAAGGATTTTTTTTTTCCTGAAGACTAAAGGAAGAAAGATCACCCTTTCTACATGTTTCATAATATATTTTCCAGGGATGAAAGAGAAAATTTAACACTTGATGGGCTCAAATCTTAATTATAAAACAGAGGTTTTTGTTTCAAAGCCCAGTAATAATAAGTATTTCCATAAAATACCTACATTACTGGCTATATTAATGGTGGCCAGCCATAAAGTTAAAGCAAAGAGAAGAACTGAAATCTAGACCTCTAATCTTTTTTCCAAAAATATCAAGGATAAAGGATGGTCAGGAGCTCAACCAAAACCAAAAACGGTTTAACCTGGTCACCCTCCCACCATCGTCCACTCTATTTTGTGACCTGCTGAGCCACATCGTGCTTTAAATTTTCTTGATTTAGGGTCTCATTTTCTCTGAACTGTTATGATCACAATGGTGTCACATAAAGAAGAAACATGGGGTGATTTGAGAGAACTTTAACAAGGTCTGGACATTTCTCTCACTAGGAAGTAGCTGACCCCATTACTACAGGGCACGCTTCTTATTAGGTGGATCTGGGAGAATCCTATCACAGAGCTGCGATGTCTGCATGTATGATTACAAGCAAAAGTTGACCAAGAAGGCTTCAATGAGAAGTAGATGAAATTGAATCAAATGAACGTTTATTAAGCACCTACAAAGCGCTTGTAAACAGAAAGTATGGCAAAGACTGCCAATTTTCTCTGATATCCATTCTTCCTTTCTTTCTTTGTAATATAATCTCTGAATTTTAAATGGGCACATGACTCCCCAGAATGAAAACATTTTCCAATGTCCCTTGAAGATAAAGGTTGTCACGTTACTGACAAGATGTAGGCAGAAATGTCATGTGCAAATTCTGGGAATTGTCCTTGAAGCAGGAGCAGAGTCTTATTTATTCCCTTTTTTTTTTTTTTTTTTCTGACTGAAATACAGACATCATAGCTAGAACTTGGCTAGCCATCTTCGATCATGAGGTAGACGAACAGAACAAGGATATAGAACTTAGAGTTCAAAAACAGACACACATACTCAGGCACTTGATTTTCAACAAGGGCACCATGCAATTCAATGGAGGGAAAGAAAAATTCCTCAAAAGATTCTAGAGCAATTAAATCTCGATCCTGAAAAAAATTAACCTTGACCCTTATCTCACATCATACAGAAATTAATTTGAGATAGATGATGGAATGGGTCACAGATCTAAATGTAAAAATAAAATTGATATCTTCATGATTGAGGGATAGACAAAGATTTCTTAAACAGGACAAAAGACAAACCACTAAAAACCCGATAAACTGGATTTCATTAAGACACCAAAAGACAGCATTAAAAGATACATAGAAAAGTCATGAAATCATCAAGGAAATGCACATGAAAACCATGAGACCATGAAGCCATGAGATATCACCTCAAACCCACCAGAGGGCTTAAAGCGAAAAAGACTAATATCAAGTGCTGATGAAAATGTGCACTCCAACTACAACTCTATTGCTAGCAAAAGTGTACACATATGCATTCAGTTTTGTAAACTGTTTGGCTCCCCTATGGCCTAACAATTCTAGTCTCAGATTTGTTCCTTGGCAAAATACTGCAAATGTCCACCAAAAGACTTGTGAATGAGTATTCACAGCAGGTCTATTTGTAAGAACCCAAACTAGAACACACCCACATAGCTATTTACAAAATGGATAAACAAATTGTGGTAATGGAGTCCTACTCAGAAAAAATACAAAAAGAACTACCTATTGATAGATGCATCAACACAGATGACTCTAAAAAATTTACGCTGAATAAAAGCCAGACACAAAAGAGTACATCCTGTTTGGTTATACTTAAAATTCAAGAATAGACAAAACAGGGAGGCTCAGGTGGGAGGATCGCTTGAGCCTGGGAGGTTGAGGCTGCTGTGAACTGTCATCCTGTCATCATGCAATCACACTCCAGCCTGGGTGGCAGAGTGAGATACCATCTTGGGGCGGAGGGGGCTGGCGGGGAAGGAATAGATAAAACTAATCTACAGTGATGGACATCAGAAGAGTGTGATCCATAGGGGAGGTGTTGACCAGGAGGTAAATGAGAGAATTTTATCCTCGATGGATGTAATATTGTCTAGCTTGCTCTTGAATGTGGTTACACAGGTGTGCGTATGTGTGTGTGTGTATAAACTCATCAAGCTATATACTTAAGAATGGCAGATTTCATATGTTTTTCTTCCCCATGTATTTTAGGCCTCAACAGAAGCAGAGAAAAAGTACTTTATGAAAGATAATTAGACTCTTTTTACCTTATCCATTGCCCAGCAAAGGTTATTAGGCAAATGTAAAATTTTCTACTTAAAATAAAACAAACACCAAGCAAAGTGTGGCTAAACTTTACAGTTTTTCTTACCCCCAAATAAGCCAAAATTAGAATATTCAAACCTTATTCATTAGTATCAACAAAAACTTGGAAGGAAAGTCCAAAGAAAATAGGAGTACACCAGTTAATCCATAGCAACTATCATGGTCACCAAAGTGAAGATTCTATAGTATATTGGCAATGAAAGCAAAGCTTTCACTGTGTATGTCATTTTCAGTGTGTGTTTTACCATAAATGCTTCTGTTCATAATTTTATTTAATTATTTCTTCATTTTTAGCACAAGGGCAGTATGGCATAGAAGAAAGAGCAAGAGCTTTGATTCAGACAAACCAGTTTTGCCACTTACTAACTATATGGTGTTAGGAAAGTTTCCTAATCTCTTTGATACTAAGTTTCTTCACAATTTAAAAGAGATAATAATACTTACTTTGCAAAATTGTAGCACAATTATAGTAGGTACTTAGTAGTGGTAGCTATTTGGCAATAGCTCTTTGTATGCAAAGTATCATGTCAGCCACTTGAACCCTATCTAAGAACCTGACCATCTGGAAAAGACATTTAGATATAAAGATTGGTGACGAAAGGTAAGAATTTAACAAGGGCTATAGATTATAAATTATAGGGTTTCTATGTAGCTAGTAGGGTTGTAGAGTGAGTATTCTCTGAACAGAGCTTGAAAAAAAATGGTTGAAAATTAGTTGGGGAGAAAACATTTAAGGCAGGGGAAATGGCACAAATAAGAACACAGCTGCAAAAGCAGGAGAGTGAAACCTTTAGGGGCTGATGCGTGGTTAGGACCACCTGTGCCACTGGATTAGTTTTGAGAAATCGGAGAAGGCCAGTAAAGTAAGTTAGGACCAGACAAAAAAAAGGACCATTGTCATGCTAAGAAGCCAAGAATCTTGTAAGTATTGGGATGCCACTAAAGGACTTTTTCAGGGAACTGACCCCAGTGGTCACTACACATGATAGGAAGGGAAGAAAAGTCAATACAGGGAAAAATAGCATAGGGTGACAAGGGCCTAAACCAAGGTGCTGAGGGGAGTGAAAGAAGCAGGAAGGAAAGATATTAGAAAGTTCAAATTTTTTTCCTGTATTTCAGAATGCAAATGGAAGAGAAAGTTCAATTTTATTAATTTAAAAAAAATGATCACTGAGTTTCCCTGAATGATATAAATAGGCCTGCCTTCAACTTCAGGATTGATCCTAATTGACCCCTAAGTTCCTCGAGAGCAAACATAAGCCCCCAAGCCAACAAAACACATTGCCTGGCACATAGAAAGTGCTCAGTACATCATTGGTGAATGACTCTCCAAATATTCCAAATATGGAAATCTCCATACACAAATAATACAATGTATTAATGATGCAATATAAAACACGCAGAAAAGCTAAAATCACTTTTCCTTTTTGTTTAGTGACCATTTTCCACAATATGCCAAGTTCTGAATTTGCTCATGCAAGAGCTATCTCTATCTCCAGCTTATCAAAAGACTCAGATATAAATCGCTCCAGAAAGTTGGGAATGTTGCCACCTCAGTTGCTAAGCTCTTGTGTAATGTTGTTCTAGGAATCCATCATTCTTTGCTATAGCAAAAGAACAGTCACTTTATGACTCATGAATATTACATGAAAAAATTAAAACAGTAAATTAAATCCAAATCATGTGAATAAATATGTGTAAGGTTACTTTCGAGTGCAAGATGATTTAGTAATTAATTTACTTATTATGATAATTTAAATTAAAATAACCTAACACTAAGTAATGAAGAAAAAAACGAGTACTTCCTAGGGCTAAGCACAATTCTTACCCCTTTTTATGTATTAACTCATTTAATCCTCTCAACAACCTTATATGGTAGACAGTTGTACCTAAATTTAAAGATGAGAAAATTGAGATACAGAGAAGTAACTGCCCAAGATTATACTACATGGCAGCAGAGGAGCAGAACTAGGAATTGAATGCAAGCAATCTGGCTTCACAGTCCAATAGATTCAGAAAAAATACTTAATAAAATCCAATACAATTCATGATATAAAACTCTTAGAGAACTAGAAGAAGAGAACTTTAAATATCCCGCAACAACATCACACTAAGCTTCAGTGCTACAAAAGCATTCTTATGTAAGTCAGAAGCAAAATAAGAATGCCCATGATCAGTACCACTATTCTTCATTGTACTGGTTGTCCTAGCCAGTGAAATTAGACATAAACAAAAGAATAAGAGATTTGAAGATCAGAAGGAAAAGAAAAAAATCATTTCTTGCAAATTATGTATTTATGTAAATGGAAATATAATGTTATTTATGAAGTAGTAACTAGCTGGTTAGAAAATAAGAAACTAAGAGAAACTATTCACAGTAGCAACAAAAATCATCAGGATCTAGAAATAAATGTAACAAAATATGTACAAGTCCTTTATTTATATCATATCATTGAAGGACACAAAAAGGACATGTGAGATAAATGAAAAAATTGAGTATTGCAAATATACCCATTCTTCTCATATTGATCTATAAATTCAAAGCCATTTCTATAAAAATCCCAACAGGACTTTTCAAGAAACTTCATAAACAGGTACTAAAACTCATATGGAATGGGAAAGGTCTAAAATTGCCAAACAATTCAGCAGAAAAACAAAAGAAGGCTTCTGCTCTATGACATATCAAAATCATTAGAGTTATCTTAGGAAGATTTGTTCAGGAAATATGGAGAGCTAGACATTCTAAAACAAACCTTTTAATACTTGCAAAGTTCTAAGAAATACTGGAAAAACATCCTTTAAAATGTCAGATATTTGTAATTCTTCATGTCATCAAACTAAGAAAAGTCATAATCTCAATAGATGCAGAAAAAGCATTTGACAAAATTAAAAATAGAGTATACGTACATATAACTCCTAGCTCTGTCCACAGAGGGCCAAGAAACAGTATCATCTCAATAGAAGCAAGGACACCTAGCACACAGATTTTGGTTTCTAATACCATCCTCCAATAAAAGGAATCAAGACATTTTGGAGAAATGGCTGATTCTAAGGTTGGGGAAGGGAAAATACTAAATGAGCCTGGAGCATCTCATAGTGCCAGACAGTAAGGAAATGATAAAAAAAAAAAAATAAAAATTTTTAATGGGGACATTTCAAAAGGACAAAAGTACCAACCTGAAAAAATCCCAATGCCAAAGCTGGAACAATTTAAGCAATATAAAAATGGTATTAGATAATAGCTCAAAGACTAAATAAATATCCATCAATATACATGGATATAAATAACTGACTCAATAATAAATCAATGGGAAAAAAGGGACCAATCTTTCTTAGAGAAGAATTTCTATTAATAAATGTAGAAAGAAGGAAGGAAATGGAAAATCACCATTAGAATACCACAATAATAATTGCTGCAGGCAAGATCCATTGAACACTAAAATTATTGGACAAAACTTTAAAGAGAAATAGAATATTTGTACTACCTCAAAAATATTTATTAATCACTGTGGTGGTTTTAACATATGACCACAAATTATTTGATATCCCTCCCTTCCTTTGACTGTGGACTTTCTCCTAACAAATAGACCATGGAAAGGGGGAAAAAGTAACATTACAATAAGAAACCTTGCCAGACACCATCTTGCCATGTGATCAAAGTTATCATCAGTTGATGTGGCTATCATATGCTGCCATATGTGATACAATGAGAAGGGCACAACAGCTCTGCGATATTCTTCTCTCAAAATCCATAATCTCAGTCTAATTGTGAGAAAACATCAGATAAATCCAAATTGAGATGCATTTTACAAAACACATAACCAGTACTCTTCAAAAGTGACAAGATATGAAAGACTGAGAAACTGTCACAGATTGGAGTAAACGAGGGAGGCATGAAAACTAAACACCATGTGGTATATGGGGTGGATCCTGAAATTAAAAAAAAAGAACATTAGAGGGAAAACTGTGGTAATCTGAATAAAGTGTATAGTTTCATTAATACTATTGTGCCAATGTTAATTTCTTAACTTTGGTACTTTACAAGGGTTATGTAAGATGTTAACATGAGAGGAAGCTGGGTGAAGGGTATACAAAAACACTGCACTATCTTTGCAATTCTTGTAAATTTAAAATTATTTCAGAATAAAATGAATTTGAAAATTCAATACTCATTTGCGAAAGCAATTCTCAGTGAACTAGAAACAGAAGAAAATTTCCTCAATCTGGTAAAGAACATCTACAAAAAAAGTACAGTAAACATCACCCTTAATAGTGAAATATTGAGGTATTCTCCCCTTAAGATGAGGAAAAGGCAAGGATATCCTTTGTTAATACTTCTGTTAAATATTGTTCTAGAGGTCCCAGCCAGTGCAATAAGGCAAGAAAAGGCGAAAAAGAGAATAGAATTGTAAAGGCATATTTAAACCATTTTTTTTCCAGATGGCATGACAGCACATTAAAAACAAAAACAAAAACAAAAACAAATCTGCATACTGCCAAAACTATAAGTGAATTTAGCAAGCGCACAAAATACAAGATCAATATATAAAAATAAATTTTGTTTCCATACACTAGGCAAGATGTTTGGAAAATAAAACTGGGGGAAAAAAAAAACTCCACCACTTACAACAGCATCAAAAAAACATTAAATGTCTAGAAATAAATTGAACAATGTGTAAGTCCTCTATACTGAATATACAAAACAATGTTGAAAGTAACTGTAGAAGAACTTATGCAATGAAGGGAAAGACTCAATTCTGTTAAAATGTTCACTTTCCCAAAGTTGCTCTGTAGAGTCAATGCAATCCCAATCAAAATTCTGGTAGGCTTTTTTTTTTTTTTTTAATGGACATTGACAAGCACATTTGAAAATTTATATGGAAATGTAAAGCACTTAAATAGTCAAAACATTTGTTTAAAAGAACAAAACTGGAGGGTTTACAATACCATGTCAAGACTTACCATAAACTACAGTAATTAAAAAAGTATGGTACTGATGCAAGAATGGATAATTAGTCCAAGTGGAAAGAACAGAGTCCAGAAACAGACCCAAATATATGACCATTCATTTATTAACAAAGTCCCCACGCAATTCAATGGGAAAAGAAAGGTGTTGTTTTTTTCAATAAATGTGTAGAGTAGATGGATGTCCATATACAAAATAAATCTTGATCCCCCCCTCACACCATACACAAAAATCAACTGGTGATAATCACAGATCCAACAGCTAAAACTATAAAGTTTCTGGAGGAAAACAAAGGCAAATGTCTTCAAAATCTTGAGAGTGGGCTGGGCGCGGTGGCTCACACCTGTAATCCCAGCACTTTGGGAGGCCAAGGCGGGTGGATCACGAGGTCAGGAGATCAAGACCATCCTGGCCAACGCGGTGAAACCCCGTCTGTACTAAAAATACAAAAAATTATCCAGGCATAGTGGTGGGTGCCTGTAGTCCCAGCTACTCGGGAGGCTGAGGCAGGAGAATGGCATGAACCTGGGAGGCGGAGTTTGCAGTGAGCCGAGGTCGTGCCACTGCACTCCAGCCTGGGTGATAAAGTGAGACTCCATCTCAAAAAAAAAAAAAAAAGAGAATAAATAGGCAAACTTCAGGGTAGAAAATTCCTGCAAACATATACCCAAGAAAGATTCCCTATCCAGATTATATTAGGAACTAAAAATCATTAACAAAAAGGTAACCTAATTTTTAAAAAATGGGCAAAATATTTCAATAGGCAGGTGATAAAGGAAATCTAAATAGCTGATTAAGATATTTTAAGATGTTCAACATTATTAGTGTTTATGGAAATGCAACCAACCTACCAAAAACCATCAATTCAACTCCTTGGTATATAGCTGAGAGATATATGTCTACCAACGGAAGTTGGAAGAACATTCCTCACAATTCAATTCTTAATGGCCCAACAATGAAAACAACTCAAATGTTAATCGACAAGAAAATGAATAAGTAAATTGCTCATATTATATATCCACATAATGTAATACCGTAGAAGAGGTGTCAATAAATTTTTTTCTGTAAATGGCCACGTGGTAAATAGTTTAGGCTTTGTGGGCCATATGGCCTCTATAACAACTACTCAACTCTGCCAAATGGGGATAACTATGTTCCAGTAATTTTTTTTTTTTTTAAGATGGGGTCATCTCACTGTCACCCAGGCTGCAGTGCAGTGGCATGATCGTAGTTCACTGTAAGCTCGAACTCCTGAGCTCAAGAGATTCTCCTGCCTCAGCCTCTTGACTGGCTGGAATTATAGACAGGAGCCATGGAACACAGCCCAATAAAATTTTATAAACAGAAACATGCAGTGGGTTGGAATTGGCCCACAGGCCATAGTTTGCCAACCCTTGATACAAAGCAAAAATAAAAAACAAACAAAAATTCTTATACATGCAACATGGATGAATACAATGTGAACAAAAGAATAAACTGTATGACTCCGTTTATATGAAGTTTAAAAACATTTGAAAATAATACATGGTCATAGAAATCGGGACAGTAGTTGACTGGGGGAAGCGAGTGGCTCCATTGATAGGAAGGGGCAGAAGGAATGAAAATGTTTTATATGTTTATCTGGGTAGTAATCACAAAGGTATACACATATGTAAATTTCACCAAGCTACACACTTTTTTTTGTTGTACATAAATTATAGAACTAAAAAACATATGTAGAATTCAACATGGATAAAAAATATATTAAATACATTAAATCTACCTTAAAAGATGTGGGTGATAGAGTGAGGAAGTCTAACAGAAGTCTAATCATAGCTCCTAAAGAATAGGACAAAAATGTGTGAAAATAAAGAGATAAAAGACAAAACTTTCCTGAATTAATGAAACATAAACCTTAGAGACAGGAGATTTTATTCATATATATATATACATTTATATAAATATATTTAATTTTTATATAAACTCTACAGAGAGATTATATATAATCTATATATAAAGTGTATGTGTATATATTATATATATACACACACCTACATACATTGCCTCAAAAGTCTGTGAGTACAAATTATTCTTGATGATACAAGGAGCAGTTAAAACCATAAAGCAATTCTCGAATTTCAAAGAATTGTTGGCCTTGACACGTATGCTAACTACAGTGCAAATTAGAAATCAGTAACAAAAGGATAACTCACAAAACCTTCCACATTGGAACTAGACTACTTTCTACAAATCTCTTAGGGGAAGAAAAAATATCACAATGAAAAAATCTTAAATTCTTAGAACTGAACAATATACTACATAGAAAGCAGCAGTAAATGAAAATCTGCAGTATTTTCAAATGACAAATAAACCAGGATTAACAGCCTGGAAATAAGCCCAAACATATCTGGGTACTGTATGTGACAGAAGTGGCACTGCTAATCACTGATATTGGGACAATTACCTTTTCATGTGGGAATCTGAAAATTAATTAAGCTTGATCTCATAACATAAAATATATACATCTCAATATATACATGTCTCAGGTAAATTAAAGAACAAAATGTGGACAAAACATAAACTTAAAAATTCTTAGAAAAATATTCAGAATACATTTCATTAATAGTAGAGTATCTTAAGACAAAAAGCATAAGGATTAATGTCTACAGTTTAATATCTGCAAGTATATAACAAATATTTGTATCCAGAATGTTTTCCAATATAAATTTCTGCAATGATGGAAATATTCTGTTCTATAATGTATAATGTAAAATATATAACATAATAAAATATAATAAAATATTAAAGTCATATGAGGCTATTGAGCACTAAAAATGTGGCCTGAAAGAACTGAGGAACAGAAATTATTGAGGTAAATACAATATGTTAGCATTTTAAAACGCTGAAAGTCTGTAAAGTTCTGTGATTTTTATATACTTTTTAGTATTTCGTTTTTCATAACAAAATTTGATTTTAGCTAAAATTACTATATAAAATATTCCAGTTGTGTACAAAACATGTAAATGTGACTTTTGGGAAAGCAAACACACCAAATGATGTTTTCTCCTAAATGCTTTTTGAAATATTATAAATTAAGTTATAAGAATACATAAAGAATAATTTAATGAATACTGGTATGTCCACCATGGAATTTATGAAATAAAACATTACTGATAAATTCCCTAGGTACTCCTCCCTGAGCAAGATTTTTTTTTTCTAAAAAGAAGCCAGGAAATAAGAATAACAGACGGAGAGCCCTAGACTCAGGCTTCTTCAGTTTGCAACACCCATATTTTAACATATTTGGGGGGAAATGTAACATTCAAACCCAGTGTGTATCATTTAACAAAGAGTTACAAAGCAAACACCCATGTAACCATTGCACAGGTCAGGCGATAAAGCATTTCCAGCATCTCTGAGCCCCTGACCCTCTCCTCCCCACTAGGAGATGACCATTAGCTTGACTTTTTTTCTTTACTACTTTTAATGCCTATACATGCATCCCTAAACAACAGCTTTGCTCCACCAGGTTCTGAATTTTACATAGAAGATATCACACAGCATTCTCCGGCAACTTTTTTTTTTTTTGGTTCAACACTGAAAGGCATTTGTGTTGAAACACAAAAATACTTCATTGGCCACTGTACAGTGTGCCCTTTTTATGAGTGGTGTATAATTTATCTTTCTCCTTCAGGTAGGCATGAAGGCGGCATCCAGTTTTCTGCCATTACAGTCAACCTTCTTGTACACGTCTGCTTGTGGACATGTATTAAAATTTATCTAGGGCAGTGGCTTTCAAACTTTTTTGTCCATGACTCATACTAAGGAATGACGTTTTACATCATGACACACATTTGTGTATGTATGAAACTGAGGAGGGGGAGAGAGATTCATAAAGCGAACACCCCTATGACCTGAGAGACACTGATGTTCTATTCTCCGTCTGTGTTTTACAAATTCTGATCATCCATTTAAATGACTTTACGACCCACTAAAATGGACTTCAAATTCTGAAAAACATTGTTCTTAAGGATGAATACCCAGGCGTGCAACTGCTGGATCAGGAAACACGGACATCGGACGTCGTCAACTTTTCCAGATCCTTAACTGTTAAATGTTCTTATCTAAGCGCATATAAATTTACCACTATTTAACTTCAGAGCGAAAAGCGTGAAACATCAGAGAACATTTTATCTTTTCCCTCGGTCATTAAACAGTATTAATCACTTACCATGTGCTAAGTAAGCAATCTCTGAGCCCAGCGAGACCGGTGGGTTAATACGCGGAGGGGCTGCGGGGGAGGACTTAGGGGACCAGGACCTCAGTGAGGCCCCAGAAAGCACCCGGGAGGGGCCTCCGATCCTGCCTGGGAGGGAGGGGTTAGAGGAGGATTCCTGGAAGAAGGAGGACCTAAGCTGGGTGTTTCTATTTTTGATTTTTATTGGTTTCCTAAAACATGAAAGTAACACATTTGATGAGAAAAAATATTCAAAATTACAGGAGTATATTCAGTAAAAGGTAGAAATCCCCATTCCGCCCTGAAAGTTGGATGCGGAGACTAACAGAAGTCGCATTATCAGCTGTCCCGATCTAGGAAATTTTTAGGACCCCACGTTTTTAAATACTTTTAAGAGTATGTCTGATACAGTCTGTAATACTAAAGCATCAAAATAATCATATTTTCCATAAGAGACGAAAGTGCAAACAGTTACTGTCTAGTCCCATTATTACTTGGAACAGACTTTTTCTTCTTTTCCTTGTTCTGTTTTTTTCCTGGCCCGTTGGCGAGGTTAGAGCGCCAGGTTGTAAGAATCGGGTCTGTGGACCTCATACCAGATAGGCGCGAACGCCTCTGGCAGCGGCGTCCAGGGGGTCCGGCGGCACTCGCGGTGGGGCTGCCTGGGTTGCGGGTGACGATCTGCGGGGTCCCGCACCCGGCCCCGCGGAGCCCGGACCCGCACGTAGGCGGCGCGGCAAAGGCACACCCTCCTCGCGGCCGCGAACCCAGCGCCGTCCTCGCAGCGCGGCAATGCACGGCCACCGCTGCCCCCAGCCCGCCCGCCGCAGCCGCGAGCACCCAAACACCTACCCTGCGGGGCGACGACCCCCGGAGCTCAGGCGAGGCCGCTCGGGCGTGCCACCTCCGCGGCCATGACGGCGACCCGGGGAAGCGCCCCGCGCGCCAAGGCCCCGCGCTGCTGAGCTGTGAGCACGGCTGCCCCGTCCGTCCGTCCGTCCAGCACCCGCCCGGAGAGTGAGGCCAGAGCACGCCCCAGCCGTGTCTAAATCAAGGCTCGGGGCGGTACCGACGGGCTGAATGACAAATGGCAGATGCCGTGGGCTTTGCCGCCCGCGGCAGCCAAGAGGATGGCTGCGCCGAGGAGGCCGCGCGCAGGCGGGGCTCGGGAGCCGGAACGGCGCGGCCGCGAGGAGGGCGCTGGGGCCCCTGGCGGGGGCGTCACGTGGCAGGAGGAGGCCCCGCCGGGGAGCTGGGGGTCGGCGGCCGAGGCGGGGGGAGCTGAGCGGCACCCACACGTCCTGCGGGCCGGGTCACCGGTGGGGGCAAAGCCAAGGTCGCCCAGGTACAGCGCTGGCGCAGGTAGACCCGAGCCGGCCTGGGGTCTGCAGCGGGGCCTGCTAGCCGAAGTCTCCGCCAGGATGGGCCGCCAGAGCCCAATCACACATGAGAAACGCGACAGATGCTGGGACGCTGCAATAGGCCAAACTAACTTACCTCCTGTGCCAGCAGCGCCCAAGTGCAGCTGCCCAAACGTGAGCACTGACCGTGAGCCAGGCACTGTCCTAAGCACTTTGCAGGTAAATACGTGTAATCCTCACAGCAACACTGGGAGAAATACCCGTCTCACAGCTGAAGAAACGAAGACGCAGAAAGGGTAGACAGAAGTAATTTTCTAATTACGGTATCACACTACGTCTGCTTCATATAATTTCAAATTTTTCATGTTACTGGAATTTAAGAAAAATAAACTGAAGGGAATCTCTATTGCTTTCTTCCCTAAAAGACGTGCTTTTTAAAAGGCCTATAAGCATTACGTAAAAAGATTAAGAGAGGTGTAAGGAGCTCACTACATGTTCGGGTTTAGAAAGTCTCATAGCTCTGAAAGATGAGGTTAATTAGCATCATACACCTCCACCTACCTTTAGGGGGTAACCCTGCCTCTCAATTTCCATTAGTTCTGTTACTTTCGGCTTCCTAGCAATGAGAACATTTGCAATTGCTCTGCAACTTTATTTTTCCAGATGTTGTCTTAATTCTATCTTTAAATGAATTTGATATTCACTGTAACTTATCTATCCCTGAATTTTTATTTTTATTTAGTTCTTGATGGACTTCCTTCATTTTCAAGTCATATTCCTAAGGAGGGTTTATAGAGTGCTGCCATGTTTGAGAAGATCTGGTGTTTTTCTCTATACATAAATAAAAAGTGAGTTGGGTAAATATTTTCAATTCACACCTTCCTTCAAAACCTAACAGAACAAGATGGCAATTGCTTTATTTATTTTTTTATTATACTTTAAGTTTTGGGATACATGTGCAGAACGGGCAGGTTTGTTACATAGGTATACACATGCCATGGTGGTTTGCTGCACTCATCAACCCGTCATCTACATTAGGCATTTCTCCTAATGCTATCCCTACCCCACTAGCCCCCCACTCCCCAACAGGCCCCAGTGTGTGATGTTCCCCTCCCTGAGTCCATGTGTTCTCATTGTTCAACTCCCACTTATGAATGAGAACATGCGGTGTTTAGTTTTCTGTTCCTGTGTTAGTTTGCTGAGAATGATGGTTTCCAGCTTCATCCATGTCCCTACAAAGGACATGAACTCATCCTTTTTTATGGCTGCATAGTATTCCATGGTGTATATGTGCCACATTTTCTTAATCCAGTCTATCACCAATGGCCATTTGGGTTGATTCCAAGTCTTTGCTATTGTGAATAGTGCTTCAATAAACATACGTGTGCATGTGTCTTTACAGTAGAATGATTTATAATTCTTTGGGTATATACCCAGTAATGAGATTGCTGGGTCAAATGGTATTTCTGGTTCTAGATCCTTGAGGAATTGCCACACTGTCTTCCACGATGGTTGAACCAATTTACACTCCCACCAACAGCGTAAAAGCGTTCCTATTTCTCCACATCCTCTCCAGCATCTGTTGTTTCCTGACTTTTTAATGATTATCATTCTAACTGGCATGAGATGTTACCTGATAAGCAACTTCAGCAAAGTCTCAGGATACAAAATCAATGTGCAAAAATCACAAGCATTCCTATACCCCAATAGTAGACAAATAAGAGAGCCAACACATGAGTGAACTCTGATTCACAATGGCGACAAAGAGAATAAAATACCTAGGAATACAACTTACAAGAGATGTGAAGGACCTCTTCAAGGAGAACTACAAACCACTGCTTAAGGAAATCAGAGAGGACACAAACAAATGGAAAAACATTCCATGCTCATGGATTGGAAGAATCAATTATCATGAAAATTGCCATACTGCCCAAAGTAATTTATAGATTCAATGCTATCCCCATCAAGCTACCATTGACTTTCTTCACAGAATTAGAAGAAACTACTTTAAATTTCATATGGAACCAAAAAAGAGCCCGTATAGCCAAGACAATCCTAAGCAAAAAGAACAAAGCTGGAGGCATTACACTACCTGACTTCAAACTACACTACAAGGCTACAGTAACCAAAACTGCATGGTACTGGTACCAAAACAGATATATGGACCAATGGAACAGAACAGAGTCCTCAGAAATAACACCACACATCTACAACCATCTGATCTGTGACAAACCTGACAAAAACAAGCAATAGGTAAAAGATTCCCTAGTTAATAAATGGTGTTGGGAAAAACTGGTTAGCCATATGCAGAAAACTGAAACTGGACCGCTTCGTTACACCTTATACAAAAATTAACTCAAGATGGACTAAAGACTTAAAACATCAGACCTAAAACCATAAAAAGCCTAGAAGAAAACCTAGGCAATACCATTCAGGACATAGGCATGGGCAGAGTTCATAACTAAAACACCAAAAGCAATGGCAACAAAAGCCAAAATTGACAATTGGGATCTAATTAAACTAAAGAGCTTCTGCACACCAAAAGAAACTATCATCAGACTGAACAGGCAACCTACAGAATGGGAGAAAATTTTTGCAATTATCCATCTGACAAAGGGCTAATATCCAGAATCTACAAAGCACTTAAACAAATTTATAAGAAAAAAACAACTCCATCAAAAAGTGGGCAAAGGATATGAACAGACACTTCTCAAAAGAAGACATTTATGTGGCCAACAAACATATGAAAAAAGCTCATCATTACTGGTCATTAGAGAAATGCTTCAAAGATTTCTGTGGAAAGATCTTAATCCCATGTAATTTTCCCCTTGGAGGTGGCTTGATTTTTCTGCTTGGATACCTGAAGAATTCTTTAACATTAATATACCCTTTAGTATTCTTATCTGGGCTATGCCTCTGTGTCAGTTATTCTAGATCAATTTTTCCCCCCAGCATACAGTATGATCTTCCAATTTATAGATTATGTTCTTTTCTAATGTCCCATGTATATTATATATCTGAATACGCTGCTTTTTCAGGGCTGAATGTTGTTTCTATCTACTTGTTCTGTGATCCAAGGTTTTTCGGACAAGGAGAGGTGGGGGAAAAGGGGATGTGTGGAATTCAGCTCAGACAGAGTATAAAGCTTGCTGGAGGAACTCAACCTTCACATCTGAGATTCCTTTAAGTCCTCTGGCAGCTGGACTTCAAGCTAGCCAAGGGAACATCCCATGCCTCAGAGTTTCAGTTCATTTGCTCAGTTCAGCACAGTATCCCAGAAAGTGGGAAACTTTCCTGCCTCTGGCAAGATCCAACAGTGGTATGCAAAGGTTCCTCAACATCTCACAGGTGTGCCCTGCCTTTCCACATTGGGGGACGTTTGTGAGAATTCTTAGGATTTGGTCTGATCATCTTTTTCCTCAACATGTCTTGCAGCGGTGGGTGGAGGGCTGGGCAGACATAGGTTCATCTGGAGACAAAGCACGCCTCCATAGAATCTTCTGTTCTCTTTGTTTTTGCTATCAATTCTCAAATTTTACATTATAAGGTTGTACTTTTTTCTTCTTTGGTTGCAGCATGTAAGTTTTTTGTTGCTTTCTTTCCTTTGGGTGATTTAGTGTTTTGTTTTGTTTTTGAGACAGAGTCTCGCTCTGTCACCCAAGCTGGAGTACAGTGGCATGATCTTGGCTCACCGCAACCTGCCTCCCGGGTTCAAGCAATTCTCCTGTCTCAGCCTCCTGAGTAGCTGGGATTATAGGCGTGCACCATCACAACCGGCTAATTTTTGTATTTTTAGTAGAGGCTGGTATGGGGGTGCTGGGTTGGGGGGAAGTTCGCCATGTTAGCCAGGCTGGTCTCAAACTCCTGACCTCAGGTGATCCGCCTGTCTCAGTCTCCCAAAGTGCTGGGATTACAGACGTGAGCCACCATGCCTGGATGATTTAGTATTTTAATTTTGATTTTTTTAGTGCTTCCTTGTGCCATCTTTATCCAGAAGTCAGTCAAGCAGTCTTTCTTTCTCACTGGTAATGAACTATATGAAATCCTTTTTTATCTTTAGGTTATTTCCACAGTGGTCTCTTTGAACATGACTATGTTGACCTGGTAGCTGTGACACACTCTTTTTCTCCTGAGCTTTCCCTCAATGACGCATGCTTTGGCATTACAGCATGCCCTAGCAAAGCTTCTGGAGCAGGGGTTGCAAACTCAAATCTCTACAAAGTTTAAAACAGTGAGGAACAATGGGACTGTGGTAAAGTGAAAAGGACATTCTTTGTGTAAGGGGCAGATGCTCAGCTCAGGCCAATGGCTGCCATGTTTGAACTCAGGGCAGGGTTGCCACATCTGCATAATTTTCAAGGGAAGTATGCTATCTAACATTTTAATATAAAATCTTCTAATTTTGGAAACACTGCAGAGGCCACATGAAGTATTTCTCCAGGTCAAACTGGACCCAAGGGTTGCCAGCGTGGTCACTGTAGTAGACAGAACCCCTCAGGACAAATTCCATAATCACACTTTTTCTCTAAGTATTTGGAGATTCCATTTTATTCTGCAGACTATTGAATGACTTCTTAACATTTCTTCAGCAAATGCAGAACAAGAAAATTCATGCTGACACATCTATAGGTTGATACAATGTGTCAGGACCCAACACTTTCAGGAACAGGTGTTACCAGGGGTAACAGCTATGATGGGGCTAAAATTAATACCACATGGGCAGACAATCATACAGATTATGCCCACATTAACAAAATAATGGAGGGGGAAAATGTTATTTTCAATTGATGCAAAAAGAGCATTTGACAACTACACCCCATCCTGAAAAAAATGACAACTAGGAATGGAATGGAACTTCCTTAGCCAGATAGTGGCTATATTTTATCCTATAGCTGCCATAACAAATTACCACAAACTGGTGGCATAAAACATGAAATTTATTTTCTGAGTCCGAAAGGCCAGAAGTCTGAAATCAAGATATCAGCAAAGGCCGCAGGCGCCATCTAGTGGCTCTAGTGGAGATTCCTTCCTCACAACTTCCAGCTTTTGGTGACCACTGCCATTCCCTGGCTTCCTCGGCTTCCTTGGCTTGCGGCCACAGCATGCCAATCTCTGCCTCCATCTTCACAACGCCTTCTCTGTGCGTGCCATGTGCTTTCTCCTGTGTGTATCTCTCTTATAGGGGTAGATGTCACTGTACTTAGGACTCACTGAAATAACTGAAGGTGGTCTCCTCATTTCAAGATCCGTAACTTAAGTCACATCTGCAAAGACCCTTTTATTCAACTCAGGTTACATTCTGAGATTCCAGAGATTAGGACACAAATATTTTCGAGGGTCATCAGTCAGTCCTCATGTCAAAGTTGACATGGGCAAAATCCATGTCAGCTTTGCTATAGAAATTGACAAGCTGATTCTAAACTTTATATGGAAATGAAAAGAACCTAGAAGAGAAAAAATAATCTTAAAAAGAAAAACAAAGTTGGAAGGCTTATGCTATCTGATTTTTACGCCTACTATAAGGCTAGACTAATCAAGACAATAGGGTAATGGCTGGGCATGGTGGCTCACACCTGTATCCCAGCAATTTGGGAGGCCGAGGCGGGCAGATCATTTGAGGTCAGGAGTTCAAGACCAGCTTGGCCAACATGGCAAAACCCCATCAATACTAAAAATGCAAAATTTGCCAGGCATAGTGGTGCACACCTGTAATCCCAGCTACTCAGGAGGCTAAGGCAGGAGAATTGCTTTAACCTTAAGGTGGAGGTTGCAGTGAGCCAAGATTGCACCACTGCACTCCAGCCTAGGCGACAGAGCAAGACTCTGTCTCAAAAAAATAAAAATAAAAAAAAGACAGTCGGGTACTGACATAAGGGTACCGACAGTAGGGTACTGACAAAAGACAGCAGGGTACTGACATAAGAAAAAACAATAGTGTATTGAGTCCAGAAATAGACCCACACATAAGATCTATTGGGTTTTGTTTGTTTGTTTGTTTGGAGACACAGTCTGGCTCTGTCGCCCAGGCTGGAGTACCGTGACATGATCTCGGCTCACTGCAGCCTCCACCTCCCAGTTTCAAGTGATTCTACTGCCTCAGCCTCCAGAATAGCTCGGACTACAGAGAGATGCCACGGCACCCAGCTAATTTTTGTATTTTTAGTAGAGACAGGGTTTTGCCACGTTGCCCAGGCTGGTCTCAAACTCCTAGACTCAAGTGATCTGAGCACCTCGGCCTCCCAAGGTGCTGAGATTACAGGTGTGAGCCACTGTCCCCAGCCTAGATCTATTGGTATTTTGACAGAGGTATAACATAATTCCATTGGAAAGAGATAAATGGTGTGGGAACTGGTTATCTATATAGAGAAAAAAATAAACTTCTACATGCATTTCACGCCATTCACAAAAAACGAATCAAGTGAAATCTCAGACCTAAATAAAAAGCAGGAACTATAAAACTTCTGGAATCACCTTGTTCAATACAGTACCCATAAGCCATGTATGGCTATGACGTAGCTAGTTCAAACTGAAATGTGCTACAAGTGTAAAATATACTCTGGCTTTCAAAGACTTGGGATTTTTTAAAAATGTAAAATATCCTATTAATTTTTATATTGATTACATGTTGAAATAATATTTTAGATATATTGCATATAATTCAAAGTAACTTAAACTATTTTTAAAACGTGGCTACTGGAACATTTTAAATTACCTATCTAGCTTACATGATATTTCTGTTTGACAACACTGTTTTAGAAGAAAACCTAGGGATAGGCAGAGACTGGCTGGACAGGACACAAGAAGCAATGACCCTAAAAGAATAAACTGGCAATTGGATTTTACTAAAATAAAACCTGATCTTTAAAAGAGACCATTAAGGAAAAAAATCTAAGCCACATGGGAAAAAGTCTTCACAATGCATATATCTGACATAGGACTTGCACTAAAATATTTGAAGAACCCAATAATACAATAAACAATACACTTCACTAAATAAGACATGTGAAGGGCCAAGAAGTCCAAGAATGACATTAAACATCATTTCCCCAATGATTAATGCAAATCAAAACTACAGTGAAATACCGCTACATACCCACTGGAAAGGCTAAAGTTGAAAAGACTGAAAATACCAAGGGTTGGTGACAATGTGGAAAAACTGGAACTCTCGCACATTGCTAGAAGAAATATAAAATGATACAGCCACTTTGGAAAACAGTTTGAAAGTTTCTTATAAAGTTAAACATACTCTTATTATATGACCCAGCAATCTCAGTCTTAGGTATTTTATCCAAGAGAAATGATAACATGTCTGTGGAAAGACTTAAATGCAAATATTCATATTCTCTCCAAACTGAAAACAACTCAAATATCAGTAATAAAATGGGCAAACTGCTGATACTGTCAACACAGATGAATCAAAACAACAACAACACTGTGCGGAGTCAAAGAAATCATATTGTATTAGTCAGGGTTCTCTAGAGGGACAGAACTAATAAGAGATATACATATGTGTATATATATATATACACACACATATACATATGAGTTTATTAAGTATTAACTTACATGATCACAAGGTCCCACAATAGGCTGTCTGCAAGCTGAGGAGAAAGGAGAGCCAGTCCGAGTCCCAAAACTGAAGAACTTGGAGTCTGATGTTAGAGGGCAGGAAGCATCCAGCATGGGAGAAAGATGTAGGCTGGGAGGCTAGGCCAGTCTCTCCTTTTCACATTTTTCTGCCTGCCTTACATTCGCTGGCACCTGACTAGATTATGCCCACCAGATTAAGGGTGGATCTGCCTTCCCCAGACCACTGACTCAAATATTAATCTCTTTTGGTAACACTCTCACAGACACACCTAGGATCAATACTTTGTATCTTTCAATCCAATCAAGGTGACAGTCAGTATTAACCATCATAATATGTAAACGACACATGGTCCCATTCATAGGAAATTTTAGAAACACAAAATTATAGTCTTTCTAAAGCAGATCAATAGTTTTCTACAGTGGAAGGAGGGGAGGTGTTGGAGAATTTTACAAGGTGATAGAAATGTTCTACCTCTTGGTTAGTAAGAAGATTGCATTGGGGCTATGTATTTGTCATACTGCACTGAATGATACACCTAAAATACATCCACTTGATTACATGCAAATCATACTTCAGTAAGTGTCATTAAATTATTTCCTTTCTTATTTGGATAGGATGAGGAGAAATCACATGAGATTGGTTTTATCTCTATTACCAGCAATTTGAATTAGAATTGACCTTCTGCTGTTTTTTTTGTTGTGAGCTTTTTCATTAGCACTCTCTTGTGCATTATCAGTCTGTTTTCTAACCTGTGAGGGTGTCAGTGGCAGAGGTGAAACCTGACCTAGAGCCTTCTCTTGGACTCCTAATCCAGTGTTCTTTTATAATAGTAAGCAGCCACAGAGAACAGCCTCATTATGGCATTTACAGTCCTTCAAACAGATTGTGCACCATAAAAACTCGAAAAAATCTTTTAGTGTGTTCAACTCAACAGATATTCAACAAATGCTTAGATTTAATTTTCTCTAATCACAATATAAATAACCCTTAAAAACCTGTATACATATGTAGTTTTTTTTTAAAGCGCATCGCTTCTGGCCAAACTACCTCTTGCTGGTCTTATTGCTGGCCATCCTCAAACTTCAAGTCTCTTCTCCTTTTTTTGAAACTGTAATCTTGGCTCAGAGGATTCCTGCCCCCTTCCCTCCTCTTGCCACTATTTGCAATGACTTCTCCATCTAGGTATCACTTCCCCAACAAGGGCTCCCATGATAACATCTTTGAAGTTTTCCCCAAGCAAAACTGACTAATGTCCATTTCTATCTTCAACTGACTGACATTTAGTCAACATAGAAGACTCACAAGGTGAAGTCTGGCACCTCTACTAAAATGTCCTACTTTACGTGATAAAGTTTTTCCATGTACTCATTATCGAGCCTGCTCAAGGGAGGACTTTGGCACCTGGGTGGTTAAATGCCTCTGCTAGTTGCCCCATCATCCTGGGCCAATTAGACAACCATGTGGGTGATTTATTCAATAGCCTAGTCTTAGAATTCCTTCACTTCCTCCTAATGGAAAACCTCCTCTCCATTTAAACAGTTCCCTGAATCCATGGCAAACCCGTAGACTTCAACAACCAGGATCTGCTCTCCCCTGGAAATCTTCAACTCCAAAATTCCCACCTCTGATCATAACTTCCTGCTCTTCCTGGTTTCTCACTCTCTCACTCACAGGATGTTTACTCTGACTGCAGTAAGACTCTCCAGTCTCCTTCACTGGATTCCCTCCTTGTTTCCACTCCTTCCCTAGCCAGCCTACACCACAAGGTTCAAGATTGTAATCATTTTCTCACCACTGTCCAGATCTTGACATCCTGTCCTTGCACCAAACCAAACTCCAAAGCTCCAGCCCCACTAATGAATGAGCACAGAAGGAATAATTTTAAAAAGTTACATTTTGTAGCCATCAGAGTAATAATGAATACATGAATTATCAATGGATGCTAAAACTACTTCGGGGAACATTGAAGAGGAATAGGATATTTATATAGTCTATATAGTCTCAAAAAAGTTAAAGAAAGAAATCCTATCATTTACAACAACATGCATGAGCCTGGAGGACATTATGTTAAGTGAAATAAGTCAGACACAAAGACAAACACAGCATGATCTTTCTTACCTGTAGAGTATAAAAAAGTGAAACTCATAGAAGTAGACAGAGAGTAGAATGCTGGTTACCAGGGGCTGGCGGGGGTGAGAGGATGGGGTAGCGGGTATTGGTCAAAGGACACAAAGTTTCAGTAAGGAGGAATAAGTTCAAGATTTCCAGTGTACACTATGGTGACTATCGTTAATATAATTTATTGTATACTTGAAAATTGCAGATTTTAGTAAGTATTCTTACCACAAAAAATAAGTATGTGACATCAGGGATTTGTTAATTAGCTTGATCTAGCCATTTGGCAAGGCATACAAATATAAAAACATGTTAGACACCATAAAATATATCATTTTTATTCATCAATTTAAAGAAAAATAATTTTTTTAAAAGTGATGTTCACTCTAACATCTAAATTCTCTCTGCAAGAACTTTAAAAAAAGTTAATATCACCAGTAATGCCACAAATTGACATGTACCTCCTAATGTGATATACTGATCAAGACACATCACATATGTAGTATTCCTGCCAAAGACGCACAAATTAAATCTTAATGATGGAATAATTAGATGAACCAAAGTCGAGGGACATTAATAAAGAGCGAGGCATAGTGGCTCATGCCTGTAATGCCAGCAACTTGGGAAGCTAAGGTGGGAGGATCACTTGAGCCCAGGAGATCAAGGCTGCACTGAGTTATGACCGCACCACTATACTCCAGCCTGGGGTACAGAGAAAGACCCTATATTTAAAACAACAACAACAACAACAAACTAGACTATGTTGCAAAAACATCAATGTTATAAAGACAAACGCTGAGATTCCAGATTAAATGAGATTACAACCACTAAACTGAATGCAATACTTCATTCTAAAGTGATCCCTGGATTTTTAAAAAATGCTATAAAGGCCAGGCACTGTGGCTCATGCCTGTAATCCCAGCACTTTGGGAGGCCAAGTGGGTGGATCACGAGGTCAGGAGTTCAAGATCAGCCTGGCCAACATGGTGAAACACCGTCTCTACTAAAAATACAAAAATTGGCCAGGCATGGTGGTGGGCGCCTGTAATCCCAGCTACCCAGGAGGCTGAGGCAGGATAGTTGCTCAAACCTGGGAGGCGGAGGTTGCAATGAGCCGATATGGCGCCACTGCACTCCAGCCTGGGTGAGAGAGGGAGACTCTCTTGAGGAAAAAAAAATGCTATAAAGACATTGAACAATTGGATAAACTTGAACATGGGCTCAACATTGAATAATAATATTGTACTAATGTTAAATTTCCTGAGTGTAATAATAGTCCTGTGGTTATGTAGGAGAATGTCATTGTTCCTAGGAGACAAATGCTGATGTAGTTAAACAATCATAAATCTAGTTTAACCTCAATCGGTTCAGCAAAATAAGTAGGCATTCTATATTACTGAATCTAAGTGGGGGGGTAGGGGAGCACATTGTACTGTTCTTCCAGCTTTTTGTTTTGAAAAATTTCAAAACCACAAAAAAGTTACTTAAAAAAAAAAAAAGGAAAACCCTCCAGCTCAGATTCAGCCATCTGATTATGATGTTCCTTTATTCAAGCTGGTAGGAACTGCTGGAACAACTCCCACAAATGTAGAAATGCATAGCTCCCAACCAAGGTATGCCTAATATTGACCAGAAATCCAGCTGAATATTTGTGTCCCCCTGCAAATTAGTATATTGAAATCATAATCCCCAATGTGATTGTATTTGAAGATGGGGTCTTTGGGAGGTAATTAGGTCATGAAGATAGAGCCCTCATGATGGGATTAGTACCCTTACACCAGAGAGCTCACTTCCTCCTTCTCTCCCTCTCTCCACTCTGTGAGGAAGCAAGAAGACCGCTGTCCACGAACTAGAAAGAGAGCCCTCACCACACACTGAATCTGACAGCACCCTAATCTTGCACTTCCCAGCTCCCAGACTGTGGGAAATAAATTCATGTTGTTTTAGCCACCTACTCTATGGACACTTCCTTGTTTGTTTGTTTGTTTGTTTGTTTGTTTAGACGGAGTCGCTCGCCCTGTTACCCAGGCTGGAGTGCAATGGTGCAATCTCGGCTCACTGCAACCTCCGCCTCTCAGGTTCAAGCAAGTCTCCTGCCTCAGCCTCCCGAGAAGCTGGGATTACAGGTGCGGGTCACCACACCCAGTTAATTTTTTGTATCTTTAGTAGGGTTGGAGTTTCACCATGTTGGCCAGGCTGGTCTCGAACTCCTGACCTTGTATCCACCCACCTCGGCCTTCCAAAGTGCTGGGATTACAGGCATGAGCCACCACGCCCGGCCCTTTGTTTGTTTTTAATGTTAATTTTATTCATTTATTTATTTTAGAGACAAGGACTTACTATGTTGCCCAGGCTGAATTCAAACTCCTGAGTTCAAGTGATCCTCCTGCCTAAGCCTCCTGAGGTGCTGGGATTACAGGTATGAGCCACTGCACCCGGCCACCACCCACTCTATATATTTGTTTTATATATCTATATATATAAAACAAACATATAACTATATATATTTATATATTATATTATATATAATATAATATATATAAAATATAATTACTATAATATAAAATATATAGTATAATTTATATAATTTATAATATAAATATATTTAATATAAAACTATAGATATAAAATACATATATATAACAAATATATGTATATATGAGCTGGTTAAGACATACATGGTACACATGAGGACACAGTGTTTAGGGAGGTTAGGGAATGTGCCAAAAATCTTCCAGCCAGTAAATAATAAAGTTAAAACTCTCTTTATGATTCCATAGCCTGTACTATGCTCCTCCCACAAAATCATTGAGACATGACAACTGGGCATAATGTAGAGCACAGAAACAGAACTAAACGGGTAAGAGGTCAAACCTATGCGGTTTGAGCAAGTTCATAACATATTATACTTGCTGAAGCTGAAAAAGGACTTCACATGCTGGATTTATTTGATAACATTGTAGAGTAGGATAAGAGTCTCTACAAGTTCTATTTCATCAGGAAATTTTAGCAATTATTACTGTATTTTTGTGTTATTGGGCTAACATTAACATCTTTTTCAAAATTATTCCATCTGTAGATAATCTTTAAGGTATTGTACACTTTGTGAACCTTTCTAATATTATGTGGCAGCTTTCCTGTTCTGCCCTTTAGGGGACATTTTTGCACGGAGAAAAACAACTTTTATAGAAATGAGACCTGCTTTTTAATGATGGAATAACTACATGGAGGAAGGATGTAGAGAAATTCTACATGCCAAATAGTTTCCTCACCTACCTACAAATGTGCAAAAGTTTGTAACACATGGTAAACATGGAGGTCATTTCTGATATCCATTTGATTTTTCTCCTATTGTGATTTTAAAGTCACTGACAGATTTATTTCATTCTGGAAGGCCATCATTACAGTTGAGCTTTTAGGCAGTGGGAGTAATGAAATTCCACAAAGAAATTAAAGACTGTCATTATGGACCATACAGTTCTTTTCCTTTGTGAAAGCAATTAGAAAGGTAAGGAGATCTAACTATACATTGGTAGCATTCCAGAAAGGTTTCAAATGGTCAGGTAGTCATGGAATCATAGAACTGAAAACTGAAAGATACTGGCTCTCTGGGAAGTAACTTAATATTCCTATTTTATAGATGAGGCAACCCAGAAAGGCTGACTAGAAAGAAATAAAAAAGGAGAGGAGAAGATAGCTTCAAAAGAGGTGATCCAACTCTCCTACCTCAGGCAGTTGCAGGGCTTTGAACCAGAGGCTGAGAATCACCAAAAGAATTTTTTAAAAACCAACATTCCAAAGACAAACCACAGATTGGTAGAATTATTTGCAAATCACATATCTGAGAAATAACTTATATTAAATATACAAAGAACACTTAAAACTAACCAATAAAAACAATCAACCTAATTAAAAGATGGGCAAAGATCTGAACAGACAGCTCACCAGAGGAGATATGTAGATGGCATGTAAGCATATGAAAAGATGTTCAGCATCATTTGTCTTTAGGAAAATCCAAATTAAAACAAGATACTAGTACATACTTACTAGAATGGCTAAATTTGTTTTTAAAAGTTGACAATACAAAATGTTAACAAGGATGCAGAGCAACAATCCATCATTGGTGATGGGAATGCAAAATGGTACAGCCACTTTGGAAGACAGTTTGGCAATTTATTACAAAGCTAAACATAGTGATATGGTTTGGCTATTTCCCTACCCAAATCTCATCTTGAATTGTAGCTCCCATAATTCCCATGTGTTGTGGGAGGGATCTGGTGCTGGTAATTGAATCATGGGGACAGGTCTTTCCCATGCTGTTCTCACAATAGTGAATAAGTTTCACCAGATCTGATGGTTTTATGAAAGGGAGTTCCCTTGCACAAGCTCTCTTGCCTGCCACCATGTAAGATGTCTCTTGCTCTTCCACCATGATTGTGAGGCCTCCCCAGCCATGTGGAACTGTGAGTCAATTAAACCTCTTTCCTTTATAAATTATGCAGTCTCAGGTATGTCTTTATTGCAGCATGAGAACAGACTAATACACACAGACTTCCCATACTACCCAGCAATCACACTCCTTGGTATTTACCCAATTGATTTGAAAACATATCCATACAAAAACCTGCACATGAATATTTATAGCAGCTTTACTCATAATTGCCAAAAACTGGGAGCAACCACAATGTCCCTCAATAGATGAATGGACAAACTATGATATATCCATAATGTGGAATATTATTCAGCAATCTAAAGGAATGAGCTATTAATTCATGCAACACCATGGAAGAAACTTAATGCATACTGCTAAGAAAAAGGAGCAAGTTTGAAAAGACTACATACTGTATGATTCCATTCACATAATATTTTGAAAAAGAGAACACTATAAACATGAAAAACAAATCAAACTCACCAGGAGTTTGTGGAAGGAAGTAGATTGACTGGGTGAACACAGAGGATTTGGGGATTTTTTTTTAGGATAGTGAAGCTATTGTGTATGATAACATAGTGGTGGATACATAACAATATGCATTTGACAAAACCTACAGAATTTTATAGCACAAAGGGTAAACCTTACCATATGCAAATCCCAGGATGGAATGCAGACAGCGACAAAAGAATCTCACTGTAATACTAATGTACGGCATAAACTCATTGAAGGGGGGCTGGGGAAAAAAAGGTGCTGATCTAAGTAACTTTGGAAATGCATAAAGACAAAAAGGAACTGCACGAAAAATAAGCACCACACTCTAATTGATAAAGTTGTTTCCCGTGGGGGTACAAATTAACAATTCCAAAACCACAGTCCATGCACAATGGGAATGGCCAAGTAAGTAATTAGATGGTAGGTGGTGGGAGCTAGGTTTCTCTGTTAGGGAAATTACAGATAAGCAAGAGGGGAAAGCTAGAATAAGCCACATAGGACTGGATTAGAGTTGGACATCATTATGAACTCATATTTAGCTTTTTTTTTTTTTTTTTTTTTTTTTTGAGACAGAGTCTTGTTCTGTTGCCCAGACTGGAGTGCAGTGGTGCAATCTTGGCTTACTGCAACCTCCGCCTCCCAGGCTCAAGTGATTGTTGTGCCTCAGCCTCCAGAGTAGCTGGGATTACAGGCACGCACAACCATGCCTGGCTAATTTTTGTATTTTTAGTAGACACGGGGTTTCACCATGTTGACCAGACTGGTCTTGAACCCCTGGCCTCAAGCAATTGGCCCGCCTCACCCTCCCAAAGTGCTGAGATTACAGGCCTCAGCCACTGCACCTGACCAGCTTTAGAAAGATACATGTGGATATATAAATAATTGTAGCTATGTGTGTATGCACAGGTTAGCATCCACCTATATATTTCCTAGCTCTGTCTACTGAGAAGGCCTACATGCAGTGACACTCTGCTGATGGTGAACACACCTGGTCAGATTTTCATGTCTAATATTATTCTCCAATAAAAGGAACCATGCCCCTTGGAGAAAGCATTCATGTGAGGGGTGGGCAGGGAATATACAAGATGTACCTTGATGATATGGTTTGGCTGTGTCCCCACCAAAATCTCACCTTGAATTGTAATAATCCCCATGTGTCAAGAGCAGGGACAGGTGGAGATCATTGAGTCATGGGGGCAGTTTCCCCCATACTGTTCTTGTGGTAGTGAATAAGTCTCATGAGATCTGATGGTTTTATAAATGGGAGTTCTCTGTACAAGCTCTCTTGCCTGCCGCCATGTAAGACGTTCCATGCACTTCTGCCATTATTGTGAGGCCTCCTTAGCCATGTGGAACTGTGAGTCAATTAAATCTCTTTCCTTTATAAATTAAGTAGTCTTAGGTATGTCTTTATTAGCAGCATGAGAACAGACTAATACACTTGAGCATCCTGAATACCAGAAAGTAAGGAAGTGCTCAAAAATAAAAACAATAATGGTGGTATGTCAAAGGGACACGAGCCAACCTGAAAGAGTTCCTAGTGACCAAAACTGAAACCATCTGAGCAACCAAATAATTCATGTAGTATTGAATTATAGCCCAAAGTATAAAATAAATATCCATGTATATCAGTATGATCCCATACTGATACAAATAATTGAATGAATAAGTAAATAAATGAGGAGGAAGAGACAAATCCTGTGCAGGGGAATTTCAAATTTATGTAGACACTCCACTCTCCAGGAGATGAGGCATAACTCCCCATTCCTTAAGCATAGGCTGCATGTACAGCCCTCCTTCCAAAGTGTACATTATAGAGGGGGGAGGGGTGACTTTGCCATGGAGAAACCAGACAAACATCACCTCAGCCAGGTGATCAAGGTCAACGTCAACAGCGACAAGTCATAGTCACAGCTGTACCCTTTTCCTTTACTTTTGTAGTCTTCCCTCAAACCCCAGTCTAACCATAAGAAAAAACATTAAACACACCCAAATTGAGGGACTTTCTACAAAATATTTGATCACCACTCTTGAAAACTATAAGGGTCATCAAAAGAAAAAAGGAAAATGTGAGAGACTGTCACAGCCAAGAAGTCCCTAAGGAGACTTTGTGACTAAATGTAATGAGGAATCCTGGAATAGAAAAAGGACTTAGGGGAAAATGACTGGAATCCATCCAAAGTATGAGGTTTACTTAATAATAATATGTATCACTATTGGTTCATTAATTGTGACAAATGTACCATAGAAATGTAAGATGTTAATGCTCGGGGAAACTGGGTGCTAGGTATCTAGAAACTCTCTGTACTGCCTTTGCAACTTTTTTGTAAATCTGAAACTATTCTAAAGTAAAAACTATATTTTTAAAAAACACCTACTGGACGGGCACAGTGGCTCACACCTGTAATCCTAGCACTTTGGGAGGCTGAGGCGGGTAGATAACTTGAAGTCAGGAGTTAGAGACCAGCCTGGCCAATATGGTGAAACCTTGTCTCTACTAAAAATACAAAAAAAATTAGCTGGGTGTGGTGGCACGCACCTGTAATCCCAGCTACTCAGGAGGCTGAGGCAGGAGAATCGCTTGAACCCGGGAGGTGGAGGTTGCAGTGAGCCGAGATCATACCATTGCACTCCAGCCTGGGTGACAGAGCAAGACTCCATCTCAAATAAATAAATGAATAAATAACACCTACTTGCCCAAGTTCTACCTGAAGAGATTTGGATTCAGTCAGTCTGGGAATACTGCCACATATATAACACGAATACTAAGTAACAACTAATAATGGACAAAATCTACCTCTAAAGAATTTCTCCAGTTTATCCCAGCTCCTTATTACTTTCCCAACCCATTCATTCATATATTCAATAAGCATTTATTCCTACTGAAATGAAAGAATAAAAAGTATTAGAATCCAACTTATATAATAAAAGATTAGGTTGTTTCGTGTATGTGTGTGTGTCCTGGATTATGATATAAAATGCAATTCTTAATACAGATTTAAAGCCAAAAGAGTTTGAAATCTACCATAATAAATTATGTCCCTGGCCTCAAGGAGCTTCGGTTTAGCAGAGGAAAAAAGGTGAGTAAATCTTAGAGAAAAGATTTTGCTTTAACAATAGCAAAATAGAACTGTTTTCTATGGTTTATACTAAAAAATAGTACTGCATTAACCAACTCACAAAATCTTAGCCTAAGAAGTATCATGGCATATTTACACTTATTCATTTATAATTTATTCCACCATATCTCCAGAAAGAATTTATAGCAGCTGTCTAGTTAAGATAGTCATCCCTGGCTATGAAATTTAGAGACCTGTGGTTCAACTGCCACATAAATCTTCTGTACAAATAGCCTAAAAAATTTCTGATGGTATATTCTTATAGAAACCCATGTTTTCCAATAATTCATCTATACCCAAGCCCGACTTGTCCAAATTTCTTTGCTTATTGTTTCAAGTTAGAATAAATATGTATTTTCAATCTCTAGATTACATTCACAAGAACACAGTACTGCTCAAGATCTGTTAGTGCTTAATCCTTTGGATGCCCTGCAAACCACTGTAACTACTGGCAAAGCAGATAGGAACATTTCTTTCTAAAGACAAAAAATGGTAGCTTTTCAATTTCAGGTTGGATCAGTTTGCTTAGACTTCTCAGTGCAAATTAAGCTCATCAATAAAACCTAGTATTAGCATTATTTTGGCCAGGTGCAGTGGCTTACACCTGTAATCACAGCACTTTGGAAGGCCGAGGCAGGAGGATCACTTGAGTCCAGGAGTTCAAGACCAGTGTGGGTAAAAAAGTAAGACCCCACCCCCCGACTCTACAAAAACAAAATTAAAAAAATTAGTCAGCCGCGGTGGCATGCATCTGTGATCCCAGCTACTCAGGAGGCTGAGGTGGGAGGATCACCTGAGCCCACGAGTTTGAGGCTGTGGAGAGCCATGATCATGCCACTGCACTCCAGCTTGGGTGACAGAGAAAGACCCCAACTCAAAGAACGAACGAAAGAAAGAAAGAAAGAAAGAAAGAAAGAAAGAAAGAAAGAAAGAAAGAAAGAAAGAAAGTTATTTGATCTGAAGTACAATGTCTTTAAGAAGTGAAATCTGTAAGTATTCAGAATAAGAAGCAAAACTGCAGGTGAGGATCTTTTTGTTTCTTCTACAATCCCATGAGAAACAGCTAGGGAAGAAGAGAAAACAGGACAAACTAGTAGGAAGAAATAGAGAAGCAGTTAATAGGAGAAATAGGAGAATGCAGATACCACTCAAGAGTGAGGGAGTAGAACAAAAACAGCCAATATAACAACACTAACCTCCACCTCCCACCATCCTCCAGCACCAACTGCACCCATGGAAAAGAACCTATAAAAGCACCACAGTCAAATTCTAAGACTGTACAGTGCTTTGATTTACACAAATATAACCTCTTGCTCCAACAGATGAAAGCTCCTTTAAGTGTTCTTGTTTTGAAATGAGGTTATATATTTAAAAGTCTCTTTAGTGGGAAACACTTCGCTCTGTCAGGGAAATGTTAATCATATTTGCTAAACTTACTATTATATATCCATTCTAATAATCTCCATTTCTCCAGTCTTGCAAATATGTGCACAGACTCACATATAAGGTCCTAAAGAAAGGATTTTGCTGATGCTCCCCAATTTTCTCAGAGTGTCTTTCATTTTGATATGAGAATAAACAGATGCCTGGCAGCATTTGTTTTTGAAAAGAGAGAGAACAAGGAAATATAAAGAATTCAAAACTCCAAAAATGCACAGGATTGTCCCTTTGAAGTCTCAGCACCTCAAACAATTTAAATAATGGCTCATATGGTTCTTTATCACTCTTACTATAATTTTATGCTATAACCAAAGCAGGCTTCCTTTGTGAGGTTAATTATTTAACTGTATGCAGTTATTATATAAGCCATTAACTTTTCAAACATTTATTCCTTTAGAATACTCTGTCTAAAATTAACTATTACTCTTGTAAGTGTTCCAAAGTATATTAGTATAAAACACATTATATCTTTTAAATTATATATTTTAAGTCAGTTCTCTGTAGTCTCCTATGAAAATGTTCTATCTTAATTGTAGTCACAGCTCCAAGGGTAAACACATTTGTCAAAATTCAAGCTGTGCATTGAGACTGGTTGCATTTTACTGTGTGTAAACTGTAACTCAGTAAAGCTGATGAGGAAAAAAGACTCTGTCAAGTGTGATGAAGATGTGGTGGGAGGGGAGCAGGGAAAGGGGCCTAATTTTAAAAGAAAGTCAAATCACTAATAATTTTAAAAGGAGAAATAAAGATTTACTGTTAAGTGCTAATTTTAGGGTATGGCTGTAAAGTGAGCTGCACCTTCTCCCAGTGAAATACATAAAAGAGTACATTCCCTGCAATCCTGATATCCGTCTATAAAAGAAGAAAATCTGGATAAACTAGCTCTATTCAGGACAAAACAATGATCAGTTTTCTTTGCTCTACTTTTGGCTGCTGAGGGTGTAGAGAATGTCAAATACTCAAAGCAAGTGGATCCAAAGCAAATGCTTGTTATCTACGTGCTGGGACTACAATATCATCCATGATGCTGTATTTTTTTCTTATTATAAAAATACATGCTTGTTTTAGAAGTTTTCAGAGACCATAGAAACATTTTAAATAAAATAATATCACTTCCAAATTACAGTAATTAATCTGCCTTCCATTTTTTCTCATTTTTTATGTAATTGAGATGATCTGGAATAATTACAGTATTGATTCTGGTCTCAACTTGAACAAACATAATCCCATGACCTTCATTTGTAAACATTTTATTACTATATGTTTTGAGGAACTTCCTGTAGATATTATTTATACGAGTTGCATAATAATCTATTATGTAGCTATATCACAAGTAAAGCACCATTCTTCAGTTGTTGAACTTCTATATTATCTTTTTTAATTTATAAAGAATGGAATGAACATCTTTACATATAAATCTTTCAACATATTTTAAATCATCTCCTGTGGTAAGGAAGGCATTTCCAAGTTTGCACAAACCCCAACAGCCACAAAAAAATTAATAAATTCAACCATGTAACAAAATCAGATTCTCTGTATGATAAGACATACCATAAACAAAGTCAAAAGACAACAACAACCTGATGGGGTGGGAGCAGGGGTAACTGTGATTCACAATAAAGGGCTAATTTCCTTAATATAGAGAAAGCTTCTACAGATAAGTAAGGAAAAGATTAACTCAATAGAATAATGAACAAAGAATAGGAAAAGACACAGCTCATTTCGTGAAGAATAGAGAGCTAGCTCTTAAGTCTATTAAAAGATACTCCTCATCATAAGAGAAATGCAAATTAAAACTATGCTGAGATTTTCCACTTATCAGATTGGCAATGATTCAAAAATCTTAACACATACTATGCTGTCAAGCATTTGGAGAAAGGCACTCTCATCTCTCACATATTGCTGATCGGAGTAGAAACTGGTACAGCCTTATGGAAGGCAACCTTATGGAAGTTGCCTCACATATTGCTCACATATTGCTGATGGGAGTAGAAACTGGTACAACCTTATGGAAGGTAAAATCTATAAAAAGTATAAACACGTGCACTGTTTGATCTCACATTTCCACTTTTAAGAATATGTCCTGTAGATAAACTAACATGTTCAATATGATGGAAGAACAAGGTTAGGCAATAAAGCTATATTTCTAATAGCAAAAGTTCAATAATAGAAGACATAAATTTTGACTGGGCGCGGTGGCTCACGCCTGTAATCCCAGCACTTTGGGAGGCCGAGGCGGGAGGATCATGAGGTCAGGAGATCGAGACCATCCTGGTTAACACGGTGAAACCCTGTCTCCACTAAAAAATACAAAAAAATTAGCCGGGCGTGGTGGCAGGCGCCTGTAGTCCCAGCTATTTGGGAAGCTGAGGCAGGAGAATGGCGTGAACCTGGGAGGCGGAGCTTGCAGTGAGCCGAGATTGCGCCACTGCACTCCAGCCTGGGTGACAGAGCGAGACTCCGTCTCAAAAAAAAAAAAAAAAAAAAAAAAAAAAAGAAGATGTAAATTTTAATACAATGGATATAAGTTCATATAATGGAATAAGGTACAGCTTTTTAAAATTTTTTTATTTCAATAGGTTTTTGGGGAGCAGGTGGTGTTTGGTTGCATGAATAAATTCTTTAGTGGTGATTTCTGAGATTTTGGTGCACCCATCACCTGAGCAGTGTACACTTTACCCAATGTGTAGTCTTTTATCCCTCACCACCTCCCAACCTTTTCCCCCAAGTCCCCAAAGTCCAATGTATCATTCTTAAGCCTTTCTGTCCTCATAGCTTAGCTTCCACATATAAGTGAGAACATACGATGTTTGGTTTTCCATTCCTGAGTTACTTCACTTAGAATCATAGTCTCCAATTCCATCCAGGTTGCTGTGAATGCCATTACTTCATTCCTTTTTATGGCTGAGTAGCAGTCCATGGTATACATACACCACATTTGCTTTATCCACTTGTTGACTGATGGGCATTTGGGCTGGTTCCATATTTTTGCAATTGTGCTGCTATAAACATGAGTGTGCAAGTATCTTTATCGTATAATGACTTCTTTTCCTCTGGGTAGATACCCAGTAGTGGAATTGCGGATCAAATGGTAGATCTACTTTTAGTTCAAATGGTAGATCTACTTTTAGTTCTTTAAGGAATCTCCACAGTGTTTTCCAAAGTGGTTGCACTAGTTTACATTCCCGCCAACAATATATGTGTTCCCTTTCCACCGCATCCACACCAACATCTGTATTTTTTTTTATTATGGCCATTCTTGCAGAAATGAGGTGATATCGCATTGTGGTTTTGATTTGCATTTCCCTGATAGTGATGTTGAGCATTTTTCCATATGCTTGTTGGCCATTTGTATATCTTCTTTTGAGAATTGTCTATGGATATCCTTAGCCCGCTTTTTGATGGAATTGTTTGTTTTATTCTTGCTGATTTGTTTGAGTTCTTTGTAGATTCTGGATATTTTTCTTTGTCAGATATATAGGTTGTGAAAATTTTCTCCCACTCTGTGGGTTGTCTGTCAACTCTGCTAATTGTTTCTTTTGCTATGTGGAAGCTTTTTAGTTTAATTAAGTCCCATCTATTTATATTTGTTTTTGTTGCTTTTGCTCTTGGATTCTTGGTCATGAAGTCTTTGTCTAAGCCAAGGTCTAGAAGGATTTTTCTGATGTTATCTTCTAGAACTTTTACAGTTTCAGGTCTTAGATTTAAGTCTTTGATCCATCTTGAGTTGATCTTTGTATAAGAAGAGAGATGAGGATCCAATTTCATTCTCATACATGTGGCTTGCAAATTATCCCAGCACCATTTGTTGAATAGGGTGTCCTTTCCCCACTTTATGTTTTTGTTTGCTTTGTCAATGATCAGTTGACTGTAAGTATTTGGCTTTATTTCTGGGTTCTCTAGTCTTTTCCATTGGTCTATGTACCTATTTTTATACCAGTACCATGCTGTTTTGGTGACTATGGCCTTAGAGTACAGTTTGACGTTGGGTAATGTGATGTCTCCAGATTTGTTCTTTTTGCTTAGTCTCGCTTTGGCTATGCAGGCTCTTTTTTGGTTCCATATGAATTTTAGGATTGTTTTTTCTAGTTCTGTGAAGAATGATGGTGGTATTTTGACAGGAATTATATTGAATTTGTAGACTGCTTTTGGTAGTATGATCAATTTCACAATATTAATTCTACCTATGCATGAGCATGGGATGTGTTTCCATTTCTTTGTGTCATCTATGATTTCTTTCATAGTCATGATGACCTTTTCCCCTTTACCTATTTGGGCACAATGGTTTTTATAAAATATATGGTATATCAAGTTTCTCCCTATAACTTATTGCATTTTTTTTTTTTTGAGACAGAGTATCTATCTCTCTGTTGCCCAGGCTGGAGTGCAGTGACACAATCACAGCTCACTGCAGCCTCAACTTCCTGGGCTCAAGCGATCCTCCTGCCCCAGCCTCCTGAGTAGCTGAGACTCCAGGCATGTGCCACCACACCTGGCTTTTTTTTTTTTTTTTTTTGGTGGAGATGAGGTTTCACTATGTTGCCCAGGCTGGTCTCAAAGTCCTGGGCTCAAGTGATCCTCCCACCTCAGCCCCACAAAGTGCTGGGATTTCAGGTGTGAACCACCATGCCCAGCTACTTATTGCAATTTTTAAGCCAGTTTTTATCTGCCTTCTAATTTTTAGCTTCTTGGCAGAAATTTTAAGTTCTAAGTGGTAAAATAGTGTCATAATTTCTTCTACCTCCTAGTTCAGTTTTGGTTGTGTTTTTGGGGTTTTGTTTGTTTGTTTTTTGAGACGGAGTCTTGGTTTGTCACTCAGGCTGGAGTCAAATGGCACAGTCTCGGCTCACTGCAACGTCCGCCTCCTGGGCTCTAGCAATTCTCCTGCTTCAGCCTTCCAAGTAGCTGGGATTACAGGCGTATGCCAACACGCCTGGCTAATTTTTGTATTTTTAGTAGAGACAGGGTTTCACCATGTTGGCCAGGCTGGTCAAACTCCTGACCTCAAGTGATCCAGTGTGCTGGGATTACAGGCATGAACCACCATGCCCAGCCTACCTAGTTCAATTCTAAGCATTCTTTGGTTGCTACTATGTTCCAGGCAATTACTAAGTAAACCCTGAGAGGTAAGAGATTAAGAGGGACACTATATCGGGGCAATAGACATGTGATAGATAATTCTATATGGCATGATAAGTGATGATGAAGGACCACATGCTATTATGGACACACAGATTTAGGTCACTTAGCTGAACTCAGTAGTAGAGCCCAAGTTTCTAGAAGAAATTATTCATTAGATGAATTTTAGAAAACAGGACATCAGCAAATAAACAAAATGGGAAGAGCATGCTAGGTAAAGGTCATACCACAAGAAGTGCGCAGATATGTGAGTGACATGAGGACTACTGCCTGTAATTGCTAAAGCCTGGAATATACAAAGAATGGTGAGAGACGATGTCAGAGCTACTGCAGGGTCAGCTTGGACTTTTTACCTACAGACCTAGGGCATAATAAATACCAGGTTTAAGCCACTAAGTTTGTAGTAATTTGTCAGGGCAGCAATAGAAAACTAATATGAACTTTGCTGCCTGGAAGTGGTGTGCTGTTGTAACAAATATCTAAAAATGTGGAAAGCCTTGGAATTGGGGAGTGGGTAGAAGCTGGAAGAATTCTGAGAAACATGATGGAAAAACCTAGATTGTCTTCAGCAAACTGAAATACAGACAGGAAAGGTGGTACCAGTGAGAGTTCAGAAGGAAATGAGGAACACATTACTAGAAACTGCAGTAAGGATGATCTTTGTTATATACTAGTAGAAAGCTTAGTGAAATGTGTCCTGTAGTTATGTGGAAAGCCAGAAGTGTAAACAGTGGACTGGGATATTTAGCTAAAGAGATGTCCAAGTTTAGAACTGATCAGGTAACTTAACTACATGCCAGAACAAAGTCCAACACTATTTAAAGGAATAAAACAAAATCCAGCATAAAACAATGTAAAATCACAAGGTCTACCTTCACATCAAAAAATTATCAGGCATGCAAAAAAGCAGGAAGATATGACCCATAACTAGAGAAAAAAATCTGTCAAAAGAAATGGTCTTTTCTAAGTCTGAGGTAATGAGACTTGAACATAAAAGCAGCTATTATAAATGTGCTCCAAACACTCAAGAATGTAGAAGAACCCAAATAGAATTGCTAGAGATGAAAGATACACTATGCAAAATCAAAAACACATGGATGCTTTTACTACACTACAGACATGGTCTCCATGTAGTACATATAAAACTGCAGACTTCAATTTTCCTGGAGTCTTTTATACTGTTAATTACATCTCCATGCAGGGCTGAAAAGAATGACCTGTGTTTACATGTAAAACCACGTTGTTGGAGGAGGGGGTGCCCCAGCTTAGCGAACCCCAGCCTCCCTCCTGGGGTGCCTCATTCCAGGGCTCTTCCATCTTTCTCTAGCTGCCAAGGCCCAGGCTGACAACCCCCCAACCACACCACACCCTCTGGACTGAAGCCTCTAGGCCCCAGATTGCTGACTCAGGCTGCTGGGCACACAGCCCCCAGGCTGACTGGAAGACGGGGCTCACTGCACACTCATCCCAAGGGCAGTGACTTAAGCCTCTCCAGTTTTCCTGTTAACTAAGTAAGCCTCAAGTCCTTTTAGTGTTTGTTTCTCTTCAAGAAAATAAAACACTTATTTGTTTCCTTTGTATCCTCCTCTCATTCAGGGGGTTCAATAAATCATCTGCCAGAAAGGAAGTGTGCAGCTAATTCAGTCCTCCAGCAAAGAAAAGTGGGAGGCCCCGACAAATTGTCATTATGCAATAATGAACCTTGGACAGCCAAAATTTCATCTACAATATCAAACATGGAACTTAACTTTGGAGTTTATTTTATTCTAAAAATCAGGTTTTCCCCCTAGCTTTTAAGATTGAAAAAAAAAATCTTCCTTGGAGGGGACTGTCATCTTACATAGCTGACAGTAATTTTCAGATTTGTGGAGTTTTGCAAGCTTTAAGCAAAGTAGATGAACCAGGAACAAAGCATCAGCTTTGTTTAACATCACTGAGTAGACTAATACTCCTCCCAGAGCCTGATCTAGGACTACAGCTGAAGGCTTTCAGGTTTGGACAAAAATCTTTGAGTATTAACTTGGAAATAAGGTAAATTGATGGATGGGTATGTAATACATTGAGAACAGTTAAATGTTAATGATAGAATCTAGTGGTGGGTATAAGGGCATTCACTGTAAAATTCAACTTTCCTGTACATTTCAAAGTTTTTCATACTAAAATGTTTCAGGGGGTTGGGGGTATATTAGGGTTATCTAGAGACACATAACTAATAGGATAGATGTATATATGAGAGGGAGTTTATTAAGGAGAATTGACTCACACAATCACAAGGTGAAGTCATACAATAGGCCTCCTGCAAGCTGAGGAGCAAGGAAGCCAGTGGTAGATCAATCCAAGCACCAAAAACTCAAAGATAGGGAAGCTCACAGTGCAGCCTTCAGTCTATGGCCAAAGGCCCGAGAGCCCATGGAAAACCACTGGTGTAAGTCCAAGAGTCCAAAAGCTGAAGTACTTGGAGTCTAATGTTCAAGGGCAGCAAGCATCTAGCACGGGAGAAAGATGAAGGCCGGAAGACTCAGCAAATCTGCCCTCCCATCTTCTCCTGCCTGCTTTATTCTAGCCGTGCTGGCAGCTGATTAGATGGTGCCCAACCAGACTGAGGGTGGGTCTCCTCACCCAGTCCACTGACTCAAATGTTAATCGTCTTTGGCAACACTCTGACAGAGATGCCCAGGAACAATGCTTTGCATCCTTCAATCTAATCAAGTTGACATTCAATATTAACCATCACAGGGGGCAAGAGGCTTTGTGTCAAATCCCTGTTGCTATGAGTGGTGAGACTAGAACAAAATGCCCAATACTCAAATTACCTCATTTTCTTGTTTTTTCTTCTTTTTGCCTCTAGATATGATACCTCATTTTTTTAATATGTGTAATGTAGATCATTACTGATCTCATATGGTTGATGAGAAAAATGACAATGTCAAGAACATTTCTGGCACTACTAGAGGCCCTCAAATCAAGGGTAGCCACCTGGTGGGGCAAAGAAACGCAGTTCAGGGATCACTGGAGTGGGCTGGTGAGAAACTTCTTTAAGGAGGTGGAGGAGCAGGGGCATTTCTGGGTTTTATTGTGCCTGGATGGCCATCTGATTACGTGTGGCTTAGCCTGGAAACCCTCAATGCAGGACTCCAACCCCAAGAAAGTGCTTCAAGGACACCCCAGGTGGACCCAGAGGGCAGCTACAAGCCGACTTTTATGCTCTGCCTCCAGAATGACTCCTTCCAATGCTCACTAATGCTTAGGGGCCTGAGGAGAAGTCTTTTATGCCCAGAAATGACAACCACTTCCTCTGACTCTAAGAACAGTCCATTTAGGCTATTTCATCTTTGCCAGTTTCATTTTAGGAAACACAAGCCTTATAACACAATCCTGAGGAAATCAGCTGTGAAATACACAGACTTTGTGCAGAGAAGTGGTGCAAGTGTGCAATGCTTCAGTCTTAGTGACTGAAGACAGCCAGCCCACATGCCCAGTACCAAAGGGGCACATGCTCCACACCAAATGGGCAAAAATTCCACAGCCGAGCCTGCCCAGACAAGGGGACCCGCTACACAACTCCACACCCTCAGCACTTTGTGACAGGACAATTACTGCCGCGTGACAGGACTCCAGTCCTGGGGCTGCTACCGGGTGCAAGTGACATGCTGGAAAGAGCGTGGTAGACATCTAGGGGCCAACTCTAGGAACATGTGTTTCTTATTCAGAATAGCTTTTTGTTTTGTTTGTTTTAACTTGTGAGGCTTCTTCACTACTCAGGGACGAAAGAAAGAGGAAAGAATGGAAAAAGTGAAACTACAGAACAGAAATTGTGCAACTTCCAGAAAACTGCTCTAAGACAAGCAAGAAGGCAGACCTGCTAAATGCCCATTATGACACTATTTGACTAAACAGGTTTGAAATACTCTGGCATAAAATGAAGGCCATCCCCTAATGGTTTGTTCTTGGTGTTGGACAAATCATAAAAGGACCAGACATTGCTGTGATGAATTATATGCCCTGGAGAGAGGCAGAAAGTGATTACACCACCTTCATTTGCACATGGAAAGGAAAACTAAAGGTAGTATCTTAAATCTTTCCTTCGCACAGTCTGCTTGCCTCTTGTCACAGAGCACGCCTGCGTGTCTCTAAAAGCATGTGATATTTTAGTGCTTTAATTAAGTATACATGTAAAGGCAAGAGTCCACCTGATACAACACTGATTTTTGAGACTGAATTTTATGCTGTGACCAGAGGACCACTGAACCATTTAAACAGAAAGACACCATGACAGACAACTCTCTAAAACAGAGCTAATCACTACCTAAAAGAGAAGTTTTAAAAAGATGAGAAGCCATGTGACAAGTCATATCAGAATGCAGTTTTAGGCCAGGCACAGTGGCTCACATCTGTAATCCCAATATTTTGGGAGGCCAACGTGGGACAATAACTTGACCCCAGGAATTCCAGACCAGCCTGGACAACACGGTGAAGCCCCATCTCTACCAAAAAAAAAAAAAAAAAAAAAAAATAGCTGGGTGTGACAGTGTGCACCTGTAGTCCCAGCTACTTAGGAGGCTGAGATGGGAGGATTGCTTTTGCCCAGAAGTTCGAGACTGCAGTGAGCTATCATATGATTGTGCCACTGCACTCGAGCCTGGGTGACAGAGCAAGACTCCATTTCTAAAAAAAACAAAAACAAAGCAGTTTTAGAAGATATTTTAAAGAAAAATGATCATGATGGTGACAGTTTCATTTCTTTTAAGGAATACAATGCATATCAACATTATGAACTATGTTTTTTATTTCTATATTTTCTTAGATATTTACTGTCTTTGTTTACAAAATAGTCACTTTCACAAAAAAACCCAAACCCAAACTACTGCTTTTGATGTTGTGCTATTGTACATAGAAATGTACACAGTAAGGTTCTGCAATGAAAAGCACGTACTCTTGAGACTTAGTACTGCTTTGATTCATTGTTCAGGCTACAATTTCCCCCCTTAGAATGTAAGAAAAGTTAGCGCTTGTCGCCAATAAATGGTAATACTAAAATGAACTAACTCCCACCTATGCAAAGAGAAAAATAATTGAAAAAAATGAGCAAAGTCTCTGAGATCTGTGGGAACAATATCAAGTTGTCTAACAGATAGTAGTTGGAGTCTCAGATGGAGGATAGTAATAGCATTTGACAAAATAATGGCTGAAAATGCTACACATCTGATGAAAGCGATAAGCCTGCAGATCTATGAATCTTAATAAACTCCAAAGCACAAAAAATAAAGCTACATGTGTTAAGACGGTAATACGACTGAAACTTATCTACTTATTGTTTGTTTGTTTGAACTTGTGAGGCTTCTTCACTACATAAGGTTGCCCTATCAAGATTTTGGTTAATTTCATTGTAGAAACTGACAAGCTGTTCCTAAAATTCATATGAAAATTCAAGGGAACCAGAATTACCAAAAAATCTTGAAAGAGTAGAACAAAGTTAAGGGGCCATCCTCCCTAATTTCAAAACTTACTACAAAGCTACAGTAATCAAGACAATGAGGTACTGGCATTAAGGCTAGCTATAGATTAATGAATAGAATCAAGCACCCATAAATAAACCCATATGTCTGTACCCAGTAGATTTCTGACAAGGATGCCAAGACAATTCAATGGGGAAAGAATAGTTTTTTTTCAATGAATGGATAAATAAAATGACATGTCCAAACAAAGAAATATATTTGGAAATAAAAATAAATGAAGTACTGATACATGCTACAACATGGGTGGCCTTTGAAAACATTATACTGTGTGAAGAAATCAATCACAAAGAACCACATATTATATGATCCCATTTATATGAAATGCCCAGAGTAGCCAAATCTAGAGAGACAGAAAGTAGATTAGTGACTGCCTAGGGCTAAAAGTGATGAAAGGAGTGGGGATGATGACTAAATGAAAAAGTCATAAACTTGATTATAGTGGAAAATGCACAACTCTATGAATATACTAAAAGCCATTTTAAATGGGTGAATTGTATGATATGTGAACTATATCTCAGTAAGTTGTTTTTTACAAAAAGAAAAGAAAACCATGCCAAGAGACACATCATAAAAATTGCTGAGAGCCAGTAATATAGAAAATAAATATCAGAAGTAGCTCAGGGATAGGGGAAAGACATAAAGTAAAAACACAAGCCACAAATTTGGGAGATAGGTTTGCTATTCCAGAATTATAAAAAGTGATTACAAATAAATAAGGAAGAGACAATCCAAAAGAAAAATGGGCAAGGCATATAAACAGGTGTTTTACTGAAGAATAAACAGAAATGGCTCAGAAACCAATGAAAAGATGGTTGACTTCATTAGTCATCAGATAATGAAATTTTAAAATATCACATGCTGGCCAGATGCAGTGGCTCACACCTGTAATCTCAACACTTTGGGAGGCAGAAGTGGGTGGATCATTAGAGGCCCAAAGTTTGAAACCAGTCTGGCCAACATGGCAAAACCCCATCTCTACAAAAAAATACAAAAATTAGCTGGGCATGTTGGCACATGCTTGTAATCCCAGCTACTCAAGAGGCTGAGACACGAGAATTGCTTGAACCTGGGAGGTGGAGGTTGCAGTGAGCCAAGATTGTGCCACTTCACTTCAGCCTGGGTGACAGAGTGAGACTGTGTCTCAAAAATAAAATCAAATAAAATATCACATGCCATTTTACACCCCAAAAATGAAAAGGTTGACAAGGAGAGATTTACACTTCTGATAGGGGTATTAAATAGCACAACCACTTTGATCAATAATTTGTAATAGTCAGTGAATACAAAGGGGTATATACTAAATGCTACAGAAATTCCATTCCTGGGTATAAATCCTAGACATATTTATGCATATGTACACCAAGATATATCTGCAAGAATGTTCACAGCAAATCTCTTTGTAGTAGCAAAAGGCCAAAAGGTCTATCAACAAGAAAATTAATACATTGTGGCACATAATGGCATCCTTATGCCAATAAAAATGGATGAAATTATAGTTAGGTTCAAAAGGCAAGCCTCCAGATAATTTATATCATATAATTCCATGTACAACATTCAACAACAAGCAAAACTAAACATATACAAATGTCAGGGAAAATGATGAACAAGGTTAGAAAATGATTAATATAAAAATACTGCACAGTGATAACATTTAATGAGAAAAAAAGAAGGAAGGGCTTAGGGAGGGACCTACAGGGAACTCCAAAGTTCATGGTAAGTACTAAATACATAATCAAAGCACTCAAAATAGAAAATATTTTAGTAATGTTTTAGCTAGTTAATATCTTACTTAAAACAAGGTCTAGGCCAGGCACGGTGGCTCACACCTGTAATCCCAGCACTTTGGGAGGCTGAGGCGGGTGGATCGCTTAAACCCGGGAGTTCAAGACTAGCCTGGGCAACATAGTGAAATCCTGGCTCTATTAAAAAAACAAAAATTAGCTGGGCATGGTGGCACATGCTTGTAATCCCAGCTACTCAGGAGGCTGAGGCAGGCAAATCATTTGAACCTGAGAGGCAGAGGTTGTGGTGAGCCAAGATCACACCACTACACTCTAGCCTGGGTGACAGAGGGAGACTCAGTCTCAAAAAATAAAGAAATATAAAAATAAAGAAAACAATGTCTAAAAAAAAATAAAAGCTACTAGGAGGTAGCCAGGCACAGTGGCTCACACCTGTAATCCCAGCACTTTGGGAGGCCAAGGCAGTCAGATCACTTGAGGCCAGGAGTTCGAGACCAGTCTGGCCAACATGGCAAAACCTGTCTCCACTAAAAATACAAAAAAATTTGTGTGGTAGCACATGCCTGTAATCCCAGCTACTTGGGAGGCTGAGACAGGAGAATTGCTTGAACCTGGGAGGTGGAGGTTGCATGCAGTGAGCTGAGATCAGACCACTGCACTCCAGCTCAGGTGACAGACTGAGACTCTGTCTCAAAAACAAAAACAAAAACAAAACAAAAAAGCAAAGTAATAGGAGATGAAGAAGTAAAGATAGCCCACCTTGAATAATCTTTAAAACCCTTAGGTGGGAAAAAGAGAGAATATAGTAGTTAGAAAGGGATCTGTGGTCAAGAGACAGTTCGGCTTTATTCTTTTCCAGAACAGGAAATGTTTTGCAGACATATGAGCTGAGGGGTGAAGACCAATGGGGAGTAGCAAGTTAACAGTAGTAGTAGCCATAGTAATAGGAATAGTAAAAGCTAATATTTATTGAGAGCTTGTGGCAGATACTATTCCAACTTTCTATATATATATATACTTTAAGTTCTAGGGTACATATGCACAACATGCAGGTTTGTTACATATGTATACATGTGCCATGTTGGTTTGCTGCACCTATTAACTCATCATTTACATTAGGTATTTCTCCTAATGCTATCCCTCCCCCATGCCCCCACCCCACACCAGGCCCCAGTGTATGATGTTCCCCACCCTGTGTCCAAGTGTTCTCATTGTGCAATTCCCACCTATGAGTGAGAACATGCGGTGTTTGGTTTTTTGTCCCTGTGACAATTTGCTCAGAATGATGGTTTCCAGCTTCACCCATGTCCCTAAAAAGGACATGAACTCATCCTTTTTTATGGCTGCATAGTATTCCATGGTGTATATGTGCCACATTTTCTTAATCCAGTCTATCATTGTTGGACATTTGGCTTGGTTCCAAGTCTTTGCTATTGTGAATAGTGCTGCAATAAACATACAATATCTGCATGTGTCTTCATAGTAGCATGATTTATAATCCTTTGGGTATATACCCAGTAATGGGATCACTGGGTCAAATGGTAGTTCTAGTTCTAGATCCTTGAGGAATTGCCACACTGTCTTCCACAATGGTTGTACTAGTTTACACTCCCAACAATGGCATAAAAGCATTCCTATTTCTCCGCATCGTCTCCAGCACCTGTTCCTGACTTTTTAATGATCACCATTCTAACTGGTGTGAGATGGTATCTCATTGTGGTTTTGATTTGCATTTCTCTGATGACCAAGTGATGATGAGCATTTTTTCATGTGTCTGTTGGCTGCATAAATGTCTTCTTTTGAGAAGTATCTGTTCATATCCTTTGCCCACTTTTTGATGGGGTTGTTTTTTTCTTGTAAATTTGAGTTCTTTGTAGATTCTGGATGTTAGCCCTTTGTCAGATGGGTAGATTGCAAAAATTTTCTCCCATTCTGTAGGTTACCTGTTCACTCTGATGGTAGTTTCTTTTGCTGTGCAGAACCTCTTTCGTTTAATTAGATCCCATTTGTCTATTTTGGCTTTTGTTGCCATTGCTTTTGGTGTTTTAGTCATGAAGTCCTTGCCCATCCTATGTCCTGAATGTACTGCCTAGGTTTTCTTCTAGGGTTTTTATGGTTTTAGGTCTAACATTTAAGTCTTTAATCCATCTTGAATTAATTTTTGCATAAGGTGAAAGGAAGGGATCCAGTTTCAGCTTTCTCCATATGGCTAGCCAGTTTTCCCAGCACCATTTATTAAATAGGGAATCCTTTCCCCATTTCTTGTTTTTGTCAGGTTTGTCAAAGACCAGATGGTTGTAGATGTGTGCTGTTATTTCTGAGGCCTCTGTTCTGTTCCACTGGTTTATATATCTGTTTTGGTACCAGTACCATGCTGTTTTGGTTACTGTAGCCTTATAGTATAGTTTGAAGTCAGGTAGCGTGATGCCTCCAGCTTTGTTCTTTTTGCTTAGGATTGTCTTGGCAATGCAAGCTCTTTTTTGGTTCCATATGAACTTTAAAGTGGTTTTTTCCAATTCTGTGAAGAAAGTCATTGGTAGCTTGATGCGGATGGCATTGAATCTATAAATTACCTTGGGCAGTATGGCCATTTTCATGATATTGATTCTTCCTACCCATGAGCATGGAATGTTCTTCCATTTGTTTGTGTTCTCTTTTATTTTGTTGAGCAGTGGTTTATAGTTCTCCTTGAAGAGGTCCTTCACATCCCTTGTAAGTTGGATTCCCAGGTATTTTATTCTTTTTGTAGCAATTGTGAATGGGAGTTCACTCATGATTTGGCTCTCTGTTTGTCTGTTATTGGTGTATAGGAATGCTTGTGATTTTTCCACATTGATTTTGTATCCTAAGACTTTGCTGAAGTTGCTTATCAGCTGAAGGAGATCTGGGGCTGAGACAATGGGGTTTTCTAAATATACAATCATATCATCTGGAAACAGGGACAATTTGACTTCTTCTCTTCCTAATTGAATACCCTTTATTTCTTTCTTTTGCCTGATTGCCCTGGCCAGAACTTCCAACACTATGTTGAATTGAAGTGGTGAGAGAGGGCATCCCTGTCTTGTGCCAGTATTCAAAGGGAATGCTTCCAGTTTTTGCCCATTCAGTATGATATTGGCTGTGGGTTTGTCATAAATAGCTCTTATTATTTTGAGATATGTCCCATCAATACCTAGTTTACTGAGAGTTTTTAGCATGAAGGGCTGTTGAATTTTGTTGAAGGCCTTTTCTGCATCTATTGAGATAATCACATGGTTTTTGTCTTTGGTTCTGTTTATGTGATAGATTACGTTTATCGATTTGCATATTTTGAATCAGCCTTGCATCCCAGGGATGAAACCAATTTGATCTTGGTGGATAAGCTTTTTGATGTGCTGCTGGATTTGGTTTGCCAGTATTTTATTGAGGATTTTCGCATCGATGTTCATCAGGGATATTGGTCTAAAATTCTCTTTTTTTTTGTTGTGTCTCTGCTAGGCTTTGGTATCAGGATGATGCTGGCCTCATAAAATGAGTTAGGGAGGATTCCCTCTTTTTCTATTGATTGGAATTGTTTCAGAAGGAATGGTACCAGCTCCTCTTTGTAACTCTGGTAGAATTTGGCTGTGAATCCGTCTGGTCCTGGACTTTTTTTGGTTGGTAGGCTGTTAATTATTGCCTCAATTTCAGGGCCTGTTATTGGTCTATTCAGGGATTCAACTTCTTCCTGGTTTAGCCTTGGCAGGGTGTATGTGTCCAGGAATTTATCCATTTCTTCTAGGTTTTCTAGTTTATTTGCATAGAGGTGGTTATAGTATTCTCTGATAGAAGTTTGTATTTCCGTGGGATCATTGGTGATATCCCCTTTATCATTTTTTATTGTGTCTATTTGATTCTTCTCTCTTTTCTTCTTTATTAGCCTTGCTAGTGGTCTATCAATTTTGTCGATCTTTTCAAAAACCAGGTCCTGGATTCATTGATTTTTTTGAAGGGTTTTTTGTGTCTCTATCTCCTTCAGTTCTGCTCTGATCTTAGTTATTTCTTGCCTTCTGCTAGCTTTTGAATTTGTTTGCTCTTGCTTCTCTAATTCTTTTAACTGTGATGTTAGGGTGTCAATTTTAGATCTTTCCTGCTTTGTCTTGTGGGCATTTAGCGCTATAAATTTCCCTCTACACACTGCTTTAAACGTGTCCCGGAGATTCTGGTACATTGTGTCTTTGTTCTCATTGGTTTCAAAGAACATCTTTATTTCTGCTTCCATTTCGTTATTCACCCAGTAGTCATTCAGGAGCAGGTTGTTCAGTTTCCATGTAGTGGTGTGGTTTTGAGTGAGTTTCTTAATCCTGAGTTCTAATTTGATTGCGCTGTGGTCTGAGAGACAGTTTGTTGTGATTTCTGTCCTTTTACATTTGCTGAGGAGTGTTTTACTTCCAACTGGTCAACTTTGGAATAAGTGCAATGTGGTGCTGAGAAGAATGTATATTCTGTTGATTTGTGGTGAAGAGTTCTGTAGATGTCTATTAGGTCCGCTTGGTGCAGAGCTGAGTCCAAGTCCTGGATATCCTTGTTAACCTTCTGTCTCAATCTGTCTAATATTGACAGTGCGGTGTTAATGTCTCCCATCATTATTGTGTGGGAGTCTAAGTCTCTTTTTAGGTCTCTAAGGATTGTTTTATGAATCTGGGTGCTCCTGTATTGGATGCATATCTATATTTAGGATAGTTAGCTCTTCTTGTTGAATTGATCACTTTACCATTATGTAATGGCCTTCTTTGTCTCTTTTGATCTTTGTTGGTTTAAAGTCTGTTTTATCAGAGACTAGGATTGCAACCCCTGCTTTTTTTTTTTTTTTTTTGGCTTTCCATTTGCTTGGTAGATCTTCCTCCATTCCTTTATTTTGAGCCTATGTGTGTCTCTGCATGTGAGATGGGTCTCCTGAATACAGCACTCTGATGGGTCTTGACTCTTTATCCAATTTGCCAGTCTGTGTCTTTTAATTGGGGAATTTAGCCCATTTACATTTAAGGTAAATATTGTTATGTGTGAATTTGATCCTGTCATTATGATGTTAGCTGGTTGTTTTGCCTGTTAATTGATGCAGCTTCTTCCTAGTATCGATGGTCTTTACAATTGGGCATGTTTTTGCAGTGGCTGGTACTGGTTGTTCCTTTCCACGTTTAGTGCTTCCTTCAGGAGCTCTTGTAAGGCAGGCCTGGTGGTGACAAAAATCTCTCAGCATTTGCTTGTCTGTAAAGGATTTTATTTCTCCTTCACTTATGAAGAAGCTTAGTTTGGCTGGATATGAAATTCTGGGTTGAAAATTCTTTTCTTTGAGAATGTTGAATATTGGCCCCTGCTCTCTTCTGGCTTGTAGAGTTTCTGGCGAGAGATCCACTGTTTGTCTGATGGGCTTCCCTTTGTGGGTAACCCGACCTTTCTCTCTGGCTGCCCTTAACATTTTTTCCTTCATTTCAACCTTGATGAATCTGACAGTTATGTGTCTTGGGGTTGCTCTTCTCAAGGAGTATCTTTGTGGTGTTCTCTGTATTTCCTGAATTTGAATGTTGGCCTGCCTTGCTAGGTTGGGGAAGTTCTCTTGGATAATATCCTGAAGAGTGTTTTCCAGCTTGGTTCCATTCTCCCCATCACTTTCAGGTACACCAATCAAACGTAGATTTGGTCTTTTCACATAGTCCCATATTTCTTGGAGGCTTTGTTCATTTCTTTTACTCTTTTTTCTCTAAACTTCTCTTCTCACTTCATTCATTTGATCTTCAATCACTGATACCCTTTCTTCCACTTGATTGAATTGGCTACTGAAGCTTGTGCATGCGTCACATAGTTCTTGTGCCATGGTTTTCAGCTCCATCAGGTCATTTAAGTTCTTCTCTACACTGTTTGTTCTAGTGAGCCATTCATCTAATCTTTTTTCAAGGTTTCTGGCTTCCTTGCAATGGGTTTGAACATCCTCCTTCAGCTCAGAGAAGTTTGATATTGCCAATCTTCTGAAGCCTACTTCTGTCAACTCCTCAAAGTCATTCTCTGTCCAGCTTTGTTCTGTTGCTGGCAAGGAGCTGTGATCCTTTGGAGGAGAAAAGGTGCTCTGGTTTTTAGAATTTTCAGCTTTTCTGCTCTGGTTTCTCCCCATCTTTGTGGTTTTATCTACCTTTGGCCTTTGATGATGGTGACCTACAGATGGGGTTTTGGTGTGGATGTCCTTTTTGTTAATGTTGATACTATTCCTTTCTGTTTGTTAGTTTTCCTTCTAACAGTCAGGTCTCTCAGCTGCAGGTCTGCTGGAGTTTGCTGGAGGTCTACTCCAGACCCTGTTTGCCTGGGTGTCACCAGCAGAGGCTGCAGAAGAGCAAATATTCCTGGCTGATCCTTCCTCTGGAAGCTTCGTCTCAGAGGGGCACCTGGCTAAATGAGGTGTTAGTTGGCCCCTACTGGGAGGTGTCTCCCAGTTAGGCTACACGGGGGTCAGGGACCCACTTGAGGAGGCAGTGTGTCTGTTCTCAAAGCTCAAACACTGTGCTGGGAGAACCACTGCTCTCTTCAGAGCTGTCAGACAGGGACGTTTAAGTCTGCAGATGTTTCTGCTGCCTTTTGTTCAGCTATGCCCTGCCCCCAAAGGTGGAGTCTACAGAGGCAGGCAGGCAGGCCTCATTGAGCTGCGGGTGGGCTCCACCCAGTTCTAGCTTCCTGGACACTTTGCTTACCTACTCAAGCCTCAGCAATAGCGGACACCCCTCCCCCAGCCAGGCTGCCACCTCACAGTTCGATCTCAGACTGCTGCGCTAGCAGTGAACAAGGCTCTGTGGGCGTGGGACCCGCTGAGCCAGGAGCAGGATATGATCTCCTGGTGTGCCGTTTGCTAAGACCATTGGAAAAGCACAGTATTTGGGTGGCAATGTCCCGATTTTCCAGGTACAGTCTGTCACAGCTTCCCTTGGCTAGGAAAGGCAAATCCCCCAACCCCTTGCACTTCCCGGGTGAGGCAACACCCCACCCTGCTTCAGCTTGCCCTCCATGGGCTGCACCCACTGTCCAACCAGTCCCAGTGAGATGAACCAGGTACCTCGGTTGGAAATGCAGAAATCACCTGTCTTCTGCATCGATCACACTGGGAGCTGCAGACTACAGCTGTTCCTATTTGGCCATCTTGGAGCGGACCATTATTCCAACTATTTACCTACCTTAACTCACGGCATCCTCTCAACATTATAAGGTAAGCTCTATCTATTAGTGCATTCTCACATTGCTATAAAAATCTGCCCAAGATGGGGTAATTTTTAAAGTAAAGATGTTTAACTGACTCACAGTTCCACATGGCTGGGAGGCCTCAGGAAACTTACAATCATGGCAGAAGGGGAAGAGGCATGGCTTATGTGGCATGAGAAAATGAGAGCAAGAGCAGGGAAAATTCCCTTATAAAACCATCAGATATCATGGGAACTCACTCACTATCACAAGAACAGCATGGGGAAAACCATCCCCATGATCCAATCACCCCACACCAGGTCTCTCCCTCAACACGTGGGGATTGTGAGGATTATGGAGATTACAATTCAAGATGAGATTTGGGTGGGAACACAAATTCTAACCATATCATTCTGCCCCTGACACCCCCAAATCTCATGTCCTCACATTTCAAAACCAATCAGCCCTTCCCAACAGTTCCCCAAAGCCTTCTCATTTCAGCATTAACTCAAAAGTCCAAGTCCAAAGTCTCTTCTGAGACAAGGCAACTCCCTTCCTCCTAAGAGCCTGTAAAATCAAAACCAAGTTAGCTACTTCCCAGATACAATGAGGGTACAAGCATTAGATAAATGCTCCCATTCCAAATGGGAGAAATTGGTCAAAACAAAAGGGCTACAGGCTCCATGCAAGTCCAAAATCCAAGGGGACAGTCATTAAATCTTAAAGCTCCAACATAATCTCCTTTTATTCCATGTCTCACATCAGGGTATGCTGATGCAAGAAGTGGGCTCCCACGGTCTTGGGCAGCTCTGCCTCTGTGGCTTTGCAGGGTACGGCCTCCCTCTTGGCTGCTTTCATGGGCTGGCATTGAGTGTTGGTGGCTTTTCCAGGTGCACAGTGCAAGCTGTCAGTGGATCTAGCATTCTGGGATCTGGAGGACAGTGGCCCTCTTCTCACAGCTCCATTAGGCAGTGCCCCAGTGGGGACTCTGTGTGGGGGCTCCAACCCCACATTTTCCTCCTGGACTACGCTAGCAGAGGTTCTCCATGAGAGCTCCACCCCTGCAGGAGACTTCTGCCTGGACATTCAGGCATTTCCATACATCCTTTGAAGTCTAGGCAGAGGTTCCCAAACCTTGATTCTTGACTTCTGTGCACCCTCAGACCCAACACTATATGGAAGCCTCCAAGGCTTACAGCTTGCAGTCTCTGAAGCAATGGCTTGAGCTGTATGTTGGCCCCTTTTAGCTATGGCTGGGACACAGGGTGCCAAGTCCTGAGGCTACACAGAGCAGCATCAGGGCTGTAAGCCAGGCCCATGAAACCATTTCTTCCCACTAGGCCTCCAGGTCTGTTATGGGAGGGGCTGCCAAGAAGGTCTCTAACATGCCCTGAAATGTTTTCCCCATCATCTTGGCTATTAATATGTGGCTCCTCATTACTCATGCAAATTTCTGCAGCTGGCTTGAATTCCTCCTTAAGAAAATAGGTTTTTCTTTTCTACTACAAGGTCGGGATGCATATTTTCCAAACTTCTATGCTCTGCTTCCCTTTTAAATCCAAATTCCAATTTCAAACCATCTCTTTGTGAATGCATAAGATTGAATGCTTTCAAAATCAACCAGGTCACCTCTTGAATGCTTTGCTGCTTAGAAATTTCTTTTGCCAGTTACCCTAAATAATCTCTCTCAAGTTCAAAGTTGCACAGATCTCTAGGGCAGGGGCAAAATGCCACCAGTCTCTTTGCTAAAGCATAGCAAATGTGACCTTTGCTCCAGTTCCCAAGACTTTCCTTATCTTCATCTGAGACCACCTCAGCCTGTACTTCATTGTCCACATCATTAACTGCATTTTGGTCAAAACCATTCAACAAGTCTCTAGAAAGTTCCAAACTTTCCCACAACTTCCTGTCCTCTTCTGGGCCCTCCAATCTGTTCCAACCTCTGCCTGTTACCCAGTTCCAAAGTTGCTTCCTCATTTTTAAGTATCTTTATAGCAATACCCCACTACCTTGGTATCAATTAACTGTGTTAGTCAGTTTTCACTTTGCTATAAAGAAATACCTCAGATGGGTAATTTATAAAGGAAAGAGATGTAATTGACTCACAGTTCTGCACGGCTAGGGAGGCATCAGGAAACTTACAATCATGGTGGAAAGCAAAGAGGAAGCAAGCTTGGACCTTCTCACATGGAAGCAGGGGAAGAGTGAGGAGTGAAGGGGAAAGAGCCTCTTATGAAACCATCAGATCTTGTGAGAACTCACTCACTATCATGAGAACAGCATGGGGAAAACTGGCCCCATGATCTAATTGCCTCCCACCAGGTCTCTCCCTAGACATGTAGGGATTATGGGGATTACAATTTCAAGATGAGATTTGGGTGGGGACACAAAGCCTAATTATGTCACTCTATTACTAGTCCCATTTTTCAAATAAAAAACTGAGACACATGGAGGTTTGATAACTGTGTGACATACTTAGAAGGTGGCTCCAAAGCCAAGGTTTTTATCCTTCGTGCTGCGTAGCTTCTGATCATGAGGGAGAGGATAAATTGAGTAAGCAGGGTCCAACAGTGCACAAGACAGGTCTGGACTAAGATCCTTCGAAGCTGGAGAAGTGGAGGGGAGGAAAGGTGCAGATGCGAAAAATGGCAGAAGGGGGAAAGGGTGAATGGGAGGGAAGCCATTCACAATTTAGAGCCTCGGCTTTTTGAATGAAGTAGGAGAGTAGTTATTTTTCATGAAAGCAAGTAAGGGTGCTTACTTTGAGTTTAACTCAAAATATTTATGTGTCTGGTGAGTTTTGAGGGAAATTGAGACCACCTAAGGGAACAAGAGATTCACATTGCCCAGAACGTACTCATTCCAGGACAATACACCCACTGTGTGACATGCTAGGGGCAACCTCCTGTGCTAATTATTGTTCTTTTATTTCCCCTTGAAATCGACTGCTGAACTCAACTAAGTGAAATATGTCCATAACACAATGCTGCCAGAAGGTCTTTGATACCAGCAACCAGGGCTTGCTCGGCTTTCCTGCCCAAATCCCTTCTCAGAGCATTTTTATCGCTCATATGTTATTCTCTTTTCTTCTGTCTGAGGAGAGAAAGATTCTTCTACACTCTTTTAAGGCTGTCTCTTCTCTATGTTTATGTCTCTATTATTACATTATAGGCTTATTCTAGGGAATAAATATCTTATTCCTGCCTTGCAAAGAATAAGCACATGATATTTATACACATCTCTGTGTCAGGTGCAGTGGCTCATGTCTATAATCCCAGCACTTTGGGAGGCCAAGGCAGGAGGATCACTTGAGGCCAGGAGTTTGAGACCAACCTGGGAAACATAGTGAGACCCTGTTTCTACAAAAAAAAATTTTTTTTTAAGTAAATCAGGTGTGGTGGCACATGCCTGTTGTCCCAGCTACTCAAGAGGCTGAGGTGGCAGGATCACTTGAGTCTGTGAGTTTCAGGCTGTAGTAAACTACAATTGTGCCACCACACTCCAACCTAGGTGACAAAGCAAGACCCTGTCTCAAAAACAAAACAAAGCCAAAAACCTTAGGGAACTGTATCTGTTACTCTTTTATTACCAATAATATCTTCAGGCAAAATCTGCTGACAAACATTTATAAATTAAATGTAAAAATAAAATCTTAAATCAGCTTTAAAATAAGTCAGTACATGATATGTAACAACTCTAAATCAGCTTTAACAGTTTGTAATATGTAACAACTTAAAATCTAGACACCTACAGACTATCAGATAATGTCTAGGAAATCACCTCAATTACGTACTTTCTCTAAGTTTTCTATATATCACACAATTAAATTACAATAAATTTCAGAAAACAATGAATCCACTCAATACAGGAAACCACAATAAGCAAAAGTGCAGGACACAGGGAAACCAATAACTGCAACATGTATGTGCTTAATGGAAAAAGATCCATTCAGGCATATATTTAGATGCCAAACAGCTTCTCCTAGCACTTTCCTCACACTAATTCTACTTTATTGCTTTGAATCCTTTTGGTAAACAACACCCACCATGCATGAGGCACACACATACAATCAAATAACAACTAAGGACAATCATTTACTCCTGTTTTTTTCACAAATGATATCTTATTGGATGCCCTTTAAACCAATATGTTTCAAATGTTTTTACCAAACCAACACTAAGAAAAACATTTCATGTTGCAACCAAGTTCAAACATATTGTATTAGTCCTCTTTCATGCTGCTGATAAAGACATATCATAACTATGATAGATAAGACTGGGAAGAAAGAGAGGTTTAATGGACTTACAGTTCCACATTGCTGGAGAGGCCTCACAATCATGGTAGAAAACGAGGAGGAGCAAGTCATGTCTTACATGAATGGTGGCAGGCAAGAGAGAGCTTGTGCAGGGGAACTCTCATTTTTAAAACCATCAGATCTCATGAGACTCATTCACTATCATGAGAATAGTGCAGGAAAGACCCTCCCCCATAATTTAATCACCTCCCACTGGGTTACTCCCACGACATGTGGGAATTGTGGGAGTTACAATTCAAGATGAAATTTGGGTGGGGACACAGCCAAACCATATCACATATATTCATGAATTACAGTTTAATCTAACAATATTTACCTTACCACTCATGATGCACTGTGAGATTTATTTTTATTTTTACTGGTTTCATTTTACCAAATTAAAACTTAAGAGTTTGAAAAATACTGCTCCAATTACTTTACTCAGATACTATTTTTAATGACATGATCCTAGGTTGCTATTCAGAAAAATAAATATTTGTCCTAAGATCAGAAAAGAAGGTAAGTGATCCTGACAGATAGTATATATGTCCTTCATTCAATATGGCAAGGAAAAGAGCACATGGCAAGGAAAAGACTACCACCAAAGAAGGAGCAATCAGTCAATCAATCAATCAATCAATCAACCAAGGCAGATAGAACATTTTTGCTGATATTCAATAAGGGTCCTTTAGAATTATGTGAGGCAGTGTGATACAAAGAATAGAGCACTGAATTTAAAATGTGGATACTTAGTTCAAGCCCCAGTTCTACCACTTTGGGCAAGACATTTTGTAGAGATCTAATTTTTCTCATCCATAATGAACATGGGGCAGGGACTCTATCTCCTGTCTAGCACTCTACTCCCAGAGCCTAAACAGTGCTTGACATCTAATAGATGTTGTTAAACAAATGAATGGATGAATATATATCTTGTTCATATGGTTGCAAACAGGATGTCAAACAAATGCTTGATTTTTAAAAATTCAGTCTGAAATAATTGGGGACTCAATATGCTGGCAGCTTCACACTATGCTGATTAAGCACTTTTCTCTTTCCACAACTACTAAACCAAAAAAAGAAAAAAAAATGTGGGGGAGGGGGTTGTGGAGGGACTGATTTTCTGTATTTTTCCTTTTCCAACAACTAGTTCTTATGAAAAGAAATTCTATCAACAATGTGTTTAAATTCTCCACATCCAGGATATATGCAACATTGGTGCCCTCTTAGAACAAAAATGTAAAAAATTGAACTACTCCTTGTTTCAACATTTAAGCCATTTAATTCTTTCTTGGTATCATGAACTGAGAAGACTGAAGGGGGTCACAGAAAAAAATTATACTCACAATACTATATTTTTTCAGGTTAGCACCAATACTTGTAAATGCTTTGATAAACAAGGATGAAATTATTTATTTTAACTGATGCTCAACCATATTGGGTCATCCTTATCAGCTACAACCACACATTGCCAAAATCAATCAATCAATCATTTTTTTTGAAATGGTCTCACTCTGTCGCCCAGGCTGGAGTGCAGTGGCGCAATTTTGGCTTACTGCAACCTCTGCCTCCCGGGTTCAAGCAATTCTCCTGCCTCAGTCTCCTGAGTACCTGGGATTACAGGCATGCACCATCATGCCGAGCTAATTTTTGTATTTTTAGTGGAGACAGGGTTTCACCATGTTAGCCAGGCTGGTCTGAAACTCCTGACCTCAGGTGATCAGCCACGATGGCCTCCCAAATTGCTGGTGTTACAGGCGTGAGCCACCACACCCGGCCTAATTAGTCATTAATTCTTGAGTAGTTCATTCAAGTATAACATCTTGCTACCACCTATGAGGGATACAAAAGGTCCCAGTGCTTGCCATCTTAACATGATTTATCATGAAACTATTCAATAACTGTGCAAAATACTATTTGATTAAATATGATGGACAGTACAGACAATAAGTCCCTACAGGACTTATTTGGATAAAAAGGAAAATACTACCTTCATAAAGAAACTTACCACCTAAAAGTTTAGGCTTCGGGGATGGCAAATACATGGAAAATGATCAGCTGTCTTCCTCATCCTCTAGTAACTATGTCAGGCCAGTTACTGATCACGGTATTCTTGCCCAGTGAACATAGTTATAACCTCGAGATCCTTATCAGCACATCCTTCTAGGCAGCTACAATAAAATATGATGAAACTTATTTGTCATCTCTGGGCTCAGCCTCTTTAAGAAGCTGCAGGAAAGTCTTTGATTATATTAATTATCACATGAATCCTGTCAAAGTACATACCAAGAAGAACACCATCAACTTCAAAATCCATCAGGAAAGGGATATTCATTTCTCTATATGGTCTAACAAATGATACTATTTAACTCTAGGTCTTAACTTACTTATGTCAAATGACAATTGTACCTATAAATCCAATAAAGTGCTTTATAATTATAAAGTCTCATTCTATAACATACCACATGCATGAAATTATAAAATATATGCTCACTTAACAAACAATACAAAAGTATATAAAGTAAAAACTGAAAGTTTACCAGCCCCTACAACAGTCCATTCTTCAGAGTTAGCCAAGATTAAGTTTAGTATACATCTTTCCAAACTTACTTTTTACTTATGCAAGAAAAACAATGTGTGTGTCGTATGTTTATTGCAGCACAATTTACAATAGCAAAGACATAGAACCAACCCAAATGACCATTAATGATGGACTGGATAAAGAAAATGTGGTACATATATACCATAGAATACTATGCAGCCATAAAAAGGAATGATATCATGTCCCTTGCAGGGGCATGGATGAAGCTGGAAGCCATTATCCTCAGCAAACTAACACAGGAGCAGAAAACCAAAAACTGCACGTTCTCACTTGTAAGTGGGAGCTGAACAATAAGAACACATGGACAGAGAGAGGGCAACAACACACACTGTGGCCTGTCAGGGGTCGGAGGCGAGGGGAGGGAGAGCATTAAGACAAATACCTAATGCATGCAGGGCTTAAAACCTAGATGACGGGTTGATAGTGCAGCAAACCATGGCACACATATACCTATGTAACAAACCTGCACGTTGTACCCATGTATCCCGGAGCATAAAAGAAAAAGAAAAACTAAAAAAGAGTGTGTGTGTGTGTGTGTGTGTGTGTGTGTGTGTGTGTGTGTGTGTTCATGTGTAAGGTGTACTAGAGCTATTTTCCTTACAAAAGTATTTCTAGCAAAATTATTTCTTTCCTAAACTTTAAATTTGTAAAGGAAATGCAACATATAAATAATAGAAATTTAATGCCATTTTATTCTGTACTTAACACAGGTCAGTGTTTGGACATGTACAAATTAAAACACGAGGAAAATGCATTAACCCAGCACCTTTTCAACATGAATTGTCATAATAAAGGATTCCATCCAAGTGTTATTGAAGCTCAAAAAAATAGAACTTTCTATTGAAAAACACCCTTTACATATAGTAGTGCCATATATTTTGAAAAAGAAATGTCTAATGAGCACGGAGAGGCATATCCACAGATATTCATATCCACAGATATTCATGAAAACACACTTACCCAGAAACACAGTGTGTTCGACAGAGAAGAAAGCTTACCGAGTGCTTAGTTCAACACTTTCATTTTACATATAAGGAAGCAGACTCAAAGGTCACAAAGCCAAGAACAGAAGCAGCACCAGAACCACAACCCACCATGACTTGCTGTGCTTGTTATACAAAACCACACTGGCATTCTTTAACATGATGAATTTTATTATACAGATGAGGCTTATGGTTTAAATGGAGGTTCTTATCTGTGTTAAATTGCTTTTGTCCCCAAATCTAGCTTCTTGTTGCCCTGGGTGCCTCTATCGTAGGACCCCCAACTACCCTCAAGCCTGTGATTCTTTCTCCTCCCTCCAGTCTCATCTCAACAGTCTCTTCCATTGATGGCCCTTGTGCTGGTCCATCTCTGCTCTGCCCCAACCCTGACCTTCACTTTCATCCTTAGCAAAGTTTTGGGTCTTAGTGAAGGGAAACATGTATGTGCTCATCTCCAGATCTGGAGCCACAGTTGTCAGAGATATAAATCATAACTACAGGTGCCTTTAGGAAAGTGAAAGCTACATTTACATTATTAACGATAACAAGTCCTGGAAGAAAGAACCTCATCCCCATGAACGATACACAGCCACTGTCTTTCTTTGGGTACTACATTCACACACACAGAGAGATTCATGTTCCACCTACATGACAGCCCTGTGATTTGGGCTAAAATTTAACCTTCAAAAGCTCATAAAATAGTAGTGCTCTTACTTTTGAAAGCAGATCCACCCTTTTCATAATGATATATCAGAAGTTCAACATATAAGACAGAAGTACCACAGAGAAGTTCAACATGGTAAAAGATGACTCACTTTTCTTTCCCCTCATCCCTTTCTCCATCCCACCCCCACCTCTGAAGAAATCTAGACCTCCAAGGGATCAGTTTGAGAACCGCTGCTTTATATCTTTTAACACATTCGCTTTTTTAAAAAAGCCTATTTTTCAAAGCTGTTTTATGTTCACAGCAAAATTGAGGAGGAAAGAGACATCTTACATGTCCCATCCCCCACACACGCACAGCCTCCCCTATTACCGGCATCCCCACCAGGATGGCGCATTTGTTCCAACTGTTCAATCCACACTGACACACCATTATCACCCAGCGTCCATGGTTCACATTCGGGCTCACCTTGACGTTATACATTCTATGTGTTTGGACAAATTTATAACAGCATATATCTACTAATATAGTGCCATACAGAGTAGTGTCACTGCTCTAAACAAAACTCCTCTGTGCTCCGTCTATTTAACCCTCTTTCACCCCTAGCCCTTGACAGCCACTGATCTTTTTATTGCCTCCATAGTTCTGCCTTCTCTAGAATGTCATACAGTAGGTAGCCCTTTCAGGTTGGCTTCTTTCACTTAGTAATATGCATTTAAGATTCCTCCATGTCCTTTCATGGCTTGATAGCTCTTTGTTTTTGTTTTTGTTTTTTTAAATTTAGACAGGTTATCGCTGCTGCCCAGGCCAGAGTGCAGTGGCACAATCACTACTCACTGTAGCCATGACCTCTTGGGCTCAAGTAATCCTCCCACATTAGCCTCTCAGGTAGGTGGGATTACAGGTGTGTGCCACCATGCTAAGCTAATTTTTTTTAATTTTATTTATGCTGCCCAGGTGTTGCCCAGGCTGCTCTCAAACTCCCAGGCTCAAGCAATCCTCCTGCCTCAGCCTCCCAAAGTGCTGAGCCACTATGCCTGACTCTCATTTCTTTTTAGTGCTAAATAATGTCCCATTGGCTGGATGAACCACAGTTTGTTAATCCATTCACCTACTGAAGGATATATTGGTTGCTTTCAAGTTTTGGAAATTATGAATAAAGCTGCTGTTAACATCCTCATACTGGTCTTGGTGTAGACTTCAGTTTTCAACTCCTTTGGGTAAATACCAAGTAGTGCAATCACTGGATTATATGGTTAAGAGTATGTATAGTTTTATAAAAAACTGCCAAAGTTCCTTGCAAAGACACATTCACTTTTACTAAAGAGAAGACCTATATAAAGACAAGGCACATGGTACTTTGCACATTGCAAATCGTTAATAACCAGCAGTATTCTATTTATCCTTGCTTGATAGAAATGTAATGCTTTTACTTCTCCTAAACAAGTTGTTTATAAATATGTTGCTCTGTATTGAATAATATATTAAAAATCACCTTTCTTCTCACCAGAGGCACCCTACATGTATACCTGGCCAAGGGCTGGCCCATCAGTGGCAGGAGGAAGCATGTGCCAGCACCCGTGCCACTGTGGCATGCTGCATACTGCATACAGTGCTCCAGAGAATCGTACCCTTCCCTGCACTGGTGCCATTTCCCAATGTACTCGAAAGATTCCAAACCCACAAGCTGATAAAAGATGCTACATTCCCTTCAATCTTTCTCTGAAAATGCCACACCCATTAGCTTCATCAGCTCATGTCTCTAGCTCCTCTCCCTAAAAGCCCAGTCTAAGTAGCTGTGCCCGAAGAGAAAAGGTTGTTGGAGAAAGTGGCAAATGCCATCCCATGCCTTCCACACCACCACGCCTCACCATTTTTTTTTTTTTTTTTTTTACCTCTACATGCTTCCTCTCTTCTTTCAGCCCAAAGCCCTCAGGTTCATGGACTCATGCAAATTAATGTCTGAAGGAACTTATTATTACTATTGCAGTTTTAACTTTAGCCAGATCTCAAACCAAGATTAGGCTGAGCCAATGAATACTTGACCATCTCTAATAAGATTGACTCCAAATTTATACACCTATACTAAAGCTAAAATTGGTGTCATTTCCAAAATATCATTTGTGCTAGGCCATCTTTGCATCACTATACAGGAATAACTGAGACTGGTTAATTTACAAAGAAAAGAGGTTTAATTGGCTTATGTTTCTGTAGGCTGTACAAGAAGCATGGTGCTGACATATGCTCAGCTTCTGGTGAGGGCTCAAGGAGCTCTTACTCATGGCAGAAGGTGACAGGGACCCAGCATGTCACATGATGAGAGTAAGAGCAAGGTGAGGGAGTTGCCACAGCATCACACACTTTTTAAACAACCAGATCTTGGGTGAGCTCACTCATCACCAGGAAGATGGCACTAAGCATTCCTGAGGGATCCGTCCCCATGATCCAATCATCTCTCACCAGGCCCCACATCCAACACTGAGGATTACATTTCAACATGAGATTTGGAGGGACGAATTTTCAAACCACATCATTCTGCCCCAGCCCCCCAAATCTCATGTCCTTCTCACATTACAAAGTGCAATCATCCCTTCTCAACAGTCCATTAAATTCCTAACTCATTCCAACATCAAGTCCAAAGCCCTAAGTCTCATCTGAGACTCATGACCTTCCATTTTTGGGCCTATAAAAGCAAAACAAATTATTTACTTCCAAAATACAATGGTGGTACAGACACTGGGTAAACATTCCCATTTCTAAAGGGATATATTGGCCAAAAGAAAGGGGTAATTTTCATGCAAGTCTGAAACCCAGCAGGGCAGTTATTAAATCTTAAAGCTCGGAAATTATCTTTTTTGACTCCATGTCCTGCATCCAGGACACATGGGTACAAGGAGTAGACCCCCAAGACCTTAGGAAGCTCTGCCCCTGTAGCTTTGCATGGTACAGCCCCTGCAGCTGCTCTCACAGGCTGGAGTTGAGTGTCTGCATCTTTTCTAGGCAAGAGTGCAAGCTGCTGGTGGATCTACCATTCTGGGGTCTGGAGGGTGGTGGCCCCCTTCCCACAACTCCACTAGGTAGTGCCCTGGGGGTACTCTGTGTGGTGGCTCCAGCCCCACATTTTCCCTCTACATTGCCCTACTAGAGTTTCTCTTCAGGGTCTCCACCCCTACAGCAGGCTTCTGCCTGTACACTCAGGCTTTCTGATATGTCATTGGAAATATAGGTGGAAGCTGCCAAGCCTCCTTCATTCCTGCATTCCATGCACCCACAGGAAGCTGCTAAGGCTTATGGCACCTTGCACTCCCCAAAGCCACAGCCGGAGCTCTACCTGGGGCCCTTTGAACCAAGACTGGAACTGGAGCAGTGGAATGTGAGGAGCAGCTTCCCAGGGTGGTGCAGGGCATCAGGGCCCCAGGCCTGGCCCTTTAAGCCATTCTTTCCTCCTAGGCCTCTGGGCCTACAATGTGACTCAGACCTACAGGTCTTGCTAAGGTTCCTCCACCAACTGGGCAGGATTCAGGGGCCTTTGTGTCTGTTAACAAAGCATCAAAGTCCTCTCCAGATACCTCCTCTCAATTCCCTTTCCTGGGGACCCTGTGACCTCCTGCTCTGTAACCTCCCTTCTCAATAATAGGGAAGAATCACATATATTTTGATAAATACTACTCACAGCCCTAACTCTAATTGTAACTTTCCCAGATATTTTTAATATATTTAGGAAATGTATTCAGCAAAACTATTCAGCAAATAGCTACCACCCATCATAGCCACTCACTAAATCTATCACCTATTGTGAATTTAAGGGAGTCTTGTCACTGGCTGCATTAAGCTTTGTCTTGCCATTAATAATATTTTCCATCCCTGAGGCTGCCCTGCAAGTAAACCTGCTTTAGTCTTTTGGGGTACCTAGGGCCTTTTTGAGAGATCAGCCTTGAGGTCCATTTTGGGAGATAACCTCAAGGTTATTAGTACCTTTACTGTTTATTTCTCTGTCCCTAATGCCACTTCACTGTCCCCAGGTGGCCAAGGGTCTGAAAGGTCATTTCCCCCCATCTAGCAAGAGCAAGTCCTCCTTACTCCTCCACGAAGCTTTCTCAAATTTTATGAGAACCCTCTGATCCCTTCCTTTCAGGAAGTTGTGCCACACCATTTTTTTTTTTAAATAGGGTCTTACTCTGTTGCCCAGGCTGAAGTGCAGTGGTGTGATCACAGCTCACTGCAGCCTCGACCTCCCAGACTCAAGCAATACTCCCACCTCAGCCTCTCAAGTAGCTGGGACTACAGGCGTAGTCCACCATGCCCAGCTAAGTTTTGTATTTTTTAATAGAGGTGGGGTTTCACCATGTTGCCAAGGCTGGTCTCAAACTCTTGGGCTCAAGCAATCTATCCACCTTGGCCTCCCAAAGTGCTGGGATTACAGGCATGAGCCACTGGGCCAGCCTGTGTCACAGCATTTAGCATTTATATTTATTTCACCTAGTTGGTTTCCTCATTGCTCCCCAGGTTAAATGTTGACTTTCCACCTTCATGTATTACATATAGCACCCAATATTATCCTAGACACAGGGCTGGTATGTTATACATTTTTTGATTACTTGATTGAGAAGGTTAAAAATGCTGAATTGGAAGACATGAAAGTAGGGGCCACGTGCATCTAAAACTAGAAAGGTGGTGATCTATGGAGATTAAATCTGCCTCTTCCCAAGAAAAAAATGAACCAACACTGGGAAGTATTCTCCAAAGCATTCTTTACACTTTCCTGTGTCCTTATTTTTCAACGAAGAGATTCTTATTCACACTTTTCCATTCCAAATTACCCATTACCATTCTAATTAAAATTTGACCCACATCCCTCATCTCCATATAGATCCATGGTCCCCTCCCCGACCTCTTCAGAGATCAGACCTATGTGAAAGGATATGCAAGAAAATATTATTTCTGACACCAGAACTACCAGCTGCAGAAAAAAAGCAGTTGAGTTGCTAAACAATAAAGCTGACTATTTCTCTAGTAATATTTCAGTATGTTATTGGAAGTTAGAGGGGTTCCCCCTTCTAAAGCTCTCCCATATATGACTTCCTTATAGCTTTTCCACCATTTCTCTCCCCTGCCCCCAAAAGGAGACCTCCACTTATAAGCCTCAGAAAGAAAAATGTAATTTTCAAAGAAATTTACAATTGGAAGTGGAAAGGTACTGGGTGACAGTGTGAGTAGAAGAGTTGTAACAGACATGCATGATTACAGCCTTTGTTCCTTTTCACTCCAGGGAGAGTCACAACAGCCAGAAGAGAGCCAACCATAGCATGGAGCAGAAGAAACACGCAGGACTAAATTCCAAAAGGGAGCCTCTCATTTCACTTCAGTTACCCATCAGCCATATGACGTTAGCAAGTCAGTCTCTTCCAATTCCAATTTCTTTCTACAACTGGAACAGGACAGTCTATCTGTGCAACCTACCAAGTTCCACCAGGATCAAACAAAGTGAGGTAAGAACAAGAGAGCAGCCACTCCTGAATGTGGCCTTTTCACAGCCAGGTGCCTCTGAAACATCGTAGCTGTTAATCCTCATAAGTCTCCTGTAGATCATATTATTATATCCCCATTGTACAATGAGCAGACACAGCTAATTGAGGACCTTGTTCAAGGTCACCAGCCAGTAAGTTATTCAAACTTGTTTAGCCCATGTTTAACTTCCACATTATACTGCCTCCCTCTATATTTTGAAATAACTTTAAAACTACAAATCTATACAGTTTTATTAAAATGTATATGAAAAAATAAGTCCCTGAGGAAGAAGTTGGCAGCCAGATTTGATTCACTTATTCCTTTTCTACTCCCCACCTCCCACCATCAATTTTATCAAGTTCCTTCCTCCTCCCAATCTCCCTCTTCTAGTTATTCCTTTTTTTAATTCCTCTTACGATTTTCCTTTTGTGCACTTCTCCTCTGTTGTCATTCCAACCTTCTGTAATTAACATGAGAACAAACCCCTACAACTTGAAAGTGCATGCAATTAAAACAATGTATCAATTATATTTACTATGAATGTAGGACCCATTTTGAGCTTTTTCTTTTTTGTTTGTTTTGTTTTTTAACCACCCCTTTATTAGGTTAACTTTAGACATAGCTGAGACTTTTATGAAGATGAAATGACAGAATGCTTAGCAAACTTAAAAAACAGACATCATGGGCCGGGCACGGTGGCTCATGCCTATAATCCCAGAACTATGGGAGATGAAGGCGGGCAGATCACGAGGTCATGAGATGGAGACCATCCTGGCTAACACGGTGAAACCCTGTCTCTACTAAAAATACAAAAACTTAGCCAGGTGAGGAGGCACGCGCCTGTAGTCCCAGCTACTTGGGAGGCTGAGGCAGGAGAATCACTTGAACCCAGGAGGCAGAGGTTGCAGTGAACCAAGATCACGCCACCGCACTCCAGCCTGGGTGACAGAGTGAGACTCCGTCTCAAACAAAAAAAAAAAAAGAGAGAGACATCATGAAACAAAGTCATTTCCATTTTTAGATTATCAGCACATAATTACACTAGAATGTTATCAGACCAAAAAAAAAAAAAAAAAAAAAAAAACACAGATTTGACTATACAGTGAATCCTCAATTATATGTGTGGCTAGTACAGAAGGGCACTGTTTACCCGTCCCTGTTTTTGCCTCCCTTGGATGCTTTTCCCCCCAAACCTAGGGAGCTGCCCCTCTCTCTGGGCCACGCAGCACTTTGTTCATTTTCTACCTTAGTTATCATCGTAGCCGGGTTATATTGCAGCCTGTTTTCACATTAGTCTCCCCAACTTAACAGAGAGGGCTAGGGCAAAAAAACAGCATTTATTCATCTTTATATTCCAAGAATGCCCGGTACATGAAGATCCCCAACACATGTCTGTTGAATGATGGAACAGAAATTCACATTTAGCAGAAAAACATGCAGCCTTCAGACAGACCGGGGTTACCATAGGGCAGGACACATTGGCGATTACTGGCTCTTAATTTGCTTGCAGGAAAATAATCTAAAGCCTTTGGTTCTTGAGAAGAGGAAGCAGAAATGGTGCCTTTTTCAAACCATCCTCCACCGGCTGGAGCTGGCTCACTTTTCATCCTGCTGACAATTTTCTGAGTTACAGTTTACACCAACGTTGTCACAGAGTTGATCACCTGAAAACCAGCCCTCCTTTCCTTCCCGTGGCAAGGGTATCCTGCCACACTCCTCTCACTCAGCCCAAAGATCACTTGCAGAACCAAAGAATGAATTTATTTGTTGCAACCTGCACCGGAACTTTGTAGTATTCCAATTTCTCCCCTTTCCACACACTTCCATACACCCTATTTCACCTCTATTACAAGTTCTCTGGGGCCACTTTACAGATGATAAAACTGGGCTGAAAATGTGTTTAAGGTCACATGAGTGGAACCCAGTTCTTCTCCTTCCTGATGCCTAACTAGGCGTCCCCAGCCATATCCCCGGGGCAGCTTTTACAAAAAGTCTCACGCCAGGGCTTTATCCCCTCACGTGATTCAGGACATCTGGGGTGGGCCCAATAGGTGTGTTCTGAAAAGCTCTCCTGGTGCTTCTGGGAGGCGCCTCGGGTTAGGCAGCGACGCACAAAACATAAACCCTGTCATATCATTATTTATTCCGTGAATACATCGGAGTTCTGTTCTTTCGGTGGCCACACAGATGCTCAATGCCACGACCCTTGAATAACTGCCATAGTTGTCACTTCACTTGGCTTTTTCAATAAAATGAACAGGTCCCGCGCTCCTAGACCCATGAACACTCGGGAAGCCCCAGGGGTATCTCTGTCCTCGACACAGCAGGGGCCCTACAAACCCAACACGGCTGTGCACCCGCCAAAGTGCCCACGCCCACCGTGGCGGGGCGTGTCCTGCCCGCCCCCATCAGGGGAGTCCTGCTCTCGAAATTATCCCGCGCGCCGCCGGTAATCCGGGGTGACGCCACGGCCCAGGTCTCTTTTCTCCCGGAGTCTGCGGGGACCTCCCCGCCGCAACTCGGTCACTTTGTTCCCATTAACTCAGTCTCTGGGAGACGGGCTAAGCTGGCACTTGAGATTCTCCCGTTGGGGTGGTTCAGCAATGATCACCCCGCCGTCTGCGCAGACAGCCCCGCCCCCAGCCTCGGAGAGCACAGGACCCGGGAGGCGGCGACCTGCCTCCGCGCGGGGACAGTGGCCGGCGGGGCGGGCGCTAGGTGGCGGCTGTTCAGCTCCCACGTCACCCGGCCCGCCCTCCGCCCAGCGCAGAAGCGAAGAGCTGCAGACGACGGAGAAAAGGGAAGCGCGCCCCAAGCCGCACAAAGGTGGCCGCCGGTGTCCCAAGCACCGACCGCCATCCCCGGCAGGACGCAGGCAGGAGCCTCGGCCAGGCTACCTCGCCTGGCCCGCGGACTCCGCGCGGCACGTGGGCACCTGCGGCACGGGTTGGAGCCCCCGCCCCACGCGCCCACCTTAACGCCGCGCCCCCGGCTCCCCGCCCCGCTGCCAGCCAGTTCTCTCGCTCGCCCCTGCCTCACCTGCCTTTCCTACCTACCCGCCGCCAAGTTTCCCCCGCTTGGAAAGTTCTGGAGTCCGGAGCCCGTGGCCCACTGGGTCAGCTCCGGCCGGCGGGTCCGGGCGGCCGCTGGGCGTGCGGCGCAGCTCCGACTCGGCGGCGCGGAAAAGGGGAAGGGGAGGAAGGGGCGGGAGCCTCGGCGGGGCGATCCCCCTCCGACCCCAGCCGGCCCGCGGTAGCCGCCTTGGGAACTTCTGCGCTATGATTATCCGCCCCCGCGTTGGGGACTTTGCCTCTCTTCCGCGAGACTCTTGTCATCGCCGCCCGCGGTTAAGAGTTGGGGCTCCGGGTCGGGCTGCCTCAGTTCAGATCTTGCTCCTCCACTTAGGAGTGTGTGATCTGAGGTAACCTACTCTACCCCTCTGCAAAAGGAGGGAAATTAATAATAATAATAACAATAATTCCTATCCAGGGGCGAATCCACGTGTTGTGGGGCTTGAAACTGAAACAACTGTGAGTAGAGGTGGCGAATCTTCAAGGGAAGTATAAAATGAGATTCTGGGATTAGCAAGCATCTGTGCGCGTGAGGGGGCCCGAAGCTTAAGCTTCATTAGCTTCACGTCTCAAACTGCCTCTGCAATGTTCTTCATGAGATTAATTAAGTGCGAGAATTAAATGAGGTGAGCCGCGAACGGGGCCTAGCATAGTGCGGGGCGCACTCAGCAGGTGTTGTTTATAGGGATCATTTCCCTGTAACTGGCCAGGTGGACTTGGGAGAGGAGGAAATAATGCTGATTGTCAGTTATGTGCCAGGTGTTAGAATACGTGTTAAACTCAATTCATATGCCAACGCGTGCGTAAGCAATATGCCAGTTTTATAGCTCAGAACACCGAGGCTCAGGGAGTCACGTAACTTGTTCATGGTTTCACCGAAAACCCAATTCTGCCACGTTGCAAAGACCCGCTTTTTCCACAGTTCCATCTCACAAATATGAATATGTAACTATGTTACCATAACTTGTTGTTTGGGCAAGAGAAGAAATTCCCCCATGAGTGAATTGTTAATGAATTTTCAGTGCAAAATTTCCCCAGCTCATGCAACAGCAAAGAAGACTTGCCCTGCATATGAAATACCTGGAAAATCAACAAATTTACTGAAATGTGTTCAGGTTACACATTTGCTTGCTCTGTTAGGACTATGTGTTTAGTTTTTATATTGGTTATTAATACTACTGCACTTCAGATGAATGAGTTTATAATCTATCCCCAAAGGGCGTATAAACGAAGACAACAACATAAGGAAAGGAACTTTCCTGTTCAAGGCACTTCATTCTTTTTCTCATTGAATTTCAAAATCTCTATGCTGTAGTTGTAATACCCTCAATTAACTAATGAAAACTCAAAAGTAGATTAAGTTGTCTAAGTTCACACAGATAGTCAGGATTTGAACCCACCTGATTTGCCTGGATTCTAAATCTTAGCTCTTTTTTCTGCACTTTGGGGGAGAAGAGAAGAAACTATTTTAAATGCATGAAGTCAGGCTGGGCGCGGTAGCTCACGCCTGTAATCCCAGTACTTTGGGAGGCTGAGGCTGGCAAGTTTGAGACCAGCCTGGCCAATATGGTGAAACCCCTTCTCTACTAAAAATACAAAAAAATGAGCTGGGCATGCTGGTGGGCACCTGTAATTCCAGCTACTCGGGAGGCTGACGCAGGAGAATTGCTTGAACCTGGGAGGCAGAGGTTGCAATGAGCCGAGATAGGGCCATTGCACTCCAGCCTGGGCAACAAGAGTGAGACTCCATCTCACAAAAAATAAATAAAATAAAATAAAATAAAATAAAATACATGAAGTCATTTATGTTTTGCAAAGTGGAAGAAAAGAGTATATCAAAAGTAAGTCGTTATTTTAAGTTTCTATTGCAGGAGAACTAAACAGAAAGCTTAGATCCACAACTTAGTTATTTAGGGTGAGGAAGGGAGAGTGCCTGCTACAGTGCCAGGCACATAATAGGACATTCGTTGCATGAATGAATGAATTCATAAAAGAATTAGTGAAATTCTTTTGGGTCGTTGGTAGTGCCTCTTAAGTCACAGCCTTTCAATATGTAGTTCTTATAAAATGCCAGTATCGTGAAGAGATTTTCCCCCCTCTACTTTTGTTCTCCCTCTTGGGTAATAAAAGGGACAAATCAAATTTTTAGGGGGAGCAAAAGGAGAGTGGAAGCAGGAAAGGACAGAGAAGAATAAAAGGATCATAGGAATAAGGAGAAGGAGAATGAGACACATCCTTTCCGTTGCCTCTTCAGAGAGAAAGATTTTATATCTGTCAGAAACATGAATAAAACTACAAAAGTGCATTAAATTTTCTAACTAAATTGTGAAATAGTTTGTTATTGTATTACTGTAAAAGCAACAATATTTTGTTAAGACAGAAAATAAACCTTGCACCCATGCACACTCCCACCCCACAACATGTGAGTCCAGCTGTGGCTCGGATGGGGTAGGCAGATGGGAGATTGCACATTTAGATAAAGAAGGCAAGTTCACTACTTCTCCTTCAGGCAGGTAGTGAACTTTCATGCAGGAATTGAACTTTCAAAGACTTTCAAAAACAAATTCAATAAAGGAAGTGAGAGAGGGAGGATACATACAACTTTCAAGGAATAGATGGTTTTTCCAAAGTTTAGAGGAGGGAAGGAAATCGCTCTAATGAAAGGAATAACAGCTACCATTCTAGTGCTTATTCAGGCAAGCTGACACCAGAGCCCATGTTCTTTTGCCCATGCTATTGGGCACTTCACAGCAGAACAGGTTTAGACCAACTGATCTAGAAATGGCAGGCTGGAGAACAGAAAGTGAGAGCGAGGAGGGAGGAGGGACTCACATTACTTTTTTTCTTCTTCTTTTTCTTTTTTTGAGTAAGAGTTTCACTCTTGTTACCCAGGCTGGAGTGCGATGGCGCCATCTCGACTCACTGCAACCTCCACCTCCCAGGTTCAAGTGATTCTCCTGCCTCAGCCTCCTGAGTAGCTGGGATTACAGGCACCTGACACCACACCCAACAATTTTTTTTTTTTTTTTTTTTGTGAGACGGAGTCTTGCTCCATCACTCAGGCTGGAGTTTGGTGGCGCAATCTCAGCTCACTGCAACCTCTGTCTCTCGGGTTCAAGCGATTCTCCTGCCTCAGCCTCCTGAGTAGCTGGGATTACAGGCACATGCCACCATGCCCAGCTAATTTTTGTATTTTTAGTAGAGACGGGGTTTCACCATGTTGGCCAGGCTGGTCTTGAACACCTAACCTCAGGTGATCTGCCCACCTCGGCCACCTAAAGTGCTTGGATTACAGTCATGAGCCACCACGTTTGGTCTGTGGGTGCTTTCTTAAAAGACCTACAGAAGATGTGAGGCCCTTGAGCTTGAAGATTAAAGCAGTCATTCCCCAATCCCAGACTGAGAGTACAGCCTTCCTTAGTTGTATACCTAGTCACAACATCCCTCATTTGCAGATGTCACTAGCGCATCCAGCAGTCCTTAACTTTCAAGTACAAGATCTTTGGTTATATACCATCAGTACAGCTGTGCACTGTTTATTAATACACACCGCACCCCCTGCCCCATAACCTGCAACTACCTTTCATACACCAAATTCCATTTTGGGTCATGATCTAAGAGATGACACCAACCATTGAGTGATGGGTGTTGCTGTTAGCCACTCATCAAAAGAAGCACAGACGCCGGGGGCTTGTGGTCCCAGCGCCCACCACCCCATGCCAAAGAACCATGTTCTTGGACCTCTGCCTCCACACAGACGGCACTCATGAAGGAGGCTCAGGGGTCATGTCCCAGTGCCTAGAACCTGCTCTCCTGGGTTGGGGAATGGGGTTAGTTCCAGCAGACACAGCCTCAATTCTTTGGTGAAATAATACAATCAAATCCTCTGTAGGTACAGAAGATGAAGATCCTCACCCCCTACCCTGTTCCAACTAAACAACGGCATGATGTTGGTAGTTGGGTTTAATCGACCCAGGTGCCTGGGACATGGGTGGCCTGACCCCAGCAGCCATCTCCCTGCCTTGGGTTCCAGAGTGAGGGCTGACAGGCTAGAACTCTCACTGGCAGCCCTGGCCGCTCAAGCCTGAGGGAGCCAGGACCTACAGAGACCATCATGAGAAATTTTCTAATCAAAATTTTTTTCTAGTAATGAGAAATATTTCTAACATCTACAGGTTTTGTTGTTTTTTTCTTTTTCTATTTTTTTTTTTGTTTTGTTTTTTGCCTTTAAACACATTTCCAGGAACTCATTAGTTACCAATGTAAGGGACCACCTTAATGAATAAATTACTCCAAGGATATAGAATTCCCTTTTGTTGCCACAGCCTCTTATTCTGCCCACCTTGTCTTGCTTCCTATTTTAAAAAATGTCTTTGTGACCTTTAATCCCTAGAACCTCTTCCTACTTTCTTAGTTCATTACCTCCATTCTGACTTCCCTTACCTCTCCACTCACTATAGGTCAGTTTTTGTTGCTGTGGTTTTGTGTGTACGTGTGTGCACTTATTTCCTTACCGCCATAAGCATGACTCTTCATTTCCTTGACTTCTCTCCATTTCCAGTCAGAAATCTCCCCTCATTCACTTGTTTTGTTACTTTCTCAAATTGTTACGTGCTACTGGGACATCAAAAGAGTATGTTGATTGGATCTACTCTGAATATAATTTCAGAAGAGCACATACAGCTTTTTAGCATCTTTTTCATCATCTCTTGTGTTAGTCCATTTTCATACTGCTATGAAGAAATACCCAAGACTGGGTAATTTCTAAAGAAAAAGAGGTTTAGGCCAGGTGCGGTGGCTCAAGCCTGTAATCCCAGCACTTTGCGAGGCCAAGGCCGTCAGATCACCTGAGGCCAGGGGTTCAAGACCAGCCTGGCCAACATGGTGAAACCCCGTCTCTACTAAAAGTACAAAAATTAATTGGGTGTGGTGGCAGGTGCCTGTAATCCCAGCCACTCGGGAGGCTGAGGTAGGAGAATTGCTTGAACTCAGGAGATGGAGGTTGCAGTGAGCCAAGATTGTGCCATTGCACTCCAGCCTGGGCGACTGAGCGAGACTCTGTCTCAAAAAAAAAACAAAGAAAGAAAAAGAAGTTTAATGGACTCACAGCTCCACGTGGCTGGAAAGGCCTCACAATCATGGTGGGAGGCAAAGGAGGAGAAAAGTCATGTCTTACATGGTGGCAGACAAGAGAAAGTGTGCAGGGAAACTGCCCTTTATAAAGCCATCTGATCTTGTGAGACTTATTCACTATCATGAGAACAGCTGGGAAAAACCTGCCCCTATGATTCAATTACCTCCCACTGGGTCCCTCCCATGACACATGGGGAGTATGGGAGCTACAATTCAAGATGAAATTTGGGTGGGATACAGCAAACCATATCATCTCTTTATTACATTTTCTACCTCTGCAATTCTAAACCTTTTGCATCCAAGATCTCAACTTTTCCTCCTCCTCATTCTCAACAGAGTGAATTGCCTTCTTCTTCAAGTAGAAATACTTCCCACTGGAGCTTTCACAAATATTTTTGCATCTTTCCATTATTTATTTTTCTTCTTTCTTCTCTGAGAAAATGGTTCTCCTTGCAAAAGCTAATCCCTGTGACTTCAGCTCAAAACCCCAAACTTCTCCAGGATTAGACTATTGGTTGTCACATTTTACTTGCATTTTCAGAGTCCTCCACTTTATTGACTCTTGGGCCTCTGCTTTCAAGCTTATGTCTTCATTATTCTTTAAATAATAATCATTAATATTAATATAAAATTTTCCAGCAGCGTTGCCACTTCCTGAAACTATTGACTTGTAGTTCAGTGCTCCCTTACTACCTCTGAAGTTTAATATTGAGTGTCAACTTGATTGGATTGAAGGATGCAAAGTATCATTTCTGGATGTATCTGTGAGGGCATTGCCAAAGGAGGTTAACATTTTATTCCGTGGACTGGGAGAGGCAGACCCACCCTCAATCTGGGTGGGCACCATCTAATCAGCTGCCAGTGCCGCCAGAATAAAAGCAGGCAGAAGAACGTGGAAAGACTAGACTGGTTTAATCTTCTGGCCTACATCTTTCTCCTGTGCTGGATGCTTCCTGCACTTGAATATTAGACTCCAAGTTCTTTAGCTTTGGGGCTCAGACTGGCTTCCTTGCTCCTCAGCTTGCCAACAGCCTGTTGTGGGATCTCACCTTGTGATTGTGAGAGTCAACACTCCTTAATAAATTCCTCTTTATATATACATCTATCCTATTAGTTCTGTCACTCTAGAGAACCCTGACTAATACACCACTGAACTTTGTCAATGCATGTCTCTGCCCATTACCATTGGTTCTTGTCCCTACTCACTGTGGAACCCCTTAGTATCCACACCTTGCAATCTGGCTTCCTCACCACTCTGCTTTACCCGTTCTTTGCAATCAACAGTGACGTCTTCTAACTGCCAAGCCACTGGGCTCAGTCTTTAGCATCTTAACTTTTCCAAATGATTTACCATAAAAATGGTTCTGAACCATTTACCAGGTTGATCTGTGCCTCTCCCTTCACATTCTCTTCCCAAAGGCTCTTTTTTAAAAAAGGAAACAGGGGATTTTAAAATTAGCTTCGTGATTTAAATTACTGTTATTACTCCTATTTAGTGGTCTTAGTTTCTTTGACGGTCTACCAGTTTGAACACTTCAAAACAAGCCGGACACCTGAGCATCTCATGTCATACATCAATAATCCAAAATTAGGTAGAATCGTTGCAGGCTGAATGTTTGCATCCCCCAAAAATGTATATGTTGAATCTTAATCCCCAAAGTGATGGTATTAGGAAGTGGGGGCCTTTGGGAGGTAATTAGATCATGAGGATGCCACCTTCATGAATGGGCTTAGTGCCCTTCTAGAAGCGACTTCAGAGATCTCTCTTGCTCTCTTTCCTCCATGTGAGGATACAATGAGAATCCTGCAGTCTGGGACCTGGAAGAGGGCCCTCACCAGAACCCACTCATGCTGGCACCCTGGTTTTGGAATTCCAGCCTCCAAAACTATGGTAAATAAATTTCCGTTGTCTATAAGCTACGCCATCTATGGCATTTTTGTTACAGCAGCCTGAACTGAGTAAGACACATTTTATATATTCTCTCAATCTTTTCTGTCTATGCATTTGCTTGGGGAAGGAGGACAGGGTTCTAAGTAGCCCCAAGGAAATAGCTAATAACCCTAAGCAGAGGCAAAGCAATTATCAAGAAATTAAAGGAAATCCTACATGAAATTATCTGTCCATTCAAAGCTGTTATCTCTGCATTGAGGAAATAATGCCAGCCCTAGCAGAAAGTAATTCCTCCGTTTGCTTCAGTGATTCTGTATCTCCTGGCTCTCCTAACACTCAAAATATTTCTTTATCGTCATTCTTTCCTCTTTTCTTTTCTTAAATGTGGGGGTCTTCCAATATTTTAGCTTGAAACATTTCCCTTTATCTTCGCTCATTCTCCTTTCCACTTATGTTCTTGGGAAGCACATAATAAATCACTTCTAGGCATACAGATTCCAAATCGCTAGCCCTGAAAGATCCCCAGTCACAAGATACCTGTTTTTTGTTTTTTTTTTTTTTTTTTTACTGCCTGCTGAACATCTTGCCCTGCAGTGCGCACCAGACTTTCTCACTCAACATTCCAAACTGAACTCAGCATCTTATCACTATAACTAGTTTCTTATTTCAATTTTCATAATTCTAGCAGCACTGCCATTCTCCCAGATGCCTACATTTGAAAACTAACTTTGTGCCTCTGTTTCTTCTCTGTCCTTCCCTCCCCGTATTGTATGTCCCAAATCTATCAAAAGTGCACTTAGAGTAAGCTTGGCATGTGTATTCTTATGATACCTATCTTATTCTCTTGGGAATTACACAGATGTGACCGTTTTAAGGAAAATCCATAAAAAGAAATGAAATTTAAATAGTAGTATTTAGATACTTAAGTTAGTATCAATGATATTATTCATTCTACAAAAAAGTACTTTTGTATAACCTCTTGACAAGTACGAGATGTAAAATTCAACTTCTACCTCTAATAATTTAATTTTTACAGGCTAAAATTACATGCAGTTATCTTTTTGCCTACTAGAAGAAAATAGTAACATTTTTAAACTATATATCTGTCATTTGTCCAAGTAATTTTATTTTCATGTGAAAAGTTTAAGCATACAAAGAAGAGAAAGTAGTAAAATGAACTCTCATATGACCATTGCTCAATTCAATAAATACCAATATTTTGCCATGTGTGCCTAATATATTTTTTCTTTTCTTTTGTTAAAGTATTTAAAGCAAAACCCAGACATCAGCTTATTTCATTCCTGTTTACTTTCTTATGCTATTATAATAGTGGTATATAATAGAAGCATATAAGCATATCCATACTAGCACATAAAGCATATAATAGTGTTATAATGTGATCATAACACTAGCAAAATTGATGGTCATAGCTTGGTGTTGTATAAAACCCATACTGTATTCAAATTTTCTCTATTGTCTCAAAAATGTGTTCTTACAACTGTTTTTTTTGGGGAGGGAGGGGTATTGTTTTGTTTTATTTTAATCAGGGACCACACAAGTTCTACCCAATGCATTTTGTTGTTATTGCTCATAACTCCTTTTTAGTCTTTTTATTTTCCATGCCATTAACTTGTGGAAGAAACCAGATCCATAATATTCAAACATCCCACATTCTGCATTTGTCTGTTTACTTCCTTGTGGTACAGTTTAACAACTTGTTCCTCTATTCTCATCGTTTCTGTAAACCGATGCCACTGTTTTGTTTTTTGCATTTTGTATATTTTTCCCACTGCGTGTGAGTCACTCAAAAAAATACATCTTTCAGTGATGCCTTTTTTCCTGGATTCATCTCAGTTGGGTTTTAATCTTTCAATAGATACCAATTATGATGAATTAGTCATATTCTAATGATTTCCCTAAGAATAGATTGATGCATTAATAAGGGATCTGACAACACATAAACATGGGTTGAATAAAAGAAAATTATTTTAGAAAAATTCAGGAAATGATTATAATTGTTTTATATAGCTAAGTTCTTTGATTCAGTATGCGGTACTGTAAGAACATTCTCTGCGGTATTATGAGATATATATAAATATATATATTGGTTTTTGTCCACTGTTCCTGGTTCATACCTCCCATAAGCCCTTGCTACAGTCTTTGTTCTAATGTTGGGTGTATTTGGCCTCAGGGATAGGCCTCTGCCTTTCTCCTGCCTTCCTTTCACTCTCCTGTTTCCCCGCCTGTCTGATAGTGGGTGGGTCTTAAAACCCTCCCAGGAGAGGGTCTCACTCTACACCCTGGGGTAAGGAAAGCTGATGTTTTGAAGCTTTCATAAAAAACCCAAGAGGACGGGTTCAGAGAGCTTCCAGGTAGCTGAACACACTGAGGTGCCTGCAGGTTGGCCTCCAGGGAGGGCATGGACGCTCCACGTCCCTTCCCCATACGTCACCCTACATGCCTCTTCATCTATATTCTTTGCAGTATCCTTTATAATAAACTGGTAAGTGTAAATAAGTGTTTTCCTGAGTTCTGTGAGTGGCTCCAGCAAATTAATTGAACCCAAAGAAAGGGTCATGGAACTTGCGACTGATGTGTGTGTAAGGGGAGGCAATCTTGGGACTCAGCCCTCAGCCTGTGGGATCTGACACTGTCTTAGGGTAAATGGTGTCAGAACTGGATTGGAGGACACCCAGGTTGTGTCTATTACTTGGTGTGTGGGAAAAAAAAAAAAAAAAACCCACACATTTGATCACAGAGTCTTCTGTGTTGACTGTTGTGTAAGAGTAGAGGAAAAATGTGGTTAGAGAGAGTTTTCTCTACTACATTCTCTTTTTCAAAATTTACTCATTTAAAATAAATAAAATACCTTCACATATCAATTATCATTTTTGATCATGAGAGCTGGGTTTTGAAGTTTATAGAAGTAAAGAAGCACTAGGCCGGGCACAGTGGCTCATGCCTGTAATCCCAGCACTTTGAAAGGCTGAGGCGGGTGGATCACCTAAGGTCATGAGTTCGAGACCAGCCTGGGCAACATGGTGAAACCCCTGTCCCTACTAAAAATACAAACATTAGCTGGGCGTGGTAGCGGGCACCTATAATCCCAGCTACTCAGGAGGCTGAGGCAAGAGAATCACTTGTACCTGGGAGGTGGAGGTTGCAGTGAGCCAAGATCATGCCACTGCACTCCAGCCTGGGCGACAGACCAAGCTCTGTCTCAAAAAAAAAAAAAAAAAAGGTAAAGAAGCACTTATTTTTGAGTGACTGGAGGGCTTTAACTTATGTCTGTGCAGACGTGTTATACTTAATAGTGTATGTGGGCAATCTTGTGTTTTAAACTGAAGCTCAATAAGGTGATTTATTTCCCAAGTATATATAGATATTATAGTCATATTTTTATCATAAATATATATAACTTTTTTATACAGATACAGTTTCTAAATATTTTCTCTACACTCAATAATATGAAAATTTCATAAAGGATATTATAATTACATTTATTGAGTACCTACAATATGCCATTTATATGTTTACACTCTTTATATGTAATAAGCCTTTTAGACTTTACAAAAATCCTATGAAATAGGCTTTAGAATTATTCTCGTTTAATAAGGAAGCAGAGGCAAAAATCAGTTAGGTCCCTTTTCCAAGGGCTTTCAGGTCCAGGATTTGAATCTAGGTAGCTTAGCCCTCTTGGTCTTTGCCCTTAATTTCCATGCTGTGCAAAGTTTGCATTAAAGTAGGCTAAGTGGGGAGGTGGGCGGAAGCAACTCATCAGGTCTCAGCCTGTGTAGGCCAGTGCCCACTTCCAGAGTGACCCCAGGAAACTTCTCCAGTTACAGAGGGGCTTTAGGGAATCCCCGTCCAAATAGGGCAGTGTGGGATAGACCCGAGAAAGCTGTTGAAGAACAGTGGAAATCCCCTGCCATCAAGAGATTTGAAAGAGTCTAGCATTTTCCTCTTTTGTCTCTTCAGATGGAACTAGTCCATTAGTTTATAGCAACTGCAGCAGGTCACAAAATAATGGGTATAAGTGCCCTTGGAGGAATCTAGACCAGCTCTGTGTAAGCTTAGCCACATTATCTTGGTCCACCATGCCTTTCAAAAACACTAAAGAGAGTGGAGTTTGCATTTTGAAGATCAGCTTAGAGTGAAATGACTTAGGTGAAAAGTTGCTTGTTACACTTGGCCTTTTTGTCCTTCATGCTGAATATTTCATTTTAGATCTTCAAAGACTTCTGTAAAGAAAGCTCTTCTAGATTAAGAAGACATTGTATTAAAGTTGCAATTGGATTGGTTGGGTTTTGTTTTGTTGCAAAAACACCTCTCTGTATCTGAAACCTCTCGACACCACCCGGAAAACTGTTGCTGAGATTATTTGTATTAGTTTGCTAGGGCTGCTGGAACAGAGTCCTGGTGGCTTACATTAACCAACACTTATTGTCTCACAGCTCTGGAGGCTAGAAGCCTGAGATCAAGCTGTTGCCAGGGTTGGTTCTGTCTGAGGCCTGGGAGGAAGAATCTGTTCCACAGCTGCCTGTTAGCTTCTGATAGTTTGCTGGCAATCTTTGGTGTCCCTTGGCTGGTAGATGCATCACCTAATCTCTATCTTCATGCTCACATTGTGTTCTTCCTATGTGCACATCTGTTTATGTGGCCAAATATTTCCTCTTTATAAAGGCACCAGTCATATTGTATTAAGATTCATCTTAATGACCTCAGTTTTAACTTTATTGCTTCTTAAAGACTATTACGTTTAGAGTATTTGTCCCCTCCAAAACTCATGTTGAAACTTAATCCCCAATGTGACTGTATTGAGAAGTGGGGCCTATAAGAGGTGATTGGGTCATAAGGGCCATGCTCTCATGAATGGATTAATCAATTCATAGGTTAGCGGATTAATCCACTCATAGATTAATGGATTAACGGGTTATCATGAGAGTAGAACTGATGGCTTTATAAGAAGAGGAAGAGAGACCTGAGGTAGCACAGTCAGCCCCCTCATCATGTGATGCCCTGTACCACCTCAGGACTCTGCAGAGAGTCCCCACAAGCAAGAAGGTTCTTACCAAATGCAGCCCCTTGGCTTTGAACTTCTCAGCCTCCATAACTATAAGAAATATTTCTTTCTTTGTAAGTTACCCAGTTTGAGGTATTCTCTTATTAGCAACAGAAAATGGATTAATGCAAAGACCCTATTTCCAAATAGGGTCACATTCCAAGTGAGGTACTCTGGGTTAGGACTTCACACTATTTTTAGGGGGGGGCACAATTCAACCCATAACACTATTTTTTGTTGTTGAAATTAATGTTTTGTTCTTCTATTTCCTTCTATTATTTTTATTTCTATTTATTTCTTAGATTATTGGCTGTGTTTTTATTTTTCAATGACAGAATTTTCTCCTCCATTCTGTCCCCTGTCCCCTCCACCGCCCTTGCCCTTTCCTGTCTGTCCAATTCTTTCTGCACATTGATTCTGGGTTAAACTTGTAGCGGCACAACGTTGAACAAGTAAATCTCTGCACAAAAATTCCCATTGCCCCCAGAATTGAGTCTCGGCTTCTTGGGTTGGCATTTTGGGCTCTTTTACAATCTGGCCTCCAACAGAGCTTCCCTTAAGAATGCTCTGCTCTTGACTGGCTTTCTTCTAAGATACATATTTATACTTCCACTTTTTCTTACCTTCTATTCTCTTTTTTCTAGAATACCCTCTCTCATTTATCTTTGTTGACCTGAGCCATATCCTTACTTAAATGCCAAGTTCAAGAACTACTTCTTTCAGAAGAGAGTCCCTATTCATTTCTAGGGGTCTGCTCTCTGCCAGTTATCACTACCTCTTCAGAAACCTTGAGCCATTCACTTGTCTTCTTTTATCTCCTCTCTTGTAGTAAATGCTGTATATAAGACACAGTAAATAGATGCTGATATGGTTTGGCTGTGTCTCCCACCCAAATCTCATCCTAAATTGTAGCTCCCATAATTCTCACATCTTGTGGAAGGGATCCAGTGGGAAATAATTGAATCACATGAGCGGTTTCCCCGATACTGTTTTCATGGTAGTGAATAAGTCTCATGAGATCTGTTGATTTTATAAGGGGTTTCCCCTTTTGCTTGGCTCTCTTTCTCTCTTGCTTGCTGCCATGTAAGATGCGCCTTTCACCTTCCACCTTCCACCATGATTGTGAGGTCTCCCCAGCCACGTGGAACTGTGAGTTCATTAAACCTCTTTTTCTTTATAAATTATCCAGTCGCAGGTATGTCTTTATCAGCAGTGTGAAAACAGACTAATACAGATGCCTTCACTTTTCAATTAGAGTATAAATTCCTTAAAGGCAAGGTTTATGTGATTTACTTCTATGTTCTTTTTTATTTTTGTATCCTTACCATCCTGACAAAAACTGGTACTTTATTTCATCAAGTCTAAAATGCTATCAGATGTAGGATGCACCATTATTTTATATACCAGTAGGAGGAAAAAATGTGACTGCTTAACTGAAGGCACAATGCTTTCTTATATTCTTTGTGGTATCAAGAGTGTTGATGACACAGCATTTCTTAAAAGACTTCGTAAAAGAACTAAAAGCCATTGGTGCTGAGCTGTTGAGCTGACTGTGCAAGTATAGAGCAAGAGCTTTTTGACCCTTGCTTCAGAAATGTTGCTAAACATATCAGATTCACTACTTGTCCCTACCCCTCTTCCCATTACAATTTGGGTTCTGAGAGCTAAGAAAATGATCCCATATTTGTCTCCGGATTTTTTCTCAAGCTGCTGACACCCCTTTGGACAGGTCTTGATTTTGGAGTTTTTAATATTTGGGTAAGCACAGTCAAGCCGTGTCATGACTGCCATTGGGCCAACAGTGATTATATGATGCTGCCTGATTTTGGAGATATAAAGATGTGAAGAGAAAACATGTACATCTTAAAATACAGCAAATGCAGTACATAGCATGTAGCTGACTGACTGAATGCTTAACAAATACTGTAAGTATCTTTAAGGGACAACTCTGGCTTAGTTTTGTTCAGCATCCATTCAGTCTTCTCCTGATAACTGTCCCCCTCTTTCTATCAATGGGTCCAACCCCTTACTACTGTGGGCTTGAGTACTTCTGCAGGCATTGACTTCGCCTGTGATCCAGGGGTGGAACATATGCCCATGGCTAAATTAATCATGTTGATGTCCCTGGCCAGAATGATTGGTCCAGGGATCATCTGGGATTTGAACCTGAAGTATATAGCTCTTGGAGCTACTGTCAGCTTCAGGAAGTGGAAACAGTACTGAGGAATCAGAAATGAGAAATTAACAGAGAGCAACAAAGTCCCAGTCACATATTCAAATCGTGGATCTTAAAGCACCAAGACTGAAGCTCCTGGACTCAGTGGTGGCATGAGCCCTAAGCTCTTTTTGCTTCAGCCTGTGGATTTCAATGTCCTTCTTTTGCAACTGAAATTATCTTGAATCAGAAAAGGGAAGATGAATCGCTAGGCAGAGAAACACATTCAAGAAATATTTATTGCCTGTCTACTGCATACTGGCACTGTGTTACATCCTGGGCTATAAAAATGAATAAAATAGTCGCTCCATTGAAGCGCTTCCTAGGTTGGAAGAGAAAAATCTTTCCACCAGCCTTGAGCAGGTTAGTTTGGCATTTTCCTTGAACTCTTTTGCACACCCTGAAAATGATAAATACTAATTTTGCATTAGTGGCTTCATTAGGAGGAATTTCCACAAGTCTGCAATATAACAGATAAAATTTGGACTTTTCTTAACCACATATTTGTGAGAAACTCCATCTTTTCCATAGCCATAATATTTTTTTTAAGAAAAAAATTAAGACATGATACCAATTTATCATGTGCAGTGGTGTGATCATGGCTCACTGCAGCCTCAACCTCCTGGGCTCAAGTGATCCTCCCACCTCAGCCTCTAATGTAGCTGGGACTATAGGCACACATCACCACATCCAGCTAATTTTTTTTTTTTTTTTTTTTTTTTTGAGACAGAGTCTCGCTCTGTCACCCAGGCTGGAGTGCAGTGGTGCGATCTCGGCTCACTGCAAGCTCCGCCTCCCAGGTTCACGCCATTCTCCTGCCTCAGCCTCCCAAGTAGCTGGGACTACAGGCGCCTGCCACCATGCCCGGCTAATTTTTTGTATTTTTAGTAGAGACGGGGTTTCACCGTGTTAGCCAAGGTGGTCCCCATCTTCTGACCTCGTGATCCACCCACCTTGGCCTCCCAAAGTGGTGGGATTACAGGCATGAGCCACCGCGCCCGGCCCGATTTTTGTATTTTTTGTAGAGACGAGGGTTTTGCCATGTTGCCCAGGCTGGTCTTGAACTTCTTGACACAAGCAATCTGCCCACCTCAGCCTCCCAAAGTGCTGGGATTACAGGTGTGAGCCAGCTCGCCCGGTCTAATACTATCTTTTAAAATAAGCAGTGCTGTTTCAAGGAAACTGTTACTGAAAGCATGCACAGACTCCCAAAGTGCTGGGATTACAGGTGTGAGCTACCTCACCCAGCCTAACATTATCTTTTAAAATAAGCACCACTGTTCCAAGAAAGTTGTTACTGAAGATATCCACAGAGACAGTAGAGGGTAGTTTGAATTAAATCTTTTTTAGGTCTATGTACCATGCACTACCGATATTCAAGTTTCAGTTACTCGGTAAAATAGAAAATATTCAGCAGTTTAGGCTGAAGAATAAGAAACGATGTGTCACTTGGGAAATAATGCCTGCTGTACAAATAAATGCCATATTCCTTGCATTGCTTAACATGGCAGAGATAAGCCAAATGATGTTGCTTATTAACATGCTGGGCATTTGAAATTGCATTTTAGCATTCCTATAAACAGCCTGACATTGAAAGATTTCAGTAATTTAGAGCTGGTTGGAAGAAATTATACTACTTAAAACTCATAAAAATTAGTATCCTCAAGTGCATATTTGAAAAAATGAGTTAGTTAATATCAATATGAATGGGAATTTAAAAAATCAAATGCTAAGTGGGAACACAGGATTTTAGTAGGAGTCTTATATAGGTGTAATATATTTGAATATTTGAAACCTAATAAATATGTGCATATGAAAGCCAATTTATATTATGCAAATTGTCTAGGACCTTGTGTCTGAGGCAAAAAACAGCTCTTATACAAATTAGAAATGATATACTAGAATTGAGAGAGACTTAAAGACCATGTGGGTGCAGGGAAAACTCTTCATTTGTAGAGGAGGGCTAAATTGAATAGATCCGAATATAACTTTCATGAAGGCAGGAGGTAGCCATAATCTCACAAAGAACAAATGTGAGGCAATTTTACAGGCTTTGACTATCAAAGAAACTTTCTGTATGGTGATAACTATGCATATATTATTGGCTCTTTTTTGAAAAACGGAAAGAGCTTTTCCAGAAATACAACAGTGACATGCATCACCACTCAAATTTTGACTATGTACAGAATGACTGTTAGGAGGTCACTTTGGCCTTACAGTGCCCATAATGCTTTCAGAAAGACGTGCCCAGTCAGGTGCAGTGGCTCATGCCTGTAATCCCAACACTTTGGAAGGCTGAGGCAGGCAGATCGCTCAAGGCCAGGAGTTCAAGACCAGCCTGGCCAACATGGTGAAACCCCATCTCTACTAGAAATACAAAACTTAGTCAGGTGTGGTGGCGCTTGCCTGTAATCAGCTACTCGGGAAGCTGAAGCAAGTGAATCGCTTGAACCCTGGAGGCGGAGGTTGCAGTGAGTGGAGATTGTGCCATTATACTCTTTTGGAGACAGAGCAAGACTCCATCTCCAAAAGACATGCCCTTTGACTGGCTCTCTGTGAATAGCATCCTGAGAGTTCCATCTGACTTCCCACTAGAAACATTCCAAGAGTCCTGGCCTGGATAGGGATATTGTTTGAATCTTACTATAGAATTTGTAGTGAGCAGGCCGGGTGCAGTGGCTCACACAGGTAATCCCAGCACTTTGGGAGGCTGAGGTGGGCAGATCACTTGAGGTCAGGAGCTCAAGGCCAGTGTAGCCAACATGGCGAAACCCCATTTCTACTAAAAATACAAAAAAATTGCCAGGTGTGGTGGCATGTGCCTGTAATTCCAGCTACTCAGGAGGCTGAGACAGGAGAATCACCTGAACCTGGAAGGTGGAGTTGCAGTGAGCCAAGATCATGCCACTGTACTCCAGCCTGGGTAACAGAAGAAGACTCTCTAAAAAAAAAAAAATAAAAATAGAATTTGGAGTGATCAAAGTTGCTGGCTTAAAGAGTGAATAAACCCACAAACATGGTCTCGGTTTTGGGGTTTTTTTTGGTTTGTTTTAATACTTCTCTCTCTCTCTCTTTTTTTTTTTTTTTTTTTTGACAGAGTTTCTGCTCTTATTGCCCATGCTGGAGTGCAGTGGTGTGATCTTGGCTCACCACAAGGTCCCTCTCCCAGGTTCAAGCGATTCTCCTGCCTCAGTCTCCCGAGTAGCTGGGATTACAGACATGCACCACCACGCCCAGCTAATTTTCGTGGTTTTAGTAGCCACAGGGTTTCACCATGTTAGTCAGGCTGCTCTCGAATTCCTGACGTTAGGTGATCCACCCTCCTCAGCCTCCCAAAGTGCTGGGATTATAGGCATGAGCCACCGCTCCCGGCCTTAAAAATACTTTTCATTAAATAAATTCATCACCTTTAAACTTTTTTTTCAGATTTTTGATACAGAAGCCTGAATAACCAGCTCAAATGCAGTTCATACATTAAGCATTCTCAGGTGCTCCTACAACAAACGAATAACCTCTGCAATCTTTTTCTACTGTACCCATAACAGTATATACATATTATTTAGCATTCAGTTTCCCATTAGTAATGTACATTTTATCAAAATAAACTTGTGTTATCAAACGAAGAACTCCTTCATGCACATATGCCTTATTTACCATCTTAAAAATTCCTATCTGCATGACACAATCTTTGGAGTGTGGGAAATGTAATTAGTACTTCATGTCTTAGTATATGAATTTTAAAGAAGTTCTAGGGCTGAGAGAAAAGGGTTAAAGATGTATTGGCTTCACTATACTAATCATGTGTTGTTTCTTATCATAGAACAGCAAGAAAGAGATAAGTGGGTGTGGGGGGAGGGGGGAGGGATAGCATTGGGAGATATACCTAATGCTAGATGATGAGTTAGTGGGTGCGGCGCACCAGCATGGCACATGTATACATATGTAACTAACCTGCACAATGTGCGCATGTACCCTAAAACTTAAAGTATAATAATAAAAGAAAAAAAAAAAAAGAAAGAGATAAGTGGGAAGGGAGATAGAACAAAAGCCAGAGAACATGCTGAAGGGCTAGAGGAAAAAAATGAATGTCTAATCAGCTTTCATCCTCATGAGTGTGAACATGCTGGCTTTCCACAATTTGCCTTCCACAAATTTTAAGTCTATTTAAAAGAACTGAAAGACAACGTGCATATTTAGTCCTGTGCTCCCACGATATAGTCATCACCTCCAAAGTCCTTACTGACATGTATTTACCTCAGATTTCACCTTCCATAAATCAATAATTGTTTTCCTCTGCATATGGGAAACATTTTGGTTTTAGCAATATATTTTTTCTTCAAGAAACTAAAGGAATTTTCATGTGATCCTATAAAAATGGGTATTGTGTCACTTTTTATTCAATCAAATATGTATTTTGAGATTTACTTGGCTTGAGACTTTCATTTTATGTGAAATTATCAAGTTATTTGAACATTTGATATTTTTCACACATGCTTATTTGTATGCTGATGATAGAAACAAGTGTGTATTTCTTTGAAAGATGTTGAGGTTAGGAAAAAACCCCAAAACCTATGATGCTTGTCAGACTTGATAAAACTAAACTCACTGAGGTAAGGTTGTTAACACATCAGAAAACATCAGAGTTCCACATTGAACGTAAAGGGTAGAAAGATTCATAATCAATCTATGTTTAGCATTTTTCTGTGTCCCATCTCAACTGTATCCAGTCCTCATTGTTCCTCATGAATTTGTTTGTTCATTTATTTATTCACTTACTCATCATTCAACAAACAGTTATTGTGTCCACTCTGTGTCATGCACCACTCTAGAATCTGGAGATGCATTGGTGCACTACATTTTTTTTTTTTTTTTTGAGACAGAGTCTCACTCTGTTGCCCAGGCTGGAGTGCAGTGGCATGTTCTCAGCTGGGTGCAACCTCCACCTCCCAAGTTGAAGTGGTCCTCCTACCTCAGCCTCCCGAGTAGCTGGGAATACAGGTGCACGCCATCACGCCTGGCTAATTTTTTATTTTTAGTAGAGATGGGGTTTCACCATGTTGGCCAGGCTGGTCTTGAACTCCTGACCTGAAGTGATCTGCCCACCTCAGCCTCCCAAAGTGCCAGGATTACAGGTATGAGCCACCCTGCCTGGCCTACTACTTTTTTTGTTTGTTTGAGGAAGGGTCTCATTCTGTCACCCAGGCTAAAGTGCAGTGGTGGCACAATCATGGCTCACTGCAGCCTTGACATCCTGGACTCAAGTGATCCTCCCACCTCAGCCTCCTCAGTAGCTGAGACCACAGGTGCGCACCACCACACCCAGCTAATTTTTGTATTTTTTTTTTTTTTTTTTTTTTTTGTAGAGATGGCATTTCGACATATTGCCCAGGCTGGTCTTGAGCTCCGGAGCTGAAGCAATTTGCTTGCCTCGGCCTCCCATACTGCTGGCATTACAGGTGGGAGCCACCATGCCCAGCCTCATTTTCTTTATTAATTGTGAGTGCAGGACCTTGTTTTCATAATCTTTGTATTACTCTTTAGTGCTTAGGACTGTGCATTACATGGTCTGACTAGTATTGTCAGTCAACAAATATTTTTCAAATATTTTTAAAGTGTCTATAGTGCATTAAATGCTAAGCTACATGATGAATAGCATCAGCTAAAATTGTTGTTCTTGCTTTATGAGATTTTATCATTTAAAGCAGGGGTCCCTAACCCTTGCTGCAGACCCGTACTGGTCTGTGGCCTGTTAGGAACTGGGCAGCACAGCAGGAGGTGAGCGGTGGGTGAGTGAGCATTACTGCCTCAGCTCCACCTCCTGTCAGGTCAGTGACAGCATTAGATTCTCATGGGAGCTTGAACCCTATTGTGAACTGGCATGTGAGGGATCTAGGTTGCACGCTCCTTATGAGACTCTGAGGCAGAATAGTTTCATCCCGAACCTCCCACACCCACCCCCTCAACCCTCCAATCCTCCAATTCCCCAACCCTGGTTCATGGAAAAATTGTCTTCCATGAAACTGGTCCCTGGGGCCAAAAAGGTTGGGGACTGTTGATACAAAGTCCAAGTTAACCTAGCAGAAAAACACAAGAAATGAGAGATGTTCAGCTCCTAAATTTCATAGGAAAATACACATTTTGCTCTTTCTTTTAAACTGATTTTTAGAAAAATTTATTCTAAGGCTGATACACTTTTTTGCAAGGTGAGATGGACGAAGTAAGATTAAAGAACCTCTCTTGAAAGAGAGGCTGAGAAAATTAGAAGACTGGTTGAGGAGTTTAGATAACAACTGGAAATGGTGGGAGGAAAAGGGGTCAAGCAGAGGAAAGGAAGGGGGAGAAGCTGAGGTGGGTCCAGATGAAAAACAGAGTGGAAGGAGCTGCTTTGTAGAGATTGAAGTGTTCAAGAGTCCATCACCTCTTATACTAACCAATTGATTACATGCCTCCTTTGCTGCAGACTGTGAGATCCACAGAGGCCGTGACCCCATTTGCCCCAGTGCAGGTTCAATAAACGTGTGTTAAATAAATGGCTAAGAGTAAAGGTTCTAAAAATAAGAAGCCTACATTCATATAATACATTAAATCTTTGAAAACACATGACACACACCTATATACTGAGGACATTTTGCCCGCATCTGAGGAGACGTATATGAGAATGTTTGTTGCAGCACTGTCTGAAATAATAAAATGCTGGAAGCATTCTAAGTGCCCTTAATTAGAGAATGCACATATAAATTGTGTAGTATATTCCTATGACATAGCGTTAAAAAGGAATGAACTACATAACTATAGCTCTCAACTTGGATAGATCTCAAAAATATAACGTGTGGGCCAGGCACAGTAGCTCACGCCTGTAATCCCAGCACTTTGGGAGGCTAAGGTGGGAGAATCGCCTGAGCCCAGGAGTTTGGAATCAGCCTGCGTGACATGTGGAGATCCTGGCTCTACCAGTAATAAAAAGAATTAGCCAGGTGTGGTGGCATGCATCTGTGGTCCCAGCTAAGTGAGAGGCTGAGTCAGGAGGATTGCTTGAACCCAGGAGGCTGACTCTGCAGTGAGCTGTGATCGCACCACTGCACTCCAGCCTGGGTGACAGAGTGAGACCCTTGTCTCAAAACAAAAAACAAAAAACTATATATATTTAATTAAATTATGTGTGCAATACCATACTATATAATACCAAAATATATAATATCATGTATAATTCAATTATATGTATAATACCATATCTGTATATACTGTAATACAATTATATGTATAATACATTGGTATATTATATCAATTATATGCATAATACCATATATGTATATGTATAATACGTATATAACCCAGATGTATATAATACCATATATATCTACTTTAAACAGCTTTATTGAGATATAATTTACATCCTGTACAATTCATCCATTTAAAGTGAACAGTTCAGCAGGGCACAGTGGCACACACCTGTAGTCCCAGCTACTCCAGAGGCTGAAGCAGAAGGATTGCTTGATCCCAGAAGTTCAAGGCTGCAGTGCGCCATGGCTGCGCCCGTGAATAGTCACTGCATTCTGGCCTAGGCGACATAGCAAAACTCTGTCTCTAGGAAAACAAAATGAAATAAACTTAAAAATAAAATGAACAATTCAATAGGTTTTGGTAAATGTATTATTAATTTTTAAAATTGCAGTAAAAATACATAACATATAATTTGCCATTTTAATTATTTAAGTGTACAATTAATTCAGTTGCATTAATTCACAGTATTGTACAACCATCACTACTATGTTGTGATTATTTTGGAAATAATTTTCCATTACCCCTAAACAAAAATTCTGTAACCATTAAGCAATAATATGTCATTGCTTCTACCCCAAACTTCTAACAACCTCTATTACTTTCAGTCCTGATGAATTTGGCTATTCTAGGTACATCATATAAATGATATTATACCACATTTGTCTTTTTTGTGTTTTGCTTATGTCATTTAGCATAATATCTTCAAGTTCATCTATATAGCATGTATCAGAACTTCATTCCTTTTTTATGGCAGAATAATATTGCATTGTGGGTATATGCCACATTTTGTTTATCCATTCATCTGTTAGTGGACCTGTGGATTTCTTCCACCTTTTGGCTATTGTAGATAATGCTGCATTGGACACTGGCATACAAATATCTATTCCAGTCCTTGCTTTCAATCCCTTTGGTTATATACCTAGAAATGGAATTGTTGAATCATATGATAATTCTATGTCTAGCTTTTTGAGAAACTGCCAGATAGTTTCATTTGTGTGCATGTATATAGATGTATATACACATATATGCATACATATGCGTGTATATACATATGTACATATGCGTATATATACATATGTATATACATATGTACATATGGGTATATATACATATGTATATACATATGTACATATGCATACATATACATATGTATATACACATATGCATACATATGCACATATATGTATCTATACATATGTGTATGTATGCATATACACATAGATTTTTAAAAACACAATAACACTTCTACATATGGTTCCTGGATACGAATATATGTTTATAAAATCTAATGGCTATAAGGGAAGAACTTACTCATAGAAGTGATTACTTTGGTGGTGGGGGTAGGGTTGGACATGAGGACACAGGAGAGACTGGGCTACAAATGGTCAAAGGAGACAATAGTTTTACCTGCAACGCTTCCTTTCAGTTTTAAAAAGGGGCATAGATACATAATTTGCAAATTGTTTTAAAAATAGAAAAAAGGGAAGGAAATTGGACAAAATTTGAGGTAGAAGTATCTCCATGTTATATTATTCTGTGTACTTTTTTTTGTTTAATTAGAAAGAGACAAACTTTTCTGCAAGGTACACATCATTCGATTCTCATATCAAAACTGATGAATGAGATAGTATTAATACCAATGATATCGTTTTAAAGGCAGAATTCTGAAACAGACAGCAGTGGGCCAGAACCAGAGATGAGTGCCCTAGTCTGCTGGTCCAGGGCTTGGAGGTGAGGAGAGGGAGGCTGAGGTGGTGAACACCCTAAACGCTTTGATGCTGTACCACAGGGCCTCAAATCACCTACTGTATTTTCCCTTCGTTTGTAATGTTACGAAGACACTTCTGCTTTAAAGGCCACTGTTTTTAGAGGAGACATGGAGGAAGCAAGGATAAGGTTCACTGAAGTAGGAGGACAGAGTGATAAGAGGGACGCCTAGAGGACAAGATAACAACTGAGAACAGTGGCTAGGAAATGAAGGAAGTGGAGACGAGGAAGGATTCTGAGCTAACGACGAGGAAGGATTCTGAGCTAACGACTAGGAAGGATTCTGAGCTAACACAGATCACAGATAGCGCTTCAAAGAGCCATTTGTACCAGACCCTTTGTGTAGTGTGAGAGATGAGATGGACTCTTCAATGTCTTGGTTTCCTACCAGCACTTCCCCAGCTCCAGGTTTCGGTATTTCAGGGTTGAGTGGGCAGGCGTGATAGAGCACATGTGTGTATCACACATAAAGAAGATGCAGGACAGAGAGAGCTGAAGAAATGTGCGACGTGAAATGAAAAGCCAGTTAAGAACAAATTGTCATCTCTCCAAAGCAGATCAACTGTTGGCTGCCAGATCATTCAGTACTGATGCCTCATCAGTACACATCTTCCAGACATTAATAAAATTAAGGAACAAAATGTATTGGTTTTCTTCTTGCTCTTGTCCTGAAAAAGAATGAGCTGTACATAGCTTCATAACTAATTTGTGCAATATAATTAATGTCTCCTTTCTTTGTAATATCTTTAATTTGCTAGTCTAAGAGAGGTGGAAAGAATCAGAGCTGAGAACAAAGAATTTCCATTCACAAAGGTATTCGCTTTCAGCGATGGAATTACAACCCAAGGAAAGGAAAGTTATCGTGGCTATGAGTTCCAACCTACACACTGCTGCCAAATTTATCTTCCTTGAGTTCAGGGTTGAATACGTCACTTCTGTATTCTAAACTGTTTTCATTATCAAAAGCAGTATCCCTCAAATATTTTTCTCAGAATTATCTTTGTATTTCTTGAGAAAATAAATTCCAGGATTAAATAAATGTAGGAAATGATGGTCAAGCAAAATTTCTTACTATAAAACTTTAAATAATCTGAAGCATGACTCTCCAAGGTATATGGCATTTCTGAAACTTATTTCACCAAGATAGTCCCCCCACCATATCCCTAAAAACCAAAACCAAAACAAAACCAAAAAACCCCAAAAAACCATTGATAATTTTTCAATGAAAATCAGAATTCTGTAAAACACATTTCTGGAAACCCTCATCGACCCCACGAAGAGACTGGATGCTAGTTTAAGTCCCTGCTCTAGCTCTTACTTGCTAAGTGATATTGGGCAAAACCTTTAAATTTTCCTAATATTTTTGCTTATTAGTATAATGGGATAATAACTTTCTCAAGTTTGTCATGAAAACTGAGATGTTGATGTTGGTCTTTGGCACATAGTGTGCACATAGTAAATAGTAATTGTTATGTTATTGTTATCAACCTAGGATGTAGATCCTGGTTTTCCAGCTTTATGAAAGCAGGGAAGCAGGGGCCAAAGGGTGGGAGGTCTTGTAAGCCATAAGAAGTTAATGGAAGAAATGGAGATGGTTTTGTTTTTTGTGGGGTTTTTTTTGGTTTTTTTTTTGAGACGGAGTCTCACTCTGTTGCCCGGGCTTCAGTACAGTGGTGTAATCCCGGCTCACTGCAACCTCCGCCTCCCTGGTTCAAGCAATTCCCCTGACTCAGCCTCATGAGTAGCTGGGATTACAGGCACACACTACCACGCCCAGCTAATTTTTGTATTTTTAGTAGAGACGGGGTTTCACCATGTTGGTCAGGCTGGTCTCGAACTCCTGACCTCGTGATCCACCTGCCTCGGCCTCCCAAAGTGCTGGGATTACAGGCATGAACCACCATGCCCAGCCTGGAAAAGGTTTTAATAGAGAAAAGGGATTTGAATTATCCTTCCCTTCAAGGGCAGCTAAGAAACCTTGCCCTTGTCTTAAATGTGTAAGTTTTGGCTGGGTGTGGTGGCTCACACCTGTAATCCCAGCTCTTGGGGAGGCCGAGGTAGGCGGGTCATGAGGTCAGGAGTTCAAGACCAGCTTGGCCAACATAGTGAAACCCCGTCTCTACTAAAAATACAAAAAAATTAGCCGGGCCGGGTGGCGGGTGCCTGTAATCCCAGCTACTTGGGAGGCTGAGGCAAGGAGAATCACTTGAACCTGGGAGGCGGAGATTGCAGTGAGCCGAGATCGCGCCACTGCACTCCAGCCTGGGCAACAGTGCAAGACTCAATCTCAAAAAAAAAAAAAAAAAAAAAAAGTGTAAGTTTCATTAGCCAAGGCCCTGCCCAAATGCCTTTCTCAATGCCCTCATGCAGTACCTCATTGGCGGTTTGCAATAATTTCTTCCTGTACACTTCTGTAGCCTTTTTTTTCTAAATTTCTTTTTTAGCATTTATCACTTGCTACTACATATTAAAGTTATTTATGTGCTGCTATATTTATTTCTCCAACTAGCATGCTTTCAAAGCATGCCCACATCTTGTCCCATACTTTTAAGCATAATACAGTCACCTGTAAAATGATCACTAAAATTTGTCAAATGAAAAACGTGCCCAATTCTTTATAGTTTACAAAGTGGCTAATTACATCACTCTAAATAAATATAGGAACCGCTTATTTTTCTCCGAAGTTATCAGGAATCTACAAGTTTAGATCTTTTTCTGAAAGTAATTTCCATCTGAGTATCATCTGCTGCCCTCCTGTGTTTGACACAAATATTCTCTCAGATGAGAACAACAAAAACAGAATAGCTCAATTAAATTTATTTGGACGGCACTTTTACTTTCAGATACTTGAAATGTGTTTCCACACAAAACAATTGTGCTGCCTACTAAGATTATTTTTCTTCAATCTTTATTCAATATATTTCAAATTACATTTTTTACTTAGAGTTATATGAGATCTTTCATATTGGTCTGATATTCTTTCAATATAATCTACTAAACTTTTAGTATTTCCATTTAAAAAATCTGAGACAACTTATTTCAAATTATTCTAATACTATTTTTGTATACTAGACCTACTTGGGCAACAGTACAAGACTCTGTACTTCGAAACTAGAAAAACCTGGTTACTAGTTGTGCGATCTTGTGCAAATTACTTTTCTGAACCTGTTTCATTTGCAAAATGAAGACAGTACCTCCCAAAGATCACACAAAACACTTAGCACACCATAAAAATGCTCAATATGTTAGCTGTTATTAATACTATAGGAAACATGCTTTCAAATGGCTCTTCTTTGGTATTACCTATTATGGTAAAGTTAAAGACTGCCTAAGAACATGAATTAGCATGGGCCCAATATATCACCTGGATTAAGCCCTGTCCTTTGATATTCAACACTCAAGATTTATTGGACACCTGGGATGTGTTAGACATCATTCTAGATACTTAGGATATATTGGTTTGTAAAAAAGACCAAAATCCTTGCCTTTGTGAAACCTCACTCTTCATGGAGGTCTTTAAGTTACTGACTTCCTTCTAAATTCTTACTGTACATGTTACTCATTTCTTTACATATGCTATCCCATACCATATATCCAGTCCTTTCCTCTCTATCTCCAATGCAGGCTGTCATCTCTCTTGTTCTACTGCTACAGCCTTGAATTGGGGACAGGAGCTCACTCTAATGACACTTTGTATACCTTTATCAAGTTTTGTAAGGATGGTGACTTAGTTTGACTCTGCTACTCTTTAAAGAGGAAAAAAAATTAGTGTTGACATTTTTATTTAATTGCCAATTATTACAATCTATTTTCTTTTACATTACCCCAGTCTGTTCTCAACACAGCAGCCAGAGGGATCATCTGAAACCACAGTTCAACTGTTTTTCTTGAAGCGATGGCCCATTTCATTCTTTTTTTGTTTTTGTTTTTGTTTTTTTGAGATGGAGTCTCGTTCTGTCGCCCAGGCTGGAATGCAGTGGCACGATCTCGGCTCACTGCAAGCTCCGCCTCCCGGGTTGACACCATTCTCCTGCCTTAGCCTCCCCAGCAGCTGGGGCTACAGGTGCACGCCGCTACGCCCAGGTAATTTTTGTATTTTTAGTAGAGATGGGGTTTCACTGTGTTAGCCAGGATGGTCTCAATATCCTGACCTTGTGATCCACCCGCCTCAGCCTCCCAAAGTGCTGGGATTACAGGCATAAGCCACCACGCCCGGCAATTTCATCCATTTTTGATAAAATATCTGCCAGATACCCAAGTGTAAACAACCATAGTTTAATCTCCTATAGTCATTCTTTCCAGTAAAAATGGTAAGAAAGAAATCCCAGGGAAACTGAAGCCAAAACTATTTTCATAAAAGTAAGATTTTACTTGCCTTTCTTACCATTAACATTTGCACAGATGGTGCAAAAGCAATAGTGATAAAACTACCAGCACTTAGCATGAATCAATGGAGGGGCACAAAAATGTATTGCTAGTCATTGTATACTTCATTGCCATGCACCCTCAGTAAAAACAAAAACAAAAAACCTCAGTTTCACTTAAGAATGTGCTTGATGAAGCAGTAAAAATTGCTAACTTTATGAAATCTTAGCCCTTAAGATGTCTTTTAATATTCTGTGTGATGAAATTCATAATATGCATAAAGCATTTCTGCTGCCTACCAAAGGACAATAGTTTTCTCAAGGAAAAACACTTTTTATTATTTGAGTTGCAAATTGAATTGGCTGCCTTTTTTTTTTTTTTCTCAAGGCACATATTTACAAGAAAAAAATGACAAACTGTATCTTGTTACTCAGACTTGGGTATGTATTGGGTATGTATTTGGCAGACATTTTCTTGAAAATGAACCAAGTGGGCCTTTCACTTAAAGGAAAACAATAATATTTGCTATCAACCTCATGCTTGATAGCTTGATCAAGTTCAAGCTATCAAGTAAAAACTTAAACTTGTGGAAAACTTATACCTTCACAGTAGGTCTTTCAGTTTCCCAATACTATAAAACCTTCCTGAGACAGGGATGATATTACTCAATGTGATTTTTGATATGTATAATGAATGTAACAACATTTGGAAGGTCTGTATAACTCAGTAACCCATTACTTTTCAGATGACTGATGCATGATGTTCCAAATCAGGTATGGGTAAAAGATCCATTCAAAGCTCAACATACATGAATGAATTTTAATGGAACAGAATAAAAAGTTCATTAAACCAGTTTCAGATTCCATGTTGTAACTAACCTTTAAGAAACTACCACTTGTTGGGTTTTAGTATAATATCAAAGAAGTATATGTACATCTATTTGAAAAAGTTAAATATTGCTCCTATACTAAATATTTATGAGAAGTGGATTTTTTCATACTTCGACAAAAATTTCATATCCCAACAGTTTGAATGCAAAAGCAAATATGGGAATCAAGCTGTCCTCTATTAAGCCAAACACAGAAGACCTCTGAAAAACCGGTTTTTCTTAAAAGCCATTCTTCTCACTAAATTATGTCTTGGTAAATTGCCATTTTTCATAAAACAAAAAAAGTTTTTGTTAACATGAAATGGTTTTATTATCATTATTTTTACCATTGACCTTTCTGAGAATTTTCATTATTTTTCAATGAATTAAAACTTTTGTTTTCATTTCTATGGTGGTGAATATCAATAGCCACAATCCACATAAACAGAGGCTCTTTGGTGTCTTCTACAATTTTCTAGTGTAACGAAAAGTTAGGAGCAATGACTCACCCCTGTAATCCCAGCACTTTGGGAGGCTGAGGTGGGTGGATTGCTTGAGCCAGGAGTTCAAGAGCAGCCCGGGAAACATGAGACCCTCATCTCTACAAAAAAACTAAGAAATGCAAAAATTAGCCGGGCATGGTGGCACGTACCTGTAGTACCAACTACTTGGGAGGCTGAGGTGGGAGGATTGCTTGAGCCTTGGAAGTTGAGGCTGCAGTGGGCCATGATCGTGCCACTGCACTCCAGCCTGGAGTTCCAAAGCCACCACTGAGCTAAGCTATGCCAGGTCACGTGACTTCTCTGCGTAAAAACCTTCCAATGGTCTGCAGTGGTGGCTCACACCTGTAATCGTAGCACTTTGGGAAGCTGAAGTGGGAGGACTGCTTGAGGCCAAGAGTTCAAGACCAACCTGGCCAACATATCAAGATCCATCTCGTGTTTTTAAAAACTAAAATTAAAAAAAACCACAACCTTCCAATGGCTCCTCAGAGGTTCATATATTGTCCTACAAGACTCTACTCTGTTTTCCCCTCCATTACCTGTCCCTCTACTTTTCCCCTTACTCACTCCCTCCAGCCATGCTTGCCTCTTTGAAGTTCCTCCAATAAACCATACATACTCCCAGCGTTAGTACCATTGCACTGGCAGTTCCCTCTTCATGGAAAGCAATTTCTCCAGTTTTCCGCATGGCCATTTCCCTCATTTTCCTGAAGTCTTTGCTCAAATGTCACCATCTCAGTAACTTGTGCATCATATTTAAGATTACAGCCCTACCAGCTACTCCCACCCGCACCACATACATTGTTCTCCCCTCCCCGCAGCATCTTCTAACATTTGCTTATTACATCTAGTGTTTGACCTCCTTTCTCCACCACCAGCATAATGTAAGCCCCAAGAACACGGGAAAATGCCTGTCACATAGAGCTCAACAAATATTTGTTGAATGTAGAATGGATGAACTCGCTTGCCAGCTTGTCATTTCTGGAGACATGGCCACAAATTCCCAAGAAAAAAAAAAGGATGCATTTTAAAGAGGCTAGGGAGGACAATGACAGCAAAGACTGCAAAGAGTTTTAAAACAGGAGAAAAAGAAGATGGGATACAATAACCACAAATTTCAATACTGAAGGCATTGTGGGCCTGAAAATAACGCTCTTGGGAAAAGTGGCAGTCGGGGAATTAATTATAAAGGTAGACACGGCGGATCTAAGTGCCTGGCCATGGACACTGGCATGCGCTCCCTCACCCAAACCCACTTCCCGCTCAGCTCTTTCCGGAGCCTTCCACCCTAACACAGAAAGTTCACACCAAGAGACTGAACGATTTCTAAACTTTATGGAAAAAGCCAATGACAATCAATTAGCCAAAAACGAGACGCCAAATCCCATCTCACTCCAGCGCCATGCCCTCTTCTCAAACGCTCGCCGGCTCTAGGACCTCTCCACCAGCACAGTTCTCAGGAGTCCTGCTGGTCTCCCAGTGCTGTTCTAAGGGTCCACATGAAGGCAGGTCAGGCGGGACTCCCCGGGCAAGCACTTCTGTACGCGGAAAGCACGAGGCGCAGGAGCCATGGAGAGCCGGTCCTTTGGAGACAGGAATACTTAAGAGGATTGGCAAACCGGAGAAACGCTGGGAGAGGTGCCCCGCACTGCGGTGGTAAGGCAGAGTCTCAGTTCTCCTCGGGCTTGTCGGCTGGCGGTCCACAAGGCTGAAGCATCTTTTCCATCAAGTTGAAGCGGACTCGCGCTTTGCTCTCATTCTCCGCAATGGCGAAGTAGTTGAGAAGGTCGAAGTGGCCCATGTAGGAGCAGTACGAGTCGCGGTGTTGGTTCACCAGCCACTCCCACTTGGTGGTGTCGGCGTGGCCCGTGCCGATGTACTTGGACTGCAGGTGCTCCAGCTGGCTATGGATGGTGTAGCGGTCAGTCATCTCGCCGCTTTCCCCTTCGCTCTCAGGTCAGAGGACGCAGGTAACAACTCGCCGCTCTAGCGTTTTACAGGAGAGTGAAGCCACCGCGCGGAAGCTCCAGGTCCGCGCCGTCGCAGAAGAATGGCGTCACAACGACTAAGTAGCGTAACTCTCGCTCATAGGGCTCAGAGGCGGAAGCGGAAGCACATTCTGTCACGCAATTGGAGTTGCTGAGGCGACGCAACAAGTGTGCCTCCCCCCTCCATGGAGATCCCCGCCCCATCAGAGAATGTTGCATGATGGTCCACTTAGTGGCTAAGGGAGGCCCTTTTCCAACAAGGAGCGTTGCATGCTGGGACTTGTGGTCTTGGGAGTTCGTGCACGCAGGCTTCCGGGACTCCTGGTCGCGTTCTGTTGTTTGTTTGTTTGTTTGTTTAAGACGGAGTCTTGCACTGTTGCCCGGGCTGCAATGCAATGGCGCGATCTCGGCTCACTGCAACCTCCGCCTCCTGGGTTCACGCGATTCTCCTGCTTCAGCCTCCCGAGTAGCTGGGATGACAGTTGCACACCACCACGCCCGGCTAGTTTTTTTGTATTTTTAGTAAAGACGGGGTTTCACTGGTCTCGAACCCCTGACCTCGTGATCCGCCCGCCTCGGACTCCCAAAGTGCTGGGATTACAGGCGTGAGCCACCGCGCCCGGCCCCTGGTCGCGTTTTAAAAGTGATCTGGGGACCTAGTGGAGGGCGATGTCTGGAGGTGGGGAGCATCCGTGGGTGGCTTGGGGCTGATAGGAAATGGGAAACCCAAGAATGACTGGACTACGAGCAGCCCCGAAAATAAACTCTTGGTGTATTTCGGAGCCGTCGTGGCGGCACGGCCGTCCCTTCACAACCGGGGATGGATTACCCAGAAGTCAGCAGGCGCCAGTTCTGGTCCCAACTATGTCTCTTAGGAGTTTGTGGCATAAAAGAGTTATTTCAGCTCTAACCAGGGTGCTTGGTGAGCAAGTACAGCACCAGTTCCCACACATTCCGGCTTCCACCTCAAGCTCCTCCTTCCTCTCTAGCCACTTATTTTGATATCCTCCCTCCAAGGCCTCACCTCACCCTACTTGGCTCTTCCATTCAGTGGGTTTTGTGGATTCAACCAACCTGATTGAAAATATTGGGGGAAAATATCAGTCTGTACCGAAATGCAGACTTTTTAAGGTTATTATTCCCTAAACAATACAGTATAACAACTATTTACATAGCATTTACATTGTATTAGGTATGTTAAATAATCTAGAGACAAACTATACAGGAGGATGTGCGTATATGCAAATACAAGCCGTTTTATATCAGGGACTTGAGCATCCTCTAGTTTTGGTATCCATGGGGGTCCTGGAACAAATCACTCACGAATACTGAGGGACAACTGTATTTCTCCATGTTACCTGTTGTGTCCATCCCCATTTCCTTGTACAAGCTATTCCCTCTACGTGGAATGTCTGTTCCCTTGGTGAACGCATCTCCCTTTAAAGGCAGCTCAAATGCATCTCCTTAGAGTTTTCTCTGGCTGCTCCAGACAGATGTAAACTCTCTTTCCTCTTTGCAAGTTATACGTCTCTTCCTTATTATTGCTTTATGTCCTACTGTTTGGTTTAATAACTTCCTTACATGGGTAGAAGCTACTTGAAAAAAAGATCCTTTTTTTAAAAAAAAAAAGTCCAAAACAAAAATTTGATAAATGGATAAATTATTACAACCGAAGAGAAGGAAAACTTTACTGGGAAGGAGATAACTTGAAAATAATTTTATTCTGCTGTTTAAACTTCGTTATAACAAATGTTTCACTCCTAAAATGTAAAGAATTTTGCCAGGCATACTTGTGGGAGATGTATCAAACCTTAACATTTTGCCATTTTTCTATGGAGCCTGTTTTTTTGATTGCTGAAAGTGTGTATCCATGCACAATAGTTGTTTTTGTTATGCAAGTTTTAAAGCTCTATATAAATAACACTCCGTCTATATTGTTATAAAAGTTGCTTTTTGCCCTTGTCAGTATTCATGTTACATGTTATGTAACTTTAGTTCATTGTTTACTGCTATACAGTATGTCACTTAATTAGTATAACATAACATGTCCACTCTCTCAATGATGGGCATTTATTTTCGTATTTTTGTTATTAGAAACAATGCCGAAATAAATATTCTTATACATGTGAAGGTGTTTCTCCAGGGCAGTGGTCCTCAACCTTTTTGGCACCAGGGACTGGTTTCGTGGAAGACAATTTTTCCACGGACAGGGGTTATGGCAATGGTTTCGGGATGATTCAGGTGCATTACATTTATTGTGCACTTTATTTCTATTATTATTACATTGTAACATATAATGAAATAATTGTACAACTCACCATAATGTAGAATCATTGGGAGCCCTGAGCTTATTTTCTTGCAACTAGACAGTCCCATCTGGGGGTGATGGGGGATAGTGACACCAAAAGTATGTTGCTTATGTCCAGTCTACTCTGTAATCTCGTTTTGGTTGCTATCACTGCAGAAAACCCTCATTCACATAGATAGGATGTTGGAAATGGAAGCAGACTTTTCTGTGCTTTGGTGCCAATCTGAGGATATTCCACCTTGACTCTAATCCAGAACATACGGAGATTTGAAGTTGTCTCAAACATACTTTTAAGCCACCATTATTTGCAGTCTCAAGCAGTTGATCTTCTAGCACGGGCAAAGTTGATTCACCTGGTTTTTTCACAAATGCGTCATAGATCCATTCCTTCCCAGTTCAGAGGTCTTTTGTAATTGGGAAGTAATGCCCAAACTCTATTGAATGTAAGACAGGTGATCATGCACCGGCTGGGAGAAAGAAGGCCCTGGCTCAGTCTCTTTCAAAATCTCTACTAATGTTTGAAATGTCAAAAATCCCGGTGTTGACTTGTAACCCCCATAATTCCAGTTGGATTTGAATGCAGCCACTTTATCTGCCAACTTGAACACAGTTGTTCTCCTCTAAAGTGACAGATTGAATTCTCTGAGCAGGTTGAATATGTCACACAAGTAAGCAAGTTTTGCCACCTATCCTGTGTCACTGAAATGTGCTTCCAGTGGTGACTATTTTTCTAAAAGAAATCTCTGTAGCAGCCCTCCTAACTCAAAAACTCTGGCCAGTGATCTACCTTTAGAAAGCCATCTCACCTCTGTGTATAAGAAAGATGAATGCGCTCTGTGTCCATCTCCTCACAGAGCTGTGCAAACAGACGTGAGTTAAGGGCATGTACTTCAATATAGCTGATAATTTTAATCACATCCTGCAAAACGTTGTGAAGTTCAGGTGACATTTTTCAGCTAGCCAGCATTTCCCCATGGACGACACAGTGCACAGACACATTCAGAAGCAACCTCTTTGACCCAAGTAGTGAAACCAGAAAGCTGTCCAGTCATGGCAGTTGCTCCACCCATGCTTATACCAACACAAAATGACCAATTCAGTTTTCTTGATTTGTAGTCATTTAAAGACTTGAATAGTTCTGCAGCTGTGGTGTTGGCTGGCAACAAAAGTACACATAACATAGCCTCTTGCACATCCTCCTGAAAATATATTCACAAAAACAAGCGTTGTTGCCTTGTTGTCAGGATTGGTAGACTCGTCAACCTGGATTGTGTACCATGGTGACTTATTAATCCTCTCTAACAATTATGCCTCAATATCCTCTGCTATTACATCAGTTTGTCTAGTTGTGGTGCTAGCCAAAGAGGAATGTGTGCCTTCTTTTGAACTGCAGCCTCTCCTAAAAGTTCACAACAGATGTCCTTAGCAGCAGGGAGGATCAACTCTTCACCAACAGTAAAGGGCTTCTTAGCTTTAGCAATGTGGTTAGCCATTGACTGATGTTCTCAGTACAGACACACTTGATGCGGTAGTGGCCTTCAATAATTGCTTCTGTTTGTGTTCATGTTTTTTTCTTTTGAAAAACTCCAAAACCTCGTCTTTTAATGCAAGTTGCTTGGTCTCCATGTGGTAAAGCGGTTTTGAGGCTTTCATAGTTTCGGTGGATAGAGAGTTACCAAGTATTCTACAAAATGAGCTTGGAGAATGTGAATTACTTGTTGCAAAGAGTAATTTAAGTAGGACCCTCGGTGTTTTCTTTTAAATGCAGCTTTCTTTTCACTGTCAGTCTTAGAGTCTTCTATCTCATCATTGGGTCTTTCTCCTTTTTCAAAGAAGCTCTCTAGTGATGTTTGTTTTTTACTTATTTTGGCTGGGGTTAGCTTGTGTGCTTACCAAAACAGTGGCTGAGACAAGTGCTGGAAAGAAGCATGGATGGAAGTGGTAAATAATGGGTGGGCCATCCACAGACTAAAATAAGTGTTGAATTGTGACTTAAAGCCTGCCACCAGATGCAGCTGTATAACTGAAGTACATCAATTCACTTGCCACTATAAAGCCTGCCACCAGATGCAGCTTAATTGCTACTTACCACTCATTGACAGGGTTTTGATATGAGTCTGGAAGCAATTGATTTATTATGGTCTCTGTGTAGTCAAACCTCTGCTAACGTTAATCTATATTTGCAGCTGCTTCCCAGTGCAAGCTGCAATAAACACCTCAGCTCCACCTCAGATCATCAGGCATTAGATTCTTATAAGGAGTGCACCACCTAGATCCCTCACATGCATAGTTCACAATAGGGTTCAAGCTCCTATGAGAATCTAATGCCACTGCTTATCTGACGGGAGGCGAAGCTCAGGCAGTAGTGCCAGTGATGGGGAGTGTCTGTAAATACGGATGAAGCTTTGCTTGCTTGCTCACTGCTCACCTCCTGCTGTTTGGCCCAGTTCCAGGGGTTGTGGACCCCTGCTCTAGGGCATATACATAGGAATAAAATTGTTGAGACTTAGGGATGAGTGTCTTCCAGCTTTGCTAAATGTTGCCAAATTGCTTTCCAAAGTGATTGTACCAATTGGTTCTTCCACCAGCAGAATGAGAATTCCTTTGGCTCCACATACTTTTCAATACTTGGCGCTGTCAGATATTTTTTAATTTTTCAAATCTGTTGGATGGAATGGAATTTCAATTTGGCTTTAATTTGCATATCGCTGATTAAATAGGGAGGCTGGAGATCTTTTTGTTTATTGATCTATTATATTTCTGCTTCTGTGAATTGCATATTCATATACTTTGCCCATTTCCTACTGGATGTTTGTATTTTTCTTACTAATCTTCAGGAGCTCTTTTTTTTTTTTTTTTTTTTTTTTTTTTTTTTTTTTTTTTGAGACGGAGTCTCGCTCTGTCATCCAGGCTGGAGTGCCGTGGCATGATCTCAGCTCACTGCAACTTCTATCTCTCAAGCAATTCTCCTGCCTTGGCCTCCCAAGTAACTGGGATTACATGCACCCACCACCACTCTTGGCTAATTTTTGTATTTTTAGTAGAGACCAGGTTTTGCCATGTGGACCAGGCTGGTCTCAAACTCCTGGCCTCAAGTGATCCACCCACCTCGGCCTCCCAAAGTGTTGGGATTACAGGCGTGAGCCACTGTGCCTGGCCTAGGAGCTCTTTACATATTCAGGATACTAGGCTTGCGGTTATAAGCAATGAAAGTATCTTTTCCCAGTCTATAGCTTTTCTTTACCCTTTCTTTAGGATATCTTTTGTTGTAGAGAAGTTAAGTTTAAAGTAGTCAGATTTATCAGCCCTTCTTTATGGTTTGTGCTTTTTGTATTTGGTTTAGAAAATGAAATCAATCAAAGCCCTTTCCTGCCAAAGGGCCACAAAAAGAGTTTCCTTTATTGTCTTCTAAAAGTTTTAGAATTTTTGTTTTTCATGTTTACAACTTTAATCCACCTGGAAGCTTTCGTTTCGTTTTGTTTTGATTTATGGATCTAATTTTTAGTATTTTCCTATTTGGCTTTCTAGTTACCAGTGATAACCAATCATTTATTAAATAGTGCATCTTTTTTTCTACTCATTTAGTGCTTCTATTACTTATTTATAGAGCTGGGCATTCTATTCCTTTAGTCTATCTGTCTATACCTTCAACAGTAGCACAGGGTCTTAATTACTGAACCCTTATAATAGGTCTTGATATCTGATAGGATGAAAGCCTGTACAATTTTTTTCTTTCATAAATTTATTGACTATTCTTGATCTTTTGCTTTTCCACATGAATTTAGAATTGGCAGAATCCTTATGGCAATTGTGATAGAGTAGAACAAAGCCGTGAAAATTAATTTAATACTATTTCTATATCATTAAGAATGATTCTAAGATATGAGAGAATTCCTCAAATTCAAAAGCCTTTAGAGGTAAATGGAAAATGCCCTTATGTGTATTAATTAAGAATCAAGATATATTAGTTTGCTAATGCTGCCGTAACAGAAGTACCACTGGTCGTTTAAACAACAGAAATTTATTTTCTCACAGTTCTAGAGCTAGACATCCAAGAGCAAGGTGTTGGCATGGCTGGTTTCATTCTGAGGTATCTCTCCTTGGCTCTCTGTGTCTTCACAAAGCTTTCCTTCCGTGCCTGTTTGTGTTCTAATCTCTTATAAAGACACCAGTCATATTGGATTAGGACTCACTCATATAACCTCATTTTAACTTAATTACCTCTTAAAGGTACTGTCTCCAAATACAGTCCCATTCCAAGGTGCTGGGGGTTAGGATTTTTTTTTTTTTTTTTTTGAGATGGAGTCTTGCTCTGTCACCCAGACAGGAGTGCAGTGGCGTGATCTCAGCTCACTGCAACCTCCACCTCCTAGGTTCAAGCAATTCTCCTGCCTCAGCCTCCCAAGTAGCTGGATTACAGACATGCACCACCATGCCCGGTTAATTTTTGTATTTTTAGTAGACTTGGGGTTTCATTATGTTGGCCAGGCTGTAGGATTTTAACATGTGAATTTTAGAGGGACACAATTCAGCCATAATAGTTATATACAGTGACATGGAATACATAAAATAACTTGCTTTTTACATATTTGTGAATTTAATTAGATTTATGAAAATAATTGAAATACTTGAAAAGATTTTATTTATTAAATCAGATAATTGCAATACTTACAAGGAGCATAAAATATATTAATAACTATGGTTTAGGCCTGGCGTGACAGCTCACGCCTGTAATCCCAGCACTTTGGGAGGCCAAGGCAGGAGGATCTCTTGAGTCCAGGAGTTGGAGACAAGCCTGGGCAACATGGTGAAACCCCGTCTCTACTACAAATACAAAAATTAGCTGAGGCTGGTGGCACGTGCCTGTAGTCCCAGCTACTCGGGAGGCTGAGATGGGAGGATTGCTTGAGCCTGGGAGGTTGAGGCTGCAGTGAGCTGAGATCTTACCACTGCCCTCCAGCCTGGGTGACAGTGAGACCCTGTCTCAAAAAAAAAAAAGGAAAAAAATTAACTATGATTTAAAGTGTTTAAAATAGTTAAACTTTGGAGTAGAACTAAATTTTATTCAAAGTCCCCTTTAAAACGATCGCTAAAATTTGCTAAACTTAGAAATAGATTAGGATTTTTAGCTGAAGTTAAAAGCTTAAGGGAACAGGTAGTTTTTCAATTTATAAGTTTAGCAGAGGGAGCATCAGCTTTTAAAACCTAAATAAATGCCTGAATAGTAGTTTCTACATTCCCCCAGATGATCCTTAAAGGCACTACAAAGCCTCACATTTAATGAAGTCAGCTTTCAAATAGTATGAAAACCGTGCTGCAATTTTTAATTGTAATTATATTTAATTTTTAACTTGGAGAGAGTTGTCATCTTAACTATGTTGAATTTTCTCATTGATGCACATGGTATATTTTTTCATTTATTTACTTCTTTCTTTCTTTGTCTTCTTCCTTTCCTTTCCTTTCCTTTCCTTTCCTTTCCTTTCCCTTTCCTTTCCTTTCCTTTCCTTTCCTTTCCTTTCCTTTCCTTTCCTTTCCTTTCCTTTCCTTTCCTTTGACAGAGTCTTGCTCTGTTGCTCAGGCTGGAGTGTAGTGATATGATCTCGGCTCGCTGCAACCTCCACCTCCCAGATTCAAGCAATTTCTCATGCCTCAGCCTCCCGAGTGGCTGGGATTACAGGCATGTGCCCCCATGCCTGGCTAATTTTTTTGTGTTTTTAGTAGAGACAGGGGTCACCATATTGGCCAGGCCGGTCTTGAACTCCTGGCCTCAAGGCCACCTCGGCCTCCCAAAGTGCAGGGATTACAGGCGTCAGCCACCGCAACCTGCCTAAGTCTACTTTTCTTAATGTAAAATAAAGCTGGTATAATTTTCTCCATTCATATCTTTACCATATTCTGTTAAGTTTATTCCTGGGTATCTGCCATGTATACTTATATTACACATGAATTTTAAATTATGACCTAATAAGGAATATTACAATTTCTTACACTTGTTGACAATAAAGAATTTTGGTCTGGAACCAGCAATCTTATTGGCAAGACATGCCAGGAGAGCTGTGAGAATTTCCTAACCGAAGATATTACCTCAAGTCAATCCCACCTGTTAGGTTACTTTATGTAACTATCAAATGTTGTCTTTACTAGGTGACTTTGGGGAAGGAAAAAAAGTAAACAGAAATCTTAAAAATAAAATTTTACAAATGCTGTCTTACAGTTCAGCATTTGAGTAAGGAAAAATATGCAATAAAAGATTCCATTAGAAAAGTGTATAGAATTTAAAATGTATAAAGAAAAATTACATATGTTTTAAGACAGAAAATTATATTCTGTTGGATCTGTTTTTGAAGCAAAGTCTTCCTTGTCTTTCTTGGCCTTGTGCTGCAGGCTTTAAATTTTTTAAGAAGCCATTTAACATTTTGACTAGCAAAGGCATAATCCACACATAGAGAACTATAACAAGGAACGCAGTATCTAACTTATACCATTTCTCACCCCCATCTTTAATGAGTAACCACACTGTATTAGTTTCTTGTGTATCCTTTGGGAGATTACATTCATGGATGTATAAGCAAACACAAATATGTATAGTATTTTACCCCCGTTTAAAATTCATATGGTAGCAAAATACTCACCATAATTCTCTACCTTGGTTTTTTGTGTTGGTTGTTTAATTCTGTTCTATGTTCTTTGATACATCATAGAGATCATCGCATATTAATACATAAAAGAGTTTTCTCATTCTTTTTTTCCTTGTATTATTGCCACATAATATTCCCTTGTATGAGTGTATCATACTCCCAGTAACCACCCTTTTATTGATTACCCTTTATGTTGTTTCCACTGCTGCAATGAATAACCTTGCTGCAATGACTAATACTGTACATATGTTATATTGCACATGTACAAGTATATTCGTAGGGTGAATTCCTAGTAGTGGAATTAGAGCATTATTAAAGACAATGAAACTACTGTTGTGCACACACTTAACGCAATCATGAATTTCTAACCATAGTGCTTTTCGGTGATTTTCAAATGTCTTGGATCACCAGAAATTATATTCAAATTTTATTATGATCTAAGAAAGACATGAACTTTAAGTAGAAATTAACTGAAGTCACATTTCCCTTGGTGAAAAATTATTTTAGATATCATTTCTGTCTGTAAGCAAGTATTAGGAGGACTTTCAATATGTCCAGATGTTGAAATAATGTTTCACACTAGGGGTCGCCAAAACAGTATTTAAGGCCAACAAATGGAACAATGGTTGAGAACATTTTTATAATGAGGCACCCTTGAGCTTCTCAATCACAGTAAGCAGGAACGGTGCCTTGTGAATGAGATGCTAAAAATAATACTTTGGTGTGCTGTATTTTTAAAGGCAACTAAGACTTTGATAATTTAGGAGAAAAGGAAGCAACCATTCCCTTATACTTTGGGGGCATTACACAATAAGTGGTGATGTGGAATTTAGGTGATATGGAATTTAGAGAATTTTTAAAATAAATTTGCTAGTTATAATCTTATTTTTCTGTGATTGAAAATGTCTTTATCTTCTACTTTTCTTTTTCCAACCATTGTGGGTTTCATATATCTGGGCAGATCTAGAACTCTCCATTTTTTAAGGGTTTTGCCCCTAATTGGGGATATACTACAAGGGTTAAATTTTATGTACTTTTCATATAACTTCTCTTGGGACAGATATGATTGCCATGGGCCTCCATTCTACAACTCATAAGATTTAATAGGCTGGTTCCTTTCTGTTCCTTAGTGATAACATTAAATCACAGGCCAGTGCAATTTTTAAACAATTTCTCAATGGAGAAATTTTACAAAGAAACATTGAAGCACTGTATGCATGTTCCATTTGTTACAGTAATATGAAATTTACTCTTATAATAGTATTTTTATGAGAACAAGTGTCTTAGTTCAGGCTGCTATCACAAATGCCATAAATTGGGTAACTTAACAGAAATTTATTCATCAGAGTTCTAGAGGCTGGGAAGTCCAAGATTAAGTTCCAGAAGATTTGGTGTCTGGTGAGGGTCTGCTTCCTGGTTAATAGACAGACGTCCCTTCTCTGTGTCCTCATGTGCCTGAAGGAGCATGGGAGCTCTCTTGGGCCTCTTTTATGAAGGCACTAATCCCATTCATGACAGCTCTCCTTTCATGAGCTAACCTCCCAAAGGCCGCACCTTCTAAAACCACCATCTTGGAGTTGAAATGTCAACAAATGAATTTTGGGGAGACACAAGCATTTAAACCACAGGAAATAGTTAAGAGTCACAATTTGTCATTTTCACAGTTTACCTAAGAGAGGGAAGTCATCTTTAAATATATGGTGAGAAGAGGTTTGAGGTCTAAAAAAAAGATTTAACTGAAGATTTTTTGTAACTTCAGTAAAAGGAATAAACAGGGTGCTATGATAAAGAATAATGGGGAAGAAGGAGGGGGGCACTGAGGAGAAGGTGATTGAGGGGAGGCCACTCTAGAGAGGTAACACTTGCATGTGTCCTGAGGAATGACAACAAGCCAGCTATGCCAAGAACTCTGGAAGAGCATTCCAGGCATAGAACAAAGGCACTGAAGTGGGGAGAAGTTTGAAGGACTCTAGGAACCACTAGACGGTTGGAGCCTAGTGACAGAGAAATAGTTACATTAGATGAAGTTGGACATGGAAGCAGTGGCCAGGTAATTTACAGTCTTGTTTGAATTTTTAGTCTATTGGGAAGCAAAAAAAAGTTTGAAGCCAGGGGAGCACTATGAAACCCTCATGTGCAGAACGGGGGCTTTGGGAGGGAAGAAGAGAGTGAGCTAAATACAGCCACAATCACAATCTGTGTAAAGATGCATGTACAAGACTGCCCTGTCACTTCAACCATCTCTTGCCTCGCCATTGCTCCAAACACACTGGCCAGGCATGTTTCTATCTCAGAGGCATTTTTCCTTTTTATTTCCTCTGCCTGAAATGCACTGTCTCCAGATGTCCATGTGGCAAAGGACCTTGGTTCTTTTAGGCCTTTGCTCACAATGTCACTTTTTAAATGAGTCCTTTTCTGGCCAAATTATCTAAAATTGTAAACCTGTCCCTCCATTACCAATGTTTCCTACCCCTATTTCCTTTATTTTCCCCTTACCACTTATTGCTAGCATACATGTTTAACTACATGTAAATACATAAATAATGTTTTATTTATCATGCTTATTGTCTGTCTCCTTACATAGAATATAAGCTCCGTGAAGACAAGGACTTTTGTGTTTGGTTCATGGCTCTGTCCGCAGCATGAAGTTCAGTGATTAAGTACTAAATTAATGTTGATGGAATAAATGAAGGAAGAAATGTTCATGATGGCCTTTTGAGTGATAGCAAAGGACTGGAAACAAATTGAGTGTTAACAAAAAGGAATAATTACATCAATTATGGTATAATCATAATATGTAGCTTTTAAGAGGCCCATACCTAGTAGATATAAATAGGCATAAAAAGACATCCATTTTATATTAAATGGGAAAAGGAAGTTATAGAAGTTATATGATCCTGTCTTTCAAACACACACCACACACACGTGCACACACACACACATTTGTATCATCATAGGAAAAGTATTGAAGGAAATATTAACCATTTGCCTTGGGGGAATGAGATGGGTGATTAAGGGGGATTTGGTTTGAATCATGCATTACCTTTGACATAAAAAGAGAAAAATAGAACAAACAAACGTTATTTAAAACCAAAATGTGATTCTACTCCAAACCTACCAGCATGGATTAAAATGTAAAATATTGACAGTATTAGAATATTGCTATCATAATGGGGTAGGCAGGAGATAACCAAAATCTCAAAGGATCCCCCAGGAATTAAAACTAGTCACCTCAACATCTCAACCATCCTTTATCTTAAGCCTAAGAGATGTGGATTTGGGGGGAAATTTTATTCTATAGAATTAACATCAGAGAAAAAGACCCAAGACAAGGCTTTACAAAATTATGAATATACTAATTTTTTATTGTTTTTGAGTTGCTTCAGTGACTTATCTAAGAGGATTACATGGAACAGTCTTTCCTAGCTGAGTCAGTTCAGCTAAGGTCCTTGAACAGCAATAATTACAAATTAGAATCTGGAGTCTAAAAATAAGAGGTGAAATGGATGGGACTGACCTTCTGTGCAAATATTGAACACTTCAGGTTTCTAACTAAAGATGTCATTCATTACAGTCTACCCAGGGGAAAAGTTGCAGGTGAACCCATAAGAAAGGAGCTGAGCTTATACTTTTCTTTTTATCCGAATTTGAGCAAGTGTAAGAATTGTCTGGTCCCTAGGGAAAGTTTAATGCCACTTCTCAATCGACATGGGGTAGTTGTTACATTTTCACTTTTTAGAACAGGTATGTGTATAGAAGTGATGACAGGTGCATCCTTATTAATGTATGGTTTCTTTCATTTTTCACAAATTGCACTTACTTTCATAAAACAGAACCACATTTTAAAATCTCCATGTAAATTTTTGCAATGTTATTTATTTCTATCATATTTTCTTCACATTCACCTATGAGTGCTTCCTAACTTAGAAGCCCCTAAGGATCTGTGTTTAATATATTGTCTTCAGTGACCCGAAAAGACCATGACGCAGAAGCAAGCCTAACCTTTTTATTTTTTTATTTTTATTTTTTTTATTTTTTTGCTGTTCATTTGTTTGTGGTAGCTTAAGACCAAAAAAGAATTTGGGGGTGGAGCAGATTGACACTCACAGCCATAGCTAACTACCTTTTTTTTTTTTTGAGACGGAGTCTTGCTCTCTGTCCCCCAGGCTGGAGTGCAATGGTACAATCTCGGCTCACTGCAACCTCTGCCTCCTGGGTTCAAGCAATTCTCCTGCCTCAGCCTCCCAAGTAGCTGGGACTACAGGCACATGCTACCATGCCTGGCTAATTTTTGTATTTTTAGTAGAGACAGGGTTTCACCATATTGGCCAGGCTGGTCTCGAACTCCTGACCTCTTGATCTGCCCTCCTTGGCCTCCCAAAGTGCTGGGATTGCAGGCATCAGCCACTGCGCCTGGCCAGCTAACTACTATTAAAGAAAAAAATTATTCAGTGATACTTGTTGAAACATAGTAGGGAAGAATTTATTCAGAACCATCAAGGTAGGTACAGGGATGACTGCAACAGTGTGTTGCAGTAGGGGAGAGAGATTGGGCTTAACTTCCAATACAGCCTGGACAAGTGGGAATTTATAACCAAGGAGCAGGGTGGGGGTCAGTGAATGGAAAATTACTAGGAGGAAATATCAGGGGTAAAGGGGATTCTGGCTAAATCAACCTAACAGGATTCTTGCTGAAGACAGGCCAGGATGATCAGACATCATCTGGGGGAGGATGGAGACGAGGAACCTGATCAGATATCAAGGATGATCAGATTATTGAGGATGGGGGTTCTGGTGAAATTGACTTAGCAGAGTTCTTTTGCTAAAGCTGGATTTTACAAGGAAGTGCACAGATGGGCCCAGGAGAAAGTTCAGAAACCTGATTAAAGAATCTTTGTCAACCAGGCACGGTGGCTCAAGCCTGTAATCCCGGCACTTGGGTCAGGAGTTCAAGACCAGCCTGGCCAACATGGAGAAACCCCATCTCTACTAAAAATACAAAATCAGCCTGGCATGGTGGCACGTGCCTGTAATCCCAGCCACTCGGGAGGCTGAGGCAGGAGAATCGCTTGAACCTGGGAGGCGGAGGTTGCAGTGAGCTGAGATCATGACACTGCACTCCAGCCTGGGCAACAAGAGCGAAACTCCGTCTCAGAAAAAAAAAAAAAAAATCTTTATCGGTGTCCATGGTGCTATTTCCCCACCCATTCTTTTGACATTTTCTTCAGCTTATGTAAGCCACTATGCAAAGCAGTTTCAAGTCTCCCTCCTTCTAAGTGGATGTTTGCTTCTAAATCCCTCTTATAAAGACATTCCAGCAGGCTGCTGAGGACCGCCTAAATAATGAGCTTCAGTGAGTTAGTTGCTTTAGTTGTCTGAGGAACATATTTATTCTGTCAGAAACGTAAAAATACTTTCAGTCAAAGCCCCGTCTTCAGGGTCCTCAAGATAGAGAAATTCTGCTTTGGCTTCATACCCTTCATCTCTATTTTTGGATCTCTTGATTTGCTAGACGGTCTTTCTATCCGCTTAATCACTTTACTTAAAAAGGCAAGAAAAGCACATGGAATTTTGTCCTAGTTTTAGTGCGGTTCTGCCCTAAGACCAAGGCAAGAGTGGGGCTTTCCCCGCGCCCCTCACTTTAGAGGGACCTGTTTGGACTCCTCTGTGAGCTTCACCCTCGCATGAGCTGCAGAGTCTACGGGTCAAGGGGACATTCCCACCTAGGTCCACACCCCCATGCTCCCCACTCCCTCAATCCCTGGCTTGGACTCACACAGATTAAATTTGGAAACAGAAATTCCAAGTATGAATAGTCCCAAGCCCACATCCAGGGCTTTGCGCAGGTTTCTTTCCTGCATCTGCCCTCCCAAAGGCTCACTTTGCTGCTCAGGTGCATAGCACTGGGCCTGCAGTGTGCCTAGGGAATGGCTCTTGGCTGGGGTGTTCGACTCGTGAACTCGGAGAGGCAGGTTGAGAAATTCCATCTGAAGAGTTTGGGCTTAGAGCTCCCTCGTAACTTAGAGATGATTTTTTAAAGGACTCAGGTGTCCATCTTTGGTTCAGAAAAGATGATCTTGTACCTAAATGTCTCCCATGTTGCCATTCCAGTCTCAAATGTCATACTGGTAAGTAACCTTATGGTCATAAATTGTATATTTATTAACAATGACTTGCTCCAGGTGGTAACCTCAGTTCTTTTGAAATAGAACATCTGATCTTGTGATATTAAAGCTTCTTTAACTTGTGATGTTAAAGCTGCTTCCTTTACTAAGCAAGTGACTTTTCAAATCGAAGATTTATAATTAAATGCAAAGCTGGTAAATTATATCATGCCACCCGTATGAATACTTTCATGTTAGGCTTAGGAATAATCTTTTTATTATTTTCTTTGAAGTGTTTATAATATTTAAAAGAATTTGCCGTATTAGACTACCTTACAGATGTCTTGTGATTCCATTTATTTAAAACATGTAATTTACATAATTTCAAATTTTAAAAAGTAAGAATATGAGCAAAAGTGTAAGTGGCATAATATTTAAGAGAAATGGATTTATCAAATTTATTACTTGAGATTTACGAGAGCCTTTGAAGTGCTGTGGAAGGTTTTAAAAACAAGATCGGGGCTTGCTTGTTCAGGCATTTGAAATGCTAAAAATAAATCAAATATATTAAGCCCATTAATGCAGTTTAAAATATTTAAGGGGGTTTGCTGTATACAAAGTCAATATTAGAAAGTAATGCTTCTTCTATATTCCAGCAACAAGAAAATAAAATGGTCCACACATAAATGAATGCTTGATGTACAATAAAGGTGCACTGCAGGGCAGCGGGAGAAAAAAGTCTTTCCAATAAGTGGCACTAGGACAATTGCGTACCATGCTGGAAAAAGAAGAAATTGAACTCCTAACTCACACAAAAGTCAATTCCAGGTGAATATGAGATCTAATATGTTACAAATTGTTAAGTTATCCAATGATTAATACAGAAGAATATCTTCGTGACCTGGGAGGGTGGCGAAAGGTTTCTTAAATGAGACACAAAAACACTAACCGTAAAAGTATAGATTAGTACAATAAATTACATGAAAACAAAACACTTCTGTTCCACAAAAATGCCATTAAAAGAATAAAAATACAAGCCATAGACTGGCAGGAGATATTTGCAACTTAGGTAACCAACTATCAACAACAAAACTTGTTTCCAATCATATAAAGAACTCCTTTGGTAATTTGGTAAGAAAAAAGGCAGAAACCCTAACTAAAACTAGGCAAACGACTTGATTATGCATTTCACAATAGAGAAAATCCAAATGGTTACTAAACATGGAAAAGTGTTCTTCACATAATTAATAAACAGAGAAATGCTAATTAAAATAAGATGTCACTGAGTACCTACTGTATTAGCAAACTTTTTAAAGTTTCATAATATCAAGTGTTGATGAAGAGTTCTAATTTTTGGTGGGAATATACTGTAACTTGTACAGCCAGTTTCTTTTTGTTGTTTTGTTTTGTTTTTTGAGACAGGGTCTCACTCTGTCACCCAGGCTGGAGTGCAGTGGCACAATCTCAGCTCACTTTAATCTCTGCCTCTCAGGTTCAAGTGTTTTTCCCATCTCAGCCTCCCAAGTAGCTGGGACTGCAGGAGCATGCCACCATGCCTGGCTAATTTTTGTATTTTTAATAGGGACGGGGTTTCACCATGTTGGCCAGGCTGGTCTTGAATTCCCGGACTCAAGCAATCTGCCAGCCTCGGCCTCCCAAAGTGCTGGGATTACAGACACAGCCACCGCACCTGACCTGTACAGTCACTTTGGAAAACAATTTGGGATTATTTTACTGTGTTGCTTGGAGGAAGCATCACTCCTCTGGGAATCAGGATCTTTACAAGTAATTCCCCAAATAGGTCACTGGGAGTGATGGTGGAACCATTCCAACTTTCACTTCATTCCCAGCTCCATGTATTCTATATACTGGGAATATAGCACCACATACAGTGGCAGATGCTTGAAGGTCTGTTCTGTAACCTGAGGATAGTGCCCTATCTTTTGCAGGGTGTCATCTCCCAGCCAGCACTTTAGCTGTAACTTCAAGAGGCAATTTCACTACTCTTTCATGATGGCAGTTTCTAGATGGTGCATGATCCACAACCACATGCCCAATGCCATACCTCAGTTGCTATGAAGACAGTCTCGTGGTTCAAAGACAATGTTAGGCGCCATCCCAGGTCAGTAGGTCATACACTTTATGAGCTTGCACACAGTGGAGATAGCTGAGGCACTACAGGCAGGAAAAGTAAAAACATATCTGGAATATGTGTCAATCCCATTCAAGATAAATTTTTTTTTCCAGAGTTGAATGGAACTGATATAAACAATAGGCCGCCGAATGACTAGTTGGTCATCTGAAGGAAGAATACCAATAAGAAAAGTAAGTTCTAGGGATCTGATATACAGCATGGTGACTATAATTGATACTGTATTTTATACTTGAAATTTGCTTTCAAGATTGCTAAGATCTACTTAAGCGTTTTTCTACCATGAAAAGGTAGAGATGATAGGTGTATTAATTAGCTTGATTGTGATCATCATTACACAGTGTGTATGTACATCAGATCTCCACATGGACACCTTAGATACATAAAATTTTTATGTGTCAGGTATACCTCTATAAGGGTGAGGGGAAAAAGAAGGAATGGTACCATATCAAGTACTCGGGAGTGATCTTTGTTGCTGAAAGTTTAGACATCTAGCAGCAACAGTAGGTAGATCAGCCATGGTGAGACAGAGTTTATATTGTTGGACCCAAGCTTCAGGGTTGCTTGGAACACAGCAGGAACCTGCTTCAGAGTCTTTTTCGTTCTTGGCCCAAGTCAAAATTAACAGTTTCCAGATTATTCCAACAGTTTGTTGAAGAGTATTCCCAAGTGTTTTATATATTTTGCCTCCAAAATGGCCTGTAAAGGAAGGTGTGATGTATAGAAACTTGTCGTTTACCTTGGAAGGGATGTCTCAGCATATTCCAGCATGTGGATGCCTAAAAACTTTATTGAAGTGTATGGCTGCTGAATCTTTGTAGTGTTTTTCTTCCTCCGTTTAGATTACGTGTCTTAATAAGACGTCCAGAATAATCGCCATTTCTTGCTCCTAAGGTCCAAATAACATGATGTCACCCACTTAGTGACCCCAAGTGAAGTTCTGTGGACTGTTCAGATGGCCCAGAACCCTTTGCACTATCACGGCAGAGATCTAGAGAATTGACATAGTGCTTGGACAAGACCGTGAGTGTGTAACTGTTAGCCATCCCGTGTGTGTTTCTTGTCCTTCTGAATGATAGAGAGCAAAATGGAAGCAGATCAATAGCCACTAACCACACAAGCAGTAGTGTTAATCTGCTATAGTAAAGATGTCACATCGAATACAGAAGATGTTATTGAAGTTACTACTTGGAGAAGTTTGTAGTAGTTCAAGGTCATATGCTCTGATTCACCTGATTTTCTAGGGGGCCGAATGGTGAATTATATGGGTTTATAATGAAATCCAGCACCCCTATATCCTTTAAATTTCTCAGGGTGATGCTAAACTCTGCCATGTCACTCCTGGGATGCAACGTTGCTTTTGATTTATAGTCTTGGCAATGGGGTGAGAATGTAGTTTTAGGGGCTTCTACTTGCCATTCCTACTACAATAGCTCTTACTCTATAAGTCAATGAAATAATATGAAGGTTCTGTAAAATCCTAATATGTCTGTTCCAATTATACATTCAGAAACTGGGAAAATGATCTCTGTGTGAATCTGTAGACCAGAGGACACATGTGTCCAGCTAGGACTCCATTAATTACTTGAACCTCATATACTTCTGCTCTACCAAGAAGTCCATGAAGATGCTTTTGTTCTCTAGGTATCTGCATCAATTCAGACCGTATATCTAACAGTCCTCATAAAAGCTATGTATTCCCATTTCCAGAGCATGATACCCTAGTGTATAGCCAAAGACCTTTTGGGGAATAGCTAGAGGAATCGCTACTGTATACATTTGTCCTGGTGTTGCAGTGTCCTTCTTCATGTGGACCTGGCCTCTCTTTCAGTCAAGGGGAATGTTCTGTAGTGGGTTTGAAAACTACCTGAGGTTTGTAAACTGGGCAAGGAATCCTGACTTTCTATTGGAGTAGCTGACCACAGTCTTCCGCTCATCTACTCTTGGTTTTTCTTTTGATTTTATATATATTGAGCAATATCCTTGATGGCTGCACATCTATCTTATCCCTTAGAACATTTTATTCTATTTTTTAAAATGAGCTATTCAATTTATATGAATTTTTAGATTAGGCAAAACTAATTATTGGTAAAATAAATCAGAAAAATGATTGCCTCTGTGGCTGGGGACTTACTGGGGCATAAGGCATCCTTTGGGGGTGATCAAAATGAGCTTTCTTCTTTTTTATTTTTAAATTGGCAAATTAAAATTACATATATTTATGGTGTACAATATGATGTTTTGAAATATGAATGGGTTGTAAAATGGCTAAATCAAGCTAATTAATAAATGCATTGCCTCACATACCATTTATTTGCAGTGAGAACACTTAACATTTACTCTGTTAGCAATTTTCAAATATATCATACATTGTTATTAACTATAGTTATCTTATTGTACAATAGATATCTTGAACTTGTTCTTCCTGACTGGCTGAAATTTTATATTCTTTGCCCAATATCTCCTCAATCCTCAGCCCTCTCCATGCTAGTTCCTGATAATCACCATTCTATTCTCTGCTTCTGTGAGTTCAACTTTTAAAAATTCCACATACAAGTGTTTCGTGTGATATTTGTGTTTCTTTCTTTCTGGTTTATTTCACTTAACATAATGTCTTCCAGGTTGATCCATGTTGTGGCAAATTTCTTTCTTTTTCAAGGCTGAATAATATTCCAGTTTGTGTGTCTGTGTGTATATGTGTGTGTGCAGGTGTATACATACCATATTTTCCTTTTAAAGTTTTATTTCATTTTCAATTGACACGTAATTATACGTATTATTTATGGAGTACAATAATATGTTTTGATACATGTATACATTGTGAAAAGTTCAAATCAGGGTAAGTAGCATATCCATCACCTTACATATCTATCTTTTTTTGTTGTGAAAACATTCACAATCCTCTCTTCTAGCTATTTTGAAATATACAATACATTATTGTTAACTATAATCACTCTGTTGTGCAGTAGAACACCAGAACTTATTCATCCTATCTAGCTGTAACATTATACCTGTTGACCAACATTCCCCATCCCCACTCCTCCTCACTACCCTCCTGGCCTCTGGGAACCATTATTCAACTTCAATGAGATCAACTTCTTTAGATTCTACATATGAGTGAGGTCAGGCAGTATTTGTCTCTGTCCCTGGCTTATTTCACCTAACATAATCCTCTGGGTTTTTCCATGTTGTCCCAAATGACAGGATTTTTTTTTTATGGCAGAATAGTATTCCACTGTGCATAGGCATACACCACATTTTCTTTATCTATTCATCAGTTGGTGGACACTTAGCTTGATTGAATATCTTGGTTATTGTTATTAGTGCCGCAATCAACATGGGAGTGCAGATTAGCTCTTCGACATACTGATTTCATTGCCTTTGGATATATTCCCAGTAGCGAGATTGCTGGATCATATGGTAGCTCTATTTTTAATTTTTTGAGAAACCTCTCTACTGTTTTTCATAATGGCTGTACTAATTTACATTCCCACAAACAATGTAAAAGGGTTCCCTTTTTTCCATATCCTCACCAACACTTATCTTTCATCTTTTTTTTTTTTTTTTTGCAGTTGCAAGATTTAATAGAGTGAAAACAGAGCTCTCATACAAAGGGAGGGGACCCCAAGGGGGTTGCTGCTCCCTGCTCGAATGCCTGGGTTTATATCCCAATCATTGTCCCTCCCCCTGTGCTCTCAGGTGATAGATGATTGGCCATTTCTTTACCTCCTGTTTTACCCTAATTAGCATTTTAGTGAGCTCTCTTTACTACCTGATTGGTCAGGTGTGAGCTAAGTTGCAAGCCCCGTGTTTAAAGGTGGATGTGGTCACCTTCCCAGCTAGGCTTAGGGATTCTTAGTCGGCCTAGGAAATCCAGCTAGTCCTGACTCTCAGTCCCCCTTCTCAACAGGAAAACCCAAGTGCTATTAGGGAGATTGGCCGACAACCGCTCTTAACTGCTTCCTGCTGAATTGAGGCATAGTAGGGGTCGTGCAGTTGAGATTTCCTCAGGAGGGGTGCCTTCCATGTCATTAACATTGGAGCACGGTCTAGCAGGCCAGTCCAGGGGTCCGTGGTAGATCTTAGTCATGGACTGCATCTGGGGCTCCATTTGAAGAACAATTTGTAGTCTTACAGCTTCGATTCTGGAAGACATAAACTTAACAAGGAGGTTAAAGACACAGGGATAGGAATGTATGGCCGGCAGTGCAGGGGATTATTTCTTTGGCACACTTCACAGGCCCTGACTATCTGCTTGATAGTTTTGAAAAGGCCTGGTCTAGTAAATAATAATTTGGCCATCTGATGGGTGCTATCAATGCCTAAGTGGAAGGTTTGGTGAAGGGTTTTAAGTAATTTCCATTGGTTAGCTGAGGGCAAAAGTATTTTTCCTTCTTTGGTGGCTAGCCATCCTGAGGGGAGAAAACTATGTCCTCGTGGGGTTCCCCATTCTATTTCTCCTGTTGCATACTGGGGTTTGGTTTCCCAGAGGGGATTACCCCATACTAGGGGTCCTTCTATAAGCAGTTCTAATGGAGGGTCCTGCGTTGCAGCTTTTTCGGCTTCAATATCCACTTGGCGGTTCCCTTCTATTTCCCTTTCCTTTCCTTTCTGATGACCCTGGCAGTGTAAGACTGCCACCTCTTTAGGTTTCTGTACAGCCAATAATAATCTCCTAATGGCTTCCTGATGTTTGATAGGTATTCCGTCGGAAGTCAGGAATTCCTTTCCTCTCCATAGTGCTGTGTGGGCATGGAGGACTAGGTAAGCATACTTAGAGTCTGTTTATATATTTACCCTTTTTCCTTCCCCTAATTCTAGTGCCCAAATAAGGGCTATTAGTTCCGCCAGCTGAGCGCTAGTTCCTGGAGTGAGGGGATTACTTTCAAGTATTCCATTATCACTGACCACTGCATACCCCACTTTTCAAAGTCCTTTTTCTACAGAGGAACTTCCATCAATATACAAGTTGAGGGCAGGATCAGTCAAGGAACCTCTAGATGGTCCCCTCGAGTGGCATAGGTTTGAGCAATCACCTGTTGACAGTTATGTTCTATCTCTTCTTCATTGTCTGGAAGAAATGTGGCTGGGTTAAGAGTTGCACAAGTGTGCAGTCACAGCACTGGCCCTTCAAGTAATAGAGCCTGATATTTAAGCAAATGGTTGTCTGACAGCCACAAGTCTCCTTTATCAGTGAGTATGTGATTTTACATCATGAGATGTCCACACAGTAAGATCTCTTCCCTGTATTATTTTAACTGCTTCAGATACTAAGACTGCTACTGCTGCCACTACCTGTAAACAATGAGGCCAACCCTTTGCCACCACATCACTTTCCTTTCTCAGGTATGCCACGGGTTGCAAGCTCGTCCCTTGGACCTGTGTAAGGACTCCTAGAGCTATTCCTGTTTTTTCTGTGACATATAAGGAAAAAGTCTTGCCCCGTTGGCAAGCTTAACACTGGGGCTTGGGTTAGGGCCTTCTTTAAGACCTGAAAAGCTGCTTCTGCTTCAGGTGTCCATCTTACTAAATGGGTATTGGCTTTCTGAGTTTTCTTAATTAGTGTATGTAATGGCCTGGCTATTTCGCTGTACCTGGGAATCCATATTTGGCAGAAGCCTGTGATGCCAAGGAGCCCTCTTAGTTGTTTTCGGGTTTTAGGATGAGGATAAGCCAATATAGGCTGGATACGTTCCTCACTGAGGGCCCTGGTGCCTTTGGATAGTTTTAGCCCTAAGTATTTAACCTGCTGTGAGCAGATCTGAGCCTTTAGTTTGGAAACCTTGTAGCCACAGGTGGCGAGGAAATTTAAGAGTACTTGGGTGGCTTGATGGCACAAGGTTTCTGAAGGGGCGGCTAAAAGTAAATCATCCACGTACCGAAGGACAAGAGTGTCCAGGTATGAGAACTGGCTCAAGTCTTGGGCTAATGCCTGGCCAAATAGATGGGGGCTATCCCTGAACCCTTGGGGTAAAACAGTCCAGGTGAGTTGAGACGTTGGGTTCAAAGGATCTTCAAAGGCAAGCAAGAATTGAGAGTCAGGATGTACAGCGATGCAGAAAAGGGCATCCTTAAGGTCCAGGACTGTAAACCACCCTGTTTCCTCTGGTATTTGGGAAAGCAGAGTATAAGGGTTACGTACAGCTTGGTATAGAGGGACAACAGCCTCATTGATGATCCTGAGATCTTGCACTAACCTCCACTGTCTGTTGGGTTTCTGTACTCCTTAAATTGGAGTATTGCAGGGGCTATTGCATGGTTTTACTAGGCCTTGGGCTTTTAGGTCCTTAACAATCTTTTGGAGTCCTTGCTGGGCCTTGGGTCTAAGGGGGTACTGCCTTTTGTAGGGAAAGGAGGCGGAATCCTTTAGTTTAACTTGAACAGGACAGGCATTCTTTGCTCGTCCATATTGTCCTTCTGTTGCCTAGACTTCAGGATTAATTCCTTCCTCAAGCAGGGGACAACAAACGGGTGTTCCTTCTCCTATGTTCAGGTGTATATTGGCCCCTGCTTTTGCTAGAATGTCTCTCCCTAACAAGGGAGTGGGACTTTCAGGCATAATTAGAAAAGCATGTGAAAAGAGTAAAGTTCCCCAGTCACAACTTAGTGGCTGGGAGAAGTATCTAGTGACTGGCTGTCCTAGGACCCCTCGGATGGTGACAGATCTGGAGGACAGTTGTCTGGGACAGGAGAATAAGACTGAGAAGTCCATGCCAGTGTCCAGGAGGCAGTTAACCTCCTGGCCCTCAATGGTCAAGCATACCTGGGGATCTGTGATGGTGATGGCATGGGCTGGCGCTTGCCCCGGCCACCCTTAGTCATGCTGCTGGATCATCTGGTTAGTGGCTTCTGACTCAGAGGACCTTCGTCCTCTGGGGCAGTGGGCCTTCCAGTGATTCCCTTGACATAAGGGGCATGAATGAGGGGGCGGCTTATTTTTATTTGGACAATCTTTTTTAAAGCATCCTTGTAGACCACACTGGAAGCAAGCCCTATTAGGCATTTGATTTGCCCAGCTTTTCCCTTTTCTAGAGCCTCCAAAGTCCTCTTGCCTGAGAGCCATGACTAAAGCGGTGGCCTTTTTTTTAATCCCGTTTGTCCCGTTCTGCCTGCTCCTCCTGATCTCTATTATAAAAAACCAAGGTGGCCAAGTTCAATAGGGTTTCTAAGTTTTGCTCTGGGCCTAAGGCGGACTTTTGAAGTTTTTTCCTAATGTTTGCAGCTGACTGAGTGATAAACTTATCCTTTAAGATAGGTTGGCCTTCAATAGAGTCAGATGACAGAGAGGTATGCTTCCTCAATGCCTCCCTTAGTCTCTCCAGAAAGGCAGTAGGATTTTCTTCCTCTCCCTGTGTTATAGTGGACATTATTGAATAATTTATAGGCTTTTTCCTAGTTTTCCTTAGTCCTTCTAGCATGCAAGTTAACAAATGTCTGCGGCACCAATCTCCATGTTCTGATTCTGTGTCCCAGTCAGGGTCTACACTGAGAACTGCCTGCTGGCCTGTGGGGAATTGTTCTTTCCTCTGTTGTCATCCTATCATTGACCTGACTGAGATATCAGAGATCGCCAAACTCTCGGGCTGCAGTTATGGTGGCACTTCTCTCATTTGTGATTAGTATCTGATCCAGCAGTAACATTATATCTCTCCATGTCAGATCAAAGGAGTGTCGTACCTTTGTAAAACATCAATATAGCCATCAGGGTTATCTGATAATTTACCTAGGTCTATTTTAATTTGCTTCAAATCTGAGAGAGAAAAAGGTACATGCACTCCGGCTGGGCCGAATTCTCTTCCTCCCACGACTTGGAGGGGGCATAATTGGGGAATATTGGCACTTTTTGGTTCATTGTTTACCCCTTTGTCTATCTTCTTTTGGACCGTTTGGGTTGAAGGGGGGTCCTTATTTGTTGGGAAAGGAGTCAGGGGGACACCGGGATAGGGAGGTAGACTCTGAGGGCTTCCTGTAGGGCATAAATCACACTTTTTACATAATTGCGAGTTGTCTCTTAATGAAAAGAAAGTTTGTACATATGGCACTTCACTCTATTTGCCTTCTTTTCTACAAAAGAGGTCTAGCTGTAAGATGGTGTTATAATTTATACTTTCCTCAGGAGGCAAGATTTCTCCCCCTTGAAGAGAATATCTTGGCCAGGCGGTACTGCAGAAGAATATAAGTTTTTTCTTTCTTAGCGTCTGAGGGTCAAATTGGTCCCAATTCTCCAGAATACATCTTAGGGGCATTTTTGCCTTGGGGGGAAAGTTTCCCATTGCTTTGGAGGTCCCTTCATGGTCACCAAAAAGTTACTGGGGGTTCTTGTTCTTAGAGCTCCCAAGATGGTGGCAGGCCGCTTCCAAGATGGCAGCAAGCCTCTTGTTCTCTGACTTGGGGTTCTTGGCCTCACGGATTCCAAGGAATGGAATCTTGGGCCATGTGGTGAGTGTTATAGCTCTATTAGAAGCCGTGGGTTATGGAAGAGAACCGTAGAACCCAGCAACTACTATTCAGTTTGCTTAGAATGAACCTGGGCACTTAGCCGTGCAGGAACAATGGCAAGCTTTTAGCCAGATTGGGAGTGGCAATGGGCGTCTCGCTGGATCATAAGCACAGCGGAAACCCTGCTGGATCCGGAGGGGTGGAAGTCAGCGGTGGGTCTGCGACAGTGGCAAACAGCAGTGGTGGATGGTGAGTGAAAGCTCAGCTCAAGCCGTAACAAACACGGACCAGAAGAGTGTGCAGTTGCAAGATTTAATAGAGTGAAAACAGAGCTCCCATACAAAGGGAGGGGACCCAAAGGGGGTTTCCCTATCTTTCATTTTTTTGATAACAGCCATTCTAAGAAATGTGAGGTGATATCTTATTGTGATTTCAATGTGATGATGATTAGTGATATTGAGTTTTTAAAAAATATATCTATTGGCCATGTGTATGACTTTTTTACGAGAAATGACTGTTCAGGTCCTTTATCTATTTTTAAATTGGATTATTTGTTTTCTTAGTATTGAGTTGTTTGAGGTGTTTCTTAGCATCTATTGTTTGAGTTCCTTGTATATTTTGCATATTAACCCCTTATCAAATGTATGGTGTGCAAATATTTTCTTCCATTCTGTAGGTTGTCTCTCCACACTGTTGATATTTTCTTTGCTGTGCAGAAGCTTCTCAGTTTGATGTAATCTCATTGATCTATTTTTGCTTTTGTTGCCCCTGCTTTGGAGGTTATAGCCAAAAGATCATTGCCCAGAACAATGTCATGGAGCTTTTGTCTTCTGGTATCTTCTAGTAGTTTTACAGTTTCAGGCCATATGTTTAAGTCCTTAGTCCACTTTGAATTGATGTTTTGCATATGGTGTGAGATAAGGGTCTAATTTAATTCTTGTGCATGTAGGTATCCATATTTCCCAACGCCATTTACTGAAGAGACAGTTCATTTTTCATTGTGTTTTCTTGGCATCTTTGTCCAAAATCAATTGAGAGTAAATGTGTGAATCTATTTCTGGGCTCTCCATTCTGTTCCATTGGTCTAAGTGTCTGTTTTTATGCCAGTACCATGATGTTTAGATTATTATAGCTTTGTAGTATATCTTGAAGTCAGGTAGTATGATGCCTCCAGCTTTGTTCTTTTTGCCCAGGATTTCTTTGGCTATTTGGGGTCTTTCATGGTTCCATATGAATTTTAGGACTGTTTTTTTCTATTTCTCTCAAAAATGTCATTGGAATTTTGATAGGAATTTCACTGAATCTGTAATTCACTCTGGGTAGTATGGACATTTTAACTATATTAATTCTTCTAATCCAGGAATGTGAGATATCTTTCCATTTATTTGTGTCTCCTTCAATTTTTTTCATCAGTGTTTAATAGTTTTCAGTGTACAGATCTTTCACCTCCTTGGCTAAATTTACTCCTATTTTATTTTTTGATGCTACTGTAGATGGGATTGTCTTTTTAATTTCTTTTTCAGATAGCTCATTGTTAATGTGTAGAAACACTACTAATTTTTGTATATTGATTTTGTATCCTGCAATTTACTGAAACTTTTTTTAGTTCAACAGCTTTTTCTTGGTGGTGTCTTTAGGGTTTTTGGTGTATAAGATTACGTTGCCTGCAAACAGAGACAATTTTTTTCTGATTTGGATGCCTTTTATTTCTTTCTCTTGCCTAATTGCTCTGGCTAGGACTTTTAATTATCCCACAGAGTTTCTGGTGGTCAGAAATCTGAGGGTGGTTTTGCTTGTTCACTGTTGGTGGTAGCATGCTACTGTGTGGCCTCTGGAATCCTATCATCTCCATGACTACTAGGGACCCTAGTTCTGAAATAGCATCTCTTATCATCAACTCTGGTCTACAGAGGAGAGCCACCACTCACCTCAATGACACTGGTGTCCTCTACCAGCAATTTCCTTATTGCCTTGATGCATAAGTCCTCCATACTCTTTCAAGAATCATATTTAGCTGATAAGTTTCCAGTTTCACATAGTAGACCCTGTTTAGCATGTACACTTTGGTGGGCCTTTCAATCCCTTCCTCCACTCTGCCTGGCAACTCTGGCACCTCCACTTGATTTAATAGGGGCCACTGCTCTTACAATCTCCTGAAGTCCATCCCAACTAGAAAAACTATTGGCTTGATTGATAGTTTATTTTCATTTCACCCATATATTTCACTAAACTTTCTTCTGGCTTAGGATTCAGCTGGAGTGATGTGTGATCCTGAGCTCTGATTGGTGTTCCAATTTTTCCCATAAAATTGAGGTTAATACAAAGTGCATGAGATCATTATAATCAGCTCAGTAAAAAGAACTGTGGGCACAAGAAGAGGTCAGAGAGTCCACAGAAGAGGAACAGACCCGGGAACAAATAGCTTAAACTTACAAAAGAGCTAGCATGAAGTCCTATTTTTCAGGAAGAGGTGTCTATATAAGGCCAATGTGAGGTTCATTTTCAGGCAATTTATTAATGTTAATTGAGAGCTTTTTCTTCGTTTCAAATATTATAGCCTTATTTTTCCTGTCTGAACTCAATAAACAGCTAGTAAAATTAGCCAACATGGACAAAAATTAACACGGAAAAGGCCTGTGGTCATAAAACACATTAACTATTCAGCATTGAGACTATTTTTATTTCTATCTTCTGCCAGAAAATTAGCAGCAATTAAAACTATAATTTTTTTTCTTATTTCCATATAGGCCTGAGAGGTTAAAATAGAAAGTTAAATAACGTGAGTGACATACCAAATGACCCAGCAAGTGTTTGACTGAGATAAGTTTTAACACTTCTGCTAAAAAATTGAAAAACTGTCACTTCCTTGTTAGAGCTGAAAATAGTCAGCTCTTACAAATTGTTCTTCCTGATGCAAATCCATATTAAGCTTTGTATTATTAACACGAATCACTCAAAACAATTCCAAATGGGACTTAGGGAGAATTGTGTAATAAATAATACTAGATTGTTGATAAAGCATTTAATCCAGTTTAAATGAGTGCTTTACCCCAAGAGAGCTGACTTGAGCTTTTTTTCCTTTCCTTCTATAAATTCAAGGCCTACATACAAATTCAATTTAATAAATATGTATTATGCAGCTGTTAGGTAAAAATTCAGTGACTAGGTGCTTCCAGGACTACAAATGTGAAGAAGATGTAGTGAATACTATGTAAATTACAATGTAATTGTGGTAATGAATATGAAAAATGTATAATTTATTACAATGGAAGGCAGCATAAAAACTGACTATTCAGTGAAGGTGTGGATTACTTTTAATGTGATGAAAAAGGAATTTATAAAAGAAATGATATTTGGGGTAGGCTTAGAAGTCTGTGCAGCATTTCAGAAGTTGGTGACGGCCCTTTAGGGTGATCATTCTGGGGAAGGGTCTTTCTTTCATGAAACAGGTAATGGAGAACTGAAAGCTCATGGTGTGTTCAGAGAACAGCTAGCAGAGGAGAGGAGGAAAGAAGAGAAGGAAGGAAGAAGATCAAGCTGAAATGGTACTACGGGGACTCTTAATGCTCCATTAAGCCAAATGGTTTGGACTTCATCTGTAAGTAATAGGGAGCCAATGAAGAGTGTGGGACAGGAGAGTAATTCAATTCAGTATGTATTTTGAATTGATGGCTATGATAGTGACTAAGGAGAATTAGAAAGTAGAGGCAGTTAGACTAGTTCGGTGGCTGTAGAAATAGTCTAGGTGGGAGAGGAGGTCACATTTCAAAGGACCTTGAAGAAATGGGCACCTGTGGTGGAGATATTGTGTTGTCTCCCAATGTCTGTTTGTTCCTTCTTGCTTTACTTATAACCCCCCTCACCTTTCACTGGGTGCATCTCCATTCGGCATAAAGATTAATCCCTGCCTCCTTGGCAGTTAGATGGGGTCATGTGTCTAAGGTCTGGCTAGCAGACATAAATGGAAGCAGTCTCTGCAACTTCTGCAGAATGACCCTAACGGAAGGGATTCACTTTTCTTTATCTTTTCTCCTTTCTGATGGTTGGAGGCTGGCCATGGTGGCTACAACTGGAGCAGCCATTTGGGTGGTGAGGTGAGTTCAAGATGGAAGCCAAGCACAACCTAGAAGGACCCTGACTCCCTGACACCATGGTTTGCCATATGGGACCTGGACTGATTCCCTTTGGAACTTTATCTGAGAGAAATAAACTTCTGTCTTGCTTAAGCCATTTTTATGGTGTCTTTCTGTCATTTGTAGCTAATCCTAATCCTAATTTTTACATTATCCTTCCATAAGCTGTGAAGAGCCACAAAAAGTTTTATGCGGGGGAATGAAATGATGAATATCATCTATTGCAAGAGATTCTATGCCCGCCATGTCTTGAAAGAACTGCAGACACGCAATGCTTCAAGCAACAACACACCTTAGGAGACCACGGCAGCCACCTGGTTTGAGAGGGGACCTGGACTGAAATAAGGCAGCAGGAAGGGGCTATCATTCCCTGAAGATGCCCACAGCCCTTTCACAACTCCCATGTTTTTGCTCTTACTATTCCTTCTGATTAGAAAGATCTCACCTTCAAGACCTACCTAGTCCTGAAATGATCTTCGGCATTCTCACAGAGTTTTGTTTTCCTACAAAAGTTTGTCCACTCATTTCTTTGTTCATGCTATTAATGCTCTCTCAAACACATATATAAATCCGATGGTGTCTTTCCTGGTTAAACTCCCTGGGCAGACAAAGCACTCCAAGAACTAAACATCATGGAGCACTTACTGTGCACTGGGCAGATTGTTACGCCCTTTATATGCACTGTCTTATTGAAGCCTCTAAACATCTCTATGAGGTGAGTAGCTTCTCTCCAAGAACGCTGGACTTCCCTCAAAAGCAGCACTCTCTCCTGGTCATCCTACATAGGCAAGGGGATATGTTGTTGTTGATAGTGTTGTTTCTGCCTTGGCGCCTCTCGAGTGGCCATTGGAAAGGTGGCTGCCCCTAGAGCTAGAGGCTTCCAAAAGGGGGTCATTAACACCTGTTGTCTTCAGATTTCTGTATTAGCCACAACTCTCAACAACAACAAATAAACTCTATGTCTTTTATATATTTAAATCACTGATCCAACTTAACAGATACTTACTGAATACCAATTCTGAACTTTGCATTCTACAGTTTATTTTGGTGAAGAAAATGAAAAAAACACAGTTTTATTTTATTTTTCCATAGATTAGCCAGTTGTTCTAATACCATTTACTGAAAAAATAATAGTACTTATTTCCCTCTCTGGTTTGAAATACTATATTAATCATTTATTTTAAACTAATTTCGCATATGTGTGTATCTATAGGGATTTTATAAACTCAAATTATTCCTGGGAATATAACCTTGTAATTGTGTGGAGTTTTTAATACTCTTTTTTTTTTTGTTTTTTTTAAGACAAGCTCTCACCGTGTCACCGAGGCTGGAGTGCAGTAGTGCAAATTATAGCTCACTGTAACCTTGAGCTCCTGGGCTCAAGCAATCCTCCCAGCTCCCTGCCACAGCCTCCCAAGTAGCTAGGACTACTGGTGTGGGCCATCATGCTAGGATAATTTTTAATAATTTTTTTTTTTTTTTAAGAAACAAGGTCTTACTATGCTGCCCAAACTGGTCTTGAACTCCCGGCCTCAAGCAGTCCTCCCACCTTGGCCTCCCAAAGTGCTGAGATTACATGCATGAGTCACCATGTCTGACCCTAACTATTTATTTTGGAATAATTACAGACTCACACGAAGTTGCACAAATAGCTCAGAGTCCTGTGTTCCCTTCCTCGCAATGGTGACATCTTATATAACTACAATATCAAAACTAGGAAATTGATATTGGCAAATTACTGTTAAATAAGCTACAGCTATTCAATTTTTCACCATTTAAAAAACATTCATTCACTATTATGGATGTGTGAATAGTTCTATGCAATTTTATTCCAATATATAGATTCGTGTAACCACCACCACAATCGAGAAACAGAACGATTCCATTACCTATTTCTTCATATTTGCACCTGGCCCTCACGTTCTTCCACCTGTTCACCCACTTTTCTGTGTACTGGCAACAACTAACCTGTCTCCATTTCTATCCTTTTGTCATTTCGAGAATGCTTTATAAATAGAATCATTACTGTACATAATTTTTTGAGAGTGACATTTTCCACTGAGCATGTTGCCCTTCAAGTCCATCTAGGCTGTTGCATGTACCAATAGTGCATGTTTTTTGGCTAGGCGTGGTGGCTCATGCCTGTAATCCCAGCATTTTGGGAAGCTGAGGTGGGCAGATCACTTGAGGCCAGGAGTTCAAGACCAGCCTAGGCAAGTAGAGGAAACCCCATCTCTACTAAAAATACAAGAAATTAGCCGGGTGTGGTGGCTTGCACCTGTGGTCCCAGCTACTTGTGAGGCTGAGGCAGATGAATCACTTGAACCCAGGAGTCAAAGGTTGCAGTGAGCTGAGCTTGTGCCACTGCACTCCAGCCTGGGTGATGGAGCAAGACCCTGTCTCAAAAAAAAAAAAAAAAAATAGTTCATGTTTTTTGCATTAGTAAGTAGCTTTCTGTTGTATGGATTTGGCAGTTCATTCAACCATTCACTCATTCAAGGACATTTGGGTTGTTTGCAATATTTTGCTATTTATAAATAAAATGGCTATGAACATTGGTGTACAGATTTTTGTGTAAGTTTTCATTTCTCTGGGATAAATTCCTAAGATTGCAACTGCCAGGTTATATGGTAAGTGCATGCTTTGTTTCATAAGAAATTGCCAAATTATTTTCCAGAGTAGCTATACCAGCAATGTATGAGAGACACTGTTTCTCTGTATTCTTAGCAGCATTTAATATTATCATTACTTTTTTTTTTTTTAATGTGGTGTCTTGTTCTGTCACCCAGGCTGGAGTCAGTGGCGCGATCTTGGCTTACTGCAACCTCTGCCTCCTGGGTTCAAGTGGTTCTCCTGCCTCAGCCTCCCAAGTAGCTGGGACTACAGGCACGTGCCACCACGCCCAGCTAATTATTTTGTATTTTTAGTAGAGACGGGGTTTCACCGTGTTAGCCAGGATGGTCTCGATCTCCTGACCTCGTGATCCACCTGCCTAGCCCCCCAAAGTGCTGGGATTACAGGCGTGAGCCACGGCACCTGGCCACATTATCACTACTTTAAAAAATTGTGATAAAATTCACACATCATAAAATTGACCCTTTTGTGATAAAATTCACACACCACAAAACTGACCCTTTTAAAATGTGTAATTCAGCTGTTTTTAGTATATGCACAAAGCTGTGCATGTATGACCACTGTCTAATTCCAGAATATTGTAATCATCCCCCCCACACACACAAAAACATATCCACGGGCAGTCATCCCCCATTCCCTGTCCCTCCTCTCATCCCCTAGCAACCACCAGTAGACTTTCTGTCTCTATAGATTTCCCTATTCTGGACATTTCATGTAAATGGAATTATAATGTGTGACCTTTTCTGTTAATACTATTTTTAATTTTAGTTGTTCTAATAGGTGTGTAGTGATACCTGATTGTGGTTTTAATTTGTATTTCCTTAATGACTAATAGTGTTGAACATCTTTTCATGTGCTTATATGCCATCATTATTTCCTTTTTGGTGCAATATTTGTTCATATCTTTTGCCTGTTTTGTAATTGGATTGTTTACTATTGAGTTTTGAGAGTTCTTTCTATATTCCAGATATAAGATCTTTATCAGACATAAGGCTTACAAATATTTTTTCTCAGACTGTAGTTTGTCTCTTCATTTCTCTTTACAGGGTCTTTCACAGTATAAAAGTTTTAGATTTTGCTAATTTATTAATTTTTCTCTTTTATGGATCATGCTTTAGATGACATGTCTAAGAACTCTTTGCCTAGCTCTGTCTCAAATACAAGAACACAAAAGCAAAATCATAATCATAATCCACTGAAAGTTAGTGATATAGAGAAAAATCTTAAAGGAACTAAGAAAAGAAAAAGCTAAAATGGTAAGAACTTGTGAACACAGAGAATGAAATGACAGGCACTGGAGTCTACTTGAAGGAGGAGGGTGGAAGGACGGAGAAGAGCAGAAAAGATAAGTATCGAGTACTGGGCTTAATACCTGGGTGATGAAATAATCTGTACAACAAACCCCCATGACATGTGTTTATGTATGTAACAAACCTTCACATGTACCCCAAACCTAAAATAAAAGTCAAAAAAAGGAGCTGAATACATATAAGGATGAGATTATCATATTAAAGCCAGAATACATTGGAATAGCATCTTTAAAGTGTGAAAAGGAAGTTACAAAAGGAACAATGAATATTTCGTTTCCTATATGCACAGGGAGTTGGCCTTCCACAGTCAGAGCTGGTTAAGCACACTCTATAAGGTTGATGTCTGTCCTTAAGGCCGATGCTAGCGCTGTGGGGATGGCTGTGGCTGATGCAGGGAAGAAAGATGGCTGCCAAGGAGGATAAGGAGAGCAAGAATAAGCTAGAGCTCACAGAGCAAACTGGAACCATGTCAGCTCCCGTTGCCTCAGGTCTTGGTGGTGTGGGTGTCCTGCAGAATCTGAGATTCTTCATGAAGAAGCTAAACACACGCCTGGGCCAGCAGTCAGAAAAGGCGAAGGAGGACCTTGGGGAAGGTGGAGCAGTTGAAGGCCTGGCTGCTGTCTCCCACCAACAAGAGATCCAGATGATAAATGACAATGTGTATGAGCTACAAAAATGTCTGCTGCTTCATTTCCTCCTGATCTCACATAAGAATCTCCCCTGTGACCCTTCCTAATCAAAAATGCACACTGAGGAGAATTTGTAGAAATGTAATTGAGCTCTACACTCACATGTAATATTTCAGTTTATTTTAGCAAAATTTTAATAAAGTGGACATGGTGATAAAGATGTCTGGAAATGGCCAGGCATGATGGCTCATTCCTCTAATCCCAGAACTTTGGGAGGCCAAGGTGGGATGATCACTTAAGGCCAGGATTTCAAATCCAGCCTGGGCAACATAGTGAGATCTTGTCTTTACACAAAAATTAAAAAAATATATATATCTGGGTGTGATAACATGCACCTATAGTCCCAGGTACTCGGAAGCTGAGACAGGAGGATTGCTTGAGGACAGAAGGTTGAGGTTGCAGTGAGCCATGATTGCACCACTGCATTCCAGCCTTGGTGACAGAGCAAGATCCTGTCGAAAGAAAGAAAGAAAGAAAGAAAGAAAGAAAGAAAGAAAGAAAGAAAGAAAGAAAGAAAGAAAGAAAGAAAGAAAGAAAGAGAGAAAGAAAGAGAGAAAGAAAGAGAAAGAAAGAAAGAGAAAGAAAGAAAGAAAGAAAGAAAGAAAGAAAGAAAGAAAAGGAAAGAAAGAGAAAGAAAGAAAGAAAGGAGGAAGGAAGGAGGAAGGAAGGAAGGAAGGAGAGAGAAAGAGAGAAAGAGAAAGAGAGAGAAAGAGAGAGAGAGAGAAAGAAAGAAGAAAAGAAAAGAAAAAAGAAGGAAGGAAGGCAGGCTGAAAACCATCTGTAAAAAGCAGCATGCATATCTGGTTGCTTTAGATCTGGTTTATTGTGGTAACCATGCCCCAGAAGAGTTTCAGCAACTGTACTTACTGGAAAATATTATCTGGCTAGATCTCAGTAGAAAACAAGTCTTCCCCAGGTGGAATTTTGATAAAAATCTGTTAAATGTACACAGATGAAGGCAGAGTGAAGCAAAGCAAGAAGGAAAATTGGGGCATCGGAAGAAGCAACAGTAGGAAGTCTTTCCCTCCCAGAGTCCTGTGCAGCCTGGAGCGAAAAGGAGCTGTGGTGTGCAGGGACCCTGCTGGTGCCAGAACCTTGGTGTCACCTGGAAAGAGTAGAGAAATACCCTGACCCAGCCTCATTGTGCCTTCTGATCTCCTGCAAAAGCCTCCCGAGGCTCCAAGCAGCAGAGAGAATGGCCGAAAATGGATCTAGAAAGACAGAAAATAGCTGGTGCGAGTGATACCTAATTCAGCCAAACCTCTTGCTGTTTTACCAGAAGAACCTGAAATAGTTATGACAATAAATAAACTGATGTAGGGTTTATATTTTCTGTGAAATTTGCTCTTTCTCATTGAAGTTAAACCATATTCATCATTTTGACAAATACCATTACTTTTCATTTTTTTCTCAAATGGAACATTGCCCTATAAATTATTTTCATAACAAAGAGTGACTCAACTTTCAATAAAAGTGATGTATGGAAATCTGCCATGTTCTCATTCATAAATTACTCACTATTACTCATAAATTTTCTGAATGTTAGTCAACTTCTCTAAGTGTTCTGGGTCACAGTAACTCACAGTTAGGCACTGAAAATACAGTTCAACTATTCTAAAGGTGAAAGTGTACAATGGACTAATATGACATTCATGTAATAACGTAAGAAAGCTGTCAGCTCAATATAGTCAAAGCACTAACTGCACTTAGTTCAAAAAGTTGGTGGTTAAAACTCATGAAGTCAATACTATAAAAAAACACTCTCCAAGTACACTCTTGCTCTTAATAATAAGTTTAAAAGGCTGGACATGGTGGCTCACACCTGTAATCCCAGCACTTTGGGAGGCCGAGGTGGGCGGATCACTTGAGCTCAGGAGTTCGAGACCAGCCTGGGCAACATGGTAAAACCCCATCTCTACAAAAAATAAAAAATACAAAAATACAAAAATTATCCATGTATGGTGGCATGCACCTGTAGTCCCAGCTACTCAGGAGACTGGGGTGGGACGATCACTTGAGCTTGGGAGGCAGAGATTGCAGTGAGCTGAGATTGCGCCACTGCACTCCCGCCTGGGTGACAGAGCGATACCTGTCTCTCAAAAAATAATAATAATAATAATAATAATAATAATAATAAAGTTAAAATGTACAGCATAGATCTCCGGCTATTTCTTTGGAATATATTTGAGCTTCACCCTCCCTTTCCTCCTTCCTTCCTTCTTTCCTTCCTTCCTTCCTTCCTCCCTCCCTCCCTTCTTTCCTTCCTTCCTTCCTTCTTTCCCTCCCCTCCCCTCTCTCCCTTCCTTTCTTCTTTCCTTCTTTCCCTCCCCTCCCCTCTCTCCCTTCCTTTCTTCTTTCCTTCTTTCCCTCCCCTCCCCTCTCTCCCTTCCTTTCTTCTTTCCTTCTTTCCCTCCCCTCCCCTCTCTCCCTTCCTTTCTTCTTTCCTTCTTTCCCTCCCCTCCCCTCTCTCCCTTCCTTTCTTCTTTCCTTCTTTCCCTCCCCTCCCCTCTCTCCCTTCCTTTCTTCTTTCCTTCTTTCCCTCCCCTCCCCTCTCTCCCTTCTTTTCTTCTTTCCTTCTTTCCCTCCCCTCCCCTCTCTCTCTTCCTTCCTTTCTTCTTTCTCTCCACTTCCAAGCACTTTCATGTACATTCCCATTTAATCCTGAACAGAGGAATTATTTCCATAATGCAGATAATGAAACTGAGGCCCAGAAAGTTTGAATGACTTGCCCACTCTCTCCAGTTTAGAAAAGTATGACCCATGAATCGAAAGCAGTTTACCTGCTTCCAACTCCTCCCTACTTCAATAAAATACTTTATTATATCTTAAAAAGGCCATTTACCTGCCTACTGACTGGGTAACCTATACATAGTTTCCATGACCTAGCTGCCCTAAAAATCCATCTTCTGACTTCACTCCTATGAATGCCCTGGCTTGCTAGGGGAGATGTGTGAGCAGCCATTTTTATTTTTAAAAACTTTTTGCAAACTTACTGGCTCCACAGTGGTAAAAAAAAAAAAAATCAAAACAACAACAAAAAACTCATGAGGGAGTGGTGACCTCTAAAAGCCACTCTTCAGGTCAAGAGATAAATTGGCTATAGGGACAGAAATTACAAATGCACCTGAAACACGCGTAACAAACTCCCAAATCAACTCAGAAGAGGAGACCTGCTCGAAGTCTGTGTTTGTCTGTTTCATCTTCCTCAACCAGCACTGGAGCGTGCAGAGTAGAGTGTGAGGTTTTCTCCAACATATATTTGCAAGGACATCTACTCTAACTTGCCACTTTCCCTCCATTCACACTGATAATAACAATAATATTTATTGGGTTCTTACTACCTGACAAGTGCTCTTCTCAAATCTCTCCACAGTAAGCTCACTTAACCGTCATATGGACCCTGTGAGGCAGGTGCCCTTATCTTGATTTTATAAATAAACAGACAGAGGCAAGTAAAGTAACTTGGCCCAGGTCACCCAGCTAGCATTGGCAGAGCCAGGCTCAGGGCCTAGGCAGTCTAACCCAACCCCTGCATTTTACCACCCTCCAGCCAAGGTCTTCTTCAGGTCCTGCGTGAAAGTGCTCCCATTAATCTGTGAACCTCTTGCAGAGTAGTAACAGTTTGTCCCAGTAGACTGCCCAGTACTGTGCACACTCAGCAAAGTTTATTGAATAGCTCGATAGTAATGAATGGAGGGAGGAAGGAACAAAGGAAGGAAAGGAAACGAAAGGAAAAAACGGATATAAAAACACATGTTCTGAGAGGTCAGGAAAATAAAAGATTGTTTTAGGGTGGGTGGGGGTAGGAAGAAAAGGTTACAACAAAGAGCTGTGAATAATGGTAGAATTTTAGTCAGCACAGATGAAGAAAAGGAAATTTCAAGAAGAAAATTATATAAACAAAGTCAGAGAAACTGGAAAGCCAGGAGATATATCCAGGTAACAGTAAGTGTCCCAATTAGTCATGGCTTAGTCTTGGGCTACATGAAGGGATACAGGGAGATAAGTCTGTTCAGGTCAGTTGAGTTGAGATTGCCGAATACTTCAAATGGTAGGATGAAGAAAATATTGGATAAAAAAATGGGAGCCCCTGGAGGAGTTTGAAGGAAGAGATGGGAGGATGACAATCTCAGGATTGTGCATTAGGAAAATTAAAATGGCACTAACACGTAGAGAATTGTACAGCAGGGGCTGCCGATCTACAGTGAATGGATCCCTTGGGTCCATCGATGAGTGTTAGGGAGTCTGTGAATCCCTGAGGTGTACATAGAACTTTGTCTGTATCTGTGTATGTGCAAGTTTCTACTGAGAATATCCATAACCTCTCATGACTCCCAAAAACTGTGACCTGCCTCTATCAAAAGGACTATCCCAAGGCAGGAGTCCAAAAAGAGGCCAACATTCCACATGTATGAATACTTTCACATTATAAATCAAGCTAAGAAACTGTTAAATATGTTCTTCATCCTACGGTGGCAAATATAACCTCACAATGATGAAACTGAGAAATATGTGACTACAAATGGGAAAATATTTTTAAGTGACTAAATTTAATTATTACTGAGCATATGTTGAGTGTTGATGGACCAACAATGTTTGATGAATAAGAAAAAATATATACAATTCATACATTATGGCCCATTTATTCCTCATAACTTGTTTTTCTCACATTCATTCAACAAAATATTATATCGTTATAGTAAGATTTCACATAGTTTTATTCTGTTGACATAACAATCTAAATAATTAAAAAATAAACAATAATGATATTCAAAACTCACTTTGAATTTACTTTTGAAAAAATACAAATTCTAATAAATGTAAAAGACTCAAAATATCAAATAATATGTTAACATTATCTATTAAAATTAAAAGAATTACAATAACAATGAGAAACCACTACACGCCTATAAGAATGGCTAAAATCCAAAGTACTGATGACACCAAATGCTGGCAAGGATGTGGAACAACAGGAACTCTCACTCATTGCTGATGGAAATGAAAGATGACACAGCCATTTTGGACGATGGTTTGGCAGTTTCTTACAAAATGAAACATACTCTTACTATATGATCCTTGGTGTTTACCCAAATGAGTTGAAAACTTATGTCCACACAAAAACCTGCACACAGATTTTTTGGCAAATTTACTCATAATTGCTAAAACTTGGAAGCAACCAAGATGTCCTTCAGTAGGTGAATGGATAAACAAACTGTGGAACAGCCATACAATGGAATATTATTCCATGAAAAAAATAATTCAGCTATCAAACCACAAAAAAATGGGGGAACCTTAAATACATATTGTTAAGTGAAGGATGTCCGTTTGAAAAGCTATGCACTATATGATTCTGACTATATGATATTCTGGAAAAGACAAAATTATGGGTATGGTAACCCATAGTGAATATTTTAGGACTGAAACTATTCCGTATCATACTGTATGAGTGGATTACACATTTCTATACTATACTAATCATTATACATTTGTCAAAACCCAATTAGAGAAAAATCACACATATACGCATATACAAACCCAATAGAATGTATAACACAAAGAATGATCCCCAATGTAAACTGTGGGTTTTAGTTAATAAGAATGTACCAATATGGCTCATCAATTGTAACAAATGTACCACATTAAAACAAGATGTGACTAAAAGGGGAGACTAATGAATGTAAAGACTTAAATGTTATCCTTTGCTTCATTTGCCATTTGAGAAAATGAAATCTATTATATTCACTAATATGTTATATCATAAAATAATAATACTTATAAAATGTCTTTTCATATTAAAAAAGATTAAGACACAAAAGTTTTCTTATTTATCCCTTTGTGTAGATGAGAGAAGATGAGGGGGTATGTGGGAATTCTCTGTACTTTCTATTTAATTGTTCTTATAAATCAAAAACTGACCTCCCCAAAAGTCTGTCAATTAAAGCAAAGGCAGAATACAAATTATAACTAATGAACATAAACACTTAAAATAAAATTATTTAAATAGATCAGGATTTCATTAATTTATTAATTCATATATTTTGAAGCTATTATTAGATGTGTAAGCTTTAGAATTGTTACCTCTTTCTGATTAATTTACCACTTTATCATTATGAAATGACCTTTTTTATCTCTAGTAATACTTCTAATTTGCTTTCAAATGTACTTTGTCTGATATTAATATAGCCACTCTAGCTTTTTTTTATTCGTGTTAACATGCTGTATCTTTTCTCATAACTTCACTTGTGTCTTTATATTTAATGAGTATCTTTTCTGTAAGCAGTATATAGTTGCATTTTTCTTTTTTGTACAGTCTGACCATCTTTGCCTTTTAGTTGGAGTGATTAGACTACTTATATTTAATGTGATTATTTATTTGTCAGGCTGAAATCTAACATCTTGCCATTTGTTTTCTGTTTGTTTCATCTGTTCTTTGTTCCCCTTTTCCTCTTTTTCTGCTTTTTTTGGATCAATTGAGTATTTGAATAATTCCGTGTATTCTTCTCTTTCAGATGACTGTAAATGCAAAGTACAGCTTGCTTTGATATCTGACGGCAGGATGACATTATGCTACCACCGTTCTGTGGACATTCCATATGAACACACCAAACCTATCCCTCTAAACAGATCCTGTGCATAATAACTAAGAAACACATGACCAGGTGCTCAGAGCCAGATTAGAAGAATATGAGCACCTTGAGCAAGGACCCAGATAGACCAGCTTAGCAAAATGTTTGTTACCACTAAGCACTGTTGATATCCTCATGGACAGTATCACAGTGTCATAAAAAACTGAACCCTCCAAAAGACAGATGATTTCGAGGTTCCTGGGAATCAAAGAGAAACGTTATCCTTTGCTTCATTAGCCATTTGTGAAAATGCAATCTGTTATATTCACTAATGGATATATCATAAAAATAATAATTATAAAATCTCTTTTCATATTAAAAAATATTAAGATACAGAAGTTTTCTTATCATTTTCTGTAGTTTTATTTCTTCCTTACCCTGCATATTAATCTATTCTCACACTGCTATAAATACCCAAGACTGCGTAATTTATGAAGTAAAGAGGTTTAATTGACTCACAGTTCACTATGGCTGGGGAGGCCATATCAATTTTAAACTTACAATCAAGGCAAAAGGAGAAGCAGACACATTCTTCACAAGGCAGCTGGAGGGAGTGAGTGTGAGAGTGCGGTACCATTTATAAAACCATGAGATCTCACGAGAATGCACTATCACAAGAACAGCATGGAGGAAACCACCCCCATAATCCAATCACTTCCCTCCCTAGACACATGGGGATTACAATTCAAGATGAGATTTGGGTGGAGACACAGCCTAACCATATCACCTTGTGTCAGTTCTGTATGGAGATCTTCTGTTAGTGCCTCCTTCATGTAAATTCTCTTTCTTTCTTTTTATTTCTCTCTCTCTTTCTTTATTTCCTTTTTTTCTTTCTCTGTCTTTCTTTCTCTCTCTTTCTTCTTTCTTTTCTTTTCTTTTCTTTTACAGGGTCTCAGTCTGTCACTCAGGCTGGAGTGCAGTGGCATGATCACAGCTCACTGCAACCTCTGCCTCCTGGGCTCAAGAGATCCTCCTACCTTAGCCTCACAAGTAACTGGAACTACCGTAGGGCGCCACCACACCTGACTAATTTTTGTATTTTTTGTAGACACCATGTGGCCCAGGCTGGTCTTGAACTCCTGGGCTCAAGCAATCTGCCTGCCTCGGCCTCCCAAAGTGCTAGGATTACAGGCGTGAGCCACCGCACCCAACCATTTTTTTCTTTTTTAATGCCATATGAAACAGAAGTGTATCTTACAAGAAAAGGTGTCTTATATTAAAGGAAATATAATTTTAATATTTCCATGTTACAGATTAGGAAACTGAGGCACAGACAGGTTAGTTAGCCAAATTCAAACAACCAAAAATTTGTGATGCAGTATTGCAGATTGGGTTGTCTAGAAGAATTTGCGGAGACAGAGTTTGGGATGTAAGATGTTTATTAGGCATCAGCACCCATGAAAGGAAGATATTGGAGGCAGAAGTGGGCAGAGGAAGAAGTCAAACTGGGATGGAGGCCTGTCAAAGCCTCAGTCAACCTGGCCAGGAGCTCTGTAGCATACTGTGCTCATCAGAGTATCCTGCACAGAGCTGAGATGGCCCCAGCTTTATCCCTAGGACACAAGCTGCTTTATCCCACAGGACACAAGCTGCTGGGGGAAGGTGTAACCTCAGAGGAAGCAGCTCTCTGTAGCCAAGTCAGGCCTGGAGTGCTCTGACAGTTGGATGTGCCTTCTGACTTCATTTCTAGCAGTTGCACATCAGATCCTTCCTGAGAGGGAGAAACACAAGCAGGATACAAACTCAGGCAGTCTGGTTCCAGAACCAGCACTTCTGACTGTGAGGATATTCTGCCTTCCTGACAGATGCATTGGGATCAAACCATGGTTGGCCTGGAATTCAGACATTCAATCCAGTCTTTTTTCTATACCATGCTTTTCCACATAGCACAACCATAACTACCTGCCCGGCATTTCGAACTATTATTGATGTTTGCAGGAGGTCCAATTGTTCTACAAAATTGAATTTGGATGGTAAGCTAAAAAAATTATAATTCAGGATTATCTGCATACTCCACTTTATAAGTATGCAGTCTCACCATTTACATCTGGTTGACATATGTGTGGCAACAAATCAAAGCCTGGCTCCAAGTAAAGCTCAGGTGATATCTTGGTGATCCGCAGCACTGAAGGCAAATGATAGGACAGCTGAGTCATCATACAGTCTTTAGCAGCACAAGCATGCCTAACGTGAAGCACCTGTACCTCCTGAGTTACCACCACATTCGTGTTTCAAAGGAGATGCATCATACCCAATATTTAAATTCATTAGGACTAAATATGATCATAAATATTGAATAAAAACATTTTCATTAAATTAAATTCATATTTTGGCCTTTTATTTTAGCGAGCATTTTAGATTGATGTCTTATTAATGAACCATGGATTGACGATTCAGGACATATGTATAGTTTAAAAGAGAAAATCAGAACAGGGATAATGAGAGATCCTCAAATGCATGTCTATTATATTCAAAATAAATGGTATTCAAAATATTTGGATATTTTCATATTCAAATATATTCAAAATAAAGAGAATCACATAGCTAACAAGAGAAATACAAAACGCCCAAATGACCTTTTCTACTTTTAGAATAAACTTCCGTGGTTTTGTTTCATCAAAACAATGTTAAATCAATGCTGTTTTATTATTATTATTATTCTGAGTCTGGTCTCATTCTGTGGCTCTGGCTGGAGTTTGGTGGTGCAATTATGGCTTACTGCAGCCTTGACCTCAGGTGATCCTCCCACCTCAGCCTCCCAAGTAGCTGGGACTACAGGCTTGCACCATCACACCTGGCTAATTTTTGCTTTTTTTTTTTTTTCTTGTAGAGACGGGGCCTTGCTCAAGCTGGTCTCAAACTCCTGGGCTCAAGAGATCCACCCATCTTGGCCTCCCAAAGTGTTAGGATTATAGGCATAAGCCACTGTACCCAGTCTACTTTAATATTATTATTAATTTTATGCTTTTAATGTGCAAATTGGTTTGGATTTTATAGTTTTTTAAAGGGTCTACAGCCATAAGGAATTTATAGCTTGTTTATGTTTAAGTAACACTGTGTTTATATTACATTCAAGTAACACTGTGGTAGAAATAATTTGTCAACACTGGGTGCCATATCGGTTTTTTCTTGAAAAGGGGCCCACTCATTAATTTGCAGAGATGCTGTGCCAGGTCTGTGGAAGAAATAGGTGTGAATAAGTCTAGCACCCACATTCGCACTGTAATCAATTATGAATTCCAGTTTGCATGTGGACTTTTGTAAATGTTTCTTTGTGACTAGGGATACAGGGTTGTGGCAAAAGTTCCTGTTTCATAATTCACCTTTCTTCATCACCAAACTGTAGAAAAATAGGGTTTAAAGAAATCAGCTACAGCAGCCTGCTTTCAACACCCTGAGTGAGGCAAGGCCATGTTAGACCCTACCAAAGATCACTCCTCACACCTGGGGCACACAAGGAAAGGAGCGAGGGACTGACAGGAACATCCGTCAGCTTCTGCAAGGTCTCAAAAAGATCATCACCCACAGAGGCAGATGTCTCAAGGAAAGACTGTCCTTTGAATCGGTGAGTTCACTGCTCAGACTTCAACCTGTTTACTCTGCCATTTTTGGTCAATTCACATATATATATATATATATATATATATATATATATATATATATATATTTATTTATTTATTTTTTGAGAAAGAATCTCACTCTGTCACCCAGGCTGGAGTGCAGTGGCACAATCTTGGCTCACTGCAACTTCTGCTTCTTGGGTTCAAGCGATTCTCCTGCCTCAGCCTCCTGAATAGCTGGGACTACAGGCGCACGCCACCACGCCTGGCTAATTTTTGTATTTTTAGTAGAGATGGGGTTTCGCCGTGTTGGCCAGGCTGATCTTGAAATCCTGACCTCAAGTGATCCTCCCATCTTGGCCTCCCAAAGTGCTGGGATTACAGGCATGAACCATCATGCCTGGCCCAATTCATCATTTGAAACAACTTGTTTTTTTTTGGTGCCAGTATTGCACTTTCAAATTTTCTTCAGGGTCATGGAAGGTTGCTAGCAGGCTGTGGTCTGTGAACTCACAGAAACTATAAACCATCCGTGAAGAAGGAATGGGTCCATCTGAAGAGTGCCAAAGGGAAAAGTAAGACAAAGACATGGAGCAGCCTCAAGGGGATGAAATGGATGAAGGGGAGGAAGAAGAGAAGAAAGCCAGATCTCAGCCCCAAAGTAAGGCTTCTTGGCATGGAAGTATAGAGTTTCTAAATAGATGACACAAATTCATCTAAATGAACAGAATATGGCTATACAAATGTTTAATGTATCTGTGAAAATTACACTTGTTGAAAACTAATTATTCACATTCAAAACCAGTATTTCAAGGCTTGTGGCTAAACTAATATCTGTAAAAGGCATGGCTTATGTGTTATATTCTGTTTGTGCTTTTCCGTTTCACTTTTATCTGTTCTGCAGACGAAGGCAATGGTGCAAAAAGGAGTTTACCAGAAATGAGTATTGAGTAACAGTCTGATCTTAAAATACTTTTGCAACTTGTTATGCAAAAATCACAGTTGCAGAAAAATTGGTTTCCATAAAGAGCTATTAAGTGGATCAACTAGATTATCTCTAGATCAGATTTTTTAAAAACCCATTCTCCTTCACAGAAAACTTTTGTTCTATTTGTATACGTTAGAGCAACCAGTACATATCAAACTTCAGGCCTCTTACAAGTAAGCAAATATATCAAAGAAAAGTTTTTACTTAATTGAAATTTGGGTTAAAGTAAAGATGCAATAGTGTCAATTCAGGAATTATAGGCAGGACCACAATTTAACAAATACCAAAATAATACGATTTTTCGCCACATGTTTTCTACCCCTATTGGCGTATCAAGCTTGGAAAAAGAAATGATCTTAGTAAACAACAAGAAATTTGCTTTTCTGTGAGAGTTATCTGTTGCATTCTTTTCTTTTTTTAGTATTTTTTCTAAGCTTACCTTAAGTTCATATTGCCCTTTTGTGCAGATAACAAGATGAAAAAAATCATTTACTTTGGAAAGTCATTATTTTCAGTTTTGTTGTTGTTGTTGTTGTTGTTGTTGTTGTTGTTGTTGTTTTGAGACAGGGTCTCATTCCATTGTCCAGGCTGGAGTGCACTTGTGCAATAATGGCTCACTGCAGCCTCGAATTACTGGGCTTGGGTGATTCTCCCAACACAGCCTCCCGAGTAGCTGGGACTACAGACACCAACCACCACACCTGGCTAATTTCTTTGTATTTTTTTGTAGAGATGGGGTTTTGCCATGTTGCCCAAGCTCATTTTGAACTTCTGGGCTCAAGCACTCTGCCCACCTCTGCCTCCTAAAGTGCTGGGATTACAGGCGAGAGCCACTGCGCCCGGCCTCTTCTGTGGTCTCTAACATTGTTCTTGAATTATTAATGGTGAAGAACCTGGATTTTTGTGTTGCACACTAGTATTTGAGTCTGAAGTCTTCTGCTTGTTGTTTCCTGGACAGTGGACAGGAGGCTATAGGGTTCAGTCTATTCCTCTCTTAAATAGGGTTGAGTTGTGCACATTTCACAAATTTGTGATGAGAAATTAAATAATATACGACGATGTGAATATGGTGCTTAGCACATTGTAACCAAACAATAGTATTGGTTATCTTTAATATTGGTATCAGCATTATTAGGTTTATATTTTTTAATGATCTCATGTTTGCTAAAAATTGTACATTTAAAACAAGCTTCAAGGGATAAAAACTGTGTTGTCTTGTATGTGAGTAATGATGACTTGTTTGCAGTACTGAAACCTTTGCAGATTTCATCACATATCTAGAAGTAATTTAAGATATGCTTATTACATACTGAAATATTTAAAACTTTAACTTATTATATATTGAAATATTTAAAACTTTAACAATTAACTTGATTTTACTTTGTAAATTTACATTTATGGGATAAAGAAAATGTGGTATATAAACACAATGGAATACTATTCCGCCATAAAAGAATGAAATCATGTCATTTGCAGCAAAATGGATGGAACTGAAGGTTATTATTTTAAGTAAAATAAGCCAGACATAGGCAAATTTCACATGTTCTTACTCATGGGAGGTAGAGAGTGGAATGATAGATAGATACCAGATGCTGGGAAGGTTGTGTGAGTGGAAAGGGGGATGAAGAGAGTCTGGTCAAAGGGTACAAATTACGGTTGGATAAAAGAAGTAAGTTCTAATGTTTATAACAGTTCTATTGTTCCATTGTTGCTAACTATAGCTAGCAACAATGTATTGTTTATTTCAAATTAGCTAAACTAGGGAACTTGAAATGTTTCCAACATATGGAAATGATTAATAACTCAAGGTGAGGGATACCCCAAATACCTGGACTTGATCCTTACACATTCTATGCATGCAACAAAATATCATATGTACCCCACAAATATGTAAAATATTATGTACCAATTCAAAACACTAAAAGATTTCTCATTTATATGTTTCCATCAATTTATTTCTACATTTTATGTAGAAAAGCTATATGCAAAAAGATTTGCCTGTGAATCTGGGAATATATTTCTAGTCTGCGTGTACTGGAGAACAATTTATATGGCATACAGTCTGGTTTCTCCATAAAGCTAATAAGTGGATTGAAATAATGATATGATAATATCACTAGGGAACATTTCTGTCAGGATTGTAGTTATAAAATTTTCAGAGATGGGATTTGGAGACTATGCTCTAGCTACTAATTAAGAAGACTGTATTAGTTAAAGTCCCAAAGGGAAATGGATAGCATATTCAAATTAGGATAATTCAAGCAGAGGTTTTAAATAAGGGGTCTATTATAAAGATATGGACAGGGTGGAGGGGAGCTGTAATGGAACCTTTGACTGAGAATCACAAGTATGGAAAAGTATCTGAAACCAGGAAGGGAGAGAGAGACGTGTAGAGAAGACCACCTTAGAGGAATTGGGGCCTTTTGTTGAGGGGCATACACGAACTTCTATTTGGAATACATTTCCTGACCTCATTCCCTGCCCCTGTCCTCCTGCCAGTTTTCCTATTTGCAGGAAAGCTATGGGGCACAGGCAGCTGTCAGAATAATCCATTCAGATCAGACTCCCAAGTCAGAGAACGGGTGGGAGGGAGGTGGAAAGTGGATTGGAGGGGCAAAAGGAGATCTCTGACACATGCTGATACTATACAAATCTAGAATTTATTTTCTCTCATTATTATGTTCACTTATGGTAACAGGTGTTTACAAATCAGAGTAGTAGCTTTATAAACATGCATTAGACAAGATCCTTATAGGCATTAAATTTTAAGCTACTTTTTAAATAATGGGGAAAAGACCCTAGCTTAAAATCTATGCTCTGTAAGAAAAAAACATATTTTCTAACCATTAATATATGAGAGCTAGACAGATATTCCTAGGTCTTGTTATGTCTAGGTGCCTCCCTCTAAAAGGCTGTATCAGGGCCTTCAACTCAGTGCTTACTACAGTCATTCATTAACTCATCTTTCAACAAATATTTATTGAGTGTCTCTAATGTTCTAGGTATTGTGCTAGGCTCTAGGTAAAAAGGAGTAAGTGAAACAGGCATGATCCTTGCCTTCTTGAAACTTATGATTTAGTAGGTGAGTTGAATGATGTAGACAAAGCTTTAACTAGTTTTGTAAGTCTGCAATCACAGAGCTAATAAAGAGCAACAGAACCACATGATCACTGAGTGTCCAAATACAATATTTAAACATGAAAATTAGAGAGTTCACAGAGCAGCCATTGAGGTACAAAAAAGCCACAGACTTTTAAGCAGCATATTTTCTCTCTCCTGAAAGAAAGATCTTAAACTTAAATTTAAAGCCGGCCAGTTCTGGAAAAGCTTATTCAAATATTATTTGTAAGATGAGGCAGAGGTGGCTACCAGAATCTAGAAAGTGCTGTCCAATATAGAAGCCAAATATTAATAACTGTCTACAATAATGGAAATATTATATTCTGCACTGTCCAAAATAGTAGACACTAGTTATCGTGGCTGTTAAGTACTTAAAATGTTGCTAATGTGGCTGAGGAACTGAATTTTTAAATTTTATTTAATTTTAATTAATTTAGATTTAATTAGCCATATGTGGCTATGGTAAAGTACAGTGTAAATCTAGAACAAGGTGTACTGGCTGAGACTTGCTGAGCACAAGCTGCTTCATTTAACCTCATTTCCTTTTTGACAGGGTTAATAACGGTCATTAATTTACTCACACACTATCATGTGTCCTGCAGGGTATGAAATAGAAATCAAAGATAGTCTAAGGGGAATAAGTGTTGGCAAGGAGGTGGAGACACTGGAACCCTTGGGCATTGCAGGTATAAATGTAAAATGTCTTGGCTGTTGTGAAAAATGGTAATGATAATTCTACACAAAATTAAACATAGAATTACCATATGACCCAGCAAATTCATTTCTGGGTATATACCCCCCAAAAATGAAAGCAGGGACTCAAAGAGATATTTGTACACTCATGTTCATAGCAGCATTAGTCACAATAGCCAAAGGGTGGAAGCAACGCAAGTGTCCATTGACAGGTGAATGGATAAACAAAATCTGGTATATACATACAATGAGTTATTACTCAGCCTTAAAAAGGAAGGAAATACTGACACATGCTACATACAGCATGGATAAACACTAAAGTCATAATGCCAAGTGAAATAAGCTGGTCACTGAAGGACAAATATTGTATGATTCCACTTATATGAGATACTTAGAGCAGTCAAATTCATTGAGGCAGAAAGTAAAATGGTGGAATCTAGCAATTTCACTACTGGGTATATATCCAAAGGAAATGAAATTAGTGTGATGAGATTTTTGCATGTCCCTGTTCATTGCAGCACTTTACAATAGCCAAGATATAGAATCAACATAAGTGTTCAACAGTGGATGAATGGATAAAGAAAATGTGATATATATACACAACGAGGTACTTTCAGCCTTACAGAAGAAGGAAATCTTGTCATTGTGACAACATGAATGAACCTGGAGGACATTATGTTAAGTGAAATAAGCCAGGCACAGAAAAACAAATACCACATGATGACACTTATATGTGGAATCTAAAAACACTGAACTCATAGAAGTAGAAGTAGAACTGTGGTTATCAAGGACTGAGTTAGAGAGATGTTAGTAAAGAAAAAAAAGTAGAATGGTGGTTGCTAAGGGTGAGAGGGAGGAGAGACCAGGGAGTTAGTGTTTAATGGGTGCAAAGTTTTAGTTGGGAAGATAAAAATGTTCAGGATGGTGGTGATGGTTACACCACAATGTGAACGTACCTGTATTTAATGCCACTGTACACTTTAACATAGTTACAATGGTAAATTCTATATTGTAAATATTTTATCACAACCATATAAGAAGTTTAAACACATTCTTTATCTGCAAAGAGTTCTCGAACTAGCATGAAAAAGAGAAATGGTAGTTGCTGGTTACTACATGGTACAGGGATACGCAATGACTATTTGACTGAGGGCCATGAAGGAGTTGCACCTCAGAAGGGTGGCTGTGCTAGAGGACCTTCCAACCCTGGGATTCAATGGGTTTAGAGCTCTGTAAATTAGGAACGGCACTAGCGTGCAGGATGATGGCCACGGCTGACAGATCGCCATGCAACTGCCACGCCCCGCACCCAGTGCCTGCTCTGTTTTATCTGAGCTTCACCCTAAGGTCCTTATCGGTCATCATCTCTGAAAAACTCCAGACTGGAAGGGAGAGCCAAGGTCTCCAGAGAAATTTATAAAACAAGAATAATCTGGGGTTTCAGCTGGGTGTGAGCAGATCAATTGCGGAAGATAATTCAGATTGGCCATACTCTAAACCCTGTCATTATGTGCCACCATGCCCGGCTAATTTTGTATTTTTAGTAGAGACGGGGTTTCTCCATGTTGGTCAGGCTGGTCTTGAACTGCCAACCTCAAGTGACTCGCCCGCCTCGGCCTCCCAAAGTGCTGGGATTACAGGCCTGAGCCACGGCGTCCAGCTCTTGCTTTTAATTTCATTGATAAAATATGTTCTTGCCTCCACATTTACCAGCATCTCTGCCATACTTTCTGAATAGCTGGGACAACAGGCATGCACCACCGCACCCGGCTAATTCTTTGATTTTTAGTAAAGACAAGATCTCCCTATGTTGCCCAGGCTGGTCTCTAACTCCCGGGCTCAAGTGATCCTCCTACCCTGTCCTCCCAAAGTGCTGGGTTTACAGGCTACCACACAGCTGAGATTATCATTTGAATCCATGAGGAAGACTGCCTGAAAAAGTAAATTGTGGATGGGGAGGGAAGGGGAAGATTGCTGGGGATTAAGTGTGGCATTTTGGACACATTCAGTTTGGAGTTGTTCTCTCCTGTTACCAGGGATGAACTCTTTCTTCTGTTTTACCCTAAATTTCCATGTGTGCATTGGATTGCACACCTGCTCATCTACTCAAGAACATTGCTCCAGCATGTAACCCATTTTTTCTCCCCCATATCATCCCTCTTTCCATTCCTTTTGGTTCATGCTGGTGAGCAAACAAACATGTATAGCTTCTAATTAAAAAAAAAAAAAACTGCTTTGACTATATGGTTCCTTCCTGTTTCTACTCCATTTCTTTGTCTTCATCTGATGTTTTTATTCTTTCACTCCAAACAGGCTTTGGTCATCCCCCACTAAAACTCTTCTTACCAAGCTCACCACTGACCTCCATGTGGCCAAGCCCATTCCTCAGTTTTCCGTCCTAATTTTACACACTGTAGCAGCATTTCACAGTTAATTGTTCTTTTTTACAAAAATTTTTTTAATTTGGCTCCTGAAACGTGCTCTCTCTTGGTTTATCTATCTCACTAATCAGAACTTCTCATTCTCTTTTTTTGATTCTTTATCTTCCTAACCTCTGAACTTTGGAGCATGCCAGGACTCAGACTTCAGACATCCCCATTCTGTCTGCACACCATCTATATGCTAAAGAACTCCAAATATATACCACCATCCCAGACTCACCTAACCAACTGCCTTCATGACAACTTGACAACTCCAAACTGAAGGTGTCCAAAATGCCACTCTTAATCCCCAGCAATCTTCACCTTTCCTCCCCATCCACAATTTACTTTTTCAGGCAGTCTTCTCCATGGATTCAAAGGTTAATCTCAGCTGAGCATGGTAACTGATGCCTGTTAACCCAGCACTTTGGGAGGCCAAGGTGGGAGGATCACTTGAGCAGGGGAGGTCGAGGCTGCAGGGAACCATGATCATGCCACTGCACTGCAGCTTGGGCAACAGAGTGAGCTGCTGTCTCAAAAAAATTAAAAATGTCATCAGCAAGCACCCTCACAGACACACCCAGGATAATGTTTTACCAAATATCTGGGCACCCCATGGTCCAATAAATTTGACACATCAAATTAACCATCACAGCTTTCTAACTCGTTGGCCTGTTTTAATCTTTGTCCTTTAATCTGTCCTCAACAAAACGGTAGATTAAAAAAACAACCAGCAACATCATTTAGCTTCTCTGATAAACATTCTTCAGTCTTCCTGTCTCAATCAATGTAAAATGTAAAGACTATCATGACTACCAATGCCCTACATGCTCTACTCCCCACTCCTAGCCCCACCACCATCACTCTTCCTGGACTCTGTTTTGCCCACGCTGATATTTCTCCCAGAAGCCCAGCATGCTCCTGCCTCGGGGCCTTTACATCCACTGATTCCTAGGCTTGAAATGATCTTAATCCCAATAGCTGCATTGTTTCCTCCCTCAATGATTCTCTTATCTTAGATGGCTTTGCAATATACCCATTTTTAAAAATATAACATACCTCATCCCTCTTATTTTACTTTCTTTTAAAATAAACTGTATTTTTTAGAACCGTTTTAGATTTACAGAACAACTGCAAAGGTAGTACAGAATTTCCATAAATTCCATTTCAGATTTCCCTATGATTACCATCTTACATTACATTCCTCACAACTAATTAATCAACCTTGATTCTTATTACTAATGAAAGTCCATGCTTTATTTAGATTTCCTTAGTTTTTCCCCAAGTCCTTTTTCTGTCCCAGGATCCCATCCAGGATACCACATTACATTTAGTTTTCACGTCTCCTGAGTTTCTTCTAGGCTGCGGCAGTTTTTCAGACTTTCCTTATTTTATTTTATTTTTTGTAGAGACAGCATCTGGCTATGTCGGCCAGATCAGGCCTCGAACTCCTGGCCTCAAGCAATCCTCTCGCTTCAGCCTCTCAAAGTGTACGGATTACAGGCGTGAGCCACGTCTGGACTGTACTTTCCTTACTTTTGATAACCTGACAACTTTGAGGAATATTGGTCAGGTATTTTGTAGGATGTTCCACTACTGGAATTTGTTTGATATTTTTCTCATTATGAGACTGAGGTTATGGTTTTCCAGGAGGGAGACCACACATGTAATATGCCACATTCATCACATCATATTGACTACATGCCATCAATGAGTCACGATTGTTGACGTTGGCTTAGAACATCTGGCTGGGGTAGTGTCTGTCGGCTTTCTCCATTGTAAACCTACTGTTTTTCCCTTTCCACATTGTACTATTTTGGAGGAAGTCACTGTGCACAGCCTAGGGTACATGATCTACATAAATTATTTGGAATTATTCTGTATAGGAGATTTGTCTCCTCTCCGCCTTTTATTTATTTATTCAATTATTTATTTATATCAGTGTAGACTCATGGATTTTTTTACTTTGGCTTGTAATCCAATACTACCTTGTTTAGTTTACTTCGTTGCTCAAATGGTTCCATCTTTGGCAACTGGGAGCTTTCAGGTGGTTCCTGTGTCTAAACATTCTGCCATCAAGGCAGGATTCGTTCTTTAGTTTTATTTTTTTTCTTCTCATTCAATTGAGACAGCGTCTCATTCTGTCGCCCAGGCTGGAGTACAGTGGCGCGATCTCGGCTCACTGCATCCTTGACCTCTCAGCCTCAAGTGATCCTCCCACCTTAGCCTCCCGAGCAGCTGGGATCACAGCGTGCGCCACCACGCCCAGTTAATTTTTTTATTTTTTGTAGAGATAGGCTTTCACCACATCGCTCAGGCTGGTCTCAAACTCCTGGGCTCAAGAGATCCTCCCCCTTCGGCCTCCCAAAGTGTTAGGAATACGCGCGTGAGCCACCGCGCCCGGCCCGATTTTTCCTTTTTTGAGTATCACTTCCTTACTTTTCAGCCTCAGCCTTGTTTTTCAAGGTGCTTTACCACCACCTGGCACAATCCACACTTTCTATTTATCCCTCCCCGTTAAAGTGCCGGGACCTGGAGGGTGGGTCTTGGCAGTATTTTTGAGCGCGGTGGGCACACAAGGGGACGCTCAGTTGATATCCAGAGAATGATGAGCCCGGCGGGTGTTGAGGCCGACTGGAGAGAGGTTGGTCGGCAGGGTTCTGGGAAGGCGGTGCTCGGCCTCCGTGTGACCGCAGGCTCCTCGCCCGCGTCCTCGAGGGTCCCAGGGATGCAGGACCTGCCGCAGCTTCCGCAGCCACACCCACGCTCAGAGACGGCTTCCAGCGTCCTCGCCGCGGCAACGCACCGGACTGCAAATGTCACCAGCGCAGCGGGGATTCCCGGGGGAAGTCCAGCGCGCTCCCTGCCCTGGGGACCAGAGGACGAGCGGAGGAAGTGTCTTGGGCGGCAAACATCCCACTCCCCGCGCCGGTCCGCGCAGCCCGCGGGAACGCCCCTGGGCTTGCGGGAGGGGCTGGAGCGCGTCCCCGGCTCCGGGCGGTCCCGAGCGCATGGACTCTGGGTGGGGCGGGAACCCGCGCTCTGTGAGCCGGCTGCCGCCGCGCCCCAGCGCTGTCATCCCGGGGCGGGGCCTGGTCCCCAGCTGTGGTCGCTTCCTAAGCGGCGGGGGCTGAGCCGGCGGCGCCCAGATGCGGCCGCGGCGGCGCGGAGCTCGGGCGGCCGTGGAGGAACTCAGCCTCGGCCGCAGGAGGCGCCGGGAGCGGAGCCGCCGGGAGTCGCGCAACAGGTTTCCTTCTCCATCGCTGCGCCCACAGGGGACGCGCGCCCTGCCGGGAGAGGGGCTTCTCGGTTCGCACTCTCGCTCCCAGTCCAGGTTTGTTTTTCTCTTCCTGAGCCCCCATTTCTCTTCCTGACTATTTTCCCCGTGCGCGGAGAGATCGGGGAGGGCGGGTCGGGGCGGGGGCACTGTCTAGGCTCGGGACCCGCGGCTGTGCCTTAGGTGGGATTTTGGATCTGGCGCAGGTCCTCACGCCGCCTCTGGGCACCTTCGGAAACACAGCATTGGGTTTCTCATATAAAGCAGAATGATTTTTTAAAATTACTTTTAATTTCAGAGGCTGAGGGACTTAGGATTTAGTGCTTCGTAAGAATTATTTTAGGGATACCTGTTGGTAGGCTGCCTTTATAAAGTGTCCACCCAAGACTACTTTTATTTTAAATCGAAAGGCTGGAGTGTTTTTTTATTATCACCTCTTCACTTCCTAGTAGGGTGACTGTGTCAAAAACACCAGAATGGGTACTTCTTGACTTGAACTTGGCGGTGTCACTCAGTAGCCAGGAAAGACGGAGAAATTGATAGAGCCTTCGAGGAGTCCCTTCGAAGCCCACGTAAGACTTTGTTTTAGAAACATGGAGAGAAGTAGTGGCAATGCCTGCGAGAGCCACGCCGTCCTGAGAGGGAATTCTGCCTTTTTCTAGACTCCGCTGACACCAGCTGAGATCTGTATTACTTCCTGTGGTTCTCACGCACTTGTTTCAGCCGTTTCTCAGCAGAGGGAGGAGCTGTTATTTACAGGTATCCAAAAATGAGTCACAGGGCTGCTCTCTTAATTGTGAGACTTTGTTAATGAACTTTTGAAAAGCGAGGCTTGCTTTAAAATGAGACTCTAGATGTGAAATGCCTGCCCTGCCAACCTGGGGCAGTGGTATGGGAAGTGACGATTGAGTTTTCAGTTTCCTAAGGCGCCTGATGTTACAACATGCCAGTAAAGGTCACTGGGCTGATCTAAGATAACCATTGAAATCATGTGCTTTGCCACAGATGCCCAAGAGAAAATTAATTTCATTATTCAATGACCATTTTGCTGTCATTTTCACTGCATGGGAGAAAGGTATCATTTAATGTGGTGATTGTAAGTAACTCTCTAAAATCAAAATATTTCAGACAGTTTGTGTTTACTAAATTGGTGCTAAAACCACATGATGATTTTTGAAGCGGGTGGGTCCCAGCGGGAGCAGAGAAATTTAAAAGTTGAAGCTGACAAGTCCTATTGCGGTGGGTAACAGCCCTTAGGAAGGGACTGCACACTATCTCAACACGGTAGAGAAGGGGACACCATCTCTACTGGAGCTGAGTTGAGCTGAATTCAGCCTCAAACAACAGTTACCAGGTACCTTCTCTGTGCCAGCCTCTTCCCTGAACCTTGCTTGTACAACCATGAATAATAGGATCCTGCCGGCAAGGTACTAGGGTAAATCTATACCCAGAGTGAAGTTTCTGTGCCAATATAACTCAATATGCTGGGTCCCAGTGTATTTAAAGAGTAGACTCAGCAGATTATCACCCCTAGATAATTGCGGTCACGATTAGTTGATAGTGTGACTTTTAAGAAATAGTGTGACTAATTAATAGTTTATTTAAATATGCTGGAAAATTCAATATAATGAGATAGGTGCTAGGGTAAATCTATACCCAGAGAAAAGTTTCTGTCCCAATATGACTGATGTTTCTGAAGATCTGGGATTTGGAATGGACTGGGTCATGGCTGGAAGAGCAAGGAAACTTTTGAGTTTAGTCATTTACTTGTCTTTGTAGGCAGCCTATTCTTCATTTGATACATGATTTAAAAATGTATGAATTTGAAAGGTATGGTTTTTAAAGTGCTTGAATGAACCATGTTTCATGTTATTTAATAACCATGTAAAACGAAATTCAGCTGATTATCACCCCTGGACAATTGCAGTCACCTTTAGTTAACAGCATGACTTTTAGGAAATGGTGTGACTAATTAATAGGTTGTTTTGTTTTGTTTTGTTTTTTGAGACAGAGTCTCACTCTGTTGCCCCAGGCTGGAGTGTGGTGGTGCAATCTTGGCTCACTGCAACCTCCACCTCCTGCGTTTAAGCAATTCTTGTGCTTCAGCGTCCCAAGTAGCTGGGACTACAGACACCCACCACAACACCCGGCTAATTTTTGTATTTTTAGTAGGGACAAGGTTCGGCCCTGTTGGCCAGGCTGGTCTCGAACTGCTGACCTCAGGTGATCTGCTTGCCTTGGCCTCCCAAAGTGCTGGGATTGCAGATGTGAGCCACCATGCCCTGCCTAATAGTTTATACATTGGTAACACTATATTGAAGCGAGTTTATGATCATTGTTTTTGTAGTTCAAATCAATGTTTTTTATCACATTATAGCCGTGTGAGCCAAAATGAATAAATCTACCGTATCACAGTTTACTGTTGCAATTGAAATCTGCTGAGATGCTTTTGAACTGGATGCCCAAGTATCAAGGTTTCCAAGTTTCCCCAGTTTGCTAAGATATCCAACTGGTAAAGGCAACAATGCTAAATTTCAGACAACTTTACCTTAATTTCCAAACTTTATTCCTCCTTTGAGAGCCCTAAAGTTACTTTTTCTATGAGAAAGAAAGGGTCGAGTTTGTCATTCAGCATTGTACTCCCTGAACTTGGCCCAGGCTTGTCTCATGATAAGTGTTAGAAAGTGTTTATTGATGGAATAATGAACCTTCACGTAGGAGGATGAATTGTCAGGCAAGTGGAATTGTCTGCTGTAGGTGACCCAGCAGAAGGAACAGCACCCATAGAGAAGTGAAACAGCACTGGACGTTCAGGAAACTCCAGCCTGTTTAGTGACGGCACAGAGGGAGGCCTACGGAGACAGGAAGGGCCAGATCACAAAGGCCCCATGAGGGTTTAATAGTACTGAAGCCTTTGAACAAGTGAATGATATTGTCAGGTATGTGTTTAAAAAATAATAACAAAACTTGGAATTTTAAAAATCTTAGATTAGATGAGAGTGACATTGACCCTAGGAAGACACCGTGGAAACTGTTGTCATATTGCAGATGGGACATTGAAGAAGGCCTGAATCGGGCAGTGACAATGCAGATGGGAAAAGAGGGAAGGGGCTGGTAGAGGTTTAATAGGTGGAACCCTGTCGGGTGTGTGTAATGAGGAGGTAGGAGCAGTTGAGATGACTCCCATGTTTCTAATGAATGACTAGGATAAGAATATCCTACTCGGTGGAAGAATAGGTTTGGGCTAAAGGGTGGTGAGGAGCTCACACAGTACTTGGCACATAATCAGTGCTCATTAAGATTTTTCAAATGAATGCTAGTAATAGCTAAAATTTATTGAGTGCTTATTAAGGGCCATGTACTATCCTAGACTCACTATGTGCGTTAAGCCTTTTACTCGTCAGTACAATCCTGTGAGATAGGTACTCAAATTAACTGCTTTGACTGGTGAAGAAAGTGCAGTGTTAGTAACTGACAGAGCCAGAAATGGATCCCAAGCACTTGGTTCCAGAGCTTGCATTCTGAAGCACCCTGCTGTGATGTGCTGTCTTGATGAATGAATCAATGAGGTTTTGGACTTTGTGGTAAGCTCAGGTTGAAGTCACTCTCCTGCCCCTAACAATTCTTCCTTATCCAAGAATGGCCTTGATGCATAAGATGGGCCTTCAGTGTCCCTACTGTGCTACATGACATCCCACCCCCTACCTTCACTCCAAGAAATACCTGATTCATCTAGGAAGAAACCTGGAATAATCAGACATTTTTATCCTGGGAATTGAAACATCTTAATGGAGACTCACAGTGTCTGAAGGTTCCAAGTGCTTCAATCATTGTGTCTACAGAGCTGCCTTGGTTACCACCCCTCCTAAACACTGAATGCTCAACTTTTCATATTTCTCAGATGCACTCAATGTTTTGTTGCTAAGATTTTCCATAGGGAAGCAGAAAGGCTAGCAAGGGAGGCATTAATCTACAGAGCAGGGTCAAATGGTGGAAGAACCACTAACAAATGCAGACAGGTACATAACAACTCCAGATATTACATTCCTGACTTGTGATCTGCCTTTTGAATCCTATTTTGTTCTAGTTTTACCCTGAAGCAGGCGCCTTACCTGCCTCTAACTTCCAGAATTTTATTAAGTGAGTCTGGTCCTGCTGTGTCTCCTGTCCTCTTGATTTTAACTTGGCAAAATGATTCAAGTATCTTGCATTCAGAACTTGCTTTCCATTTGGGGCACCTGGGTAGATTCTTTTGTCTGAACAGCAGTATTTTGACCAACAACCCTGTCCACCCGCCCCCACCGCCTCCAAAAAAATGATCCCAACTCTTAACTGTTCTCATTGTTGATAATTCAACCTACCCTGACTTGGATTAATATCCTGATTTTTGTTCAGCAATCAGGGACTAAGAATTGATCTAGGAAGAAACTGGAATAATCAGACCTTTTCTCCTGGGAATTTACATTTTAATGGAGACTGTCTGAAGATTCCCAGAGCTTCAACCATTATGTCCACAAAGCTGCCTTGGTTATCTTTTCCTCAAAGACCTCGACTTTGGACCATGTAAGGTTTAAAACGCCCAATTAATGTTGTACCCAAACTGAATCAGCAAACTCACTTATTGAAGCTTTAAAATGTTCAAATGTCCACTTTGGGAGGCTGAGGCAGGAGGATTGCTTGAGCCTGGGGGCAGCGGCAGGGGCGGGGGAGAATGTTCAAATGTCTAAAGCTTGAAGTTTTAAAATAGTTTCTCCACACATGCATTGAATGTTTTGTTCAGCATTTCTTCAGATTCATTGGGAAATCAACATATTTATAGTTGCCCATGAAATGAGAGTGACATGAAGCCTCGCAGGGTAATAGAGCCCACATGTCTACCCCTTGGCCTGAGCTTTTATGTGCCTGCCTATAATTCATTCAGTGCTCAGATCACAAGAAAGGGAAGGGTTTTGGCTAATATTTCATATCGGTTTGTCTTGGCTGTTCAATTCAACTGTGGTTTCCCTGAGAGAAGAGAATAGCTAGAGTTGGGGGCTCTGTTAAGCCACCTCTAAGGCTCCTCCCCGTCCTAATAACCATTCTGTGTCTTTTACTAATAATGAAACCATCTGTCAGAGTAAGTCATTTCTTGGCCACTCCTTCTGAGTTTATGGATACCAGACATTATCTGTGTATTTCATTCAACTTCTTTGTAAGGCTCAGTAATTGGGTAATTTTTAGAATGATGTAGAGTTGTAGAATTGGTAATTTTCAGTTGCCCTTCTTGAGCTAATTAAATGTGTTTTAAAATTTAATCTTTCTTTCTTTCTTTCTTTCTTTCTTTCTTTCTTTCTTTCTTTCTTTCTTTCTTTCTTTCTTTCTTTCTTTCTCTCTTTCTCTCCTTCCTTCCTTCCTTCCTTCCTTCCCCTCCCCTCCCCTCCCCTCCCCTCCCCACTCCTCAGGATTTTCCCTTTTATTGCACAGGCGGGAGTGCAATGGTGTGATCTCCGCTCACCACAACCTCCACCTCCCGGGTTCAAGCAATTCTCCTGCCTCAGTCTCCCAAGCAGCTGGAATTACAGGGATGCACCATCACACGTGGCTAATTTTGCATTTTTAGTAGAGATGGGATTTCTCCATGTTGGTCAGGCTGGTCTCCAACTCCCTACCTCAGGCGATCAGCCCACCTCGGCCTCCCTGAGTGCTGGGATTATAGGCGTGAGCCACTGCACCTGGCCTCATTTCCTTCTTTTCAGTGGATAGGACATCACAATAATCCAGAAAATACTAAGTCATCTAGAAAAGTATTTCCCATTTTGTATACTTGTTTTACTTGTTTCCCTGTTCAAAGTTGCAAAGAGATATTCCATTACTCCTTGCATAACTTATTGTGTAATAAGGTCAATTTCAGCTTTTCAGAATAGTGAAATAGCTCTGTTTTTATCTTCCTATGGAAACAGTAAGCAAGTAGTTCTGTCTTCGGTTTCAGTTTCAGGATTGCAGCAATCTCTTTTCACGGTTATATTTCTAATTTTCTATTATGTTCTTTGTTATGTTGATTAGTGACCCAAATCTGTTGATTTGAGATAAGTAGGACATAGTGTATTAGCTAAATTCTGTAATAATACAACATTTCCCACCTCCTCCTCCCCTCTTCCTTGACTACTGCATGGTAAACCAACATATAATGATATTCAGCTGATAATATTATTTAGCTGTTTATTGTTTATGAAGTACTGTCATATATATTATTTCTGTTAATTCTCATAACAGCCAGAAAGAATGGAAAAATAAGGATTCATTGTTGCTGTTGCCATTATCCACATTTTATAGATAAGGTGGGAAACACCTGGAGAGATTAAGTGACCACCCAAGATTGCCCAAGAAGTTAAATGCAGAGGCCTGCTACATGATGCTGTCAGGACTTGACTGAAAGGCGCAAGTTCAGTGTCTCAGGTCAAGTTGCCAGGAAACAGACCCTGAGACTCTGAGATTTCCATACAGGAGGTTTTTATTGGGAAGTGCTCTGGGCACAATACACAGTAGGAGAGAGGGAAACGGGATTGCACAGGGGGAGAGACTGAACTGTGGGGCATGCACAACAGCGGCCTCAACAGGGAGGAGCTTGGAAGCTGGGATTGTTGTTCAGAATTGTTCTGCCTCCTGAGGCAAGAGGCTCAGCATTTGTACCTACATCAACTAATCATTGGATGCAGGCAGCAGCTCCCTTCAGTCCAGGGCAATTTCTGGAACTGGGAGCCTTCAGCAGCCAACCTTCCTAGTACCTGGGGGACTGAGGATCTTGGTCCAGAAGGGGATCTGGATACCACATCATTTACTACATTTGTAGCCAAGAGAGCATTCTCCTCTGCAACAGCCTTGTTTGTGTCTGATGGCCCAGACCATCACCTTGCAGAGTGGAGCCCAGAAAGTTGTCATTTTTTTCCAAGGCCCTTAAGGATTTTAGAATAGTTGACCAGAGAGCAAGAAGACAAAGTAGTCTTAATCCTAAGAAGATTAGGAGCAGAAGAGCCAGGGAGAGTAGGCCGTGGTGAGGGCAGTAGTGGTGTTTAACAAAGAAGGCTAAACTCTGGCACCCAGAGTGGCTAAACTCAGCCACCCAAACAGCTGTGGCTATCCAGACCCAGAACAAAAGCATAACACACACCAGTCCTTGCTGTAATGCTAGGCTTTAACATTGTTAAATGTTGAACAATTTTGTGATATTAGGGTTCCCCCCGCTCTCTCTCTCGCTCTCTCTTTCAAGCCCTTGAAAGTCCTCAAACCAGTCCAGTGTGTAGTCTGTAGATTATAACCTTCAGAATTACCAAAGATATTTCAGTACAAAAAAAAAACAGGGGAAAAACAAAAAAAAAAGAAAAGAGAAATAAAAGTCCAGGGCCCCATTCTAGATCCACTGGAATAGAATCCAGGGGTGGAACCCATGAATTGACATTTTCAACACATTTTCCCCAGAAGATTTTGATACATGCTATAGTTTGAGAACCTTCACCCTAAACTCTTATGCCTTTCGTGGTGACCAACTCTATTGAGATTTTTTCAGATTATCCAGAAGTCATGGGAACCGTGGGACAGCAGAGGAGCACCGGAGCCTTAGTCCCAGCAGGCCTGGTATAGTGAGAGTCATCCCTTGCTTTTCATTTAAATTCTTGATGTGGCCAACAGACAGCACAGCCCAAATTCCTTTGCTGGCTTCTGACCAAGATTGCAAGAGGGAGAGTGGTGTCCCTGGCTTGGCCTTATACTATCTTAGATAGCAGAGTGAGAGATGCCAAATTTTTTGAATAGTTGCAGATGGGGGATGGGAATCAGTGAACTTAGAGGAATCAGTAAACTTTCTAGGAGAATAAGAAGGTTTCAGGATATCTTATGCCAGAGGAAGCTTTGAGGTGCTTTTTTTTAAACTTTAATAATTGTCTAATAAGATCAGAGATAACTTACAGGATAATGTTAAGCATTCATAAATGTAGGATGGATTTCTAGGAGAATAAGAAGGTTTTAGGATATCTTATGCCAGAGGAAGCTTTGAGGTGCTTTCTTAAAACTTTAATAATTGTCTAATGAGATCAGAGATAACTTACAGGAGAATGTTAAGCATTCATAAATGTAGGATGGTATATTATCTGATTCACTGACATTGGCAATGATTTTTTCTTCAAAGGGAAAAGCACTTTTAAGCCTACCAATTTTTACTCCTGAAACACCAAATTGCTGTGTTTCTTACACTTTCCAGGCTTCATGCCTTTGCTGAAGTTGTCTGTGCCTGGGTCCCTTTCCCTTCTCCCTACCAAGCTAACTCCTTTTAAACCTTTTAGGATCAGCTCAGACACCACCTTCCCTGCCCTGTGGCCAGACTGACTTCTCAAAGTATTCCCATAGATCCCTCTATTATGGCATTTATTATCATTATTCTCTCTAACAGCCTGTAAGAGCAAGAACAGTCTTTTTCATTTTTGTGTATGAGAGACCTAGCCTCATCAAAAATGAGTGAAAAAAATAACGATTCTGGTGAGCGTATTTATTCAACAACTATTTATCGAGGCTTTCCTATATGCCGGGTGCTCTGGAGTAAATGGTGCAGACACAACAGGTACAGCTCCTGACCCTATGAAGCTTATGGGCAAGCAGAGAAGATAAGTAACAATTGAATATGTTATCAAACAACTACCAATAAAATATGGTGAGTACCAGAAAAAGCGAAGTGAAATTATAGAGCTGGAAACCCAGCCTAGTCTAAGGTCAGAGGAAGTGTCTCATTTTCCTGAAATATAAGTTATATCAAAATAGAAGTTACGGATTTGGCTTTGGTTACAAGAGACTACTTTTTAACAAAGGAAGATCTTTTGGTTGAGCTAGTTCAAAATTGACTCTGTGTGTGTGTGTGTGTGTGTCCGTCCAGTATGTGGAAAAAGACAGTACAGGAAAATGACGCCTTCATTTAATGAGGTAAAATAGGTAACAAGGAACGGAGAGGGAAGTTTCTGTGTGTCTCATTCAATGCACCATTACTAGAAGTTACTTTGTTAATATTTTAATATGTAATATACAGTGGAAGAAAATAAATGTAAAGCTCTGAAAATCATGAACTTACATCACAGCCTTTTAAAAATTAATCTCAAGGATCTGATTACTACGGCCTAGGAGGGTGCTTGACAGATTTGCTTTTGGGTCTTGTTGGAGACAGTGGGTGAAGTGCATTGCCCCAGAAGTCCATGCCCACTGAGGTTTCTCATCTTTCCAGGTCACTTTTGATGCCCTGGGTGAAGAGGCCACAACCCCAGTGTTGCAATTTGCAACCTCCACCCAGCTTGGTGGCTCATGCTGGGTCCTTTTTCTCCTTTTCTGGCCAGTTCTTGTTTTTTAAAAAAATATTATGATTTTTGAGAGACTCTGTCGCCCAGGCTGGAATGAAATGGCACAATCTCTGCTCACAGTAACCTCCGCCTCCCGGGTTCAAGTGATTCTCCTGCCTCAGCTTCCTAAGTAGCTAGGACTACAGGTGTGCACCACCACACCCAGCTAATTTTTGTATTTTTTTAGTAGAGACGGGGTTTCACTATATTTGGCCAGGCTGGTCTCGAACTCCTGACCTCAGGTGAACCGCCTGCCTCAGCCTACCAAAGTGCTGGGATTACAGGAGTGAGCCACTGTGCCTGGCCTTTTTAAAAATTATTTTTGTACCTCCTTATTTCTCCCCATAAATTGTAAGCTTAGGGTAAGGTTTGAGACTTCCTGATTTTTAACTTTTGAAGCTTTGCAGCTCTTCTGCTGCAATTTATTTACATTTATTATATTCAATAGATAAAGGACCTTAAGTTTAATATATAAGTTAACAGGCAAATCTTGGGTTGAAAAAGTACCAGATTCGTTCTCTAGTAAGAACCTATTTCTTGTTTAACCTGACATCACAAAGCAAATAGGCCAAGTGCTAACATGTGCATATTTAACCTATGAACCTCTACATTAAGTACTAAGAATACCAAACATTTGGCTGATTGCAGGGAGGGAGGGATTAATTCACCATAAAGCAGCACTTACTAGATGTAGGTGGAGTTATGTAATCCTCTGCTGTGTCCCATTCAAGTGGATAAACATATCCACACCATTCAGCATCTTGACCACAAAGACACCAAAAAAACTGGAACTATAAATTATAGTGCAAGTGAACATTTAACTCAGGCTTGAAGTATGACTTCAAGTGAATGGATGTGTGAGGTCCTGTGATGACGACCATTTGCCATGTATTTTCATATCTTTCCTCACCCCCTTTGGCATATTCCTTGGTTTATCTCAAGTATAACTTGATTCATGTTCTCATTTTTTGTCTTGCTTTTACCATAAATATTATATAAAAGGAGCATATGAATGGTAAAGAAATAATTCTAGACATCTGTTCTTGCACTTTTCATTTTGTATAGGTTGAACTTGGTTCATTGCTGAAGTGTAGGTAATGATTTTAGCCACGGTAAATCCAGTTGAATACTTAATTAACTGTAAATGAGCTCCATTTATTATATTTTCATGAAGAATTTGAATTTTTAAATAAGAAGCAATGATGGCAGAATGGAGTATTTTCTCTTTTTGAAAGTAAACTCGTTAGAGGATGAAACGTATTCCTTAAGGAATCAAAATTATAATAGTGTCACTTCATCTGAAAACATTAACAGTTAGTGGAGGAAAATCCTGTTTAGTCAGCATATTTTTGGATTCTTTAATTGGAAATTTTCTTTTTTTCTCCTTTGAGACAAAGTCTCACTGTCGCCCACGCTGGAGTGCAGTGGCATGATCTCAGCTCACTGCAACCCCCGCCTCCCAGGTTCAAGCAATTCTCATGCCTCAGCCTCCCTAGTAGCTAGGATTACAGGCGCCCGCCACCACGTCCAGCTAATTTTTGTATTTTTAGTAGAGACGAGCTTTCACCATGTTGATCAGGCTGGTCTCAAACTCCTGACCTCAGGTGATCCACCCACCTCAGCCTCCCGAAGTGCTGGGATTATAGGCATGAGCCACCGCACCCGGCCGGAAAATTTCTTAAGTTATTAACTGCCTTTTGCTGGAACTTCAAGTGCTATGGATAGTTTGTATTTCTGTTGACATCTAGATACGTGCACCCACCACTGTTAACAGCAGCACAAACACAATACATATTTTCATTCGTAGGATGTTTTCTCTCTGAAATTCCTATTATTTGGAATTTGAATGTAAGGGGCTGGACCTCTAAGCTCCTTATCTTTACTCTGTTATTTTTTCAACTCTTTTTTCTTTCTTTCTCTTTATAGAAAAAGATCTTCTATTTTTCTGCCTGTAAGATATAGCTCAGTGTGCTGGTAAGTAGGTGAAGGAGGAGGGTTTGAAGGTGCAACATTCCATGTAAAAATATTCACTGAATCCTCCTCTTTTCAGTTGGCTACCTCTACCGCACTCTAGATTCTCTTTTACCCTGTTCAGAGTCTAATCTGTCATCTGTCTACTCTTCTGCCAGGGTGGAACAGAGGATGGAGGGCCCTCCCACTTCTTTAAAAAGCTTCTGACCAAACCCAACTTGTTATTACCCCACCATCACGCCCTTTCCCGTAGATACTCGGCCTTTTATTATGAGTTCTGAGTCTTTAGAAATTTATTTGATGGTGTAACTTCGGTTGCTTCTTGGACTTCTCCATTGTTCACTGAGGATTTAACTTTCTTAAATCTACTAGACCAATTATCATTTATCCATTTGCTTCATAATTTCCAACATTGTGTTGCTGTTTTCTTCTCTCTTATTCTTTATCCTAGTTGGCTTATGCCTTTAGAAAGTTCCTTTAGTGGAGTTTTGGAAGGGAGCAAAAGTAATGTTCAATTTGCTATTTTATCCAGAATGTGGAAGGCGTCTTCAAAAATGCAAATATGCTTTCTTGATGGAGCAGTATATTAAGCTATTAGCACTTACAAGCAGATACATTCATCAGAACAGTTGTTTACTGCCCTAAAACATAGAGGATGGATCATAGGCATGGGATGTTTTGATGGACAAATTTGAATTTGGATAGGGGATGGGAAAGGTTGAGGGACATCTCTGGTTGGAGGGCATCTCCAGAAGAAAGGCAGGATAAGGTGGTTTGCCATGGTGGAGTTTGTGTAGGCCAAGACAGGCTAAGAGCAGTAAGTAAAAAATTACTCAACTATCATTTATAAATCTTCTTGTTGATATTCATAGAAAGTGTGTATGTTTACCAACATGAGTGACAACATAAGTATTATCTAAGAAAATACCTGCATTTGTTGGGAATTCATTCACTGTGTGTAAATACCTTTTGAGGTTCATTGTCTTATTCTAGTTTGCTCAGTGCTAGGAGTCCCATACAGGCTTATTCGATTCTGCATCCTTATTTAAACACTAAGCTATTCTTTGTGTCGTAGTTGAAACCAGTGATTGAAATTAATAAATTCATTGTAAATACATAGAAAACTGAAGATGAATTTCTCCCACGATCTTCATAGTTCCGTCTTTAAATGTGTTGTGAACCTCTGTCAGATAGTCGATAATGGGGAAGTTGCGTAAGTCAGTTTTGGTTTCAACTGTGTCTACATTTAAAATATCTCATCAGTCTTACCTTCTGTCAAATTTATAACATTTTAATTTATTTTTTTAAAAATGCTTTATGGGCTAGGCGTCATGGCTTATGCCTGTAATTCCAGCACTTTGGGAGGCCAAGGCAGGAGGATTGCTTGAGCCCATGAGTTTGAGACTATCTTAGGCAGCATAGCGAGACCCCATCTCTACAAAAATTTTAAAACTTAGCCCATGGTGAGACACCATCTCTACAAAATTTTTTATTTTTAAAATTTTTTTTTTAATTTTTGTTTTTTGAGACAGAGTCTTACTCTGTCATCCAGGCTGGAGTGCAGTGGCGCAATCTCAGCTCACTGCAACCTCTGCTTCCTGGGCTCAAGTGATTCTCCCTGCCTCTGCCTCCCAAGTAGCTGAGATAACAGGCACCTGCCACCACACCTGGCTAATTTTTGTATTTTTTTTCTTAGTAGAGACAGGGTTTCTCCATGTTGGCCAGGCTGGTCTTGAACTCCTGACCTCAGGTGATGCACCCTCCTCAGCCTCCCAAAGTGCTGGTATTACAGGTGTGAGCCACTGTGCCTGGCCCCAAAATTTAAAAATTAGCTGGGTGGTGGCACATGGCTTGTAGTCCCAGTACCCAGGAGGCTGAGGTGGGAGGATTGCTTGAGCCCAGTGGATGGAGGCTGCAGAAAGCTATGATTGTGCCACTGCACTCAAGCCTGGGTAACAGAGCAAGACCTTGTCTCTCTCTCTCTCATAAAAAGGTTTATGTTAAGTTTTTTTGTTAGTTTTGTTTTTTGCTTATCTAGAAAATATACTTTAAAAGGACTGGGACCACCTATGTTTTGCTCACCAAGCTGACCTCATCATATCATGCCTGGCACATAAATACTCAATAAATACTTGTTGAATAAACACATGAAAGTCCCTGTCAGAGTAGCCTGTGCAAACATGTGTCCTGAAAGATGTGGATAAGAATATCAATCACATAGTCTGCCTTGTGAATATTACTTAAAATCTCGTTAAAAGCCTTCCCAACTTGGTTTATAAAAATAAAATAAAGCTAATGGATGCCATTATTTCTATGCTGTTGTGTATATTTTAGCTAATAGAATTGAGGTATTTTAATATTATGTTAAAATCAAATGATAAAGAATACTCAACATAAGTAAAAGTGAAAGTTAACGGTACTTAAAATTGTATGCATTTCATGATTTCTGGGAATGATTCTGCATGGATACTGATAGTCTATTCACAAGAGAACAAATTACATTATTCTTTAGCTACAGAATTTTCTGCAGTTTTGGACATATAAAAAGATATCTACTGATTCCCATGATAAACATTACCAGTATCACTGCAAACATGCAGCATCTCTTTTATCCAAATTAGAAGCTCACATATGAGGGAAAATTAAAATTCTGTTGGTATTAAAAGATGTTTAAGATTTTTTTCAATACCTGTAGATGTTGATTCTATATAGCTTTATTTTATTTTATTTTTCATTTTTTGAGACAGAGTTTTGCTCTTATTGCCTAGGCTGGAGTGCAGTGGCACAATCTCGGCTCACTGCAACCTCCATCTCATGGGTACAAGTGATTCTCCTGCTTCAGCATCCCAAGTAGCTGGGATTACAGGCACCTGCCACTATGCCTGGGTAATTTTTTTTTTATTTTTAGTAGAGTTGCGGTTTCACCATGTTGGCCAGGCTAGTCTCAAACTCCTGACCTCAGGTGATCCGCCTGCCTCGGCCTCCCAAAGTGCTGGGATTACAGGTGTGAACCACCATGCCCAGCCTATATAGCTTAAAAAGAGCACAGTTGCTACATGGAACAGTTTCAATTGGGGTAAATGTGTAAGAAATTTGATCTACGACTACTTTTTAGTTGGTTTTGTTTTGCAGGGAGATATTGGTTATTTGTCTTCTTTGACAGGTGTAATGCAATATATTCACTTTGAAGAAAAATTTTCTTGGCCGGGCGCGGTGGCTCACGCCTGTAATCCCAGCACTTTGGGAGGCTGAGGCGGGCAGATCACCTGAGGTTGGGAGTTTGAGACCAACCTGACCAACATGGAGAAACCCCGTCTCTACTAAAAAATACAAAATTAGCGGGGCGTGGTGGTGCATGTCTGTAATCCCAGCTACTCGGGAGACTGAGGCAGGAGAATTGCTTGAACCCGGGAGGCGGAGGTTGCGGTGAGCAGAGATCGCGCCATTGCACTCCAGCCTGGGCAACAAGAACGAAACTCTGTCTCAAAAAAAAAAAGAAAAACAAAAAAGAAAAATTTTCTTTACAATAAGTGAGTTTGTTTTCTTAGCTCCTTTTATATAGTGAGTACAAAGCACCTAACTCTTGTCTTCCTGAAGTTTGAGCTGAATAGAGCATTAATATGCTGTAACTTGAGTTATAGGAGTAATATAAAAACTAATAATAGAATCATTCTTTGGTTTTATAGAATCATTTTAGATCGTATCATCTGCACATGCTTCCAAAGGAGTGGTACTTATAGTATCTTCAATAAGCTACCTGATAAATTAACTGATTATGGATGGTAGTAGTTCAAAATACTAACTCCTAAGACTGTGTTTGTAAAATACTTTAAAGTTAACAAAGTGCTCTCATGTACATAACTTACGTAACTTAACAATCAAAAAGTAACCTTTGTGAGGTAAGTAGAGTTATTACCATTTTACAGATGAGGAAATGACAGATGTTAATTGTCTTGCTCAACTTCTCGCAGCTAGAGATGGAAATGGGAATAAGCCCTCGCTTACCAGGCCAAGTACCCTTTCTCCTACATGGCATTTGCTTTTCAAATGATATTAGCAGCCGTAGGAGTATCTACCCTTTGCTTCTTGTTTGGAAATAGTACTTTTAAGGCTTCTGTCTGTTAGATGAAGAACAAGATCTTTTCACTGCGTGTTCTTGAATCTAACTGAAAAACCTAACACAATCTACCACCACTAACAATGAAACCTTATTAATTGGTGGTGGGGGTGAGGGGAATACAGCTTACCTTTCTGAGACACTTATGAAGAAGAGATGTTCAACGTATATGTAATGCATTAAAATTGTTAATTTGTTCCCAAAAGAAAACCTAGCCACTAATTTTATAAACATTAAGTCTTAAAGACATCAGTCCTCAGATTGGCTTAGATGCTTCAAGATTTTCACAATCTCTGGGACGTGTGGAATTGGGGTAACCACCTTGAGGTTCTTAAACATGAAAGCACACATGAGGATTTTCTTGCATTCTAAAATTTCCTTTTCTTTTGCAAGTTTCCCTCAGTCTTCCTTTCTTTCTGTTTCTTTTCTTTTCTTTCCTTTTTTTTTTTTTTTTTTTGAGAAAGAGTCTCACTCTGCGGCCCAGCTGGAGTGCAGTGGTGTGATCTCAGCCCACTGCAACCTCTGCCTCCCAGGTTCAAGCAATTCTTCTGCCTCAGCCTCCCAAGTAGCTGGGACTACAGGCATGTGCCACCACACCCTGCTAATTTTTGTATTTTTAGTAGACCCGGGATTTCACCACGTTGGCCAGGCTGGTCTCAAACTCCTGACCTGATGTGATCCGCCCGCCTTGGCCTCCCAAAGTGCTGGGATTACAGCCATGAGCCACAGTGCCTGGCCCCACCTTCCCCCTTTCCCCCTTCCCTTCCCTCCCCTCCCCTCCCCTCTCCTTCCCTTCCCTTCCTTTTGTCTACCTCTCTCTTTCTTTCTTTTTACCTGACTTCACCTGCACAAAAATTTTGTTGATGGAAAGTACAGTGTGACTTGCCCTGTGGCCCTGCATCTCTGAGGGATGCCCCTGGGAAGAAGAAACCCCAGAGAGCTCCTGTAGTTTTCCAGGGAAACAAACTAAATTTCACAGTAACAGGATTGGTTCTTCTGAACACTGTCTCTTAAGTGTTGGCAACCTTCTGGTATAGAAAAGAATCTGGAAGAATATGTATTATATTTTATCATTGGTTATTTTATAGAATTAGTATATATAGTTGTATTAGATGATGGAAAATTGTTACTTTTCATGTTAAACAATTCTGTCTTATTTGATTTATTATTACAAGTTGAGTATTTCTTATCTGAAATGCTTGGTACTAGAAGTGTTTTGGATTTCAGATTTTTTTGGATTTTGGAATATTTGCATATACATCATGAGATATCTTGGGGATAAGACCCAAATCTAAACACGAAATTTATGTTTCATATATACCTATACACATAGCCTGAAGATAATTGTATACAATGTTTTTAATAATATTGTGCATGACAAAGTTTATGTACATTGAACCATCAGAAAACAAAGGTGTCACTATCTCAGGCACCCACGTGGACAATCTGTGCTTGCTTGGTATCACCATCATTCCTGACTCTGAATTTACATGCTGCTGATAAGCAATCACTTCTCCTTTTTTTCATTTCTTTTTTATTTTCTTTTTTTGAGACAAGATCTTGCTCTGTTGCTCAGGTTAAAGTGCAGTGGCACGATCACAGCTCACTGAAGCCTTAACCTCCTGGGCTCAGGTGATCATCCCATCTCAGCCTCCCAAGCAGCTGGGAATACAGGTGTACACCACTGCTCTCGGCTAATTATTGTAGTTTGTTGTAGAGGTGGGGTTTCACCATGTTATCCATGGCTGGTCTTGAACTCCTTGACTCAAACAGCCTGCCTGCCTAAGCCTCCCAAAGTGCTAGGATTACAGGTGTGAACCACCATGCCTCACTACAGTCATGTTCTTAGACTTATTCACACATAAGTACTTATGGTAAAAAAAATAACATACCATTAATACAGTGAAAAAAATAATGTGTTCAGGGCAACTAAGCCCAGTAGCATCACCAAATACCTATACCCACTGTTAACAGCAACAACAATGGCAGGCTTTCAGTCTGTATGTGCAAATTATGTATTCTGATTAAAAAGTTACTGTACACTGTATTTTTTGTAGGTGAGAAGAAACATCAGTAATAGTTGAGGGACCAGAAAGTGGGTCCTCTGAGGATGAGGAGGCATTCTGCTGGATGGCCTTTTCAAATATTTCCTCCAGAGTCATCTGCCTCATTAACAATGGTGTTTGTCTTAGAAGTCTCTTTGATTTTATAAACTGACATCATTTCTTATTCTGTTATACATGCACGCTGCTCTAGTCCTTCAATAAGCTCATCACACATCCACTATGTCATCTATAGGCACTTTTTCTGCAGTGTTAATGGTATCTTCCTTGTCACTATTATCACAATCATTTTCATTGACAACCATTTCAGCTTTTTCATCAGCAGTCAATGAATGAAGAACTGTAGCCTCTTTGTTGATGTTAAAAAAAACTTCATTGATGTCTTCCAGCTTACTGACTCTGAAGGTATATTTTTTGCATATGTAAGGAGGTCATACATCATTTTTTCTCTCATCTGATATACGGAATCCTTCAAAGTCACCACGTTGTTCATCATCATCACTGAACCCACCAGAGCTTGTGCCAGGTATGCACAACTGTATCTTTAGTCATGTGTTCTAAACATTGGCAACAGCATATATGGCATCCCTCATGCTAAACTCCTTTTGAAAATCTTCTACACTTATGCCTCTCTTCACTGCTGCTAGCATGCTGTTTAAGAAAGCATTATTTAATCCTCATTGATCTAAGGATACCTTGTCACATGGGTGAAGTAGAGTAGTCACATTTTAGGGAAAGTACGTGGCATAAACATTATTTTTGATGAGAATTTCCACTGGAGGATGAGCAGGACAGATGTGAAGGAATAACAAATTCTTGCAACTGTCATCCAGTGCAACTTCCCTGCAGTGAACACAAGCTCCTGGTACCAAGTGCTTATGAAACTAATCAGAAAAGACACCCCTGGTGATCTAAGCCTTTTTATTAGCATAATGGATTGGTAAGAAATTCACTCCTTGGAAACAGCAAAGACACAAGCTTTTGCCTGTCATAGCCAGATTACACTTATGCATGCCTGCTGCATCAGCACATCCCTGCACAGTTGTTCTGTCCTTGGCATCCTTAATTCCTGTAGAGGCTGTCTCAGCTCTAGTCAGTGTCTTTCCGGGGCAATAACACCAAAACGGTGATGTTTTATCAGCATTGCAAACTTGTTGTGGAGTCAAATTTTCATCAGCAATGACCTTGGCAAATTCATCAATTAATTTCTCTGCTGCTTTGTGATCAGCAGATGCTTCATCACCACACATCTTTGAAAATTTGATGCTGTGTCTTTTCTAAAATTTCCGTAACCAGCCTTTTGATTATTTACAGTTTCCTTCAATTTTCAGTTCACTGTGATAGATCTAGCATGTTTATGGCCAGCATACCATTAAATGGCATGTGTTCAGTGTAAGGCTGATGGATCCACCCTTTCAATACATGATCAAGATCTTCATTTCTAGCTTTATACAGTGTTTTCCTCCCTCCTCCCCTTCCTTTTTTCTCTCCTTTTCTTTTCCCTCCCTCCCTCCCTTCCTTCCTTCCTTCCTTCCTTCTTTCTTTCCTTCCTACCTATGAGGTCTTGCTCTGTCACCCAGGCTGGAGTGCAGTGGCACAATCATAGCTCACTGCAGCCTCAAACTCCTGGGCTCAAGTGATACTCTGACCTCATCCTCTTGAGTAGCTAGGACTACAGGCACACACCACCACACCTGGCTTTTGTTTGTTTTTTGTAGAGCCATAGTCTCACTATGTTGCTAGTATTGAACTCCTGGGCTCAAGTGATCCTCCTGCCTTGGCCTCCCAACACACTGAGATTACAGGTGTGAGCCACCATGCATGGAGTGTTTACTATTTTTTAACTTAACTTCTGTTCATCATTTTCAGGATGGAACTTCAACAATTTATCTTTTTGTTTCTTCAGGTCATATAAGGTGGTCATTCCAACACCATATTTTTCTGTCTGGTTTCTCCAATAGCTTGATTTTCTTTGCTACAGATAAACATAAACGCTTCCCCTTTTTCTTGTCACTGTTACTCATAGAAGTATCTGCAGGCCTTTTTGAAATTTTCAAAAATGTCAGAGCAGAGTATAAGCAAAGAGTCATAGTGATTAATACCTGAAGTTCTTGGTGCTATGTGGAGCATGGTGGAGAATCTGCTATTGGTGCATCCAGCCTGCTGCACACATGCCATTTTATTACCTTTTGTCTGTGTGTGTGCGTGGGAAGGGGAATCTGGACATGTGCAGAAAAGATGTATTGCAGCTGAAGGGGGATGGGAGGGTCTTTTTTGCCTTGGGGACACTGAGTAAATTGTGTGTTATGTACTTGTGTTTTGACTGCGACTTGTCACAGGAGGTCAAGTGTGGAATAGTCCCCTTGTGGCCAATGCTCAAAAAGTTTTAGATTTTGGAGCATTTCAGATTTCAGATTTTCAGATTAGGAATGCTCAATCTGTATTATTATTATTATATTTTACAAAGAGCATGGGTTGCTTTCATAATCAGAAGGAGATATTTTACAATAAAATAGTTGGAAGAAAGATATTTAAAACCTCAAGTAATTGAGTAATGCACAGGTATTAGTGTTCACTTATGATCATAGATGAGACAGAAAATAAACTGTTAGTAGTGTAATTAACAAATGGCATCATTTATACAAATAGTTACTGAATCTACATTAGTTATTTGAGGGAATTTAAATCACAGGAATACATGACCATAGGTAACATATACAAAGTGCTCACTCTCTGCCAGGTGCTAGTCTTAAGAGCTTTACATGGCTTACCTCATTTAATCCCCTCTACTATCCTATGAGGTAATTATTTATACATGGAGAAGACCAGGTATAGAGAAGATGGCCTACAACAATACAGAACATAGCAGAGGCTTGAAAAGCACTCTTCGATTAAGAATTGCACTCATCTGTTCAGAATTGCCCTAACTGCTGAGAACCCTGAAACCAGTGAGGAAACCCAGGCAAGACCCAGTAGCGGGAGAGCTGAGATCTGGATATGTCTCCACATAATTCCCCAGGCTTGAACACTTAGCCCCCCTCCTATACGTCCCTGAGTAGATGTGGAGTTCTAAACTGATTCTACAGCTCTGAAAAGAAGTGTCCTGATTGCCATTAACATTTTGAAGGGGGTCAGTAAGGCCATAATAAGCTTCTGAAATTCCTTAGAAACCTAGTTCACATCCCACTAATTTTTGCTCTTTTTAGCATGGCATCAGGAAACTTCTCTGGTCCAGTCTTTGATGATGAAGGAAACTTTGGGATGTGGCAGTGGAGTTGTGTTTTTTGGGAAGTTGCACTGTGCCTACATACTGTTTATTTTGGTGAGCTGAATGATAGACTTGTGATACACTTCAAACTATCCACTTCCATTTAAAAACTGGCTCTTCAAGTTCTCAAAACCTCTTATCAGACTGAAACTCAGCCAAGGTTAAAACTGCCAAGTATCTCTCTACTTTCCTGACCCCACTGCTCAAGGACTCCTATTTAGCACACTGTATTATCGAACAGCTTTTGCAGAGTCTTTGTGTGGAAGCTGTGTGTGTGTGAGATAATCTTTTTTTTAGCATCTTTTTTTTTTCTCCTCACCGTAAGTATGACCACAGTCTTCAAAAAACAAACAAACAAAAAAGAAGCGCTGTCTTCAGACATGTTAAGAAACATGTGCTTTTAAAAAATGTGTACGCTTTATATTAACTTTTACATACAATATGAGTAGAATATCACAAAGGTCTACTGAATTAAAATCAAGATATTAATATATACCTTAAGTCACAATTATTGGATAGGTGACATACTTCATAAGGACAACTGTTTGGTTCACGTTGCTTATGTTTGTGTTTTAAAATCATAACAATAAACTTTTGTTTTAAATGCACGAGAATTTACTTTCCAGAAATTATAATTTATCCATGATTCACAGCAGCCTCCATGTCTTCTTTAAAGAAGAATACACCTTAAGGAGCATGGAGAAACCCAAGGAGAGGTGTATCAGGTAGCTTTGTCAGTATAACAAGCCACCCCCAAATAACAATTTTCTATTTCTCATGGGTGCAAGGATTAAATGAGATAATCCATGTAAACCTTCCACAACAGTCTCTGGCAGATAGTAAGCACCTGTGATTCTTCTACGGATCTCACCTGGACTCAGTCATGCAGCTGTAGAGGTGGGTCAGCTGGGGGCTGGCCTAGCTCTCCGTGCGGTCTTCACCCTCCAGGAGGCTAGTCTGAGCTTTCTCACATAATGGTTTCAGTGTTCCCAGAGCAGATAAGCCCCAAGGTGCTAGTGCTGTTGAAGCCTCTGCTTGCTCCATGTTTCCTCCCATCCTCTTGGTCAAAGCAAGTCTCATGGCCAAGGGTAGAGAAACTGATTCAAAGGGTAGAGAGACCGACACCACTTCTTGATGGGACGTGCTGCTAAGAATTTGTTGCCATTTGTTGTAATCAAGTATAGTCTGTCTCTGACAAAAATTATTCACATTTCTTTTGCAAGAAAAATATGCTCCCTCCCATCCCAGGATTCCCCGAAGTCTCATCAGATTATAGTATTAGCCTCGAAGTCTAGAGACTTATGCCTGATCTGCATGAGATCTAGATACAGTTCAGACTCCTCAGAGATAGCTCTTCTTATGCTGATCCTCTTGATCCCAAGACAATGAACAGGCTGTCTTTCCCATACACATCCAACATATAATGATGAGATAGGAAAAGGATAACAAAAGTAGACACCCCATTTAAAAAAAAAAAAGAGCCATTAACAGGATACATATGACAACCACTGGTCCATAGCAGTTCTGTCCAAGCACATGTTACCAGGTGCCCCTGATCCTGGGCTAGGCCATGTTCCTTGATTAGGACCCAGCTCTGCTTTTCAGAAGTGGTTTCTTGGTTTATATTCCTCCACTGCTCTTGGCTCTACCCTCTGAAACTCTTCTTTTCCCACAACAAATGGCTTATTTTTGCTCCTAAATAGCTTCATTGGCCTAGATCCTGATCATAAAAAGTTGGGGACCCAGAGGCCTCTTTTCCTTTGAAAAGTCTTTGTATTTTTAGGCCAAGGTTGTGTGTGTGCTTTTTAGTAAAATTCTCTTAAAAACTTTGTGGATTTCCAAATACTCTAATTAGGCTCCATGCCCCTAAAACCTATGTTCATAATTGTTTTCATGTTAGACCTCTGTCTACTTCAGGCTGAGGATCAGGTTGTTTGAGACAACACACTTAGAGTCTTAGAGCTCACTTTGTCTAGCTGAGAAGGTCTGCGAGGCAGCTTATTCAATTTTACCGAGGTCTAAGGCCATTTCTTACTTAGAATTGTTTCTTCCAGTTGAAGAGACTGGAGAGATAAAAAGTTTTTATTTTCCTATCTTGTGAGTTCTGGTTTCTCTCTATTTTCTCTAAATAATGCTTGCAAACTAGATGATTCAATTTTTAGTTTGTCTCTATCGTGCAGAACTTCTATGTAGTTATAGACACACTCAAAACACTTTCAACATTGTCTGGAGATCTTTGCAGCGAGATGCAAAATTCATACCAACATTTTCAGCCTTTGGAGCTGCCATAGGCAACAGTGTTGCCAAGTGTTTGGCTGCCTATGATATGGGCTGCCTTTTCCCCTGACTGCTCTCGCAGTTTCCTCACCACTTCCACCCTCCTCTGACAGTCTGCATGCCATCTTTCCAGTTTTACTTAACAGTTACATCACTGCTTTTCACCTGCTATCTGGTGCCAAAGCCAAGGTGGAATGTTTTAGGTTTCTGTTCTGGCAGCATGCCACTTCTAGGTACCAATTTTTCTGTCATTTAGCTTATGCTATGTAAGAAGCTGCTACCCGTTTTGGTGGTTTCAAACACAACGATTTATTATTTCTCACTATCCTGTTGATTGGCTGAGCAGTCTTCTGTTGGGCTCTCCGCGGCTCCTTCATTTTCAGTCTTTTGTTAGGTTAGCTGGTGGTTGTGCTCAGCCTCGAGTACTGCTCAGCTGGGCATCATCTTCCTGCAGGCTAGCCCAGGCTTCGTCATATAGTGGAATTAAGCTACCCAATAGCAAGCCCTTTTGCACAAATGCTTTTCAAACCTCTGCTTGCATCATATTTGCTAATGTCTCAATGGTCAAAGCAAATCTCAGTCTCATAGCCACCCTCAGACTCAAGGAGTTGAGAAATAGTCTGTACCTCTTGATCAGAGAAGCTGCAAAGAATTTGTAGTAAGAAGATTTTTATTTTTATTTTATTTTTATTTTGAGACAGGGTCACGCTGTCATCCAGGCTGGAGTGCAGTGGTGTGATCTTAGCTTACTGCAACCTCTGCATCCCAGGTTCAAGCGATCTTCCAGCCTTAGCCTCCCGAGTAGCTGGGACTGCAGGTGTGCACCACCACACCCGGCTAATTTTTGTGTTTTTGTAGAGCTGGATTTTGCCCTGTTACCCAGGCTGGTCTTGAACTCCTGGGCACAAGCGATCCACCCGCCTTGGCCTCCCAAGCCAGGATTACAGATATGAGTCCCTGTGCCTGGCCAGAAAAGTTTTTTTTGCACCCTTTCACAAAGAGTATGTACAAATTCAAGGGGAAAGAATGGGGCCACCTAGGAGGTCAGATCAAGAATGTGGGATGAGAACAGATGCTCACCACGTCATGGAAATAATCTAATTGGTTGATGTATTCATGGTTCTGATACTATCTGGTACTACAATACTAACATTAGGCCAGGCACAGTGGCACACATCTGTAATTACAGCACTTTGGGAGGTTGAGGCAGAGGGGATCACTTGTGCTCCAGAGTTTGAGACCAGCCTGGGCAACAGGCAAAACCCCATCTCTACAAAAGATATAAAAATTAGCCCGCAGTCCCAGCTACTCGGGAGGCTGAGGCGGGTGGATCACTTGAGGCCAAGAGTTCGAGACCAACCTGGCCAATGTAATGAAACCCTGTCTCTACTAACAATGCCAGACATTAGCTGAGCATGGTGACACATGCCTGTAGTTTCAGCTACTCAGGAGGCTTAGGCATTGCTAAACATAGGAGGCAGAGGCTGCAGTGAGCCATGATTGTGCCACTGTACTCCAGCCTGGGCAACAGAGCGAGACCCTGTGTCAAACAATAATAATAATGATAATATAGTAAAATTAGTAGTTATCATTTGTTGAAGTCTCAATATATGCTACTCTCATGAAAATGCTTTATACATGTTAGAATTTTATTGCTGTAAATGGAAATGGCAATTACATAAGAGTTTTTTTCCACTTTGCTAATAACATTGTTTTTTCTTCTGCCTCATCCTCCCGAGTAGCTGGGACTACAGGTATATGCCACCACGCCCAGCTGATTTTTGTATTTTCAGTAGAGATGGGGTTTCACCATGTTGACCAGGCTGGTCTTGAACTCCTGAACTTAGGTGATCCACACACTTCGGCCTCTCAAAGTGCTGGGATTACAGGCATGAGCCACCGCGCCCAGCCTTAATAACACTCTTTTAATCATTATTTGTATGTGAATACAATGAGCCTCTCTTTCCTCATCTTTACAGTGAAGGCACTGTGCAAGCTAGTCATTACAGGCTTTTTCTGCTCTCACCTTCTTTGATTTTACTTAACATGGTGGTTGGGTTGATTAAGGAAGGAACACAGTAAGTAGCTGCTCCTTACCCACCTGACTTCCACACCCGTGGAGAAATAAGAAAGGAAAAGCAGTCAGAGGCCAAAGGGTCTCGTTAGTGACCGATAAAGACAAGGTTGGAAGATGTGGCTTACATCTGTGGGACTGTGCATTCTGATCTTGAAGCCAGCATTAGCTGGATTTACCCTCCCTGGCCACAGCTGATTTCACCCACCCCACCCAGGGGTAGTGCAGAGACAACACAGGTTCTCTGCTAAACCCACTTTTAGGAAAAAGAAAGAAGTGGCTGGGCTACTGCAGACAGGTTCTTCTTTTAGATTCACTAATTAGATAAGCAACTCCATGCCCCTTTGCAGGAGGAGGTGGAGAGGGATGCCAGAGAAGGGAAGAAACAGAGCAGAGAATATTGCTCCTTAACAACACTAGCGCCTCCCGACCTAGTACCTCCCCACACTAGCGCCTCCCACCCTAACTCCCCCAACAGCTTCAGTGCATGATTAAGTGGAAAGGGCATGAACTCAGGACCTGGACAGATGTGAGTTTAAATCCCAGACTTCTCTCTTACTCACTGGGTGAACTTAACTTCTCCGAGACCCAGTTATTAGTAAATCGAAAATGATGTTACCCTCCTCCCAAGGTTATTGTGAGGATTGTGGTGGATTTTATATCAGTTCTCAAGCACAATGACTGGTTTGGGGTGCACACAGTCTGTCACTGAGATTCGTTTTTCCTTCCTTGCTTTACGGAGTGGGCTTGATTCTAGAGGGCTGCAGACACACGCAGAAAGTTACTATTATAGAATGTTTGCTTCTCGAATGTCTTTGCTTGCCACAGTCTCTAAAGGGAGTGAGAAGACTGTCAGTGGTGAGTGGAGATAACTGAGGAAGGGTTTGCTATTTTAACTCCCAGGAAAGAGAAACATTTTAAATCAAATCAAGCTGATCTTTGAACACATGGTTGAAAGATGTTAATAATGGCCATTTGAGTCATCAATAAATTGTGTCTAATGCCCTGTTTTTTAAAAAGCAAGGAAGTGTGTCCAGGCATTTTAGAAGAGGATTTCCAACAAAGATAAGTAGATGCCTTTGACATTTGAAGGGAGAAACTTCAGTTACTGTAAAGGTTACTTACATGGAAAACCCTCATGCATTGATGATGTTGGATAACTCAGATATTTCCGTACCTTGTGTAAAAGATATCAGCCATATATAAGAATATTTTTTCTGGGAGAATTTAACAGGAGTAACCAGGCAATGAGACTAGAATAAGTGGCCCAAAGGACACTGTTTACAAGAAAGAGGAACAGATAAAGGAATGTAAAAATTCTTAACTGGTGTTACGAGTTGGAAAAGAAAAGGTCATTGATGATTCTGGAAACTCCATGGATTTCTCCCTTTCAAAGATACTTCATGGAATAGTTACAAAATATAAAGGAATTACTTAAAGGCATATATGTTTTCCAACTGGACTCAAAATCTATTCCCCATCATTTTTTAAACATAGATCTTTGCTGTATTTTCCAGGCAAAGTTTTGCTTCACATTCTAGGGCCAAAGGGAAATCAGATGTAAGAGTTACAACAACTGTTTTAGTTTGTAAATACTAATAGAGATACAAGTGGAAAAATTTGCACAGATGACTTGAGCCTTGAGGCCTTGACCCTTGAGTGCTCCTGTCTTTACTTTCTCCCTTAGCTCATCTACTGGCTGGGAGCGGTGGCTCACGCCTGTAATCCCAGCACTTTGGGAGGCTGAGGCAGGCGGATCACAAGGTCAGGAGTTTGAGACCAACCTGGCCAATATAGTGAAACCCCATCTCTACTAAAAACACACAAAAAATTAGCCGGGTGTGGTGGTGCACACCTGTAATCCCAGCTACTCAGGAGGCTGAGGCAGGAGAATTGCTTGAACCCGGGAGGCAAAGGTTGCGGTGAGCCAAGATTGCACCACTGCACTCCAGCCTGGGTGACAGAGGGAGACTCCGTCTCAAAAAAAAGAAGAAAGAAAGCTCATCTACTGTCCTTTCCTGCTGTGGCTTCTATGCACCTGACTGTAAAATTTACATCTCCAAGTGTCTGTATTCTGTTATTTCAGAGAGTTAATAATTTTATGGATTTTTTTTAAAGTTGTGGTGACTTACTCCCTGTTTTTAGGACTGTAACAACTGAAGTGTTGCAATGTTGGGGAAACTCTGATATGAAGAAATTTGTGTGGGAAAGAAAGTAGTGATTCTAATGGTGACAGTATTTCCATGTGTTAATCCAGTTCTAAGAATTAGATGCTAATAATTGTTCCTAATAGAAAAGCTCAATTAGGGAATACGTTTCCTATTAGACTAACGATTTTAAAAGAAGCCTTCTTGTGGGGAGTTTAGGAAAAAGAAGCTAGTGTAGCTTTGTGGATTACGGATGGATTCTCAAGTAGTCACACTTTTGGGATTTATATCTCAACTCCATAACTGTATGACTTTAGGCAAACTGCTTAAACTCATTAGGCCTCAAACCTGTAGACTGGGGATGATGATAATACCTCATAAGGAATAAATGGGTTAATACCTGCCCATTGCTGAGTACCGCATTTGGCATTTTACAAATGCTTAATAAATGTTCACTGTAGAGCAGAATGTATGAAACCTACACAGGAGTAGCTGCTTTGATTTCCCGTGCATTTCTACAGAAAGCATCTGAAAGCATATTGCTAAAAGTGAAATCCCAGCTACCCACTGGCTGTTTATCAACTGTGCATATCAAACTGCCTTTTTCTCTTCACACACTGGCAGAAAATTCTGATTGAGGAAACTGAAAAGCGAATTATGTCAGAGGGCATCAAATGAGTAAAGTGATTGAAAAGTAGAGGCTGTCTCCTCCAGCAGTGGTTTGAATAACTCCTACCTGCTTTCTGCTTTAGAGCAAAGAGAAAACAAGAGACATTTAAAAATTATTTCTTCTAGCCTCAGACTTTTATCGTTATAAACCATTTCAATTAATACTCTTCAGCCTTTCAAATTTTGCTTTGAATGAGCCCTAAGACAATATTAAATGCGTTCTTGCCCAATGCACTTTAAGATACGATACAAGCTTTTTTTTTTTTAAATTAACTTCGGAGCAGCAAGAAAATTAGAGCTATTCATTAGGAACTTTTTAGTTTTAACCTGTAATGTTTTGATGTTCAAAGAATAGTGTTTCCCTCTGTATTAGTCTGTTTTCATGCTGCTGATAAAGACATATCTGAGACTGGGCAATTTACAAAAGAAAGAGGTTTAATGGACTTACAGTTCCACGTGGCTGGGGAGAACTTACAATCATGGTGAGGCAATGGTGAGGCATGGTGAATGCAAGGAGGGGCAAGTCACATCTTATGTGGATGGTGGCAGACAAAAAGAGAATGAAGAGGATGCAAAAGCAGAAACCTCTAATAAAACCATCAGATCTCATGACACTTATTCACTACCACCAGAACAGCATGGGGGAAACCGCCCCCATGATTCAGTTATCTCCCACCGGATCCCTCGCACAACGTGTGGGAATTATGGGAGTACCATTCAAGATGAGATTTGGGTGGGGACATAGAGCCAAACCATATCACCCTCTTAGATGTGTCATTTTAAAAATCAAGAAACAGAACACTGGTTTTACTCAGTTGAGTGAAATTATTGTTTATGAACCTGTTGGGGAAAGTCCATTTGTTGTTCTTTAAGGGCTGTGTTACTATGGGGTATGCTAGAAAGGAACTGCTAAATTACAGTGACACTCTACCTGTGGAATTTCTAGGTGCCTCTGGTAGCGGGGATGTGTGGGCAGGAGGGACTGGATGAGGTGGTTGAGAAAGGGGTACACAGGGTGACCCCATGGGGCTGTGCAGGTTGTGATCTCACCACAGATGAGAGAGACTGGCAATCCAACCATGCTCAGCTCACCAGGATGCATGCCCTTGGGCAGGGCTTTATCCACCCAGAGAAAGGGCCCTTTCCTAGCTTTCACAAAGATACTATATAAGCCCAACACAAAACCTCATTAAGGCACCCTATAGACCAATAGTGGACCTTCTGATTTGTAATAATCACTTTAATCATATGTTTACAATTGGTATAAAATTAGGACATAGGAGGTATGTCATAGAATCTGAAAATCAGAACTTGGGTACTGTGCGTAAGTCCTGTATGGAGTGTATATCTTGGGGACAGGGTCTGTTTTGCTTCTGAAATAGCCGAATTCCATTTGCAAAGACTCTCTTTTTCTTTCTCTTTCTCTTTCTGTGTGTGTGTGTATCTACAAGCTGATCTCCATAATAAGCTTCACAAGGTTTGCTGTGTGCCTTGAGCTGCTCTGTATTGCATATTCCCATGTCTGAAAATTTCTCACTACTTGTAAAAATACTTTAACATCTTGCTGTGAAACAGGAAAAGGTTTTGTTTCCTGGTTTTGGCAAAATTTGCTTAATGCATATATTAGTCTTTTGGGGCTGCCTAATAAAGCTTCTCCTTTATTATCAGAGAGATACTATGTATGTCACTTTAAATAATTCCCTTAGAGGCATGTTGGGAACAATGACTTTCACAATTGTTCTTTGTAGCATCCAGTGTCTTGGTTATTTATGTGTGATATGGTTTGGCTGTGTCCCCACCAAATCTCAACTTGAATTGTATCTCCCAGAATTCCCATGTGTTGTGGGAGGGACCCAGGGGAAGGTAATTGAATCCTGGGGATTGGTCTTCCCTGTGCTATTCTCGTGATAGTGAATAAGTCTCATGAGATCTGATGGGTTTATCAGGGGTTTCTGCTTTTGCTCCTTCCTCATTTTCTCTTGCCACCACAATGTAAGAAGTGCCTTTCACCTCCCACTATGACTCTGGGGCCTCCCCAGCCATGTGGTACTATAAGTCCAATTAAACCTCTTTTCTTCCCAGTCTTGGGTATGTCTTTATCAGCAGTGTGAAAATGGACTAATACAATGTGATTGTCACCTCCACTCTTTGGTCTGCTGAGGTAGGTGGAAACCTGCTTTCTGAATTGTTCCTTCCTGATATGACAGAAAATTTTAAGATTCTATGTGCCAAATATAGTAGGCTATTCAAAGCAGGATCTAGGTCTCAATGGCTAGAATATTTAACTAATAGAATATCACCATCCTTCCTTGTTCCCTGTGAATGCTATCAGAGTATTTATTCATGTACCTGAGGGTGCCTCATCATAGTAAGCTCAGTCTTCAATTTTATTCATACTCCCATGCCTGCAACAATTATAATTTTCCATCATAAAATGAAGGGATCAGAATAAACTATTTCAAACATTCTTGATTCCTTTTCCTTTTGAGCTTCAGAGATTGTTTTTATGAAAGTGAGTTTTCAGCTGACTTTCTTATTTAGCCTCCATACCAGGGAGCCAGAAGGCAGTGCTTATGAAAGCCACCATCTTTCCAGTGGGGGAGAGAGGCCAGTAGCTACCCCTTTTCCTTCTCTATCAGGTTTTTGCTCATCGAGATTGCCCCCAAGCTAGGAATTATTATAAGTTCTCCAGAATTGCATGATAATTATGAATAAAAAGCTGACATGGGCCAGGTGCAGTGGCTCATGCCTGTAATCCCAGAACTTTGGGAGGCTGAGGCAGGTGGATCACCTGAGATCAAGAGTTTGAGACCAGCTTGGCCAACATGGTGAAACCCCATCTCTACTAAAAATACAAAACTTAGCTGGGCGTGGTGGTGCATGCCTGTAATTCAAGCTACATGGGAGGCTGAGGCAGGAGAATCACTTGAACCCGGGAGGCAGAGGTTACAGTGAGCCGAGATAGTACCACTGCACTCCAGCCTGGGCAACAGAGCAAGACCACCTCAAAAAAAAAAAAAAAAAAAAAAAAAGCTGACATGGTAGGTATCTATGGAATGGGTCACAAATTTGAGTATGCATTATAATCACCTGGAGATCATCCTAGGCCTACCGAATCAGAAACTCTAGGTGCCCAGGCATCTGTAATCTTTGAAGCTCTCCAGAAGATTCTGTCACCTCTTGCAGACCGAGGACCACTGAGCTACCATCATCTCTTTGTTCCTTTGTTTTCTCTTACACAAAACTTTATTGCTCAATGAAAAAAGGCTTAAGCAATACCCCCTTCCTTCCTTATTGGATCTGGTTTTCAGTACAGATTATATGCATGCCTGAAAAGAAAATTAGAAAGCAGAAGCAGATTTTTGGTAGTTGGTTGTCAATTTTCTTTTGAATTCTTCACCTCCATGCAAATTGAAGCAGGACTTATTTTTAGCAACTTGATGAATGCAATTTACCAAAGTTTATTACATTATCTTTTATTACAATAAGACAGGAAGGTCAGTGGAATTGTCTGATTTTTCTTTCTCATTTACCATAGTTCTCTTTCTAGGAACTCATAGTACAGAATCAAGCTATGGGATATATAGGTTATTTTGATTCTCTATTTGTGCCCACTTCTATATTTTTGTATAACTTCAGTAGTGTATACACTTTTAACCTTTTTGGAGACATTCTTAGGAATAGCAGTCTCTTCGTTGACTTTCTGTTGTAGTTTTCCTAATGTTTGCTCCCTGGTGACCAGGAGACCTTCTATGTCAGTGGAGACAACTCATCCAAGGCTGGCTGAGCCAAGAGAGGTGGGCAGGAAGGCCAGGTGAAGGCCCCCTTCCCTCCTTTACCACACCTCAATAGAGAATCTTTATGTCTCCTGTACCCTTTCTTTTTCTCTTATTAGCACATTATGGACTTGCGCCTTCACATGAGCTTGGGCCCTTACCTGATTTATAATTTGCTATCTATGACTTTATGGTTGTTCAATCTTGAGAAGGAATGACTGTCCCTGGACATCTTCCAAAACCATTTTCTATATGATTGAATTGTACTTGACTCTTCTTATTGTGATGAGATGATTTCCCCCAATAGCTTTTTAATGGCTGTAGGAGAGCAATACAGAGCACAGGACCTGTCTAGGATAAGCAGGATACATACAAATGATCCCTAGTGTCCCAGGGCGTGGTACAGTCCCTTATCTACCCATTTCCTTCCATTGAAGTGCCTTGTAAGGCTTGGCCAACATGTAAGGAAGGAAGGCATCTCTCACCTATTCTTGCCTTGTTCATCAAAATGCATCCATTCCATCTCATCCACTTGTTGCATGGTAGACTATATTGGGTACTAACTTAAGCAGATGGGTACAGCTCAACTCTACGCAAACTAGCTAATGTGCTTTCCCCAGGTAGCATAAAATGTTAACTTGATTGCCATGCATAGACTTTTAAAAGTTGCTAAGGAGTTAGTCCTTTAAACGAATAGTATTTATTGTTTTATGGGGGTTTTTAAATTATGAAATGTGTGTGGACATTATAAAAATTTTGGAAAATACAGAAAAGCAAAAGGAAGCAATTTAAACCATGTATAATTCCACAACTCAAAGAAAACTATAATTAACACTTTGATGTGTATTACTCAAGTTTCTGTTTCAGAATGCTGCACATTCTCTTTCTCCATAACTACTTTTTATGCCTAACAGAGTATATATGCTTTTCATGCCATTAGATAGCCTTCTAAACTCTGTGACTTATGTAGAAGCCAGGACCTCATTATTGTGCATTTAACTTATTTCTGAATTTCTGCAAAAACAAGGTGGTGATGAAAATATTTTGAGCAATGAGTTTCATACACTTTTGCATTATATCTTTAGAATAAATGCACATATGTCAAAACAAATGCACACTTGAAAAGCTTTTGATACATATTACTAAACTGACTTCCAGAAAGATTCTATCAATTACCAATTTTTTAAAATAATGAATAGACTTTGTTTGCAAAATCATTAAGTTGCAAAAACAAAGACACCACAGGAGTTTTAAATTAGACTTTTTTTTAATCTAGAAAAAAAATTTAATGTACTTGCTTAGTTCAGCAGAAGCTGAGAGAGGTCTCAAGACCCTGAACAATAATACTGATTTTATTATTTTATCTTATTTTATGTTTTTAAGTTCCGGGGTACACGTGCAAGATGCGCAGGTTTGTTACAGAGGTAAACATGTGCCATGGTGGTTTGCTGCACAGATCATCCCATCACCTAGGTTTTAAGCTCAGCATGCATCAGCTCTTTTCCCTAATGCTCTCCCCTCCCCCGCACTTCCCCGACAGGCCCCACTGTGCATTATTCCCCTCCCTGTGTCCAGGTGTTCTCATTGTTCACCTCCCACTTATAAGTGAGAACATGCAGTGTTTGGTTTTCTGTTCCTGCATTAGTTTGCTGAGGATAATGGCTTCCAGCTTCATCCATGTCCCTGCAAAGAACATGATCTCATTCCTCTTTATGGCTGTATAGTACAGTCTAACATTGATGGGCATTTGGGTTGGTTCCGTGTCTTTGCTATTGTGAATAGGGCTGCAGTGAACATTGACATGCATGTGTCTTTATAATAGAATGATTTATATTCCTTTGGGTATATACCCAGTAATGGGATCGCTGGCTCAAATGGTGTTTCCAGTTCTAAATCTTTGAGGAATTGCCACACTGTCTTCCACAATGGTTGAACTAATTCACATTCCCACCAACAGTGTAAAAGCATTCCTATTTCTTCACAACCACCATCAGCATCTGTTGTTTCTTGACATTTTAATAGTCACCATTCTGACTGGCATGAGATGGAATTACCAGTATGTTTTGAGAGTTCCCAGAATCCTTACCCATTTGAAAAAGTATTGTTTTTAAAAAATTCCTGCTAACTTTATGGGCAAGAAAATTCTCAGCAGTTTAATTTGCATTTCCTTGTTTAATACAGAAGTCTTTTGTGACTATATTTTTATACTTTTGCTAAAGATTATTTAGTGCATTGGTTAAGTGGTGCTATTCTAACGCCTGAGTGTTCACTTACTGATGACCTTGAGTAAATTCCTTGATCTCCCTATGCTCACACCAACTCTGATAATGGCAGTACCTACTCATAGAATCTGTATGAAGACTAAAGAGGGTATCACATGAAAGATGCCTAGAAAATATCAGGCATATATAACATACGTTTATGTTCTCTGTCATTTACATCTTCTCTGAATTGCTTCACTGTCTTTGGGTAAGTAGATTTTTTGGTAGCTTAGAAATATATATATTAAGTATCTTAACCTCTTGTCTGTCATATATTATAATTTCTCCCCAGTTGGTGGTTTGTCTTTCAATTTTGTTCAAAGTGAGGAAACAGTTGAATATCAAGAAATTCAGACCAGGTGAAGGCATAGTTTTGGTCCAGGGTGGATCTTTTTTCTGCCTGTCAACCATACTGCTAGGAGAATCACCTTCCCCATCCGTGAGAAGGTCTGGTATTGATTATAGCCACCAGATATCAGAAATGGCACTTTAAGCAGCTTACATTGTTACATTAAAAATCACCATCATAGAATAAAACTTCTGCTTAATTTATGTAAATAATGATCATGGTAGATGAAAGGCCGTGGTTAATATTTCACCATTTTCCATTTACCACCAAATCCAACTTGTCAGCATTCCATTAGTGGTGATATAAAATTAATTACTTCAACTTGAAAGAAGCTTTTAATTTGAGACCAAGAACCCTGATAGATTGCGTAACCATTAAGTGTTACTACTTTTCCCCTCTTTGCTGCAAATTGTGTAGTAGAAAAAGAATCTTTCTCATCATGAAGTCTTGTGTATAAACACAAGATATTCCCTATATTAGCATATATACATGCTACTAAAAATGAAAGTTTTTCACTTCACTGAAAAGCAATATGAACATAGAGACTATTACTTTGCCTTACTAAGCAGAGGAATTACCAGAACCATCCTTGTAAAAACATGAACATTCTGCTTGAGCTGCCAACTTGTTTCAAAAAGCTATTAAAAGTGGGCAAACATTGCTGCTACATGATGAATGAATGGGAGTGTGTTGTAGTATTGCTACTAGGCCACGTATGATTGGAATTTTCCACATAAAAGCATTTTAAAAAGCAGTGTTATTTACGATGCTTATCATTAGGGAATGATATTGAGAAGAGGAGTAAGGAAACCTCAACTTCTAAATTTTACACTTAGATTTCTGTATTTTGTTGTCATTTTACTTCAAGCATGTTTTACTTTTACAACATCTTCAAGAGAAAAAAATTTAAATCATGATTTGCATGGTAACTGTTTTAAGAGTTGTTAGTGTGTACAGGAGGGGATGCTTCCCAGTGCCGAAATAGACACAAAATAGGCAACATTTAGATGTTGGCCCCAAAGCCTTGTAGATTATCCTCAATTAAAAATACTTAAGTTTGCAAGTCTTTCTTCTTCTTTTTTCTTTTTTTTTTTTTCTGTGTCTGTTTTAATTTGCAATGATTGGAAAACATAAAGCAATGAAAAGAGATGGTTTCCCAATGCAATCTAAAATTTTCACACACCAGGGCCTGTTGTGGGGTGGGGGGAGGGGGGAGGGATAGCATTAGGAGATATACCTAATGTAAATGATGAGTTAATGGGTGCAGCACACCAACATGGCACAGGTATACATATGTAACAAACCTGCACGTTGTGCACATGTACCCTAGAACTTAAAGTATAATAAAATATATATAAATAAATAAATAAATAAATAAAATTTTAAATTGCTCATTGAGTTCTGCGCGGCTATGATATTGAACTGCAGGTGCCTATAGGCCTTAAAACACAACTGTTTCATGTTGTTCAGTCATCTTATTTCTTTCCTTGTAAGCAAAATGTCAGAACATTTAGCTCCTTTAGTGCACTTATTGCCCACACCGAGGAATACAAAATTGGGACTGCTGAGTAAAATGTTTAAGTTTCAATCCCTTGAAGGCAAATATTTGACTCTCAATAGAGAAATTTAACTTCATTATCTCTACTTGCAGGCAAAATGAAAGACCGGCTAGCAGAACTTCTGGACTTGTCCAAGCAATATGACCAGCAGTTCCCAGACGGGGACGATGAGTTTGACTCGCCCCACGAGGACATCGTGTTCGAGACGGACCACATCCTGGAGTCCCTGTACCGAGACATCCGGGACATTCAGGATGAAAACCAGCTGCTGGTGGCCGACGTGAAGCGGCTGGGAAAGCAGAACGCCCGCTTCCTCACGTCCATGCGGCGCCTCAGCAGCATCAAGCGCGACACCAACTCCATCGCCAAGGCCATCAAGGCCCGGGGCGAGGTCATCCACTGCAAGCTGCGCGCCATGAAGGAGCTGAGCGAGGCGGCTGAGGCCCAGCACGGCCCGCACTCGGCAGTGGCGCGCATTTCGCGGGCGCAGTACAACGCGCTCACCCTCACCTTCCAGCGCGCCATGCACGACTACAACCAGGCCGAGATGAAGCAGCGCGACAACTGCAAGATCCGCATCCAGCGCCAGCTGGAGATCATGGGCAAGGAAGTCTCGGGCGACCAGATCGAGGACATGTTCGAGCAGGGTAAGTGGGACGTGTTTTCCGAGAACTTGCTGGCCGACGTGAAGGGCGCGCGGGCCGCCCTCAACGAGATCGAGAGCCGCCACCGCGAACTGCTGCGCCTGGAGAGCCGCATCCGCGACGTACACGAGCTCTTCTTGCAGATGGCGGTGCTGGTGGAGAAGCAGGCCGACACCCTGAACGTCATCGAGCTCAACGTACAAAAGACGGTCGACTACACCGGCCAGGCCAAGGCGCAGGTGCGGAAGGCCGTGCAGTACGAGGAGAAGAACCCCTGCCGGACCCTCTGCTGCTTCTGCTGTCCCTGCCTCAAGTAGCAGGCCGGCCCGGGCCGCCACCGCCCATCCCAGACCATGGAGCGCGCTGGGAAGGACGCACCAAAGCCGGGAGCTCTGCCCTGCAGGGAGTTGCCCCAACCCTTTCCGGAACTCAGTCTTTAGAAAAGAAACGCCAGGTTCAAGAATTGCAAACCAGCCTGTGCTTGGAAAGATGGTTAGTTGATACCGTCCGATGATTCTTCAGTAAAGATAGATTCCCACAAAGTTGTGCAATGTCATTATATGACACCTTGCACTCTTACCGTCTTGACAGAAGCCAAGTAAGGAACTGAAGTTGTATCTGACTGTAGGGTGAATGTCTGAGGCCTGCCTCCTAATAAAGACTCAAGGAGGAAGTCAATTGGGCATCTGCTAATAGAATGAACTCATGATGGAAACTTCAGTTCATTTACTTTGTCCTGAAAATTCCCTGGTTCTGTTCCATTTTGAGCGAAATTGGCCTTGGGAAAAACCACGTTCTTCCTTTCCGATTCTTCATCCGGTCTACGCTATGCAATTCCTCCCCAAATATAGATCTTATTTCTGCTCATTTCCCCTACTTATTAAAATCACACCAAACACTTACTATTTTCTTATCTCTTTCACTTTTTAAATATCTTTCACCAGGTTATATTTTGGTATTATTTTTCCAAACATTTTTAAGCACTGAATATCGAACAAGCACTCAAATTGAAGTATCAGTCATGTTTTGTGTATTTTTCGCTGATAAAAATTATTTAACATTTATATTTTTACTTGATTACATATGCACATGTATGTAAATGTAAAATACTAATATTCACTAATATATGTACATAATGATCAATTGGTTTAACTTCTTTTATGTAAGTATGGTATATAAATTTCAAGACGAACACTTTTCTGGCTCTTGGTATTGGTTTGCTTGTTTTGAGTTTGTTTCACTCCAGTTTGCCCCTTCCTAGTCCAGTTTGGGTCAAACTTCATGTTAAACAACTCTGCATTGGTTATGGCGGTAGACATATGGCGGTAGAAAATGTATACGGAGCTAGAGACAACTAACATTCTTGGAAATACTGCTTTTGTTTTACTGTGGACCATTCCTTCCATGCATTGAAATGGAGAAATTCAAAGTAAAAGAATTCTGTTTTTCAAGCAAGCTTAATAAACATTACATTATACACATATTTTTATACATTTCTGGCTTGACCATTTAGTTTACTTTCTCAATTATTGTTAAAATTTTTCTTTTTCCTTTTTTTTTTTTTTTTTTTGAGATGGAGTCTCACTGTGTTGCCCAGGCTGGAGTGCAGTGGCAGGATCTTGGCTCATTGCAACCTCTGTCTCCCAGGTTCGAGCGATTCTCCTGACTCAGCCTCCTGAGAAGTTGGGACTCTGGGCGCGTGCCACAATGTCTGGCTAATTTTTTATGTTTTTAGTAAAGACGGTGTTTCACCGTGTTAGCCAGGATGGTCTTGATCTCCTGACCTCGTGATCCGCCCGCCTCAGCCTCCCATAGTGCTGGGATTACAGGTGTGAGCCACCATGCCTGGCCTTTTTTCCCCCCTTTTGAGACAGGGTCTCCCTTTGTCACCCAGGCTGAAGTGCAGTGGCATAATCATGGCTTACTGCAGCCTTAAACTCCCAGGCTCAAGTGATCCTCCCACCTCAGCCTACAAATAGCTGAGACTACAGATATGTGCCACCATGCCCGGCTAATTTTTGTATTTTCTGTAGAGACAGGGTTTGCCATGTGGCCCAGGCTGGTCTCAAACTTGTGAGCTTGAGCAATCCGCCCACCTTGGCCTCCCAAAGTGCTGAGATTACAGGCCTGAGCCACTGACCCTGGCCAAATTTTTTTTCTACTAGCTACTGAGGCTGCCACATCTGGATGGAACTGAGTGGAGGGGGAAAAGAATGAAAAACTCAAAAGAATTCCCATGAGGGTGTCTTGCTTTCTCTCCTGAGTTACAATACTTTAGCAAAATCATGAGGCTTTAGAGATATGGTGTAGTCTGCAAACTTCTTAATGCCCTTACCCACATTTACCATGTTTCCTGGCCTTCCTCTGTGTCAACTCTTAGCTCTTCCTAATCATTATTTAATACATGAGTGAGTTTAGTAGTGATCATATTTCTCAGGTCCTTTAGAAGCTGGAATTTTAAAAGAATTAGAAGGAGGAGTATGTGAATTCTTTGGAGCTCACTGCCTGACTTGCTTATGACCAGGAAAATCTATCCCCTGTATCTAATTTTAATTTCATGGTTAAATTTGAGAATTGTGGAAACCAAGTTCCACAAGGCTATTCTCATATTTCTCCCAATTTCTTTTTCAGCCAACTCCAAGGATATGTATCACCTTTGACTTAATTTGCTTTCTCTAAGGGAAAGGGGAAAAAATGTTCACATAGCTCCACTGCAATGTTTTTTATAATAGAGGAGAGATATTGTAAATAGAGACTGCCAGCCAGTTTCCACAAAAAAACGAAGAGTTCATAAATTTGACATGTTTGAACCCATAAAGCATTTTCTTTGCTTGGAACCATTATAAAAGTAAGTGAGTTTTCAGGCTCTATATACATTTTAATTCCTCACGTTTTATATTGGAGAGTTCGGTACAGACTGTCCATTACTGCACCAAAAGAATGAGTGAACTGTTACCTATAGGGAAAGAACACTTCTTCTTCCTGCTGTTTGGGAACCATCTCAGTGTGGCGTAATGGTTAGGAGTACAGATTCCAGATCCTGTTTCTTAGATTTAAATCTTGACTCTGCCACATACTAGCTGTCTGACTGAACCTTGGTTTTTCTGTGCTTCAGTTTCCTCATCTGTAAAACGGAGATAACAGTACTTACCTCATAGAGCTGTTGTGAAAAGTGATGACTGAATATGTAAAAGCACCTAGAACAGTGCCTGGCACATGCTAAGTGCTTTGTTCATTATTGTTGTTATTATGTAATTTTCTCTCAGACTGAGAGCACTGTTAGTGACCCAAGTAAATTTATAGTTTTTAAGTACAGAGGAAAAATAAAGCCTATTTTTTGTTAACAGTCTTAATAAATAATAAAATGGAATAAAGAAACCAAGACCCCATCTTCTGTGAATATTAGGGCTTTTTTTTTTTTGACAGTCATAAAGATGTTTTCACTATGGCATTTCTATCCCTGTGTATATCCAAACATGTCCTGAAGAAGAAATGAGATGTTCCACCAAAAACACGTAAGCAGGAAGCAGCTGTTCTGCTCAGCTTGGCAGGTGTTCTTTCCTAATTCTTCCCAAGCTGTGAGTCAGAAAGTCCTGGAAGGAGTTGTAGGAAGTTGTAGAGGCTGGGTCACTGACCTAAGAGAAGGCATCATTTGGCCCACTGCACGTCCTGGCCTATTCACCAAAGCCCTTCCTGGCTCTGACTGCCACACCAGGCAGTGGGTGAAATGCTGGCTTTTTCCTTAAGAAATTGTGTTCTAGTGCCACCAAGAGATGCTGTAGAGCTGGCTTTACCAATCTCATGATGCTTGCTTGGCAACTCTGAAAGGTGACTTTGGCCAAGAAGACCTTGTGGCAATTCTGCAAATTTTATACACTCATATCTTTTAGGGTACAAAATGAAAGAACAAATCACAAAGAACAATAGATCCTTCAGGAGCTGAAGGTAAGAATCTTTTATAGCTATTTTAACATATACAGTGACTACTTTCTACTAGCCAAATATCAAATTTTACAACTACCACCAAGCCACAGATTATAGGTGGTAACAACTCCAGAAATGTCCTAACTAGGAAAGGTGCTCATCTAGTATGCATCGGTATCCAGGATAATATGAGTTAGAATTTTAAAAATGTCAGTCATTCAAAAATATTTGAACTGTGACATCACAGAAGTAATTTTATGGCCTTTTAAGGTAACAACTTAAAAAGAGAACAGTACTCTTTTTATATCAATGCCTTTACATTTATTTAAAAACAGTCCTAATGCTTTATAGTTAAATGTCATATGCAGATATGTTCAGGCTCTAACATATAAAGTTCCTAACTTGACAGGAAACTACTGAAGATTGTGTACAGCTTAAAAAAAAAAATAGGGTAACTATAGTCTTGATTTTTATGTATAAATTCTATCATTCTATATTTTACCATCAGACATATTTCTACTCCTTTCTTTGAAGTATGCGAAGTATCTCCAACTGCAGCATGCAACTCATTCATTTGTAATCAAGACGATAGTTTGAAACACCCAATTGTAATCAGAGCAACAGTTGACTTCCTTTTGATAGCGGAGTTGAAAATCATTGCAATTAATAAAATGGGGCTATTAGAAATGGAAAACGAATAGGATCTAGAATGTAACTTCATCATATAAATGATGAGTGTCTTTGTTATCAACACGTTATTAAGAATGGGCAAGATGTCCTTATATACTAGAAGCTTTTGTAAAGTCATGTGTCTATTGATAATAAAGATTTTCGGAACTGATGTTCTGAGTGAGACTACAAAGGATGCTTTAAAACGAGTGATATCTGGCCGGGCATGGTGGTTCCCACCTATACTCCCAGCACTTTCGGAGGCCAAGGCAGGCAGATCACTTGAGGCCAAGAGTTCGAGACCAGCCTGGCCAACATGGTGAAACCCCTTCTCTACTGAAAATACAAAAATTAGCTGGGCATGGCAGTGCATGCCTGTAATCCCAGCTACCCTGGAGGCTGAAGCACGAGGATCACTTGAACCAAGGAGGCAGAGGTTGCAGTGAACTGAGATCGCACCACTGCACTCTAGCCTTGGCAACAGAGTGAGACCCTGTCTCAAAAAACAAGCAAACAACAACAATAAAACCAGTGATGCCCTGCAAAATGAGGATTGAGAGACAAGTCCCCAACACTATATTTTTTAATTCCTGATGTTTCTTTTTAAGTTACATTTTATATTCTATTTGAAGCATCTATAGACACTTCTTGGACCTCTTCTATTTTTCTTAGTCTATATTTCTATATTTTCATGGTCCTATAGCCAACTCTTTAGACATATCCACTCTTCTGTATCTCAGCATCCCATAATGTTTGATAGAGGGTAAAAATAACAGAGTATACACACACACACACACACACACACACACACACACACAGAATCTACCATCGTCCCCATCCCCTGCTCCTTCTGTCTATCTTAACTTGCAAATGGCAGGATCAATCAACTGCCACCTGCCCAGGTCAGACAATTATCCTCTCTTGCTTCCATTACTTCAGCAGCTTTTAATTGGCCTCTGGCCTCTAGTCTTATCCTCTCCAGTCTAATCTCTGTACAATGCTATAGTACAGCCACAGTGCCTTTTTGTTGTTGTTGTCATTACGCTGTTGTTTTTAATTGCAGTATTATATACATGACTTAAACTTACCATCCTAACCATTCTTAAATATACATTTCATGTATTGGTTGGTTCTCACATTGCTATAAAGAACTATCTGAGACTGGGTAGTTTATAAAGAGAAAATGTTTAATTGACTCACAGTTCCATAGGCTGTACAGGAGGCATGGCCAGGGAGGCCTCAGGAAACTTACAATCATGGCAGAAGGTGAAGTGGAAGCAAGTACATCTTCACATGGTGACAGGAAAGAGAGAGAGAGAGAGAGAGAGAGAGAGACAGAGCAAAGGGAGAAGTGCCACACACTTTTAAACCATCAGATCTCATGAGAACTCACTCAGTGTCACAAGAACAGCAAGGGGGAAATCTGCTCCCATGATCCAATCATCTCCCAGCAGCTCCCTTCCCCAACATTGGGAATTATAATTCAACATGAGATTTGGGTGGGGACACAGAGCCAAACTATATCAGTTCCCATACTGCTAAGTACACTCATATTGTTGTGCAACCAGTCTCCAGGATTCTTTTCATCTTTCAAAACTGAACTCTATACTCAATAAACAAAAACTGCTCATCCCTCCAGCCCCTGGCAACCACCATTCTGCTTTCTATCTCTATGAGCTTGACTGCTCTAGATACTGCATTGAACTGGAATAATATAGTATTTGTCCTGTCGTGTCTGGCTTATTTCACTTAGCATTATGTCCTCAAGCTTCATCCATGTTGTAGTGCGTGTCAGATTTTAAAGCTCAGTAATATGCCATCGTATTTATAGAGTACATTTTGTTTAGTCATTCACCTGTCAATGGACACAGGTTGCTCCCACTTTTTGGCTGCTGTGAATAGTGCCGTTCAACTGCTTAAAACTCTGTAATGGCTGCTGATTGCTGTTGGGATAAAATCTCATCTCCTTAGTGAGGTTCTTCAAGGCCCTGAAGGAGCCAGGCCCCGCTTACTTTCAGCTTCATCCCTGACACCTTTCATTGCTTGCTTGCTTTCCTTCCTTCTTTCTTTCTTTCTCTCTCTTTTTCTTTCTTTCTTTTATTTCTTTTTCTTTCTTTCTTTTCTTTCTTCTTTCTCTTTCTTTCTTCTTTCTTTCTTTTATTTCTTCTCTCTCTCTCTTTTAGAGAGAGGGTCTTGCCTAGGCCGGAGTGCAGTGGCACAATTATAGCTCACTGCAGCCTCAAATTCCCAGGTTCAAGCGATCTTCTCACCTCAGCCTCCTGAGTCGCTGGGACCACAGACACGAGACACCACCCTGGCTACTTCAAAGCACTGCACCCACCCACTCAGTTCCATTGTTGCGTAGGAGCTCCGTGAAGTGCATATTTAAGGACTGCATCGCCCCCATCTTCACGGTGTTATGTGTGCTTCTGTTACTAAACTGCTTTTTTATTTTTAAGGACAACCAATAACATCTTACTTGTTTTGGGATCTTAGCACTTTGCATAGTATCTTTTATAGGCATTTGGGTATTTGTGTTCTACATGCAGAAATAGAGATATTCAGAATTTGTTTTCTGCTATGAGTGACTTTTTGTATAGCTTTTTGAAGATGCATATTTTACAGCATAAAGCACGGTATCTAGTTTCTCCTCCCGGAGGATCTGTGTCGGGTGCTGAGTGAGGCCAGGATGCGGTTGGGGGCGCAGTGTCCTGAGAAGGGGGGTGGGACTTGGTGAGGGGAGGGGACATGGGACTGGAGAAAGACTGCTTGGGAAGAAGCAGATCATGCAGGAGAACGGTCAGTCTGAAAAGGTGAGTGGAGAGAGAATGAAGTTCTGAGTCACGGGCACTGAAGCCAGCAGAACTGGGAGCAAACAGAGGCTGGGATTGGGTGCTGTGTGGCAGAGCCTGGAAGAAATAGCTTAGTCAAGGTACAGACTCAATTTGGATGCAAAGAAAGTTGTAAAACTACATTTTATCTGGAAGTGATTTTCTTTTTCTTTTTATTCTTCAAAGCATGTAAAACAAAGTTTTCTTTTTTTTTAATTTTGGACAAAATGTGTTGGCTTGAGTTTCAGCTGGACATATTTCCATCTAACATGGCATCCAGTAGGGTAATTTGTGCAAAGTACTTAGCTCCCTGCTCCTAGTCACACAGGGCTGTGTGGCAGCTTTCGGCTTCAGTCCTAAAACGCCCTCAGCCACTGAAGTCGCCATGGTATGGTAATGGTCTGAGATGCCTCAGTCTGTGCCTCTGAATATGTCAGGGAATCCCACCACCCCCCACCCCACACACATCCAGACTGCTTATGAATCCATAATACTTACTCAATACAAAAATGTCTAACAGCCTGTGGATTGTGCAGAACAGTAACAGCAAGGGTCTTCTTTTCCTACAAGCGTTGAAGACCAAGGAGAGAATGGAGGACCCTAAACTGCCCTTGCTTGGAGCTGCAAGTTCTCTCCCTGCTGAAGCTGACCCTGCAGGTCGACTGCTGCTTGGGCCTGAAGTGCCTCTCAGCCACCAGCAGCCAACTCTTTGAAAACATGGATTTGGGCCAGGTGTGGTGGCTCACACCTGTAATCCCAACACTTTGGGAGGCCAAGGCAGGAGGATCACCTGAGGGCAGGTGTTTGAGACCAGCCTGGCCAACATGGTGAAACCCCATCTCTACTAAAAATACAAAAATTAGCTCGGTGTGGTGGCGCATGCCTGTAATCCCAGCTACTTGAGAGGCTGAGGCAGGAGAATCCCTTGAACCTGGGAGGTGGAGGTTGTTACAGTGAGCCAAGATCGTGCCACTGTCCTCCAGCCTGGCCTGGGCAACAGAGTGAGACACTGTCTCAAAAAAAAAAAAAAATTAAGAAAAAAAAATAAACAAAAAACAAAACAAACAAAAAAACACATGATTGTGAACCAAATCAAGCAAAGAATCTCCAGGGGGGTAGTGCCTATAAAAGGAATGTTACCCCCAGATAAAAACAAACTATTTAGATTCTACATGACAGAGGAATTTCTCTTGTGGGTAGGAATGTTTAACTAATTCATTCCTTGGCTCTGCTATGTGGTTTACCCTGGTCTCATGCACCCTTAGAAGGGCATAGATGAGGTAACATGGTTTCTTTTCATAATCTTCATCCACGCCTTGTCATCTGGTTTATGGAAGAAACCTGTCAAACAAGAAACGTTACCTAGTGGCAAGATGTTAGGACATGCAGTTACTAGGAGAAAGTAAACGGCCTGGAAGATGAAAGACATGGCCATTTTTTTAAGGCTGCAACTCCACAGGAGGGGTAGCTTCTCCTGTTTTGGCTCCCTGCATTGGCCATTATCAATATTTGAAGTGACTTTGCAAGAAGTTCTCATTTCCAAAAGGAAACCACAGCTTTATTAGAAAAACTTGCATCTCTCTTCTCTGATAAGAGTGTCAGTGCCACATTAAAAAATGGCCTGGCAGAATGCACTATGGGTATGGGAGTGGCAAGGAGAGATCCTTTCCTTCTTGCTAAGAGACAAAAAGGCTTAAAATAAATATTTTTGGAAGAAATAATCCAGTGATGTGAATGAGTTTGAGTTATAAAATGAAAAAGAAGAAAGGAAGAAAGAAGGATGACCTGTTCCTAGACAGAAAGTAAGTCAGGGCCGGGCGTGGTGGCTGACACCTGTAATCCCAACACTTTGAGAGGCCGAGATGGGTGGATCTTTTGAGGTCAGGAGTTCGAGGCTAGCCTGGCCAACATAGTGAAACTCCATCTCTATTAAAAATACAAAAAAATTAGCTGGGCGTGGTGGCACATGCCTGTAATCCCAGCTACTCTGGAGGCTGAGGCGGGAGAATTGCTTGAACCCGGGAGGTGGAGGTTGCAGTGAGCCGAGATCGTGCCACTGCACTCCAGCCTAGGCAACAAGAGGGAAACTCCATCTCAAAAAAATAAAAATAAAAATAAAAAATAAAAAAAGTAAGTCAGAAAGCAAAAACTTGTGCACTCAGAAGGGCAGACCAAGAAGAGAGGGCATGGCCGAGTGGACCAAAACTTAGAAAGTGGAAGCTGAAAATACAAAACACAGACTCTCCTGTGAACTAGTTCAGTTTCTTTACATCTGTATACCAACAAACAGAAAGAGTAAGTAAACAACTCTCTTGGCTGATCTTGTCAAAAGGGACAACAGTTACAACTAGAAGTTGGTAAGTTGTTTTCATTTTCCTCTGTGCATGCCCTGTGAGTATAATTTGGTAAAATTATATATTATGATAGTCTATGGCATAATATTGTTTGGGCTTAAATTCAGTGTAAGTGAGATGAAAATTTTGGAAATTTCTCCTAACAACTAAAGGTATTTACAGATTTCTAACTCAAAACCTTTGCATTAATCTGTGTGTTATTTTATTTTTCCTTTACTTCTCTTTTTTTTTTTTTTTGAGACGGAGTCTTGCTCTGTCACTCATGCTGGAGTGCAATGGCATGATCTCGGCTCACTGCAACCTCCACCTCCTGGGTTCAAGCGATTCTCCTGCCTCAGCCTCCTGAGTAACTGGGATTACAGGCGCACGCCACCAGGCCCAGCTAATTTTTCTATTTTTAGTAGAGACGGGGTTTCACCATGTAGGTCAGGCTGGTCTCAAACCCCTGACCTCATGATCTGCCTGCCTCAATTTCCCAAAGTGCTGGGATTGCAGTTGTGAGCCACCAGGCTTGGCCTCTTTTACTTCTTTTGTTAAAAAAAAAAAAATTTAAGGCCTGCCCATTGTCAGTCTGATAAAATACAAATGCAATTCTTTTCTTTATCTTCTTATTGTATTACTCTTTAATAGGTAAAACTGGGAGAGAACAATGCTATTAATTCCATTTAGTTTATTGTTTATTTGCTTATTCTGCTTTTTTATTCGGAAGAAAAATTTAAGAATATATTTTTTTTCCATTTTCAAAATTGTCACAAAGTCTTAAAAACAAAGCAGATACTGTGTTTTATACCTCAAATGAAAATTCAGAGAAATAGAAACATACCATGTAGCAAGTAAGCAATTGAATTCCTTCTTAAACTTTATTGTAAAAAACAAACAAAAGGAAACATCCATGCATTCAAATATATATTAGCAACTTCTCTGATTTACTTGACAGGAGAAAGAGGCTGGGATTTGCCAATAGCCCACATACTCTGTGTGGACTTGGTTGACAGTGCTCTCCCCCTCCTTAGCTGTACCTGCACACTACACAGCAATAAGTCATCAAATGTGCTTAAGGAGAGCAGGAAAATTTACTGCTACCCAGTGTTTGGTAGCATAAAAACACAGTTACCACATCCATTATTCATGGTATTGGGTCAAATGTGTGAGCCCACACACCGCAGTGTGAAATGGCAAGGGATTCTACCCTTAACTCTTTCCTATCTTTCTAAGTGATCTCATCTACCCTGTGGCTTTGCTACCTTATCCTGATAATTGTCAAACCTTTGTGGAGAGATGGTTGACTGCTTATGACTCTGGCAGCCCTCTTTAGTTTGACTGATAAGGAGCCGACAGAGTGTCAACATCACCCAAGATTCCCACGTGCTGTTAGCATGAGTAGGCAACGTCCCTGGGCAGATGGCATCCAAGCTAGACTCATCTTCCTTCAAGTGCACGACTGCTCTCATTCTCACCATTGGTAAAAGATTGTTTTGAGTAGCAGGGGTCAGCTCATAATGGCTCCAGTTGGGTCCTACCCAAGCATAGTGTATTAGTCTGCTCTCACACTGCTATAAAGACCTGCCCCTGGTCTGGGTAATTTATAAAGGAAAGAGATTTAATTGACTCACAGTTTCATGTGGCTGGGGAGGCCTCAGGAAACTTACAATCATGGCAGAAGGGGAAGCAAACATGTCCTTCTTCACATGGTGGCAGGAGAGAGAAGCGCCAGCAAGGAAAAGCCAGACACTTATAAAACCATCAGATCTCATGAGAACTCACTCACTATCATGAGGACAGCATGGGAGAAACTGCCCCCATGATTCAATTACTTCCCACCAGGTTCCTCCCATGACACCTGAGGATAATGGGGATTACAATTCAAGATGAGATTTAGGTGGGGACACAGCCAAACCATATTACATAGCATGGGATAATCAGAGACTACATGAGCATCATCCATAACCTACTGTCTACTTGACCTCTCTTCTTGAATGGCCCACAGGTTCCTCAAACTCAGTATTCTGTTTTGCCTCCTATAGGCCTTCTTCATTCTGCCAGTTATCTAGAGGCAAAAACATCAGAATCACTTTCATTTGCATCATCTCTGTTCATAGCCAAGTGAAATTAAAGAATTATTGCCAATACTAAAAAAAATTAATATCTGTGGACTACTACACGGCTGATGTCATCTAAAATGCACACCAGATACCTGAGATGTAAAGACGACTATAATTTCCTGTCTGGATTTTTCTAATTGGCCCAAAAAGGAAGTGGTTTATACATCAGAGAATTGTGTTTTGATTCACACTTAAATTTACATAGTCCTTAATGTTAATGGTTGCTCCTTTAATAAATGTCTGTTGCACAGAACTGATATTAATTAATTTTGGTCCTACCTTGCATACATATTTCTTACACATTTGTAAAGTACCTGGGACCAGCTTCTTGTAGACCTGTTGTCCCAGAATGATTTTTAATAGCTACCTATTTCACCTTCAGGAGTGTTTGTGTTTAGGTGATAAAAATTATATTGTCAACCAACATATATATGATATGTAATCTGGATATACCATTGTTTGACATTTTCTAAGTCCACTCTGCCCTTGGATCTCTAACCAGTTTAGTCTGAGACCCCATCCTGAGTAATTGCAGAAAGACCCTTCCTTTCGTTAGATTGTCGCACTCTTTGATATAGAGCAGGTGGGGACAGAGGATGTGGGCTTTCTTCACTGCCAGGTCCCAAGCCCATATTTCTTGCTAGCAAAAAACACAAGGTAAAATAAATATCCTTCAGGAAGAAAGAAAAATTTTCCAGGTGCAGCGACTCACGCCTGTAATCCCAGCACTTTGGGAAGCCGAGGCAGGTGGATCACTTGAGGTCAGGAGTTCGAGATCAGCTTGGCCAACATGGTGAAACCCTGTCTCTACTAAAAATACAAACATTAGCCAGGTGTGGTGGCAAGAGCCTGTAATCCCAGCTACTTGAGAGGCTGAGGCAGGAGAATTGCTTGAACCCAGGAGGTGGAAGTTACAGTGAGCTGAGATCACACCACTGCACTCCAGCCTGGATGACAGAGCAAGAGTCTGTCTCAAAAAAAAAAGAAAAAAGAAAAATTTTAAGTAAAATTATACAAGAAAGAGAGAAAATTTAAAAAAAAACAAATATTGAAATTAAAATACAGATTAAATATGAATGTAATGATTATAAGATAAAACAATTAGACTGATGATCAAGGAAATAAAAAGGTATAAAATATAAAATAAAATAAAAATACAAATTGGATTCATTAGTTTTTTTTTTTAGTTTAAATGCATTTTATTTTTCGACAACATACATAACATGTTTTTCTTAAAAACAATGCCTCCACTCCAAATAAATCACGGTCAAAATAAATGAAGAGCTCAAGATGACATCAGCCCCAATTTGTCTTAAGTCCTGGTGTTGTGTGGATGACAAGCAGAAGCCAGTTACAATGACAGGTGATAGATCAAAGTAATTGCCAAATTTGTTAACATTTTTCCATTTCTAAATCATCCTTAAAGAAAATCATATATGGGGTCACACCATCTTCACGGTAGTCCAATAGAGCAACCATGCCATCTGGATTCATGTTTTCACAATTAAAGAACTGGTAGTTTTTGAAATTAGCAAGGATGTCCTTGATTTGTTTTGCAGCCCCTGTCATAAAAGGTTTTACTGTTTCTGGTCTCTGTTCTTCAAGTTTGGCTTTGATTGATTTCATGTAATCTTTGATATACTTCTTGTAGGCTTCTTTTGTGAAACTTGTTTCCTGCAGGTGATGGTTCATGACAATATCAACACCAGTGATTACTGTGCTTTCTGTACCTTCGCCCTAGGGTCATTCAGCGGAGGTATTACCACCAATGAGCGAGTCATCAATGTTACCTTCTATCCTACTGACCATCTTCCCCTCCACCTCCAGGTACAGCCCGTCCATGATCTCCCAGATCTTGTAGATGTCGGAAAACATCTCATCGTGGCTGATGAGGTCGCGGTAGATAATCATGATGGCGGCTGAAGGGAGACGATGCAGCACTAGCTTAGCAGGAGCCTGAAGCTTGCAGCAAGCGCAGTGCAGCCTGAGCGGTGCTAAGGTGGAGAGGGGAGCGAGCGGGGAAAAAAAAAAGCTAGATTCATTAGTCTTTTATGAAAAATATAAATATGGATTAAAAACAAAAATTCTAGGCTGAACTAGGAATAAATATAATTTCAAAAGGATGTGAAAGTATTATTTTTAATGGAAATATAAATAAAGACAAAGTAGGAAAAACAAAATAGAGGCAGAATACTTAAAGAATAAACAAGTAAAATTGAAATGGGGGAAATTAGATAAAATAAATGAAATAAGATAATATATGTAAAGTGCTTCTCACAGTAAAGTGATGTTGAGACATTGCTCCATAAAACAACATTTATCTTTTATAAAATTTGAAAATAAAACATGAGAGGATAATGGGGGCAGGAAGGAGAAGAGTCCTAGTGAAAGCAAACGAGGAGTCTGGCAAAATTCTCATTTAGCTTTCTCTAGAGTTGGGTCCTGGATAGCTGGGAGATAGGAAGCACAGAGGAATACAAAGTCCCTATCCCCTCTGCCCTCGTCCCATGTCCCCAGCAACCTTGCATCTCTTTATGGTATTCATCAGAGGGGACCCAGAGCTGTCTGAAAGAGCCTCACCACAAACTGGATTCGTTGACTTCACACTTGCTCAGCCACCACCTCTTTTCTTTGGAATCCATAAGAACAGCACACACAGGGATCCAAAAGTGCACTGAAAGTATTTGGTAGTCCTCAGTGTAAGCACAGATGGCTTCCCATTCTCACCCTTAGATGCAAAAATGTGTCCTAGTAGTAATGGTAGTTAGTGATAATATTCTGAATATCTATGAGATGGCCATATTTCTTCATAATCTGTTTAAAGAATGGATTTAAAAGTCACCTGAAAGTGGAAGCATTTAACTAATGTTTAAATAAAATTGTATTAGAATGATGCTAGCAAGCGAGAGATTTCTGGTAAAGTGAAAATGAAGGTTCTATCAAGGACAAGAACACAATTTAGGAAAAGGAAGCATTAAGGTTCACACAATTTATATATATATATATATATTTGCACACACAAAATCTATATATCTATAAATATATTTCATATATAACCCCCCAACACAAGACAGCAAGTTCACCCTCTGGAGATAGCCTTACTTATAAAATAGAGATAAATATTAAGAAATCAAGGCAATAACAGGCACTCAGTCAAGGAAGCAACTTCTAGGGAATACTTTAGATCCCTTCACTGGTCTACACATATTTGTATGAAGATTCAGCTAGGAATGCCTTTGACAGAAACTGTACTGTGATCACAGTGACCCTAAAACTTGAGCATGCTTCAGTATCGCTGGACTCTGAGATGCAGATTCAGGACATTGGGGTGGGGCCAGAGAATGTGCATTTCCAACAAGTTCCCAGATAATCTTTATGCTGTTGGTCAGAGGACCACACTTTGAGAGCCACAGGCTTATATTTAAAAGCATGTAAATTTTCTCGTACAATAAGAAGACTGGAGGTAGATGGTTTCTGGTTGGCTGTGGCTCCATAAGGTCTTTAAAGGCAAAATCTCTTTCTAATTTACCGTTCTGACATCTTTGGGTATTAGCACATTATCCATAGAAATGTGACCTCCCTGCCCCCAATCCTGGCCCCGTGGTCACAGCATAGCCAACACAGTTCCAAGGCTTCTATCTTCACATTGTCAGATCCCAGAGAAGTTCCTCTTCAAAAGTTTAGTTTGTTTAGTTTCCTTATTCTCTACTTTCAACGTCCAACTTCCTTATCCTTTTTGCCTCCCTGCTCCTGGTTCCAGTAAACAACTCTCCCACTGGTCCTTATCTACAGAGCCCACATCTGCTATTCACTCTGTAATTTACCACTCTCACTGTAACAGCTCTTCCCGCCAAAGCTGTCTTTCAAGTCAGCCAATTGGGTTCAGTTTAGATTGTGTGGCCCAACTCCAGCCAACAGGGACAGGACATAGTAGTAGGGACAAGCTGCGTTAGGAATAAAAATCCTTTCCCTCCTTTGTTCAGTGTGCTCTCATGGCAACTGAGAGAAGCACCCTTCTGCAGAAGTAAATTTGCCTTGCTGAGAAATCTTTTGTTTGAGTGCTCATTTTCTTTGCAACTCCGAGCTTTGCTTCTAACATGATCCCATTCAAGGCAGGAAGAAAAAGGGAAGAAAATGGGAAGGAATAGCAAGCACAAGGCTTTTACTTCCCAAGACTCTGTTTTTTAAATCCAAAAAGAAAATCCTTTCCAGAACTTCCAACCAGCTTTTTCTTATCTCTCATTGGCCAGAACTGGATCACACACCACTCTGCCACTGTCTCCCAACCAATTACTGTATTGACCAAAGGGTTGAGATGACAATTACTGGTTTACACTAATAATGATTCATTCCCTGGAGCTGGAGAATAAGTCTACCTTCCCTGAAATTAAGGTGTCTCTTCCCACTGCCTGAATAAAATAAGATTTCCTTTATCAGGGAGAAAGGTGAGGAATGGCTGTTGGATAAGCAAGAAACAATGGCTACCAAAAGAGCCCACCTCATGCTGTAGCAGTGAAACAGCAAAAAAGCTGACATAAGTAACTCCACTTTTGTTTAAGAGGGCTTTGCCCATTCTTACACATAGGCTAGGATAATTTTAGAGCACTGAGCCAATATGCAAAAACAGCCAGTAAAGGCTGGGGTTAAAGGGGAAATAACTATGGTTTGTTTAATATTTATTATTATTTTTTTGCTTTTAAGTTCAGGGTTATATGTATAGGTTTGTTATATAGGTAAACCCGTGTTATGGGGGTTTGTTGTACAGATTATTTTGTCACCCAGGTATTAAACCTACTACCCATTAGTTATTTTTTCCTTATCCTCTCCCTCCTCCCTTCTCCCTCAAGTAGACCCCAGCACCTATTGTTGCCTTCTTTGTGTTCATGATTTCTCATAATTTAGCTCCCACTTATAAATGAGAACATGCAGTATTTGGTTTTCTGTTCCTGCTTTAGTTTACTAAGGATAATGGCCTCCAGCCACATTCCCACAAAACACATAATCTCATTCTTTTTTATGGCTGCTTAGTATTCCATGGTGTGTATTTCACGGTACAACCACATTTTCTTTATCCAGTCTACCACTGATGGGTGTTTAGGTTGATTCCATGTCTTTGCTATAGTGAATAATGCTGCAGTGAACGTTGGCGTGCATATGTCTTTATGGTCGAATTATTTATAATCCTTTGGGTATATATGCCCAGTAATGGAATTGCTGGATTGAATAGTAGTTCTGCTTTTAGCTCTTTGAGGGATCAGCATACAGCTTACCACAATGGTTGAACTAATTTACATTCTCACCAACAGTGTATAAGCATTCCTTTTTCTCTGCAACCTCACCAACATCTGTTATTTTTTGACTTTTTACCAGTAGCCATTCTGACTGGTGTGAGATGGTATCTCATTGCAGTTTTGATTTGCATTTCTCTAATGATCAGTGATGTTGAGCTTCTTGTCATATGTTTGTAGTCACAGGTATGTCTTATTTTGAAAAGTGTCTGTTCATGTTCTTTTGCCCACTTTTTAATGGGGTTGTTTCTTCTTGTAAATTTGTTTAAATTTCTTATAGATGCTGGATATTAGACCTTTGTCAGATGCATAGTTTGCAAAATTTTTCTCCCATTCTGTAGATTATCTATTTACTCTGTTGATGGTTTCTTTTGCTGTGCAGAAGCTCTTTAATTAGATCCCATTTGTCAATTTTTGCTTTTGTTGCAATTGCTTTTGGCATCTCCATCATGAAATCTTTGCCTGTTTCTATGTCCAGAATGGTATTGCTTAGGTTATCTTCCAGAGTTTTTATAGATTTGGGTTTTACCTTTAAGTCTTTAATCCATCTTGAGTCGATTTTTGTATGTGGTGTAAGGGAGGGGTCCAATTTCAGTCTTCTATATATGGCTAGCCAGTTATCCCAGCACCATTTATTGAATACAGAATCCTTTCCCCATTGCTTGTTTTTGTCAGCTTTGTCAAAGATCTGGTAGTTGTAGGTGTACAGCCTTATTTCTGGGCTCTCTATTCTGTTCCATTGGTCTATGTTTGTTTTTGTACAAGTATCACACTGTTTTGGTTACTGTAGCCCTATAGATAGTTTGAAGTTGGGTAGTGTGACACCTTCAGCTTTGTTCTTTATGCTTACGGTTGCCTTGGCTATTTGGGCTCTTTTTTGGTTCCATATGAATTTTAAAATAGTTTTTTTCTTGTTCTATGGAATATATCATTGGTAATTTGATAGGAATAGTATTGAACCTGTAAATTGCTTGGGGCTGTATGGCCATTTTTAATGATATTGATTCTTCTTACCAATGAGCATGGAATATTTTTCCATTTGTTCACGTCATCCCTGATTTCTTTGAGCAGTGTTCCATAGTTCTCATTGTACAGATCTTTCAGTTCCTGGTTAGCTATATTCCTAGGCATTTTATTCTTTTTGTGGCAATCGTGAATGGGATTGCATTCCTGATTTGGCTCTCGGCTTGATTGTTCGTGTATAGGAATGCTAGTGATTTTTGTACTTTGATTTTGTATTCTGAGACTTCACTGAAGTTGATAATCAGTTTAAAGAGCTTTTGGCCTGAGACTGGGGTTTTCTAGATATAGAATCATGTTATCTGCAAACAGGTATAGTTTGACTTCCTCCCTTCTTATTTGGATGTCCTCTATTTCTTTCTCTTTCCTGATTGCTCTGGCCATAACCTCCAACACTATGTTTAATAGGAGTGGTGAGAGAGGAGGACATCCTTGTCTTGTGCTAGTTTTCAAGGAGAATGCTTCCAGCTTTTGCCCATTCAGTATGATGTTGGCTGTGGGTTTGTCACAGGTGACTCTTAATATTTTGTGGTATGTTCTTTCAATACCTAGTTTGTTGAGAGTTTTTAACATAAAGGGGTGTTGAATTTTATTGAAAGCCTTTTCTGCAAGTATGGTATAATTATGTGGTTTTGTCTTAGTTTTATTTATGCAATGAATCACATTTATTGATTTGTGTATGTTGAATCAGTTTTGCATCCCAGAGATAAAGCCTACTTGTTGGTAGTGGAGAAGTTTTTTGATGTGCTGCTGGATTTGAGTTGCCAGTATTTTGTTGAGGATTTTTACATTGATGGTAATCAAGGATATTGGCTTGAAGTTTTCTTTTTCTGTTGTGTCTCTGCCAGCTTTTGGTATTAGGATGGTGCTGGCCTCATAGAGTGAGTTGGGGAGGAGTCCTTCCTCCTCAATTTTTCAGAATTGTTTGCATAGGAATGGTACCAGCTCTTCTTGGTACATCTGGTAGAATTTGGCTATGAATCTATCTGGTCCTTGGCTTTTTTGGATTGGTAGGCTATTTATTACTGATTCAATTTCAGTGCTCATTATTGGTCTGTTGAGGGATTCAATTTCTTCCTGGTTCAATCTTGGGAGGGTGTATATGTCCAGGAGTTTATCCATTTCTTCTAGATTTTCCAGTTTGAGTCCAGAGAGGTGTTCATAATATTCTGTGATGGTTATATGTATTTCTGTGGGGTCAATGGTAATCTCCCCTTTGTCATTTCTACTTGTGTTTATTTGGATCATCTCTCTTTTCTCTTTATTATTCTACCTAGCAGGCTGACCATTTTATTTTTTATTTTTTTCAAAAAAAATAAAAACAACTCCTGGATTCGTTGATCCTTTTAATGGTTTTTTGTGTGACTCCTTCAGTTCAGTTCTGATTTTAGTTATTTCTTGTCTTCTACAAGTTTTGGGATTGGTTTGCTCTTGGTTCTCTAGTTCTTTTCATTGTAATGTTAGGTTGATAAATTGAGATCTTTCTGATGTGAGTGTTTGGTGCTGCAAATTTTCCTCTTAACACTGAATCAGCTGTGTTCCTGAGATTCTGGTGTGTTGTGTCTGTGTTCTTATGAGTTTCAAAAAGCTTCTTGATTTCTGCCTTAATTTCATTATTTACCAAGAAGTCATTCAGGAGCAAGTTATTCAATTTCCATATAAATGTATGGTTTTAAGCATGCTTTTTAGTCTTGAATTCCATTTTTATAGCACTGTGGTGCTGTGGTTGTTATGATTTCAGTTATTCTGCATTTGCTGAGTAGTGTTTTATGTTCAGTCATGTGGTTGATTTTAGAGTATTGCCATGTGGCAATGAGAAGAATGTATATTCTGTTGTTTTGGGGTGGAAAGTTCTGTAGATGTCTGTCAGGTCCATTTGATCCAGTGCTGAGTTTAGGTCCTGAATATCTTCGTTAATTTTCTGTCTCAATATCTGTCTAATATTGTCAGTGGGGTGTTAAAGTCTCCCATTAGTATTGTGTGGGAGCCTAAGTCTCTTTGAAAGTCTCTAAGAACTTGCTTTATGAATCTGGGTGCTCCTGTGTTGGGTGCATATTTAGGATAGTTAGGTCTTTTTGTTAAATTAAACCCTTTGCCATTATGTAATGTCCTTCTTTTTTCTTTTGTTTTTTTGTTGGTTTAAAGTCTGTTTTGTCTGAAATTCAGATTGAAATGTCTACTTCTCTCTGTTTTCCATTTTCTTGGTAGATTTTTCTCCATCCCTTTATTTTGAGCCTATGTATGTCATTGCATGTGAGATGAGTGTCTTGAAGATAGCATACCATTGGGTCTTGCTTCATTATCCAGCTTGCCACTCTGTGCAATCAGCATTTAGCCCATTTACATTCAAGGTTAGTGTTGAAATATGTGGATTTGATTCTGTCATCATTATGTTAGCTGGTTATTATGCAGACTTGTGTGGTTGCTTTATAGTGTCACTGGTCTGTGTACCTCAGTGTGTTTTTGTGGTGGCTGGTAACGGTCTTTCCTTTCCATGTTTAGTGCTTCCTTCAGGAGCCCTTGTAAGGCAGGTCTAGTGGTAACAAATTCTTTGGCACTTGCTTATTTGAAAAGGATCTTATTTCTCCTCTTCTTATGAAGCTTAGTTTGGCCACATAGGAAATTATTGGTTGGAATTTCTTTAAGAATCTTGAATGTTGGCCCCCAACCTCTTCTGGCTTACAGGGTTTCTGCTAAGAAGTTCACTGTTAGTCTGATGGGCTTCCCTTTGTAGGTGTCCTGACCTCTCTCTAGCTGCCTTTAACATATTTTCTTTCATTTCATCCTTAGAGACTCTGATGATTATGTGTCTTGAAGGTGATCTTCTTGTGAAGTATCTTACTGGGGTTCTCTTCATTTCCTGAATTTGAATATTGACCTCTCTATATAAGTTGGGGAATTTCTCATGAATGACATCCTGAAATATGTTTTCCAGCTTGCTTCCATTCTCCTCCTCTCTTTCCGGGACACCAATAAGTCATAGATTTGATCTCTTTACATAATCCCATATTTCTCAGAGGTTTTGTTCATTCCTTTTCCTTCTTTTTTATCTTTTCTTGTCTGACTGTCTTATTTCAGAAAGCTATTCATTGAGCTCTGAGATTCTTTCCACAGCTTGGTCTATTCTGCTTTGAATACTTGTGATTGCATTATGAAATTATTGTAGTGTGTTTTTTAGCTCTATCAGGTTGGCTACATTGTTTTCTATACTGGCTATTTTGTCTGTCAGTTCCTGCATTGTTTCATCATGATTCTTAGTATACTTGGATTGGTTTCCAATGTACTCTTTCATCTCAATGATCTTCGTTCCTATCTGTATTCTGAAATTGATTTCTGTCATTTCAGCCATCTCAGCCTGGTTCAGAGCCCTTCCTGGCAATGTAGTGACGTTGTTTAGAGGAATGAAAGCAGTCTGGCTTTTTGAGTTGTCACTGGTTCTTTCTCATCTTGCTAGGCTAATGTTCCTTCAATTTTTGAAGCTGCTGTTCTTTGGATGGGCTTTTTTCCTTTTATCTTAGTTGATGCTCTTAATGATTTTATTGTGGAGGAAGGTGGGTTCAGCCAACTGGCTTCATTTCTGGAAGATTTTAGGGGGCCAAAGCTCAGCTTCCAACTCCTGGACTGTATGCTCTAACTCTAGGGGACTTGTATCAGCCTCAACTTTGTTCTCTGTCTCCTCGAGGTTAGGAATCCACTGTGCTGGGGGGCTGATATGCTCCCAGGTGGCTGGTCACTACACTCCAGTTGGTGGTGTCACCCAAAATGTTTTCAGTGTGGTGACAGCAGGATGGTCCTCGTTCTCACATGCCAGCAGCAGTGGCAGCATGGTGAGGTGCATGCTTCTTGGCTGCAGCAGGGTGCTAGCGGATGCCAGGGTGCCTGCCTCCCTGTGCACATTCACAGCTGCAGTGGAGGCAGCATGGCTTGAGGAGGAGGAGGGCCCCACTGGCAACTGTACATGCAGTTGTGCTGGTGGTGGTATTAGCATGGGGTTGGGGTGCTGATTAGCACAGGTCTGAGTGTGCCATCTGTGTACGTTCATGCAAGTGGGGATGGCTGGGGAGGGTCTGCTGTTCTCTGTGCCTACTTTCACTCTAGTGGCAGTGTTGATGCAGGGGCAGGGCATTGGCAGGGATAGGGCTAGTGGGCTCTATGCCCACCAAGGCTCTGACTGCAATGGCAGTATGGCGGGGGAGGGAGGCTGGTAGAGTCAAATGCACTCCTGCCAGCAGCAGTGGTGAAGCAGGGTGCATGTGTACACACAAGGTGGTGGGGCAAGGAAAGCAAAATCTGCTCGTGCACATAGATGCTGACAAAGCAATGTGGGGGGTGGCCATGGGCCCAGAGGAAGCTACAGTGCAGGGAAGGAGTGGGTAGACTGATGTGTGGCCATGGAGACCACCCCACTGCAGCTCTCCACTAGTCAGGCATGGTCCACCAGTGCAAAAGCTATAGAGTGGGCCCCCAGGGCACCCGAGGCTGCCCTGCAAGCAGACATTGCCAGGTTGGGGTTCCAGAAGGGACCAGAAGACCAAGGATTATTCAGGTCAGACCAGTCCAGTCTAATGGGCAAGACCACCCTGCAGAGTTCAAGTCTGACAGTTCCCCTAGGACTAAAGTCTCCTGTGGGAGCTAGTGGGGCCTACAGAGATGGCTATCCCTGGCTGTGCTCCACCACAGATGCTCCCTCACCAAACACTCTGGGCTGCGCATCAGCTGGCTGCCCCTACCAGTTCTCTAAGCAGCTCTCCTTGCCAATTCAGGCGTCCATGGTGGTTGAGGGGTCTCTAACCTGCTGGGATTCCAGAGGCTGTGACAAAAGCAGGTTGCTCCTTACCAGTTCAGCTCACCCATTACCCCAGAGTTGCTGGGGGCCAGAAACGAGCCCTGATGCTTGGTAGCCTCATGCAGGGTTCCCAGCTTCCTCCCCCTTCAGCCCAGCTTCTGTGTCTTCCCTGCATCCATTCTTGGTGCCTTCCCTCTGAAGGTCTATTAGGAGCGTGCCAGTTATCCTGGTTCCTCCATTCCTCTGTGGCAGCTGTTCCACCTGGTTGTGTCTAGTTGGTCCTTGTTAAAGATTTGTAGAAGCATTATGACCAAGGACAAATAATTTCCTAACCTCCTCAGACCCTCGCTGCCACCTAGGTGTCTTCAGTCATTGGTTAACCCTTAGTCTCAACTCTCTCCTCCTCCCTTTGCCCTTAACATAAAAAGAGCCTGAAATTTATAATGACTTAAGATGGTATTTTGGAACGCCAGTTCACCATCTTCTCGGTTTTGCCGGCTTTCTGAATAAACCTGCTTTTCTTCCCATCAACCCTCATTTCTTGTGTCTGGCTTAAGTGGCAAACCTGGGTTCTGTTTCAATGCCAGACAACCAGCAGAGATATTTTACATGCATATTTCACTTAATTCTCACAACATTTCTCTCAGGTAGGAATGATTATTCCCACTTTACAGATGAGACTTGAGGAAATTGGTAAGTTGTCTATACAGCTACTAAAGAATTATGATTTGAACTAGCTCTACTGACTTGACAGTTTAAACAATACATTTACATTACTATGCACTGCTGCCTTTTATTTTATCTATAGTTCAGAAAAATTATTGTTATCATAATGAAAACCCTCTGTTATGGACGAAAAGGCAAATTTATATCCTGCTTACCATGTAGGATATGTGTATACTCTATTTCATAAAAGTTTGAGACAAAAATTTAAATTCTACAAGTAAATAAAGAGAAAATTCTGCCACCAAAAAGAATATATTTCTAATGATAACACAAACTGTAATTTCTATTACAGTAGGGCCCCCTTATTCTTGAGGATACATTCCAAGACCCCCAGCAAATGCCTAAAACTGCAGATAGTACTGAATCTGATATACACTATGATACTTTGATCTGACCACCAGGAGGGTTACTAAGTGACTGAGAGGCGAGAAGAATAGACAGAGTGGACATACTGGAAAAGAGATGATTCACGTTCCATGCGTGAGATTTCATCACGCTACTCAGAACGATACTCAATGGGAAACTTACGAATTGTTTGCTTTTGAAATTTTCCACTTAATATTTTCAAAGCGCAGTTGACTGTGGGTAACTGAAACTGAGGAAAGTAAAACTGCAGCTAATGGGGGCTACTATATAATGAGTAAGGCCAGGCAGAGCAAGAAGGATATTTCTAGAGTGTAATTTGGAGCTTCCTGAGTTTTGTAAACTCACACTTGTAAGTGCAGCTTATTCTTACTCCTTTAACTTTACAACTGTGTGTGTGGTGGGAAGATAGGATTTATGGGGGGCTTGGAAGAGAATTAGGCGGGGAAGAGCAGGCATGGGAAAAAGCAGGAGACAGAAAATGGTTTAGCATCTTCAAAAGACAAGGGACCCCAATTTAGTATGATTTTGATTATACCGGTTGTGAATGAGAGGTTTCACATTCTACTTTATTTCTACATTGTTTGGATGTCATACAACGTTTACAACTTGAATCTGTTTCTGTAAAGATGTTTTCATTCTGAAAAGATTAAGAGAGAGAAAGATAAGTGTAGAAGCTACATTTCAGAGGATTCTGGAAAAAAACAGAAAGCAAATGAGTAGGCTTGGAAAGTAAGGGCAATCTATTTAAGAATTTGAAAACAAATGCAAGAAGGAAAGTTGGATGTTAGCAAGGAGGTTAGCAGGATTACTCTTTCTTTTAAAATAGATGTGTAGAAACCCACGGATGCAAAGATGGGAACAATAAACACTGGGGTATTACAATGGGGTGTGAGAGAGTGGGGAAAAGGGTTGCAAGACTATTAGGTACGAAGTTCCCTACTTGAGCAACAGGTTTATTAGAGGCCCTAACCAGAGTATCATGTAATATATCCATGTAACAAACCTACACATGTACCCTCTGAATCTAAAATTTTTCAAAAAAAGAAAGAAAAATTTAAAATATATATGAACAGGCCATGCATGGTGGCTCACGCCTGTAATCCCAGCACTTTGGGAGGCTGAGGCAGTTGGATCACTTGAGGTCAGCCCGGCCAACATGGTGAAACCCAGTCTCCACTAAAAATACAAAAATTAGCTGGGCATGGTGGTGCACACCTGTAGTCTCAGCTATTCAGGAGGTTGAGGCAGGAGAATCGCTTGAACCTCAGAGGCAGAGGTTGCAGTGAGCTGAGATCATGCCACTGCAGTCCAGCCTGGGCCACACAGAAAGACTCTGTCTCTAAATAAATAAATAAAATATATATAAACAACTCTGAAAATAATAAAATAAAATAAAATAGATGTAAAGAAACAAAATACATGCTGTGAGCACATCATCAGTGCTAGAGAAACTAACTTTGCCTAGTATTAGTGCTATAGTATTAGTATTAGAATTAGTGTATTATAGTATTAATAGAATATTAATATTAACGTATTAGTGCTCATAGCTGTGTAAAAAATAGCACAACATTTAGCAGCCTAAAGCAACAAATATTCATTATCTCACTTGGTTTCTGAGGGTCATGAAATCAGGGCTTAGCTGGGTAGTTCTGGCTCAGGGTCTCTCCTGAGGTTGCAGTCAAGTTGCTGCCTCTTGTTACAGTCATCAGAAGGCTTGACTGAGGTGGAAGATTCATTTCCAAGCTCACTCATGTGAGACCTCAGGTCCTTGTGGTGGTTACTAGAGGCTTCCGTTCAGAGCCTCCATGTGGGACATCACAGCTGGCATCCTCCAGAGTGAATGATCCAAGACAGGACAACCACAGTGGTAGCAGCAGTGCCTGTTGATGATTTGATCTCCAAGTTTGCAGACCACTTTCATTTTATTCTGTCCATTAGAAAGGAGTCACTAGATTCAGCCCGCACTCAAGGGGAGGAAAGGTAGTCTTCCCCTGTTGAAGACAGAAGTATGAAAGCATTTATGGACATATTTTTAAAACTATCGCAGAATGTATGAAGAATATCATGGCTTAACTAAGCACATATACACACTGAAAACTAGTTTAAATAGCGTGGAACATTTCCCTGTAAGAAGTACGTTAAATGCAGTTTCTTGAACGTGAAGCCATTTCAACGTTACAAAATCTGTCCTAATATTGACATTTACTCTCTAATATTGTCAGTTATAACAAATGCCATGGCACAGTGCTTTTCACATTTTGTTCCAACACTCAAGTGGGTATTTGTCATGCCTTGTAGTTGCCAGCAAGTTTGGCAACTTTTCCTATGTTTGGGGAATTTCTTCCATTTTCAAGACTGCTTCCTGAGGCAGAAGCCAGAACTTTCTTTCCTATCCACCCTTGCAGCAAGCATCCAGGGATGGAACTTCTGTTCTTCCACACAGACACTTCCATGTACGATGTAGATTTGGAAGATGGCAGCATGGCCCTGAATCCAGTTTCTAGGAAGGATGGAGTAAATGTCTCCAATGATGGAATCAGACCTTGGACTCTCTCCATCTTGGGGTTCTGCTTCCCCCCGTGCCGGCTTTATTCTCAGATTGCCTGTCTCTTCCAGTGCTCCTAGTGCCTCATCACCGCACTCCCAGTTTATCATTCTCAGAATTTTCATTATCAATTGCTTCACTTAAACAAACGAACAAACAAACAGTGGAACAAATAATAGCTATTTTATTATTTCCACAGATTTTGTGAATCAGGAATTGGAAAAGGATACTATGGGGACAAACTGTCTACGCTGCATACATAATAATATGGGGCAATTAACTAGAAGGAATCAGTGGCTGTGGGGGAGGAGTCACTTGATGGCTAGGGGCTGGAATCATCTGAAGGCTCACGCAGTCATATTTATAGCAGTTAATACTGCCTGTTGTTTGAGGGCAGTCACCTGAAACAACTACATGTGGCTACTTGGGCTTCCTCACAGCATGGTGGCTCAGTTCCAAGATCAAGTATCTCAAAAAAACAAAGTGAAGTACAGGTACAGCAACTTTTATGACCTAGCCTCAGAAGTCACATAGTATCACTCCTCCATAGACACAAGCCCCTTTCCAGATTCAATGAATGAGAACACAAACCTCCCCCTCCCCCCACATTCCATCTATTAATGGGAGGGGTGTCAAAATCACATTGGAAGAAAAACATTAGTAATGGGAGATACTGGTATAGTTTTGCTGTGTGGCAGGTTGTATTTTTCCAAAGATGACCAACGATAAACTAACTTGTACCAGGCCCATCCTTAAACAGCAGCCAGAAAATTTTAATACAATTTTGAGGCTTCAGAAGGTGCATTTCTAAGGGATACCCTACGATGCAGCTGTGTTACTCCAAACTGTCTTATACTAGGGGCTTGTTGGAAGCTGAGTCTGGGGTTAACAAAAATATCATTCAAATAGTACTGTGGTGTGAATGTGTCCCTCACACACCTACTTTACAGGGTTGTTGAGAAATTTTTATTCATTTATTTTAGAAATGGAATCTCACTATGTTGCCCAGGCTGGAGTGCAGTGGTGGCTATTTACAGGCACAATTATGACAGACACAGCCTTGAACTCCCAAGCTCAAGCAATCCCCTGGCCTCAGCCTCCCGAGTAGCTGGGACTACAGGAACGCAACACGACGCTCAGCTGAAAATTAAATGAGAAGATATATGTAAAGAGCTTAGAGCAATGCTTGTCACATAGTGACATGTTCTCAATCCGTGTTATTATTATCATTTCAGTGCCTTGAAAGCCATTTTTATCAAGACTGTGGCCTCTGACAATTTGGCGCCATACAATGGAGATGGCGGGTGGCAGGTGGCAGGTGGCACTCTGGTGACCCCATGTCATCACCACGTGGCTGCCTCTTGACCCTGGCAGAGTCTAAGTTCCCTTTCTTCTCTCAGCACCGCAGGGCAAGGCCCGAGGAACTGCTCTTGCCTGAGCTCCTGTCGTGTACTTCGGAGGGCCGGGCCTGGCGCTTAGAAGGAGGGGTGCTGTTGAGGTCAGGACACAGGAGCAGGCCTCTGACAGCTTACAATGCTGTGTGGCAAAGTGTAAAGGGGGTGATTCTCCCGGTTACTATCCTGAGGCCCTCTCGCAGGGGCAGTTCTCTAAGAGTTGGCGGAAACTCCAAGAACCAGGGCAGCAGGCTCGTGACAGCCCGTGTTCCCAGGGATCACAGGAGTTCCAGGAAGAGGCAAGACAGTTCTTACAATGTGACCCAGTAGGAGAGCCATTGGTGAGGTCTTGCACAGTGAGGTTAGTGTGTGCAGTCTCCAGGCTGATAGAAGTTCTTGATGAAGAAGTCTCTGCCTGCACCATATGAACAAGGGCGTGGCCGGACAGTCGTGTGGCTGCCAGATCCCAGCTCAGCCACAGGCCCCTACCACTCCACAACACAGAGCCTGGGCTCTGGGTTCTGTGGTAGATATGAGGTCCTGGGTAGTGGGGAATGGAGTGGAAGTCCTGGGAAAAGGGATAACAGGACAAACTGAATCTCATGTGCACAGAAAGGAAGGACAGCATTGCAAAACAAGGAAGGGGAACAGAAATATCTCATTGCATCGTAGGGTAGCGGGGGCAAAGAGGAGGCCACTGCGCTGCATCCAAGACTGTGCAGTGGCGATGGTGCCTTCAGCCACCAGGAAGGGCGACTTTGCCACGCTCCCCTGCATGTGGCGTGGCACAGCCGACACGCGCATTTCTACAAAGCCTCCCTCCCGTGTGACTTGTGGCACGTGCGAAGAAGAAAAGCGGCCCCTAGGGGCAGGGGTCCAGGAACTCTGCTGCTGCCCGTGCACCTCATTCCTTGAAACCTACTCTGCTTAGAACAACACAAACTAAACGCCGCCCTGTGGGCCGCGTCCCTGCACCACCAACCAGGCGCCTCCAGAACGCGCTCCCAGGAACCCAGAAGTTTGCTGGTGTGTGTTTGCGGCGCCCGCGCACCTCGAAACTGAAAGCGCAACTGGAGGGCCTGGAGTCTCGCCCCAGCCAAAGGCCCGCGAGCGCCGCTGCCGCGGCCTCCACCCCAACCGAGAGCGCGCCGCTCCGCTGCAGTTGTCTTCACTGCCGCAGCGGGCCGGGGGCAACAGTGAGCCGCGGCGGCGAGAAACCGAGGTACCGGCGTGGCGGCCGCCCCAGCCCGGGCTGAGAGAGCCGAGACAGTGGCGGCGAAAACTCTCTGCGTTCTGGAGGGAGGGTGCGGGCAGGAGGAGGTAGAGGATGCCTTGTAAGCGGAGCAAAAACAAGGTTCAACGTCTGCACCAGGATGGCCGAGTGGTTAAGGCGTTGGACTTAAGATCCAATGGACATATGTCCGCGTGGGTTCGAACCCCACTCCTGGTAGCTTTAGGTTTTTCTCTTAAATCATTTTATTTTTTAAAAATACGAATCTCACTGAACACACCACGCCTTGGACATTAGAATTCCGACTTCTGGCTGGGAGAAGCGCAACGCTCACACGCAAAGTCCTGCTTCCCACCAAGAGACCGCGCAGGCGGCGGCCCTCAGAGCTCTGCTCACTTCCCCAGCTGCGGGGCGGGAGGCGGCCGGGAGGGGGAGGGCTGTGACCTGGAGGGTATTTTTAAAACTGCCTCTGCAAAAAAGTGAAAAATGCATCTCTCTTTTTTTTCCCTTTCTCTCTCTCTCCCTTTTTTTTCCCCCGCCAATGTTAATTTTGTGCACACAACTCTTCTATTAACTCCTAGAAGGCGGAGACTGTATCATCCTAGATGTAAAATGCACTCCAACTTGGGTTCGGCTTAGAATTTTTAAATACAGCGTGGTCAAGTTTTTTTTTTCTTCTTCTCCCTTTAAAATTGTTTGTTTAATGAGAGCCATCTAAGAATTTTTAAAAGTTGCAAGTACACTGCAAATAACTTTTTTTCCTCTCTTGAATCATTTAAAAGTAAAATACCTAGTGGATGCCCAAGTACTACTATTAAAATCAGGAAATTAACATTGATGATTTAATACCATCTAATCCTCGGTGCGCAATCGGTCACCAGTTGTCGCAAGAATGTTCTTTATAGCAAAAGGCTCCTCTTCAGAATGATGCGTTGCATTTACTTGTCCTGTCTCCTTCGGCTTCTTCCGTGTGGATCAGCTCCTCAGCCTCTGCTGACTTTCATGATCTTGACACTTCTGCTGACAAGCCAGCCGGTTTGTAGAATGTCCCTTTGTCAGTCTAGGTTTTCTGGTGTTTCCTCCTGATGAGATCCAGGCTCTGTTTATTTAGCAGGACTTCCACAGAAGCCATGCAGTGTTCTCACGGCAGCCTCTCAGGTCGCATGATTTCCGTGTGGCCTGCTTCTCTGCCAGGCTTCTCCTCTGTAAAGTTACTGTTTTCCCTTTGTGATTAGTACCTGTTTTAGAGGGAAGTGCTTTGAAGCTGTGTAATATCCGGTGCCTTATCAAATTTTCATTTTATTCAATTATTTATGGAATTATAAGTTATGTACGTATGTATCCATGGTGCCCTATTTTAATTAATGGTTACAATCCATTCATTCATTTTGATGCTCAGAGTGTCTCAGATTGGGCCAGTGACAGCCCATTCAAGCTGACTTTTGACCTGTCTGCATTATTCTTTAGCACTTCCTTACTTCCTACTCCAAGATGGTCCAGATTTACCTTGTGCTTTCCTGACCCAGTACTAGAATCAGCCATTTTCTAAAGATCCTTGGTTCCTTTTAGTGGAGAATGGTATCTAGAAACCAAGGTCTCAGTGCTAGGTGTGCTCATTGCTTTTGAGGTGTTGCTACTTCCAGGCCCTCTGGGTAGACAGAATTAAGGAGTGTGTGTGTGTGCATATTTATCTATTTGTATATCTATATAAATATATATCTATATTTATTCATATATCTTTATGTATATCAAGGAGTTTATATATACCTCCAATTCTGATCCAACACTATAGACTTTGTTCTATTTTGTCTCCCTGTCCATGTTTGTAACTCCCTGAATTCCTGCCTCCCCAGTGCAGATCTATACATTGCTTAAGCTCATGTAATGGCTTTAGAATTGAATTGTTCAAAAAGGAAAGAGAAAAAGAGTGTCTACATATTTTGGAAATAAACATCCTGCCAGCAACTGAGAACAGGCTCTGAGCCACTCACTATTAGATACTTGGGATGTGCAGATAAATAACCCGGCCTCTGTCTCAGTGAGCTCAGATAGCAAGAGACAGAGATTTTAATAAGCCACATTTGTAATGAAAAAATATGAATTATGCCCAAGGTGCTAAAGGAGTGGTTTGGGAAGGCCTGACTCTTCCTCAGAGAGCCAGCTTTAGTTGAGAGGTGAAAGAAGAGAAGCAGGGATGAGGGAGGGGCAAGAGGGAGAGGGAGACAGATACAGGTGGGGTAAGCCACGTGGGAGCCATCTGGGGGCCCTGTGAAGTATGATGCCCAGGATGCCCTGAAGGATTTGCAACAGAAGGAACCTGACAAGTGTTACATTTGGAAGTATCTGTGTCTACCGATGTAGAGAATCTTGGTCTGTCTTTATAGGCTTGGGATGGGGGGCATGTTGAATTGGTAGAAAATATTTTGGGGGAAAAATTGTTTAATTCTGTTAATAGCCAGTTAGACTGAGCTCAGTCTTTCTCTTCCTCCTTAAAAGCCCAGGATTTTTTCCTTGAAAAGCAGATTTGTTATATTAGATTCTTTATATATTTTCAAAAGTTCTTAAAACATAGCGAATATATTGAAGTTAAATTTGAATCGTTAACTTAGTTTGAATTAAATTTACATTAGTTTAAATTAAATTTGAATCATTAAATTTGTATACTGCCACTAAACTTATAATGATTTTCTAATAATTATTTTAACAAAAAGAACTTAAGTCAATCCTTTGAATTAAAAATTAACAGTGTGGCTTTATAAACATTCTCTGTGGGTTTGAACTAGTTGTAAGTTATTCAAAATTGTTTATTTTCTATTGGGCTTTTACATAGATCTCTGTAGGAAAAGCTGCTACCAATGTATTTACGCAGTGACACCTACTGGTTAAGTTGAGGCAAATTTTTTGTTAAATTCTGTCTGCCTTGTTCTGACTATAGAATTCTGATAATTTGCTCCACAGTTACTGTGTTTGGAAGCAGATTCAGGCTATATCTATGTCAGCCAGTAAATTGACTTTCTTTTTTCTCTTGTAATCATTAATGATAAACCTGCCATTGAAAATAATCCTGAATCACTGATACAACTTGCACGAGACATTATTTTCATTGTATCAATAGAAGCTTTATTGCACTGCATCTTCTTTGTTTGTTTCAGTTCATTTTCCAATTCCAAATCTGGCTATGAAGTTGAAGGATAATAGATATCTGGATTAGCCATCAGCTTTAAAACACAGAAGTCATGTCCAATTTGAGAGATCCTGAACAAGTAGCGTTCTTGGTCCTCAGTAGGAAGTTGGAATTTGGAAGCCTTAATTATTTTGCTTGTTTTTCATTTTACTTTCAAATACAATTGCAGCTAGCTAAAGAACAAATTCAATATATGCTATGAATCTCACCCATATGTTAATTGTTCAAGTGGGATAAATGGTAATGCTCCATGTTTTAATAAGTCTGTTTAGTTCAAAGATATTGTGTAAGAGGCAGAGAACATAATCCCAGGTGCCTTGCATCGCCTCATTACTCTGCTACTGGATAAAGGGTGATTGCGAACCAGCCCAGCCTATGTTTCATTTTCATCAAAATAGATTTTGATGCCTCTGAACCATTTATCAGACTGCCTGGCAGAGAAGAATGATTCTTTTGTTGTTTATTATATCATTTGAGAAGAAAATAACATTGAGGCAGAATCCCAGGTTGTAGATTAGTATGTGGCAAAGGCCAAACTCAATATTAAGGGCTCTGAAGCAAAAAGTGGATGTCCCAGTGTGAACAGGCTGCATTGGGCAGTGACAACCTCTGACTGTGGAATGTAAGCCAGCCAGGGCCAGAACTGTCTCATTAGCCACACCAGTCAAGGGTCGGCAGTGGGTCCTTACAGAACTGAAATGAAAACTTCGTCCAGCAGAGTGTCTCCAGTACATTACATGCACTCAACAAATACCTGCTGAATAAGTGAACTACCCTGAAATCCATTGAGTATTCATAATTCATTTTGTGTGTTGTACACATATTAATCCTTATTCAGGGTATGTGTTTTAAAATGTACTGTGGATTTATTTTAATCAGGAACAGTAGGACAGGACACAAAAATGACTGTCATGAAGGAAGCAATTCTTATGTTGCAGATTCCTAGACACAGGAGTCACACCACACCATGCAGGGCCAAATGGGGAAGGAGTGGGATCAGTCAGTGGCAGAAAGATTGAAGGGAAAGCATGAGTGACAACCTTTATTGTGGGTACCAAAAAAAAAAAATAGAATGAATAAGACATACTATTCGATCACACCACAGAGTGACTATTTTCAATAACAACTTCATTAAACATTTTAAAATAAACAGTGTGGCTGGGCGCAGCTGGTCATGCGTGTAATTCCAGCACTTTGGGAGGCCGAAGTAGTTGGATCACTTGAGGCCAGGGATTCGAGACCAGCCTGTGCAACATGGTAAAATCCTATCTCTATGAAAAATACAAAAATTAGCCAGGTATGGTGGTGTGCGCCTGTAGTCCCAGCTACTCGGGAGGCCGAGGTGGGAGGATAACTTGAGCCCAGGAGGCCAAGGCTGCAGTAAGCCGTGATCACACCACTGCATTACAGCCTGGGTGACAGAGCAACACCCTTTCTCAAAAATAAAGTAAAATAAAAAATAAAATATAATAAAACTAAGAGTGTAATTGGATTGTTTGTAACACAAAGGACAAATGCTTGAGGGCATGGATACCCTCTTCTCCATGATGTGATTATTTCACATTGTATGCCTGTATCGAAACATCTCATGTACCCACAGACATATACAGCTTCTATGCACCCATAAAATTTTTTTAAAATAAGAATGAAAAAACAGTAAGATTTTTACAAACAGCCTTTATTGTGGCTTTTGCAGGAAAAAAGGGGGCAAGAAAGGGTAAGCATGCTTAAGATTGGCTGGTTTGAGTAATTTCAGCAGGCTCTGAGGTGTAAGGGCTATTCTGAGTTGTCTCCTGTCTCTAGGAATTAGCTGACCTTGGGAGGGACAATCTCTGCCCAATCAGTAAGACCCCAGATGCCAGAGCATTAAAAATACAGAACATTTAAAAATGTAGTTAATACACTGTGGGTTCAGGCATTCTCATACTTCTTTTACTTCTTTTCCCTCTCTTCTTCTTTGTTCAGCTAGGGTGGACCTTACTAATCAAGATTCAGAAGTCAGCCGGGAGCAGTGGCTCACACCTGACATACTAGCACTTTGGGAGGCCGAGGCAGGCGGATAGCTTGCACCCAGGAGTTGAGACCAGCCTAGGCAATATGGCAAAACCCCATCCCTACGAAAAATACAAAAATTAGCTGGGTGTGGTGGCGCATGCCTGTAGTCCTAGCTACTCAGGAGGCTGCGTGAGAGGATTGCAGCGAGAGGATTGCCTGAGCCCAGGAGGTCGAGGCTCGCAGTGAGGCGAGATGGCGCCACTGCACTCCAGCCTGATGAAAGAGTGAGGCTCTGTTTAAAAAAAAAAAAAAAAAAAAGCATTCAGAAGCCCAAAGAGGCAACACTTAAGTAGTTTTTGAGTCATTGAGTCATTTCTATCTGGGTAGGCTAGACAATACACTTGTGCAATTCAAGTTCTAAGTTTATCTTTGGGTTTAGGTTGTATTTTCAGCCATTTTGTTCACTGCCATAGCATGGTAAGGTTGGCAGTTACTGAATAAGGTAACTTTTTTAAGTTGCATGGATAAGATGGATTATTTAAAAGAGTGTTGAATATTTGCCTCAATTCCACAATTTAATGTATATATAAACACAGAATTGTGTGTGTTTGTGAAATACACAGCATAGGTCCTATGAGGCAACACAAGAACTGTGATTAGGAGTCTGCCAGTTCAATTTTTAATCCTAGCTGCAACCCTTGGTAGCTATGTGACTTTAGACTGGCTATTCAGTTTCTCCAAGTCCCTGTTTTCTCGCCTATGAGATGGAGTTGACAATAATAGTACCCACCAAACAATTCATTGTAAGAGATAAACGTAAAGTTGAAAAAATGCTTAGAAAGTGCCTGGCATATAAAATGATCAATAGATGAACCTATTGTTATACTTTAGTGATTCTCATAAAGTGTATATATGGATTGACTGTGAGATCAGTTTTGCTATAAAGGCAAAAGTTGCTCATGGAATTGATTCTGTTGGATGTACATTGTGTGTGTAAACTAAAAATAAAATTCTAAGTCCCCACTGACTAAACAGACCTCCTCTTAACCAAGGGGGACCCCAGAGTAACCTTGAAAACTAAGTTGTCACTCATGGTGAGGTGAGAGGTCAGACATGCCTCCTTATATCCTCTCCCTCACTAACCAGGATCAGGCTTTCTTCCCTAAGGCCTAAACAGAAACCAGCCCTTTCAAAAGACTCCACCACTGACATCAACCAACTGCCTGACACTGCCCCTCCTTTTTTGCCTAATAAGAGACTACCAAGCATGGAGTGGTTCTTGTCAGTCTGTGGAGGAGGTACTGTAAAGGTTTTTGTGTCCTCTGCTTCACCCTTTTTTTTCCTCTGAGACAAAGAGCCTCACTCTGTTGCCCAGGCTAGGGTGCAGTGGCGTGATCATAGCTCATTGCAGCCTCAAACTCCTGGGCTCAAGCAATCCTCCCACCTTGGCCTCCAGAGTAGCTGGGATGACAGGCTCAAGCCACCATGCCCAACTAACTTTTTCTTATTTTTCATAGAGACAGAGTCTCACTATGTTGCCCAGGCTGGTATCAAAATCTTGGCTCAAGGGATCCTCCTGCTTTGGCTTCCCAATGTGCTGAAATTACAGGCATGAGCCACCCCATCTGGCCTCTGCTTCATCTTTTGACATCAGAGGGCTGAAAACTGCATTCTGGGATCATGCTAACACCGCCATTTTTTGTACCTGGGACTCATGAAGGGGCATGAAGCTCAAATGCTCACGCACATGTTTCTCCTTTCATAAGTATGCATGAGTCCTCCTCTGGCTTATTAAATATGTATTATATATTTACCATCCTGCCCAGCATAAATTCCTATTCCCTTTGCCCCTTCCTCAAAGTGTCTGTTTCTGGCTTCTGGCCAGAGGCTATATTTCCTCGCCTGTCATAATGGCCATCCTGCAGGCTGGAACTCTTTATGAGAAATAAAGCTCTCCTTTCCAAATTTAAGAACCTCATCATTCTTCAGTTGACAATTGTATTTGCCACAGCAATTGCAGGAGAGTAGAATGAGATCATCAGCAACAGATATAATTTTTAAAAGAGAGAAAATTGGGAGAGGGACATAGATTGCATTCTTCTGACTTATTAAACTTTTTTCATGTAAAAGTTTTGAAATGTCTAATTTTTCATCATCAACAGCCTCTTCTTAAAGAAAAGTCTGGGTAATTCCCTGAATAATTTCTGAAATAGCAGAGTTCTAAACTCTAACTTTTCAAATGCACAATAAGAGAACTTATTGTTTCTCCCTGTGTATCACACCCACTGGGTTAGTCACAAATAGCTATATTAAGGATGTTTTTCACATTTTTTAAACACTAGCAATTTGGACCCACCCAGTTCAGCTTTTTAAATGCAACCTGACTTAAAAAAAATTGTTTTTAATCCCACATAAGAAAAATAAGAAACCCGTAACACTCGGAAGATGTGCAAAATAATATATGATATCCTGCTTTTAAGAGCAGCAAAAGTGCACCAGAGAGTATAAAGTGGAATTGAAGTCTATTATTATAAAGCTCTTTTACTGTGATTCAGTGTAATGCCTAATTCCATTAGTGCTCTACAAAGAACAACATGCACAAATGTACTCTTTTAGCTGCAGATAACAAATGAAGTTTTAAAGTGGCCTAACGAGTTAAAGTGACCTCAACATTATATTAATTGAGTCAATTAGTCAATTTCTTTCTTTCTTTTTTTTTTTTTTTTCTTTGAGACTGAGTCTTGCTCTTTCGCCCAGACTGGAGTGCAATGGCGCGATCTCAGCTCACTGCAAGCTCTGCCTCCCGGGTTCACGCCATTCTCCTGCCTCAGCCTCCCTAGTAGCTGGGACTACAGGCGCCTGCCACCATGCCCGGCTAATTTTTTGTATTTTTTTAGTAGAGACGGGGTTTCACCGTATTGGCCAGGATGGTCTCGATATCCTGACCTCGTGATCCGCCCGCCTCGGCCTCCCAAAGTGCTGGGATTACAGGTGTGAGCTACCGCGCCCGGCCCAATTAGTCAATTTCTTTAGTCTCCTGTGAATGGCCCTCAGATGAAAGTAAAATGAGGATGAACTTGGGTAAGTCTGGGTGGAGAAGCCGGCTTGGGTGGATTTGGGGTAAAAAGTGTTTTCCCCACTGAATTTCTCTATTCTGCTTCTATATCTCAGCACTGTGAGCCAGCCTAAAGTCTCCTTCCAGAACACATAGCTTACTGCTGCCATTTACCCACTTTTTTCAAAATGTGTAGGAAAGTCTTGTAGAGAGATACAAGCACTGAAAGCTGGCAACCTCTAGTTCCAACTAGGCAATTCATTAACTCAATAAGTATTTTGAAAGTGGCCAGAATGGCCACACTCACCTATGCTGGGAGCTGGGATATAGCAATGAATAAGAAAGACAAGGTTCTGCCTTCATGGTGTTAAACAACTAAAATCATACAATTGATTATTTCATAGTTATTTTGTGGATCTCCCCTTGAACTGTGGGGTACAGTTCAGAGCAGTAGAGAAGAAGCAGAAGCTGTTCACAGAAGTGATAGAATGTGAATGAGGGACAACCAGTAGTATTTGCCTATCACTGGGAGACAGCCTGCATTCAGCCAAGGGAGAGGGAGAAGGAGGAGGAAGCAGAGAGAAGGAAGAGGGAGAGGAAGAGGGGGAGAAGAGAGAGAGAAAGAGGAAAAGAAAGAAAGAATAAAAAAAAGAGCCAGGTGCAATGGTTCACACCTATAATCCCAACATTTTGGGAGGCTGAGGCAGGCTGATCACGAGGTCAAGAGATTGAGACTATCCTGGCCAACATGGTGAAATCCTGTCTCTACTAAAAATACAAAAATCAGCTGGGCATGGTGGCGTGTATCCGTAGTCCCAGCTACTTGGGAGGCTAAGGCAGGAGAATCGCTTGAACCCTGGAGGCGGAGGTTGCAGAGAGCCGAGATCACACCATTGCACTACAGCCTGGTGACAGAGTGAGACTCCGTCTCCAAAAAAAACAAGGAAGGAAGGAGAGAAGGGGAAAAGGAAAGAGAAGAAAAAAGGAAGAAGGTAGAAAGAAGGGGAAGAGGAAGGAAGGAAGTGGGGAGTGCCCCTCCCAAACCTCACTTGAATTTCTGGATCACATTGTTGTAGAATCAACACCATCCTTGCATTTCCAATTTAAGACAGTAAGTTCCTCTCGTGTATAGATAGATAGTAGTTTGTATTGGTTTCTGTTATTTGCAGCTGAAAGGGTCCTGGCTAACTAATATACCTTTTAAAGTATTGATATATATTTGAGTATCTTCATCAAAGGAGTAAAAAAAATTGCAGTGTTTCAGAAGGGAAACAGGTAATGGCTACATGAGATTTAATCATGGGCTTGTTGAATGTAAGAGTTGGAAGGGATTTACTTGAACAAATCTTCCAATAAAGCAGAAATAACCCACTGATCACTTCCGACAGTGGCAAAGTAGTCTCTAAATCAGCGGTTCTTAATAGTGGTGGCACTGGCCCTGGGAGACATTTGGGGAAGTATGGGAGCACTTTTGGCTTGTCTTGGCTTGTGGGGGCTTCTGCCATGAGGGACAGCCAGGGCTGCTAGGCATGCTGCAATATCTGGGAGTCCCACACAATAACTAATCGTCCTTCATCCTGCAAGACTTTTGAATGTTCAACAGGATGTTCCCGTGGGTTAAAGGGCTGTTTATCTGGACCCACAGACTAACTCTGCATTTCATATTAAGCACAAAATATTTTTGCAAGCTTTCATTATACAGTTAGTTTTGCAAGTACTACAGCTACCATGTAACTTAAGGGAAAATTGTACTTTGTTTTACTCAGAATTTCATCAAGAGTTAGTTCCTGGCTGAGCGCAGTGGCTCATGCCTGTAATCCCAGCACTTTGGGAGGCCCAGGTGGGCAGATCACATGAGGTTGGGAGTTCAAGACCAACCTGGCCAACATGGTGAAAGTTGGTCTCTACTAAAACAAAAATTAGCTTAGTGTGGTGGTGCACGCCTGTAGTCCCAGCTATGCAGGAGGCTGAGGCAGGACAATCACTTGAACAGGGGAGGCAGAGGTTGTAGTGAGCCAAGATCATGCCACTGTACTCCAGCGTGGGTGACAAAGTGAGACTCTGTCTCAAAAAACAAAAAAAGTTTCCACACTGGAAAGTCACATCACTCACAGCAACAGCAGCCGTGGTATTTGAGTCCCTAGTTCAATACATCCATATCAGTGTGCATTTGCAGCTGCTGTATTCCTGTGACTTGATGGGCTCTGTCTTTTATAATCATGCTCTAGTATTTACATACTGACTTTCATGACCTTTACTCTTTGGAAGGTGCAGATCAGTTCTTTTGGTCGAATGTTCTTCAATTTATGTTTGTCTCACACATTGTTATAACTAGATCCAGCAATACCACAAACGTGCTGCCATGTTCTTCTTAGTATATCATATCAGGTGGCACATGATGTCAATTTGTCCCATTTCTGGTGATGTTGATTTTTACGACTTAGATAAGATGATACTGGACAGGTTTCTCCACTGTAAAATTATTTACCACATTTTTGGTACTTCCATTAGTATGAGCATCCATTTATGATTTTTGTCTGAAAGAATTATTCTTACCTACCTTACAATTATTCTTAAACTGTGATTCTTACCAAATGATGATTTCTATGTCCATTATTCCTTCTACATTTACTAGTTGACATTACTTATTTGTTTATATCAATATTGGCTCATGGATTCCTATTTTATTCAGTTAGTTTTAATCCATTATAATCATTAACTAAAATTTAGCTGTTCAAATTTCCAGATTTGGCCAATAGGAGCTCCTTCAGGCTGGTTCTTGTATTCATTCAATAGTTTTCATTGAACACTTCTTACTTTCTGATACAAGTGTTCTAGGCTCATCTAGAATGTTTCCCTCCAGTGGCCTTGAATCATCCCAATTTCCAAGGAGATGATTCCTTCAGAGGAAAATGGTATTTAGAAACCAAAATCTGGGTACCAAATATGTTCATTGGTACTGGGATATTATTGCTTCTAGTCCCTTTCAGCAGATAGAGCTATGAAATTTATGTATGCATACATACACACATGCATACACATGTATGTATGTATGTGTGTATGTATGTATACATACACCTCCAATTCCAGTACAACTGCACAGGGTTAATTCTAACTTTCTCCACTTTGATATTTGTACCTACTTTCTCCAACAGTGAGAAATCTGCCTTCCATTATCCCCACCATATTCACATAATCTCCCAGTATGTAACCAATTTCCAGTCACATGGATCATCTCTTCTTCCTGGCTCACTCCACACCTGCTGGTCAAGTGGGTCCAGTTGGCTTGCTCTGGTCATACTGAACCAACACCATCCTCAACTTTGGACCATGCCCAGATCCCAAGTAGCTATAATCTAAATGCTGAATTTGATAGATCGCTTTTAATAGTCTTTATTTTAGCTATTTTAAGTAATTATTTTGAATTTTGATTATGTTATCCACTGCATTCACTGCCCCTCCTAGTTTGGAGCTATCAAAACATTTAATAAATTTGTATTCAAGTTGTTGATCAAATCTTGAAGACAACTGGAATTAATTCCTGATGGAATTAATACATTAATATACACTTTTTGTATGTCATTGTTCTACTGGCTCCAAACTTATATTTAATGATTACCTGATCTGGCATTTATTCATTGTGACCATAAGAATATCTGGAGATGTGCTTTCTAATACTGTGCCAAAATTAAGTTACATTCTGTCTATGCATAGTAACCTTATAAAAAATATTATGTCGGTTTGACCTAAGATGTTATTAATGAATCTATGCTGGCTTCTACTACTCATTGCTTTCTTATGAGAGGGGTTAAGTAACTTGCTCACAGTGTAGTTAGTAAGTGAAGGTCTGAAATTTGAACCCAGGCTGATATATCGCTAAAACCTTGCCCTTTCCACAGTCCTTCCATCTGTTTTCATTGGGATGGAAAAAGGTCCTCCTTTTTCTGTTTTTATTTCATGCCAATTTAATGAGATATTGTCAGAGTGCAGGTCTTGGCCTGTAGGCATGCTCAAGGGCACTGCTTCAGTTCCCTGGGGGTATACAGGCAGCCATTCTTTTTCTTTTCTTTCTTTTTCTATTTTTTTTTTTTAATTTAATGAGACAGTGTCTTGCTTTGTCGCCCAGGCTGGAGTGCAATGGTGCGATCATGGCTCATTGTAACCTGGAACTCCTGGGCTCAAATGACCCTCCCCAAGCAACCATTCTTAACAGCTTCTTGAACCCTGTACCAAGATGTCCTGCTGAATTGCTCATTTGATGTACAGATTGAAACCTAAACTAGAAAGGCAGCTGTGAGTCTCTTTACGAGCAAAGCATTTCTAAAAGACGATTATGACAGTAAATTATTTGTCCATGTGAAATATTTACTTAACATTCTTTTACCTCTCAGAATATCAATATTTCAAATATTAAGGAGTTCAGCACAATTTTTTAGTTCGAAGGAGAGTTCAAAATTTGTCTTTGTTTTCTCCTTTTTAAACACCTTTAATCTAAGTCACATTAAAGCTTAGAAATGCCACAAAAGTCACTTAAGACATACCCGTGTACTTGATAAAGGTGTCTATGCTAGATTTAAACAAGAGAAGAGAAAAACAAAAATCTCCTTAAGTAGAAGAGTTGTCCACTGAGGCTGTTTTGCTGGATTTCATAGAACGTTGTAAGTGCAAACATCACATTCTTGAGGTTGTGGTCGTGTTGAAGGGGTAAGTCCAGAGGAAGAGGGAAGATTCTGAACAAAGAAGACTGAAGCTGACAAGCAGGGAGAAAAACCCCCACAGAGGAGTCTGTACATTCAAGAGAAGTGGTGGGTGTCCTCACTGGAATACTTAGAGACACACTGCACAAAATAACAGAGGCGCTTCTGTGGGGACCATCACAAACTGGCAGCCACTCAGAAAAGTTCGCCCACCAGACTCAGCTGCTTAGGGCTATCTGGCTGTCTGAGCTCCTGCGGTCAGGGCTGGCTGGCTGCTGTCTCTCAGGAAAATGGCCCGTGGGTCCCTAAGTCCTCATGGTGCACAGGATGCTACCGATGTGATGCATCTGAGGCTGAGCATGCATGAGAGCCCTTGAAAAGAAGCCTGCCAGGCCATTCATTTCACTTCATCCATACAAATACATGGTTTCTCCACTAAATCTTCATGCGAAACTAACAGTCCCATCCCGGTGTCATCCAATCAATCTAGATATTTTCTAGTGGTTTTATTTAGTGTTCAGAAAACAATGTTGCCAAGATTGCTGGTTGCTCCCTCCCCCGATCTATTCTCCATTCCTTCTGTAAAAATTGCAGCGCGATGCTGAACTGGACACAAAGCTGCCTGGAATAAAGCTGCATTGTCCAGCTTTTCTCTCTGCTGCGAACAGCAATGGCAATAAGTTCTGGCCAGTGACTTATAAGTAGAAGTGTTATTGGACAACTTCCAGGAAAACATCCTCAAGACACCATGTGTGTGCCCATTTCCTGTTCCTGGGAACATGGATATGATGGCTGATGCTTCAACCATCACATTGCACCATGAGGACGGAGGCCACAGCCTGGGGTTGGAAGACAAGAGAGCTAGAAAGAGCTTCTTCCTGAGGCCTTCTTAAAGCAAAACAACCATCCCAACCCTGGATTACCAACCTTCAGGCATCCATGAAGGCAGAAATAAACTGTTATTTGGTGAAGGCTTCTTTCACCTGCAGCCAATGTTAATCCAACCTGATATTAATACAAATCAATATAAATATTAGTATTAGTATTAAAAATATAAGAAAGAAGTCACTAACCATCCACTGCATACCAGTGCTTTAGCGTTTTCTTTTTATTACACATCCTGTCAATTCTGCTCTGAAATGCTGGCCTGCAGTTTAAGGAAATTGTCAGATTCCCAACCTGTCTATCTGAATATCAATTATTAGTCTGTTTTTGCACTGCTATGAAGAACTACCCGAGACTGGGTAATTTATAAAGAGAAGAGGTTTCGTTGGCTTATGGTTCCACAGGCTGTATAGGAAGCATGGCAGGGGAGGCCTCGGGAAACTTTCAATCGTAGTGGAAAGCCAAGGGAAGCAGGCACATCTGACATGGCTGGAGCAGGAGAGAAGAGAGAGTGGGGAGGTGCTACACACTTTTAAACAACCAGATCATGTGACAACACACTTATTATCATGAGAACAGCACCAAAACGGACGCCCGCCCCCATGATCCAATCACCTCCCACGAGGCCCAACCACCAACATTGGGGATTACAACTAGACATGAGATTTGGGTGGGGACACAGACCCAAACCATATCAATCAGCTTAGAAGAAAATGTATCTAATTGAAAATACAGCCAATAATATGAACATTATGGTGCCAAGCAGAGCAGACAACAGCTTGTATGTATATTTATTTTTAAGTTTCTTTAGAACATTGAAGGAGCAAAAGAGTTTCTAAAACTGAAGGCTCTGGATCCCTCATTCTCTGCTTCTCCAAAGATCCTCAAATGTATGAGATTAAAACTCGAGAGAGTAATAAGATGGGAGTCATCAATATATAGGTGGCAAAGGAAGCAAAGGCCTGAATACAATTATGCAAGAAGAGAGGATGGTGAGAAGAGGGTCTCTGAGAGTACTACAGAAAGTGCATTTATTTTTGAGATGGAGTCTCACTCTGTCGCTCAGGCTGGAGTGCAGTGGCATCGTGATCTCAGCTTACTGCAATCTCCACCTCCCAGGTTCAGGCGATTCTCGTGCCTCAGCCTCCCAAGTAGTTGGTATTACAGGCATGTGCCACCATGCCCGGCTAATTTTTGTATTTTTAGTAGAGACAGGGTTTCACCATGTTGACCAGGCTGGTCTTGAACTCCTAATCTCAAGTGATCTGCCCACCTCTGCCTCCCAAAATGCTGGGATTACAGGCGTAAGCCACCTTGCCAGGCCAAGAAAGCTCACATTTAAGTGATATTAGATATATCCTTGGATATATCTCTGCACACAAACTAATTTGGCTGGCTTTTGTTTGCATTCCTTGGCAAAGTCAGTTGTAAAGTCAGTTGTTTGATTAGACTTTCCAAGTCCTTTGAAGTAAATTAATACTTGTGTGCAAGCCCAATCTATGTTAGAGAAAAGCAAAACTAGGAAAGCAGCATTTTTTGGAAGGGAAAACCTTCTTTATGTCAGGCTCCACAGTCCTGCCAAAGTCCTTCTTTAGGCGCATCTGGGAAAAGGAAGGGAATCACTAACTCCAATCTTAACCCTGGCTTGAATCTTCACATTGGCCTTGACCCGGGAAGGTATTATCATCTAAGCCACTTTTTCATTTTATCTAGAATTTGTCACTGACACATGAAGAGAGGCTGGAAAATGGGAAGGAATAAAGTTCCTGAGAAACTGACCTGCCGTTTTGGAGCTAGAATCAGAATGGAAATTTGGAACTTGGAAGACTTTCTGTTTTTTTTTCCCTCTGTTTGTATTTTCTATAATTATTTCCTTTTTGTGAATACATGGTATTGTGTAAAGTTCTCTATTCATGTAAAGACAGTTTCTTCTATTTATTTCTGTTTCTCAGTGCCTGGCATTATTGCTTGCTAAATATATTTCACCATTTACTCCAGGCTGAAGCATTGACACCATTTTGTGGCTTCCCCACATCCAACTCCAAGCTGCACTTTTCACAGATAAATCACTGTAATTAATCACGCTCTTGAAAAGGAACAGGAGGTGTAAAAGCCTAACTAATGTGCACCTTTAGCCCACTCCAATGACGCTTTGGAAACCGACTGCTGGAACCCTTAACTTTGGCTCTGTATTTCCAGATCCTCTAGCAGTATGAGATCATTGAGATTGTGGAATGAGCTGGGAAATTTTATTTTTCAAAAGCAACCAACCATACCTGTATATTTGTAAGGATTTTTATGGAGTCCTGCAATGTCAATCCTTAGGCTTGGCTAGTTCATCAACAAACTCAGAAACAAACTGAAAACTAGAGGCTTGGAATTCAGACAGAACTTTCAAAGCCAGGGCTAGAGATGTTTGTATTAGGTTGCTTTGGTTTATTTTTAGAAGGCAACTGTTTTCTCACGAGCAATTTTCTTAGGTAGCTTAAAATACAATCATAGCCACAAATTTGAATCCTCTTTCCTTGAAAAAAGGGGGGAAAAAGAAAAGGAAGATTGCTAAAAATTATTTCCTATTCTAGTATGAGGTAGAAAGAGCTTTCTAATTTTTTTTTTTCCTCAGGTAGATGAACAAAAAATGCCCCACATAAGTACCTTGAATTGACTTTGTAAGGATAAAGGCAATCACTGTTTATGCTTAGGAAATGTATCGCATTGGGACCTTAATGTTGAGTACAACCTCTTACTCCACCATAGTTGCCAAGTTTTGCTAAATTTTTTTTCTGCTGCAAAAGTTTATTGTTTCATTGCCGGGGAGCACCTCCCAGGCCCTGGGGAAAAAGCCTTGGTTCTCACAAGTGGTTCATATTTTAATCCACTTTATTCCTGCCCTTTCTATTTTAAATGTTTTCAAAATGAAATCTCCAAATTGCATTCTATACAAGGAAATCTTGGTGGAAAATACTAGGGTATAACTCATTCTCACATAAGCAATTGTTTTAGATAATTAAAAAAAATCCTTCTTTCTCACAAGAAGAAGCTGAGAAAACAATTTCAAGAATTCCCACTCACTGAAAGCCAGTTTTCTGAAAGCTAACTTATAGAATAATCTGACATATCAGATTTACATGAATTTACAAAATTTGCTAATAGTGAATTTAATAAGAATGTTAAATTCACTATGGGCTTTCACAAGATGTTCAACTTTTCAAAATTTCAGCATCTCCTATGGGAATCCTTTAGTCCATATTTTCTTCTTAATATAGAAGATCATTTTAGCTAAATTCTGATTTACTTTTAGATGGTCTTAAACTTAAAATCTAAAGCTGATAGAACTATGAAAATATTCCTGATAGGGCTAATAAATATGTAAGTAAAATTGATAAACCTGATAAGTTGGTCATTTGGCAAATTTGCTTGGTGTAAACTTGATGGGTGGTGACTGAACAAGACTTTGCCCCATTACATGGTGTAGTGTGTACACTGCATAAATCCAGGGGCGCCATTTACACAGAGTATAATATGAATAGAGCCCCCTGGAGTTGTGCAACACAGAGGCCCTAGACTTAACTTGGATCATAAGATGTCTGGCCCCAGCCAAGTGGCATGTTGTGAGCTCTATTAACTAAACTAACAATTCCAATTTAATTTGAAGGAGCACACAGATCTTAGGAGTTCATACAAAGAGGATGAAGGAGAGTCAGCAGCACAGCTTATAGGGTATGTGCTACAGACTGAATGTTTGTGTACCCACCCTAATTCATATGTTAAATCCTAATACCCAATGTGATATTTGGAGATGAGGCCTTTGGGATGTGATTAGGTCATGAGGGTGTAGTCCTCATAAATGGGATTAATACCTTTATAAAAGAGGTCCCGGAGAGCTCCGTTGCCCTTTCTACTGTTTAAGGATCCAGCAAGAAGACAGCTATCTATGAATTAAGAAGTAGGTCCTCACCAGACACAAAATCTGCTGGTGCCTGTATCTTGAGTTTCCCAGCCTCCAGAACTGTGAGAAATAAATGTCTGCTGTTTATAAGCCATGCAATTTACAGTATTTTAAAACAGCAGCCTGAATGGAACAAAGCAGTATGTTAGAATCATCTGGGGGTTTTAAAGATCTTCATATTCAGGTCGTTCCCCAGACCAATTAAATGAGACTCTTCTGGTGGGGTCCAGGCGTGAACATTTTAAAAAACCTTCTTAAGTGATTGCAATATGCAACTGTTCTATAAGAAAGGATTTGGCTGGCATTTGTCTCCAGTTCCTGAGAGGGAGATTTTAAAATGCTTAGAATTCCCTCCAGTGATAGTAGTGTCTTTGTTATTCATGGCGGCCCCTTGGACCACACCTGAGTTTACTCTAAGGCAATCACTCAGAATGGGAACTAGGCATGCTGGGAAGACCGGTCATGTGACTAGAGGGTTGGGTCTTTGAATAACAGTGATATTAGCCTGACCTCCAGGGTGGGGAAGGGGGCTGGAGACTTCAATCATGTGGCCAATGATTCAATCAATCATGTCTACATAATGAGACCTCAATTAAAACTCTGGGCACTAAGGCTTGGGGGAGCTTCCTGTGCAGGGATAGTGACGTATCCTGACTCCTTGGGGAGATGGCATGGAAGTTCTGCATTTGGGACCCTCCTAGATCCCACCTTATGTGTATTGTCATCTGGCTGGTCCCAATTTGTGTTGCTTGCAATAGAACTGCAATCATAAGAATAGTACTTTCTTGAATTCTCTGAGTCATTCTGGCAAATCGTTGAACCTGAAAAGGTAGTAGGAACTCCCAAATTTGTAGCCAGTTGGTCAGAAGTGCAGGTGACCTGGGGACTCCTGAACTTGCAGCTGGCATCTGAAATGAGGGCGGTCTTATTGAGGACTTCCTGTAAACCTGTGGATTCTGATGCTAACTGTGGGTGATTAGCATTAGAACTGAATTGCTGCATCACAGCAACCAAGTTTGAGAACCACTATTCTAGGAAAAGGTGGTTCAGAGCATCCAATGAGTGCCGCAATCAAAAGATCCATCCAGGATCAGAGCGGAGATTTCATTGGGGTCCAGCTAGAATGGGGGTTTATGAAAGGAGGTAGAGGGCAGACAGAATGAGGCACAGTGTCTTGGCCTCAAAGTCTCATATGGGAATAAGAATAGAAATTATGACCAGGACAAAAGGTCAGTGCCTATATATTGCAGGACACTATAGCTCAGCACTCAGATATGCTCCATTGTCCCACAAGCAGAGGACTTAGGTACAGAGCCAAAGGCTCTTTCTAGCATCGACGCCACCAGAAGTCATTAGAAGGAAGCTCTCTGTTTAACCAGGACGGGTTTTATGACTAGAGTGAAATTGAACTGGCTAGTGCTAGAATTTTCATTGATATAGCTGGATGGTCTGGGGCCAATAAGTACAAGATTTAAAGAATTTAAATTCTTCCAATGAGTGGGTTCTTAAATAAAATATGCTGAACATATTATACTTTTAATATATTTTGGTGTCTTGGATGTCTTTATATGAAGATTGAATGAAACGTTCTTTTCAAAATTGGATTGTTACCAAGAAAGGTGAGCTGACCCTAAGGCCCAGGAGACCCCTCACCCCTTCCATTGCGAGAAGACACAGAGAGAAACTGTCCATGAGCTAGAAAGCAGGTGTGTGGCCTTGATCTTGGACTTCCCAGCCTCCAGACCTGTGGGAAATAAATTTCTGTTTTTTATAAGCCACACGGTTTATGGTATTTTTGTTACAGCAGAAGGAATAGACTAAGACACACATTTAAAATGCCTAATGTTCTAAAGTTCTGTAAGACTTGTGATGTCCATCTCCACCATGGGGTTATACATGCCTGCTCTGTGACCAGCCTTCACCTTGCTGCATGGGATTGGTTAAGCCCTGAAATGCTTGCCTCTGCAACTGTCTGTTTTCTTTGCTTTCTTTATTGATGAACGTTCTCTGCTGATGGATTCTTCTTTCTTTCTCCCTTTCTTCCTCTCTCTCTTTATTGCTTCCTTCCTTTCTCTCTATCTCTCTCTCTTTCTTTCTTTTCTCTTTTGAGGCAGGGTCTCAGTCTTGTCACTCAGGCTGGAGTGCAGTGGCACAATCGCAGCTCACTGCAGCCTCAACTTCCAGGGCTCCGGTGATACTCTCACCTCAGCCTCCTAAGTAGCTGGAACTACAGGCATGTGCCACCGTGCCAGGCTAATTTTTTGTATTTTTAATAGAGATGGGGTTTCGCTATGTTGCCCAGGCTGGTCTGAAACTCCCGAGTTTAAGCGATTCTTCTACCTTGGCCTCCTTAAGTGCTGGGATTATAGGCGTAAACTATGGCACTCAGCCTGATTCTTCATTCTTTACATGTCATTAACTTTAATCAGGTTACTGCCAAATAAGGCCTGAGAGTAATTCTGTCTCTTTATCAAGGTGACTTTACACAGCTCTCCTCTGGTTTGTTATGTAGTGGGTTTATGTGTGACTCTCAGAGAATAATTTTTAAAATTATCATTATTGTTTCTTCTGGTATGAAAAATATTTTTACTTGTAAAATACAGAAAAACATAAAGTATAAAAATCATTCATAATTCCACCACCTAGTTGGAACTTAATTATGTTTTGTTAGGCCAGGTGTGGTAGATCATGCCTGTAATCCCAGCATTTTGGGAAGCCAAGCAGGAGAATCACTTGAGGCCAGGAATTCAAGACCAGCCTGAGAAATATAGCAAGATCTCATCTCCACAGAAAATGTAAAAGTTAGCTGGGTGTAGTGGCTTGCACCTGGTGATCTAGCTACTCAGGAGGCTGAGGCAGGAGGATTGCTTGAGCCCAGGAGTTTGAGGCTGCACTAAGCTATGATCATGCCACTGCACTCTAGCCTGAGCAACAGAGAGACCCTGCCTCAAAAAAAAAACTATATTTTCTTTACTTATAAAGTTTGTTTCTAGGTGGCTGTAAGCATTCTGCTTTTAAAAACAACTTTAACAAGATATTATTTACATACCTATTTTAAGTATACAATTCAGGCCAGGGGCAGTGGCTCACACCTGTAATCCCAGCACTTTGGGGGACCGAGGCAGGCGGGTCACTTGAGGCCAGGAGTTGGAGATCACCCTGGCCAACATGGTGAAACCCCATCTCTACCAAAATACAAAAATTAGCTAGGTGTGATGTCCCATGCCTGTAATCCCAGCGATTTGGGAGGTTGAGGCAGGAGAATCGCTTGAATCCAGGAGGCGGAGGTTGCAGTGAGCTGAGATCGTGCCACTGCACTCCAGCCTGGGCAATAGAGCATAACTCTGTTTCAAAAAAACAAAAACAAAAAACACTCACTGACTCATATTATATATATATATATATATATATATATATATATATATATATATATATATATATTTATTTATTTATTTTATTTTATTTTTTATTTTTATTTTGAGACCGCAGTCTCACTCTGTCACCCACTGGATTGCAGTGGCACAATGTCAGCTCACTGCAACCTCCACCTCCTGAATTGAAGCGATTTTCCTGCCTCAGCCTCCTGAGTAGTTGGAATTACAGGTGTGCACCATCAGGCCTGGCTAATTTTTGTATTTTTTGATTTTTTGTTGTTGTTGTTTTTGTTTTGTTTTGTTTGAGACAGAGTTTGACTCTTGTTGCCCAGGCTGGAGTGCAATGGCATGATCTCGGCTCACTGCAACCTCCGCCTCCTGAGTTCAAGCGATTCTCCTGCCTCAGCCTCCCAAGTAGCTGGGATTATAGGTGTGTGCCACCACACCCAGCTAATTTTGTATTTTCAGTAGAGACGGGGTTTCTCCATGTTGGTCAGCCTGGTCTAGAACTCCCAACCTCAGGTGATCTGCTTGCCTCAGCCTCCCAAACTGTTGGGATTACAGGCATGAGCTACCGTGCCCGACATTGTTGTTTTGAGACTGAGTCTACCACTAGTCTCTTTTCTGTCTTCATAGATTTGACTCTTCTGGATCATTTAAGTGGAATTATACAATATTTGGTCTTTTGTGACTGACTTCTTTCACTTAACGTAATATTTTTGAGGCTCATTCATGTTGTAGCATTATAAGTAATTTTTTCCTTTTCATTGCAGAATAGTCTTTCATTGTATGGATATACCACCACATTTTATTTGTTCACTCACCACTTGAGGGAAGAGTGAATGGTTTCTGCTTCTTCACTATTATAAATAGTGTTGCTGTCAACATTTATGTGCAAGTCTTCATGTGGGTATATATCATCATTTCCCTGGGTCAATATCCAGAAGTGGAATTGCTGTATTGTATGGTAAAATTATGTTATTGTTTTTCGAGACAGGGTCTCACTCTGTTGCCCAGGCTCGGGTGCAGTGGCAAGATCATAGCCTACTGTAGTCTTGAACTCCTGGGCTCAAGCAATCCTCCCTCCTCATTGTCCCAAAGTGCTGGGATTACAAGCATGAGCTACCATACCAGGCAGTTAATTTATGTTTAATTTTTAAAGAAAACTGCCAGACTCTTTTGAAAAATGGCCCTATCATTTAAAATTCCCATCAGCAGTGTAGAGAATTCCATTTTCTTCACATTATTGCCCACACTTGGTATTGTCTGACTTTTTGATTATAGTCATTCTAGTGGGTGTGAAGTAGTATCTCATTGTGGTTTTAATTTCCATTTTCCTAATAACTAATGATGTTGACCATCTTTTCATGTGAATATTAGCTACTTGCATATTTTCTTTGCTGGTATGTCCATCCATTCTTTTGTCTATTTAAAAAATTGAGTTTTTTAAATTATTGATTTGAAGAAGTTCCTTTTTATATTCTAGATACTAGTCATTTGTTAAATATATGGCTTGAAAATATTTTCTTCCATTCTGTGGCTTATCTTTTCAATTTCTTTTTAAAAACATTTTAACATTTATTTTATTTTTTAGAGGTGAGGTCTCACTCTGTTGCCCAGGCTGGAGTACAGTGACATCTTTTTAGCTTGCTGTATCCTTGAAGTCCTGGGCTAAAGTGATCCTCCTGCCTCAGCTTCCCAAGTAGTTGAGGCACATGCCGCTATGGCTGGTTAATTTTAAATTTTTTGTGGAGACATGTCCTCTCCATGTTGCCTAGGATGATATTGAACTGCTGGCCTTAAGCATTCTCTCTCCTAGGCCTCCCAAAGTGCTGAGATTACAGGCATGAGCCAAGACAGCCTGGCCCTTTTCATTTTCTAAATGGTGTCTTTTGAAGTGCAAGAAGGTTTTGACTTTCTTTTTTTATTTACTTATTTTTTTTTTGAGACAGAATCTCCCTCTGTTGCTCAGTCTGAAGTGCAGTGGTGCAATCTTGGCTCACTGCAACCTCTGCCTCCCGGGTTCAAGCGATTCTTCTGCTTCAGCCTGCCTAGTAGCTGGGACTACAGGTGCGAGCCACCACACCTGGCTAATTTTTGTATTCTTAGTAGAGACGAGGTTTCACCATATTGGCCAGCTGGTCTTGAACTCCTTACCTCATGATCCACCCGTCTTGGCCTCCCAAAGTGCTGGGATTACAGGCGTGAGCTACCGCACCTGGCCAAAATAATTTTTTACTTTTAATTTTTGTGGGTAAATAGTAGGTATATATATTTATGGAGTACATGAGGCATTTTAATACAGGCATGTAATGCATAAAAATCACATCAGAGTAAGTGGGGTATCCATCATCTCAGGCATTTATTCTTTGTGTTACAAACCAATTATACACTTTGAGTTATTTTAAAATATACAATAAAGTTATTATTGATTATAATCAACCTGTTGCACTACCAAATACAAGATTTTATTCATTCTTTCTCAGTGTTTTTTGTACCCATTAACAATCTCCATTTTCCCCCCATCCCTTCACTATCCTTCCCAGCCTCTGGTAACCATCCTTCCACCCTCTATCTCCATGAGTTCAATTCTTTTTATTTTTAGCTCCCACAAATAAGTGAGAACATGCAAAGTTTGTCCTTCTGTGCCTGGGTTATTTTACTTAGTGACTTCCAGTTCCATCCACGTTCCTGCAAATAACAGGATCTGAATCATACTCCATTGTGTATATGTACCACATTTTCTTTATCCATTCATCTATTGATGAAAACTTGGGTTGCTTCCTGATACAATTTGGCTCCGTGTCCCCACCCACGTCTTACCTTGAATTGTAATAATCCCCATGTGTCAAGGGCAGGACCAGGTGGATGTAATTGGATCATGGAGGCAGTCTCCCCCATGCTGTTCTCGTGATAATGAGTGAGTCTCATGTGCATCTGGCATTTCCCCTGGTGGCACTCACTCCATCCTGCTGCCCTGTGAAGAAGGTGCCTGCTTCTCCTTTGCCTTGTGCCATGATTGTATGTTTCCTGAGGCCTCCCCAGCCATGTAGAACTGTGAGTCAATTAAACCTCTTTCTTTATAAATTACCCAGTCTCAGTTATTTCTTCATAGCAGTGTGAGGATGGACTAATACACTTCCAACTCTTGGGTACTGTGAATAGTGCTGCAATAAACATGAAAGTGCAGATATATCTTTGATATACTGATTTCCTTTCTTTGGGGTATATGCTTAGCCACAGGATTGCTGGATTGTATGATACCTCTATTTTAAGTTTTTTGAGGAACCTCCAAACTGTTCTCCATAGTGGTTTTACTAATTTACATTCCTACCAACAGTGTACAAGTTTTCCCTTTTCTCCACATCCTCACCAGCATTTGTTATTGCCTGTCTTTTGAATAAAAGCCATTTTAACTGGGGTGAAATAATATTTCATTGTAGTATTGTTTTGCATTTCTCTGATGATCAATGATGTTGAGCACCTTTTCAACAACGTGTTTGCTATTTCTATGTCTTCTTTTGAGTAATATCTATTCAGATCTTTTTCTCATTTTTAATTGAATTATTAGATTATTTCCTATAAAGTTGTTTGAGCTCCCAATATATTCTTATTAATTCCTTATCAGATGGATAGTTTGCAAATATTTTCTCTCATTCTGTGGGTTGCCTCTTCACTTTGTTGTTGGTATCTTTTGCGGTGCAGAAGCTCTTAACTTGATGTGATCCCATTTGCCCACTTTTGCTTTGGTTGCCTGTGCTTGTGGGGTATTACTCAAGAAATCTTTGTCCACTCCCCAATGTTTTTATTTTAATAGTTTGATCATTTGAGGTCCCAGATTTGAGTCTAGATTTAAGAGTTTTCTCAATGTTTTCTTTTAGTAGTTTTGTGGTTTGAGGTCCTAGATTTAGGTCTTTAATCCATCTTGGTGAGAGATAGGGGTCTAGTTTCGTTCTTCTGCATATGGATATTCAGTTTTCCCAGCACTATTTATTGAAGACTGTCTTTTCACCAATGTTCTTGGCATCTTTGTTGAAAATGAGTTCACCAAAGATGTATGAATTTGTTTCTGGGCTCTCCATCTTGTTCAATTGGTCTGTGTATCTGTTTTCATTCTAGTATTACACTGTTTTGGTTACTATAGCTCTGTGGTATAATCTGAAGTCAGGTAATGTGATTCTTCCAGTTTTCTTTTTTTTTGCTCAGGATAGCTTTGGCTAATCTAGGTCTTTTGTGTTCCATATAAATTTTAGGATTCTTTTTTCTATTTCTGTGAAAAATGTAATTGGTATTTTTATAGGTATTGCATTGAATCAGTAGATTGCTTTGGCTAGTACAGACATTTTAACAATATTGATTCTTCCAGTTCATGAACATGGAATATCTATTATTTTGTGTCCTCTTCAATTTCTTTTATCAATGTTTCATAGTTTTCATTGAGAGATCTTTCACTTCTTTGGTTAAATTAATTCCTAGGTAATTAATTTTATATGCACTTATTGTAAATGGGATTACTTTCTTGATTTCTTTTTCAGATTGTTCACTGTTGGCAAATAGAAATGCTACTGATTTTTGTATGTTGATTTGGTACTACCTTGTACTCTATTGATTTGCTATCCTACAACTTTACTGAATTTGTTTGTCAATTCTAATAATTTTCTGGAGGAGTCCTTAGGCTTTTTCAAATATAATATCATATCATCTGCAAACAAGGATAATTCGATTTCTTCCTTTCCAATTTGGATGCCCTTTATTTCTTATTCTTGTTCGACTGCTGTAGCTAGGACTTCCAGTATTATGTTGAATAACAGTGGTGACAGTGGGCATCCTTGTCATGTTCCAGATATTAGAGGAAAGTTTTTCAGTTTTTCCTCATTCAGTGTGATACTAATTATGGGTCTGTCATATATGTCCTTTACTATGTTGAGGTATGTTCCTTCTATCCCCAGTTTTTTGAGGGTTTTTATCATGAAAGGATGTTGAATTTTATCATATGCTTTTTCAGCATCAATTGAAATGTTCATATGATTTTTGTCCTTTATTCTGTTGATATGATATATCACATTGATTAATTTGTGTATGTTGAACCATCCTTGAATCTCTGGGATAAATCCTATTTGGTCATGATGAATGATCTTTTTAATGTGTTGTTGAATTCGGTTTGCTAGTATTTTGCTGAGGATTTTTGCATCAATATTCTTCAGGGATATTGGTCTATGGTTTTCTTTCTTTCTTTTCTTTTCCTTCTTTTTTTTTTTTTCTTTTACTTTTTTGATGTGTCTTTGTCTGGTTTTGGCATCAGGGTCATACTGGCACCATAGAATGAATTAGAAAGTATTCCCTCCTCTGTTTTTTAGAATAGTTTGAGTAGGATTGGTATTTGTTCCTCTTTAAATGTTTGGTAGAATTCAGCAGGGAAGCGAAGCCATGGAATCCTAGACTTTTGTTTGCTAACAGACTTTGTATTATGGCTTCAATCTCATTACTTGTTATTGTTCTATTCAGGTTTTGGATTGAAGAACTTCCTTTAGCATTTCTTGAAGGACAAGTCTGGTGTTGATGAAATCCCTCACCTTTTGTTTGTTTGGAAAAGTCTTTTTTTTTTTCTTTTTGAGACGGAGTCTTGCTCTGTTGCCCAGGCTGGAGTGCAGTGGCATGATCTTGGCTCACTGCAACCTCTGCCTCCTGGGTTCAAGCGATTCTCCTTCGTCAGCCTCCCAAGTAGCTGGGATTACAGGTGCCCACCATCACGCCCAGCTAATTTTTGTATTTTTAGTAGAGACAGGGTTTCGCCATGTTGGCCAGGCTGGTCTCGAACTCCTGACCTCAGGTGATCCACCCACCTCAGCCTCCCAAAGTGCTGAGATTACAGGCGTGAGCCACAGCACCCGGCTGGAAAAGTCTTTATTTCTCCTTCATGTTTGAAGGATATTTTTTGCCAGATATACTACTCTAGGGTAAAAGTTTTTTTCTCTCAGCCACTCTCTCCTGGCCTGTAAGGTTTCCACTAAGAAGTCTGCTGCCAGATATATTGGAGCTCCCTTGTATGTTATTTATTTCCTTTATCTTGCTGCTTTTAGGATCCTTTCTTTATCCTTGACCTTTGGGAGTTTGAATATTAAATGCCTTGAGATAGTCTTCTTTGGGTTAAATCTGCTTCGTGTTCTATAATCTTCTTGTACTTGAATGTTGATATCTTTCCTTAAGTTTGGGAAGTTCTCTGTTATTATCCCTTTGAATAAACTTTCTACCCTTATCTCTTTATCTCTTCCTCTACCTTCTCTTTAAGACCAATAACTCTCAGATTTGCCCTTCTGAGGCTATTTTCTAGATCTTGTAGGTGTGCTTCATTCTTTTTCATTCTTTTTTCTTTTGTCTCCTCTGACTGTGTATTTTCAAATAGCCTGTCTTCAAGCTCATCAATTCTTTCTTCTGCTTGATCAAGTTTGCTATTAAGAGACTTAGATGCATTCTTCAGTATGTTAATTGCATTTTTTCAACTCTAGGATTTCTGCTTGATTGTTTTAAAATTATTTCAATCTGTTTGTTAAATTTATAATAGAATCCTGAATTTCTTCTCTGCATTATCTTGAATTTCTTTGAGTTTCCTCAAAACAGCTATTTTGACTTCTCTGTCTGAAAGGTCACACAGCTGTTTCTCCAGGATTTGTCTTGGTGCTTGTGGATGTTCATCGGAGTCTGGGCACTGAAAAGTTTGGTACTTATTGTAGTCTTTGTATTCTGGGCTTGTTTGTGTCTGTCTTTCTTGGGAAAGCTTCCCAGGTATTTGAAGGGACTTGGTCCCCAAGCCCAATAATCCCGTGGTTCTTGCAGACTCATAGAGGTACTGACTTGGTGGTCTTGGATAAGATCAAGTATTCTCTGGATTACCAGGCAAGAAACTCTTGTTCTCTTCCCTTACTTTCTCTCAGACAGAGTCTCTCCCTCTCTCTTTCTCTTGCTCTCTCTCTCTCTGTCTCTGCTGAACTGCCTGGGTTGAGGGTGGGGAGACACAAGCACCCCTGTGGCCACCACCACTGGGACTGTGCTTGGTCAGATCTGAAGCCAGCACAGCACTGGGTCTCACCCAAGGCCAGGTTTAACCCCTACCTGGCTACTGCCTGTGTCTGTTCAAGGCCCTAGGGTTCTATGATCAGCAGGTGGTGAAACCAGCCAGGCTTGGGTCCGACTCTTCAGGGCGGCAAATTCTCTCAGGTCCCAGGCAGGTCCAGAGATGACATCCAGCATCCAAGGTCCTTCTCACTATTGCCTCCCCTTTCCACAGGCAGGTGGCACTCTCCCTGTGGCCACCACCACCACAGTCCCATGGGGGTACTGCCAAGTTACCACCAATGTTCACTTAACAACCAAGGCATACAATCAGCTTTTGATGAATGCTGCTAGGTCTAGGACTCACCCTTCAGGGCAGTGGGTTTGCCTCTGGTCCAGGGCACGTCGGAAATGCTGTCCAAGAGCCAAGGCTTGGAATTGGGGACCCCAAGAGCCTACCTGGTGCTCTAGCCCACTGTAGTTGAGCTGATACCTGAAGCCAGCACATCTTTGAGTCTCACCCAAGGCTCACGGCTTACTACCCGGGTATTGCTGCTGGTTTTTGAGAGCCCAAGGGCTCTTTAGTCAGGAAGTGATAAATCCTGCCAGGACTGGGTCCTTCCCTTCAAGGCAGCAGGTTCCCTTCTGTCCCAGGGTGTGTCTAGACACATTGTCTGCGAGCTAGGACCTGGAATGGGGGCCTCATGACTCTGCCTGTTGCCCTATCCTTTAGTGGCTGAGCTAGTATCCAAGATACAAGACAAAATCCTCTTTTCTCTTTGCTTTCCTCTCTTAAGCAGAAGAAAGGAGTCACTTTTGTTGCTGCAAGCTGTGCTGTCTGGGGTTGCCGGAGGGGTGGAGCAAGCACTTCCTTAGCTACCCTGACTGGTGTTCCAGGTCCACTGGCTCTATGTCCAGCACAGCACTAGTACTTGCCTAGGAATTGCAGTTCTTGTGGCCTAGACTGCGTTTCAAGTTTATTTAGGACCTCAGAGCATTTTAGCCCTTGACGCTTGCCAAAGTCAAGTTCTGACTGCTGGGATGGGTGATTTCCCTCTGGCTAGGGCTGGTCTAGACTCTCCCTTCATAGGCAGGTATCAACAGAGTTTAAACTGGTTTTGCTTTCCACTGTGACAGGGCAGCACTGAGTTCACAGCAGGGTCCCACAATCACTGTGCTCTCCCTCCTTCAGGCGCACAGATTCTCTCTCCATGCCATGCAGTCCTGCCAGGGGATGGGGAAAGGGTGGTGTGAGCAATTCAAGACTGTCCTTCCTACCCTCTTCAGTGCCTCTTTCAGCAATTTAAAGTTAAAACCAGGTTCTGTGGTTGCCACCTGATTTTTGTGTGTAGATATTTGTTAAATTGGTGCTTTTTGTGTGTAGATAGTTGTTAAATTGGCATTCCTGTAGGGTGGACAAAGGCTTCTATTTGACCATGTGGTTCAGCCCTCTTCCTTGATTACTGCAGTTCTATATGATGTTTTGAAGTCGAAAATTTTGTTTTTGTTTTATCTTTTTGCTTTTTAAATCATAGCCACCACTTGGTATGGCTTTTCTATTTCCTTTCTTGCTGTGAGCTCCCATACCTGGTTGCTATTAGGGTAGCCAATTATACAATTCTCTCTTCTTTTTAAAACCAGCTCATCTTAATTATATGCTTTGGTCTGGAAACCAAAAAACAATGTTTTATGTTGATACAATGTCCCCACCATGTATAGGCTACCAGCACAGACAGAGGATAGAAATAACAGCCCCTGATAGTTTTGGAATGGAGAATATGCTATCTCACTTACTCCCATGTTGACATAGAAAGTTCATAATAAAGGAAGTGATTGTCTTACTTTATTCTCTGGTCATACCTCACCGGGGGTACTGAATTTTTATCTGGACATCATTATATGAGTTTTTCTAGTAAACACAACTTGCTCTCCCTCTGGGACATGAATTTTATCCCCATGTAAAGCTCTGTGCTGCTGATAAAGTTGTCTTTACTCCTTGCTTCTGACCAATCAGGATATTGCACTCCTTTGCTGACAGTGATTGGTCCAGGAGAAAGCATGTGACACATTCGGAGCTACTGAGATGCAGTGAGACTTTTTCTGGGATTTCTGAGAGATTCCCATTCTTCTGTACTAGACTTGAGGTTGTAAGAAGGTAAGCCTGGACCTCTTTAACCATCTTGCTATGCTGAATGAAATGCCTGCCTAGATATAGACCCTTCTTAGGAGAAAACAGAGCTGAGAGAGAAAAGAGACAATGAATCTTGATTCTGGGGGTCTTCTGTGAGCCCCTGTATCAAATCATGCCTTCAATGAATCTTACTCTGGAGATTTAAACCGTGCAAGCTAGCTTAAACTAGGTTTTCTGTCACATGCAACCAAAATAGTTTTAATTGATTCACACGGTTTAAGAGAGATACTGATAAATTAGAACAAGCCCAGAAAAGAATGGCCAGGGGGTGAGTGTGATCAGAATTGTGTCAGAGGGGGGAAATTGAAGGCTGTTTGGCTTGACGGAAGGAGGTCTAGTGTGTATGTGTCCCAAGAGACAAAGAATGTTAATGATGCGGGGGTGGATACTAAACATAGAGTTATTTTCCAATATGTAAGAGGGTTTCAGTGTAGAGAGTGATTAGATTTGTTCCATTGGGCTCCAGGGAGATAAATTGGAATTAATAATAGGAAGATCCTGAAAACAGATTTCAACTAAGTCTTAAAATTTTAACAGTTTAACGTTTCCTAAAATGGAATAAATTGCACTAATAATACGTCTGCTCTGTCTAGAAGGGTTTTAAGTGACTTATCAGAGATATTGCAGAGTGGATTCAAGCAACTCGATGGATGATGCTTTTGGAACTTCAATTATTTGAATATGAACTTCACAATTTTTTGCCATATGATAAAGACACAAGTTGTACCACTTTTGGTTTAATATTTTCTTTGCATCAGCTCCCTTTTATGTCGAAGTAAGTTTATTTTAAGATGAAACTTTAAATCACTACTGTAAATGAAAAACAAGTACCAATGACCAAAAATAAATAAAATAAAACAATGGGCCAGGCGCGGTGGCTCATGCCTCCAATCCCAGCACTTTGGGAGGCCGAGGCGGGCGGATCACAAGATTAGGAGATCAAGACCATCCTGGCTAACATGGTGAAACCCTGTCTCTACTAAAAATACAAAAATTAGCTGGGCATGGTAGTACGTGCCTGTAGTCCCAGCTACTCAGGAGGCTGAGGCAGGAGAATCACTTGAACCTGGGAGGCGGAGCTTGCAGTGAGCCGAGATTGTGCCACTGCAGTCCAGCCTGATGACAGAGCCAGACTCCGTCTCAGAAAAAAAAAAAAAAAAAAAAAAGTTATTCATATCGAAATAGCAAAAATATACCTGTGATCTAGTTTCTCTTTGTTAAATGAGAACTTAATAGTTGAAGCTATGATAACACACTGATCATTTCTCTTTCTCTGTTCCAATGGATTGAAAGACAATTGAATGGGAAATGATCTCACTAAGCAATTCAACGTTTGTAATATCATGCCTATGTGCTGCCTGAAATCATCAATCTATTCACACATTCTGAAAGCCCACAATATGGGTGTGATTCACACCAGCGCTTCCTAATCTTTTCACAACTTGTCACACAGAACTATATTTGTTGGCACACTGGGGTAAACTAAGGCAGCTGCTCATCATGTGAGTTAACTGGCCTAAGGGAGTTAACTCTAGCCCAGGCAGCACCCCCACCCCACCTGTGGCAGAGGAGATGGATATATTGTCACACTGGTAAATGTCCCAATTAATGTTCCATTAAGAGTTCTTTCTATGAGTCTATAGTTCTATACTATTAACTCTTTTAAGTTTCTGCTTCAAACACTTTCTTTGAAGTAATTTCTTTTTGAATATATGTCTGAGAGCTCACAGGCTGGCTAAAGACCATCTCTGCACCTTCTGGAAAATTCTCTTGGTATCTCCCTTTGCACATACAACAGAGGAGCAGCCCTGAAATCAAGTTGCTACGCTACAACAGAAAAACAAATCCCCCTTGCTCCCTGACCACCAAATGAAACCAAAGACAGCTTCTTGGATTTATGCTACCCTTTTCTCTAAATGACACACTGGAAAATCTGACTCAGTAAATAAGTGAGTGTGTGTTTAAAGAAGCCCTCCTCACAATCCTTCTAATCTTATATGTAGAAATGCACTTTAATTCTGAAAACAACTGGTTCATTCTAAACCAAAGAGACAATCAGGTAGAGCAAAATTGTGTTTAAGAGCAGTAGCTGGGGCTACCTTATTTGGAAGAATTTGGAGTGTTGTTTGGGCTGTCTGCAGCTCTTTGGAGAACATCTGATACCAATTTACAGATTCCATGATTCATTAAAGGATTTTGGTTTGTTCCTATTCCTTTAGTCCTCTGTAGTTATCCTAAAGATTTCCCCACAAACAGATTTCAGTATTTTCCTGAATGGAGACGTTATTTCTCTGAGTTTATTTGTGTGTGTATGTGTTCTGCGTAGTCTTTTTTTTTTTTTTTTCTAGTTGTGGTGATTTATGTTACTGGTATGAGTCTTTCAAGTTCCTTTCTTGGGTGGGAGATCATTTTTGGCTTCAAACTAGAATGTCCCAGAATAACTGCTGGTTAAAAGACTCTTTTTGTGTTGCAATTTTAAGGAAGTCTCATGGTTGAAGCTGAGATCTATCTATAGACACCAAATAGAGTAGGAATATTTATATCCCTGATTTCTGCTCAAGGATTCCCATTATTTCAAAACACATTTAGCCCAATTCTCCACTCAAGCCTGGAAGAAGCAAAGCGGTGGGTGGCATCTAACGACATTACAGTAAGAGGCAGGATCGTAATTCTCAGTACATTTCAATCTCCTGGGGACCTTGTGTTAAAATGCAGATCCTGATTCAGAAGGTTGAGAACTGGGCCTGAGAAGTTTTTTTTCTAATGGATTCCCAGGTGACGCTGGTACTGCTGGTCCATATAGTATTTCCCAAATTTGCCTGAAGCTGATTCACCTGGGGTGGTTGTTATATAGGCAGACTACCAAATCATTCCCTTAGGAATTCTGATTCAGAAGCCTGAGCTGAGGTTCTTAATAACCCTTCCTTCCAAGAGCTCCTCCATCCTCTGGTTCCAAGCTAGTACTTCAACGGATTTTATGGTACTCCTCTGCTACTCCAGGCAGTTTCCTCCTCTGTTCTCCTACCTCCCACTCCTCTCCTTTTCTTCCTTCCTTTTTTTCCTTGCTCAATATTTGTTGGGCATCTCCTGCGTTAAACGCTGGGACAGTTCTGAATAAAAGCGCTAGTCCCTGCCCTTGTCTAGTAGGGGAAACAGACAATAGTCAAGTAAATAGGCAGATAAACAGGAGAATTACAGTTTGTGACGTTGCTGGTAATTAGCGACTATTTGGGGCTGGAGGCATGGCAATAAGAAGAATTTACCAAGACAGTTGTAGGTAAAGAAAAGCAAATTTATTAGAGAAAGCACAAAAATCTGTTGCAAGGGTGCAATGGGCAGGTCAGCAAAAAGGAATTGACTGCAAAGAGACAAAGGCTTGCCGGGGATTTTATAGAATGGTGTTTGTGCTGTGTGCTGAAGACGGCTTTGTGCAGTATCGATAATGCCAAGGTTGCAGTGAGCTAACTTGACTTCTTCTATCACCCAAGGGTCGCTAGGTGCAAGAAGATTGTGAATTATTTGCACAGGAGGGCTATGTGTCCTGCACATGAAGAAAGGCAGGCTTATAGCTTATCTGCCTTCTCCTTTTGCTTTCCCTAGGTCCTGCCAGCCCAACTCCCCCTCCCTAATTAGGACTCCACATGTGATACATGTTAAGAAGGAAATAAATACAGCGATGTGCTGGAGAGGGATGGGGAGGAGGTTTGAAACTAAACCAGCGTCATCAAGAGAGCTCTTCCAGGAAGACAGTTAAACTGAAATTCATATCCAATACTCCAGCCTAAGCCACACTACTTGTTGAATGTGCCCTGTGTTTGGGAGACCTACTGCCTTCATTCATGCTGTTTCTTTCACCATGAGTGGCTTCTCACTGATTCAATTTGCAATTATTTAAAGACCAACCTAAATGCCATCACTTTCACCCAGGTTTCCCAGCATATGTGAAATCTCTCCCCACTGAGCTCCCAAAGCACCTGCTATACTTCCATTCCTGTCTAGATCATTCTGCCTTAAACTGCAGTTGCCTTGTGATGTGGGTGCATTTTGTGAGCACACACTGTTTACCCACATTATCTCAAACTATTCAATAACACTGGTAGGTTATATTATTATCTACATATCATAGATAAAGAAACTGAAATTTGGGGAAGCTAAGTAACTTGCCTGGAACTACAGAATAAAGTGACGGAGCCTAGATTCAAGCGATGACCTCCCAGTTGATCTGTTTTATCTCCCGTAGTAGGCCTTAAGCAACATGGAGGAAGTATTATATCTTTGTATCCTTAAATTAAAAAAAAAAAAATCAAGTTGCAGAAGAGCGCTTGCATTTGTGTATCATAATGGAGAAAAGAACAAAAGAAGAAAACAGAATTCCCCTCCCATCTTGCATAAGTTTCCCAGGGCTGCTGTAACAAAGTACTCCCGACCGAGTGGCTTAAACACCAGAAATGTATTGTCTTGCAGTTCTGGAGGCTTCAAGTGTGAAATCAAGATGTCAGCTGCTCCATGCTCCCTCTGAGGACACTGGAGAGGTATCTGTTCCAGGTATCTCCTGGTTTCTTGTAGTTCCTTGGTTTGTGGCAGCATAATGCCAGTCTTCATGTGGCAATTTCTATGTGTGAATCTCTGTGTTCATATCTCCCGTTTTTATAAATACATCAGCCATATTGGCTTAGAGGCCCACCCTACTGACTTTATCTTAACTAATCACATATGCAACAACCCCATTTCCAAATAAGGTCACATTCTGAGGCGCTGGGCATTAGGACTTCAGCATATGGACTTTGAGAAAACACAATTCAGTCTCTAACATTCTACTGTGTAGCTTCTATCACAATGCTGATCCCTAAACCAGGGAACCTGATGTAGTTTTCCTATTTGCCTTATCCTAAAGGCAACACTGCAGAGGGGTTAAATGATCAATTTAGACAAGTTCAGGAGCTCAGTTCAAAATAATGGTCTCCACAATTTTTGTTTAACAAAAATGAATACACAAGTTCTGTATATCCATACAAGGAAATATTACAAAGTGAGTACACTTTTACATATAATTTATTGAGTTTTTATTATGTACCAAGCATTGTGCCAAATGTTTTAAACATGTAATCACAACAACTCAATGAGGTAGGAATAACTAGCCTTATTATACAGGTGGTGAAGCTGAGTTTTGGAGTTCAGTAACACATACAGGGTTACCAAAATTGAAGCTGGTTTCTGTCTTCAGTAGATTCAGTCAATCATGAAAGCAAAAGAGGTCACCTGCACAACATGAAAAGCTTGGTTTGCTTTAAGCTGTCATAACCTGTAATTCTGTCTGTCCCTCACTAAAGAGTCAGGCCATTACTGTGTATAATATTACAATACCTACATATTAATTTGATAATACTTAAAAGACTTTACAAAAATTATTTCAAAATGGGATAAGCTTGGTAAGTTTCACTAAGTTTTTGCAGTAAAAAAATGAAATACTATCATCAATAAATGTTGCTATCAAGAAGGAGGAAGGGCTAATAATTTAAGAAGGCCTAAATGAGAATAGGCTCAGACACAGTATTTCATAATGCAAAATATGTTAGAATGTTGCAAAGTCAAAAATTTAAATATAAAGTTCAACCAACCACAAGGCACAGGTCACATGAATATTAAGAGTATTGAATTGGCTGAGCATGGCTTTTGCTTAATAGATTGCAAAATTCCTGGGGACAGGGATTCTCCCATCTGAGATACTCCCATCTGACTCATCTTTGTATCCCTAACAATGTCCAGGACATTGCATATAACAGGTTTTAACACATTAAATTAAATAATTTTTTTAAAAAGTGGCTTATCTTTCTTGACAGAGACAAGCAGCATTTAAAGTTAAAAGAAAGATGGGTAATGTTTTATCATGTGTCAGAAATTGTTTGAAGTTCAATCAGAGAATGAGACAGATTCTATTATCTCCATTTTAGAGATAACAGAACAGAAAGATTAAATAGCTCTCACAACTGGAAAGTGGTAGCAGTAGGAATCCACACCTGTGTTGTTGACATTTACAGTTCACATTCTCAACCATTGCACTATAGTGGCAGATAACATGACCAGCAAACAGCCAGAGCTTTGTTTTCTAAGAAATTCGTCAACTGAGATGTTTACTAGCATCAGCCTATCATCAGTAGTGTATAGGATGTTTACTATCATCAGGAGTGTACAACTCCTGTTAGAATTCAAGAAATACAGTGTAGGGATTAAACACTCTTATTTTTGCCATTACTCTAGACCTAAGTTTAAACTCTGATTTTGACACAGCTTGGCTGTGTAACCTTGTATGTGTTATTAAACTTCTACAAAACTCAGCCTCACCACCTGTGTAATAAGGTTAGTTATTTCTACCTCACTGAGTTGTTTGATTACCTGTTTAAAGCATTTGGCAGAATGCTTGGTACATAATAAAAACTCAGTAAATTATATGTAAAAAGTATACTTATTTTGTGATTAATATTTCATTGTATGGATATACACAATTTCTTTATTCACTTTTGTTAAACGAAAATTGTGGAGGCCATTAATTTGGACTGAGCTCCTGAACTAGACTCCAACAGACCAGATCAAACCAAAATGGAGTCACTCATACTAAATGCTACATAATCAAGTTGAAACTTAAAGGAAGCAGATAGATCCCAAAACAAACCAGTTTTCCTGAAAACAGGAGATTCCAGTCTAGCTGAGCCAGCATAATAAGGAAGTCCCCTCTGCTTTAATCCTTACCAAAAAAACGATTTTTTTTTTCTTTTCTGTTTTCTTGCTCTCACCTTGCAACCCCCACTGTTGCTCAGTGGAGCTCTCATTCTATTTCGTAGAATGAAGGTTACCCTGATTCGTAAGTCAAGAATAAAAGCCAATTAGATCTATAGCTAAATGTGTTATAATGTTGTCTTTTGACACTGTTGATGTATGTTTGGATTGTTTCTAGATTTTGACTATTACTCATAAAGCTACTATGAACATCCTTGTTCAAGTTTGTACAGATGTATGCCTTAATTTTTCTTGGATAGATACCTAGTGTGGCATGGGAGATATATGTTTAGTTTTTAAGAAACTGACAAAGTGGTTTCCAAAGTGGATGTACTGTTGTACATTCTCACTGGCAGTGTATGAAGTTTCCAATTCTTCTACATCCATGTCAACACTTGGTGTGGTGAGTTTTATTTATTTATTTACTCACTTATTTACAGAAATTTTTATTGTGAATTAAAACACTCCTAAAATTTATTATCTTAACCATTTTTAAGGGTACTGTCCAATAGCGTTAAGTATACTCACGTTGTTGTGAAACACATCTCTAGAACTTCCTCATCTTGCAAATCTGAACCTCTCTATATATTAAATAACAGCTTCCACTTTGTTCCCTCTCCCCAGCCCCTGGCAACTATCATTCTTTCTGTCTGTAAGAATTTGAATACTTTATTTATTTATTTATTTATTTATTTTTGAGAGGGAGTCTCACTCTGTCGCCCAGGCTGGAGTGCAGTGGCGTGATCTCAGCTCACTGCAACCTCTGCCTCCTAGATTCAAGCGATTCTCCCGCCTCAGCCTCCTGAGTGGCTGGGATTACAGGTGTCCGCCACCATGCCTGACTAAGTTTTGTATTTTTAGTAGAGATGGGGTTTTGCCATGTTGGCCAGGCTGGTCTCGAACTCCTGACCTCAGGTGATTCACCTGCCTCAGCCTCCCCAAGTGCTGGGATTACAGGTGTGAGCCACCACACTGGCCTGAATTTGAATATTTCAGATACTTCATGTAAGTGGAATCATGCAGTATTTGTTCTTTTGTGACTGGCTTATATAACTTAGCATAATATCCTCAAGGTTCATTCATGTTGTAGCATGTGTCAGAATTTCCTTCTTTATTAAGGTGGCATCATATTCCATTGTATGTATATTCCACATTTTGTTTATTCATTCATGTGTCAATGGACATTTGGGTTCTTTCAACCTTTTGGCTTGAAGAACCTGATGTAATGGTCATACTCATTATTGAATATGATGAATAATGATGCTATGAACCTGGATGTGTAAATGTCTTTGAGATTCTGCTTTCAGTTCTTTTGGATATATACACAGAAGTGGGTTTGCTGCATCACACAATGGTTCTATTTTTATTTGTTTTAGTAACAACTATACTGTTTTCCAAAGCACCATTTTACAACCATAGTAACCATGCACAGGGGTTTCACCTTCTCCACATCTCTGCCAACACCTGTTATTTTCTGTTTTTTTTTTTTATAGTAGCCGTCCTAAAGAGTGTGAGATGATATTGCGTTGTGTTTTAATTTGTATTTCTCTGATAATTATTGATATTAACCATCTTTTCATATGCTTATTGGACATTTGTATATGATCTTTGGAGAAATTTTACCTGTTTGTTAATTGGGTTATTTGATTTTTTTGTTGTTGTTACATTGTAGGAGATCTTTATATATTCTGGATATTAACACCTTATCAGACATATATGCTTTGCAAATATTTTCTCGCATTCCATAGGTTGCCTTTTCCTTCTGTTAATTGTGTGTGTGTGTGTGTGTGTTTTTTTTTTTTTTTTTTTGACCAGATTCTCACTGTGTTTCCCAGGCTGGAGTGCAGTGGCACAATCATGGCTCACTGCAATCTCAAACTTCTGGGCTCATGAGATCCTCTTGCCTCAGCATACCAAAATTCTGGGATTACAGGAATGAGCCACTGTGCCCAGCCTTGATTGTGTCTTCTAATGAACAAAAATCTTTAAGCCTGATGTATCCCTATTTGTTTTCCTTTTGTTGTGTGTGCTTTGGGTGTTAAAATGATTTCATATCAAAGAAATCATTACCAACTCCAATGTCATAAAAATTTTCCCTGTGTTTTCTCCTAGGAGCTTTATAGGTTTAGGTATTACATTTAGGTCTTTAATCCATTTTGAGTTAATTTTTGTATATGGTATAAGATAAAAGTCCAACTTTTTTTTTTTTTGTTTGAGACAGGGTCTTACTCTGTTGCCCAGGCTGGAGTGTAGTGGTATGATCATACCTCACTGGGGCCTTGAACTCCTAAGCTCAAGGAATCCTCCCATCTCAGCTTCCCAAGTAGTTGGAACTATAGGTATGAGCCACCAAGCCCAGCCTCTAATTACTTATTTATTTTGTTTCTTTTTCTTGCCTAATCACACTGGCTAAAACTTCCAATACTATGTTGAATGGAAACAACAGGAACAAGCATCCTTGTCTTGTTCCTGATCTTAGAGGAAAAGCTTTCAGTCTTTCACCCTTGAATAGGATATTAATGATGAAATTTTCATATCTGGCCTTTGTTATATTGAGGTAGTTTCATTTATTCTTATTTCAATGAGTGATTTTATCATGAAAGTTTGTCGATCTTGCCAAATGGGGTTTTTTTTGCATCAATTGAGATAATCATGTGATTTTGTCCTTTATTCCGTTAATGAGTTGTATTACATTTATTGATTATCATATATTGAGCCATAGTGTATTCTAGAAATAAAAACATCCTTTGGTTATGGTACATTATCCTTTTAATATGCTATTGAATTCAGTTTGCTAGTATTTTGTTAAGGATCATTGCATTAATATTCATCAGGGATATTGGTCTTTAGTTTTCTTTTTTTATGGTGTCTTTACCAGTCTTTGGAATCAGGTTAATAATATTGGCCTCATAAAATGAGCTTGGATGTGTTCCTTCTCTTTAAATTTTTAAAGAAAAAGTTGGAGGAGGATTGTTGTTGATTATTTTTCAAATGCTTGATAGAATTATTCGGTGAAGTCATCTGATCCTGGGCTTTTCCTTATTGGGGTTGTTGTGGGTTTTTTTGTTTTCATTTTTGTTTCTGAGAGAGTCTCACTCTGTCACCCAGGCTGGAGTGCAGTGGTGCAATCTCAACTCACTGCAACCTCTGCCTCCTGGGTTCAAGTGATTCTCGTGCCTCAGCCTCCCAAGTAGCTGGGATTACAGGTGCTCACCACCATGCTCAGCTAATTTTTGCATTTTTAGTAGAGATGGGGTTTCACCACATCAGCCATGTTGGTCTCAAACTCCTAGACTCAAGTGATCTTCCCATCTTGGCCTCTCAAAGTGCTGGGATTACAGGCATGAGCCACTGCACCCAACCCTGCTTTTTTTTTTTTTTTTTTTTAAGAATATTTTAAATCTTGTCCTTAGAAACTATAAAGATTGTACATGATTTGGAAGTGAGACTGTACCAAACAATGGCCACTCTACGCCTTCTCTTTTGTCTGGTCCCTCAGAAATATAATGTTATCAGCTATGATTGCTGCCTCATGTTATTTGTATCCAAGTATTCACCATAGTTTACTTCCTTCCCACATAAATTCTAGACCTCTTTTTCATATACTGATGTGCCACACCTCTCAGGCTGGGTAGGAATACTGATGTTCTGCGCCGTGTTGACTTTTGACTGGCGTATCCATTTCAGCTAGGATTTCAAGACACTACGTCACCTATTATAGAAAAACTCCTTTCCTTTCATGGTCATACCCTAATAATCATCTTCCTAATTAGCTCTTTAGTACTGTACATTATTTCCCTAATATTAACAAGTAAATTAACCCATCTAAGCACCCATTTCGTATACCTCACTTTCCCTTGATTGCCATATCTCATTTGTGGGCAGAGAAAATGTGGTGACTAGATTTTTTTTCCCCCAACTATTAAATCACAGGGTCTTGGCCCACTTGCCAAAGTAACTGCACATGATTCAGAGATCTTTCAAAAACCAAACTGCTGGATATTTTGGACTCATGTCTTACAAACTGATGAAGCATCTGCAATACAGATCTTCAAAACATGACTTCTGCTTTCTTTTCTTACAATCCAATCTTTTGTCTTTTTCTGATGCTCTAGCCTGGACAGCCTCAAGCCAGAGGATCTGTTGGGAGGTGTTTAATTACTGATTCAACCTCCTCACTAGTTATTGGTCTGTTCAGATTTTCTTTTTCTTTATGATTCAGTCTTGGCAGGTTGTGTGTTTCTAGGAATATTTCCATTTCTTCTAGGTTATCCAATTTATTGGCATACAGTTGTTCATAGTATTCATTTTGTCTTAGTCTGTCTTTCATGGCTATAATAGAACACCTGAGGCTGGGTCATTTATAAAGAAAAAAAGTTTCTTTAGCTCATGGCTTTGGAAGCAGGAAAGTCCAAGATGGTGGCCACATCTGGTGAGGGCCTTGAGCTGCTGCATAGCATGGCAGATTAAGGGGAAGGGGAAGAAAGCCATGTGAACAGAGACAAGTACAAAGGGCTGGGCTGGGGCTGGCTTTATATCTACTTGCTTTTGAGGTAACTAACCAAGTTCCTAGAGAATAGCATTAATCCATTCATGAGGGCTCCACCCCTGCGACCCAAACACCTCCTACTAGTACCCACCTCCCAATACTGTGCATTAAGGAATTAAGGTCCCAACACCTGAACTCTTGGGGGACACAGTGAAACCACAGCACTCTTATAACCCATTTTATTTCTGTGGCATCTGTTGTATTATCTCCTATTTAGGCCAGGCTCGGTGGCTCACGCCTGTAATCCCAGCACTTTGGGAGGCCGAGGCGGGCAGATCACGAGGTCAGGAGATCGAGACCATCCTGGCTAACACAGTGAAACCCCATCTCTACTAAAAATACAAAAAAAAAAATTAGCCAGGTGTGGTGGCGGGCACCTGTAGTCCCAGCTACTCAGGAGGCTGAGGCGGGAGAATGGCGTGAACTCAGGAGGCGGATCTTGCAGTGAGCTGAGATGGTGCCACTGAACTCCAGTCTGGGCAACAGAGCGAGACTCCATCTCAAAAAAACAAAGAAAAAGAAAAAATCTCCTATTTCACTTCTGATTTTAATTATTTGAATCTTCTCTCTTTTTTTCCTTAGTTAATCTAGGTAAGGGTTTCTCAATTTTATTAATCTTTTCAGCTCTTAGCTTCATTGATCTTAGCTTCATCGATTTTTAAAATAATTTTTCTATTCTCAATTTTACTTATCTCTGCTCTAATCTTTATTATTATTTCCCTAAGATGGTAAATTTTATGCTATATTCCTTTTTTTTTTTTTTTCTGTGACAGGATCTTATTCTGTCACCCAGGCTGGAGTGCAGTGGTGTGATCATGGCTCACTGCGGCCTCAACCTCCCTGTCTCACGTGATCCTCCGGCCTCAGCCTCCCAAGTGGCTGGGACTATAGGTGCGCACCATCATGCCTGGCGAATTTTTAAAAATGTATTGTAGAGACAGGGTTTCTCTGTGTTGCCCAGGCTGACCTCAAATTTCTAGGCTCAAGTGATCCTCCTGCTGTGACCTCCCAAAGTGCTTGGATTACAGGCTTGAGCCACCATGTCCGGCCCTCAATGATCTTTTAATTCTAAGTGTAGTCATTCAAAATTCTTTAAGAATTCAGTGTGGGTATATTTGTCTCCTTTACTTTACATGTTCATAGCTCTCAAATGTTGGTACCGATCTGCTATTGTAATTTTGAGTCAATTATTCTCACTTTTCTGTAGAAGAAGCAGCATTATCAAGGGACTGAAGTTTGACGAAGAGATATGCTCGCAACTATTTTTCAACTTGACTTTTTCATCGTCACGTTTTCAAGTATTCATCCCACCAAAAAAGGTTGTAGTATGAAATGATACTGTTCTCTTAATTTTTTAAAAAGATAGCATTTATAACATTATTGTAGATATTCATATGTTTAACTTCAGAGATTTATTTTTCAAGAGCTTTATTTATCAACAATAAAACCAGCAATGATGTTACACTACCTCAGATGGCTTTAGGATGCTAATTGTGTTGTTGAAATTATACAGTCTAAACCACAGATGTGACTACTTTTACAGTAGCACTTAAAAAAAATCTAAAACCCCTCTTTGTTAAAACAAATGAAACCTAAAACACTACTGTGTACTGTATAATAGATAACAAAAATATTTCAAGACAATTAGACTTAGGTGCAATGTGAAATACATTTTTCTCTTTGGTTCTTAATGATTACCAGTGTCAGGTTCTTCTCTGTTTTTGCTTTGAAAACCAGAAATTCCCTTTCTTTCATCTAATTATTCCCATTATAAACTATATCACTTTGAACACATAAAGTAACTCCAACTCCACACAGTGGCTTCATCTGCAATTTAAATCTCAATGTCTCCCATTATTCCTGTTGAAGACTATTGCTTCAATGTAATTTATTCAACGTTTTTATTCAAAAGATATTATTAATTGCACATCAAACTATGTGCCAAGGCTCTATACCAGACACAGAATAGTGAATGGGAAAAACGTAGTCACTCTTGTGGAATTTATAGTCTAACTGGGAAGATGGATATTGAAGAAGCAATTATAAGGTTGATGAGTATTACAATAAAAGGGATTTAGAATGTTTGTTATGGGAATATTTCTTTTCCCTCTGGGCTTCAGGAGAATAAACCACTGGGTTAAAAAATATGACTGTATTTCCTCTCTAATTTCCTACTCCTGGCAACCCAAAAGAAAGATTTCACATAGGGAGTATCTGTATTAAGAAATAGAAACAAGTCCCTATGAATAATTTTTTCTTCCTTTTTAAGAAAATAGAAACATCCCTTTTAGCATGAGGCATATTTCTAACTTACAGCTGCTCACTCATAAGATTAGGTATTTATAACAATTCTGTTAGTTTTTTCTAGGTGGCTATAGCTGTTCTTCACATTTTATAAACTATTACTGTTTGGGAGATACTTAGAAACAACCTCAAAAAATGATTGCATTCTTAGTTTTTAAATAATAGTTAAGGCAGTTGTTAGGTCATATCTACAAATGGGTTTCATGAGAGACTTGAAGAGAATTTGTTGGTCTTAGATTTCTTGAAATGCCTGGGAGCTCTTAGAGAAAAGACCCTGTTGACTCTAAGGCCATGTTTACAAGTCAACAGTACAAAAGCATTTTTGCTATGAAAGTCATCTGGTGGATCTACAAGCACAGTTCAGCCTGACAGGGAATAAGTAAATGAATGACTTGATATCTTCCATAGAATCAATGGGCCAACCTCAACCCCAGTGTTAACAGCAGCTCAAAAGGGTAACCTAGCATTATCTTTTAACCAGGACTAGGCCAAAAATAAGATAAGTTACAGATTTACATGGAGAATCCTAATAGTATTTATGACAGGCCCAGAGACCAGCCCATTTATGTGAGTTCCTTTTTTTCTGTCACCCTCGTTCACAGAAGAGGGGAGTGGGTTTTGGCACTCAAGTCTTCCCCCAAACCCAGCCTCCTAACATCCCTGCTATAAAGGGAAGAATCTGTGAGACTAAGTTAGCATTTCTATAGAATTCATACATATTTTGACTGACAAGGAAAAAAGACAATAGACCTGGAATAATCAGGCTGTGCATTTGAGTGAATGTCAACTCCTTATGGTAGAAAGAGCCCTGAACTGGCCAGGCACGGTTAGCTCATGCCTGTAATCCCAGCACTTTGGGAAGCCGAAACTGGCAGATTGCATGAGTCCAGGAATTCCAAACCAGCCTGGGCAACATGGCAAAACTCCTTTTCTATAAAAATATTTAAAAATTAGCCAGGTTTCACGGCACGTGCCTGTGTCTCAGCTATTCAGGAGGCTGAGGCAGGAGGATCACCTGAACCTGAGAAGGTAGAGGCTATGAGCCATGATCACACCACTGCACTCCAGGCTAAGTGACAGAGGGAGACCCTGTCTCCAAAAAAAAAAGAAAAAAAAAGAAAAAAAAAGCACTGAACCCTGGGAAATGGGAAAATCTCTTAATTTCTCTGTCTCTTCTTGTTTTGTTTGTTTGTTTGTTTGTTTGTTTTTTTAATGGACTGAATTAGAAGGCATGTTCGTTCATACCTGTAATCTCAGCACTTTGGGAGGCTGAGGCTAGGAGTTTGAGACCAACCTGGGCAACATAGCAAGACCCTGTCTCTACAAAAAAATTTAAAAATTCGCCAGGCATTGGCCAACATGGTGAAACACCATCTCTACTAAAAATACAAAAATTAGGCAAGCATGGTGGCATGCACCTGTAGTCCCAGCTACTTGGGAGGCTGAGGCAGGAGAATTGCTTGAACCTAGGAGGCAGAGGTTTCAGTGAGCCGAGATTACACCACTGCACTCCAGGCTGGGCAACAGAGCAAGACTGTCTCAAAAAAAAAAAAAAAAAAAATTAGCCAAGCATGGTGACTTGTGCCTGTAGTCCCAGCAACTTGGGAGGCTGAGGGGGGAGGATCAATTGAGCCAGACAGGTTGAAGCTGCGGTGACCCATGATTGTGCCACTGCACTTTAGCCTGGGTGACAGAGCATGACCCTCTCTCAAAAAAAGAAAAAAAGAAAAAAAAGGTTTAACATCTGACATCTTAATAATTTGAGATACTTTTAAAATTCAGATTCTGATTAGTGGTCTGGGATGGGAATGGGGTGGAGGTAGGTGGGACTGGGGTTAGGGATAGGAGTGTGGATTGAGATGTGTTTTCTAAAAGCTCCAATCATGATTCTGCTGGGGGACCAGTCATGTTCTACTCTAAAATGCTCAGGGATGATTTCAGGAAACATAGGTAATAGCCACAAGTAATACACTTGTACTACCTGTACAAGTATTGCACTACATGAAGTTTTACAACCTGTGCTGAAAATATAATATTTGTTGTTCTTTCCTCCTATCTCCCAAAAGCTAATCTGGTTTGACCCCAGGATTATAAATAGTAATCACAATGATAAAGTTAATAATACTATAATTTACCATACGTCAAACACTGATTTCAAAATTTCATATCTTCATATAAGACTCTTTACAGTGCTGTGGGATACAGTATGACTATTAGCCCCATTTTACAGATGAAGAAACCAAGGCAAAGAGAAGCGAAGTAACTTACATATGACAACAGTATCACGCATAGCAAAGTATACCAGCTAGATTCAGGCTGGCTTAGGGAAACTTTCTGTCTGGAGAAACCCAAGTTGCTTCCCTCTAACATTGGGTGGCAGCGCGGTTTTATGCAAAAAGGCTAAGGCATTGGCATGAGACACTTATTCAAGGTCTGGCACAACCACTCACTAGCTATGTCAACTCAGGTGACCTTCCTTCACCTTGCTAGGTGTCTTCATCAGCTCAAGCTGCCATAGCAAAATACCATAGGTTGGGTGGCTTAAACATCAGAAATTTATTTCTCACAGATCTGGAGGTTAGGAAGTCCAAGACCAAAGTGCTGGCCAATTTGGTACCTGGTGAAGGGCTTCTTTCTAGTTTGAAGACAGACACCTTCTTGCTATATCCTCACATATCGGGGAAAGAAAGGGCTCTGGTCTCTGGTCTCTCCCTCTTTTATAAGGGCACTAATTCCATCATGAGGGCCCCACCCATATTGAGGCAGGAAATTAGGGTCTGGAGGCACGGAACATAAGGCCGATTCACACTTCAGCTGTGACAGGAAATATCCTCTCCACAGGGCATTCGCTGAGCAAACGACTTTGTAACTTTATTTCATCCTGTCCATTTACATGAGGTGTACACCAAGTAAACAATGGAATCCTCTGGAGGGTATTTAAACCCCTACAAATTCTGTAATGGTGCCCTAGAGCCCCTATGCTTGGGCCCGCTCCCACACTGTGGAGTGCACTTTCATTTTCAATAAATTTCTTCATTCTTTCCCTGCTTTGTTGGTGCGTTTTGTCCAATTCTTTGTGCAAGGTGCCAAGAACCTGGGCACCCTCCTCTAGTAACATTATGACTTCATTTAAACCTAACACTTCCCAAAGGGTCCCACCTCCAAATACCATCCCATTGGGGATTAAGGCCTCAACATTGAATTTGGAGAGACACAAACATTCAGTGCATTGCACTAAGATTCAGTTTCTTTATCTGCAAAATACGTATCACACCTATTTATAAGGTTTGAGAATGAAATAAGATGTTTATAGGCATTAGCCCAGGCTCATAATAAAACCAAAGGAAAACATTCAAAATAGGTATTGACTATGTATCAGGTACTTTTGAATAAAATGTTAAGAATGAAAATCACTTATTGAATACTATGTCTTCAGAGTTATGCTAAATGGGTTTATGTATTATATTCGTTTAATCCTCCATCACTCTTATGAAGTAGGTATGATGAAAACTGAGAGGTTGAATATTTTCCTGATGTCACAACTGGCAAATGGGAGCGGAACCTAGAGCCAGGGCATGCGCTCTGAGGTGGTCTGTGGTCTCTTCTGTTTAGACAGAAATATGCAAACAATTACTTAAATGTTCACAAAATAAATTTAAATGGATTTCTACTTAAAATAGTAGGAGAGAAATCCTCCTACTTAGGAGAGATTCCTCTAGTAGGAGAGGAATCCTTAGGAGAGATTCCTCTAATAGGAGAGAAATGCTCTACTTAAAATAGAAGGAGAGAAATCTGTTTTTCACCTTTATGGTCACCTTCTCTGCTGAGTAAAAATTGGAATACATGCTCTTACAATGGGACAAGGTGGCCAAAAAAGAACCCCGGAGTCGAATTCTCTTTCTTGCCTCTCTCTTCCTTCTTTGATGTCAGCCTTCCACTCTTGATGCCTATTCCTCCATGTTTACCCAAGGCCAACTTTGAGGGAGGAAACGTAGCTGTGAAAGCACTGGCCGGAGGGCAGCATTCTTTTCCAGTGCTAGAATTCTTTAGTGTATGAGCTGTCACCCAGCCCCTGGTTTTCTATCTCTGATTAGTCAAAGGGCTGTAGAAACATTTATACTCTCTCCTCTGGAAGAATTCTTCGGCACACTTTCCCACCTACATCCCAGCTTGAACACTGAAGGAACATCATGCTTAAACAGAGAAAAGCTTAGTTTTAGGGGAAACTGATAGACAAGCTGGGATTGAGTTTCCTTTTTAGGAACATTTTCTAGATTAAAGAAAATCAGTTCTACTCTTAATATGTTAAAAATGTGTCATGTGTTGGTTATGGAATTTGTGGGAAAAACTCAAGATGGTATTGAAGTGTTCTAAAGAAACTGCAGCGTCATCACAAAACTATACAAGTGATATTAGAAACAAAAGCTCTGACAGAAAAACCTCCTTTCAACAGAACCAGAAAAATGAATGCAACCACTGGATCACTGGCAGGATCCAAACACTTGGCTTCTCAAGGTAACCACTGAGAGGCTGGAGGTCAAGTTCAGGAAGGTACCATGTAGAAACCATACTATTCACCCAGCCAACTGGAGACAGTTAACCGATCACAAAGAAAAATGAAAATTGCAACTTCTAGAATTTAAAGGGGTTTGTCCCTGGAATCTTGGCTCTGTTAATGGCATCGACCCCTCAGGTTAATATTAAACAAACTACACTCTGGTATTCATTACCTTATCGTGAGCCAAAGGAAGATAAGCAAAATATGCAGGGCTCTGACACAGCTGGAGTGGGCCACGTAACAGAATAGCTCTTGAAGAGCCTTTTACTAGTACCGTCCTGGTAACAAATAACATTTAGTGATGATTAAATGAGTATTTATTCTCACCAAAGAAATATGCAAAAATTTCCTCATATATTTTTGTGTCTTAATCTCTTTTCTTTCCAATCTATAATTTTTCTTTAGCACAGGTTTTCTCATTCACTTAGTTTCAATGTTATTTAATCTTTATATAAATAGCCTTAAATCCCATAGAGAAATCAGCAGGTCACTAAACACTTAAATACTTATTAAGAAAATGACAGAAGAAATTTTTTCTATCTTCCTCTTTCGCTTCTCTTTTTAAACGAAGGTTGGTTGACAGTCGGGTGATCTCAGGCCTAAAGTATTTGGCTTTCCCCATTGTTCAGGACTCCGGGTAAGCCTTGGTAGGCGAGTGATCTACAATTAAGATGACAATCCCCACCCCCCTCCTTTGCATTTAGAAGTTGGGCCTTTGGGATTTTACAGTGTGCTAGCACTCTTAAAGACTATTCATATTAACTGCCTTTTTGGTTGATAAATTTGTATATCAGGGTAGTTATTATAACTACCCTGAGCTAAAAAATGAACTAGAGATTTTTGCAAATATGCAAAAACTGCTCTTACTTTGGAAAAAAGCAAAAAAACAAAAAACAAACAAACAAAAACCCCCAACAATCTCAGCTTTCATAATTAATTTCAAAGAACAACCATCAGAACAGTATTTTTTCCCCAAAGTGGGAAAATTGAAAAATATATATATTTTAAAAGATTTTGGAACTGCAGAACAGACAAATGTCCCAACTCTTAAAATCTGAAGTTAATAAACGGCTCAAAAATCTTGCTGAGCTAATTAATTAGACCTGTTCCCCAAACACTCCCTGTTGTCTTGAAGTTGAAGGAAGAAAAGGCTCTTTTTCCCACCCCTCCCCCATCCAGCAGGAGGAGCTGGAAATAGAGACTTGGTAAGTGGACTCCCGAAAGGGTTATCCCTTTCCAGTAAGCCTAGGTACAGTTAGTGCTACTAGGACAGGATGCTGGCTGAGTACAAGCTCAGCCGGAATTCCCAAAACAGAGGCACAGCTGGGGTGGGGCAGAAGCAGAGTCCTCCAAATTCACAGCTGCTACCAGTTTCAAAACTGTTTTTAGAAGCCGCAGGGCTGGGAGTGGAACAGGTTCTGTTCACTTAGTGTGGCTCAGTTTGCAATTCTGGGACAGGAGCCAGGTAGAGGATTTTCTCCCATAATTCTTAAAGATGACGTGTGCTCTCCGGAGAGATGTAACATTACAGACTATTAGAACTCGGTGGGCCTTGGGAGGTCTTCTAGTGGATCCATCCACTCATCCTACAGGCCAGGCAGTGGAGGCTCAAAAAGTTAAGCAACTTGCCTAAGGTCACATAAATGGCCTCTGACAGAGCTAGGACTCTGTTAGCTCAGAAAACCCAGTATTTTCTTCCAACTCATTTATAGTTGGTTATCCAAATCAAAATTACATTAAAATTTTCAGATATAAAACATAAACTTTGGCACATATATTTAAATTTTAACTGTAGTAAAATACACATGACATAAAATTTATCATCTTACCCATTTTTAAATGTACGATACAGCAGCATTAAGTAAATTCACATTATTATATATATATTTAATTTGGATTCCATTTCTACCATTTTATTTTATGCATTCTATTGTTCCGCCTTTTCTACATTCTTTTATATTCCTTCTTTACTTTTTTGGATTACATTTCATGTTTTATTTTTTCTTATTCTATTTTTTTCTTTTACTAGTTTAGAACTTATATCTTTGTTTTTTATATTTTATGGGATGTCCTAGAATTTATAGCATATATATAAAAATGTATATACACACACATACATATATATACGCATGTATATATGTGTGTACTTTAATGAAGTGTGTAATTTAATAAAGTCTTAAGTTAATCAATGTTTTACCCTCCTGAACAAAACACATACCTTTGGTTTTTTGTTTTTTATTTCCTTTAAAATTTTTTATTTCTATAGGTTTTTGAGGAACAGGTGGTATTTGGTTACGTGAGTAAGTTCTTTAGTGGTGATTTGTGGGACTTTGGTGCACCCATCTCCCGAGCAGTATACACTGAATCCAATTTGAGTCTTTTATTGTTCACCCCCCACCCCCATGTACATATATTTAAATGCTGAGTATCTACATGGCAATTGAAAGGGTCAGTGAAAAATGTCTTCCCCTGGGCCTGGCGCGGTGGCTCACGCCTGTAATCCCAGCACTTTGGAAGGCCGAGACAGGCAGATCACAAGGTCAGGAGTTCAAGACCAGCCTGGCCAACATCGTGAAAACCCATTTCTACTAAAAATGCAAAAATTATCTGGTTGTGGTGGCAGGCACCTGTAATCCCAGCTAATTGGGAGGCTGAGGCAGGAGAATCATTTGAACCTGGGAGGCACAGGTTGCAGCAAGCTGAGATTGTGCCACTGCAATCCAGCCTGGGTGACATGAGCAAAACTCCGTCTCAAAAAAAAAAAAAGTCTTTCCCATTATCAGTCAGTTATTTAATGGACACATACCACGTGACTCTACATGGTGGGATCAGACAGCCTCTGGGCCCTCAAGGAGCTTATCATTTGTTTAGGAGACTCAATATATAAACAGAAGACAACTATAAAAGGCAGTATCTGATATGTTTTAAATGATGGTACTCACAGTAAGTGTGAAGAATCCAAAGGACACAATCATTATGAGATGAGTACTCAGGAAAAGCTTCAACGAGAAGGTAGACTTGCGCTACATTAATATGAGCAGGCACTCCAGATGAAAGAACAGAGTGACATGGGGGTGAGCTGTAAAAGATGTTCAACAAAAAGTGACTAGAAAAGTCTCAGAGTATCCAGCATGGGTTGGTATTAGACTATAGATAAATGGCCATTACACACTGATATTATTAGATATTAGATAAATGGCCAGTTTTATCTTGTAAGCAATTGGGAGCCATTGAAGATTTTTGAATAACATGATTACCATGTTTACAAGTTGATTTGATGGCAAAGTGTAGGATGGATTGAAGGAGGAAGAGTTGTTTGAGTGAGGCTAGTTAAGACGCCAATACAACAGTTCAAGTACAAAGGCAAGTTCAAGTACAGTGGTAGGATTGGACATTGATAATGTAGATATGTAAAAAATATATAATGAACAATCAATAGAACTTTTTAATTGCCGGGTGCGGTGGCTCGCGCCTGTAATCCCAGCACTTTGGGAGGCGGAGGCAGGCAGATCACGAGGTCAGAGATTGAGACCATCCTGGCTAACATGGTGAAACCTCGTCTCTACTAAAAATACGTAAAATTAGCCGGGCGTGGTGGCACGCACCTGTAGTCCCAGCTACTCAGGAGGCTGAGGCAGGAGAATTGCTTGGACCCGGGAGGCGGAGCTTGCAGTGAGCCAAGACCGTGCCACTGCACTCCAGCCTGGGCAACAAAGCAAGACTCCGTATCAAAAAAAAAAAGAACTTTTTAATCAATTAGATTTTGAGTGTGAGGAGGAGAGGCAGGAATACTAGGTTCAAGCTGGAGTGATGAGAAATGTGGTTCCAGTTGAATGGATTGGGTAAGTGAAGCGAGGGAAATAATATGGAAGGGAAGTTCAGTTTTAGATATGCCAATACGGAAAAAATAGACATCCAAGCAGAAAAGAGAAAGTCCTTTAAAAAATGTATAGAGCTGTACAACTGCAAGGCATGACTATTCAAAACATTTTTCAACAAATGCTTTTGGTTTTTATCTGCATCTTTGGGCACAGTTTCAACAGTATTGGTCTCACCAGCTTAACCAGCTGAGATGGGAAGGATTAAGTTGATCACAATGTATGACATACTCTTCATACAGAAGTTTAAGGCTTGTAACTCAAAGCTTACAAAATGTCACTTTTACTTTATAATAATGGAGAAATAATTGGAGACATAAAAGCTTTGAGTACTCTATTCAATTGAGAATATTCCTATGGGAAATGAAAAATGCAGTCAACAAACTTATGATTGTTTTATGTTAAGCTGCTGGGTTTAAACATTTCAACCTGATGTTTTTCGTATGAAATAAATTTAGAAAATATTGTGTAAGATGGTTGCGTACTAACAGTGTTGGGATCAGATCAAATGAAGCTTCATTGTTTATAAAGTCACTTAATTTTCCACTATTGTGACCTAGAAATGTTGAGCCACAAAGCAAAGGGAGCTTTGTTAACTATGAAGTAAACAGGACTCTGTAGTTTTCCTCCTTTCTTTCTCTTACCAGGAAGGACTTATTGACTGCCACAGTAGGCATAATGCCTAGGGATCATGATACTTTTAAGAGGCCTATGAAATTCTACTAAATTTTGCCTGAGAAGGAAAAAAATTGAAATATTTAAAGTTATATCAAAAATAAATTTTAATATTAATGTTACAGTGTGAGGGGCCCACATAGTCAAAGTGCCTAGGCCTCATGACAGTCATAATGCAGCCCTGCCTCCTATACTTAAACCCTCTCCAATTCTAACCATAAAACCATGGCTTTTTGCATTATTCTGCATACATGTATAAATTCTGTGAGCCTGTTTTTTCCAATTTTTATTAAAATATATTTAAACATATATATATATATATATATATATATATATTTTTTTTTTTTTTTTTTTTTTTTTTTTTTTTTTTTGAGACAGAGTTTCACTCTTGTTGCCCAGGCTAGAGTGCAATGGTGCAATCTTGGCTCACTGCAACCTCCATCTCCCGGATTCAAGCGATTCTCTTGCCTCAGCCTCCCAAGTAGCTGGGATTACAGGCATGCACCACCATGCCCAGCTAATTTTGTAGTTTTAGTAGAGATGGGGTTTCTCCATTTTGGTCAGGCTGGTCTCGAACTCCCGACCTCAGGTGATCACCCCCCACCCCCCTCCTTGCCTCTCAAAGTGCTGGGATTACAGGCATGAGCCACCGTGCCCGGCCCATAAACATAATTTTAATTATCACCAAGTTCCACAAAGTTTGCAAAGAAAATTGTCTCCCAACCCCTTATTTTCCATATCCCTTTTCCCAGAGGTATCTATTTTTAACTTTTAAACATGCTTCATCTGTTATGTAACTCCATTTCTCTACATAAGACACTTGTAATGTTACTTTTTTTTTTTTAGGTTTAGACATTACCTATTGACTTCCCTTCATGAAGATGAGGATTTATGTATCTTTTGTCCTCCACCCTTACCAAATAAAGTCATAGATACTTCTAAGCTATTCATTCTCCTTATTTAGATTTATCTTATTTCTGAATAACTCAGTGTTCAGGGTTAACATTGCTGTGACTCTGTAGGCTATTCAGTGTCCAGCCATATGGGCAACTATGATGACATTTTCTTGACTGTACAACTTGTAGTTTTTCCTCAGTTAAGAATTGTCATGTTTTCTCATTTGCCCAATTTTCTTTGTACACATTTATCCCTAATCCATACTCCTCACCAGATGGTTAAATCTTTTCTTGATACATTCATTAATGTTGGGTGTTATCTCAGTTTTATTGTCTTAAGTTTCTTCTGGAGCACTTAGGAGTAAAAGTCTCCAGATGGGTTGCCCCCATGCTTGGTGCATCATCCTGAGTAAGTGTGGGAATTCCTTTTGCATTTCTTCTATGTTACATCTGTTTTACCCTGTAACTCTTGTGTTCATTTTTCTAGACTTACTCCATTATTTTGGTGGTGCACATCCTGCAGTAACTCCCTCAGAAAAATATGTGTATGGGAGAGGGGTAAATTTTTTTTTTTTTTTTTTTAGTCAGAGTCTGGCTCTGTTGCCCATGCTGGAGTGCAGTGGCCCCATCTTGGCTCACTGCAAGCTCCGCCTCCCAGGTTCACGCCATTCTCCTGCCTCAGCTTCCCGAGTAGCTGGGACAACAGGTGCCCACTACCACACCCGGCTAATGTTTTGTATTTTTTAGTAGAGATGGGGTTTCACCATGTTAGCCAGGATGGTCTTGATCTCCTGACCTCGTGATCAGCCCACTTCAGCCTCCCAGAGTGCTGGAATTACAGGCATGAGCCACTGTGCCCGGCCTAAAATTTTTGACTAAAAGATATGCACCCTCACACTTAGTTCAGAAGTTGGACAGATATTTAAGACAATCCTAAGCAAAAAAGAACAAAGCTGGAGGCATCCTACTACCTGACTTCAAACTATACTACAAGGCTACAGTAACCAAAACAGCATGGTACTGGTACAAGAATAGACATTTAGACCAATGGAACTGAATAGAGAACTCAGAAATAAGACTGCACACCTACAGCCACCAGATCTTTGACAAATCTGACAAAAACAAGCAATGGGGAAAGGATTCCCTATTTAATAAATGGTGCTGGGAGAACCAGCTAGCCATATGCAGAAACTGACACTGAACCCCTTCCTTACACCTTATACAAAAATTAACTCAAGATGGATTAAAGACTTAAATGTAAGCCGGGTGCGGTGGCTCACGCCTGTAATCCCAGCAGTTTGGGAGGCCGAGGCAGGTGGATCACCTGAGGTCAGGAGTTGGAGACCAGCCTGACCAACATGTCAAAACCCCATTTCTACTAAAAATACAAAATTAGCCGGGTGTGGTGGCACGCGCCTATAATCCTATAATCCCAGCTACTCAGGAGGCTGAGGAGAATTGCCTGAACCCGGGAGGCAACCCAAATGCCCATCGATGATAGACTGGATAAAGAAAATATGGTATATGCATACCCATGGAATACTATGCAGCCATAAATAACAATGAGATCGTGTCCTTTGCAGGGACATGGATGGAGTTGAGAGCCATTATCCTCAGCAAACCAACGCCAGAACAGAAAACCAAACACCACATGTTCTCACTTATAACTGGGAGCTGAATAATGAGAACACATGTACACATGGCAGGAAACAACACACACTGGGGCCTGTCAAGGTGGGGTGGGTATGGGGAGAGGTAGGGCATCAGGAAGAATAGCTAATGGATGCTGGGCTTAATACCTAGGTGATGGGATGATCTGTGCAGCAAACCACCATGGCACATGTTTACCTATGTAACAAACCTGCACATCCTGCACATTTACCCCTGAACTTAAAATCAAAGTTAAAGGAAAAAAATAAAAAAAAGAAATTGGCTAGATATTTAATACTATTTAGAAATTATTTCCCTTCGGAATTTTGAATGCGTTACCCCATTTTCTTGTAACTTTCTGTGTTGCTGCTGAGAAGTTCAGAGCCCTTTTGATTTCTGATACTTTGTATGCAATCTTCCTTCCCCCACCCACCAGGAAACTTGTAAAATCTTCTCATCGACCCCATTGTCTTAGTCAGTTTGGGTTGCTAGAACAAAGTACCATAGACTAATTGGCGTATACACAACACAAATTTTTGTCTCACAGCTCTGGAGGCTGGAAGTTCAAGATCAGAGAGCCAGCATGGTCAGGTTCTGGTGAGGGCCTTCTTCTAGGTTGCAGGTGGCCTTCTTCTTGTTGTATCCTGACTTGGCAGAAAGAGGGAAAGAGTTCTGTGGGGTCTCCTTTTATAAGGACACTTATTCCACTCATGAAGCTCCACCCTCAAGACCTAATTACTTCTCGAAGGACCCACCTCCTAATACTATCACATTGGGGGTTAGGATTTCAACATATAAACTGGGGGTGGGGGAGACATCAACATTCTGTCCCTAGGTCCTGTGTTCTGAACTAGCTCTGTTATGTGTCTTAGTGTGGATATATTTTCATTGCTGGATACTCAGTGAACCCTTTCACACTGCAGACATGTATCCTTCAATTTTCAGAAATCTTAAATTATTTCATTGATGAAATAATTGCTTTTTCTAATCTATCTTTGAGGAACTTCTTCAGGACTGGCCTTTTAATTTGCCTATGTTTTACCTGTTATTTTACATGCTGTTTTCTTTCTTTCTGGGAGATGTCTTCAACCTTCTCTTCCAATCCATCTATTGAGTTTTCATTTTTACAACGTTTAAATTTATTTTTTGTTCTCTGTAAATTTATTTTGTTTCATTAATTTTTGTTTCATTAATTTTAAATCTTCGAATACCTCTCTCTCTCTATTATTATTATTATTATTATTATTATTATTATTATTATTGAAAGATGGGGGGAAACAGCCAGGCACAGTGGCTCTTGTCTGTAATCCCAGCACTTTGGGAGGCTAAGGTGAGTGGATTGCTTGAGCTCAGGAGTTCAAGACCAGCCTGGGCTACATGACGAAACCCTGTGTCTACAAAAAATGCAAAAAAATTGCTACTCATGGTGATACACACCTGTAGTTTCAGCTACTTGGGAGGCGGAGGTGGGAGGATTGCTTGAGCCCAGGAAGTGGAGTTGCAGTGAGCTGAGATCACACCACTGCACTCCAGCCTGGGCAACACAGCAAGACCCTGTCTTGAAAAAAAAAAAGTGGGGGTCGGGCACAGTGGCTCACTCCTGTAATCCCAGCACTTTGGGAGGCTGAGGCAGGGAGATCACCTGAGGTCAGGAGTTCGAGACCAGACTGGCCAACATGGTGAAACCCCATCTTTACTAAAAATACAAAAAATTAGCCAGGAATGGTGGTGGGCACCTGTAATCCCAGCTACTAGGGAGGCTGAGGCAGGAGAATTGCTTGAACCAGGAGGTGGAGGTTGCAATGAGCCAAGATCGCACCACTGCACTGCAGCTTGGGTGACAGAGCCAGACTCCGTCTCAAAAATAAAAAAATAAAATAAATAAAAAAAAAAAAGATAGGAGGTTGCATTAGTTCGTTTTCACACTGCTGATAAAGACAAACCCGAAACTGGGAACAAAAAGAGGTTTAATTGGACTTAGAGTTTCACGTGGCTGGGGAGGCCTCAGAATCATGGCAGAAGGTGAAAGGTACTTCTTACATGGCTGCAGCAAGAGAAAATGAGAGAAGAAGCAAAAGTGGAAACCCCTCATAAACCCATCATATCTCATGAGACTTATTTACTATCACGAGAATAGCACAGGAAAGACCGGCCCCCATGATTCAATTACCTCCTCCAAGGTTCCTCCCACAACACGTGGGAATTTTGGAGATACAATTCAAGTTGAGATTTGAATGGGGGCACAGCCTAACGATATCAGGGGTCTTGCTGTGGTGTCCAGGCTGGCTTCTAACTCCTGGGCTCAAGTGATGCTTCTGCATAGCTGGGACTACAGGCATGTGCCACCTTGCTGGACTCCTCTCTATAGATATTAATACTAATTTTAAAAGAAGTTTAAATTTTTTTTTCCTGACAACCTAGTCTTTGTTACTTTCAAGTTGCCTTTTGCTGTTTATGTATTTTATTTCAACATTTGTGCGAGAGGCTATCCTCGGATGTCTGATAATTCTTGACTGTCTGCTTATGATTAAGGGTATCACAATACACAGCCGAGGAGAAGCTCTCCCTACATGGGTGGCTTTCATTACTTCACTGACATGGGTAGCTATTTTGGCTTGGAACCTCCACTGTCTATCTTACGGTGTTTCTTCTTGGGCTGTTCAGATTCCCCATAGAAGGCACCTTCAGCCTCCTGTATGAATGGGGAAGGCCTGGCTGCCTGTATTCTGGTTGTCATACTGGGAGAGGAGGCAGGTGGTGTTGATCCTCCTTGTTTTTGGTACAGTTCCCCTACCTTGACTTGGTTCCCTGGTCTAGAGATCCTCTGGTTTCTCTGTTCCAAAAACACAGTTCTAATCTTCTTCTGGGGTTGCAGCTGCCTAGTTTTGTAGGGTGGGTCAAGGAATTGAGGAATCTAACTATTTCTTTCAACCAATCCTTTTGATCCTGTCCCCACCACCCTCCACTTTCAGGGTACTTGGTGCCTTCAATTCCTGGGCTTTTGCCTGACATTTCAGTGGAAATTATATATGTATTTTTCTTAGCTGCCCTTGCTGCTAACTTAGGATTAGGCTTTTTCAGGCCTGCAAAGTCAATTTCCATTTGGCCATGTTCTTTCCTCCTTCAAAGGTGTTGTTGTCATTATCTCCCTCTCCTTGGAGTTCTATGCCTTAAAATAAGTCATTTTGGTGTAGTTTCGGTAGGGTTTGGGAAGAAGCAAAGAGAGTTCAATCTCCATCTTTACCTGGAAGTCACTGCAATTGAGTTTTTGATTATAAAGAGTTTGAACAGCCTCTTGTTGCCAGGGCAACATGGCGAAACCCAGCCTCTACAAAAAAATAAAAAAATTAGCCAGGCGTGGTGGCGGGTAGTCCCAGCTACTCTGGAGGCTGAAGCATTAGGATCACTCAAACCCAGGAGGTGGAGGTTGCAGTAAGGTGAGATCATGCCACCGCCCATCAACCTGGGCGACAGAGGGATACCCTGTCTCAAAGATAAAAAAAAGGTTAGAAGGCCAGGAGAGGTGGCTCAGGACTATAATCCCAGCACTTTGGGTGAACAAAGTGAAACCCTGTCTCTACAAAACATACAAAAATTAGCCAGGTGTGGTGGCCCATGCCTGTATTCCCAGCTGCTTGGGAGACTGAGGTGGGAGGATCACTTGAGCCTAAGAGGTGGAGGCCACAGTGAGCAGTGATCGCGACACTGCACTCCAGCCTGGGCGCCAGAGACCCTGTCTCAAAAAAAAAAAAAAAAAATTGAGTATTTAGTTTTTTATATAAATACAATAACTTATGGGGCTTTTGAAATTTTGGATAACATTTTATAAGCATCTACGATCATCTGGCCAGTCTTAACACAGTGTTTTTTCTCCTCTTGTGTTGCTATAAAGGAGTACCCAAGGCTGGGTAATTTATAAAGAAAAAAGGTCTACTTGGCTTGCAGTTCTGAAGGTTGTACAGAAAGCACCAGCATCTGCTTCTGCTGAGGGACTCAGGCTGCTTCTACTCATGACGGAAGGGGAAAGGCAGCCAGAGTGGGCAGATCACCTGGCCAAAGAGGAGAAGACAGAGGGTGGGAGGGAGATGCCAGGCTTGGTTCTTTTGGGTTTTTTTTTTGAGACGGAGTTTCGCTCTTGTTGCCCAGGCTAGAGTGCAATGGCACAATCTCAGCTCACTGCAACCTCCACTTCCTGGGTTCAAGAGATTCTCCTGCCTCTGCCTCCTGAGTAGCTGGGATTACAGGTGTGCACCTCCACGACTGGCTAATTTTGTGTTTTTAGTAGAGACGGGGTTTCTCCATGTTGGTCAGGGTGGTCTCGAACTGTCGACGTCAGGTGATCCTCCTGCCTCAGCCTCTCAAAGTGCTGGGATTACAGGCTCTTTTTAACAAGCAGTTTTCAAGGGAACTAACTGAGTGAAAACTCACTTATTACCTCAAGGACTGTACCAAGTGCTTCATGAGGGATCCTCCCCCATGAACTCAAACACAACAACTCCCATCAGACTCCAACATTGGGGATCAAATTTTAACATGACATTTGGAGGGAACAAATATCCAAACTATATCACACAGCTATTGCATTAACCCAATGTTTTGCAAACTTGAGTAATGTTCTAACCCTTCTTAAGGAAAAATGAAATCTATAGATTCCTGGGCTGAATTACATTATTTTAATTACAACGTTATTTAAATGTGTACAAACAGGCGGCCGGGCGTGGTGGCTCACGCTTGTAATCCCAGCACTTTGAGAGGCCGAGGTGGGCAGATCACGAGGTCAGGAGATCGAGACCATCCTGGTTTACACAGTGAAACCCCGTCTCTACTAAAAATACAAAAAATTAGCTGGGCGTAGTGGCGGGCACCTGTAGTCCCAGCTACTCGGGAGATTGAGGCAGGAGAACAGTGTGAACCTGGGAGATGGAGCTTGCAGTGAGCCGAGATCGTGTCACTGCACTCCAGCCTGGGCGACTGAGCGAGACTCAGTCTCGAAAAAAAAAAAAAAAAGAAAGAAAGAAATGTGTACAAACAAGCTTGCACTATTTATACTTATAGCTCTTGTCCATTTATATAAGACAAAAAAACCAATACAACAAAAGCACATATTTAATTCAAATTAACTACATAAATTTAATGTGACAGATTATTTTAATGGAGCAGAATTGCTGCTCTAAATATGAATATGATGCTTATTGCTGTGTCATGGGTTCTTTCAAGCTCTTCATCCATCTGCTACAATGTGTTGCATGAGAGACAAATTTGTCCATCTCTCCCTGAATTTGAAACACAGAGAAACCATTTTTCAGATAGCAAGGTTTGTTGCCATACAAGCATGACTTAGCAAGAATGCATCTTTTACCTACTGAGCCTGCATCTGTTCTTATTATATTAGTCTCTAACAAATATGACACAACTTCATGACGCCAAGGGGATCATAAATGTGAAAAAGAATTTTGCTCTTCTTTTAATTTAAACATATTTTCTGAGGAATGTTTTGTGCTGCCCACATGAGTTGACTGGTGACACCAGTCGGTCCTTAGCTCTCTGGGAAGCTTTCCTGGAGAAGGTGACCGTTTTATCAAAGCAGGAAAATAGTATGTACTTATGTAGAATTACAGAAATGAAAAGCACCTTTTCCTGGATTTTCTTCACAAAGTAAGAGCAAATACTAGGCGAATAAAGCTGCCTATTGGAAGAAGGGTACATTTGATGTGGCAATACCATTTCATTCTCGGGCAGATGGCCACCAGTTTGAGGTCTGTGGTAATTTGAAGTATACTGAAAAGCAATGTGACCTAATTTTGTAAAACAAAATAGTTGACTTTGTTAAAATAATCAATATTTTAAAATTGTCTGCATGACTCCAATAGATTGTCCCAATATTTTCCTCTTTTACTGCAATGGACTGCTTGGGATTTCCCCTAGGCTCATATAGCTAGAAATGCCCAGTAATCACTGGGAGGCACTTATCAGTGCATTGGAGCCCCTTGCTAGTTCCCCAGAGAAGAAATCCACATAGTGTCTGGTCCTGCCCCTCCAGGCCCTCGATTTAAGATGGGAAACTCATGTTTATTTGAGACAGGGTCTCAGCCTGTCACCGAGGCCGGAGTGCAGTGGCATCATCACTGCTCACTGCAACCTCGAACTCCCAGGCTCAACCGATCCTCCCACCTCAGCCTCCTAAGTAGCTGGGTCTACAGGCCTGTGCCACCACGCCGGGCTAATTTGTATTGTTTTATTTTTTATTTTTTGGTAGAGACAGAGTCTCAATATGTTGCCCAGGCTAGTCTCTAACTACTGGGCTCAAGTGATCCCCCCTGCCTCGGCCTCCCAAAGTGCTGGGATTAGAGGCATGAGTCCCTGCACCTGGCCACGTGTTTGAAAGGCAGAGTAAGAACGCAGAAGAATTTGGCATCCATCTAAAAACTATGAGAGTTTTCTAGAAGGAAATAATGGTTGATAAGGCAGGGCCAGCTGATTAATACCATAACTTGGTCAGGCGCAGGTGTAAGTCATGTTGGCCATCTCTCCTCAATACAGAGAGGCAGTGCCCAGAGGGAGGAGTCCCGGAAGCAGGGAGGGGGGTGGGGGAATGGGCCATAGAGACACCAGATCCCTTAGAAATCAGCTGACAGTTTAGAGTCAGCCTTCCAGAGGGGCATCAGAAACATTGAGCTGACCTCATCCAGCCTTCCTGTCGGATGAGTTGCACTGGAGCAGGAGGATGCACAATCCAGGCTAGAGGGGTGTATCTTCTTGCAAGTGAATTGCAAGGGTGTGTCCAGGAACCCGAACCTTGCCTCTGGGCAAGGAAGCTGCAGAGCTACACTGAGGGTTAGGGCTCTTGCCAAATAGGCTGCGATTTAGGGCACATTCCAGTTCCAATAGCCAACTGGAGTCTGGCAGGAGAACCAGTGCAAAACTAGACATAGAAGATGTCTGATCATGGCCTGGAAATCTAGATGGTAATCCCCCATCCCCTGCATACCAGGCTAAGACTGCAAATGTGTTTGGGTTTAGCATGTGTTAGGGAGCTAGGGAGACCACCCAGGACTCCAACAAAAGGAAATGCTCCTCCTGCCGCTTGCCACCATTCATACATATTCCATGTCTTCCTTTGCCTGAAGCCTTCTCATAGGCCTGCTCTTTTCCTGATTAATTTTTATATTGAACTGGGCTCATTCAGTTGCAAGTGACAGAATTCCAATACACATTAACATTCAGGATAAAGGGAGTGATAGGGCACTGCCGATGGGCATGGAAGCCAGCGACTCTTGCATTCTCAGCTTTCTCTGTATATTTTCAGCTCCCGGTGCAATGGTTTAATTTTCTCCTTCTATAGAAGTGGAACTCCAGCCAGTAGTAGGAGCAGGAGAGGGGAATGGAGGGAGTTTGTCTCAATTTTATGTCACTCCAGTTTACTAATTCCAAAGGAAAAAAGAAAAAGGTAACTTTCCCTTTCAGTGTTACCATGAAAACGCCTAGCAAGGACTATTATGGGCTTAACTTGGATCTCTGGTCCCTGCTTAGACTAATTACTGTGGTTGGGGAAGGGGCCCTATGATTGGCTATTCCTAGGTCATGAGCCCACCCCCAGGCTCAGTGATTGACAGTCCCACAAAATGATTGACAGCCACACAAAATCTAATTGGAGCAGAAAAGGAAATCTCCAAAGGAAGGAGTAATATTCCTTCAATAAGAGTGGAAAGATGTTGGGCACAGCAAGACAACAGGTGCCTTTTAGGATTCCTACTCAACCACTAAGGCTCAACTCAGGTGTCACTTCTTGGTACTGCCCATTCCTGTCCTTTCTATTGGGTTATGTGTCCCTCTCCTGGCTCATGTTACATTTTGGCTGTACTGGTGTACCCTATTAATTTATAATTGTCTATCTATGTGTTGGTCTTTCTCACGAGACAGTGAGCTCTTTGAAGGTAACCACTGTGGCCTATCCCATTTGCATATCCTGCTTTGCAGCAGATAATGGAAGTTCCAGGAATGTTTTCAATAAAGAATGAATGAAGACAATCACAAAATGGCAGCCAATCCTCTTGAGTTAAGAGAAAGGGGAAAGGAACATAATAAAAGTAAAAAGTACCAGATTTGGTGGTAAATGCTTTATGTTAACTAACTCATTTGATTCTCACAACACTTGCAGAAGGTATTACTCTTTCTACTTTACAGGTAGGAAGCTAAAGGTTAAGTTCCACAAGCTTACATGGCTAATAGCCTTCAATATCATAATGAGTACTTAGGTAACTAAAATCTAGACCAGTTCTCTTTCGGCTACGCTCGCTTTCTTCCCCCACCTTCTCCCCTCTTCTTCTGGTTAACAATGAACTCATGTAACATAGGGATCTTCTCTTTTCACTTCTCAGTAATTTGGACACTTTCCCCCAATAGATTGTTTTATTTTACCTAAAGGTATTCCCTGATCAGCTTTGTATCTTTCATTTGCTTCTTTGTAAAATCAGAGGGTTGGCCGGGGGCAGTGGCTCACGCCTGTAATACCAGCACTTTGGGAGGCTGAGGCGGGCGGATCACGAGGTCAGGAGATCGAGACCATCCTGGCTAACAAGGTGAAACCCCATCTCTATTAAAAATACAAAAAATTAGCCGGGCATGGTGGTGGGCGCCTGTAGTCCCAGCTACTCGGGAGGCTGAGGCAGGAGAATGGTGTGAACCCGGGAGGCAGAGCTTGAAGTGAGCCGAGACCACGCCACTGCACTCCAGCCTGGGAGACAGAGCGAGACTCTGCCTCAAAAAAAAAAAAAAAAAAAAAAAAAAAAAAAAATTCAGAGGGTTGATGGAAAGACTCTGTAAAATCTTTTTCAGCAACAACATTATAAAATTATACAAATTAAATTAAGCCAAGAAAAATTTATAAGTAGGATAAACTCAGCGTAGACTGTGTTTTGTTCAGTTTTCCCCGAAGGTGGTGCTCTGGGTTTCCCATCCTCCACCCTCTCTGCGTCTCTTCCTTCTCTTTTTGGCGCTTCCTTTATTCTCCCATTTTGATCAATCAGTTGCTCTTCTCTGCCCAACAACTTAGTGCTTTTATTTTGCCCTTAGCTTCTTTGGATTCCACATTTCAGCTCCTGTATTCTCAATATTCCTGTCCTCCTTGTCCTCTCATCATTAAACTTTCTCTTCAGAGCCTCATTTCCTCAGAACTGGGCCATGCTTCCTACCACCTGTGCAGGTTAAATTGCCAGGAATAGTCCTAGGGTTTTACCAATTGTAGGTAACCTCCAGGGTGGTCCGAATCGAATGAAACACTTGAATTCAAAGAGATAAAGCTAATCACGGGTATTTCATAATTATGATTGATTCAGTATGGATTTTTTTTTGGTAGGGCAATTTCTTGACCCCTCCAATCATCCAAAGTGGCCTATTTAAGGCCAGCACCCCAGGGCACAGGGGCTCAAAGTGTGGCTCCTCAGCTATTCTGATCTAAAGCTAAGGCATGTTAAACCTGCAGCTTCCTGGGCCCCACCAGGCCTAGTCAATCAGAATTTCTGGGGAATGGCAATCAATCTGAATTTAAAATATATTCTCTGGGTAATTCTTGAGTGCATTAAGTTGTAAGGAACTCAGCCTTTGTACTATTTATTTTCTAAAAGTTTCATGTGCTATTATTTTTTGTTTCTTCAATTCTATTACAAAAATTTATATGATAAAATTTTATCAACTCGCACACATACTAGACGTTTGACTGAAGAATTTACCAACAATACTCAGCAAAAATCCAGTATCTATTACACACAAGCTCCAGATTTATACTTTTTTTACCTGAAAAATATAAGAAAGGCTAAATTCCCTAAACTTTCCTCCTCTCTTAAATGCTTGTATGTGGGGCTTTAATTATAGTCAATACCAAAGGTAAAGCTAAAGGAGTGTCTTGTTTTTTTATACATTGTGTATTTTCCCCTGTTTCTACTGTTTAAAGAAAAACTGCATTTATATAGTCTTGCACAAAGTTTAGTAGCAAATGTTTTCCTTTTGGTTCTTATATTAGGATGCAGTTCCCTGTATGGGAATAATATTTATGTGAATCATGTCTATATACACTATACACACATATACATATATCTTTATATATGAATCTATATATACACTACTCATATCATAATTTTCTCCTTTGTCAAAGGCTTTCTATCCTGCAGTGACACTAACTCCATTTTCCTTAATTTTCACAGTTCTGTGGTGACAGCAGGGCAATTCTGACTTTGGGTTACCAGTAGACCCAGGGCCACATTCCTATTATTCTCTCCAGATGTTCTACAGCGATCTGATCTTTGGGATGAGCAGACAAAACCCCACTGAGCATCCTTGTTGCAGGCCCATTACCTTAGAGGCCTGTCTCCACCGTGCCTCACCTAGATTCTCTGGATATAAAGGAAGATCACACTGTGCTTTATGGAAATATAGCCCTCTGTGGTCAAGATCGCCCACCAAATGTGGTTTCCCTACCAAATAAAGAAAGTGTTGGGGGACAGGACCAGCACAGGACCAGCTTGAGATCTCTTGATCGTTCCATCAACAAGAATTCCGCCCTCCCTCCCTCCCTTCCTCTTCCTTCCCTCCCTCCCTCCTTTATTTCTCTCTTTCTCTCTTTCTTTCTTTCTGACAGTCTTGCTCTGTCACCCAGGCTGGAGTGTAGTAGCGCCATCTTGGCTCACTGCAACGTCTGCCCCGGGGTTTAAGCGATTCTCATGCCTCAGCCTCCTGAGTAGCTGGGATTATAGGCATGTGCCACCACGCCCAGCTAATTTTTGTATTTTTAGTAGAGACAGAGTTTCTCCATGTTGGCCAGGCTGATCTCGAACTCCTGACCTCAGATGATCCACCTGTCTCGACCTCCCAAAGTGCTGGGATCACAGGTGTGAGCCACTGCACCCAGTCAACAAGAATTTCTTTAGCCTCTTTTGCTCATTACCTACAAAGAGCATCAGTCTCTGCCTGGAGAGAAGGGCTAGAAACAGATAGGGCACAGGTCCCCAGGTAACTGGCTGTAAGCCACTATGGCTGATATGCGGGGCAGGTCACTCCTGCACAGAAGGTGGCTTGTTGGCCTCCTGTTCCATCTCTTACAGGCGTTGAGGAAGCTCGACTAAACATCTCCTCACAGCTTACAATCCCAGAAATCATAGGACCCTAAACGTGCGTTTTTCAAAATTTTTGAGCTAAAATGATGTATTACTTTGTAAATTGTGAAAAGTGTCACAAATATTAATTTAAGTGACAACATCATCAAACACTCCAATGTGGCCTTATTATCTATTTTGAAGGAGAAAATCTGAGTTTCATCAACTCAACCAGGATACAGTGAGTGATAAGCAACTTTTGGTGTCTGCAAAATGATCAGTTAAAAAAAACCTGGGGGCTGGGCACGGTGGCTCATGCCTGTAATCCCAGCACTTTGGGAGGCCCCGTCTCTACTAAAAATACAAAAAATTAGCAGGGCGTGGTGGTGGGCGCCTGTAGTCCCAGCTACTAGGGAGGCTGAGGCAGGAGAATGGCGTGAACCCAGGAGGCGGAGCTTGCAGTGAGCGAGATCGCGCCACTGCACTGCAGCCTGGGCAACTGAGAGAGACACTGTCAAAAAAAAAAAAAAAAGAAAGAAAGAAAGAAAGAAAAAATCCTGGAGTCCCTCTATGTGACCATACTCAGCTAGCACTTGATCTGTTCTTTTCTTATGGCATTTATCTCCCGGATCTTGTATATACTTACTTGTTTACATGTCTTATCTCACCTACTACATTCCAAGTTCTTTAAGGGTAAGATCACTATCAGATTTATCTTTGCTTTACCCACAGAACCAGCAAACCTGACAGCCCTAAACTGATGCTTGTTAAATGAATGAATGAAGTGAATGAATAAAATCATACCCATTTCAAGTTAATCCTTTGGATTTTATTTGGCTTATACGTAGAAAATCATCAAAAGGAAGGAAACTGTCCTAGAAACCTTACAAGGAAGAGTCTCTTTTGGGAATCTCCTACCTGCCCCCTCCCTGGAGCACTTAGGGATGGATGGGGGAAACTTTCACTATAACAAAAGGCGAGTAAACTCTTTCTGAAAATTAGTTTAAGGCCCCTAGTGGTTTAATCTTTACTGCCGCGTAAATTAACTCAAATATTAAGCCAGCAATAAACCGGCGCTCCAGTATCAACCATCCTTTTCTCTGTTAATACGAACTAGGAACTCAGGTTGCTGTTTTCTTTCCCCTCCCACGTGTGCTGATCGTGTAAAAGAATCACAGGAACACACGAGCAATGAAATGTGTAAATAAGAAAAATGCACACACATCACGAGCTCATTTCTTCCCAGATATTTTTTGGTCAACCTCTCAAGCTTGGAACAGGCTCTATAACAGATGTGCGTTTGTGTGTGCATATTGGAAAACAGAAAAATAAGGTCAGCGCAAACACTACTTGTAATACAAACTAATGTAAGAGAAAACTTCTTTTTCAATATTAACAACGACACTAGAGAAATAATGTAAAATAAATATACGGTTGGAACTAGGGGTAAAAAAAAAATCAGCAACGTCAGCAAACTGAGATGGGGTGAGTTGGAAGGCAGATTGGAATTTATCTCTTAAAAAAATATCACCCTAACTAGAGACCTGTTTTGCCTAAGGGGACGTGACTCACATTTTCGGATAATCTGAATAAGGGGAATTGTGTCTGCTCGAGGCATCCATTCTGGTTCGGTCTCCGGACTCCCGGCTCCCGGCACGCACGGTTCACTCTGGAGCGCGCGCCCCAGGCCAGCCAAGCGCCGAGCCGGGCTGCTGCGGGCTGGGAGGGCGCGCAGGGCCGGCGCTGATTGACGGGGCGCGCAGTCAGGTGACTTGGGGCGCCAAGTTCCCGACGCGGTGGCCGCGGTGACCGCCGAGGCCCGGCAGACGCTGACCCGGGAACGTAGTGGGGCTGATCTTCCGGAACAAAGTTGCTGGGCCGGCGGCGGCGGGGCGAGAGCGCCGAGGGGGAGCCGGAGCGCTGCAGAGGCGCGGGCCGGAGGGCTGGCGCTGATCTGCACCCTTCTCATCTGGAGAGCGGACCCCTGGCTGCCCGGAGGCGAGCCCCTTCCCGGGGGGTGGGGGCGGCAACGCGCGACCCAGCGGTCCTGCGCCCCACCCTCCCTCCTCCGCCTCCAGCGCTCGGCTCCAACAAAGGGGCAGGCCCGCAGCGGGGAGGAGGAGGAGGAGCCGCCGAAGGAGCGAGCCTCTCTCGCGCACAAAGTTGTGGAGTCGTTTTTCCTCGGAGCAGGGAAGCGGGCAGCAGCAGCCGGCCGCGGGCTTTCTCCCGCCGAGGGGCGAGGAGGAGCCTCTGGCTCCAGAAGCCGATTGGGGAATCACGGGGAGCGGCGCCCCCCTTCTTTTGGGTCATTTCTGCAAACGGAAAACTCTGTAGCGTTTGGCAAAGTTGGTGCCTGCGCGCCCCTTCCAGGTTTGCGCTTTGACTGTTTTGTTTTTGGCGGAACTACCAGGCAGGAAGATTGCACAAGTAAGGGGCGTTTTCAGTCGGGTGTCAATTTCTCTTTCTTTCTTTCTTTTTTTAAAATTTCGGTTCGTGTCTGCTTCTCCAAGCTTTATTTTTTTTTTTAAATACATCGCACCACCAAACTAACACTCGCACACACCCCCGCGGTTACTCCGTGTCAAACTCCTAGAGGAGCCCTTGGCCAGCTCGGGGTGCGGCGGTGGCGACCGGCAGGCGAGGAGGCCCGCGGGCAGCAGGTAAGCCCATGCATTATTGAAGCCTCGGGCTGGTAATGTGACTACAGCCCCCGAGGGAATGGGGCGGGGGCCGGGAGGAGGATGGCTCTTTCTGTGGTTCTTCCGCCTGGGATCGGCGTCCCGAGCTGCTTCCCAAGTCCCAGAGTCGAAGATGGGAGTAACTTTTGCGTGCCCTTTCCTCGGGGCCTCAGTTTAGCTCCCCGCGGTGCGAGAGAGAATGCCGGAGGCGTGGAGAGCTCGGGCGTGGAGGTCCTTGGGATCCGTACTAGTTGTGAACGATCCAAACTTATCTGACCAGCTCTGTGCTGCCTCCCTGCTCCCCTAATCTTCCTCCCCGCCGGGGTGACAGAGTCGCCCTCCGTGCATCGCGCGGTGCAGGGCGCTGGGCCAGTGATTTGCAAGAGGGGACGTGGCCTCTTAGGAGAGTCTGTCACAGACACCCGGGCCCGGGGAAGGCGGGGCTCCGGCGGTGTCCACAGGAGAGGGTGGGCAGAGGGTGGCTGTGTGGTCGGCGGCCAGCGGAGCGCTTCCCAGCCAGCCGCCCGGCGGGGAACGTGCTTGACCTCTGGGTGGTTGCTGCTCCCAAGGGTGGGGCTCCGGAGAGTGTGGCGCGATCGCCAAGCTCCCTGGCAGCGGCCCTGGAGAGACTGAGGGGACAGGAGGAGGGGGGCGCCCCATTGGTGTGTAGTCCCGCGCAGTCGCCGGCTCTCCTTTTCCGGACTCTGGGGATCTCTTGCTGCAACTGACAAGGTAATTCATGCCCCGCTTTGGCCCGGGGTCCGAGGCTGTGGTTGCTCAAGGCCACTTAAAAACCAACAAAGCACCAATTGAAGGCTGTGCAACTTTCAGATGGCAGGTTGTTCAAAGGATTTTTTCCTCCAAGCCTCAGATTATGAAAGGGACTCATTCCAGTGCGTTTTTCGAGGAGGAGGGAGAAAACGTTGCCCGACCTCCGAGAGAGCTGTGGGACCAGCACTTTATTTTACAAGGAACTGCAGAGCTCGGGTTCTAACTCCACGGCCCCGCTCTCTGAGGTGTTCAGGACAGGGCCTCCTCTTTCCCAGCCTTCAGGTCAGCCGGATCACCAGGGCCTTGCGGGCCAGTTCCCCCTGCCGCGGTTGGGAGGGTCAGTGCAGCGGTCGCCGCGGCCAGAGCGCGCGGAGCTCGGGGGAGGCCGGATTCCCTAGGTCTGAGCCGACCCTCCCGGCCGCCCGGCCGGGCGGCAGCGACCGCATCCATTCCTTTGTAAGTTGCACCGGCCTCAGGAAGTCGATCTGGGCCCTCCCGGTTCGTTGGCGGTGGGCGTGGGAGACGCAGCCTGCGGATAGCTCAGGGTCAGGGGAGAGGTGGAGGAATGCGAAGCTTGTGGGTAGTTCTGCGGTGACGGACAGGGTTGGCGTGGAACCATTCCCCGCCCCTTTTACCAGCCTTTATGGGACCGATGAGACAACTCTTTAACTCTCCTTTGGGTGTTTACCTAAAATTTATTGGCTCTGTAAACAGTATTAATCACAGTAGTATTAACCTTCCCTGGAGCGCTTCCGAGTGTAAATGGCAGTTCTTGGCACTCACCGTTTTCTTTTACTGTGTTTCAAGCAGAGCAGCAAACTCTTGTCCGCTTGGCTTCCTTTTCTACTATCTCAATCGTTCCTAGGTTTTGGTTCCTATAGTAAATTAATGAATAGTGTTTGCATTACACAGCATTTCCATCATAATGCACACTGTTGGATATATATGTGCTATATACATAAAATATAGTACAAAATAAAAATTATATACATATATTCATTGTATAATTCCTAAAATCTTAAAAAATTGAAACATTAGTTTTGTCTTTAAGGCTGTCACCTTATGTTTATTTTTTAAACACCTTATGTTTATTTCATACACTCTTGCTTGGTGGTCCATATGACAGCCGGAAGCGTTCTGAAGGGAGAGTTAGTGAATATCGACTTGACTGGATTGGTTTCAGTAAGAACATCTGGCTTTTACAGAATATCATTTGAGGGAAGGGAAATCTAGGGCAGAGGTAACAATAAATTGCATTTGTATAGGGCTTGAAGCTTCTAAAGCAACATCTCATTCATTGATTCTCAGTTTCTCACCTAGCCTTCTGTGAAGATGGTGTTCCCTCCATTTTATAGGTGTGGAAGACGGAGGGTCACACTGGGATGCATTGTTCGTGGTGAAACTTTGATTCTGTCTCCTGAGAACCAAAGATTCTGCATTTGGCAATTAGAAGGAGTCATCCTTTGCCTTAAGTGTACTCAAATTCCTCTGGCCATTAATGGCAAGTAACCTCAGTGGCTATCACTATTTAAATAGCCTTCTGTTATTCTTCTTTCTCCCCATTTTCCTCTGTACTCTGATCACCTTTTCTGCTGTATCTTTGCAACCTGTAAGGGATTTTCATTATCAAGAAGAGAAAAATTTGAAAAATCACCTTGAGGAGAGTGGCAAGTGAAACATTATAGTGAAGAAGTGTTACTGATAATGGGCAAATGGAATAAAGTAGTGTGTAAACAGTTGACTTTTCTCTTTTATGGGTGAATAAAGGCTTTGGGTAGCATAGAAGTGGAGATCTTGGCTAAGACCAATAGTGAAGAAAAGCATTAGACTTACTGCTCCAAAGTGATACACTGTAGTTCTTTCCAGGAAAGAGAATTTTTCCCTGGGCAAACTTAATTTTCCATGATAAACTTTTATAGACATTCTTCTGAACAAAGTTTTTGATTCTTGAATATAATAAAATACACTTAAGAATTTAGCAAATCCTTTATAGTTATGTACTTGAATGAAAGAATGTAATCATATAATAATCCATAAATTTTTAGCAGTAGTAGAGCCTATAAAAAATGAAAAAAGTTTTTTAGACTCTCATAAAATCTGTCAGATTGATGATCCAATCCTTTATATCCAACTCTCTCTCTCTCTCTTTTTTTTTTTTTTTTTTTTGAGATGGAGTCTCACCCACTCGGTCGTCAAGGCTGGAGTGCAGTGGCAGCGATCTTGGCCCACTGCAACCTTTACCTCCTGAGTTCAATCAATTCCCCTGCCTCAGCCTCCTGAGTAGCTGGGATTACAGGTGTTTGCCACCATGCCTGGCTAATTTTTATATTTTTAGTAGAGACAGGGTTTCGCCATGTTGGCCAGGCTGGTCTCAAACTCTTGACCTCAAGTGTTAGCCAGGTTGGTCTTGAACTCTGGACCTCAAGTGATCTGCCTGCCTCAGCCTCCCAAAGAGCTGGGATTACAGGCATGAGCCACCATGCTGGGCCCAACTCTCTTTTTGTCATCTCCGCTTATATAACTCAGAGGCATTTCAAGCTCTGCAAATCCAAATCACATTGATGATTCCTTTCTCCCAGCCTGCTATCCTCAGTGTTGCCCAGCTCAATGACTCACACTTCACCTAATTGCCTAAGCCAAAATTGGGGAGTCATTTTGCACATTTTGCACATTGGATATGAATCTCTCATATCCAATCAATTCCCAAATCCTATTGACTTTCTTTGATATCTAAATATCCCACATATTCACCCATTTCTTTCTATCTACTCTTGTTTAGACCACACTTGTTTCCTGCATATAATATTACAATAGAAAGAATAGCACAATAAACACCCAGATGTCCTTTTTATTTTATTTTATTTTATTATTTAAAATTTTTATTTACATGGAGTAGAGACAAGGTCTCACCATGTTGCCTAGGCTGATCTCAAACTTCTGGGCTCAAGTAATCCTCTCGCTTAAGCTTCCCAAAGTACTGGGATTACAGGTGTGAGCCACCTCGCCTAGACCCAGATGCCCTTTAACAAGTTTTCCCACTTACTTTATTTTTTTTGAGATGGAATTTTGCCCTTGTCACCCAGGCTGGAGAGTAATAGCACAATTTCGGCTCACTGTAACCACCGCCTCCTGGATTCAAGTGATTCTCCTGCCTCAGCCTCCCAAGTAGCTGGGATTACAGGCACCTGCCACCACACCCAGCTAATTTTTGTATTTTTTTTTAAGTAGAGATGGGGTTTCACCATGTTGGCCAGGCTGGTCTCGAACTCCTGAACTCAGGTGATGCACCTGCCTTGGCTTCCCAAAGTGCTGGGATTACAGGCGTGAGCCACCTTGCCCGGCCTAGTTTTCCCACTTATTTTACAATACTTACTGCATTTTTCTGTCTGTCTGTGTGTATGCATATATACATCTACATACATATATCAACCTAAATATACCTATATCAGTATAGACAGATATATGCTATTCTGTTTGAACTTAAGTTGAAGATACCATCACACTTCATTGCTAAATATTTCACCACATGTCTCTTACAATCAAAGACATTCTCCTGCAACAATACCATAATTAATGTTAAAGAAATTTAACATTGATACAATAATATTGTCTAATACATAGTCCAAATTCAGATTTTTCAAATGATCCTCAAATGTTTTATTTTAAAATTCTGAATTCAATCAAAGATTACATTTCATTGTCATGTCTATTTAGTCTCCTTTAATTCACAAAGCTCCCCCTCTCCCAGGTAATTTTGGTTTTCAAGACGCTGACAGTTTTGAAGAAACCAGGCCATTTCTTTTGAAAACTAGCCACAGTCTAGATTTGTCTGCTCATGAGAAGATTCACGTTCAACATCTTGGCAAGGATATTGTGTAGATGATGTGGTGATTTTCCATTCAATTGCATGATGCCCCATGATTGGTTATGTGAATTTTGATCACTTGGTTAAGATTAGGAATTTTTCCCCAACATATTACTATGAAAAAATTCTCAGACATACAGAAGAGTTGCAAGAAATTTTCATTCAGCATTCATATACCCATGAGCTAGGTTCCTTAATTTGCATTTTGCTATATTCTGCCATAGTCTTCACTGGTTCCCCACATATTACTGTGGTCTACCTACAAGCCACAATCGTCTTTTTTTTTTTTTTTTTTTTTTTTTTTTTGAGATGGAGTCTCACTCTCGTTGCCCAGGGTGGAGTGCAGTGGCGTGATCTCAGCTCACTGCAACTTCCACCTCCCAGGTTCAAGCAATTCTCCTGCATTAGCCTCCTGAGTAGCTGGGATTACAGGTGCACACCACCATGCCTGGCTAATTTTTTTTTTTTTTTTGTATTTTTAGTAGAGACAGGGTTTCACTGTGCTGGCCAGGCTGGTCTCGAACTCCTGACCTCGTGATCCACCTGCCTCGGCCTCCCAAAGTGCTGGGATTACAGGCATGAGCCACCGTGCCCGTCCCTTGACGATCTTTTAAAAAGGCCAATTTGACCATGTTGGTTCCCTCCTTCGAACCATCTACTGGCTCCCCATTGCTCTTCAGATAAAGACACAAACCCTTGACCTGTTCTCCATGGTCCTATCCCTGGTCCTGCCCAGCTTCTTCACCTGGTTCAACAGGTACACTTGTCTCTTGGCTGTCTTCTTTCCAGAAACACTGGCTTGTGCTCCATTCTTTGACTGCTCCATGATTCTTTCTGCCACTTCACATAGGAAGCTCTTACCTTTTCTCTTTCTGTTTCCCTTTTTGGCTAATTAAATTCTTGTCATCTTTAAAGGCTTGGCTCAAATGTCTCTTCAAGAAAGCCTTCTCTAATTGCCCAGGGCAGGTCAGACTCCTCTGCTGTGTGCTCTTAATACTCTGTGCTTCTCCTTTGTATGATTTGTAGTCTGTCAGTATTGTAATGAAATAATTCATTATGTAATTAATTGCTTAGTGTGCATAAGCGCCGTAATGGCAGAGGCTATGTCTCTTGTTCATAGTCATAACACCATTGCCTGGCTTGGTGCTTTACACGTGGTAGGCACTCAATAAATATTTGGTGAATGAATAGTTACTACGAATAACTATATAAAATATATAAATACATTTTTTCAAGTCAGTACTTTCCCTTTTCCTTTTAGGTATTGATGTCAAGCTGAACCATCGTAGGAAGTTGAAAGCCTTAGAAAGAGGACTTGGTAAAGTTTTTGGATTATCTTGAAACTCTGGCAAGATGGCCAAGTATGGAGAACATGAAGCCAGTCCTGACAATGGGCAGAACGAATTCAGTGATATCATTAAGTCCAGATCTGGTAGGTAAAGGAAGCTCAAGAAAGCTATGGATTTTTATGTATTTAGAAAACCTATGTTTCTTGGATTGATTTGCATTGTTCTTGCAAGAACTTCTTGGAGGTGAAGTTCTTTTAAGAAACTGAATTCTGACAAATGACTATAATTTTGTAAAAGGTATATGTAAAAGGTATAATATCTCTGAGTGTCCTATCCTTTCTCAACCCAATTTTGTGCTTAGTGAAACTGCTGCTTGTAGCTAAAGGTTGTTCATTTGGAAGACTACTCCATTAAAATAAAATACGACCGAACATTTCTCTTTCTATTTTCTGGAAATTGAAGGGATTATATGCTTAATGTAGGAAGTGCCACAGTTTCTGGCAGGAAAGATCTTTCACAGTTTGATTTCATTACCATATATCCTCACCCCCATCCCTGTTCATAGCCATTGATAGGCCAACAGGTGTCCTACCTTGAAATATCTTATGAGCCTTCTCAAGGTAAAATTTTCACCTAGGTAATCTAATAAACCAGACTCAGACAGATTCATGGTTTTCACACGAACAGTTAAATTGGGGTCCTCAGGATACCACCCCCTCCTCCAATCTTTTTATATAACCGAGTGCTTTTTGACTCTGGCTGTACAGATGAATCAACTGGGGAGTTTTAAAAAACGCAGATGCATTGGCTCCATTCCAGACCCATTGAATAAAAATTTCTGTATTTTTAAAAAGCTTCAAATATGATTCTGAGACAAACTCAAAGGGGAGATATTTTTGAACAGGCAGAACACTTCTCAGCCTTGAAAATTACACAGAACTCCACCCTGAGTGTGAACACTATACTTAAGTAACTTTGAAAAGTTACTTTGAGGTATAAAATTACATCCAGTGTCACTTTAAAGACAAAAAAGGAACCCAAAGCCTGTTTTTGCTGTGTGAACCATCTTTATGTTCTGTTAGGAGCTTGTTTCTTATTATGTGAAACTGTAGAAATACACAGTGAAAATAAGATCTAAATTAACTGTCTTAAAATACACATTTTCCTCCATGATACCGGTGTTGGTTGATTGATAAAGATTTTAGTTATTACAGATTTGGCTGTAAATATGTAGCAACTATTGTGTAGCTTGACGGGTCTTTTGAAGGTATAGCTTAATATCTTGTTTTAAAATATGCTTTGAGGATGTTCTCTTCCTGTAAAATTCTTTTTGTTTTAAATGTTTTAGTGGTATAAGGTACTACAAAAATGTAAGGGATTATTAATATCATCTTAGGAGTACGGAATACATATTCAGACATATGTAAATATAACAGAGGAAAATGGAAGAGAGACGATTTAATGTCTCCATACTAGTCATTTTCTATAAATTGTGAGGAGGTATATTCCTAAATAGTTTTCTGAGTCAGCCTTCATTCTAGTAAGACCTTTGATATTTATAACTTGTACTTTAGCCGTGTCCATAAAAGAGTAATTATCTAATTTCAGAAATACCGTGTATATATAATGAACATATAAACTCCCAAACTATTTTAATTTAAAATTATCTTTTAAAAAGGCTGATGAACCTAAAATATTGCTGGAGAACAATTTGGCAAAAATGATAACATGTTTTTAACACATGCATATCAATTAACTGAGTAATTCTGTTTCTAGAGTTTTTCCCTAGGCAATACATAAAAAGGTACACTCAAGAAATTGATCACAGTATCATTTATAATAGAAAACATTGTAAACACCATGAAAATCTAATATTAGGAATTGGTTAGATCATTATTTCCCAAAGTATTTCGAAAAGATCAAAAGTTCTAGGATTGTTAATGTGTAATTCACAAAAGGATGTTATGGTCAAATAGCTTTAGGAAATAGTTGTTTAAACCTATTATTCTGTTTCTTTACTCTAGCACATCTGAACAGATCATACATGATCTCAGTAGAGGTAACTAAATTAGGGTATATCCATAAAGTAGAAGATTAAGCATTCATAAAAAGTGATACAGATGTGTGTGATGTGTGTGTGTGTGTGTGTGTGTATGAATATAGAAATGTGTTCTTGATATAGTAAGTAAACAAGTATGTATTATATGAAGTCATTTATATGAAAAATGTTTTTTAAAAATTTAGTGAAGTATACAATAAATGTTAATAGTGGTCATCTTGGCATTTGAGATTATTACTTTTTTTTTTGCTGATTTATATTTTCTAAAGTTCTTCAATGAACCCACATTACTGAGTTCTTATATTTTTAAAGATTATCAAATTGCTTAGAGTGTTTAGATGCCAAGGTTATGACTATTACTTTTTTTGTGGTGGCATCTACTTCAAAACACACTGAAAATTTAGTTGTTACATAGCTCAGATATGAATCACATTCTTTTGGCTGAATTATGTTGCAAAAGCCAGTAGATAAATTTGGATTTGAATGGACCCATTAGTCCCAATCTGGCTTCCTCTAAGGGACTTTTTTTGATTCTTTTAAGGCAAATGCTTACTATACAGAGGTAATATTTCATGGTACTCTAAAACTTACATATTTTAAGAGATTTTTAGTTTAGATTAAGTCATAGGAATTGTCTACATATCATATATGTATTTTAAAGATCCTCTGTCTACATGCTGTATGCCAAATTGGTTGCTTTTCCATTTTTTAAAAGGGAATACTTTCCTTTAGGAAAATTTTGATCCTCATCTGCTCTTCCAGGTTTCTTTTTTGGGGGGAAATTGGATGAAAGTGGGGGGACGGAGAGTGTGGTTTCTGCTCTCCAAATCCTCGAGTTTGGACAATCCAAAAGGCTGGCATAATTAAATTGGCATAATAAAAATGTCTATGCATTTTATGTTAAGTTATTGTGATTATTTTTATTGTCCTCACTTAGTATTACTTTGTTTCATGCCATTTTGAATATTATAATTTTTTAAATTTTATAATTTTAAAGCCATTTCTACCATCTAAACAGAAATAGGAAGTTGTCAAGGGTACGTAATGAAGTAGTTTCATAAATACAAAGCCATGTATTTATTTATGGTTGTAGTATACTTGCCTTGGGTTTGGGTGAGTGTTAGAAAGGAACTGGAAAGAATTTGATCTATAATGACCAAGGATTTGGTGTTGGGTAAAAGTAGACCTGTCTTTCTCTAACTTAAAAGCACATATGCCAAGTTCATCATCAAGTACTGTATTATTAACAGCCTTAATTAGTAGGCTTTAGAAAGTTCAACAAGTTAGTAAATATTTTGAAACAATAGGCCAAGACTAAGAATTTTTAAAAAGTGAAATTTATTGCCAGTAGAGTGTGTGATGCAGAAAGTACTGCTTGGAACATTTTAAACATGAAATAATAAAATGGTTTGGGATGCATATACAATCGAAGAATATCCTCACTGCTATTTCATTCAATAATTAACATACATTAAAGCTAGTAACACAGAATAAGTCATCCTTTTCTGTTGCTGTCAGTGTTGTTGTGGTTTTATCCCAGAGCCCTGTAGAAAGAGTAGACCTCAGGGCTAAGGACAGTGTGTCAGCTGGCTCCATGTGGAGTTCTTGACAGTTTGGGATTATAGACTCTCAGCTGGGAAAGAACTGTTTGATGAATGAAATAGTTGGGCAAGCTTCACATTTTTGGATAATTCAATGTGTTCTTCAAGCGACCTTGGGCTGGAAGCCTGTGTGTAACAATTTTATCATTTCTTCCTTTGCATTTTCTCTTCTTGTCTAATCTTAGGATCTAATTGTTGAGGGAACCTTAAACGCCCTATAACCCAGCCATTCCTGTGATGTGCTCACCCAGTCTCTGTTTGCACACCTCCAATGATGGCATCTCACTGCTGCTGCTGATGATGACGATTCTAGCAACTTACACTAATTGAACACATTCTGTGTGCAGATGTGGTGCTAACAGTTTAATCCTCACAACCGCCATTTTGCAGATGATAAATGTGAGCCATACTGAAGTGATTTGTGGCACTGGACTTCTTTCTATTTCTCCAAAGGCCCAGTGTGTCTTCCTCAGGGCCTTTGCACATCTCTCTTCTTCCATCTTTGCCTGGCTGGTTCCTTCTTGTCATTTAGATGTAGGCCTAATGTCACCTCTTCAGAGATCTTCCTTGCTGACTTTAGAAAGTAGCTCTCCCAGTCACTCTTGACTGCATCTCTGTATTTACGTTCCCTGTGTTGTTCTTAGCACTCTCTGGTACCTTTTCTGGTACTGTGTGTTCATTAATAGCCTTCCCACTAGAACAGGGCTCCCCAACTCCCAGGGCCTGGACTGGTACCAGTCCGTTGCCTGTTAGGGACCAGGTGGCACAGCAGGAGGTGAGTGGTGGCTGAGCAAGCACTACCGCCTGAGCTCTGCCTCCTGTCAGATCAGCGGCAGCATTAGATTCTCATAGGAGTGAGACTCTATGGTGAACCGCACATGCGAGGGATCTAGGTTGCCTGCTCCTTATGAGAATCTAATGCCTGATGATCTGAGGTAGAACAGTTTCATCCCAAAACCATCCCCCTCATCCCTTGGAAAAATTGTCTGCCATGAAACTGGTCCCTGGTGCCAAAAAGGCTGGGGACTGCTGCACTTTAATTAACTCCCCAAGAGCAGGGACCAATACATCCCTGGTACTGAGCCCAATGCCTGGCTCATAATAGGTGAGCAATAAATGTTTATTCAATGATAAAGGCTACAGAGTCTGGAAGTGCCAGAGCTGGCATTTGAACTCAGATGATCTGACTCTAGAAACCCTGCATTTGACCTCTATGGAGTGCCCAGTCTCCTAACTCACAAGACATTTTATTCCATTGCTGCTCGGTGACTCTTCTTCATTTTGTGCCTAATTCTGTCCCTTACACATTTTGCACTGTATTAATTGTATTTATACAGCTCTTCTATCTCTTTTTTTGTAGTTTTCAGGGGTGGGACCCTGGACTGTGAGGTAGAGCTCCTCTGGACCCCAGGTTAGTATCTCAGAGCCCTGACAAGGGAAGGCCAATTGTAAGAGACACAGCCTACTGCTTCTGGGCCAGTTGCATCCTTTCTTGATTTTTGGCTCTAGTCTCTGTCATTCTCTGTTGAGTTAGCAAAGGGGAAAATACCAGAGGACAAACAGTCCTTTGGGTGGAAGATAGAGAAATGGATAATGTGTTTCTGACATGAATTCCTTTTTCTCTTTTCTTCTGACTACTGCTCAAGGCTTTTAACGAGCTGAAGTTAAAAAAAAAAAAGGTAGTGGATTTCATAAGGACTGACATTTGGCACAGTGTAGGTCCTGGTCCGATGCCCAGATAGGTATCTGTGGTACTGAAAGAGTTGGTTGAGGAGTGTAGGGGAAGGAAGCAAAGGGTTGGTTGAGGAGTGTAGGGGAAGGAAGCAAAGAGAGACCAGTGAAATAAAAATAAAACAAATTATTAAATATGAAATATTATACCAGGTTACATTTATAGCAAGCCTCCTGAAAATCTGCTATGTTTGGAAAGTAAACTTGCTTAACAAGATTCAATTTTATGAAAATTCTGAGGAGGATTACCTTATTTGTTTATCTTTCTGAGGCCTTTCTTGAGGAAAGACAGTGGTTAAGTTGTATTTAGGCAGTCATCGGTCTATTTCTTTCTTTTATGTTTAAAGCAGTATCTGTGAGGGGATTTTTCTAAACAGCTCAAGGGACTGTGAAAAAATAGTTCATTTTTTGTTTCTCCTGAAGCTTTCCTTGGCTGGAATACCTGTGCTTTGAAGGGAGGTCTTTGAGCAGGTTTGTTTTTTTCCATGAGCCCTGGGGATTTGTAGTGATAGACAGTAACCCTGATGGAAATTCAACTCTGGCAGAGAAGGGCAGCTATTCTTGTCCTGCTTGTAAAGATATTCTCCATGTTGTTACCTCATTATGCTGAAGTAGTGCAATCATGAGAAAGTTTTTTTGTATTAATGTGATTCTCATGACCTGTTACTATGGTTGTGAAACTTTTAGAGGAGATCCATTCCCGACTGGAAAACGTGAATTGCTGAGGATGATTCTAAGCAAAGGAAGTACGTTAATTATATAGACAGAACAGAGAACTCAATTTTATTGAACCTTATTTGTACCCAGAAGTTTGAACTAGATGCTGATATGATGATTTTTCTGGGAACAAGTCAACATGCAAGACTATTTGAGCAGCTGTAAATATTAGTTAAAATTTAATCTAAAGCAATGGAGAAAGGGTACTCTGCTGAAGTGGTTTCAGATGCATTGGCTGGATTTTTTTTTCTCCCCTTAAATTGTGTGGAGGCATAGACATTTACTATGTTATATTTTTATCTTTTTATATGCCTTAACTGTTTAATAATAAATAGACTTATTTCAATATTTGAAATGTGAGGCAGTATGAGTTCTTAATGTATACTTACTCTCGAGATGATGGCTCTTGGACTGAGAAATTGAAACCAGGTCCCAGTCCTTTCGCTTTTACTTCCTGTGACACTGGATTTGCACATGTCAATTCCAGGAAGCAGGTAGTTTCCAGCATCCATGTGGTTTTCCAATCTTTGCATTTGTGCCTTTAAACAACCAAATACCTGACGTTTATTAATATCCTGTGGGGCTCTTCTATCAGAAGCACATTCTCTTGGCCCGGTTCATAAGGGAAATGTCTGTGTATGCGCATCTGGCAGCTAAGATTAAGGTTTACAGTGGTATAACCTCACCTTCACTTTTAAGAAATTAAGTTTAAAAAAAATGCAGATCTGTCTTTCATAGCAGTGGAGCTCAACAACACATAGAGCATGAGAGTCACATTTTTTGTGTGAATATTTTCGAATGAGCCTTTTTTGGTATGTGGACGGGTGGCTAGTTACATTCAGTTCAATCCTTTTAACATTTAATTATGGAACAAAATCTTTTTTCAAAGTGTAGAGAAAAGCATATAAGGGCATTTCTGATGTAGCAGAGGAATCCAATAAAAAATATGACTTTGTGTCTCTAAAGTGGTACAGCTTTGAAATTAACACATCTGTATAATTTCAAAAGTATGATCTCTTTAGATCTTTTTCTTTAATTTCATAGTCTTAATTTTTGCAAATTTCTTCAACTCCATTCTCTAATTAAGATTTTGGTATACAATATTTATATGCAAAAGATTTTTGGTGCAGGAAATAACATTTTGAGGTTGATACTAATTGATTTGTTCACTTGCCCCTCAAAGGCTACGTGTGAGTCATGTTATTTAACATTGATCCAGTCAATATGTAGATTTATGCACATGCTTTTATTTTGAAAACTAGGTTTTGAGCTTCTCACATATGGAGTTCCTAATTCAAGCTTTATGTCAGAACCACCCTTCTGGGTCCAGACTCAGATATGTGGGGTGGGGTCCCAGCATCTGGAGTTTTAACAAGTTCTGTGGGCTATTCTCTTTAGTGCTCTTAATTTATAGACAAGGAAGGCAGGTTTAAAAGTCATAGAACCAAAGTGAAAATGATCTGCATTTTAGAGGAGCAAGGAAAGCTACAACGTTTATTATTTCTACTTATAAACACTTCCCTTTAAATAATTTGAAAAGATAATAGATTTCATGATGTTGGGCATTTTTTCTTTTACACTGTATTTTGAAGAGTTTGGGTTGTGTTGGGTGAAGTTAAAAGTGAGGAAAGTGGGTCAGGAGAGTGATGAAACCTGGTGCATTTCTTATTTTGGCCCATTGAACCAGAAGATGATACCAATATATCTAGTGCCGACATATTTCTCCACTGCGCTCCTTAGTTATTGCTGCAGTGTGTTCAAGGTCTTCTTGCTGTGAGTGTAACATCACATCTTGAACTCTTTTTCTAGGGAATGCATCAGCTTAGAGTCCGCTGATGCATTCATTATAAAAATGTATTGTGTATATTTTCTATTACATTATTTCAAAGACAGACGTGTTTTTGAATCATGGTGGGAAAAAAACTCCTCACATTCAACCTCTATGCTAGTTTTCTTATCTTAAGGGGGGGTGGTTAGAGAAATGTATTATATATGTATTAATATTTGCCTCCCTGTTTTTTAATTCTAAATAGGTGACATATTTAATATAACTATGCTTGCTTTTGAAATAATTTGCCTACCATTCTTTAAAATGAGTGAATTTTAAAAGATGTATAGTGATTTTTATGTGAAGATGAATTAAAGAGTTAAGTGACATAGACCACCGTAGCATTTTCCCTATGGATCTGTAAAAACAGCCCAAAAGTCTTGTGATTTTTTTTTTTTTTTGAGCCGTAGTCTTCCTCTTGCTCTGTTGCCCAGGCTGGAGTGCAGTGGTGCCATCTCAGCTCACTGCAACCTCTGCCTCCTAGGATCAAGTGATTCTCCCACCTCAGCTTCATGAGTAGCTGGGACTACAGGTGTGTGCCACCATGCCTGGCTAATTTTTGTATTTTTGGTAGAGATGGGGTTTCACCATGTCAGCCAGGCTGGTCTCGAACTTCTGACCTCAAGTGATCTACCCACCTCAGCCTCTCAAAGTGCTGGAAATACAGGCATGAGCCATGGTTCCCGGCCTCTTGTGATATCCTTATATTCAGTTAACCAAACCAAATCAAGTCAAATAACAAACCCCAAACCTTTTATAGACCTTGAGTTATTTGCAGATCTTTGGGGTTATTTACCTGTCTTTTGAGCTTTAATCTTTTACCTCTTTGAAGATACAGGAAGGGATCTTTATTTCTTCTTTGATAAAATAACCTTCAGAGTGACTTGAGATACGGAATTGCTTCTTTGTATATCATTGTGTGGTATTTGAGATCACATCTCAAAATTTAATGAGACCTGCTCCTCAGGCAGTTTTAAGATTAAGGATCAAAAAGGGAGCCACTGGAAAGGTGTGAGTGGCTGGTAATCTATGTTAGAACAGAGACTTTGGTGCAGAGGTTGGCCATGTTCATATGTGGAGTAAGTTTTCATGAAACAGGAGGAAGCCTTTTCTTATTTGAAACTAAGAAACTGCAAAATAAAAGTAATAAAATACCCCGAAGCAAATAGACTTTAAAACAACATTTGGTCCTAAGTTGTATATGACCAATTTCTTAAAGTGATTGTTATATTGCCAGTTTTGAAATTATATTATCTTTTAAAATTTAAAATGTAAATATTGTCTCAGGGGTGGGAGGATGAATCTCCATCTTATTTAGTGTTAAAGGCTCCTGGACTTACCCTAAAGCCCAGCTTTTTCGGTGGGGGGCTCATAAATAAAACTGTGTGTGTTCTAGTTTACTCTGTTACCTCATCTAGTTCCTTTAGGTGATTAGAAAATGCCGTATTAGCAAATATAAAAAGGTTTACTTTTGTGTTTTTACATGTGAAATCAATGGCCAGTTCTATAATGTTAACATATCAGACCCTTAATTATATATTAACTCCCATTTTGATAGTTTGTATAGAAAAATCAGAGTTGACTTGAATTATTTGAACTTGCATACGCTTTTTCAAGATACGTAACGTGTTGTAAATTAGAAGAGTGTTGGTGTTTTCGGAACACATGCATATGCTTGCTGTCTCAGGGCAGCCTTGTTGGGCATTTGGTGTCAGACATACCTTATTCTGAGGGCCTTGGCATCAAGGCAGATTGCTCAGAGAGGGGGTCTCTCTGCATATATGTCTAAGGGAGACATTTAGGGAAGTCTCATGCCATCCTATCTTTCTTTCTTTCTTTTTTTTTTTTTTTTTTTTTTTTTGAGACAGGGTCTTGCTCCATTGCCCAGGCTGGAGTGCAGTGACTCAATTTCAGCCCTCCGCCTCCCAGGTTCAAGTGATTCTTCTGCCTCAGCCTCCCAAGTAGCTGGGATTACAGGTGCCTGCCACCATGCTTGGCTACTTTTTGTATTTTTAGTAGAAGTGGAGTTTCACCACGTTGCCGAGGCTGGTCCTGAGCTCCTAACCTCAAGTGAACCGCCTGCCTTGGCCTCCCAAAATACTGGATTACAGGCGTGAGACACTGCTCATGGCCACCATCCTACTTTCTAACAGCACTGCCCCACCCTCCCCCTCGCCCCAAAAACCACCATGAAGGAGGCAGAGGGCACCAGGTGAAGACTGCCCATGGTCCTTTTCTTACCTCTGTGACTTCGCTTGTTTTGTGTTCTGGGCTTGATTGTTCTCCTTCTCCCTGCGTCCCCAGTTTTGCAACCTCCATCTTTAAAACATCAGCATCAGTGCCACCAGGTGTTCTGCTCTCTGTGCTATCTGCATGCCAGAATCAATCTTTCCCACGTGTTCACTCTTCATTTCTGTTTGTGGCCCTTCTGGCTTGTGTATGTCTATATGCCTTTTTTCATCTGACTTTCTGATGCTAGCCTTTAGCTTAGTCTCCACACACACAGTAAGTGCTTAACAAAGACTTGTGGCCGTGTGCAGTGGCTCATGCCTGTAATCCCAGCACTTTGGGAGGCTAAGGTGGGTGGATCATCTGAGGTCAGGAGTTCGAGACCAGCCTGGCCAACATGCTGAAACCTCGTCTCTACTAAAAATACAAAAATCAGCCAGGCGTGGTGGCACTCACCTGTAATCCCAGCTACTTGGGAGGCTGAGGCAGGAGAATCGCTTGAACTGGGAGGCAGAGGTTGTAGTGAGACGAGATTGTGCCAATGCACTCCAGCCTGGGCAACAGAGTGAGACTCTGTCTCAAAAAAAAAGACTTGCTATGCCTTTTAATGGTTTTAAAAATTACACTTGCTTACATACATACCTCATTCATTCAGCAAATGGTTATTGTTCATTCATTGTTAGATGCTGGGCTCAGAGATAAGCAAGACCCACCTCTGTTCTTAAGATGCTCTCAGGCTAGTTGGAAAGAAAGACATCAATAAACATCCCCACACAAACCAGGGACACATGGAGGGAGGAAGGATGTCTTGCTTTGGTTGGAATGAGGGTAGGTTTGAGTAAGAGAGCGTGAAAGAGGCAAGGAATTTGAGGTGTGCCTTGAAGGATGTGTAAGAGGCAACGCTGTGGACAGTGTGGGAAGAACATTGCAGATGATGAGAAAAGAGCAAGGCATTTGAAGTCTGTCCCTGGTAACTGAGTGTGGCTGGGGTAATGGGGATGATGGGAGAAGCTGGGGTCAGATTTCGAAAGCCCTTTTGAAGCAGGGTTTATTTGATCTTTCCCTGTAAGAAGCCACTACAGGATTTTAGGTGAGTTAATGACTAGCTCAGAACTGTTTTTCAGAAAGATAACTTGGCTGGCAGCAGGAAAGATAGATTTGGAAGGTAGCAGAGTTAGGGGGAGGCAGGGAACAGGTAAGAGTTGTGAAAAAATTGAGGTTAAGGAGTATAAGGACTTGGACCAGAGTGGTACAAGAGGAGACTGAGCAGGGGAAAGGATGTGAAAAGTGGTTAGCAGTTAGTAACAGGGTGTGCAAAGCCTCAATGTAAACTTCGCCTTTGTGGGATTTGTTAGTTAGTAACAGTATGTTTAAAGCCTCTAGGTAAATTTCACCTTTGTGGGACTTTTTAGTAACAGTATCTATAAAGCCGCAATGTAAACTTCACCTTGGTGGGATTTGCTTTATGTTTTCAATGAGGTATGTAGTTTTTCAAATCGTACTGTAATTCAGATTTTCAACACTTTCGGTTATTAGCTTTTTCTCTAGAATTTTCTTGATCAATTTCTTAACCGTTTACAGTTACTTCTACTTCTTACTGAAGTTGACTACTGCTGTTTTTCTCACAGTACCTCTTGGTCAGTTTATATGGGGAACTTCAAATTCAGTTCAGCTGCAATAGGATCTGTATTTTTTTCTATATATATTCTGAGAGAAGGGTCATGCTTTAGGAAAAAGTTGATGAAAATGAGAAAAGAGATGGTTTATTCATGTCTATGCAGTATACTATTAACAGTTCTTTGAAAAAGTAGCAAAGAAAGGTAATGTTAATCTCATCTTAAATGAAGGTAAAACTCTTGCACAGCTAAGAGAAAATCTATATACTAAAAGAGTTTGGAAAACTACTTCAGAGGAACTTTAATTAAAGAGTAGTCTAATGTGATGCTGTGAAGATAATGCCATCCTCTATTAGTAATTTCAGCTTCAACAAATAGGATAGAATAAATGCAAATTAAAAATAAATTAGGAGCAGATGTTGAGAAATATCTTACATTTAGGGAATTCTTAAGTGGTAGAAGGGCCCTGGAGTTCAGTTAATAAAGCTGGGATGCTCAGAAATTATAATAATTCAGGTAACAAATGCTTTCCTTAATGTGATGCTCTGCTGTGGAGGTTTTGGGAATAGAAGAAAGAAGAGGCTGTTATTGTCATACTGTTTGTAAGTTCATCTTTCTTTACATTCAGTGGATAACTAAAATCTACTATATATGCTGATATTTCAGAAATGGTGGTTCCCTTAACCTTCAAGAAAAAACAAAAGCTCTCATTTGTAAACACTTGCAAGCATTCTTGGGTTGTCTCTTGGTGGTACCCAAGTTTTTGCTTTGGCCGGTAAGAGACTTTTGCATAGTACTTTGTTGCCTTGCCTCTACAACATGTTAGGCTTGTGGATTGGCGCATGGTGAATAAGACACAGTTCCAGTTGTCGACTGTCTGTCACCTAGAGAGGGCAGGTACACAGGAATTTAAGAAAACAGATTAAACAGGCAGTTACACAGTTGTAAAAGTAAAAACAGCACAGATTGCTGTGTGAGCTCACGGGAGTGGTACCTGACATCCCAGGGCTTCAAGGAAGGCATCTTGGAAGAGTGGATATCTAAGCTGAGATCTGAAAGAATGAGTGGGGATGTGGGGAGGCTGTTAAGACAGAGGGAGTTGATGACAAGAGGTTTGGAGGTGAGAATTGTGAGGTTTTCAATATGGCTAAAGCAGGATGCTGGAGAATGAAGCTGAGAAGAGTGTTATAAGCCATCTTTAGGAGTTTGAGTTGTATCCTAAGCATAATGGTGAATCTTTGAAAGGGCTTTAAAATTAAAAAAATTTATATTTATATATTTATCATTTTTAAAATTCTGAAGTATTCAATCTAAAAAAATGTACAGGAAATGATATATCAGATATGCTCGTGCCCTCATTTGAAATTTATCAGCTGTTAATGTTTTGACTTTTTTTTTTTTTTGAAATGGAGTTTCACTCTTGTTGCCCAGGCTGGAGTGCAATGGCGCGATCTCGGCTCACTACAATCTCCCCTTCCTGGGTTCAAACAATTCTTGTGCCTCAGCCACCCGAATAGCTGAGATTACAGGCATATACCATCATGCCCAGCTAATTTTTTTTGTATGTTTTGTAGAGACATGGTTTCACCATGTTGGCCAGGCTGGTAATGTTTTGACGTATTTGATTTAGGTTGTATTTTAAAGAGCTAATTATGTCAGCATAGATAAATCTTAAAAACAATTTGACTACAAACAAAAATCAGGTTGCACAATGTATTGAATGGTACTGTATATAAAGCTCATATACCTGCAGAAATTGCCCTGCAGTGTTTATGTATTCATATTATAAATATATAGCAAAATACAAAAATTTTTATGGAAATTATAAACACTAGATTTCTTTAGAGATAGTGAGAGAGGAGGTTCTTCAGTTTTATCTATAATATTTAATTCCTCAATGAAAATAGAAATAGAATCTTAAATTAATATGAAATAATGCTGATTTGTGAACTGAGTGATGACTGTCTTAAGCCCAGTTCCTTGGAAGTAGGATTTGAGACAGAGATTTGTGTGCACTTGAGAACAATTCCTGTTAATGAAAGAAATGAGGGAAGAAGGACTGGGCCAGGGAAAAGCTGAAGTGTAGTTGAGTTACAGCAGGGCCACCATTGGATCCATAGGGAATGCTGGTGCTGGGATGGCCCTTCAGAGATTTCCCAACTTGAGGCAATGTGTTGAGCCTGGGGACCTTTGCCTTGACCAGTAGGCTTTTGGCTGACCCTGGGAAGGAGGTGAGGTGAAAATCTGGGCAAGGTAACTTGGCCAAGGGCAGTTCCTGGACGGATGCTCAGCTATGAGCCCTCAGCTGCTGGGGGAATGAATTTGTGCATTGCCTTGCCTGAAAGGCAGATCTGGATAGGAGATTCACTGCAGTCATGGACCTTGTACCATTTTCTTTTGCCTATTATTGTCTATTTCTATGTCTGAAAGATATGACATATTAAATAAAAAAAGCTTCCAATTTCTAGGAGCAGTATTCACCGAACTACTTCCCTGACACATACATACCTCACACCCTGCACACACCACACACCACAAACCGTAGCTGTAATATCAGGTTACATACTTTCTGTTTTATTTTCCCTTTTCTCTGTGTTTTTGGTTACTTGAGATGGCCTCCTCTCTCTCACTCCTGGTTTGGGAAGGCCTTGCTTCCTCTGAAAGCTTGTGAGCAGAGGGCTGATCTGATCAGATTTGCTCTTCTGAGTGGTGCTCTAGAAGCCACGTGGAGCATGGATGGTGTGGGGTGTGTGCTGGATGAGGCAAGCCTGGGGTTCTGGAGGACCTTTGGGTGGCTGTCACAGTTAGAGGATAAGAGGTATTGAAGCCAAAACTGAGATTGAGGTAGCTGGGAAGGAGGAGAGGGGAGAGTTTAGAAGCTTTAGGTAGGAGGCAGACCTGATAGGACATGGTGGTGGTCTTCAGATGATGGGTGGTGGATGGGATGGAGAGAGAAGCCTGGTTTTTGACTTTAACACTCGCAAATGAAGCCTTTCTTTCTAGGTTTTGTGGAGAGGGCAGTGCATAAGGGGATAGTAAGTGAAGTTCTAGATTGAGTTTTGAGGTGCCTGGAGATATCTGGGAAAAATATGTAATATATATATTTCTCTTACATGTATGAGACTGGCTTGGGCTGGGGTCTGCCCTTGAAAACTGGCAGCTGGAGTCTTGAGTACTTTCCTGAGTCATTTTTTGAGCTCTTTGCAAGATAATGTTAAAAATTCAAGAGGCCGGGTGTGGTGGATCATGCCTGGAATCCCAGCACTTTGAAAGGCCGAGGCGGGCGGATCACCTGAGGTCAGGAGTTCAAGACCAGCCTGGCCAACATAGTGAAACCCTACCTCTACTAAAAATACAAAAAAAAAAAAAATTACCTGGGCATGGGGTCGCGCACCTGTAGTCCCAGCTACTCAGGAGGCTAAGGCATGGGAATAATTTGAACCTGGGAGGTGGAGGCTGCGGTGAGTCAATATCACATCACTGCACTCCAGCCTGGGTGGCAGAGTGTGACTCTGTTGAAAAAAAAAAAAATCAAGAACTGTTGCATATTTTATTTATCTTTGTATTTTCTGAGATATTTTTGACTGACCCTAAAATGAGCATCTGGATGGTAGATGACGGCAGCGGAAGATGAAGAATTAAGAAGTGGTTTTTGATTTGTAATATTTTTTAGTAGATATTATTAGTTGATGCCGCAGTTGTTGACTGTATTTATCTCCCAAGGGCATAGGAAGCCCCCTTGCAGATATTACTCTACCTAGCCTGACTGGGTGTTTGGGGAGGGAGAGAAGAGGTTAACAATAAATCCTGCAATATGTGCAGAAGTTTTTACACTTGTGTTTCTGCATATTTTCTTAGAAAAAGGGTCCACAGTTTTCATTATATTCTCAAAGGAGACCTATGACTTAATGAAAAGTTAAGTCTTGTTAGAGGAAGAGTGACATATTATAGGGTTATGTCTTCATAATGTTTCTTTTTTTCTGAAATTAGATTGGCAGTCCAATACGCTGGCACGAACTGAGGGTCTCACACTTTTGCTGTAACTCAAATTCTGGTCCTTACTTTACTTCTACTGCCTTAAAGCCACTCAAACAAAAGACCTGATTGCTAGAATTAGGTTGAGAAGACACAAAGTTTGAAGGGCAAAATTTCTGATAATGTTTGACCCAGTTTTGCATATAATGTATTTTTATTTGTTGATGAATATTTCCCTTTTGTTGCTAAAAGTGGCAAATAATCAGACATAGATTACTAATTAACAGTCTGCCTCAGTTTTTTTTTTTTTTAATTAATGAAACTTGGGCTTCATCAAGCTCAGGTGGAATGGATATCACAGTGCTTTATTTTTTCTGACATCAAAAGAAATTTCTTTGTCAAAGTGTAGACATGTTTGTTGTGACTGCCTTTTGTGTGGGTTCTTTTCTCCCAGCCCTCTCCTACTACAGGAGAGAGAGATAATGGCCCTTTGCTCCTCATTCCGCATTCAGACCAGATTCCCCAGCTGCAATCTCCTGCCATCGGATTGCATCACCAACTCAACCTAATTGGTGAGATGTCACTCCCTCCCTCCACCGCTCACTCTCATTTCTCAGTGAGTTTAGCTCTGTCACTCTCTCTAAAAGTTACTCTTGTTTTAGTGATTTGGGTGTAAACATTGATGATCCTTCTAATACTCTGTCCTCTTAATTTCTCTAAGTTCTCTTTCTAGTGATCTTGTCTCCCAGTGTGGTGGGTATATTCTGGCTAGACCAGGTCATTGTTTATGGTGGCAGCCCCTCTGTCATCTGAATTTAAGCGTCCCATTTTTTCGGTACTAGCATGGCTCACTGCAACCTCCGCCTCCTGGGCTCCAGCAATCCTCCCACCCTCGGGTAGCTGGGGCTATAGGCATGTGCCACCACGCCTGGCTAATTTTTGTATTTTTTTTTGTAGATAAGAGGTTTCACCATGTTGCCCAGGCTGGTCTCAAACTCCTGGGCTCAAGCAATCCATCCACCTCAGCCTCCCGAAGTGTTGGGATTACAGGTGTGAGCCACCATGCCCGGCTGACTTTGCCTACTCTTGCCCTAAGAAAATTGAAGCAAACCAAAGAGGAATCCAGAAACTTCAATACCACATCTATCCTCAACCAGAACCCACCCAAGGCCACCCTAACCGTGTACATTGTACCCATCCTCCTTTACTTACTCAAAGTCACCTCCCTTCTCTCTTCTGCATCCCTATGATTTCCCCTTTAGTGGATCCGCTTACAAACATGCTATTGTTTTTCTTCTAGCAAAACTTTACTTTGATCCCACCTGTCTCTGTAGCTACCACGCCATTCCTCTGGTCCCCTTTATGAAAGAGCTCCTCAAAGATTGTATGTACCAACATTTGCAGTTCGTCTCCTTTCATTCCCTCTTAAGACCACTCAAATCAGGCAGACCCCCTACCAGTCCAGTAAAACTGCTCTTGTCAAAGTTATTAGGGACCTCCTTGTTGCTAAATCCAGTAGCCTGTTCTCAGTCCTTACCTTATTCCACCTCTCAATAGCATCAACACTGCTGATCACTCCCTCCTCCATGACTCTTTCTTCATTTGGCTTCTAGGACACCCCACACGCTCCTGGTTTCCCACCCATTATCTTTTGCTGATTCTTCCTCTTAACGTTGGAGGGCCCAGGACCCAGTCCTTGGACCTCCTCTCTGTCCCCACTGTTGCCGTTTGTCATCTCACCAGTATCCTGGTTTAAATACTATCTGAATGCTGGCTCAAATTTCTATCTCTAGCCCAGACCTCTTCCTCTGAACTGCATACTTGCATTTCCAGTTGTTTACTTCACATCTTCTATGTTCAGATCTGAAAATCTGAACTCCTGATCTCCCGTAAACCCCAAAGCTGATCCCACAGTCTTGCTTGTCTCAGATAAAGGCAATGTGATTCTTCCAATTGCCCCAGTTTTGGAGTCATCTTTGTAGTCCTTTCTTTCTCGTATACCCACATCCAATGCAGCAGATCCTGCTGGTTCTATTTTCCTAATACTGAATTTATACAGAATCCGGTCATATTTTACGATCTCCACTGCTACTGTCCTGGTCTAGGGGACCATTGCTTTTTCTGGAATTGCCTCCTTACTTGTCTCTCTGCTTCCTCCCTTGGCCCATGGAGGCTGGTCTGAACCCCACAGTAGAGGGATCCTTTTCAAATCAGAAGTGGATATGTTGCTTCAGGTTTCCAAGTCTGCAGTGACTCCCCATTCCAGTTGTAATAAACGCGAAAGACCTTACAGTGATCTACAGGACCCTGTTTATCCTGCCTGGCTTCATCTCCCCTTACTAGTTTGTGCTCATTATATGAGGCAGGCACCTCCCAGGTCAGGGCCTGAGCCCTCTTCTAGCAGATAACCTTGTGGCTAACTCCCTCCTCTCAGAGAGCTACTGTGCCAGTCAATTAAAATAGCAAATCCTTCCCTCATTAGCCCTCTCCACCCACTTTATCCTGTTTCATTTTTTCCCATAGCACTTACTGGATTATGCTGATTGTCTTTTTCCACTAGAATGCAGGTATTTTGTCTAGGTTGAATCACTAGTATCTAGAACAGTGCCTGACACATAGTATGTGCTCAATAAATACACGTGTGCAGAAGCAAATCACATTTTTCATTGCTTTCCACAAGTGTGAGCCTGGGCTACATAGTGAAACCCCATCTCTACAAAAGATATAAAAATTGGTCTGGGTGCAGTGGCTCATGCCTGTAATCCCAGCACTTTGGGAGGCTGAGGCAGGCGGATCACCTGAGGTTGGGAGTTGGAGACCAGCCTGGCCAACATGGAGCAACCCTGTCTCTACTTAACATACAAAATTAACCAGGCATGGTGGCTCATGCCTGTAATCCCAGCTACTCAGTAGGCTGAGGCAGGAGAATCGCTTGAACCTGGGAGGCGGAGGTTGCAGTGAGCTGAGATGAGCCATTGCACTCCAGCCTGGGTAACAAGAGTGAAACTCCGTCTCAAAAAAAAAAAAAAAAAATGGCTGGGCATGGTAGTGCATGCCTGTGGTCCCAGCTACCTGGGAGGCCGAGGTGGGGAGACAGGGATCACTGGGCGTGGCGGGGGGTGGGGGGCGTGCCTGTAATCCCAACTACTGGGGAGGCTGAGGCACAAGAATCGCTTGAACCCAGGAGGCAGAGGTTGCATTGAGCTGAGATCGTGCTACTGCACGCCAGCCTGGATAACAGAGCAAGATGCTGTCTCAAACACAAACAAACAAACAAAAAACAAACAAGTGTGCAATCCCTGAGAAAAATATCAGTTCAATCTTTGTTGATCTTTATTGTCCCGATTGATTAGCTGCATGTCAGCCTTTGACTGTGTTTCCCAGATGCTCACGACAGATCGATCACTTGATGTTGTTTTCAACAGGCAGTCATGAAATGAGCAGACTGAGGTCAGTGTAGTATAGATATTTGTCAGCGTGGTTGCCAACTGCCTTTCCTCTTCTAAGATTGCCCTTTATTGTGTGATTATATTACATTTTTAGTTGGCATGAAAATGCCCATTTAGTGAAATGATGAGGATCTTCCTGGGGGAAGAATTCTGGCGTAAGAAGCTTTCTTCAGATTACTAAGCACTCTAAAAGGTCCCAGGTTATGGGGCTCTGGAAAGTAACGATGCGAATACTTCACTTGGTTATGTGATTTTTATTTTTGCCTTGGAAGTCTTTCTGCAAACAAGTCTTCCAGTGGAGGCTCATTTTAGGAATGTGACGATGCATTGCTGATAGGTAGGATGTGGCTTTCTATACAGCAGAGTTTGGGGGGTGGGACTGGCAGGTGAGTAGCTCAACCCAGGCTTCTGAGGGTCCTTCATGTCTTTTGGAACACAATTTGAAAATCACTGCTTTAATTGCTAAATTCTAGAAAACCTGGATGCCCTATTTAAAAAAAGAGCTTAGCTTAGTGTCAAAGAGGAACTAGGTTCCAGTTTTAGCTCTGCAGATCACCAGCTGTGTGACCTTGAATATGTCACTCAAGCTGTCTGCACAATTAATTGATTTGTTTGTAAGGTAAGGAGTATGGACTAGATGACCTCACACTGATCACTTTCTAAGCTCCAGAAAACCTAATTGTTAATGCTTAATTGTGCGAGCTGTGCTCGGGAAGGGCTGTGTTCTAGTACCTTCTTCCTCATCACTGTCATTTCAGTATTATCTACACTGATCTTCACAAATATTCTGCACACTTGGATTCTAACCTGCAATATTGCTGTTGGGGTTATAGAAATATAGATTATATGATGGTATTTAGGGTAAGCATTTTTATCTCTAAAATGAGTTAGATATCAAGGATGGCATGGTATTAGATTACACAATATTTGAAAAGAATAATAAGAAAAATCCTGCAGGATTTAAAAATCTTATTAGTACTCTTCTGTAGAAATACTTTAGGGAATGGTTCAGACAGTATCAGGTGCTGTGGGTGTAAGCATGGCCACCTGCTAGCTCTGTGAACCTGGACAAATGGCTTAGCTGCTCTGTGCCTGAGTAAAGTAGAGATAGTAATAGCATCAACCTCCTCGTGTTGTAAAAAGTAAGTGAATTAACATATATAAAGCAATTTGGGGCCAGGCGCGGTGGCTCATGCCTGTAATCCCAGCACTTTGGGAGGCCGAGACGGGTGGATCACGAGGTCAGGAGATCGAGACCATCCTGGCTAACACGGTGAAACCCCGTCTCTACTAAAAATACAAAAAATTAGCCGGCCTGATGGCAGGCGCCTGTAGTCCCAGCTACTCGGAAGGCTGAGGCAGGAGAATGGTGTGAACCCAGGAGGCGGAGCTTGCAGTGAGCCGAGATTGCGCCACTGCACTCCAGCCTGGGTGACAGAGCAAGACTCCATCTCAAAAAAAAAAAAAAAGCAATTTGGAACATAGAAGCACTCAAGAAATGTAAGCCGTTACCTCCATACAAATAATTATTATAATGTGGGTTTATTTCTTTCCAGTCTTTTAAAATAAGCATGTAAAAATAGTTTTAATCATATTGCACTAGGAAGATTTGTTTTTGTTTCTTAAATATATACAGAATTTCCCTTTTTCTGCTTCTTTATATTTAATAACAAGACATTCTAGGATAGACTAAGCCTTTTCATGGCTAATTGTCCTGTGGAATTCTTTTAGTTTTTCTCTTCCATGTTTATATATTTGATATGATTTTCTGGTAGAATTCTTGAAAAAATAACTGCATCACACAGTAGCTCTCCTCTCCCATTTTATTTTATTTTACTTGCTGAGGCTGGATATTATATTCTTTTGGCTGAAGTCACCATAGTGGATTCATACAACTAATTTCCAGCCAGTTTATGTAGATCATTTGCAAATGTATTAGTTACAGAGAGGCTCCAGGGGTGTACCAAAGAAACCTCAAAATACAGTGGCTCAAATAAAATCAGAGTTTATTTCTTTCTCTCCTTACAGTTCAGAGTTGGTGGGTGATGGAGGGTGGGAAGGTGGCTCCGCTTCATATGGTCTCTCAGGGATCCTGGTTCCTTCTCTCTTGTTCTGCCTTTCCAAAGTGTTGTTCCATTTTCTTGATGAGGCTTGCCCCTCAACACTATGTCAAGTTCTAGTCCAAGGAAAGAGAAAAGAGAAGTAAAAAATAAGCAATTTTTTAAAACGTGCATGGCCCTCAGGTTGCATTCCTGATTTCTTTTCACATCCCACTGGCTGCTGCTTAGCCACGTGGACTCATCTTGCTGCAAGGGAGGTTGAGAAATATGGCTTGTGCTGAGCTAGAACTGTGGGGATGGAGGAGAAGAGCAGGTTTCTGATACTGAAAAAAAAAAAAAGAAAAGAAAATAGAAAGGAGAATGGATAATAATAAATATACATATGCTTTGATCACAATTTCATGGGCCAAGTTTGAGTTTGGAATTTTCCAAGTCCTCAGATTCTATGACAGAACATGGTGGTGGAGAGAGCTGCCCCCTGGCTCCAGTTTGCAGACTTTCCCCTTTGTCTGCCCATGCTGGCTCCATTTGGCACTGGGAAGGGCTTTGCACCCAAGTTTGTGGTCAGTTGGCCAAGCACCCATGGTCTCCCACTCTTCCCCACTTGCAAACAGTAGTGTGGTCCACCCTTGCTTGGGAAAGAGCCCAGTGCTCATTTGAGCAGTGAGTACTAGGACCCTGTGCCTCTAGACCGTGCTTTAGGACTTGCATATCCCCTTGGTCCTCTGATTTCTCTATTTCTGGGGGAGAGATGGGGATGGAAGAGGGTAGAGTGAGGCCCTCTAAAAGTCAGGATTTAAGGCAAGGTCCTTGCTTGTCTAGGTCTACAGGTGATGCTACAAAGAGAATGTTACATTGATTCAGTTCTTAAAATTTTCCCTTTTCCTCATGCTTCTGTTTCATTAATATTCATATTTACTTTTTATAATATACATGTTATGTCTTTAATACACTAGGAGTAGAATATTTGTAATGAAATGGAGTGCTGTTTTAATGGATGAGAAAGGTAGGGAGGGGCTCAGAGAGGGAGGCTGGAGAATATTCACTTATTTAGCTTAATGTTTTCAACAGCTTAAAAAAAGAGAAAAAACAACCTTTGAGTGGCCCTTGTGATTAAATGGCAGTTTGCCCAGACTAGAGGGAGCCAGCGTTGGGAATAAAAACTAAGATTCACTTTGAAAATCTAGAAAAAAAAAATGACTACACAAGTCATAAGAATGTGCTTGATGGCTTGGGTTGTCTGAGTGCAAGTGAAGTAGGGCGCAGGCCTGGTTTCCGCATTCCCTGTCTGCTCAGCCTTTTAGCTCCTAACCCCATCCACTCCCTAGAGCTGGCCAGCCCAGACCCAGGACCTGGATGCTGACCTCTTCAGGGCGGAGCTGTTGCTGTGCTCAGACATCGTGACAACTTGTTGATGGGAAATGTAGCTGAAAGTCTAGCACAAAAAGCTGCTCTTGGGTTGGCCAGCGAACCTCCTTCATGGTAAAACTCCCCATCCCTTATCCAAATCCTTGGGACCAGATATGCTTCAGAATTTATGATTTTTCTTTTTCCCATTTCAGAAAGGCTATGGCCCATATGCCCTATGTTACATAAAGCCTCCAGAGGAGTTTGGGACAGTACCCTATCATCCAATATCTTCATCATTCTGCAGAAAATGTATGAATATTTACACTAAGTGGAACACAAACAGGGTTATAAATAGCCTCAGGTCAGTTCAGGTCACGTTTTGCTGCCAAATGGGTTATGGAAAAAGCCTTTGGTTTCCAGAGCTTTTCAGATCCTGGCATTGTGGATAAGGGATTGTGCACCTGGTATGGTGACTGCTTTCTCAGTGTCCATTTGGTGCCATTTTACATGTATTGCATTTGAAGTACTCACAACAAAAATACCTATGTATATATATACCTCTCTCTATATATTTTTTTCCTTATTTATTTATTTATTTATTTAACAGCTAAGGAAACAGGTTTCATGAGCTCGAATGGCTTACACAAGATCAAGAGGAGATGATCTCCTTTGCAAACAGAGGCCAGGACCCAGGGCCTGGGCACTTAGTGGGCTATAAGAGTTTCTAATTTGCTTGTTTGAAGCATTGGAACATAAGCCAGCCTGCAGAATCCTGTTTCACATTTAATGGTAGCTGAAAGACAATACTGCAGTAAAAGTGCCATAGGATGTAATTATCCTAACATTGTTTCTTAAGAAAAGACATCTTAAGTTCAACCAGCGGGGTCAGGAAGTGGGGTCCCTGGCCTGAACAGTGGCTTATCTTCCTTCCTGGATGGCTGGCAGGGGCAGTAGGTCAGTCAGGGCACTGTTCCAGGACCCAGTGGCAGTGTGGGCAGCACTGTGGTGAGATGGGAAGAGAGGAAGGAAGGTTCGGGTGCTTGATGTGCATTGAAGGGGTCAGGGAAGGGGGAATTGGCTACTGGCTGAGGTTCTGACACTAGTTGGACAGGGCCCGATGCCAAACTCTTGTTCTTGTTCTCACCTAGAAATTGCCATTAGTTAGTGCTGCTGCTGGGCATTATTTTAACTTAGACCAAGGCAGCCCTTTTGCGTGGGCAATTAGATAACGGCGCCCACTCTGGAGAGACACAGTCTGATGGACACACTACTTCGTGGGCTGTGCCTTTGTGCAAAGCAAAAGGTGTTCTTTCCTCCGTGCCGCTGTGCTGGCTGGATTTCAGCGTCGTTTTTCACCTTGGCCTCGTGCCTTTATGCAGTGGACAGATTTCAGGCAGCTTGGCATTAGTAGGAATCTACCTGAAAAGCACTTTATATGTGTTTGAATCCTTGGCATGATCTGGTGATGATCTGGCAGAATAGGTATTACCATGATTTGCCAGATGAGAACGTCATGGCGCTGTGAACTGCTGAAGGTCGCCTCGGCTCCATTGCTATCTGGACAGGACTGTTCCCTGTACACTCCCTCTTTCAAAATGGAAGAGGCAGCTAGAGGATTTCAGGATACATTTCCCTCAGTTGTTTCCTTCTGCACTACCTTCTCATCTTTCATGGTTGTATTAAAAGTGGGGCCTGGCACAGTGGCTCACGTCTGTAACCCCACACTCTGGGAGGCCGAGGCAGGAGGATTACTTGAGGCCAGGAGTTCGAGACTAGGCTGGGAAACACAGTGAGACCCTGTCTCTGCAAGAAAACAAAAAAAGTCTCTAAAAAACAAAACAACGGATAGACTGATGTTGGTTCCTATTTGGATATGTGTGGCAATTGGTGGCTCTTACTGACCCCATAGCTCTCATTCAGGTGGTTTGTGTGATAGTGGGCACAATGTTGTTGCCAATTGAGTTGAAAATGCTGTCATGTTGAAAGAAAACATCGGAAATGAGAGGGTCTGGGTAAATATATTAGTAGTATAGCTGTTGCTTTGTTTGCAGTCTCTTCACTTACATTACTTTCATTTAAAATTAACCATAATCTGTTAAACTTTTACTTCCAATAATGTATGGGTTCAGGAGTCTTAGCCAAAGTCAATGTTTTTCACAGGAAGTATCTGGATATACATTAACTTTTAAAATTGTAACCAGTTAGTTTCACTATAAAAGTTAGCAAAGTGTGAATGAATTGATCGCTTGCTAATCTGGAGCACACAAGGGAAATTAATTTTAGATGGAGAAAATATTTCCTAAAATAACAGAGGGAGGCAGAGAGCTAGGTGTATGTGTTGGGCCTTTCAAATATATTATTTCATTTACTCCCTACCATAATTTTATGGGGAAGATATAATTGTCAGTGTTTCATAGATGAGGATATGCTTGTTATTAGTTAGGACTTAGAGTAAGTTTTTTATCATATTTAAAAAATGCCCCATCTAATTCTGAATTCTTACAGAGAGCCACATAGGAAGTAGGATTTTGAAAAAGCAAAAATCAACAACAATGCAGAGAGGAAGAAATGAGTGGATTGGTAAGATAAGGCCATGGGTAGTTCACAGAAACTGCTTGCTTTCTCTAACATGCTTGCTCCCTTTGGTAAACTTTGGATGCATATTTGTCTCAAAGTGTCATATTAGACAAAGCAATAAGAAAATGGTTAGTTTTAAGATTGACATAATTCATAAATTCTCACAAATACATTTGATGAAATAAGGCAGTTTGTGTTTCTCCTGGTCCTGAGGACCCCCAAAACTCAGAACCTCATAAATAGGACAGCGAATGATATGGAGGAAGCTATTTCTTCAGCTACATGTGATAATCTAGATGAATAGAACTCTCATTTGTGGCATCCCATATTGTAAACCAGTTACAGTACAGAAAATCATTTTAAAAAAAGAGAGATTGCAGGAAGTTCGCCAACGATTTGCCTTAATCCTGAAGCCAATTTAAACATTCCAATCTGATATATATATTTATTTTAGTTTATTTTTTTTGAGATGGAGTCTTGCTCTTTTCGGAGTGCAGTGGGGCCATCTCGGCTCACTGCAACCTCTGCCTCTCGGGTTCAAGCAATTCTCCTGCCTCTACCTCCTAAATAGCTGGGATTACAGGCACCCACCACCATGCCTAGCTAATTTCTGTATTTTTAATAGAGATGGGGTTTCACCATGTTGGCCAGGTTGGTCTCGAACTCCTGACCTCAAGTGATCCACCCACCTCGGCCTCCCAAAGTGCTGGGATTACAGGCATGAGCCACCGCGCCCAGCCCCAATCTGGTATCTTGATAAATTACCAAATTGTTGTAATAGAGATTAGTACCTTCTCTTACCTTTCTTTTTATAAATTAATTTTTTAAAATAGTCCTCAGACTTTCCTGTCAAGGAACCCTTTGATAGTTGATCATATTGCATGGTACTTTTTCCATTGCTTTATGTAAATTTCTGCTCTCACAGTCAGTAAATCTGAACATAAGCATTTCTTTCTGGGCTTTGTTCTGTCCTTTCCTTTCCTGGAAATAGCTTCCAGATGGGATTGTTTTCTTTTGACAAACCTCACGACTGTATGTTTCACCATTTTTTGACCTATTATCTCTTTTTGAGTTTCATTTTCGGCTTAGGTACTCTGCTTGTAGGATTTTTTTTTTAACACCCTGTGATATATACTGAAAATACTTTGCACTGTTAAGAGCCTGTACAATAATACTGTTAACGATGAAGTGCTGTGGACTTCTCTGTAACTCCCAATTCTTCAAAGGAAAATTTTCCTTCAGTGTATTCCATCTTTCTTACTTCTTCAAGTTTATTTAGGGAATACCAAGAAATAAAGTGTTGCTTAGTTTAATTCCTTTATAATGTCTTTATTTTTATTTATTTATTTATTTTCTGAGATGGAGTCTCATTCTCTTGCCCAGGCTGGAATGCAGTGGTGGGATCTCAACTCACTGCAACCTCTACCTCCTGGGCTGAAGTGATTCTTGTGCCTCAGCCTCCTGAGTAGCTGGGATTACAGGTGCCTACCACTACGCCTGGCTAATTTTATTTTATTTTATTTTTGAGACCGAGTTTCGCTCTATCGCCCAGGCTGGAGTGCAGTGGCGTGATCTTGGCTTACTGGAACCTCTGCCTCCCGGGTTCAGGTGATCCTCATGCCTCAGCCTCCCGAGTAGCTGGGATTATAGGCACTTGCCACCACGCCTGGCTAATTTTTGTATTTTTAGTAGAGATGGGGTTTCATCATGTTGGCCAGGCTGGTCTTGAACTGCTGACCTCAAGTGATCTGCCTGTCTCGGGCTCCCAAAGTGCTGGGATTACAGGCGTGAGCCACTGCACCTGGCCTATAATGTCTACTGAAAATAAATCTAGCTGGGCATGTTGGCTCATACCTGTAATCCCAGCACTTTGGCCGGCGTAGGCAGGCAGATTGTTGGAGCTCAGGAGTTCAAGACCAGCCTTAGCAACATGGTGAAACTCCTCTCTACAAAAAATACAAAAATTAGCTGGGTGTGATGCCAGCACCTGTGGTCCCAGCTACTTGGGAGGCTGAGGTGGAGGGATCACTTGAGCCTTGGAGGTCGAGGCTGCAGTGAACTATGGTGGTACCACTGCACTCCAGCCTGGTTGACAGAATGAGACCCTGTCTCAAAATAAAACAAACAAAAATAAATTTGCTTAAAATTTTTTTGAATTAAAGTTAATTTTTATAATATTTAGTTAGGTTTTTTTTTTTCCTCATTATTCTTTCACATTTTTCCAGGTTAAGGTACATGAATTTTACTCTTTTAATGTTGTGGCCCAGGGTAGTCTGTCTGCCAATCAGGCTGTTAAGTTGTGGGTCTGACATTTTCCTTGGAAATGCTGTTTCTGGGCATGTTAGACTTTCTGTACTTGTGTGTTGCCTTTTGGCAGAGACTTCGACACTTAAGGATTTGTTGATAAAATGACAAATTGTTTCATGAGGCATTTACTTGGTACTAGACATTTAGATGATTGTTTCTCGGAATAACTTGGTTGACTAACATCTTTCTGCTTCCTGTCGTCATGATCACTTCTGCAAAGGACGAAGCCTAGTACATTTTCTGGTAGAATCTTATATACCATAAGATTTAGTTGAAACATTGTATGTTTCTATCTTCAGTTTTTGGTCCCAAGTTATTTTAAGTAATTTTTTCTTTTTCTGTTGCCCAGGCTGGAGTGCAGTGGCGCCATCTCGGCTCACTGCTACCTTGATCTCCTGGGCTCAAATGATCCTCCCATCTCAACCTTCAGAGTAGCTGGGACCACAGGCACATGCCACCATGCCCAGTTAATTTTTATACTTTTTGTAGCGACAGGCTGGTCTCAAACTCCTGAGCTCCAGTGATCCACCTGCCTCACCCTCCCAAAGTGCTGGGATTATAGGCATGGGTCACCATGCCCAGACTTAAGTACATTTTTTTTTTTTTTTGAGACGGAGTCTTGTTCTGTCACCCAAGCTGGAGTGTAATGGTGTGATCTTGGCTCACCGCAATGTCCGCCTCCTAGGTTCAAGCAATTCTCCTGTCTCAGTCTCCTGAATAGTTGGGATTACAGGCACGTGCCACCACGCCCGGCTAGTTTTTGTATTTTTGGTAGAGACGGGCTTTCACCGTGTTGGCCAGGCTTGCCTTGAACTCCTGACCTCGTGATCCGCCCGCCTCCGCCTCCCAAAGTGCTGGGATTACAGGCGTGAGCCACTGTGCCTGGTCTTTAAGTAAATTTTTAAAGGTGTAAATTCTGCAGACTCGGATAAAAATAATTATTCTATTGTGTCTTAACAGATCGTTATAATTGTGAAGATTAAATGAGTTCAAAGTATTTGGCTAATATTGTTAGGGGCTGTTGCTTTTGTTATTATTATTACTATTACTATTACGTCCTGGCTTCATTCCTGCTCTCTCTTTCCCTCTTTGCATCATTGCCTCTGACTATCTCCAGGCTGCTGATAGTGAGAGGGGCCGTCTCCCAATCCAGGTTACCAGGTCTGGATGAATGGACTCTGACCCACTTTTCTGGCCACTGGAATTTTGCCTTTGTGAATATTATAAATAGTAATATGTATACAAAGAATGATTATGAAATAATCAATTATAAATTGGTTGGAATGTGTCTGATGCTCAGACATACACACACAATTTGACATTCTGGTTAGATTTCTCTGTGCAGGAAGCAAGGGAACAACAGAGCAGTGAGAAATCAAAGGAGAGAAGGGTATTCTGGGGCAAAGGACAGTTTCCATAGGTAGAATTACAGAGGTAAAACCATTAATCAAAAAAAACTAGTGCACCACTCACTCGATTTTTCCACCCCTTCCTTTCAGTCGTGGTCTGAGCTTTCGCATTCAGGTTGAAGATGAACTAGCATGTGCCTCATTTAATACTGGGAACTTTTATTTACCTGAGTCTGCTTTTTGAAATCTGTTAAGTGTTGAGTTTCTATTTGCACCTTATTCACCAGATTTACTTATTGTCTTTCCCTGCTAATGGGGATGGAGTGGGGGGAGGTGCTCGTGGCAGGCACTCAGACAAGCTCGCTGTGCAGCAGTGGCTCTGAGGGCACAGCTGTTTGGAATCAGCTGATCATTTTCAAGCATCTCTAGCTCATCATATTAAACACAGTTGCACACGTTTAGTGGTTGCTTAATTTTAACCTGAAACACTGTATGAAATAATTTGATGTATAAGAAGTATTGTAGTGATAAGAAGAGTAGCTTAATGGTTTTTCATGTTTTCTATGCCAGCCACTATTTAACCGTTTTACTATTTACAAACACACACACACACACACAACCATATACACCCATATCTGGGTATATGTGTTTGTCTATATACATACATATATGTGCATGTACACACATATATAAATTCATTTGATCCTCACAATAACCCTATAAAAGAGGCACTTCTATTTTCGCCTTTTTACAGTCAGGAAGCCAAGGCAGAGAGTGGGTAAGTAGCTTGCCCAACACGGGTAATGAGGGACAGAGGTGGAGTTTAAACCCAAGTAGCTGTGCCATATCTTTTTTTTTTTTTTTTTTTTTTTTTTGAGACAGAGTCTCGCTCTGTCATCCAGGCTGGAGTGCAGTGGCGTGATCTCGGCTCACTGCAGCCTCTCCCTCCCGGGTTCAAGCGATTCTCCTGCCTCAGCCTCCTGAGTAGCTGAGATTACAGGTGTGTACCACCATGCCCGGCTAATTTTTGTATTTTTAGTAGAGACAGGGGGTTTCACCATGTTGGTCAGGCTGGTTTCGAACTCCTGGCTTCGTGATCTGCCCACCTCGGCCTCCCAAAGTGCTAGGATTACAGGCCTGAGCCACTGTGCCTGGCCTTTTTTTTTTTTTTGAGATGGAGTTTTGCTCTATTTCCCAGGCTGAAGTATAGTGGCGTGATCTCCACTCATTGCAACCTCCGCCTCGGGTTCAAGCGAGTCTCCTGCCTCGGCCTCCCGAGTAGCTGGGATTACAGGTGCCTACATTCACGCCTGGCTGATTTTTGCATTTTTAGTAGAGATGGGGTTTTACCATGTTGGCCAGGCTGGTCTTGAACTTCTGACTTCAAGCGATCCACCCGCCTCGGCCTCCCACAGTCCTGGGATTACGGGCGTGAGCACCCGGCTGCCCATACTCTTAATCACTACCCTGGAGTAGTTCTCAGTGCTGAGCCTCTAACTCCAAGCAAATGATAATTAAATAATTACCACAATATGCCCAAAGTTATTTTATTACAAGCAAATTTATGAAATGATGCAGTTTTTTTTCACATGGAAACTGGTTTCTTTTGTTTACCTTGGATGGATGTTTGTTTGGGAGTTGGCTGTTTTCATTTGTTAAATAAATATTTTAGTTGGGTGTTTGTGTAGCAAGTGATCTTGGTGGCTCCCTGCAGTGTGTCCTGCACTGGTGAGCACCTGGTGAGCATTCACTGAATGTGTCTGATGGATTTACCACACTCATCTGTGAACCTGTAGCTCAGCTAATCCCCCTAAATCTGTGAGTGGCCCTTCTCAGCTGCCCTGCAGGGGACTTTGTGGAGCAGGAATTTATTTTGACCAGCAAACTACCCTTGTGACTCATCACCAAGAGCTTCTATCATTCTCTAGCAGGATTTGGAAATTAAAGACACTTTGACTCAGAAATATCTTCCACACAGGGACTCATTAAATGAAACTAACATCCTGGTGGGCAAAGTGTAGGAGAAATAGTAAAAGTGGATTTCGGCCGGGCGCGGTGGCTCACGCCTATAATCCCAGCACTTTGGGAGGCCGAGGTGGGCGGATCACGAGGTCAGGAGATCGAGACCATCCTGGCTAACACATCCTGGTGAAACCCCGTCTCTACTAAAAATATAAAAAATTAGCCAGGCGTGGTGGCGGGCTCCTGTAGTCCCAGCTACTCGGGAGGCTGAGGCAGGAGAATGGCGTGAACCTGGGAGGCGGAGCTTGCAGTGAGCCGAGATTGCGCCACTGCATTACAGCCTGGGTGACAGAGTGAGACTCCGTCTCAAAAAAAAAAAAAAAAATGGATTTCATGGGCCATTGGAAGTCACTGTCTTAAGCAGTGCTTTGTACCTGGGGACTCCATCCATGTGTAAAGGATTAGTGAGCAGGATACACATAGGGAAATGTGTAGGGAGTGTGTGATTCTGATCTTTTTAGAGGCAAATCCAGTTTAAATGTGGAGAGTGGCACTATTTTGGCTTCCTAGCAATTCCAGGTCTAATGCTTACATTTAAGTAACAAAGATGTTTGCATTGATGAAGCATAACCTTGGCAATTCTTAAATTTGGGGATTGGATTGACTATATATATGCCCTTCAGTAAGCTATTAAATCATCATGACCACTAGGTAAATGGTGGATTAACTACTATAAAGATTATTTATGAGTATTCCAACATCATTCATCTCCATCCCCTTATCAAGATTAATAGACAAATTATTATCATTTGAATGAGAGCCAGAAGAGCCCTCCCTCCCTCCAATTAATGATGGGCTGGAAAAGAGCAAGGAGATCACTTTTTGTGATAATCTGTTTTAAATGTTAGGGGATTTTAAACATTCTTACATCAGAATCCATGAAGCACAACATTAATATTTATTTTGCTTAAAAGTTTGCAGTCATTTAGTAGCAATTACTTTTATCTTTTCCTTAAGCTTTCTCAAAAACATTAAGGTTTAAAGAAAATAAAAGAACACTTTATTAAAATTTCTCTCTTTCTCTTCCTTGTTCTCTCTTTCTCTTGCTTGTTTTTTTGGTCATATATTAAACATATATCACGATATGGGCAAAATATTTTTTACAAGCTTCTTGACTGCCAGGGGATTAATCAAACTGGCTGTATGTGTCCTTTTAAACCAAGTAATTTGGGCGAAAGCTTGCAATTTTATGAATATGCTGGAAAATCTTACCTTTATTAGCTTGAGAAGTTTTCTCCATCCTTAGGTAGCCAAAGACAATTTTACTCGGTTTTGTGGGGAACATTGGTATCAGAGGTGAAGTTCTTTCTGATCTGCAAGGTGGCCTTGAAATTATTTCTGTATTTCACCATATTACTATCAACAACATTTGTTTTCCTTTCAGCCAGGATGAGAATTGCTATCTGTTTTCAGAACTTGGAGGCAGACCTTTAGGGGTCAGAGAAAGCTGAGCATTTGGGTTCTAGAAACCTTTACACTGGGTGTATTTTTATTTCATTGTTAATATCTCGATATAGATTTGCTTTAATACATATAGGTGAACTTTGAGCTTCTGTATTTATTTTGGCATACATTTTTAGAGATTAAATTTATTTAAATTTTTAATAAAACATTAATGCAATTTAGGATTTTTAGTACATGAAGTAAAAGTAAGTCTGCATCGAGGTCCCCAAAAAGCAACTGTAATTTGGCTGTATTGATTTACCAAGTCTAAAGTAAAATTTCACATTTGAAAATAAAGGAAAGGAAATGTAATTTTATGCTATGACTATAAAATTTCTCTCTATAGGAAATCACTGCATATTTCAAATTGGACTTAATCATAAAGAGAATAATTAACTGACAGTTACAGCTGATGTTATTAATATTACTGTAAAAAGTCTGGGTTTGGCCATAAAGTATTTAGCAAGACTACCTTTTGGAATTCAAGACTATGAGAACCACGTCTTGCTTGCACACTGCTCCATGTGAAACTCAGTGCCAGGCTCATGGAAATGGGACCATTTTAGGAGTCTTCCTGTGTATAAATTAAAGAGAGCAGAACTTACAGTTAAAAGTGGTAGAGCAATTTGTGTTTATCATTGCTTGCTGTCATGTTGCTACTATAATTACAATAAGAGAACAAAAAGGAATAAACTCCTGTGGTCAAATGGAAGTGGAAATGAAATAACCATTGATGGGGAAGAAAGACGATGGTGGAGTGGCTTTCTTATGCATCTCACAGATTTTGCAAGCCCTCTGATTGAAAGTTGCCAGGATTGTTTGAGGTTGGTTCAGGGGAAAGTGGGAGAAGTTTGAAGCTGAAAACTGAGAGTTTGGTTGAGAATCTTTAAACAGCACACTTTGACTCTCAGAGCTTTCCCCTTCTTCCTCACCTGCACAGGAGAACAGAGATTTATATATTTTTTCTGGAAAAACTGAATTCCAACTTGGGATCCTTAGCCCAGAGAGCATGGCAAGGCTCTGAATAGACATCAGGAAGATTAACTGACACCAGGAGGTGCCCCAGTTCCTGAAGCTATACCTGTCTGCTATAGCTTGAAGTGTCCCCCGAATTTCATGTTTTGGAAATTTAATCCCCAGTGCAACAGTGTTTGGAGGTGGGGCCTAAAAATAGGTGATTAGGTCATGAGAGCTCTGCTCTCTTTCTTGAATGGATTAATGTCATTATTGCAGAAGTGGGTTAGTTATCTTGAGAATGGCCTTGTTATAAAAGTGAGTTTGACTCTCTCTTGCTTACTTGCTGTCAGTGTATCCTGCCCTTTCACCTTTTTCCATGGGATGATGTAGCAAGAAAGCCCTCAGTAGATGCCAGTGCCATGCTTTTGGACTTCCCATCCTCCAGATCCTTGAGCCAAATAAATTTCTGTTCATTATAAATTACCCAGTCTGTGGCATTCTGTTGCAGTAGCATAGAATGGACTAAGACAGCCTCCCATCGCTGATCAGCCACCAATTAAAGAGTGCTTTTACTGGGAGTACAGTATAGTTACAGCACGTAAATTGATTACCTTACTTTGAGCCCACCAGTTGGTAGGTGACACCCAAGCCTATGCATTGTTGAGCCTCATTTTGAAATGGGAGGGGCTGCTAGGAGTCAGCAGATGTTTGAAAGCCTCCACCAGTAGACCTTATATTAACACAAACAAAAGGAAGGAGCCACTTAGGGGAAATAGGAATGTGGCCTGTATCCTCAGAGAAGTAGGAAAATAATTGTGTCTTTGAAACAAGAACAGAATGTGATAAAAAAAAAATCAGAGAATAAGAAAGAGATCTTGGAAATTAAAAGTGTGATATCAGAAATAAGATCTCAAGTAGAGATTGGAAGAGTGGATATAAAAGTGATAAGTAAAAAAAGTCTTATAGATAATGTCTGACTTGCAATCAGGAAGGAGTTTATAAGCATAGTATTTAGAAATGCATAATCTATTGTCAGAAGAAACAGATAACAGAGGAAAGGGGATGCCCAAGCCTGCTGCATTGTGTTATCATCTTATTTTATTGAAAACAAACTTAAGTGCATTTATTACTTGGATAAAAATTGAGAAATATATAATGAGATAGACTGTAGAAATCATTTTATTAAAACATTTTATTGATAGTACAGAAAATGCTGTACTGTTACTTTTTTTGGCAATTTCATAAAGCTCTGTGAATAACATGGTCCCTTAGTTTTTTTTTTTTAGTAGCCCTCTTTTCTCAGCACCAAATTCTTGCTGTTGTTAGGCATAGTCATCCTAATATTTTTTATACTTTCTGCCAGGCCTGAGAAGCTTCATGGCTTTAGAAATCATCTAAATCATCACATTGTGTGTGTGGCTGTAAATATCCAAATTATTTTGAGGCAAGTTTCTCCTCTGATGTGACGGCCATGTATTTTCCATATTGCTGATGATGATGGGAGTGTTTTCTCTGAGACATTTTACACTTGTGGTATATTTAGCTCACTAGTAATGAATTACAAATGCAAGGAACTTGGAATCCTGAATGAATACTAGGAGCGAGCCGACTTTCAAGCTGAAATGGTCTCTTTCCAACATTTTCTGGCTGATACACCACTTTTAATAGTAAGTGGCTTCCTTCTGCTCTTCTCCATCACTTGCAACCATGGATGGCTGTTGTGGTAACACGGACCCTCACAGAATCTTAGATCTGGTAGATGCTTTAAGGGGCCAACCAGTCCAGTTATTTTCCCCTATCCCTGAGGAATCCCACTCAAGGAGGGAGAAAATGATTTTCTCAAGATGCACCTGTTCCTATGAGATGACTAGGGGTCCAAACTTGGCATTCTTTCTGCGTCTCTAGGCCACCTGGACCTGAAGGACAGTTCTGACTTTCCTTCAAATCTCATGCCGTTGTTGATGCTCGTCTGGTGGATTTGTACCTGAGAAGGGATGTTTCGGGAGGGATTTTAGGCTTCTGTCTGCTGTGTGAAGCCGAGGGGGTTTTGTGAATATTCTGTAAGAGATGTGACGCCTGTGGATGAAAGCAGACAGATCAGGCCGACCTTGGCTTGGAGTCTAAGTTTTAGAGACAGAAAACAGGGAGGGGGTGAAGGAGAGGGGAAATGGGAGGAGGAGAAGGAGGAGGGGTGCCAGGATCATTTCTTTTCCTGTTACGCATTTTCCTTTTGGCGGGAGAGAGTGAGAAAGCTCCTGAATGTAACTGGAGCTGCTGAACTGAACTGGTCAGAACCTGTCCTAATTTGTGTAAAAGAAATGCTGTGGTATTTATTCTTCCAGAGAAGCCCACATAACGCAACCAGGGCCTGCTGGCTGCCCTTGAGGTTCTGCAGAGCTTGGTTTTGGTGTCTTCTCTGAGCCTGTTTTCTGCTGAGGCAGCCCCTGGGTGTTGCCCACTGGCCTAACTCCCTCCAGGCTCGGCCTTTCGCCTCTCATCAAAGCTCTTTTTTCCCTGGATTTTAATGGTTGGCTGATTAAAGTAGTTCATAGTAAGGTGTTAATTATAACTCTTTCCGGTGGTTATGTGCATATATTCACAGAGTTGTTACAGAAGTAAGGGGACTGGGCTGCTCATGGTGGCTCATGCCTGTAATCCCAGCGCTTTGGGAGGCCGAGTGGGTGGATCTCCTGAGGTCAGGAGTTCGAGACCAGCCTGGCCAACATGGCAAAACCCCGTCTCTACTAAAAATAACAAAAATTAGCTGGGCATGGTGGCGGGTACCTGGAATCCTAGCAACTCGTGAGGCTGAGGCGGGAGAATCACTTGAACCCGGGAGGTGGAGGTTGCAGTGAGCCGAGATCACACCATTGCACTCCAGCCTGGGCAACAAGGGCGAAACTCCGTCTCAAAACACAAAACAAAACAAAACAAAGCAAAACGAAACAAAAAACAACGGAAGTTAGATGGGGCTGAATTTCCAACTGCTAGGCTAGAACTAGGACAACACTGTGAGGGAAATCGGAGTGTAATACATTCCGCAACCCCACCTGTCTACTATCGCAACCCCACCTGTCTGCTATCCTCCCTTTGCAAGCCCAGGGCCTTGATGGTTCAAGGATGAGTCTTTCTAGAAAAAAGGGAGAGAAGTTTCTTTCCTTTTTTTTTTTTAAACAAAAGAAAAACAAACATGTTTATTAAGATATGCGTAGTGCATACACATGGGAGTACCCAGACATGAGTAATTCAAAGGGTTGGTTAGAACTGGGCTTATCTAGCATCTTAACAAAGGAACGATAACTTTTTAGAGAGGTGATGAAACAAAGGAAAATGACTTTAAGCTTCCAGGTGTTACCAGAAGTTTCATCAAATCAAGAATATTCTTAGGAGTGTCAGGGGTGTCTAATAGTTGAGCTGTTAAGTAACTCTTAAACTTGTTAATGTCTCTTGGGAATTTCTTCTTTTAGAGTTGTTTTGTATTAAAACCAAGGAAATAAATATCTTTATTTGTTTTAAAAATAGTATCTTAATTTATTAATTTTGTTTATTTTGCAAAGTCTTTTTAAGGAAATATTATTTCCTTTTACAATGAGTAAAAATACATTCATTCAGAACAAAATATAATTGTTTCTTGGTGCATCAGATGTTTATATCTCATGATAGTGATCTGTTAATAGATCAGGGTTTTTATTCTTTATCTTCATCCCCCCTTCATTGCCCCCATAGACTCCTTTGGCAGTTTAGTGAAGCCAGACAAATTTTTTTTTGAGACAAAGTCTCACTCTGTTGCCCAGCCTGGAGTGCAGTGGTGCGATCTTGGCTCCCTGCAACCTCTGCCTCCCAGGTTCAAGCGATTTTCCTGCCTCAGTCTCCCAAGTAGCTGGGATTACAGTTGCAAGCCACTGTACCCAGCTAATTTTTTGTATTTTTGGTAGAGACGGAGTTACACCATGTTGGCCAGCCTGATCTTGAAGTCCTGACCTCAGGTAATCCCCCTGCCTCGGCCTGCAAAAGTGCTAGGATTACAGGTGTGAGCCACCGCACCTGGCCTTTTTTTTTTTTTTTTGAGATGGAGTCTCACTCTGTCACCCAGGCTGGAGTGTAGGGGGGCGATCTCGGCTCACTGCAACTTCTACCTCTCGGGTTCAAGCGATTCTCCTGCCTCAGACTCCCGAGTAGCTGGGACTACAGGCGCACGCCATCATGCCCAGCTAATTTTTGTATTTTTAGTAAAGACAAGATTTCACCATGTTGGCCAGGATGGTCTCGATCTCTTGACCTTGTGATCCGCCTGCCTCGGCCTCCCAAAGTGCTGGGATTACAGATATGAGGCACCGCACCCAGCCTGACAAATATTTTTAAATGCATAAAATAGAGTACATGGTATTCCATGCATACAGTTACCAAAATACTGAAAAAGTCTGTGAGAGAGTAGTATTTGCTGTTTCATTAGTGTGTTCAGTAAGAACTTCTAGCATCTCTAACCTCTCTACTCTTCTGAAATAACAACGAGCCAAATGGTATTTTCAAGATACCTGCTAGAGTTGTAAGGTGATGTGAAAATGGTTATGATTTTTGCTGGTGACACAGTCAAAGCTACCACTAATAATGTGTTTTGTGATCTGCCATCACAATGGAAGGAAATGCAAATTTCTGTTAGAGGTCAGTGAAAAGATCTAATTGCTTTTCCTGTCCAAGTTCATGGACCCCCTGCCTGGTAATAACCCCTGATAAAGATGATGGCTTAAAATGAGTATTTGTTTCCTTAAACCTCAGCAGTGGCAGCAGTGTGCCACAGAGTGTTTCAAAAGAGACAACAATTTTAAATGGAAAGTAGTCTTGGGTGAATGCCCCATATGGCAGGCACTGCACTGGGTGTAGTTGACAAAACTGATGAGCTCTATGATGGCATCTGGCCTCTTGAGTGTGTAGACTAGTACGAGAACCAGACATCAAATTGCAGAGCATACAAATAGTTGTTTAACTGCTTAGAGGGTAGACATTCTGCAGTGCTGTCATGGCAAATCACTCGGGGACTTCATAGGGACCTGGAATGAGTGATAGTTTGAGTGGTCAGGGAAGGCCTTCTTGAGGAATCTATTCAAGTCCATAGTTCAAGGTGGTGGAGGGCACTGGCTGAAGGCAGAGCTGTGTGCAGGCTCTAAGCTGGCAGAACTTGGCCCACAGAAAGCCTGATTGAGGCCGGTGATTGGGAGTGAAGTGAGCAGAGGGCTGTGGATTAAAATTGGCAGAAAGATGCAGTCTGCATTTCACTCAGTAGTATTTCTTATCCTGATTGAAGGGGCATGGTTTACCTCTTAGTTTGAGGGCATGTATTATTTAGTGCATTAATGGATGGATCCCTAAAAGCATTAGGAATTAGTCTGGAGTATGTAGGTTGAAAAATAGGTTATAAAATTGATGAGAACAAGCTCTCTTGCAAGAGTTAGAAACATAAAAACAAATTTTTCTAAAGCTAAATTCCTTAACATTTTTCCTCACTCAGATTTCTATTTGGCTTGAATCTAAGGAAAACCTGAGAAGAGAGGAAGTGCTTGGCTTCTCTGTATACCAAGCAGTTTCAACAGTGGTGTTTGTAGAAATGCATACCTTGCTGTTCCTAGGCAGATAAGTGTTGTCACACGTCTTCAGATTTTAAGGCGACAGGCTCCACACCTGGCAGAGGCTCAGACAGAGCAGACCAGGATTGGGCTATTCACAGAGGCAGGAATGTGACCATTCTGGTCCGGGCAGTTGGGGAGGAACTCATCTATCCACGGTTCCCATACTGTTTGGCCCTGTTTTTCAATTTGACTCCATCAAAGCACATTCTCCAGCCGAGGGGTACACATCCCTTTGTGACTTCAGAAATCATGCACTGTTGGTTTGGGAGTCTTAACTACATTTGGAGGACACGCTGAGCCGACGAGAAATGGAAGTGAGATCTGAATCCACAAACGGAGACGGCAGACAGTCACAGGCAGGTAAAGACTCATTGAGAATGTGGCTACTTAAATTTTGTCCACCTGTTCATTGAAAGGAAGCCGAGGCATGACTCTCCGCCAATAATTAGTGTGAAAATTACTGAGTTAACAGATTCTAAATTATTTTGTCCTCTGGGTGACCTAGGAAGTTTTTAAAAGACGTTTTTTCTAAATAATGTCATGAAATAAGATAGTTACATGTAAAGAATCTAACAAGGTCAGTCATTAAAAACATTTTCTAAATATGATTTATTTTGCTTACTAACCTTGTAAATCATCTAGGATAGGACCACTGTCAGCCTCAGAGCCTGGCACAGAACTTGGCACTTAATGCGTGTTTGTTGAATATGAATGGATTGGGTCCAGTGTCTAATGATACGCTATGAAAGTTATTCCATCACTTCTCCGTGATGGAAAAAGATTTACCGAAAAGTGTCTGTTGTATGAAAGTCATATGGGGTAGAAATTAAACTGTAAATGAGTTAAGGAGCTGTAACCTTGGCGCTATTCCAAATCTCCAACAATTGAGTAGTTAATTAGTGCCCCTGCATCCATTTAATTTGTCCATTTATCTCTTGGTTCGTTCACTGTCATTTATTTCTCTCTGCTGGTGCCAAGTTACGTGATAGGCTGCTGGGAGGCAGACAAGCAAGATCTCTGCTTGCAGGCTTTCAAACGCAGCGATTCAGCAGCGTGGTAAGACGTGTGCTCATGATACATACTATGTGCTGTGGGACCACAGGTCAGGAAGGATAAACTCCCGGAGTTTTGCTCTTCCTCAGAGGGTCAAGGAATGTTTCCCAGAGAAGTGACTTGCAAAGTGGTAGAGAGGAATGTGGAAGGGAAGAATTCCAGGCTGAGGAGAAAGTGTTTGGAAAGGCAAATATTCAGTGAATCATATGGTGAGATGCCATTTTCAAATGTATAATGCACCTCCTTGCTCACTGTCCATCATTGCCCCATCCAGCCACACTGGTCAGCTTTCAGCTCTGGGAACAACCTCTGTTTACAGGGTCTTTCCTCCACCTGGAATACCGGCCCCCAGCTCTTGGCTATCTCCTTCTCCTCCTTCTGGGATTGGGCATTGGATGAAATTGCACCTGCTTAGAGAAGCCTGTCCTGACACCCACCTGAAGTAGATTTTGTGCTGTTGTCTCCACCATCCACACTTGTCACCATTGCTCATTGCTTTTGTTCACTTGTTTGTTTACTTTAGTGTTGATAGGTCCCCAAGACTGTGCTCTCCATATGGGCAGGGACCAAGGTTGTCTTGTTCACGATTGTGTCCATAGTGCCTTGTACGGTGCCTGTTCTGTAGGGATGATAGATCCTTGTGAATGAATGAATGAGTGAATGAATGAATGAAAAGGCGGAGTCACTTAAAAGAACAAAAGCATTTGTAATAGACTTGCTATTCCTGTTTATTCTTTGAAATTTGAGGTAATTCTTAACTAGCCACTTAGGATCTCCATTAAGAACCCTAGTCAAGACCTTTGGGTATTACCTCAAAGTAAAACAAAGTGGGAGTATTTTGGATCTTTGGAAGTTAACTTGAAAAAATCTAAGGATTCTTTAAATTGAATATATAGGGAAGAGAGAACTCCTACTCAGAATACTTAAGTTACAAACACAAGAAAAATTCATAGATTAAAAAAATTGAACAAAGAGTATCATTAAGTCAAACCGTTTTTAATAGTAATTTTGTAAAGTTATTTATGACACTATTTTTTATGTATATTCTCAGTTCTCTAAAACCTGATAATTTTGGTGATTTACTCTTATCTGTGCTTTGAACACTTTATTCTTATAATTAATATCATTATTTTTAACTTACTGAAACCTTTCAACTTACGTAATCAGTAATGTTCTCATGCTGATATTAACCTTTTATTTATTTATTTATTTATTTATTTATTTATTTATTTATTTATTTGAGATGGAGTCTCATTCTGTCACTCAGGCTGGAGTGCAGTGGTGCGATCTTGGCTCACTGCAACCTCCACTTCCCGGATTCCAGCCAATTCTCCTGCCTTAGTCTCCCAAGTAGCTGGGATTACAGGCTCCCACCACCACACGTGGCTAATTTTCGTATTTGTATTTTTAGTAGAGATGGGGTTTTGTCATGTTGGCCAGGCCTGTCTCGAACTCCTGACCTCAGGTGATCCACCCACCTCGGCCTCCCAAAGTGCTGGGATTACAGGTATGAGCCACTGAGCTCAGCCTGATATTAACCTTTTAATTCAATACAGTCTTCCCATAACAGACCTTCTCCCATTGATGGGCTCATTTTTATTGCTCTTTGTTCTCTACTGATTCTGTCAGTTTTTAGAGCCCATAAAATAGCTTCATTTCTATACCGTCTTATTCACATTCAGATTTTTCATATAGCATGTCACACACAGTATAAGACATTTTCCATAACATATTATGAGTTGATGATTTCTGTCATGTTGAAGAAGATCATACAGCAACACTTATCTTGTAAATTCTCTTATAATGCCAGGTAAAAAAAATGTTATGTGAAATGGCACATTGAAAGAAAGGAAAATCTAAAGGTGGATTGCTTAAATGATTGTGATTGTTTTTCCCATTGGATCTTCTGCAGATGAGAATTCCCTGCATAGATCACCCAAGGGGTGGCAGATCGGGCTTCTCAGTTTCAGCCAGGGGTGGACGGTTTGCATCTCCTGATGTGTTCATCAACAACATGATGAAGCCAGTGTCCTTGGCTACTGATTCCAACCTTTTGTTCTGTTCTTGGAGAAATGGGGAAAAAGATACACTTATATACTAGTGTAGATTTTGGTTATCTTTATTTGTGAAGAAAATTTTTTGTTTACCTCTCATTTTATTCATTCGTTCAGTAAATATCTCATTTTATTCATTCGTTCAGTAAATATTTATCCACCCACCTACTATGTGCTAGGCACTGTGATAGTCACTAGGTATTAAAAAAGTACATTGATGATCGATGCTAAGATTATTTTCAAACTATTTTAAGAGAGGACTCCTAAATTAAAAGAAATTATGTATCAACAGACAAATGCCCTTTTATTTTTTTCCCTACAAAATTGCTGCTGGCTAGAGAATGATGATGATTTGCACTTCTGACATCATTGCCTAATGTTGGGTTTCTGTGCCTGGGCTCTTTATGCTGTGGAGGCAAATGGTGCTTTGAGTGTCTTAATTTCACCGGAATGCTGCACCTGTTGCTGGCTATTCTTGCATATGAAATCCAGACCCTAGAGTCACTTGCTTTCATTTCCTTTTCCTCCTCCCTCTTTCCGGTGTGTGTTTGGGGGGGGTGGGGGTGGTGAGGCAGGGTGGGGGCAGCAGATTAGTAGCTTCTGTGAAGAGTAACCACCTTCCTGTTCCGTCAAGGCTATGATTTTAGCGCCCCCGGGAGTGGTAGTGTTGCGTCACTCTGTCATCTGTCGCCGAAAGACTCATAATCCGGGCAGCCTCAAGAGTTTGAGGCGTGGGTTTGTGCCCGAGTTTGGGGTTCTAGGGGAGGGGTGAAGTGGAACAGGCTTTCAGCAGCTGCTGCCGCCACCTGATACCTGGAACCTTACTGCTATTGAGGAACATGTATTTCCTCTTGGCTTCATTTGCTGTTTGGCTATGACTGAGGAAGACAGGAGGTATTGCATAGTATCATTTACTTTCATAAACATAACTTTGACATCTCTAGGCTTCATGTTGGTTCAGGCAATGCTCTCGAAAGCCAGGGAGCTGCTTTGCAAGATGCATGCTATGGCTGAAGGAACGGCTCAATAGCTGGGAGCTGGCCCTGAGGTTTAAATCCACTCACAGCACGAATTTGGTGTTTTACTTTGTGTCCTGAAACCTCAATAACCTCATTTTTCAAGTGAGAGTTGAAATATTGACACAACTTAACTTTTAAGAATTTTGAAGGCATCAGTGAAAATAAATTGAACGAACTTTGAAGTTCAGAGATCTCTAAAAGTGAATACAGACCAAATTATATCCTGATGATCAAGTAGGAACATCCGTAGTTCCAGTACTATAGTTCATTGACAACCTCCAGAAAGTTACGGTAGTCTAACATTCCTTATTTAAAACCAACTTTGCCATGTTTAATTTATTTATACTTTTATAGATAGACAGATTTACTACTGGACATTCTCTGGCAGAGAAAAATTTCATGGAAAGTGAAGTTTAATGTGAAATGGCACATAAGTGGTCCTGACTTGCAAACTCAGGAATGGCTTGTTGACCACTGTCCTGGAATAAGAGAGCCCAGCTTTGTTCTTGTCTTATTTCTGGATCGCCCTTTCTCCTTTGTACCTTCTGACATTGTTTCTGAGTTCCCTCCTCCCATCTGCCACCCGCTCCTTTGCAACTCTGTAGAGCATTTTAATAACAGGTTGTTTGTGCCTGTCTTGCCTCTGCAGCACTCACTCCCACCTGTTTCCTCAGCCTCTGACTTCTCCTTTCCCCTTTTTGGCATGCTCTGACCTGCCTCCGTAGTTGAACCCGATTCCTGAGGCAATGATATGGCAGGTCCCTCAACTCTCCATCTATAGCACTTGCCTTGCCTGGCCTGGGAACCGGCTCTTTCACTGCTGTACTGCATGGAACAGAGTAGGCACTGCTTAAACCTATCAGCTGCCTGGCTCTCTCAAATGCTCTTTCCAGGAACTCTGGCACTGTGAACCCACTGCTGAATCTCGTGGCTCATAAATAAACTCTCAAGTGATAATTGTGACTTGAATTCTCTAGTTCTTACCTGACCACCTCTTAATATCATCCTGGAACTGTCTTTATATCATCTTGGAAACCCTGGAGCTGATTTGAAATACCTCTGGTCAGTTCCTCAGCATCAGTTCTGTCTAATGAACACCTATATTCTTCATTGTCTCCTCACTCTTGGCTCTAAGTTGTCACAAGTAGATGATTATGTCTCATTCCCAAGTAGAGATAGGACACATGAGAGTGGGTGGGTGTGCCCATAGTTTAGACAGGACTATCTTTGTGTGGTACCAGCTGCGGCAGGATCTACAGATGACTCACACATGTTAATACCCACATCTTCTGAGTGGCCAACATCCTCAGATTTGCATGTGGGCATTTGCAAGAGGAAGCACACAGATGCTGTGATCAGGGCTGAGATGCCTACAGGTGTGTCTGCTGGGCTGCGGCAGGTGGTGGCCAGTGGAAGACAGGTTGTAGGTAGGGAAAGTGTTGCCTCATGGAGGGTGATCCTGATATGGTGGGAACTTCAATCCAGACTCCGACATCGCCACGGGCAAGCTGAATGACAGTAAACAACCTTCAGGGCTTGGGGACGTCAGCACACTCACCTGTGGAGAGCCAGCCAGAAGACAGGCAGTGGCACAAGTTTTCTGAGGTAGAGATTGTGACTGTAGGTGACCAAGGAACAAAATATTATGAAGACCACATTGGGGTTCATAGGCTGGTGGCCCTGTAGGACACTTGGACACATTTTTTTTCCTGCCAACACCAAAGAATAATTTCTAGGTGTCTCTTCTTCACACCTTCCCATGAAGCTTGAAAGTTCTAGAGCTCACTAGAAACTAGAAAAATTTTCCTTACTATGACAGCAAGTGTGCTTCGAGAAAACTCACTTGCTGACCTTTGTTCCACAGCCCAGCAGGTTGCCACCTGATTTATAAAAACAGATTATGGAGACAGTCCAGAAAAATTACTCCCTCTTTCTTTTTTTTTTAAAGTAATATTTTAAAATTCCTTTCTTTTTGAAGTATTTGGGTTGTTTTTATCAATTTCGTTCACTGTTGCCTTAAATGACAATTCTTGCCTCCCTGAAGAACTCTTGGCCTTCATTCCTGCCACTACAGTGAGAAGTTCTAAGCTGGAAGGGCCATCCCAGGGATGACTGCTTTAAGCAGCCAGTCATGTAGGGTTGCGCCTGTGGCCCTGGCAGATTGGACCCTGTTTCTACCAAGTGGTGGCATCACTTGGCTTCCATGTAGTGTTTTTCTGTTCTCCTGCAGATCGCTGTCAGCCACTGGAGGCCTCACCCACTGGGTTCCAGACAGCTGCCACTTCTGTTTAGAAGCAACACTGCCAGTGAGAAACCCTGCCACACACAACACACACAGACACACACACACAGACTCACACACAGAGACACACACACACAGACACACACACACAGACACACACACACACACCACACACACACACACACACACACACATGTGAGAGGAGGGCCACCCTGGGAGGAAACCCTGAATTCTCCCCTCTTAGCACACTCCTTCTATCTACTCCTTCTATCTCCTGGTAGAGGGAGAAGCTGTGTGCCCCTATTACTACCTCTCTTTACCTCCTCATTAAGGGCTTTGGTGCGATTATTGTCTCCCTTTTAATCTCACTACTTGCATGCAGCTTTCTTGAGAAAGGTTATAATTTAATCCTGAAATACAACTTCTAGGAGTTTTCTTTTTAATTCATCATTCCAAGTAGGTGTCTTTGTCTGTTTCCACATTAGAAAATGAAACCAATACTTAAATATGATTTCCCTGCTTTTATTGGCAGCTATTTAAGATCTATGTCTGAGGTCTGGCTCCGTGTGGTTTGGAATACTTTATTGTTATTATTATTATTATTTTGAGATGGAGTCTTGCTCTGTCTCCCAGGCTAGAGTGCAGTGGTGTGATCTCAGCCCACTGCAACCTCTGCCTCCCTGGTTCAAGTGATTCCCATGCCTCACCCTCCTGAATAGCTGGGATTACAGGCACACGCCACCACGCCTGGCTAATTTTTGTAGTTTTAGTAGAGATGGAGTCTTACCATGTTGGCCAGGCTGGTCTCGAACTCCTGACCTCAGGTGATCCACCCGCCTCAGCTTCCTAAAGTGCTGGGATTATAGGCATGAGCCATTGCGCCCAGCCTGGAATATTTTCTAAGCTCTTTGATGATGGCGGCTTCGATTTAACTCTCTCTGACTTAATTCTGTTGATTATAATGTCATTCAATCCCATTAGTATACTCATATGGAAACAAAGGCATGATTTCAGATTTTATTTATATCTTCATGCTTTGGAAAAACAATTTCATGAGAAATCACTCAGCCCATGAAGTACCATCCTTGACATTACTTTTTTGGGTTTGCTTGTTTTTAAAACAGTTTTTATTGGCTTTTGCTTTTTATAATTTTTTGAACCATACCAACAGTCGCATAATGAGTATTTTTAGACATGTGCTTTTAAAATCATGTGAAAATTCTTTTAATGTCAACATGAAGAGTTTTGTTTATAATCATTGCTGTGATCAAGAACTGAGGTAGAATTTCCTAGCTGGACACAAATGGGTTAAAAAAAAAACCCGACATGCTCTTTGATTATTGGATAAGTTGTATTCTAAACAATATTACTCTGATGAAGATATTAAGGGGAGTTAATTAGATTGTGAGACTCTTGAGGACAGTTGATGCCTTTTTCATTTTTGCATTCTTCTTGGGTGCCGTGTAGTTGATCAGTATAGTCATGGGACTTAGTTCTGATTGTAGGGAGCTGTGTGAACTGCATGAAGCAGACGAGACTCCATCCTCGCATGGGAAACCTTTAAGGATTTTGAAGCTGGGCAGGTGCAGGTTAATAGAAAGATCACTCTGGGCTCTGTAGGAGAGTGATTTGGAGAGAAGAGCCCCTAGAGGCCCAGGGAACATTGCAGGTGGCTCTGCCAGGAGACCAGGTAGAAGATGTGGTGAGGGTGGGCGGGAGATGGATGAAACTGTGGATTTCGTAGGTACAGATTCATCATCCTTCATCTGTAGCTACACTATTGAAGAAGACCTCCGAAAACCAGAAGGTGTTTTATTTGTAGTTCATTTGGCAAGAAAACTTGAGTTTGACCTGAACTCATTTGGTGTTGAAGCCTGACTTGAACAGCTGGGACTCTTTTAAAGTCCTTATGTATGTCAGGCATCCTTCATAAACATATGTATTTACTGCAGGGCTATTAATGTGTTTGATTAGGGGAAATTGCCCTGGATCTTGCTGTTTTTTGTTTTCACTGTAATATATGACTTGTGCTATATAACTTTTCTCAAATGGGAAGAGTTCTGGTTCAGCAGCACCTCTGGCCCTAGGGTTTTGGAAAAGAGGTTGTGAAACTCTTTGACATGTGTTTACAGGATAAGGTTGATGAAACTGACTGATAAGAAATGGAGGCAAGATCTATGGAAGAAAAGAACATTTCTGGAAAGACTCAAAAGTTAATGATGACACTGCCTCATTAACACTGAAGGGAAGTAGAACTTTAGGAGGGGTCAGAAATATTCATTAGATAGGCATGATTCATTGAAAAGGATGCATCTTGAATTTTTGAAGTATTGCTTGTATGTGATCTTGGATTGAATTGTAGACCAGAAAAAGGGGGCAATTGCAGAAATTTGAAAAAGACCTATAGATTAGTTCATAGATTTGCATCTATGTGAATTGTCTGGTTTTCATCATTGTACTCTGGTTATGTAAGATGGTAATATTTGAGGAAGTTGGATGAAGGGAACATGAGAACTCTGTGTACTCTTTTCTTTTTTTTTTAACCACTTCTTTTATAAGTCTAAAATTATTTCAAGATAAAACTTTGAAAAATAAGAAAAAGAGGTGTTTGTCATATCAGGGAACAGTATCATTCATGATGCTTTTAGGTAGAGAGTATCTATGAGCAGAAGTCTAGTTTTCTAGGAGAATTCAAAGTCTAGAAGTGCAAATCGAGTAGAATTTCAGTCAGGCCTTCACCCCCTCCCAATTTTTTCTTTTTAAAAAAGCTGACCTGGTTTCTATTGTAAGATTATCTTTTTATATTCTGATCTGAGAAAAATGCTTGACTGTAGCGTAATCATATAAAGAAGAGTTCTAGGCCAGGCGTGGTGGCTCACGCCTATAATCCCAGGACTTTGGGAGGCCAAGGTGGACAGATCGCTTGAGGTCAGGAGTTTGAGACCAGCCTGACCAACAAGGTGAAAGCCGTCTCTACTAGAAATATAAAAATTAGCCGGGCATGGTGGTGCCCACCCATAATCCCAGCTACTCGGGAGGCTGTGGCAGGTGAATTGCTGGAATCTGGGAGGCGGAGGTTGCAGTGAGCTGAGATCACACCACTGCACTCCAGCCTGGGCGACATAACAAGACTGCGACTGCGTCTCAAGAGAAAAAAAAAGAAGAGTTATAAAATGGAGAGCTCATGGGAAGTGCCATAACTTGTCCTTTGCATTTAGTCTCCCTGGTGTTGGAGGGTGTGGTTTGGCTCTAGTTCTTGTTGGTAGCTCTGCAGGGCGAGGTATAGTTGTATTAGTTAGGACTGACAGTTATAATATGATGTTCAAAGCCAAGAAGGTTTACAGATAACAGGGAAGAATGAAGAAGATGTGTACCCTTCATGGCCAAGGTCAGCTTGCCTGGATTTTGTGGGGCTGATGCTGCTGGGTGTATATTTCCTCCGTGGAGAGAGGATTAGTTTCTGAATTCCTTTGCTTCCCTCTCTAACTTCAACATTACCTCCTGTAGTTTCAGCTAATTTGTTCTGTAATTCTCTCTCCACTCCAATTCTTTCTTTCCTTTTTTGATGAGAGTAGACCTAGGCTGGCAGCCAGTTGCTATTGAGCTATAATAGAGCTAGTGGTATGAACAAAATTTGATTACTGCTGTCAACACTAGATTGAATAAGAAAGCGCATACCCTAGACAGATACTTGCAACATAAATGGTCTATTGATTTCACAAGAACTAGAAAATGAGGCCACCGTGTAATCTAGCAGAAGAATGGATCTGTGAATAGAGTGGGTCCTGACATTGCACAACAGTTTTCAAAAGCGCCCCCCTATTGATCTTTTTAGAAGAATCTTCAGATAAACTGATTTTAGCTTCTGATTTTCCTCACCATCAAGTGTTTACAGAAACTTCAATGAAGCCTTTGCACTTGTGTGTGTTCAATGGTTTGCTTTTCCTACATAGAATCTAGTTTGGAAGTTATATTGGCTGTTACAGACCTTGTTTGCTCCTGAGCTATCATGATATTTCCACTTAGCTTAATATGAATGTTTTAGAAGTTTCCCACTATGGAAAGTTCTATTTGACATATGAAAGTTCAACGGTCAATTTCATAGTCAGCTCCACGGCAAGAAATAAATAAGACAATGGATTACAGAGTATAGCCTTGGGACATGGGAAATTTTTTAGAAGATGGATGAGTCATATTATTAATACATGTTGCAAGGCCCAAGGCCTTACATCAAAAAATAAGGAAAAAAGTTTTTATTTTTTAAAGTTAATAGCCTTCTGATATTTTCTTTGTTGTACTTTGTATAGTTTTTGTTCTGTTTAGTTTTGGGGGGATCAAAAAATAAATCCTAAGATAGAATGTTTTAGGAAAAAGGTAATTAACATCATTGTACATGAATTTGCTCAAACACAGTAAGGTCTGAAAAAAAAAGATCTCTTTGATGTTGATTTGTTTGAATAATTACTATTCTCCCAGTACTGCACTTTTGAGAGGGAAGGAGAAATTGTTGCTAGTGTCTAAATTTTAACTTGTCTTCCTTGGCTACCTTCAAAATTTGAGATCCTTAATCTTAAATCACATCTGGTCTAACAATTCTTCCTATAAACAGTTATGACTATTTACTGACAAAAGGCTGCTTTTATTGTGCCTGTTTCTATTTCAGAGGAAGACACATAAAGACAGGTGGAAAGAACTGATTTGTAAAGATTGAAATGTCATATTTACATTCAGAATTTCATTTCCTTACCAGTTTTCAGAAGAACCCTTTGGTAGAGGAAGCAGGGCCAACTTCTTTCACAGCCTCTTACTATAGATAGAAGTATGAAGGCCAGCAATATTTAGCTGGTATGAACCCATACAGCTGTACCAGGAACAATGTTGAAAGTCTTTGATTCCTATTGGAAAATAGCCACTGTTAAAGATGGACACCTTCAGGACCTCACTTCAGCATTGTAGCCAGTATCCGTTCTGACTAGGTGGTGCCCACGCCTCACTGGCTGTTCTGTATTTTGAATATTTAGTCCTGATTCTAGAAATGACATTTTTGGGCTATGGATAAAAGATGGGTTTCGATAGCCATTAAGGAAATGCAAATCAAACCACAGTGAAATGTCACTTCATACCCAGCAGGATGGCAATAATAAAAAAGACAAATAATAACAAATATTGGTGAGGATGTGGAGAAATGGGTATCCACATACACTGCTAGTGGGAATGTAAAAGGATGCAACTTTGGAAAGCTGTCTGGCAGTTCTTCCAAAGGTTAAGCATAGGGTTGCCATATGACTCAGCAATTCTACTTCTGGGTACACACATACACACACACACACACACACACACACACACACCCGCCACACCCAAGAGACATGAAAATGTATGCCCACATCAAAAACGTGTACACAAATGCTCATAGCAGAATTATTGATATTAGCTGAAAGATAAAAACAACCCAAATGTTCATGAACTGATAAATACATAATAAAATATGGTCTATCAATACAATGGAATATTTTAAAAATAAATGAAATACCCATACATAATACAACATGCATGGACTTCAAAAGCATTATGCTAAGTGAAATAAGCTAGTCACAAAAAACCATATACTGTATGATTTCTTTTATATGAAATGTACAGAATAGGTAACTCTATAGAGACTGGAAGTAGATTTTAGTGGTTGCCTTGGGCTAAGGGATGGGGGTCGATTGTGGTGATGGTTGTAGAATTCTTTGACAATACTAAAAATCATTAAATTATACAGTGTAAATGAGCTAATTGTATAATATATGAATTATATATCAATAAAGTTTGATGCAAAAAAAGATCAATGGGTATTGACTATGGGACATCATCTGTATCACTGTGCTTTTCCCGGTCTCCCTCCCTGTGACAGTCCTAGAAGACAGGTGAAGTCAGCCCGTCCATTTTACAGATTTGGAGACTGAGGCTTAGAGAGAGAGAGAGAGTATTTTGCCAGAGTCATACAGCTACTAGTCTAAGGAAAATGCAGAGATGAGGAGGAGGAGCATAGGGGAGGTACTGTTAGTTTCTCTTTTCTGTATCATAGTACAGTAGCAGGATGAGAGACACCTTTGAATTCAAACCTGTGTGTATCCTGACAAAGATACATATTCTATGAAAAGTCTTTGCTAATAAGTAGAAGATTTCTATTTCACAACAAGCAAGAAAAAGAATGAGAGAAGGACTAGAAAGTAGATGTGATCATATGAATAATGATTTTCCTTGCTTTTTGCATGTATGTGGTGGACACATGCAGAAGTGACAGCAGGAGTTCGAGACCAGCCTGACCAACATGGTGAAATCCCGTCTCTACTAAACACACACACACACACACACACACACACACACACACACACACACACAATAGCCGGGCATGGTGGTGGGCACCTGTAATCCCAGCTACTTGGGAGGCTGAGGCACAAGAATGACTTGAACCCAGGAGGCGGAGGTTGCAGTGAGCTGAGATCATGCCATTGCACTCCAGCCTGGGTGACGAGTGAAAAAAAAATAATGATAATAAAGAGAGCAAGGTGACCACAAAAGAGAATAGGCTGGAAAAATTTGTCTAAATGGTGGCCTCTTCTCTTATAGCTGCATATGGTTAAGTTTATTTTTTCCCTAGTAGCGAATTCTAAGGGATGAAGAAGAAATCCTTTTCAGTTTTACTTCCCCAAGGTGTGTATAACTACTATAGTGAAATAATAAGTCCAATTTATTCTTTGAAGTATAGTTAATATGTAACGAAACTCCTAAGGCCAGTTGTATACCCAGGGCAAACGCCTTCTAACATCTTTATTTATCTACGCAGTGGGTAGGGAGGTGGGTGGAGTGCCCCTTCCCAGCTGATACTGTCAAAACAGGAAGCAAAGTTATAATCTCTGTCATAGGAACATGAATAGAGGCCCTTAGTTGTGACTATTAAAAAAACAAAAAACCTGCCTAAGGAGTTTTCACTGACTACAAAGTGTAACTTCCTCTCTGGTGTTTAGAGGAGGTGGGGTTAGGTTTAGTCAGATCCTCTCATGGGAAAAATAAAAGCCACCAAAAAAAAAAAAAAAAAAAACCCAAAATAACACAGGACATCCCAGTGTGCAGTTCGAAGGCTGCTTTTGTTGTCCACTTCCTCCACATCTTTTTCCTCATCATCTAAGCAGATGTAGGTGATGAGCGGCCTGGCAGCCACCACGTTTCATTGGAAAAAGTGCAGATTGGATTTGCCAGGGCATGTAGCTCTCCAGGCTTGCAAGCGATTACCAGGTAAGTTTGTCAACTTGCACGACTCCCAGCCAGTGAGGTTTTCTTAAGAAACGTCTATGAAGACAGGGTTCTTTCATTCAGTTTTGTTAAGTAACAAAGCTTAGGACCAGGCTGGTGACGGGAACAGACAGCCTGTCTTTCCTGCTGCCACGTCTGTTGTGGACCCTCAAGAGTAGAGACCAACGCTGTCTGCTTCACACTTCTCTTCAGGAAGTGATAATTCACCAGAGTTATTAGTTTCTTTGGAAGAAGCCTTCCAGGATCCCTATATTTGTGGTAGCAAATATGCTTCACTTTACCTCCCTGTATTTTCAAAATAGCTTACTCTGTGCTGTTTACTGCCATCTAGAGAAGAAGCCTCCTTTGTGGTGTTGAGTATTGGTAGACCTCATCCCATATTGTATTTGATTTACTCTGTTGGCTAAAAAGGCATTTTACTTCTTGAAATATTTAGTTTTGACCTGAGAAAGGGGAGAATAAAACGTTTGTACTTTGGGGGACAGTATGAGTGCTGGGGTTTCTGTTTCAGTGCAGGCTTGTCTATGAGACATGCATATGCATAACTTCATGCAGGGAAAGTGTCGTGCACTTTTCTCTCGCTGAAGTTTACTTCCGGGGTGACTTAGTTTTTCTGATCAGTTTAGATGTTCATATCTTGTTTAATGTATACATGTGTGTACTGGTTGTATGAGCTTTTGGAGGGGAAAAACCCCAAGTGATGTGTTTTATTCGATCATACATATCATGCATGAATGTTGTCACTATGAAAAAACTTTGAGACTGGTTGGTTTTCTTTTTCAATGTTTTCCTTTCTTGTGGAATTACTCTTTCCCTCTTAATGTTTTCCTTCTTAGCTTCAGTGAATGAGGTGGTAAGGGGTTGTAGCGTTGTCTCTGCAGAGCAAATTCAAACCAAAATGATTGGAGCAGCCCATATTTTCTTAGTGAATTGGGTTTCTTGAACAAGTGGCATAGGAGACTGGTGTGCTACAATTCTCATCATTAACTGTTACTTCTTTCTTAAATAACCATGTGATCCCAACACAACATCAAAATACCTCTCAGGGACCTGAATTAAAACTCCACGCGGGCCAGGCACAATGGCTCATACCTGTAATCCAAGCACTTTGGGAGGCTGCGGCATGAGGATCACTTGAGGCCTGGAGTTCGAGACCACTCTGGGCAACACAGGGAGATTCCATCTCTACAAAAAATTTAAAAATCAGCCAGGCATGGTGGCATGTGCCTGTGGTCCCAGCTACTTAGGAGACTGAGGTGGGAGGATAGCTTGAACCTAGGAGTTTGAGACTAGTGAGCCACGATCATGCCGCTGCATTCCAGTTTGGACAACAGAGGGATACCTTGTCTCAAAAACCTGCATAGGGGCAGCAATTGCAGGCTTGTGGCCTTTCGAAGATTTCCTTTGATTGTCACTAAATCCTCTCTCTTTCCCCACCATTAAGAGTCTCTGTGGTCAGCTAGTCTTCATCAAAGGGTCTTGCTACAAAGGGTCTAGGGTAACCTTAATGATTGAAATCAGAAGACAGCTAGAAGAAAAGTACAAACAAACCTTTAAATAATAAGCAGGCTTTGGCCGGGGGCGGTGGCTCACGCCTGTAATCCCAGCACTTTAGGAGGCCAAGGCAGGCGGATCACCTGAGGTCAGGAGTTCTAGACCAGCCTGGCCAACATGGTAAAACCTTGTCTCTACTAAAAATACAAAAATTAGTCGGGCGTGGTGGCACGTGCCTGTAATCCCAGCTACTTGGGAGGCTGAGGCAGGAGAATCACTTGAACCTGGGAGGTGGAGGTTGCAGTGAGCCAAGATCACACCATTGCACTCCAGCCTGGGTGAAAGAGCAAAACTCTGTCTCAAAAAAAAAAAAAATAAAATAAAAAAGCAGGCTTTTAAATGAGTAGCTACAGTGTTAAATATATTTAAATGCTGTGCTGGTTGAGTTCTGGTTCATTTAGATAACATTCTTTCCTGCCCTATGACCAATCAAAAGGCTTTAGGAAAATAGCATTTTTAAAATTAAAATGTATTTCAGTGCATGTTATTTTAATAAAAATAGAAAACCAATGTGTACATGATTTCCAATTTCACAAGGGCCTAGATTCTCCTCTCATCAGTTGCTATTGAACTGATTTTTTTGTGTGTGTCCATAGTGTAGGCTCTTTAGTCATCTTGTTAGAAATAAGGACATTAAATTTAATGTTAAAAATAATATTTTCAGCCAGGCACAATGGCTCATGCTTGTAATCCCAGCACTTTGGGAGCCCGAGGCGGGCAGATCACCTGAGGTCAGGAGTTCAGGCCAGGAGCCTGGCCAATGTGGTGAAACATCGTCTCTACTAAAAATACAAAAATTAGCTGGGTGTGGTGGTGGGTGCCTGAAATCCCAGCTACTTGGGAGGCTGAGGCAAGAGAATCGCTTGAACCCGGGAGGCGGGGGTTGCAGTGAGCTGAGATTGCGCCACTGCACTTCAGCCCGGGCATCAGGGCGAGACTCTGTTTAAAAAAAAAATAGATCTCTATCTCTATCACTATCTCTCTGTCTATCTATGTATCATCTATCTATCTATCTATCTATCTATCTATCATCTATCTATCTATCGATCTCTATCTTTATCCAGCTGTATCATCATTTTCACTAGATGCTAACAATAATATAACTGAGATAAACCAAAGTTTCAAAACAAGCTTGAAAATGTGAAATGAATAATTTGGAGGCGGGACTGGCCATTTAGGCATCTATGAAGGCCCAGATGACTCATGTCTGGAAATTGCCACTGCTCAGGAAACCACTCCTGGGAGCCCTGCTCGTTTTGCCATCCTTCCTGCTTTCTTGCCTGCTGACAGGACTCTATGTCAGCTGTTTCCTTTTTAGATGGAAGGGTTAAAAGATTCACTACTTGGGTCCCCCATTAGAATCACCAACATGCTTGTGCCCCACAGTCAGAGATCGTGACTTGATTGGACTGAGGCCCTGCTCTGTAGCTTGTCAAAAGCCAGCCAAGGGTGTCCAATGTGGAGGGTACAGGGGAATGTATTCGTCCCCCACTAGACTGAAAGCTCCATGGGAGGGAGTAGAGGCAGCTTTGTTACTGCTGCCTCCTAGCACCTGAATGTGTGCCTGATGTGCAGAAGAGGCTCAGTAGCTGCTTGTGGAATGAATGAATGAATTAGTTCCTTTGAGTAACAGGAAGTTGGAAGAAGATTGGACAGAGGCTTAGTTATGGTCTTTGCTGATGTAGGAGAGTGTGCTATGTTAGGCTGAACAGTGGCTGTCATCTTGGAAGACACTCCAGGAAAAGGTCACAGGGGAACAGGTGGCTGATCTGGGGGAATGCTGAACAGACCTCTCAGAAGAGACAAGGCTCCAGGGCAGTGGTGTCCTTATGAGGCAAGGCAGGTTGAGAACTTTGGGAAAGAGAATTTCATCAGGGGCTGAGTGTGTGTGTGTGAATGTGGATGTGAGGCCAGATGGGGACACTCCTGGGAGAATCTCCTGAACTGTGGCTTATTCTTTGTTTTTTTTTTTTGTTTTTTTTTTTGAGACTAAGTCTCGCTGTGTTGCCCAGCCTGGAGTGCAGTGACACAGTCTTAGCTCACTGTAGCCTTGACCTCCCAGGCTCAAGTGATCCTCCCACCTCAGTCTCCTGAGTAGCTGGGACTATAGGTATGTGCTCCCATACCTGGCTAATTTTTAATAGTTTTTCTGTAGAGATGGGATCTCACTATGTTGCCCAGGCTGGTCTTGAACTCCTGAGCTCGAGTGATCCTCCCTCTTGGCCTCCCAAAATGCTGGGATTACAGGCCTGAGCCACCATGCCCAGCCGTGACTCACTCTTAAAGGAGCTCAAGTCTTTTGTGTTGGAACTCCAGGAGGTTGACGACCACACTCATCTATTCAGTCAGCATTTGCTAGGTACCTAGCACACGCCCAGCTCTGGGGAGGTATGGGGATATAAAAATGAAGGTGATTTGATTCTTCCCCCGTGGAGGTTAGGACCTGGAAAGGATGGTGTGTGAAGTGAATGCTAGGTTTGCTGGTGGCTGAAAGGAAGGAACGTTGTCATCTTTGTCATATGTTAGGGATTGCCAGACCCACCAGTTGACTATATCCAAATAAAGGAACACAGAATTTGGAGTGATCACAGGGCAGTGAGATTTGTCTGGGAAGATATCTTAGGACTCGTGAATTTTTTGCAGATCTTAATAATTATAGAGAAAATGAGTAGGTGGTTAGGAAGACCAGGTAACTATAACTTACAGAGGTGAGAGAATGAGAATTGTTAAGTTGGGAGAAAAAGAGTAGAAAGAGCGACATGTGAAAGAAAAGAATCGGCCGGTGCGGTGGCTCATGCCTGTAATCCCAGCACTTTGGGAGGCCGAGGCGGGCAGATCACCTGAAGTCGGGAGTTCAAGACCAGCCTGACCAACATGGAGAAACCCTGTCTCTATTAAAAATACAAAATGAGCCGGGCCTAGTGGCGCATGCCTGTAAACCCAGCTACTAGGGAGGCTGAGGCAGGAGAATTGCTTGAACCTAGGAGGCAGAGGTTGTGGTGAGCAGAGGTTGCGCCATTGCACTCTAGCCTGGGCAACAAGAGCGAAACTCCATCTCAAAAAAAAACAAAAACAAAAGAAAAGAATCTTGGGTGGAGAAAATGAGAAATGGGATTAACATGGTACTGAGCAGTTCTTTTTTTTTTGTTTTGAGACGGAGTCTCGCTCTGTCGCCCAGGCTGGAGCGCGTGATGGGATCTCGGCTCACTGCAAGCTCCTCCTCCCGGGTTCACGCCATTCTCCTGCCTCAGCCTTCCGAGTAGCTGGGACTACAGGCGCCCGCCATCACGCCCGGCTAATTTTTTGTATTTTTAGTAGAGACGGGGTTTCCCCGTGTTAGCCAGGATGGTCTGGATCTCCTGACCTCGTGATCCGCCCGCCTCAGCCTCCCAAAGTGCTGGGATTACAGGCATGAGCCACGGCGCCTGGCCCTGAGCAGTTCTTTAAGGGATGAGACTTGGCCCTCAAGATCTGGGTTTCCATTACCCCTGCCATCGTCAGGGTAAGTCACTGAACCTCTGAGAAGGGGACTCCCAACCAGGAGGATCACAGGATCTCCCAACCAGGGAGGATGCCCCGGGAGAGTGTGGTCAGGATTCATGATGTTACACATTTTAAAGTTCTTTGCAAGCTATAGTAATAGTTCCAGGTAAATAAATGGAATAATAAATTCTGTAAAAATTATAAAAACCTAGTCTGTTGATAATGGGCTCTTTTAGGTAGAGTCTAGGGTAGGAAATCAAACATTATATTCATCATGGTACTTGAAATATATTTAAGCTGAAGCTGTGCACTCCATCATGTTTTTGATATATTTTTCCTTGGCATTACTTGAAAGGCATGCTCATGAAACTGGATTTGGATCTGTTTCATGTTTTCACTTGCGTTCTCTGACCCCTACTTAGAGGGCACCAGGTGCTTCCTATTCTAACCGTTTGCAAATTCAAGACTTGGTTGGAGGGCCATTCAGGGGACTGGTGTGGGGTTAGATAGGATCTGGACACAGCGACTCCCTCGCTCCTGCTCCAGTATTTTGACCTTAATTTGAACAGTTCAATGAACTGGCAACTGAAGTCGTTTTTTCCCACTGAACTAGACCTTTCATTGTTTTGCAGAGGAAGATGACTCATAGCCAGGTTCTACCATTGTGCTAAAGTGAAATTTTAGTCTAGGACTAAAGGAACACAGGCCAAACTTTCTGTCTGAGCTGCAGAGTATTGAAACTTAGATTGTGAGCTGGGCAGGAATTCCTGTGGCCCTCTGTGTGGAGTTGCTCTCAAGGAAAAGGAGCATTTAAATACGTTTTTGACTCCAAATTTAATTTTTAGTAATATAGTTCAAATGTCCTTTAAAATATCTTAAGTAATCAGACTGTTTTCTAAAAAAAAAAAAAATGTAATGCAAAATGAAAATTCTACAAAGTAGAAAACTGTCATTTCCTTCCTCTCTCCAAAACCATTGTTAATAGTTTCGTTTCTTCTGCTACCCTTGTTTTCTATGAATGTAAAAATGTATGCCTCTATGGGTGAGCATGGCTTTTCTTTTTTGAACCAAAATTGAAACCATCCTGATTTAGTGGCATCCCACTTAAAACATTATTAAAAACTACCTGTGTACATGTATCTTCGCTTACTTGGGCAATTGCTGGGGCAAATATGCTTTTACTGTTAAATCGTCATCTACAACAGATGACATGTAGAGAGATGAAATGTAGTCTATAGTTGTTTGAACTTGCATTTCTTTTTTTGTGGAACTGAACTTCTCTGCATATGTTTATTGGCTCTTTGGACAAATTCGTCAGTGATTTGGCTTTTCATGCATTGCTCATTTTCTTTTGTTGCTTGGATCCCTGACTTTTATACTCTTAATGATTCCAAGGGAAATTCCTACAAAATGGCAGATTTGGGAGGACTTATTTGAATTTCTTTTGAGTTCTAAAATGGTTAACTGCTACCTTAAAAGATAGATATTATTTTCAGATATCTAGGACAGAGGTTTGAGTCTTTGGACTTAGATTCTATAGTATTTTCTTTCTTTTTTTGGCTGATATGGAAGACGTCATCATCCCAAACTGTGCTGAGACTAGTAGTTATTTAGATACACTATTTTATTACATTTTCGTATACTGATAAATTATTTCCATATGGATGGTAAGTCCCAGATTTATTTATGAAAAAAACCATTTTTTATATATTTTATGGAACATGGAGTTAGCAGAAAGATGCTGTGGAGTTAGGCTTAAAATTAAGCCCTAACTATTCTGCCTCCTGTTTTGGGGCTGTTGTCAGTCTTTAAAGGTACATCTTTGTAAAATTTTTTGAACATAACTTGACAGATTGCAAGAAGGATTATAATAAATGGTGTCTGTTTGTGTTAGAGTATTTCAAGTCAGTACAGGAAAAAATACATTTAGATGCTAAGTGAAGATAAGACATTAGTTTAAATGAGGCCCCGTATGCACCATCATATTGAAAATTTACCAGTGTGTCCTCGTCCTTCAATTTAGATTCGTTAGTGATTTTTCACATCAAAGCATTGAAGCTGTAATTCTATGTTGGGTTCATTTAACCACAGATCCAGTAAATGGCAGGAAATAGAGAGCTATACAGGACAGCAAATGGCCTGCAGTTGTGTGGAGGATATCTTTGTGGCAAGATGCCCCAGATGTTTTGCTGTTTTCAAAGTTTGCTATCATTTGTTCAGAAAGGTTTTCATTGCTTGCAAGCAAGCAGGCAAGCAAAGGAAAAGGGCACGCAGCCGCCTCCCCTATGATTCTGTGCTCTTTGCCTTTGATGCCTTATATAAAAAGCTTTATTTAGTCTGCAGAGAGGTTATTTCTCCAAATAGAGGTGAACTGTCATAGTAGTCTGGAAACGTGATAGATTTCAGTTGAATGCCGCTGATCCAAATACTCTGAAAGGCTGGGCTGTGTGGCACTTGTAAGATAGGCACCTTGCACAGATTCTTCCAGGTCACTTGCACATATCGCCAGTAGAAATACCTCATCAGATAGCGATCCACTTGGCACTCTGAGAAGCAACTCCTATCACACCGACACTGCTACTTTTCTCCTGGCTCAGCCAGTCTCTTGCTGGGAACCTGCTGCCAGAGTTAGTCACTTGGCTTCTGCCCTGGCCTATTTTCTTGTTGACTTCTGGATTCTGTGCCTTTAGCTTCTCCTTGGACTCATTGGCCATTACTCTCTTTCTGGTGTTAGTAGCTCCTAGACTGTGTTTGACAGAAGAAATTTATTCCCCTAGCAAATTCACTTTCTACTGAGGTAACTCTAACCCACCCATGCAATCTAGCATCTGCCAATACTCTGAGACCCACTGATTGTTAATCAGTATTTATTATCTAACTCTGAGTAACGAGTGTTATAGCAGGAAAAGTAGAATCTTTTTTGTGTGTGTACGAATGTGGTTTAAGGGACTTTTGGGGATAGAGGAGAAATAAACACCTTGAAATGAATTATTATATTTTACCTTTGCCCATGTGAATTCTTTAAAATAATTATTAAATTCTCACTTTGCTTATATGCATTAAAAATTTCATAGTGATGGTATTTAAAGAGGGAGGTTATGGACATTTTGCAAGTTGGTTGAGGCAATAGTTCTCATTTCCCTTTTCATGTCCCACGGGACATGTCATATCTGTCTGCCTCCCTCCTATGCATTTCTCCTGCTGTTGCAAGGAGAATCTTATGTTTTATGATGAAAATTTATTTGGTGACTAAGTGAAGTGTGCACTATTCTTTTAAAAAGTCCTTGAGATTGCATTCTGTATATTTGCTGAATTTGTTACTAGGCCTTACGCTGCAACATTTCTGAGTAATCAAATCTAAATAAAAATAAAAGGTCGTTCAAGGTAAATCTATGTCTTGATTACTGAAATAAAGTATTGACATTTATTTCCCATAATTTGGGAAGTTATTCAGTAAATAATATTTGCCTGGTGTTTTATAATGAATCATTTTTATCATATTGGGTTTGTGTTAGGAAGACTGTCAGCATTGATTTTCCAGTAGTTTTCTAAATTTTCTCATCTATTTATGTTTCTTCTTCTTCTTTTTCTTTTTTTCTTTGAGACAGGGTCTTGCTCTGTCAACCAAGCTAGAGTGTAATGGCATGAGCTAGGTTCACTGTAGCCTCGATCTCCGGGGGTCAAGCAGTCCTCCCACCTCAGCCTCCTGAGTAGCTGGGATTACAGGCATGTGCCACCACGCTCAGCTCATTTTTCGGATTTTTTTTTTATTTGGGTAAGAGTCTCGCTCTGTTGCCCAGGCTGGAGTGCAGTGGTGCGATCTCAGCTCACTGCAACCTCCCCTTCCCAGGTTCAAGCGATTCCCTTACCTCAGCCTCCCGAGTAGCTGGGACTACAGGCGCATGCTACCATGCCTGGCTAATTTTTTGTATTTTTAGTAGAGATGGGGTTTCACCGTGTTAGCCAGGAACGTCTTGATCTCCTGACCTTGTGGTCCACCTGCCTCTGCCTCCCAAAGTGCTGGGATTTTAGGCGTGAACCAACGTGCCCGGCCCTTCTGATTTTTTTTTTTTTTTTTAAATAGAAACAAGGTCTCACTATTCCCAGGTTAGGGTCTTGAACTTCTGGGCCCAAGTAATCCTTCTGCCTTGGCCTCCCAAAGTGCTGGGATAACAGGCGTGAGCCACTGTGCCTGGCTATTTATGTTTCCTAATTACTGCAGTGCTCATGTTTCTGTCAGCTTCAACTATGCCACACATGACTAGGAATTAGAAATAAGAAAACAGTAACCAGCCTGGCCAACATGGCAAAACCCTGTCTCTACTAAAAATACAAAAATTAGCTGGGTGTGGTGGTGAGTGCCTGTAATCTCAACTACTTGGGAGGCTGAGGGACGAGAATCGCTTGAACCTGGGAGTCGGAGGTTGCAATGAGCTGAGATACTGCCATTAAACTCCAGCCTGGGCAACAGAGCGAGACTGTCTAAAACAAACAAACAAACACACACAAAAACAAAAACAAAAAAACCAAGGAGCCAAAAATAAATGACTCAGTGAACATTTATTGAGCAACTGTGGTTTGCTGGGTGCTGCGGTCGTTGTTGTGAAGGTGCTGGGATGTTTTAAAGTTGGTTTTAAACTTAAGGATTCTACTTACTGGCAGCCTAGAACCACTGCATATGCCTTGCAGAGATGATGATGGACACTTGTGTCCTCACCTGTGCAGTGCAGGCACATCAGTGAAGAGCCTTAGATTCTCATTTTGCAACTGTTTTCACACTTGGGTATCGGTTTCTAGATCTAAAGCAGTAAATGAGAAAGGCAGTGGGTGTGAATGCTGCTATAAACTGACACCCTGACAATAACGATATGCTTGTTGACAGGCTGATTGCAGAGGAGATGAAAAAATAAAGGGCAGAACAAAAAAGTCTCAAAGCTCTGCCCCCTGCGTCAGTAGGAAGCTGTATTTTGCTACTCAAGTAGACTAACATTGGAGAAATAATTAGCAAGTGAAAAAGTTCTTCCACCGAAAGGACAATGCAAGTTAAGGCAGGTAGTCTGGTTTTCTGTGCTGCAGCATCCAACCACGTTCTAGAATCCTGTTTTCATATTTTGTTGGACCCAACTGGATTAAAACAAAGCCCCTTTCTCTGGCTGGGTAGTGGCCCGAGTTAGGCAGTTTCCAGTGCTCTAATTGGTACTTTGGAGCCAGTGTCCAGTGACTTTCAGAAGCAGGGTAAATGTTCTTGGTATTGAGCAGTTCTCTGCTGGATGCCGGGCCTGTCCTCATGGTTCATGCTGCCCTTAGATCATCAGCCATTCACTCCTATGGTCGGTCAAGGACACCTTCTCTAGGAATTCTCTGCTGACTTCCAAGTGTGGGTTGGGTGCCCCTCTTCTCTGCTTTCTCCTTCCCTGCTTGGATTAAATTCAGAGATTCTAAGATGTCTTCATCTGTCACAACATTCATGATGGATGTTACCCATCAGTGTTTTTGAAAACGAGGTCTATCTCTGCACGGTGTTGAAAGATAGGTGGAACTTATCTTTTAATAATCTCTTCAGGTGGTCATTGTGTATGTTTGAGAACCTCTCCTTTAGACCATGAGCCTGAAGAAAGTCCTGTTCTTGTCTTTGAATCTTTAAACCTTCCCTAGCTCCTGGCACGTTTTTTAGTTGCTCAGATTTTTTGTTGTAGTTCAGTGAATGAGGTAGAATTCTGGTAATTTTTTTGTTGTTGTTCGGTGAATGAGATATAATTCCTGTTAAAAAATGTGTGGAAAGCAGGTATGCCTATGGAATCCAAATCCAGCAATGTGATCAAAAGCCGCTTGAAGGATTTTCGAACATTTTTCATTTCTTTCTTTTTTTTGAGACAGAGTCTCTGTCACCTTGGCTGGAGTGTAGTGGTCCAATCTCGGCTCACTGCAACCTGGGCTCAAGGGATCCTCCTACCTCAGCCTCCAGAGTAGCAGGGACTAAAGGCATGCACCACCATGTCCCACTAGTTTTTGTATTTTTGGTAGAGATGGGGACTCCCTATGCTTCTCAGGTTGGTCTTGAACTCCTGGGCTCAAGTGATATACCTGCCTCTGCTTCCCAAAGTGCTGGGACTATAGGCGTTAGCCACCATGCCTGGCCCATTTTTTCTTATTGTTTTGTAAATCAACATTATGTGAAACCTAAAATTTAATATGGATATACAAAAATAGCTTTTTTATTTTCTTGCCCAAGAAAATAAACTGTATCTTTATTATTTATATTTTTGCCGTTTTGAAATAAGCCTTTTATTTTAGAATAATTTTACATTTATAGAAAAGTTGCAAAGATGGTATGTAAAGTTCCCCAGTTACCACTTTTTGCCACTGTTACCCAGTTTTCCCCACTGTTAACATCTTGTTACCCAGTTTTCCCCACTGTTAACATCTTACATTACTATGTTACGTTGATCACACTTAGTGAACTGATATCAGGATTGTTATTATTAAAGGCTTTAAGAGTTATTGTTGAAGATTTATAAATTTATAGATGAAATAATATTTAGAACATACCAAATTTTGAATTAGAAATATTTTAAAATTTGAATTCTTTGATTTTAAGAATTAAAACTTTTGAATTCTTATATGTAGTCATAGTTGGGAATATATCCACAAAGCAAGTAGACCAATTCTTGTGAGAATGATTCTGAAACAGGTTTTTCAGTTGTCATTAGCCTTCTGGAACCTCAAAAGGGGGAAGGTTACTTTCAAAGGCTAACATTCATTTAATCTATCTGTAGTACTCCATATGAATGACAATCATTACTTATCGACATCTCAGGTTTTGTTAGATATGATATTTGTTTTAATTATTTATGGTATATTCAGGCAGAGGTGCTATTCAAAATATTTAACAGGTTGGCATAGGCCTCAACCACCCAGACTGCTGTTCAAGTAATCAGAAGGGATGCTGGCTGGTGAATGTGTCAGTCCTATTAACTGACACATTTCTATTAATGTCTAAAATGTCCTAAAAATGTCTCCAGATATTGCCAGATGTCTCGTAGGTGGCAAAATCACTTCTGGTTGAGAACTCCTGATATAAAGCAGTTAGAACAGGCTGGCACTGCTCTAGTAACTGCTTTCTAAATATTCACTATTATTATTGTTGTTGGTATCTTTCATTTGTTATTTCTGATAACTTTTAAACATACACTGCTTAGCCCCAGCACTTTGGGACGTTTAGGTGGGTGGATCACTTGAGGTCAGGAGTTCGAGACTAGCCTGGCTAACATGGTGAAACCCCATTTGTACTAAAATTACAAAAATTAGTTGGGTGTGGTGGCGAATGCCTGTAATCCCAGCTACTTGGGAGGCTGAGGCAGGAGAATCACTTGAATCTGGGAGGTGGAGGCAGAGGCGGAGGCTGCAGTGAGCTGAGATTGCACCACTGCATTCTGTCTTGGGCGACAGAGCAAGACTCCGTCTAAAATATGAATAAATAAATAAATATATGTGTGTGTGTGTATGTGTGTGTATATATACATATGTGTGTGTATATATACACACACACATACTGTTTATCAAGACATATTAGGATTTCTTTATAGTTAAATCACCACATGCATAAAAAATAAAGTTACATTTTTTTGTAAGATTTACTCAGAATTTGTTGGAGACCCATAGCCTGTTGTAGGAAGAAATGTAAGTTCTATTTTTGAGGGAGATTTTCAGCCTTTTTTACTTGCCCTCACCTGCCATGTTCCTGACACTGCAGCCTCGAGAAAGGTTTGAGACTGTTGGAGCACATGGGTGTGGAATTTGTAGACCACTTGTTCTTCCAGACTTCCTCACACCCACCCATAGCCTGCTTTTAGTTGATAGTGGCTCAGCAAGGGTAGGAGCCTGTACTTTGGCTCATACCAAATTCCCCTCATTTCCGCACGATGATATGTTATTAGTATTCTGATCCCTGTTATTTGTTAAGTTAAGCTGTGCTTCAGGAATCTCAGAAGATCACAGCATTTTGTTTTCAGTGACTTCATTTCATAATATATGCTCTGGGCAGGTGAGACTAGACTTAGAGACATTGAAGCCCAACAATTTAATATCCACAAATAGTGTTTTATTTGTAGTCTTCCTATCCTTTCCTCTTCGGTGTTCTAGAAACAGATGCTTACATTGTGTAAACACTCCTTCTGTTACTGATTCTATGGTATCCATTTTCCTATTAACAGGATGAAGATTTTGTTTTTTCATCCTCAAGTCTACAAGAACGGAATAGTCAGTGGGATATGAGGATCAGATAAAAATCCCCCCACTTTAGAATCACTGATCTTAGTACTTCCTGCAGAAACTCTGACAGCCTTATTTTTTTTCCTCCTTTGAATCCACGTAGGTGTTTTTGGGAAACATTTATTTGCTGATATTGGTTGGTAATAATAATTGTTATTTTTATTTCAAATAAGATGCTGCTGGTAAAATTATTGTGAAGTCTACTCAACTTAGTAAACTTATATCAAAAGCCAGGTTTTACATCTGGTAGAACAGAGATAGTCAATTCCTTGCTGTAGGGAGAGGAAGGGTAGGAGCCTGTGGCTCCCTCCCCGCCATCTTGTCCCCAACCATTCTTATACACTAGTTTGATTCAAGCACTTGAGCTTTGGAGCCAGACTGCCTGAATTTGGATTCAGCTACTTTTACCTGGGCAAACTGCTTAACTTTAAATGTCTGTGCTCTTTGCTGAAAAATGTGGACAATAGAAGCATCTATCTTATATGGATATTGTGGGTATTAGACTATATGGTAGTCCATTTAAGAAACGTTCAGTAAATGTTGCTCATAGTAACAGCAATAATGTTACTACTCCTAATATGACTGCTACTTTTGATAAATTTAGAATAACAGTTTAAATTACCATATATATTAAAACTATGTGACAGTCTAAATTATCTTAACAGTTGAAATACCATAACAGTGTGTATACACACACACATACATACACACACACTTTGTATAATGGAGCTGCTAAAATGAATCAGGTTTAGCTGAATTGAAATTTGATTCTTTTTGCCTATTTGCTATAGGTGATAGTGAGCCATGAAATAAGTAAAATACAGAAGGAGGTAGATACAACATTTAGATTTTTTAGCCTTACGTGAAACAGTTATGGCTTCAGAATTTAAAGCACCAACATTTGGTGGGGTCCCATGGAAATTTTTATTCCTAATTTCTTAATATTAACCATCTTCTTCATATTCTATTAACTCTTGTGTTGTTTAAAAAACATTCCAGTATTCTTTCTTTCTTTAGTTTTTTGAGATGGGGGTCTCACTATGTTACCCAGGAAGGCCTTGAACTCCTGGGCTCAAGTGATCCTCCCACTTCAGTCTCCTCAGAAGAAGATTCCAGTATTCTTATCTTCATTGTTGAGTGCTTTTTCTTTTAAAAATTGCAATAACATTTTAAAAATTAGAAAAGAAAGAAGCATCCATTTCTATTTCTACCATATTAATACAACAGTAACTTTCATTTGTTATTTTCCCATCTAGTCTTTATACTCATACTTAAAAATAATTGGAATTATGTAATATTTCTAATTTTAGTTCTGGTGTTTTCGTTTGACATTACTTCATAAGCATTTTCCATTTTTTTCTGTTAGGTAGTTATACCATCATTTATTTAATGGTTTTCCTGTTTTTGTTTTTAGTTTACTTCTAGTTTCAACATTATGGATAATAGTACAGCGAAAATTATCTTTATTGATCTGTAAAATGGAGATAATACAAGTACTCCAGGGCTGTTGTAAGGATTATATGAGGGGATAGATATAAGGCAGGTTTGTCCACCGTGAGACAGTTCCATTTTGCTGTGGAAGCTGTCCTGTGCTTTGGGGATGCTGGACAGCATACCTGGCCGCTTTTCCCCAGTGGTGACAAACAAAAATGTCTCCAGACATTGCCAGGTGTCTTGCAGGGGCAAAACCACTCCCAGCTGAGAACCCCTGATATAAGTCAGTAGAACAGCCTGGCACTGATCTGATGAGTGCAGTGTAAATACTTGCTACTATTATTATTGTTGTTGGCACCATCCTTCATTTCAGGTATTCATTTCTGATAAATTCCCAGAAATAGAATTTATGGGATGAGAGGTTAGTTTTAGGGTTTCTGATACGCCCTTCAGAGGACTGTAACACGTTTAACGTCATCAGTTTATACAAATATGCCAGTATCTCTGAGGCCCAGCCAGTATTGAATTGTGAGTACCCAAAATACTGTTTTGTCTTCAATTTCTGTAATTACTAGCCATGATGAGCATCTATTATATTTTTTTTATTTGCATTGCCACATTTGAAGATTCTGGTAAAAACCTTTGTCTACGCATCGTTTTTTTTTTTTTTCTTTTTTAGTTACTCTGCCATTCAACAGTTAAAGTTGAAATTCATCCCTCAGTAGCTAAGCCTGTATTACATTTCATCGCTTGATGTTTAACAGCCTCTGAGTAGAACATTGATTGAGATCCTTTTGGATTATTGTGTTTTTCCCAGTGTTGCTGCATAATATGAAACCTTCCAAAATTTGAATATAAGGATAATTTTGTGGAAAAGAATTCAACTTTGTATTCAGTGATATATGTCCTGTAACAGAAATGATTGCCTCTGGTTTCAGTACCCTTTTATTTCTCTTTTCTTTTCTTTTTTCCCTTCCCTTCCCTTCCCTTCCCTTCCCTTCCCTTCCCTTCCCTTCCCTTCCCTTCCCTCCCCTCCCCTCCCCTCCCCCCTTCCTTCCTTCCTTCTTTTTTCCTTTCCTCTCTTTTCTCTCTTTCCTTTCTTTTCTTTCCTTCTTCCTTTCTTCCTTTCTTTGTGTCTCACTTGGTCACCCAGGCTGGAGTGCAGTGGCATGATCTTGGCTCAATGCAACCTTCACCTCACGGGTTCAAGGGATTCTCCTGCCTCAGCCTCCCGAGTAGCTGGGATTACAGGTGCCTGCCACCATGCCTGGCGAATTTTTATATTTTTAGTAGAAACGGGGTTTCACCATGTTGGCCAGGCTGGTCTCAAACTCCTGACCTCAAGTGATCCATCCACCTTAGCCTCTCAAGGTGCTGGGATTACAGGCTTGAGCCACTGCACCAGACCTGGTTTAAGTACCCTTTTGGAGATAACCCCAATCCTAGCTGTAGCAGAGGCTGCTATTGACCCCACTCCCTGCTGTCAGTACTTCTGGTGCACTGGGACTTCCAGCTGCCCACACCGGCATGCCTTTGCCTGAGGGCATTCTCTGGCTGGAAAGTTCACACTCAGGGCTGGCAGGAAGTGTCAGCGCCCAGCAACCCATAGCCAGTGACTGCTGCTGTAGTATAAATTCTCCAGCTCTCTTGCATCTCAGGTCGCCTACTTTTGAGATGAACATTTTACACTGCATCTCCAAGTTCCCAGTTGGGTTGTGATCGAATGGTAACTTGCTTGATAATGACCTTTTTATTATTGGCCACCTTTCCTTCTTTGTCTCCTTTCTCTACTCCCTAGCAGTGTTTCCTGGGATCACTTCTGAAATAAACTACTTATATTTGAATCCTTGTCTCAGGGTCTGCTTCTTGGGGGAAGGACCAAACTAAGATATTATTAGCCAACTTTTCTTTTGACTTTGATTGATGAAAGAAGAGGAAAGATCAGACCAGGAGAACAGAAATATTTTGAAGACCTTTCTGTATAAAAAGTAATGAATTTAACTTCACCGATTCAAGAGACAGGACAGTAAATATTCTTGTTATGCTGCTTCCCAGGGTGTCCTAAGAAAGAGTCTTCAGATTGTACTATGGGATTAAAGCCATGGCAGATGGCACTTAATGTCCCTGACTAATGTGACTTTCCACCCACTTTCTTTACACCATAGTTTGACTCAGGGGCTTGCTGGATTTCAGAAAGACTAGCTTGTAGTTTGTGGCTAAAAAGACTGGCTGATGTTAGGAAGGGGGAGAAACACCTTATGTGTTGCTCTACTAATTTTGTCCTTGATTTTGAGCTAATTATTAATGCTCCAGGGAAAAATTTTAGCTTGGCAGGCAGGGAAATATTAGTTTCAATTGTGAGCTTAATCCAGAGGGCTATGTTTGAGTTAAAACCATCCAGGAGTCTTCCAGGGAAGTCCAGAATCTTCCAGGGAAGACCAGGTGGATCTATTTCTGGATGCTAAAAGGGGCATTGCGGGGCTGATAAGGAAATAAGTCCCTTGTTCTTTAAAAAAAAATTATTTATTTATTTATCTTTTTTAGAGACAGTGTCTCACTCTGTTACCCAGGCTGGAGTGCAATGGCATGACCATGGCTCATGCAGCCTCAACCTTCTGGGTTCAAGTGATCCTCCCTCCTCAGTTTCCCAAGTAGCTGGGACCACAGGTGTCTGAAACCACACCTGGCTAATTTTCTTTCTTTCTTTCTTTTTTTTTTTTTTGTAGAGATGGGGTCTCGCTATGTTGCCCAGGCTGGTCTTGAACTCCTGGGCTTAAGTGATCCTCCTACTTTGGTCTCCTAAAAGTGCTGAGATTACAGATGTGAGACACCTCACCCAGCCAGAACTGCCTGTTTCATTAGAGAGACACAAGTCAATTCCTGGAATTTTTTTTTCCTTTTTGCTGCCACTTTCTTACTTAAAAGAATAAAAATCAAAGCCAAATTCATCATAGTAATCATAATAATGGCAACAACAACAAAAAAAGGAGTAAAATAGAGTTGTGAATGTTTGCTTTGTTATTAAACATATCAACTCATTGGAGCTGATTTATATAAAGTTAAATCCTGCTAGAATAGCTGGATTCCTTCCTACATGGGTGGGGTGGGAATGCTGAGATCCTGGTGTGGGCATTCCATGCCAGGGTAGAAATTTCCTGCTCAGGCACTTAGTGAAGGAGCCAACTGAGGGAGGATAGGTGATGTGCCCGCCCATCCGGTGGCACCCAGTGACCTGTGCACACCACCCCCCATCTGCCCAGGACCCAGCCATGTTGTTCATTGTACCCTTTTCAGACTGCTGACCTCCAGGAGCACTTGTCTTAAAGTCACATAGCTGTATTTTTCCTCTCCAGAAAAATTTTGAATGTATTTTCTAAATAGCTGAGGTCATTGCATGGTCTTCAGTGAACTTAGCTACAAGTGAATGTGACCTGGAGTGACCCAGAGTGAGTGCTGGCCAGCATAGGTTTCACATTTTCTGTGTGAAAGTTCTTCTTTTGTTGTTTGTGATTAATAACTGGATGGGATATAAAGCCAAATGATTTCATTGTTGAACACAGACTTGAAGGTCATGAGAAACTGCCTGTTCAAATTACACTTTGCCAAGACATGGAAAAAGGTCTGCATCAACACCTGAATAGTTTTAGAAATACGGTAGAGAAGGAAAAAAATGACATGCCACTTGTTATGTGATGTGAAAGTTGATTTCCACGCGATGCAATATCTTGGGTCCTTACAACATCTGACCTATGAGGCTGATGAGTTTGCACTGAGTCAGGACTTTAAAACAAAGGTGTATTGAGGACCTACTGTGTGCCAGGTCATTTAGAATGAGTTTTTATGCTAAGTAATGTGTTATATTTATGCTTATTTTGTTAAGTGCTCAGTTTCTCTTAGGTTTTGTATTATGTGGGTTTGCTATTTTTTAAAAAAATATTTTTAATTTTTTGGGTATGGTTTGCTATTTGAAATATGATTTTGAATAAGTTTCTCAGTACATAGCACTTTTAATTTTATGTTTTTAAAAGATTTTTTAATGGTTATACATAATAATTGATGGACACACAATAGTATTTAAATCTAAAAATAGAGAAACCATGGCACACAAAACACAGTATCTTACAGAACTGTATTATTTGCTTCTTTTCTATGTGTTTTCTAGGCTTTTGAGTCAGATGTTAGGAAAGAGTCTGTCCATCTTTAATTTTCTCACTTCGAGAAGCACTGAAATATTTCTATACATATGTCCATTGGTATAGCGACCTAACACAACTTTAAAATCATTTTGAAATTGACGCACAGAGAGCTTGGTTTTCCAGAACTGGTGAGGTGTAAGATGGTTGAGGACTGACTTGGCCTGGTCGGACCTGTTTCTTTGTAGCATTATTACTATTTGTTTATTTTCCACCTGGGCCTTACATCTTCCCTCTCAAGACAGCGTCTAGGTCCCAACTCAGTTGGTAGGAATTTGTGCAGTAGCAAACCTGCAGATGGGCAGAGATACAAACTCACTCAACTCACATTACAGTCTTTCCCTGTCTAAAACAAACAAGAAAACAAAACAAAAAAGGGAGAGATCATATAGGCGTGTATATATACAATATTTTGTTATAGATAAGGAACAAAGTACCATATGAATTCAAAAGGTGAGGGTGGGATGGGTTTAGAGCTGGGAGAGAAACCATCTAAAGCCTTCATGAAAGGGGGTACCATTTGCTGTGGATACTGATGGCAATGTTGGGGCTGGAGGAAAATGTTCCAGGTAGAGGGCACAGAATTAATAGGGGGTAGCTATAAAAAGCATGCTGAATACCATGCTAGGTAGGCATTTAGCCCTGTAGCATATAGATGTATCTGAATTTAAAGGCAGTGGGTGATGTTCGGAGGTTTGGAGCATAAGATATTTTGTGATCAGAAGAAGGTGAATCTGTCAGAGGTGTTTAGGAAGCAAATACAAGGGTAGATAGTATGGGAGGTTATTGTAGTACCTTGAGAGAATGCTATTGAGGACCTGGATGTTGAGGTTGGTAGCCTGGGAATATCTGGGCTCTGTTGATGAATTAAATTGAGTTATGGCAAAGCTCTCTTCGTGGATTTCAATATTTGCGATTCCACTGCTTAAAGCTGAGCTCACTCTTCTTTTCGGTGTAACTGTGATGGAAGGAACTTGCGTGTGAGAGTCTCCCTCTTGTTGGGTCTGTGCTATTGGTTTGTTGATTAGGAACTCAATTGGTACCTGCAGAAATTGCCTCTGATTGGGACCTGCTTCTCCCCACTGTCTCCCTTATGTTTCCCCCTGAGAGGTAAAAGGAGTGATTTGGGTCAAATGTCCTTTGTTTTGGGTTGGTTTGTGTGGGATGACTCCTGGTGTAGATTTTGTGTGTGGGTGCTAATGTACTTATAGCCAGCTGGGGCTAGAAGCTCAGGCACCCACAGCTTTGCTCTCCCCACTTCGCGTTTTTACTTCTGATTTTCTGTTTCCCAATTTGTGATTCACAGGCAGGGATGACTGACTGAGAAGCGTTGCAGATGAGTCCGTGTATTTGTTTCATTTTGTGATTGTTTCAAATTAGCACAAATTTGATGGCTTAAAACAACACAACTTTACTATCTTACATTTCTGAAGGTTAGAAGTCTGACACGGGTCTTACTGAGCTAAAATGAAGGTGTTGACAGGGCCATGTTCCTTCTGGAAGCTCCAGAGGAGACTCCTTTCCCTGGTCTTTTCCAGCCTCCACAGGCTGCCCATGTTTCTTGGCTCATGGCTCTCTTTAGTCTTCAAAACCAACAGTGGTGGGCTGAGTCCTTCTCATGTGGCTCGTTGCTCGCTCTGCTATTCAACTCTCTTCCTTTTCCACTTAGAAGGCCCCTTGTGATTTCACTGGGCACACCAGGCTAACCCAAGATAACCTTCTATCCTAAAGTCAGTTGATTAGCAAACAATACTTTCATCTGCAACCTCAATTTACCCCTTGCTGTGTAACCTAAGGTACTCACAGGACATGGGCCTCTTTTGCAAGTGGAGAGGAAGAAGATGTATTATTCTGCTTGCCACATTGCGTAGCTCTTGATTTTCACTTCTTTTAAAAAAGAACATCTGCAGAAAGAATTGAGAGTGGTGGATAATTCTCCAATCATTCCTGCTTTCTCCTGAAATAAATTTCATGCCTTTCTTTTAGCAGTTGATTTAATAATTAATTTTAAAAATAATGTTAGAAGAAGCTTTTCCTGTTCATGTGTGTGTTATGATGCATATGTTTGTCTGATGAAGGGGAAAAAGGGAAGGAATGACTCAAGTACTTTCAACTTTAGGGCCAGCCTAGGATTGGAATTCTGGAGTAGATCATGAGGAGGAGATGGTCAACTTTCTTGTGACAAAAGCATGTACATAAACCACTTAGGATTCTCCACTTTTCACATTTTATTCTGAAATTGCATGCTTCAGTTAATGTGATTTAATGGTTTTCTCTCAGTGTCATTGGCAGGATTGTTACTAAGCGACAAACATTCACCACAGTGTTCAAATGTACTTGGGAAGAAAATGAGTAGCCAAACTAAAAGTGGGATTTAAATAACTCCAATTTTATGAAAAGTGAAGAAGTTCAGAGATTACTTAAGGTATTTTTTTGGTGATCTGTGGATTCAATGATCATTTCGTTCATGGAAGGAAGTTTTATTTTTATTTTTTTCTGAGACTGAGTCTTGCTCTGTCACCCAGGCTGGAGTGCAGTGGCGTGATCTCGGCTCACTGCAACCTCCGCCTCCTGGGTTCAAGTGATTCTCCTGCTTCGGCCTCCTGCATAGCTGGGACTGCAGGCATGTGTCATCACGCCTGGCTAATTTTTGTATTTTTAGTAGAGACTGGGTTTCGCCATGTTGGCCAGGCTAGTCTTGAACTCCTGACCTCAGGTGTTCCACCCGTCTCGGCCTCCCAAAGTGCTGGGATTACAGGCGTGAGCCACCGCACCTGGCCTGGGAATTTATTTTCATTAACTTAAAATATTATGGCAGCTGATAGAGATGTATGTGCATCGCATTCTATTTCTGACACAATAAACAGCGTAATCGTCACATGAATATAAAAGTTGATGTGTTAAAGCAGTACAGCTCATGTTTATTCACTTGAAAGCCAGGAGAGTATACCCGTGGGAGATGTTGCTATCAATAAATTTTTACCTATATATATTTTAACTTTGATTTTAAGTTCTGGGGTACGTGTGCAGGTTTGTTATAGAGGTAAACTTGTGTAATAGGGGTTTGTTGTACTGATTATTTCATCACCCAGGTACTAGGCCTAATAGCCATTGGTTATTTTTCCTGATTGTCTCCTTCCTCCCATCTTCCAGCCTCTGGTAGGTCCCATGTCTGTTGTTCCCCTCTATGTGTCCATGTGTTTTCATCATTTAGCTGCCACTTAAATGTGAGAACATGCGGTATTTGATTTTTCGTTCCTGTGTTAGCTTGCTAAGGATGATGGCCTTCAGTTTCATCCATGTTTCTGCAAATAACATGATCTCATTCTATTTTATGGCTGCACATATTCTGTGGTGTATATGTAACACATTTTCTTTATCCAGTCTACCATTGATGGGCATTTAGGTTGACTCCATGTCTTTACTGTTGTGAATAGTGCTGTAGTGAACATACACATGCATGTGTCATCATGATGGAATGATTTATATTCCTTTGGGTTTATACCCAGTAATGGCATTTCTGGGTTGAATGGTCTTTCTGTTGTTAGGTCTTTGAGGAATTGCCACACTGCTTTTCACAATGGTTGGACTAATTTACACTCCTACCAACAGTGTGTATGTGTTGCTTTTTCTCTGCCACTTCGCCAGTGCCTATTATTTTTTGACTTTTTGATAATAGCCATTCTGAGTGATGTGAGATGGTATCTCTACTTGCATTTTTTTTTTGTCTCTTTGTTTTTTGTTTAGATGGACTCTCGCTCTGTCATCCAGACTGGAGTGCAGTAGCGCAATCTTGGCTCACTGCAACCTCCATCTCCCGGGTTCAAGTGATTCTCCTGCCTCAGTGTCCAGAGTAGCTGGGACTACAGGCGCGTGCCATCACACCCGGCTAATTTTTTGTATTTTTAGTAGAGATGGGGTTTCACCATGTTGGCCAGGATGGTCTTGAACTCCTGACCTCAAGTGATCTGCCTGCCTCTGCCTCCCAAAGTGCTGGGATTACAGGTGTGAGCCACTGTGCCCGGCCCCTCTACCTGCGTTTTTAATAAAGGATTATACATGAGTCAAGGATTTGTTAAAAAAAAAAAAAAATCCTTCCAAGATAATTATACATACATTACTCAGAACTGTCACTTTTTTTGGTTAATTTTACAGATGTGAATTTTATTTTATAGATATGTTCTTTTTATGACTTTCCTCAATTATTATATAGACAATGCAGTTGTTGAATAATATCTAAATTATTTAGAATAATAGAATATTTTCTATTATGCATTTCTGAAAAACTCAAGTTACTGTTAGAATTAAGTAAGGATTTTGTCGTAGACAAACAGATGTAGCGATAGCATAGTAACCTACTAGGTTAGATACTGCCTGAATCTTTTGTTCTTATATGGATAAATTCTACGAGCTTTTATTTTTCAAGGAGAAACTTATCTTCAAGAAGACAGTAATTTGTTGGCGGGGGGCGACCAGGAGAAAAATCCTAAGAATGTGAAAACCCCTATATAAGGAGAAGTTTCTGTTTCTTTCTCTTTTTTTGAGATGGAGTTTCACTCTTTTGCCCAGGCTGGAGTGCAGTAGTGCGATCTCGGCTCACTCCAACCTCTGCCTTCTGGTTTCAAGTGATTCTCATGCCTCAGCCTTCCGAGTAGCTGGGATTACAGGCACCCGCCACCACGCCTGGCTGATTTTTGTATTTTTAGTATAGATGGGGTTTCACCATGTTGGCCAGGCCGGTATCAAACTCCTGACCTCATGATCTGCCTGCCTTGGCCTTCTGAAGTGCTGGGATTACAGCCGTGAGCCACTGCACCCCGCCTTCTGTTTCCTTTATTACTGATAATCCTTAGTGATCTAAAGACTGAGATCCTATAAGCTTGTTGCTACTTTCCCTTTTCATGTCTCATAAAAAGCCATGGTACAGGCTGTTGGGAATTATCACGTGGACATTGAAGATAACCTAATTCTGGCCATTGATTTCTTCAGTTTCTTTATCCTGCAGTGTGTAGAAGAAAGAAAACTGTGACATATATCAAACCAGAAAGACATATGACATTAAAGGAATAACAAGCCTGGCACAGAGTAGATGCTCAATAAATATTTTTTAAAGCAATGGACCAAATAATTTGTTGGTATATGTTAATTTGTTAATTTTTATATGCTAGATTCCTTGTTTTTTGGCCTTAGGAAAGAGAAACATATCTTTACCATTAAGGAATATACATGATAAGCATGGCTGGGTGGCTCAGGCCTGTAATCCCAGCGCTTTGGGAGGCCGAGGTAGGCGGATTGCCTGAGATCAGGAGTTTTAGATCAGCCTGACCAACATGATGAAACCCCATCTCTACTTTAAAAATGCAAAAATTAGCTGGGTGTGGTGGTGCACGCCTGTAGTCCCAGCTACTCAGGAGGCTGAGGCAGGAGAGTCGCTTGAACCTGGGAGGAGGAGGTTGCAGTGAGCCCAAATCATGCCCTTGCACTCCAGCCTGGGCAACTCCGTCGCAAAAAAAGAAAAAAAAAGGATTATAAATGAATAAATGATAAGGTTTTTTAAAGTTAGGGTCCGTTTAGTGGCAGTTTGGAAATTACAGATCAGGATCTAAGAGAGCTCTAATGACAGTTCTTTTGTGACTTACAAGGTGTCTTTTTACTGTGTTTGACTTAAGGGATTTTGTTTTGTTTGGTTTATCTTTTAATTTCTGTTTTGACCTTTCATAAAATGAGACCTTATAGAATTCTCTTAAGATAGTGTTCATAAACTTTTTTTGGATTGAGAGGTCTTTAAAAAAATTGATGTGGAGGTTATAGAATTTCTGCCTGTGCTCAAATTCACATATGTGAGGACATGCATTATTTTTCTCATAACTTTAAGAAGTTTGGGAAGTCACTAAAACTTACCCAGATCTGTTCATTCGTTCATTTGATTCATATTTGTTTATTCATTTCTATGGCTTATAAGGTTTGTAGGACCATCTGACAGAGTGCTACCCTTAGTTGTTTTCTTTCTTTTTAAATACAATATTGTGTAGTTGTATTTTAAAAGTCAAACATTTCATCACATAAAAATTATAACCTGGGCTGGGCATGGTGGCTCACGCCTGTAATCCCAGCACTTTGGGAGGCTGAAGTGGGCAGATCACGAGGTCAAGAGATCGAGACCATCCTGGCCAACATGGTAAAACCCCGTCTTTACTAAAAATACAAAAATTAGCTGATTGTGGTGGCGCGTGCCTCTAGTCCCAGCTACTGGGAGGTTGAGGCAGGAGAATCGCTTGAACCTAGGAGGTTGAGGTTGCAGTGAGCTGAGATCGTGCCACTGCACTCCAGCCTGGCAACAGAGCGAGACTCTGTCTCAAAAAAGAAAACAAAACAGAAAACAAATTACACCCTACTCCTAGTGGGGAACCCTCTGATATGGTTTGGTTGTGTCCCCACACAAATCTCATCTTGAATTGTATCTCCCATAATTCCCACATGTTGTGGGAGGAAACTGGTGGGAGGTAATTGAATTATGAGGGCAGGTTTTTCCCGTGCTATTCTTGTGATATTGAAGTCTCATGAGATCTAATGGTTTTATAAAGGGCAGTTCCCCTGCACATGGTCTCTTGCCTGCCACCATGTAAGACATGCCTTTGCTCCTCCTTCACCTTCTGCCATGATTGCAAGGCCTCCCCAGCCATGTGGAACTGTGAGTCCATTAAACCTCTTTTTCTTTATAAATTACCCAGTCTTGGGTATTTCTTCACAGCAGTATGAAAATGGACTAATGCAAGAAATTTGTACTGGTAGAGTTGGGTACTGCTAATTAAGATACCTGACAATGTGGAAGTGACTTTGGAACTGGGTAACAGGCAGAGCTTTGAAGAACTTGGAGGGCTTCCCAGGAAGATGTTAATCCCCAAGACAGTGGGGAAAATGGCTCCAGGGCATGTCAGAGGTCTTCACGGCAGCCCCTCCCATCCCAAGCCAGGAGGTCTAGGAGGGAAAAATGGTTTAGTGGGCCAGGCCCAGGGCCCTGCTGCTTTGTGCAGTCCTGGGACTTGGTGCCCTGTGTCCCAGCCATGGCTACAAGGGGCCAACGTATAGCTCAGGCCGTTGATTCAAAGGGTGCAAGCCCCAACCCTGGGAGGCTTATGCATGGTGTTGGACCTGTAGGTGCACAGAAGTCAAGAATTGAGGTTTGGGAACCTCCACTTAGATTTCAGAGGATGTATGGAAATGCCTGGATGTCCAGGCAGAGGTGTGTTGCAGGGGCAGAGCCCTAATGGAGAACCTCTGCTAGGGCAGCGTGGAAGGGACACGTGAGGTGGGAGCCCCCGCACAGAATTCCCACTGGGGAACTGCCTAATGGAGCTGTGAGAAGAGGGCCATCATCCTTCAGACCCCAGAATGGTAGATCCACTGACAGCTAACATCGTGCACCTGGAAAAGCCACAGACAATGCCAGCCCGTGAAAGCAGCCAGGAGGGTCTGTACCCTGCAAAACCACAGGGTCGGAGCTGCCCAAGACCATGGGAACCCACCTCTTGCATCAGCATTACCTGGATTTGAGACATGGAGTCAAAGGAGATCATTTTGGAGCTTTATGATTTGACTGTCCTCCTGGATTTCAGACTTACATGGGGCCTGTATTCGTACTGAAAATCAAGATCAAGTGAGCTTTTGCCCTTTTGCTCCATGGGATGTTTCTGTCCTCCCTGAGCTCACCTTAAGACACCTGCATTACTGTTTGACAGGTGTACTGCCCCAGTCAAACTCCCCACCTAGCACTGTCCCCAGTCCCCTGACTCATCCCTGCAAGGGGGCCTCCCACTTATTCTACACCTCTCATGTCTCTTCACTGTGCCAGAATAGAGTCAAGTTCAACAGGGTCTTCTCTCCCCACTGACTTTTTTTGTTTATGTGCATTTACTAACGTGAGTATTAAAATATGAATTTATATTGCCTATTTTTAATAAATACAAGATGATATTATTTATATTGTTTACAGGTTTTGTTTTTCCTTAGCTAAATATACTGAATTCCTTTCCATGCCAGTATTAGTAGATCTAGCATGCTTTTTTAAATCCCCCTATTACCCATTATTTACCATGAACCTAATTCTACAGACATACTAAAGTTCTTTGCAGATTAACTTTTATTTATTTTATTTATGTGCTTATGTTTTTGAGACGGAGTTTCACTTTTGTTGCCCAGGCTGGAGTGCAATGGCGCAATCTCGGCTCACCGCAACCTCCGCCTCCCAGGTTCAAGCAATTCTCCTGCCTCAGCCTCCCGAGTAGCTGGGATTACAGGCACGCACCACCACACCTGGCTAATTTTGTATTTTTAGTAGAGATGGGGTTTCTCCATGTTGAGGCTGGTCTTGAACTCCTGACCTCAGGTGATCTGCCGTCCTCGGCCTCCCAAAGCGCTGGGATTACAGGCATGAGCCACTGCGCCTGGCCGCAGATTAACTTTTATATTTCACATAGCTGGTGGCAGAAATAAGGGTAGAAGAAGGAGTGACAGATTGGAGTGATATCTTAGTTGCTAAAACTCTGCTTTGTTCATCATCTCAGAGAGTGGGTGCGTAGGGCTGGGGAGGCATACATTCTGAAAAGAGGGGGTTGTTGACTAAGAAATAGGCCTCCACCTAACAAAACACCCACTGTGACTATTTACAATGTTTGCATCTCAGCAAAAATACCATTTGTATTCTGAATTCCTTTGTTTCAACTACATAACTCAATAAGAAAGAAAGTTTCCTACAATTGAAAAGAATAGACAGTGTTTAAAGGCCAAGTTTTGCCTTCCTTTTAAGGCTGAATGTGCTTTATTTTAAGCCACTCTTCCTCCTCAAGTTAAGAAGGGCCTTCTGGTATTTCTGTGCAAAGCACCAGTAATACTGTTTCTTTTTAAGTTAATCATTTTTAATCCTGCTTATTTTATTTAGTGCCTATTGCTATAGCATCTAATGAGCTCAGCGCTTCTGACAGTATGTCCTATGGATGCCTGGGGGCAGATTGCCTGGGTTGGACTCTGCTCCAGTTCTTATTAGTTGTGTATGTCAGCTCTGTTTTCCCATCTGTTAAATGGGATAGTAATAGCCACAATAATACCTCATGGCTGTTGTGAGGATTAAAATAAGAAAATGCAAGTGAAAGACAGTCCAGAGGATGGGAGAAAATATTTGCAAATTAGGTATCTGCTAAAGGTCTAGTATCCGCAATAGATAAAGAAGTCTTTTTATTTTTTATTTTATTTTTTTTTGAGATGGAGTCTTGCTTTGTCACCCAGACTGGAGTGCAGTGGTGTGATCTCGGCTCACTGCAACCTCTGCCTCCCAGGTTCAAGCGATTCTCCTCCCTCAACCTCCCAAGTAGCTGGTATTACAGGCATGCACCACCATGCCTGGCTAATTTTGGCTAATTTTTCTATTTTTGTAGAGACGTGTTTCAGCATGTTGGCCCGGCTGGTCTTGAACTCTGGACCTCAGGTGATATGCTCACCTTAGCCTCTTAAAGTGCTGAGATTATAGGCGTGAGTCATCATGTCCAGCCAAGAATTCTTATAACTCAACAATCTAAAGACAACCCAATTGAAAAATGAGCAAAGGAATAGATATTTCTCCAGAAAAGATAAACAATTGGCTAATAATTATTGCCCATGAAAAGATGGTCAACATCATTAGTCACTTAGGGAAATGCAAATCAAAACCATAGCGAAATTTTTCTACTTTGTGCCCACTGGTATGGCTGTAATAAAAATGGAAAGAAATACGTGTTGGCAAGGATGTGGGAAAATTAGAACCTTATATTGCTTGTGAAAATGTAAAATAGTGTAGCAGTTTTGGAAAATATTTTGGCAGTTCTACAAAAAGTTAAGCTTTGAGTTATCATATAACTCAGTAATTTCTCTCTAAGTTTTCTGCCCAAGAAAACTGAAAACATATGTTCACACAAAAACTTGTACATGGATATTCATAACAGCATTATTCATAATAGGCAAAAAGTGGAAACAACCAAAATGCCCATCAGCCGACGAATGGATCAACAAAATATGGTCATTTCATATAATGGAGTATTATTCAGCCATACAGGAAATACAGGACTGATACAAGCTGCAACATGCATGGGCCTTGAAAACATAATGCTAAGTGAAAGACGTCTGGCACAAAAGGTGACATATCCTATGATTCCATTTATATGAAATGTCTGCCACTGGAAAATCCATAAAGAGAGAAAGTAGGCTAGTGGTTTATTAGGGCTCAGAGGCTGGCAGGGAATGGGGGAGTAACTGCTAATGGGTTTCTTTCTGGGGTGATGAAAGTGTCTGGAATTAAGATTGGATGATTGTCGCACAACTTTGTGCATACAGTAAAAAACCACAGAATCGTACATCCGTTAAATCCGGATGGATTTTATGGCGTGTGAATTACATCCCAATGACAAAAAATAGGATAATAGCTGGGAGGTGGTACCATGCCCCTAACATGGTAAGCACTCTATGTGTTAGTTATTTCTGCTGCTGCTGTCATCATTTTCATTGTTACTACAAAATCAATTCCATTCATTATTCCTAAAAATATCAATTTCTTATGGTTATATTATTTCTAGTTCTTTTCTTCAAATTACACAAATATTAGCCACTCAGTGCTTGCAGAATATTTTCAAAGGTCTGCATTTGTGAACAGGTCCTGGGATGGAGAGCCTTTGAATTACCGTGGGTGTATGTGTTATCCATTTGCTTACACTGCATCTTCTTACTATAAAATAAAGTACTTCTTGGCAGATCATATGGCATTTATAGATTTTTCTTCTTACTTTCTTTTATTTGATTTATATAATTGGGTACTCTCAACTCCCGTGATGGAGAGAAAGCAAAGAAACCAAGAATAGGATAACGCTATGGAATGCCTCAATCTTCTTTTAGTTTTTTATTTTTGGTTGAATAATTTTAGTTTAGTTCATGGAATAAGGTAAATATTTTACATTTGTTAATAACTCCATACTTTGTTCTAGGTTCAGTGGCTTACAAAAATATGTATAACAAAACAAAATTAAAAAATGAATCAGTAGAGACAAAAAGAGCATGGATGTTAAAATGTAACTAAAAGATGCCCTGCACGGTGGCTCACTCCTGTAATCCCAGCACTTTGGGAGGCCAAGGCGGGCGGATAACTTGAGGTCAGGAGTTTGAGACCAGCCTGGCCAATATGGTGAAACCCCATCTCTACTAAAAACACAATTTTTTTTTTTTTTAGGTGGAGTCTCACTCTGTCACCAGGCTGGAGTGCAGTGGCGTGATCTCGGCTCATTGCAACCTCCGCCTCCCGGGCTCAAGTGATTCTCTTGCCTCAGCTCCCAGAGTAGCTGGGACTGCAGGCACGTGCCACCACACCCAGCTAATTTTTGTATTTTTAGTAGAGATGAGGTTTCACCATGTTGGTCAGGCTGGTCTTAATCTCCTGACCTCGGGATCCGCCCGCCCCTGCCTCCCAAAGTGCTGGGATTACAGTTGTGAGCTACCGCGCCCAGCCTTAAAAATACAAAAATTAACTGGGTGTGGTGGCCTGCGCCTGTAATCCCAGGTACTTGGGTGACTGAGGCAGGAGAATCACTTGAACCTGGGAGGCGGAGGTTGCAGTGAGCTGAGATTGTGCCTCTGCACTCCAGCCTGGGTGACAGAGTGAGACTCCATCTCAAAAAAAAAAAAAAAAAAAGTAACTAAAAGGAAATACTTAAAAAATACTGGAATTCCTCAATCTTGATGAACTATCCTTTCCATGTTTTCTCCCATAGTTAAACAAGGAGTTTTTACTTCTTTTGGGCAGTAGCTACATAGTATGAGACTTCTAGTAGTGCACTATGCTAACATCATCACACTTGAATGTTTTTTGAAAATATTTTACGTAAAATACATGTCCCAGATGGACTCTATTCTTTAGTTGGTTATCTAGAATTAACATTTGGATTATGTTTGCTAAATGCGTCAGCCATATCCTAAGCGCTGTGATCCTTTTAGAACTATTAACAGATGAGACTGGGGGGCATTTTATGGTTATAAGAGCTAAATGATATTTATGCAAGTGTGTAAACATTAATAACTCAGCGTTTATAAGCATGTTAGAATATTTGATTATGGCTAGGGAAATGCATATTAGCTATCTAGCACAGATCTAAAAGTGATCTGGGCTATACCTTTCATTTCTGGATTTCTTTCCTTAAGCTTAAAGGGTGTTCTAATTTCATTATTATCAATCTCAAGATCATTTCACAGTTTCCTGGTGGTTGGGTGTCATGGTGACTTTTTGTTTTCCAGGCTCTTTGTTTGGATATGTGGCCTTGTTTGAGTTGTCTTTGATTGCTATATATCTGTACCCTTGTTTGCTTTTGCCTGGCTACTGATTCTCAGTGTTTCACTTTGACCTTTGATAAAGCTGTGACTCTGATTCATTTTTAGGGGGGATTCACCTCGTTGGTGGAATCTAGCCTTGCCCTGCCAGGCGGCTGCCTGGGTGTTGCTTGCTGGTTGGAATGTATCCATTGAAGGCCTTAGATGTTGGAGTCCTTGCTTCCTAGCTCCACCTCTTTGTTTCAGGGCACCACTCTTCTGGTCTAGTGCACAGCCTGGTCTCTGTCAATCAGCACGTTCTGCCTGGCGTTTTATGGCATGTTTTCTTCCCCCCCACATAGGGTAGCAGCCTTTTTATAAGTTGTAATGGGTTTTTGATACCCACTGTCATTTTTCTTTTCTTTTTTTTGAGACAGGGTTTCACTCTGTCACCCAGGCTGAATGCAGTGGCACGATCACAGCTTCCTGCAGTCTTGAACTCTGGGACTCAGGCAGTCCTCCCACCTCATCCTCCCAAGTAGCTGGGACTACAGGTGTGCACCACTATTCCCAGTTGCTTTTTTTAAAAAAGTTTTTTGGGTCGGGCCGGGTGGCTCACGCCTGTAATCCCAGCACTTTGGGAGGCCGAGGTGGGTAGATCACGAGGTCAGGAGTTCGATACCAGCCTGGCCAACATGGTGAAACCTGGTGTCTACTAAAAATATAACAATTAGCTGGGTGTGGTGGCGTGTGCCTGTAATCCCAGCTACTCAGGAGGCTGAGGCAGGAGAATCGCTTGAACTCGGGAGGCGTGAGTTGCAGTGAACTGAGATCATGCCACTGCACTCCAGCCTGGTGACAGAGCGACACTCTGTCTCAAAAAAAAAAAAAAAGTTTTTTGTAGAGACAGAGGCCTCACTATGTTGCCCAGGCTGATCTTGAACTCCTGGACTCAAGCAATCCGCCCTCCTCGGCCTCCCAAAGTGCTGGGATTATAGGTGTGAGCTACCATGCCCAGGCTTCCCAGTGTCATTCTGATTTGAATTTTTCTAGAAAGATTTCTAGAATTTTTCTAGAATGATTATTGTATCCTAAACATTTATAGCATTATGTTCTTTACTTTTTATTGCTTAGAAAAAAATAGTTTAGTTACTACTGGTAATTTGCAAATTAAAGAATTATGTATAAAATTGCTATAGGTGCCTGTGGTTAAATTCTTTTACCAAGATTTCACTTCTAGAGAACTGAAGAATTTACCAAAGTAAAAATGGTCTAACTTTATTACTTGGTTTATAGAAATGAATAAATCATAGTTAATAGTACAGTATATTAATAATACTGTGCTCTAAGCTACAGATTAGAAAAATATGCACCCTGTTTGTCACAATAAATGGAGTGACCAAAGCTATAGTATTTCAAATCTGTGACTATTATATATTTTTCTATACCAAGTCACTTCTTTTTTTGTTTGTTTGTTTTTGGGACAGAGTCTTGCTCTGTCACCCAGGCTGGAGTGCAATGGTGTGATCTCAGCTCACTGCAACCTCTACCTTCTGGGTTCAAGTGATTCTCGTGCCTCAGCCTCCCCAGTAGCTGAGATTACAAGCGTGCACCACCACACCTGGCTAATTTTTGTATTTCAATAGAGAAAGGGTTTCATCATGTTGGCCAGGCTGGTCTTGACCTCCTGGCCTCAAGTGATCTACCTGCCTCAGCCTCCCAAAGTGCTGGGATTACAGGTGTGAGCCACGGTGCCCGGCCTGTACCAAGTAACATTTCTTTCTGTGTGCAGGAATATACATGTGCTTGTTACAGAGTTGAGTTTATCATATTCTATCACCATGTATTTCCCATAAATCTATTAAGTTAAAATCTGTGCCACTTATCAAAGTTTGGAGTGATTACATATATATACATAACCCTATATGATCTTTGAATTCAGAGCCTTGATGCTAGCCTGAGAGTCTGTGTGTATGAATGCAGGTGGCAAGAGTGAGGCATGGATTGTTGCTATTTTTTCTACCGGAGTGCCATTATTAACAGTTTCTTTTCTGTATAGTCACTGTGAACACTGTTGTGGGGCTGCTCCCTGTGTGTGGCTCTGCCTCAGAACCCACAGAGTCGGCTGGCTCCCAGACCTACTCTGTCTCTGGTTACAAGTCAGTGTCTTATTTACTGGAAGTTAAAAGACAGGGCACTGTTGATTTACACTGTGCTTCAGCATGCCCTTATTAGTATTTCTTGGTTCTTCCATCAGTGAGTCTCTGATTTCTTCACCAAAAAATAATCTTGCAGAGAGTCATGATCAACCCTGTTTTTATAAAACACTGAGCTTTGGAAAGGGAAATGATTACTCATCACAACTCTAAACACTAGGATAAAATGTTCCCATTTAGATCAATCAGGGGCCAATTTAATTTTCTAATGAACTTTAGAATTGCTTTTGTGGTCTGCCTTTAGGGACTATTATTATACCAGCTTTTCTTCTTTTTAATGTTTCTAGAAGTCAATTTTCATCTTTGCCAAGAATTAAAGGATCCTTAAACATGTGGAAAAGATGAGAAAAACAGTCAGTGGATCATCTTGATGATGATGGTCTTGCAATTTTGCAGAAGGTTGAAAAGGCAATACATATAACAGATTCATGTTCTTTCTATTGAAATGGACAAGTTAGAGGTCTAGATTGAATACACTCTGTGTTTAGACTTAATAAACACTTTCAATAAGCTTATTCAATATTTTTTAAATTGACAACCTGTATTGGGAACTGCATATACTATAGAGATCAAAGTTGACATTTCTTGCCCTCTTGGGCTTACCCAAAACAATATGTAATCAAATTAAGATAAGTACTGGGTGCACAAGGAAGGAAAACAGGTTGCCTTTAGAGACTGGAGGAGTCGTCCAGAAGTCCGCTCTGAAGAGAAGATGTTTAAAATTAAACCTGCAATGTTCGTCTGAATTAAGCAGGTTGAGAACAGGGTGAAGGAGGCAGGCATAGCAGCATGAACCAATATCCCGAGGCAGGAAAGGGCTGGGTTTGTCAGAGTAACATGAAGGTCAGTGTGCTGGAGCAAACTGAGGAGGGTGAGTGTTTCAAGACAAGGCTTGGCATAGGAGTGGTCAGATGATTCAGGGCCATATGAACCATGTTAATTTAGTTGTTCCAAAGTTCAGAGAGTTGATTAGAAGGAATAAGAAGAGAATTTAGGAGACAGTGTCAGAAGGTTATTGGCTTTAGGCTGGAGGCAAGAGATGACAGTAGCTTGGACTGGGGGTTGACAGTGGAACTGAAGAGATGTGGATGGACTCAAGCTGTATTTAGGAATTAGAACCAACAAAAGTTGATAGAAGGGTTAGATTGTGGTATTAGAAGAAAGGATTCATTTCAGCATCCTGGCATGAACCAGTGAATGGATGAAAGTGCTTTTCCGTAGTTGGGAAAGACTAGAGGCAGAATAGATTTGAGAGAGAAGCAACAGTTCAGTTTTTTGATGGGTTAAGGTTGAAATGAGTCTGTGAGCTATCTCAGTGGAGATGTCAAGTAGGTGGTTAGTTACATAGTATGTGTTTATCTCTTGCTGCATAATAAATTATTATGAAACTTAGCAGCAAATCTATATTAGTTATCTATTGCTCTGTAACAAGTCACCCCAACATTGGTGCTTTAAAACAGCAAATATTTATTATCTCATGCAGTTTCCTTGGCCAGGAATTTTGAAGTGGTTTAGCTAGGTGATTCCAGTCCAGGGTCTGTCATGAGATTGCACTCAAGATGCTGGCCAGGGTTGCCATCATCTGAAGCTTGACCGAGGCTAGAGGATCTGATTCCAAGATGGCTTATGTACATGGCTTTTGGCAGAAGGTCTCAGTTCCCTGCTGGTTCTCGGTCGAAGGCCACAGTTTCTCGCCACGTGGGCCTCTCTCTAGGGTGCTTGAGTGTCTTCATGACATGGCTGTGAGCTTCTCTTAGAGTGAGAGAGATATGAAAGAATGCAAAGGGGAAGCTGTAATACTTTTAGTCTCAAAAGTCCGACTCATCACTTCTGCCATATTCTATTCAGTAGAAGTGAGTCACCAATTTCAGCCCATACTCAGTGGGTGGGGAATTAAGCCCCCCGCTTGAATAGACAGCCACCAAATAATTTCTGAATGTATTTTAAAACCACCACACATGATTTTGTAATTGAGAAGAAAGGTTTGGGCTGGAAATAAGACATTAGGAGTTTTGCACATAGATGCTGTGGAGTGAGTAGATGCGTGACCACTTAGTAAAAGTGTGAAGAGGTCCAAGACTGATCCTTTAGGAAATCTAACTTGTAGAGGATCTGCTGTGGAGGAGTGGAGGAGAAGGAAGAAATGGAATCTGGGAAGATGAGAAGAATTTTTCAGGCAGGGAGTGTTCTATTCTGTGGAAGCCTACTGGAATGTGTATTTGACTTTCATTTTTAAGAATTTATTCTCTGAATGAATGAAGAATGAATAAATAAATGTCATGTATATGTTCAAAATTTTAATTCTAAGTATGATTGTTATTGAAATGCTTATAAAATTAAGAATGGAAATCAGCATTAGGAATGCATAATAACAGAGTGGGAGATATTGGTAAAAAATTATTTAATGTCCAGACAATAAAATACCTATGAAGCTTTAAAATGACATTATTAAAGAATGTGCACTGTAATAAAAACAGATTTATAAAGTATTTTAAATAAATATAAAATACTATGTAAGGAAGAAGCAGACAAAAATGTCTAGGAGGATGTATATAAACCTGTTAATACTGGTTATCTCTGGGCAGAGGGAAAATGGGTGGTTTAAGTTTCCTTCCTTTGGTTTGTCTAAATCTTCCTTAATAAATGGAAATTGCTTTTGTAATAAAATGTTTGAAAATATCCCCTCCCAAAATAAAGAAAAATAATGAAAATAATGATAGTTGAAACTCAATTGAGGGGCCCGGCATATTGGCTCATGCCTGCAATCCCAGCACCTTGAGAGGCTGAGGTGGGAGGATTGCTTGAGGTCAGGAGTTTGAGATCAGCCTGGGCAACACAGCAAGACTCCATCTCTAAAATAATTTTTTTAAAATATTAGCTGGGCTTGGTGGCTCATGCCTGTAGTCTGAACCACTCAGGAGGCTGAGGTGGGAGGATTACTTGAGCACAAGTCAAAGCTACAGTGAGCTATGATTGTGCCATTGCACTCCAGCCTGAAGCCTCAAAAAAGAAAAAAAAACTTGATTGAGAAAAATTAAAGTACAACATTTGGCTCTGAACTTCCTGGCAGCCAAGACAAAATGATACAAAGAAGATCTCTGATCTTTGTCAAGACACCCTGCTTTATGCCTGGTCCCCAAAGTGAGCAGAAGTGAGGCACCTTGCCCTCTAAAGCAATTCCTTTCTTTTTTTCTTTCTTTTTTTTTTTCATTTGAAGGATTTCTTTTTTAAACTTTTATTTTAAGTTAAGGGGTACATGTGTAGGTTTGTTTCATGGGTAAATGTGTGTCACAGGATGGGGGTTTGTTTACGGATTATTTCATCATCCAGGTATTAAGCCTAGTATCCATTAGTTATTTTTCGTGATCGTTTCCCTCCCCCCAACCTCCACCCTCCAATAGACCCCAGTGTATATTGTTCCCTGCTATATATCCATGTGTTGTCATCATTTAGCTCCCACTTAAAAGTGAGAAATGTGGTATTTGGCTTTCTGTTCATATGTTAATTTGCTAAGGATAATGGCCTCCAGCTCCATCCATGTCCCTGCAAACAACATGATCTCATTCCATTTTATGGCTGCATAGTATTCCATAGTGTGTATATGCCACATTTTCTTTATCCAATCCACCACTAATGGGCATTTAGGTTGATTCAAAGTCTTTGTTACTGTGCTGCAATGTCTTTGTAACAGAGCAATTTATATTCCTTTGGGTGTATACCCTGATATGGCTTGTCTGTGTCTCCACCCAAATCTCATCTTGAATTCCCAGGTATTATGGGAGGGACCCAGTGGGAGTAATTGAATCATGGAGGCAAGTCTTTCCCATGCTGTTCTTGTGATAGTGAATAAGTCTCACGAGAACTGATGGTTTTATAAAGAGGCGTTTCCCTGCACAAGCTCTCTCTTTGCCTGCTGCCATCCATGTAAGATGTGACTTGCTCCTCCTTGCCTTCCACCATGATTGTGAGGCTTCCCCAGCCACATGGAACTGTAAGTCCATTAAATCTCTTTCTTTGGTAAATTGCCCAGTCTTGGGTATATGTTTATCAGCAGTGTGAAAGCAGACTAATACATACTCAGTAATGGGATTGCTGGGTCAAATAGTATTTCTGTCTTTAGGTCTTTGAGGAATTGCTATGTTGTCTTCCACAGTGTTTGAACTAATTTACACTCCCACCAACAGTGTGTAAGTGTTCCTTTTTTTCTTCAACCTCGCTAGCATCTTTTATTTTTTGCCTTTTTAATAATAGCCATTCTGACTGGTGTGAAATTTATATCATTGTGTTTTTGGTTGGCATTTCTCTAATGATAGTGATGTTGAGCTTTTTTTAATATGCTTGGCCACATGTATGTCTTCTTTTATTTAAAGCAATTTCACATAAGCTACAGCGATGTTCTTAAGTCTTGGGAAAACAGAGGGCATACTTTAAAATGTAGGTTCTGTGAAGGCAGTTGTGCAGGCACAGGGTAGATTCCTATATGTGGCTTAGGTAAGCTTTGTGATGATTTGGTATAACAAAGTGGTAAAGTTTTTATTATCTTGAGAATACAGCAGTTGGTATTCCCTTAGACCAGATTCCTTCACATCTCTGGATGACTGGGCTGCACCTGATTCCTTAAGCCTGGCTGGAGTCAAGGAGTCTGTATTCTAAGACAATTCTCCAGGGGATTCTGATGTTTTGCTACATCTGGGAATTTGTGCAGTGTACTATTCTTTTTGACCATGATGACAGTTGGGTTTTATTGAGAATTAACCATGTGGCTCTTGCCGCATGCTGATTATTATCTTTAATTCTCATAACAATTGTTTAAGGGTTGCATTTTTACCCTCTTTGTATATAGGAGAAAAATAAATTGTTCAAGACATAAAGCAGTCAAAAAGCAGTTCCATAAAGTAGTTGGGAGCTGAGTTTTACCTTATAAGGCTGTTGGGATCAAATGAGATAATGTGTACAAAGTGGTTAGCCCTGTGTCTGGCACATAGAAAGTGTTTAATAAATGTCAGTTTTATTATGAGAAAACATGATTCATGGATGGAGACTCTGATAGCATCCTTAGTGCATGCATCTCCCTATTCCAGTCATCTGTCCTTCAGTGTTACGTTTTAGATCAGAGTTATAGGACATGTCAGGCTTATTTTATCTTATTTTCTTTTATGAGACAGGTTCTCACTCTGTCTCCCAGGCTAAAGTGCAGTGGTGTGATCATGGCTCACTGCAGCCTCGAACTCTTGGGTTCAAGTGATCCTCCCACCCCACCCTCCCAAGTAGCTGGGACCACAGGCATATGCCACCACACCCAGCTAATTTTTGTACTTTTTGTAGAGACAGGGTTTTACCATTTTGCCCAGGCTGGTCTCGAACTCCTGGGCTCAAGTGATCCACTCGCCTTAGCCTCCCAAAGTGTTGGGATTACAGACATGAGTCATTGCGCCCAGGCCATTTCAGCCTGTTTAACATTCCTTTTGCAGAGCTGGAACATCCAACTCCAACTTGTAGACCAGAAATACTCCTGAATTTCTTTCCTCAGACTTATCTCAGTGGCACCAGATTGAGTTAGGATTGAGTTTAGCTGCAAGTAAGAGAAACCCTTTTACGATAGATTAACTAAGAAAGAACTCATTTTTCTCAAGTAAGCTTCAGTCTGTAGGTAGGCAACCCAGGGCTGGTTACCTGCTCAGGGAAACTGGCAGCTTCTGTCTTCCTGGAGGAAGCAGAAAGGCCCAGGGCAAGATGTTCATGCCAGCCAAGTCTGTTAATTTTTATCAGGGAAATAATAGTTCTCCTGGGTCTTCCACCCAATATACTTCTCCCCTCCTCTGGGCGGAATTGAGCCAAATGGTTATCTCTAGTTGCAAGGCAAGGTGAATATTTTAACTGGCCACCTTGCTACAGGGAAAAAAAATGGGATTAATCTTGTAAGTGAGAAGGAGAGAAAGGATGCTTGAGTAGGCAACTAGCAGTGTGTACCATAGTGAGTTCCAGCAAATAGTTCTATCTTAAATACCATGTCTAGAGGCATGATCAGAGTGAAAACAATTCTGATTCTAGAATTCAGGTTACCTGTAATTATATTCTGAAAGAATGATAGGTTGAAAATATGAGTATTAAAAGACAAAATTGGAACCAAGTACAATTTCTCCATTTGTCTTATAGGGGAATATATGAAAAGTTGAGATAAATTAATCTCTTTTCTTCAAAAAAATAACACTGTGAAATGAACATGAAAAATGTTTATTGCATCTGGTTTTTTTCCTCTATGTTTTATTTCAGTAAAATACAGATAACATAAAATTTATTATTTTAGCCATTTGAAATGTACATACATCTTGTTATATAACCATCACTACCATCGTTCTCCTGAATTCTTTTCTTGTTGAAAAACTGAAAATATATACCCATTAAACCAGGGGTCCCCAAGCCCTGGGCCACAGGTCGCTACTAGTCTGTTGCCTGTTAGGAGGCGAGTCACACAGCAGGGGGTGAGCGGTGGGTAATCGAGCATTACCTCCTGAGCTCTGCCTCCTGTCAGATCAGCAGCGGCATTCGATTCTCATAGGAGCACGAACCCTATTGTGGACTGTGCATGTGAGGGATGTAGGTCGTACACTCCTTATTAGAATCTAACTAATGCCTGATGATCTGTGGTGAAACAGTTTCATCCCGAAACCACTCCCCCACTGCCTCCCCCACTGCCCCGCCCATGGAAAAATTGTCTTTCACAAAACCGGTTCCTTTTTGGTGCCAAAAAGGTTAGGGACCGCCACATTAAACAACAACTCCTCACTCCTCTCTCCTCCTAGCCCTTGGCAACCACCATTTTACTTTCACTATTCTAGGTACCTCATGTAAGTGGAATCATACCATAGTTTTCTTTATGTGACTGGCTGTGTCACTTAGCACACTGTCCTCCATGTTCATCCATGTTGTAGCATGTGTCTGAATTTCCTTTCTCTTCAAGGCTGGTTATTATTCCATTTTATGTAAATATCACATTTTGCTAATTAATTGATCTGTTTGTGGACACTTGGGTTGCTTCCATCTTTTAGCTTTTGTGAATAGCGTTCCTATTAACATGGATGTACAAATATCTCTGAGATTCTGCTTTCAGTTCTTCTGGTTATATCATTGCATATGCTTTTTACTCAGATCCCGTTTCTCCTTGACATAACCCTAGGTAATGGTAGTTAGCTTACTCTTATCTTGAGGGAAATGCTAAAGTTTTGAGGAAAGATCATTCATCCAAATCTTTTTGTTTGATTGACTCTTGCTAACCTCCAAGAAAAATTTGTGATCACGAGTTATATTTTATACAGTCCATAGGTTCAGGGAAGGGAGTAATTCTAGTGTTCCTAAAAGATGCCATTGCAGTGCTGTAATGCAGAAAAACGCTAGGTTTTGGGGTGTCCTTAGGAAGGAGACAAGAAAGAAAACAGAGAACGTTATCCTTCCTTTGCAAAGCCATGTTGACTGTGCACATGGATTACGATCTGAGATTCTGGTCTCCTACTTAAATGATTTAACAGTGGAAGGTATTCTAGTGAAGGAAACCCAAGTCCCGGAGCGAATGCATTTGTTACTTTTGTAAAACTGACTAAGGTGATCAGTACTCTTCAGTCTAAAAATATGAAAGTGGAAAGAAGACATACTTACCAGCTATAAGCTTATTTCAGAAAAGCAAACATAAACTTATTCTTCTAACCTTCAACAGTTATCTGGACTTTTTGATGCTTAAAAGACCAGCAAATGTTCAAGACAAATGAGAGGAAGAGCTATTTTACACTGAAGATATAATTAGCAAGTTTGCAGTACCCAGTGATAGTATAGACTGAATTTACAAATTTTTTCTTTTAAAGGCAATAAATGTCAGACTCACAGTAGACTATTAAATAAAGACAGTGCTGCCAGAACTCTATTTTTTTTTTTTTTTCTTTTGAGACGGAGTCTTGCTCTTTCGCTCAGGCTTGAGTGCAGAGGTGCGATCTCGGCTCAGTGCAACCTCCGCCTCTTAAGTTCAAGTGATTCTCCTGCCTCAACCTCCTGAGTAGCTGGGATTACAAGCGCACACCACCACACCTGGCTAATTTTTGTATTTTTAGTAGAGACAAGGTTTCATCATGTTGACCAGGCTGGTCTTGAACTTTTGACTTCAGATGATCCACCTGCCTCAGCCTCCCAAAGTGCTGGGATTATAGGCATGAGCCACTGTCCCCGGCCCAGAACCCTAATTTTTAACAGTGACAAGAAGTTAACATGAAGGAAGTCATTAGGAAAGTGAGTGGCCTGTAAATGAAGTTTCTTGCGCTTTTGCTCAGGCAATGGATTTTATCTGTCCCCCTCATCCAACCCTACCTGAATGAGCTTTTTAATTAAAAAATTCATTAGTAAGGCTGGGAGCAGTGGTTCATGCTTGTTATCCCAGCACTTTGTGTGGTGTAGGCGGGCGGACTGCTTGAGCCCCGGAGTTCGAGACCAGCCAGGGCAACATGGCGAAACCTCGTGTCTACAGAAAAATACAAAAATTAGCCAGGCATGTTGGCACATGCCCTCCAGGTACCTGGGAGGCAGAGGTGGGAGAATCGCTTGAGCCTCGGAAGTTGAAGGCTGCAGTGAGCCGTGATCATACTACTGCACTCAAGCCTAGGTGACAGAGTGAGACTCTGTCTCAAACAAACAAACAAAAAGTATTAGTAGTTTATGTGAACCTTTTCATAGTTATGAAAATTAAAAATAAGAATATGTATTTTTCAATATGAGACTAAACCTTTCAATTATTTTATTTATTAACTTCCAATTTATACCCTTTTAGGCAAAGAGTTCTGTGATTTATGGGCCAATTTTTAAACTGTGATGTCCATGGGAAGAAATTTTTAGCCCTGAGTTTTGAAGGGGAATGCAGTGTTCCTTTCTGACTTGTTTTTCCTGCTTATTATAAATATTTATCTTGGACAAAGGATTGCATTTTAGCGGATGTGCAATTTTACAAATTTAATTATTAAAATGACTCTTCTTCCTTTTTTTATGATCTTACATTTTGTTTTTAACTTGTCATGGCGGATATTAAAACACTCCAAATAAAGACAAAAAAACTCAATATAAAAAAAAACCAAAAACCACTTCCGAAATACTCCATTTTTTCTTATTTAAAAAAATGCTATTTATAGTAGTAGTTGGCATTTCATCAAAGTACATAAGCAAAGGACAGATACTCCTCATTTTTTCCCAGGTTTCTATTCTTTTTCTGAAAGTGAGTAAAATATTAGGCTTTGGAGAAAGTCTAGGTAGTTTGGTGTGATCTGTTGGTAGCATTTTGTTTTGCCTTAATCTTCTATTTTTTTCTTCCCATTTTATTTATTTATTTTTTTGAGATGGAGGCTCATTCACTTTGTCGCCCAGGCTGGAGTGCAGCGGCGCGATCTTGGCTCACTGCAACCTCCGCCTCCTGGGTTCAAGAGATTCTCATGTCTCAGCCTCCTGAGTAGTGGAAATTACAGGTACGTGCCACCATGCCTGGCTAATTTTTGTATTTTTAGTAGAGATGGTGTTTCACCATATTGTCCACTTCTTGAACTCCTGACCTTAAGTGATCCTCCTGCCTTGGCCTCCCAAAGTGCTGAGATTACAGGCATGAGCCACCATGCCCGGCCTTCTTCCCATTTTAATAACTAATGATTTTGCCTTAAAATACTTGAATTTATTGCAAAAGGTGTATTTTAAATGATTCAGCTCCCTCTTCCACGGTGTTTCTGTAGTGAATAGACTGGAAGCTGGGAAGAAAGTGACCTCCATAAACACAGTTATTTTACATTATTTCTCTCTCTGAAGAGAGAATTAGCACTCTTTTTCACTTCCAAGTGGAAAACCCACTGGACAGGCAGGTGCAAATAAAGCAATGTAAACCGGCAAGTTTCATTTTTAGAAATATGTGGGCTTTATCCAGTTTAGGAGCTTAGCTCCCGATACATTTCTGTCTCCCATCCTTTGGGATTTGGGAGCTTTTTTTGTTTTTGGTTGAGTGTTGGCATCTACAGTATCTCCCTTCCTCCTAGATCCTTCCTGTCTGCATGTAAATACAGATATGCAGAAGTCTCCCTTATTCTTACCATCCTCCACCAAAGCAGACAGACCCGCAGACAGACAGACCTTGTGTCAGCCCAGTTTATTTTTTAGCTGACAAATTCTCTTCCTTTCCTACTTGTCCTCATTAAAGTGGAGAAAAATACACCTTTTACAAGATGGGTGCATTAAAGAAAAAATGTTACAGAAGGTATTACGTATTTATTACAAACTTAGAAAATATGGCTAACAAATAATAGAATATAAGAGTCACTCAGAATCTTCTAACGTACAGATACAGTGCTAACATTTTGGCTCTTGGCTTTCTGTCATACGTACACTTACGTATAAGTGAAGCACTGTGTATATTCTTTAATGACCTGCTTTATTACCCCTTAATACATTGTGAAAATCCTTCCATGTCTTTCCATATTCATTATATGTATCTGAATATCATTTTTTTAACCTTTTGTGTTTTTTTTTAGAGACAGGGTCTTACTTTGTTGTCCCACTGGAGTACAGTGGCACAACCATAGCTTACTCCAGCCTCAAACTCCTGGGTTCAAGCGATTGTCCCACCCTAGCCTCCAGAGTAGCTGGGACTACAGGTGTGGACCATTCTGCCTGGCTAATATTATTTATTTATTTATTTATTTATTTATTTATTTATTTGAGACAGGATCTCACTCACCCAAACTGGAGTGCAGTGGTGTGATCACGGCTCACTGCAGCCTCCACCTCCCCAGATTCAGGTGATCTTCCCACCTCAGCCACCTGAGTAGCTGGGACCATGGCGTGTGCTACCATGCCATGTGCTACCACACCTGGCTAAGTTTTGTATCATTTTGTAGAGATGAGGTTTTGCCATGTTGCCCAGGCTGGTGGCTCAAGCAGTCCACCCACTTGGGCCTCCCAAAGTGCTGGGATTACATGCATGAGCCACCTTGCCCTACCCGCTAGTATCCTTTTTAATGCATGAAAATATACTTTTAAACAGTTCTCATGGATGGACACTGGGAAAGCTAGATGCCTGTGAGAGTTTGAGCTCCTCAGTGTGAAGACCCTCTCCTGTCTGCTCTAATGTTGCATTTTCCTGGTATGAACCCTGAATATCTGACAGAGGTCTCAGTTAATTTAGAAAGTTTATTTTGCTAAGATTGAGAGTGTGTGCCTGTGACACAGCCTCAGGAGGTCCTGATGATATGTTCCCAAGGTGGTCAGAGCACAGTTTGGTTTTATACATTTTAGGGAGACATGAGACATCAATCAACATATGTAAGATGAACATTGGCTTGGTCTGGAAAGGCAGGACAACTCGAAGTGGGGACGGGGCTTCCAGGTCATAGGTTAATAAGAGACAAATGGTTGCATTCTTTTGAATATCTGATTAGCCTCTCCGAAGGAGGCAATCAGATATGCATTTATCTCAGCGAGCAGAGGGGTGACTGAATAAAACGGGAGGCGGGTTTGCCCTAAGCAGTTCCCAGCTTGACTTTTCCCTTTAGCTTAGTGATTTTTGGGGCCCCACCGTTTATTTTCCTTTCACACTGGGCTTGCTTGATAAGTTTACCTGAGTATGCTGCTAATCTCTCACATTTTTTGGTGCAAAGAGGAATTTCTTTCCTTAATCAATTTCTTTCTGTGCTTAAAAAAATTTTTTTTGCACTTTTTATTTTTTAATGGAGAGACACCATTCTTTAAGTTACCAAAGTCTGAGAAGTTTTTGCACATCCCTTTCTCCTTCATTACTCTTTTTTTTTTCCCCCCCTGAGACGGGGTCTGGCTGTGTTGCCCAGGCTGGAGTGCAGTGGCATGATCTCGGCTCACTGCAACCTCTGTCTCCCAGGTTCAAGCGATTCTCCCGCCTCAGCCTCCTGAGTAGCTGGGATTGCAGGCGTCTGCCACCACGCACAGCTAATTTTTGTATTTTTGCTAGAGACAGGGTTTTACCATGTTGGCCAGGCTGGTCTTGAACTCCTGACCTCAGATGATCCGCCCATCCTGGCCTCCCAAAGTGCTGGGATTACAGGTGTGAGCCACTGTGCCCAGCCTTTCCTTCATTACTCTTATAATAATTCAGTAGTCCAGTCCCAGCATGGGGGTGGGGGACTTGGAGTAATATTGGTCAAAGAATATAGTTTGACAGGAGGAATAACTTCAAGAGATCTATTGTACAAGGTGATGATTATAGTTAATAACAATTTGGTGTATACTTGAAAATAGCATAGAGAGCAGATTTTAAGTCTTCTCATCACAAATAAATGGTAAATATGTGAGGCAAAAGCACTAATAAATAAAATTTTGTCTCTTAAGAGCCATAGAGTCTAATTGAGAATAGAACGGGAGACACGCTGTATAATAATGATCATGCCCATCCACCTCACCACGTCCCAGCAGCAACCTTCTCTCTTCAATTCAATACCTATTGCATCCACCTCCCCCTTTCTTGTCTCATTACTTCTCTACTCTTTCAGGCTCGCTGATGTCTAGCACGGGCAATTCTAATAAGCCTCAAACTGGCTTACTTTCTTCCGGCCTCCCTCCCCATGAGTCCATTTTTCATGTTAATCTCACTAAAGCACCCTTCTGATCATGTCACGCTCTTGCTCAGGAAAAGCCAATGGCCCACATTACCTGCTCATTTAACCCCTTGCTGTGGCCTTCAAAGTCCTCTGCAATTTAACTGCAGCCTGTTCCAAAATTCAGTGGCATCACAGCTCTGATAAAAAACCACCCAGCCAAAGGAACCTCTTCACAGTTGTGTCTGCATCATGTTTTTAGGACTTTGCTGCAGCTGTTCTCTCTTCTACAAATGCCTTTCTAACCATTTTTACGTGCCCCAAACATAGTAATTCAAGATCTAGCTCAAATGCAACCTGTTCCTCAAATCTTTCCGTGATCCCCTTTTCATCCCCATCAAGACATATTTGTCTATGAATTTATGAATGTATCTGTACCTGATATATTAGTTATAATTTTCTGTTGTCTTAGTCCCTTCCCCACTCATCCCAGGCCACTGGACCACAGCTTCCTTGAAAGCAACATCTGGATCTCTTTTGGGACTGACACATAGTAGATGCTCTGTAAATGTTACTATTTCTTTGTACAGTGTTTTTCACAAAATAGTTGTACAACTAATTGTTATATTTAATAACAATTAGTCATTTAGACTAGAAAATATAAAACTTAAGACAACAAACATAACAAAGAGTTGGAAATATTCCCAGTTCTTTTTTTTTTTTGACACAAGGTCTTGCTCAGTCACCTAGGCTGGAATGCAGTGGTGCATTCACAATTCCCTGCAGCCTCAAACTCCTGGGCTCAAGCAATCCTTCCACCTCAGCCTCTTGAATAAGTGGTACTACAGGCATGTACCACCATACCCAGACACTTTTTTGATTTTTTGTAGGGACAGAGTCTCCCTGTGTTACCCAGGCTGATCTTGAACTCCTGAGCTCAAGAGATCCTTCCTGGAGGCCACCCAAAGGGCTGAGATTACAGATGTGAGCCACTTGCCTGGTCCCCAGTTCTTATTATGTCAGTTTATTTGACTAGAAGTCTTACAAAATGACCTAAGCCAATTTGATTATGCGTAATTATAAATTATGGCTTTTTTTTGATTGGTAATGTTGGCTCCCAATGCCACTGTCTTCCTATAAGGGTCATAATAAAGGCAAGTTTCAGACCAAATCCTGCCATTAACATTGGCATTCATTAAGCAATCATTATTCGCAAGTAGGCTCGAAAAACAGTTCATACAGCTTGCATGTAAAGTTGGTAAGCTGCAGCTCTGTGTCATTTTTGTTTTTTTTGAGACAGAGTCTCTCTCTGCCGCCCAGGCTAGAGTGCAGTGGTGCAATCTCGGCTCACTGCAAGCTCCGCCTCCGGGGTTCACACCATTCTTCTGCCTCAGCCTCCCCAGTAGCTGGGACTATAGGCATGCACCACCACACCCATCTAATTTTTGTATTTTTACAAAAATACAGGGTTTCACCTGTTAGCCATGATGGTCTCGATCTCCTGACCTCGTGATCTGCCCTCCTTGGCCTCCCAAAGTGCTGGGATTACAGGCGTGAGCCACTGTGCCCGACAGCTCTGTGTCCTTTTGAAGGTCATAGTTAAAGTAAATGCAGCAATATTCTAGAGCTGTATAATTTGGTGCATTGGGTGCTGAGTTCCTGAACTGTAGCTAGTCTGAATTGAAATAATGCTGTAAATGTAATATACACACAGGATTTCAAAGGCTTAGTAAGAAAAAAAGACTATAAAATATATTTTCAAGATGTTTTAAAATATTGAGTATATGTTGAAATGATAATGTTTTGGAGATATTGGGTTAAATAGTACATATTACTAAAAATTCATTTTACCTGTTTTTTAATGCGGCTTTTAAAATTATGTATGTGACTTTCATTATCTTTTTATTAGACAATGTTGTCTTAGGGAGAGGATTTAGTCTTATAATCAGCAGCAGATAACTAAAATCCTCCAGCCAATGGCTGAACATAGGACCTTTAGGGATCTAGCCTCCCAGACTCACTAGATTTTTATATTCTGTTTAATCAGTGGTGGGGCATGTCTAGAAAATATTTTGACCAATCCTTGTTCATTGAATAACACTAAAATCAACAGTGGGAGAATATTTCTAACATTCTAATTATGCCAATTATTAAGCCACAGTAAAAGCACATTTCTCATATTCATTAATTAACAAAGTCTCTGGTGTTGATGAAAATAAAGATAACTGATGCCTTTGTAGTGGTCCACTCTGGAGTTTAGCCTTTCTAATTAAATTATAGCTGAACTTCTCTGGAATGTTATACTGGCTTGGCACAAATGTGAGCCTCTAGTGTGGTTTGCACACTGGAATATGTGTGTCTTACTGTGATCTTGGCAAGCTTTTGTAGTGGTTAAGGCACCCAAGATAGCATCCTACCTGTCTCTTTTCTTAGCGTTCCTTTCATAATTCTTCTTTTTGACTTTATAAAAGAAAGTCATACCTCTCACTCTCCTCAAATTTTACTGTGCTGCATTGCTGTGAGGCATCAAACAAGAGGACAATTTAAGAATGCAAAACAAAGAGCAATCCTTTACAAATTTTTTAAATGGCTGGTGCTTGTTGCATCCAGGGCAAGGCTTTGTGTCCAGCTGCCATCCATCCATCCATCCATCCATCCATCCATCCATCCATCCATCCATCCATTCATCCATCCATCCATCCCTTTATCTTAGAAAGAGAATTCTGAAGTGAGATGTTATTTGGAAACACCTATAACATGGTTTTTAAATCCAAAACCAAGTCAGACTCCTCTTGTCAGAAAATAAATCTGCTTTGGCTGATTAGTTTGACAGTGAGGACTAGTTTTGCCAATTAGGTACCAGAGGAGGCATTTTCTATTAATTGAATGAGCTAAATTTGCAACTCCTTAACAACATGCTAGAAATTACATCTTTTTCACGATTTAAATTTATGATAAATATCAGTTCTCAACTTTAAAATGTGCATGGAAATTCTTTTGGAAGTTCACGAACAAGAGTGTTTGAAGCTTCTGACTTAAACTAGTTTAACACAAGCATATTACACTTTGTATGTTGAAATCTTCTAAAGTATATTATAGACATTATATAGGAAGTTTTAAGAAGAAAAAGAAACGATGGAAAAAGGCAATCCAGAAGAGAAATGGTAGAAAGAGACTGACCCACATGGTGCAGGGAGCCCAGACTGGTACAGCAGGATGGCTCTGTGGCTGAGAATTCCAAGATGGCGGCCTGTGTCATGACACGTCAGAGAAGGGTGTTGAAAAAGAATATTCAGTGACGCAGGATGGAGGGAGGTTTGAATGTTCAAAAAAGTAGAACAGGCAGAAGGAGGTGGGTTCTGAAAATGAAGAGGAGAGAAAGAGGGGGAGAGTCTTTGCTCCAATGATTCTCCAAATGATGGGGTGTAGTAAAGAAGGCTTGGCAGATTTGTTTGAGGGGATGTTCATTGTGGCCCTTAAGGTTATGTAAACTTTTGTAGATGTCTAATCCTGACGAGCTGGAGACACTTTCTCTTTGACCCATGAGTTTTTTGAGGTTGCATTGTTCTTTGATGCTACCTGGAGACTCTCCTGTCTGGAAGAATGGAAAGATCAGTGCTTTAATGTATGTGGATTGCTGTTGTCTGGGTCTTGTCTATCTCAAGGTGTTGTATGGGCTCTGACACACAGAGGACTAAATTGAAGTAAGGAAGCAAGCCAAACTGTATTATTGCTGGTCCATTTTATCCATTGGAGTTGTTGGCTTCAGAATGTCATCATTGGCTTTTACAATGCTCATTCACTGCTTGATGCTTTTCAATTTATTATTGAATTATCATATATATGTGTATTAGTCTCTTCTTATGCTGCTAATAAAGATATGCTGGAGACTAGGTAATTTATAAAGAAAAAGAGGTATAACGGACTCATAGTTCCACGTGGCAAAGGGACGTCTCTCATGGCAGCAGGCAAGAGAGAATGAGAGCCAAAGGAAAGGGGAAACCCCTTATAAAACCATCAGCTCTCATGAGACTTATTCATTACCACAAGAACAGTATGGGGTAAACCACCTCCATGATTTATCTTCTACCAGGTTCCTCCCATAACCCATGGGAATTATGGGAGCTATAATTCAAAATGAGATTTGTGTGAGGACACAGACAAACCATATCAATATGTATTCTCTCACAATATATTTTTTATTTGACTATGATGACCCGGTGTCATGATCTTAGAAGACACATGGCATACAGTGAAAGGTTTCCTACATTAGCTCTATAGAAAACATAGCATTCCTATATATGCATCTGGAGAGATATTTGGGTAAAGTATTGTTCTCTTTTTCTTTGGATATTTTATACATTTTTTTGTTTGAAAATTGCTGTTTCTTGGATATTATATTGTTTTATTCTGTGAATTTATGAGGAAGATCCCTCATAACATGAGGAAAATAATGAAATAAATAAAGTAATTAAAATGAGAAAAATATTATTTGAATAATTAGCAGTCTTACAAGGACATATTTTTGCTGCTATTTTGACAAGTAGAACTTGTCATGAGAAAGTCTGAAGGTCAAATCACTGGAATGGTTTTTACATTCAAAATGTTTTCCCCATTTTTTTTCCAGGCTTATACATCTAGAATTATATGTTAATGAGATAGTTGCTTTTTCTTGAGATTTCTGCAGACAGTTTGTAGAACATAATAGATGTTTATTTGATAATAATAAAGTGAGGAATTTAATTTCATAGAAATTTTCTTTCATAAGTTTAGCCTTTTGTCAATCAATAAAAAAATGTTTTCTGTTGGCTTTTCATGACAGTGACTCATATCATTATGACTAATTCACTGTGTCCTAAATAATCCCTCCTTGTTCTATGACATTTCTAGCAATTTTAATGAAAATCTTCACTCCAGGACAAAAATTCAAAGTGAAGTGTTTGTATGTAAGGTTTACAATCTCTACCACCATAAATGGAGTCTGTTTTTCTGCATTTGCAACACATATAATATGGTTGATAGAAAAGATGTTGAGTTTTTTTTTTTTTTTTTGCAAAATATATTTCTAGAGGAAAAGTTTCAAACAGTGTCGGATGCCTGTAAATCTTAGAAACATTCTTTCAGTTTAAGTTTAGGCGCTCTAGAAAGTGCAAGTAGAAAAACATTATCTCCTATATTCCTATGCATTGTTTAAAAAAACTTGAGTTTGTTGAAAAGAAAACAGGTTAAGAAGTAAATAAACTAAAATTAGAAGATGGAATTAATGGTTACATTTAATTCTGAAAATAACTATTTTGAGAGTAAATCAATCATTTGGCAATATGGTGTGGATTAAATGTGAAAAAGCAATTTCTGAATCCCAGCTACTTCAGGTTAGCATGCTGTTAAACTTGAACTCATTCAGAAAGTCTTCAGGAGGTGTCTAAGTTTGGGGGTTTTGTTAGGTAGTTTCTGTGTTTTCAAAGTCAGTCTTACACTAGGATGGCTATACATTTTTTTTTAAAGGAAAATAACAAATATTAGTGAGGATATGGAGAAATTGGAACTCTCATGCATTATGGTGAAAATGTAAAATGATGCAGCCACTATGGGAAATAGTTTGCTGGTTCCTCAAAAATCTAAACATAGAATTACTGTATATTAACCTAGCAATTTCACTCCTGCATCTACACCCAAAGGAACTGAAATCGGGAACTCAGATACTTGTACACCAGTGTTCATTGTGACATTGTTCATAATAGCCAAAAAGTGGTCAACTAGTGCTCATCTTTAGACAAATGGATAAAGAAACTGTAGTTTATACACACAATGGAATATTTTTTACCCTTATAAAAGAATGAAGTTCTGATACAAGCTACAACATGGATGAAACCTTGAAAACATTATGCTAAATGAAATAAGCCAGACCCAAAAGGACAAATATTGTATGATTCCACTTACATGACATATCTTAAATAGGCAAATGCATAGAAACGGACAGTAGATTAGCTATTACCAGGGGCTGGTGGGTATGGGGACTTATTGCTTAATGACAGCAGAGTTTATGTTCAGTGTGATGAAAAAGTTTTGGGACTAGATAGTGGTTATGGTTGTATAACACTGTAGGTGTAACTAATGCCACTGAATTGTATGATTAAAAATGACTGAAATCACAAATATTGTTATGTATTTTACCACAATTAAAAAAAATCTATTAATATGCCAAAAACGATTGAATTGTAAACTTTAATTGGGTGAATTATATAGTAGGTGAATTTAAATGGGTAAATTGTATGGTAGGTGAGTTCTATGGTAGGTGTGTGGATGAATTGTATGGTAGGTGAATTTTATACCTCCATAAAACAGGTTTTTAAAAAGAGGCAGTCTTGTGAGTAGGAGGAGAGCTAGGTAAGGAGACATGAATCTTGATTTGATTTATGGCACCATCCAACTGCATGTCATGAGGGGTAAGTCCTTGACCTCTCTGGTCACAGGATGGAATCCCATCAGGCACCCTCTTATATACTTCCTACTCCTGTCCTCTGTGGCTCCGTGATAGTAAGGTGGATAGTTTTGGTGGGTTAGGTTGGTTCTCAGCTGGAACAAATATGTTCCTCTGGCCAGGCACAGTGGCTCATGCCTGTAATCCCAGCACTTTGAGAGGCCAAGGTGGGTGGATCACGAGGTCAGGAGTTCGAGACAAGCCTGGCCAAGATGGTGAAACCCCGTCTCTACTAAAAATACAAAAATTAGCCAGGCTTGGTGGCACACGCCTATAATCCTAGCTACTTGGGAGGCTGAGGGAGGAGAACCGCTTCAACCTGGGAGGCAGAGGTTGCAGTGAGCCAAGATCACACCATTGCACTCCAGCCTGGGCAATAAGAGCGAAACTCGGTCTTAAAAAAAAAAAATGTTCCTCTGATGCTGAACATGATATAAATTCTAAATGCAGTCCAGATGTGGCTGTAGACATTCTAGGATCCCAAGGCTCCATAATTGCCTTCAGTTTTGGGCAGAGTGGATGGGTCATTGGGTCATGCTAGCAGAGCATGTGCTTGCTTAAGGAGGTTGATTTTTTTCAGATAATCTCGATTTTATTACAAGAACATTTTTAAAGCATATATTTTAACTCCATACCCTTCTTCTCTTTTATGGGCATATACAGTTTTCAGGATTGAAAACTTCTGAAATTTGGATTGTCTTAGCCTTATTTTGACATCATTAGATGTTATAGCCCTCTGTGTTTTCTTGTAGATACCAAAATTATATTAAACATGTTCTTTTTTGTGAGGTATTGAGTCTGAGGCTGAAATGAAGAGGTATTGACTAGGCTTATTCTATCTAGAATGTCCTTCCCATCTTTGCATGAACCATACTTCATCTATTTTTCAAGATATATTTTAAAGCCTTCTTTCCATTAAATTATCTTTAACCTCCTCCTACATGGAAGTGCATTGAACACAGGCTCCACAGTCAGTTAGACCTGGTTCTCTCTGTGGCCCAGCATTTGCTGGGTGGGTGATGCTGGACAATTCATTTAACTTCTGCCTCAGCCTTCTCCTTTGACAAGTGGAGTTGTTTTCCTTTCCCTTCTCACTTCCACCATTTCCACCTCTCCTTGCCTTAGGGCAGAGAGGAGTTACCAGCAGAAAGACTGGCAGCATTGCCTGCTGTCTCCTGCTCACCATTGCTGATGATTGGCATTTGTATTTCAATATGGCGTCCGTGCTCTGGAAAGGAATAATCTGGAAAGATGACTGGGAAGTAGATGGTTTGCCTGTGTCATCACCACGTTTTCCCTGTTCCCTGGGGTGGTGTACCTGCTCTTGCAATATTCTCTAATTTCTGGATGAACCTGGCTTTGGAAGGTACTGTGCTGTAGGTTTTTCCAGGAGTTTTGTTTGCTTTGGAGTTTCTTAACAACCATCATTGCCTTGGAGGCTTTGTCAACATTTTGGGCTTCCTTGTCCTCAATAGATTTGCTTGTTGGGCCACACTTGTGCCTTTTCACTTATTCTCACCAGGGACTTCCTTCACTGGGCATCTGGCTGGGATTCTTCTTGCATTAATGCACACTCAAGGGCCTCTGAAGAACATCATGGAAGCATGTGCTGGCATTTTTTTCCCTCCAATTATTGGTTATCCAGGACAGTGATATTACTTCAATTGTTCAGGCTAGTCTGGATATCAGGATCATTATCTTTATGGCAGGCCAGGTTATTATGAAGAAGCACCCAGGAGCTATGATACATACACAGCAGTACGGAGAGAAAAAGAACAGCTTGTGAGAGCATGAAGAGCCAGCCCCTGGGATCAAGAAAATACCAGGAATAGCTCACTGCCCTGCGGGCTTCTTCTCTCAGAAGAAATGAGACTATAATGGCTTCACAGGTTTGATAGCCAGTGAGGTGACACAGCATCTTGGGAAGACATGGTCCACTTGTGTTATTATTGCCCATCGGATTCATTCCCCAAGCAACTAGTTCATTGTAAACTAAAGCAAAACATATCGTTAAAAAAAAAAAATCAACTTGTATTTAGCTTTTTACAGAGTGAAGTGAAACTCTGTTTTAAATGCGGTTTTTAGCTTTAATAACGTCAAGGTTTAAATGTGGCAAACTCACAAAAATATCATTTGAAATGTTAATTATCTAAACTTCTTGTACACTTAGGTAGTTTTGACAATTCTGAAAACTACATTTTTAATTTTGGCTTTTTTAAGGTCCTCTGAGGATGTCGGATTTTGAAAGAAACTCAGGGAGGTTAAACATTTCTGTTTGAGAGCAGTCTGTATCCTGTTGGCTTTGTTTCTTTGTCTACATACATATTTATAATATTTTACAGATTATTATATAATATTTATTATTCCCATTTGACATTTTAATAAATATTGTTTGAATAAATGAATTAGTGTTTGGGTGTGATTGGGTGTGATGAAACAAGAGAGCATAATGGCATAACTAAGTGTGAGTGGCAGAATTATATTGGGAGTGATTCACATGTAGGGCCCACAAAAAGAAGAAATGAGAATATGATCTGAAATGCTTTTGTTACTTCCAAAATAATAATCTTTGCTAACGAGAGATTGGCTTTCTAGGGTGTGTTAAGTTTTGCATTTGTGAAAGAGGCCTTAATAAAATCAATCCAAGTTTAAAATCATCCAATAAGAGATTTCTTTCTTGGCTAAAGGTCTAGGTGCTACTTTCCTGAATAATAAGCTGCACTTTAGGGAACTCATGTTATGTTAGTGTCAGCCAACTGGACACTCTTAAATTGCTTCAAATGGTGTACTAGAGGATAATGCTTTCTCTCTAATAACAGTAGAGTTTTAGAGGTGATTTGTGTGCTTTCATAGGGGAAACAACTCCTAATTTCTCTGCCACATTTCCAGTTTAGGATTTAAATTGATATATGTTGCTACGTTCTGCTAAAACAATTTTCCATACCCATTTGAGCTGGTGAAGTGAAAACATTTTGAAACCAGTTTCCTTGAAGATTTATCAAGCAGTTTTGTTGATGTGTCTTGCTATACTTCTTTTACCTATCACAGAAATAAAATCCCAGGCTAGGCAGCAGTGAAGGCCTTTGGATCTGTGTGAGCATGTCAAAAGCATTTTAAGAAGAGCAAAATATTTAGAGGAAGAATTTGGGAAAGCAGCCTTAAGGGATTTAACACATTTTTCTTCTTCTAATTCAGTCTCGTGTTCATCCCTCTAATGGAGAAAGGTCATTAATGGATAAGATTTGCTAAGCCAGCAAAGGCTTTTAGAAACAAAATGGTTTTCAAAAATCCAAGCCTAAGGAAAACAGGGTTTGAATTTGGGAGCTTGAAAGAATACATTTAGAGAAGGTGTATATGCAGTGTAAATTATATTCATTCACTTAATATTATACATATATATTTATAATCAAGTTATAGTATGTTTGTTGCATTCTTACACATTTTTGTTTTGGAGAAGTTAAAATAACGAATTGGCTTGATAATGAAGATTGAAATAATTTCAGACTGTGGAAGTTCTGTATAAATTTCTAGGCAGACAAAATGGCTGATCAGAATAGCATGACGGAGTTTTAGTTGTCCTGTTACTCGTCTGCTATTTTTACGTGCCCGAGATCTGGGCCAAGATTGTTTACCTTAATTGTTGTGATGTGGAGGTTAGTAAGTGTGTGAAATTTGTTACATTTCAATCTCATAATTGAAAAGCCACAGGCAAATTCTTGTTCTTTTACTGAATTCCTGTCTAGTAGAAAATAAGAAGTATGTGTGTTTGTATGTGTGTGTGTGTCTGAAAAAAGGAAAATGCAAACTAGTCTTTGAAATATGTACTCCCTTTTCCCCATTTTTAACTGTATCAAGAGAATGAATGCGGAAGTGTGTTTATAAACTTTGAAGTATTTTTGAAACATTTGGATGTTAGAAAATGTATCGTTTACAGGCAAATAATTTGTCTGTTACTTAGACTTATATTCTGACATTGACTTGACCCATAAAATAAAGACTATTGTTGAAATATTATCTTACTCATTTTTACAAACATAAGAATGGGAATCCATAAATTTTATTTCATTTCATATGTGATAAAATGGAAAGATTATTATCATTGATAGGGTAATAGTGCTCATTTCTTTGCCCACTTTATATCTGGGGAGAAACCTACATAGTATTAGATATTTTAATATGTTTTTGAAATAAGAAAGTTAAATGCTCCGGAAACAGGTTAAGAAAATGTAAAATGTAGTAAGATTTCTCTCTTAGAATTTTTTCCATTTTTATGGCCCCAAATTCTTAAGTTGTGTGAATGTTATCAAATTAAGATAATTTAATACTTATTTATGACCTTTCTATATTTTTTTATTCATGGGATTAAATGAAACTGCATATAACAAGATTTATGAAAATAAATCCTTTTTAAGGTAGTGGGACAAATAATTGGATTTTCCAAATGCCCTAAACACTGATTTTTAATATTAAATTCATTTTGGTGAGGCTGGTATATCCCCCCTTCAGGTTGATGTGTGGTGGTAGCCTTATATTCTGAGTATAATCTCTACTGTGTCCCTCTTTGATATGAAGATGGTAAAGGGTCATTCACTGTGTAAGCAAGTTCTCTTGGTTAATAAATGGCTTATGTGGCCTTGATCAGATAATATAAAGCTTGAAATAGGGATCGTTGCTGTCTTTGCTGTCCTTTCTTGAAGGAAGGTCACCTCTGAGCACCATTAATATCAAGGAGTTTCTTAAACAGCAGTTTTGTTTTCTATACCACTTGCTCCCTTAGTGTCTTGGAGTTGGTCTCCAATTACCTTTATGGATTTGTAAAAGTGCATTTTTTTTTTTCTGAAGCTGCTGCTATATTTATTCTGGGAATGACCTTTTAATTACAAACTCTCCTTCCACAAGGGGGTAAGGACCGAAGACCACAAACTGGGTGAAGTGGTAGGCGAACCTCTAATGATCCTAGCAGAGGTTCGTGAGCAGGTCTGTATTTAATGTGGAACTGACACTGGAGGGCCAAGCACACCTGGGCTTCCTCCATTATTATTTTGCTGCTCTGATGTGGGAGGCAGCCCAGCAGTATAAAAGGTGGCAAAGGAGGCAGGACACACATATGGATGGAGCCACACCTTTCTGCACTGTCGCAGATACGCCTTGGACAGCTTTCTGAACAACTGATAGAGATTGTGAAAATGCTGTTTTGTAGGATTTAAGCCAACAATGACTCTTTTACTGGCTTTAATAGAAAATCGTGGAGTGATGGAAGAGTATGATTTGAAGAGGTCCAATGAATATTTATTTATCTACCTTGCTTACACTTTTACTGTAATCATTATAACAACGAGCTGAACACCAGCTCTTCGTCAAGTGCTTTTCATTTATATTCACTAACCTTTACAATACTCTTGCAAGCTAGGTATTATTTATCCCCATTTTACAGATGAGAACTGTGAGGAAAAGCGATGTTATAATGACCCAAGGTCACACAATAAATGGATTGGGACACCGTCTATTTGGTTCTAAAGAGAAAGTCCTTTTCTCTTTTTGTTAGCCACATGGACTCCTTGTATGTAACCAAATCCTTCTACCCATATTTCAAAAGTTCAGGGTGGTCAGTCTTTTAAAGTAACTTTTCTTTTTTTTATGGCTCAGAAAATGAATTTGTAATCAAAACCAAAACGGATAATGGTTTTAAATTCTTCTGATTTTTCTACCTGTAAAAGTTCGTATAGATCAAGATCATTAAAACCTCATGCCAATCTTACTACAGGAAAATGGGTTACAAGATTGACCATAAACCTTATACTGTCATTCTAGAGGGTGTAGGACCAGTATGAAGAGGGAGGAAGTCACGAATTCCTGAGTTTTTATTGGATAACTTTAATTTTTGTTTTTAGCATGCTGACATTTTGATTATGCTGAAATTTTACTTGCACAAAATGTAGCAGAAAGTGCTACGGGTACTAGCTGGAAAGTAGGGCTCTGATTTGATCCGATAAACCTGGATTTGGTCACTGATGGCAGGACTCCGGGGTTTAGGGTGAGACAACCTGGTCCCTTGGGAAAGGTGCCCGAGCCTCCCTCTGTTGTAGGCAGTGTTGGGCTCCATAAGTGTACCGGGCAGTCATCACATTCTGCATTAGCTCCGCCTCATTGTGCTCAAGGAGCTCGACTAATAGGACTATTTTAAACTCTCCAGGATAGAGATAACCTTATTTGGTGCTTTACTAAAGGTACAGACTCTCATACTTTTTCCTTCTCTTTCTTTTTCCATTCCACAGATGAACACAATGACGTACAGAAGAAAACCTTTACCAAATGGATAAATGCTCGATTTTCAAAGGTAACTGAGACTTTCAAAAACTTCGATGGTTCAGATGCCGCATTCTGATTGAAGGAGTTTGGTTGGAAGTGCAGTGAATTTTCCCCAGGAAATGTCACCTAGCCGAAGTCTTCTGAGTATGCAGATACATTTGTTGTTCCTTTATTCTGTCCTAAAATATGTTTAAACGGAAATTCTCATGCACATAGTTTATGGGACGCTATTGACTTTTACCTGGCCTTCTCCAGATATCTAAGGCAGCAGTTAGCTGCTTTCGATTCTGTGAATCCTGGGTACATCTTGGAAAAGAATATATCATTGGGAAAATTTTTGAGTTCTCTTGGTTAAGAGGATGATGATTTCATTTTGCCTGGTTAAAACCAAATGTTATAATTCAGGCAGTCTTTCTACCCTGTCAGAAATATTTATGGATTTTTATTCTTGTGGATGTGGCTAATAATATTTATCTGCCTTGTGGGTTGTTTTTTCTTGTGTACTTCCTTAATTCCTCCCCCACCCCAAAGATCTACTCTTAGCATTTCTAACCATTTAGAACATAATCAATGCTTTGAGCAATATTTTTTCATAGGGGCAGAGCATGCTGAAGAGAGGAATTGTCAGTGCTATTTTCAAATCTGTTCTAATATGATTATCTATTAGTTATTGGTGTTGGAATTTTGTGCACTAAGCCTGAGGTAGGAGGAGAGTTTTCAGGATAACAGATTGTTTAGGACTCTTCTACAACAAGATGAAAAATAGAAGTTTCTCAGAGAAACACTGTTGTGGTCTTTTAAATAGTATAAAAGCTATTTTAATGAAGAGTTGCTTTTCAAAATTTTTGGTTGCTTTTCAAAAGTTGTAAAGGTCAGAGAGACAAACATTGGTATTTCTTGAGGAAAAATGAGGATATCTTAAGGTTACTTTGAGTAGCAGCATAGTTTAAAAAATGCTCCACGTCCCAATATTTATAGTTGGTTATTTGATTTCACTGCTTTTTGGGCTTTGCGAGTTTATCTTGAGGGGTATTTTATCTTGCCTGTGAGTATGTAAGGAACATGAAAACCAACTTTGACAGAGGGTTAAAAATACAGAGAATTAGAACATAAAGGTGCTTGCATAATTGGCAGTTATATGTGTAGGATTATTCCAAATCACATGCAGGTGTGTTTTGGTAAATTTTAGTTTGTTTTATTCCAGAGACACAGGTAACATATGTGCATCTCGGGCTTGACATGAATAAAAACTTTTGAACTATTCATCTGCATGTGACCATTTTCCAGAGAATGTAGTTTTAGCAACTGGGAGTCTGGATATGAGGTGTTTTATTCCAGTGGTCTTATGATTGCTCATAAAAGTAAGATTATTTTTCCTGGTTATTCACGAGGATAACACAGTAATTGTTTAGATAGAACAAGTGAAGCAGTTTTTAGCAGCTTAATTTAGTCTTTGGGGAAGAATTGCCTTAGAACTAATTTTGAAGATTGTTTTGAAAGCATTAAACTTGGTAGACCTAAGTTTAGAGAGCATTTGAAACTGGGTAAATTACTTTTTACCTATTTATGAAAATGGAGAGAAATAGGTAGTAAAATAGGACATGGAAAGGGTTTGTAGAGGAAGAGAGATGACAACTGAGACAGAATAATTGAAAAGAAATTTCTCAATATTTATGGTGGGTCATTGACACCTTTAAAAAGACCTCAAAGAAAACAAAATCTGGTAGTACCAGACTAGTTTATTAAATGAACTTGATATTTAAATTTGTGCATTTATAATGTCTATTATTTTGCAATTAAATGGGGCTTTAAGTCCCATGTAAATTGTTTGCCCTGGAATATTTGTATTTCTTACCAAGATACTGGAAAAGACTTGGTAATTTTTATCATTTTTAGTAAAAGTTATAGTTAGTTTTAGCTAAAAGCTTCTCTATTAGTGTTTGGAGATGGTAGTTTCTAAGCTCAGCTTCTGTGTTAGTGTTTGGAGATGGTGTTTGGAGAAAAACTACCAAACGTGGGATGACTCTGAAAACTTTTATTTTCATCTAGCAAGAAATCAAAACCTAGAAGGAATTTATCTGAGAAATTATGAATATTTGGAGATGGGAAGCTCATGGCAGTGACACTAAACATCCACATTATTTTTTCTTTCTTCTGGCTGTCTTAAGACCATAAGTTGGATTGCTTCCAATTGGGGATAGTGAAAGAGGGAGTAACACATTTCTAGACTGGGAGATTTCCATAGACTCCCATGTGGCTTAACTCTTGCTGAGCTGGGGAAAGACCGTATTCATGCCTGGTATTACTAGGTAATGCGAGGATAGAACAAGAAAAAAAAATAAATCCCGTTGAAGGGAACGAATTTTTTTTTTCATTTTTAAAAATCCATGTCCTTTGGTACATTGTGGTGGGTTTTACAATATAATTTTTCAGTGGGTCCACTACTTCCCTACAGTGTGGGTTCCTAAACAGAGCAACAGGACCTCTGTGCTGAGAAATCCAAACAGACACTGATGGCACCTTCTGCCATTTAGGAATTTGTTTTAAAACAGACATTTGTCTAGATATTTCCTTTGTGGCCTCCTCCCCATCAAAAGTCAATCAAACATCGAGCCTTGTTAATTCCAATACCTACATATATTCAAAATTGTCCACTTACTCTATGTAGAGTGACACGTCTCTTTTCCAAGGCATTGTTATTTGTATTAGAAAAAATGGTGAGAGACTTTACAATGGGCAAAAAACTAGTGGGTGTCCTGTTAGCTCAGGCATCTGAATTATCTCTGCCTTTAATTACTTTTGAGCTACTTTACGACTAGGTAAGTTGTGGAAAATAGGTATGCAAATGATTCTTATCCATAAAAATGAAAATTATTTGTAAAGCAGTTAATTATTACTCCTTGGATAGACCAGTTTTTGCATCTATTGCAAATCTATTTCAGTTTTCATTTTTCTTGTGTAAAACATGTGTTTTTAAAAATTTTCCCCTGAACTGGTTGTAACAGCTTACTGGGTCCCTCATTAATTAATGAGTTAAATAAATCTTTGACAGACATTATTATCACATTGGTTTGAGAGTTATGACTTTACCTTGTTGGAAAATTATCCTTGAATACATGGACCACTGTGATAATCTGCTAATTGGTTCTTCCATTCCATGCTCCACCTTCTCCATCTCCCTTTCCTTTTTTTTTCTTTTCTTTTTTTTTTTTTTTTTTTTTGAGACACAGTCTAGCTCTGTTGCCCAGTCTGGAGTGCAGTGGTGCAATCTTGGCTCATTGCAGCCTGCAGCCTCTGCCTCCCAGGTTGCAGCGATTCTCCTGCCTCAGCCTCCCTAGTAGCTGGGATTATGGGCGCATGTCACCATGCCCAGCTAATTTTTGTATTTTTAGTAGAGATGGGGTTTCACCATGTTGGCTAGGCTGGTTTCAAACTCCTGACCTCAAGTGATCCGCCTGCCTCGACCTCCCAAAGTGCTGGGATTACAGGCGTGAGCCACCACGCCCGGCCTCCCCTTCCATTTTCAAGAGAGTATCTACGGTGCTTCTAAAGGGTAAACCTGAATACCTTTTTCTCTTCTGTAAGCTCTTTCGTTGGGTGCCCATTTTCCTTTTTTTAAAAAACACAATTAAAAATTGAAATTGTATAATTTTTGGTATATAGTGTGATGTTTTGGTCTTACTTGGTTCTTAAAGCTCTAAATAGCTGCCTCCCAATTTACTCCTAATTTTATTTTACTTTCCTCTCGCTCCCTCATTTTGCTCCAGCCACACGGCCTTTGCTTACCATCCCGGTGGGCCCTCCCTGGCCTTTGCACACAGTCCTTTCTCTATCTCTTCCTGGCCAGCTCCTACCCCTTCCTGCTTGTCTGAGCTTAAATGTTGCTTCCTGAAGGATCTCTTTTCTGAGCTCCCAGACTAGGGTAGATAAGCTGTATACTCTCAAAGTGTTATGATTTGAAGCACTTACCATACTGTAATTTAAATAGTTGCCAGCCTTTTTTCCTAGGTTAGACATAAACTCTGTGGGTGCAGGGACTTTCTATTTGCTTATTGGCATATCTTTTGGCATTTAGTAGGTATCCAGTAAACTATTTGTAGGCTTAATAAATAAATGAATGACAATGACATAGACATACATTGAATATGCCTAATTCTATATGTTCATAAGCCACTTGGGGATGGTTGCATTGGAGAGACAGGAGTAGAGTTTAGGACTGAGTGCAACATGGCATGAATTGTGCTAAGTCCTGGATATGAATACAATGCATCAGGACTTTTGCTGCATTATTGACAAAAATAAACAAATCCAGCTATCCAAACTTTCCCTATTTACCTGATTTCTTGGAGTTGTGCTGCAGTGATTGTTAAATAACCACTTGGACTTAATGCATATTATTGTTTTATTTACCCAATACAATTCTTCACATAGGGTCTAACTATTAAATTCACTGTGAAGAAAAATAAGACTTAAAACTTAAAGCCAGAACAATTCTTTTCTTGATAAGGGATTTGGTAAAGAACTTGAGAATAATATCAGTCTAAAACCATCTTTTAATTTGTAACTGTAAATGAATATACAGTAACCAAGACAGTGCTCACTCAAAATATGTATTCTTTTTGCTGCAAATCCTTGTGAACATATCATGGAGTATACAGTGCTTTGGAATTCAGGATCCTGAGAAGTCATAGTGTAGAGTAAATTATGGCTCTTGGATTTTTAAAAGTTATGAAGAGCTCAGAAAAAGTGATTATCTAAAAAAAGCTAAAAATTAGGAAATTAAACACTTATTTCTGGATATCCTGCTCATTTATTTATGACCTCAGGCAAATTATTAGTCAATTTTTTCAGATCACCTGGTCTACATTTCCATAGCCATAAGACGCAATCGATCATTATTACCTTCCTTATATCGTGAAGAAATATTGAGGCATTGCTGAGAAGTGTATAGGAGATGATAATTACTTAGGAATGCAAAATAAAAACCCTATCATATACCTCGAATCTGTGATAGTCCTGATCTGTGGATCCGTGCCACACGTAAACAGAAAAGGGAAAAAGCACTGGCTCATTAAGCCCGCGTTCTTCCATTGTATGGTGTGTATGACTTGAGTGTTTTGCCCCTTCTAAATTTCAGAGCCTCTGGCTTGTTAGCCGGCCGGTCTCCCAAGGGAGGCAGCAAAGGCCTCATTGCTTTGCTTTGGGAAATTTGCTCTGACTTTGAGCCTGCATTTTCTTTGGCTGACTTTCAGAGCTGCTCATCTGGCAGAGCTGAAAACATACAAATTGCAGAAGTTCTTTTATCCATTTGGTGAGATGGTTCTCTAAAGAGGCTTCACAAATAAAGGTTAGGTAGAAAATATGCAAAATTAAAAATGCTGAACTTGAGTTTGTGCAAATCCCTGCTTTTCTCTTTTCTAAGACACAGATGAGCCAAGTTTTCATGTAAGTTACAATTCCAACCTTGAAATTCAAATTGACAGAACGTAAGAGAGGAAAGCCATGAAGCATTTTTTATGGATTCCAATATGGAGAGCTATTAAGATGTTTTCCTTTAGGAGACAGTGAGACATTGCTTTTAGATTGTTTTCCTACTTTTTTCATGTTGGAAGTTAATAATCACTAAAATAAGGGTGGGAAAAGATGTGGAGGGAGATTTGTACAGGAGGTGCAATAAAAGGAGCCCAAACCCTTTTCCACCTCTAGATATTCAGTCTTCTCTTTAGTACTGTAAAGAGGCTGACAGGCTTCCTGTGTGAAGATAAATCCCATCTATAGTAGAGGCTTGAGCTTGAAGAGTTACACATTGGGTCTGCCATTGGTTTATTTCATGAGTATGCATATGGCAACTCAACTGATTGTTTTAGGAGCCATACACATTCAAGTGGTTCCTTAAAAAGAAATGTGAATTTGTGTCTATTCACTAATACCTCTAAAAAGAAAACAATAAAATGTACTCCATATTCTTAAACACCAGCTTCCAGATACTTTGGCTATACTTATGCAAGCTTTGTTGTTGTTGCTGTTTGTTTTGTTTTCATTCAATTTGAATTTTTAAAATTTGATTTTTGTCTCAAAATTGTTTGTAAAATGAACTTCACCTTGGTTAAAACTAAAAACAAATGATTAAAATTAAAACTGTCAAGTATTATTTAATATGCTATGCTTTGATGAGTACTTAATACAGGGTTTTGATTCAGCCTATTGGTATTCATAATTGTGAAGCAAATTTGGTAGTCTTTGTAATTGACGATCAGTTTAGAAATTGATCAACTGGGAGGAAATGACTTTTCACCCTTCACTTAGGAAGGAGTGAGCAGGACCACCTTCCTTGTGCTTTCCCATTCAGCCTCTTGTGGCCCCACCATCTCTAGCTTCAGAGATGGGCTCTGGTGGTGCAGGGAAGGGTGGGCTTATGCCAGGGTGGGAAGTAAGGTATCAAGAGGGGATTGCTGAGAGGTAGTGGTTGAGGGGAGAGAATCTCTACCTATTACACAGAGCAAGGAGACACTGGACCCATTTCCAGCTGTATCTGGCCTGGGAAGCTTTTAGCTGCAATTGCCACAGGTAACCATCCACCAGCCATGAGGGGAGTCACACTTAGGGGGAAGCTGACATTTATTTTTGTTATTATTTGTTGGAGAAATAAAAAACCCTGCCAACACTGGTACCTCTGGTTACCAACATAGAATACAGAGAAAACACAATTTACAATTAAGTGTGCATGTATGGTTAAGTGCATGCAGGCAGTTGGCTAAAGACGTCAAAGTCTGGACAGAATTTCACACAAATATTCAGTAAAGTGGGAGAAAGAACAATGAACACTTGTCTCTGTGAGAGACAACTAGATGTGCCTTGTTGTGATAGTCTCTTGTCCACCTTCTCAACAACTCCTGTGTTTAACTTAGCTTGAAAAACTGGAGACTGGATTTATCTATTTCCTGACCAAAAAAATTGGGTCTATTTTGTTTTAAGGAGACACCCTAAGGGAAGGGAAGGAGCAGTGTACCTGCCTCTCCTTTATATATATTGAACAAAGGAACTTTGATTTTATTTACCTTTACACTATCATAATCAGTGCTATTACCAGTGCCTCACCCTAGTCTCATGGAAGCCTATCTTTTGAAGGACTGCCTTCTTCAAACATTTCTACTGTATTGCCAGTTGTGTATACATGGAATAAGCTATATTGTTTCCTGAGTTTGCCTACAGACCTTGCCTGGTATGCATAAAGAGTCAGAGCTTTTTATTTATTTATTTATGTTGTTTTATTTCCATAGGTTTTGGGGGGAACAGGTGGTGTTTGGTTACATGAGTAAGTTCTTTAACGGTGATTTGGTGAGGTTTTGATGCACCCATCACCCGAGCAGTATACACTGTACCCGATTTGTAAAATTTTATCCCTCACCCCCACTCCCACCTGCACCCCCCGCCCAGGTCCCCAAAGTCCATTGTATCATTCTTATACCTTTGGATCCTCACAGCTTAGCTCCCACTTATGAGTCAGAACATATGATGTTTGGTTGCCCATTCCTGAGTTACTTCACTTAGAATAATGGTCTCCAGTTTCATCCAGGTTGCTGCAGATACCATTATTTCATTCCTTTTTGATGGCTGAATAGTATTCCATGGTGTGTATATGTGTGTGTGTGTGTGTGTGTGTGTATATACACACCACAATTTCTTTATTCACTCATTGATCGATGGGCATTTGGGCTGGTTCCATATTTTTGTAATTGCAAATTGTGCTGCTATAAACATGCATGTGCAAGCATCTTTTTGGTATAATGGCTCCTTTTCCAAATGCCTACCTCTGATGGGCATTTGGGCTGGTTCCATGTTTTTGCAATTGTGAATTGTGCTGCTATAAACATGAGTGTGCAAGCATCTTTTTTGTATAATGACTTCTTTTCCTCTGGGTTGATACCCAGTAATGGGATTGCTGGATCAAATGGTAGTTCTACTTTTAGTTCTTTAAGGAATCTCCACACTGTATTCCATAGTGGTTGTACTAGTTTACATTTCCAGCAGCGTTCCCTTTTCACTGCATCCTCGCCAACATCTATTGGTTTTTGATTTTTTGATTACAGCCATTCATGCAGGAGTGAAGTGGTATGGCATTGTGGTTTTGATTTGCATTTCCCTGATCATTAGTTATGTTGAGCATTTTTTCATATTCTTGTTGCCCATTTGTATATCTGCTTTTGAGAATTGTCCATTCATGTCCTTAGCCCATTTTCTTTTTTACTTGCTAATTTGGAGTCAGAGCTTATTCAGCCTCCAGCCCTCACCTGATTGTCCGTGGAGTATGCTAGTGGCCCCTGCCTCTGGCCGCCAGGTATCTGAGCCCCACAGTGGTTTCTTATCATCCCAGATTTTATCATCACTATACCGGTAACTTACCAAAATCGAGGTAAACATTCTGTTACATGTCTGTATGACTTGTGATTCCCTGAAAGATATTACTTGGTTTGGCATGTGTTTTACAGTATTTTATAGTTCTGAAGGTAGGTGCACATTTACTGATTCGGAGTGTTCTCTGCACATTTACAGTAAACACTGTAAATCATTGCTCTGTAGTTAATGAGGCATACTCTGTGATGACCAGCACCATCTGTTTCTCTTGTCTTTCTCTCTTCCTCTTCTTCTCTCCCTCCCTCCTTCCAAGCAAGCTTCTAAATGGAATCTTTTTCAATTCTTAGCAACTTATGCTGACCACCCAGAATTCTTAAAGAGGACGGCTGAGAGATCTGCAGTCACTAATTGTTTAAGTGACTGGAGCACATTTTGCTGGTTTTCTGTTGTCGAGGTGTGGAAGGAACTCATTAGGCATTATTGCAGTGCCCTCATTTTACTTTCAGTCTTCTCTGTGGAAAGCAATGCTGTGTTTGTTCTTTTACCACAGAGTTGAATCATAAAAGTAAATACTACATATCATACAGTCTTCATTTCGTTGATTCAACTACACATTTTATAATTGAGATGAACCTAATTTTATCATTTTGCTTAATCTTGACTAGAGACAGCATTCTTTTTAAAACATCTATTATTTGTTTTATGCAGTAATACATAAACTTTGTAAAAATTAGATAAATCAATAAATCCAAAGAAAATTGTTCAAACTACTTTTAATTCCACTACCAAGAGAAAAAGTGTAGCATTTTGTTGTATAATGGTTTAAAAATGTATTATCATATAAATATATTATCATTAACTAAGATGATGTACATAGTGCTTACTGATGCATTATTGATTATTAAGAAATTGAAAAATTACAAGAATGTAAAAGATGCTACATTTGTGTCAGTGTTGAAATTGGGGTTCATGAGTTAAAGATTCTAATTTGAAAAGGTTTAGAAATGTTGCATTAAATTATTTCTTTTTGAATTTTTAAATTAACCAACTTCTTGCAAAAAACAGATGAGGAGGGAGAGAGAGAGACCATAAAATTTACAATGTTATCAGATGCTTGGGCATCATTTTGAACTATCAGGGGCATCAGATTAATCTCAAATTAATCTGAGGAGAGTGTGAATATATTATGGTATATACACTATATATGTTTGTGTGTGTGTGTGTGTATATATATATATATACACACACCATACACACACACACACACACACACACACACAGTAAACAATGGGACTGGTAATTGAATTAACTAGAGTGTCTCAAATCCTGTTTTGAAAATAGGGTGTAAATAAATAATAGAATAATCAGTGTCGAAGGGCTCAAATTTGTTATTCGTTTGTAAGATGACACTCATCAGACATGTTACTTTTGAAAGCATTTAAAATCTGTTATCTTCCAACTGTTTTTATTATATGCAGTTATAACTTGATTGCTGATAATGGGTTTAGGTAAGTCATAGGACAGATTCTGTCTCCCTGCTGTATCTGTTTCTTTGTACAATTTTGGCAGCACCAAGCTAGATTTGCAAATTCACCTTAACGTGTTTGCCATATTATGTTAGTACTGTTTTTTGTTTAAATCTACAGTCATGTGTCACATAAGGATGTTTTACTCATTGATGGACCACATATATGATCGTGGTCCCAGAAGATGATAATGAAGCTGAAAAATTCCCATAGCTTAGTGATGCTGTAACTGTTATAAGGGCATAGCACAATGCCATTTACTCGAGTGTATTAGTCTGTTCTTATGCTGCTACTAAAGACATACTCCAGACTGGGTAATTTATAAAGGAAAGAGGTTTAATTGACCCACAGTTCCACATGGCTGGGAGGCCATGGTGAGAAGCAAAGGAGGAGCAAAGTCACGTCTTGCATGGCGTCAGGCAAGAGAGAGAGCATGTGCAGGGAACTAACCATAAGATCTCATGAGACTTGTTCACTATCATGAGAACAGCACAGGAAAGACCCACCCCCATGATTCACTTATCTCCCACTGGGCACCTCCCATGACACGTGGGAATTATAGGAGCTACAATTCGAGAGTTGGGTGGGGACACAGCCAAACTGTGTCATCAGGTATTTGTGGTGATGCTGTTGTAAACAAACCTACTGTGCTTTCAGTTGTAGAAATGTCTAGCACATACACTTATGTACAGTACATAATACTTGGTAGTGATAACCAACAACTGTGTTACTGGCTTATGTATTTATTATAAATTTATCATTATTTAATTAATTTATTTATTTTGATATGGAGTCTTGCTCTGTTGCCCAGGCTGAAGTGCAGAGATACAATTATGGCTCACTGCAACCTCTACCTCCCCTGTTCAAGCGATTCTTCTGCCTCAGCTTCCTGAGTAGCTGGGATTACAGGCATGTGCCACCACGACTGGCTAATTTTTGTATTTTTAGTAGAGACGGGATTTCACCATATTGGCAGGCTGGTCTCGAACTCCTGATCTCATGATCTGCCCGCCTTGGCCTCCCAAAGTGCTGGGATTGCAGGTGTGAGCCACTGTGTCTGGTCCATTATTTTAGAGGGTACTCCTACTCATTAAAAAAAAAAAAAGTTAACTACAAAACAGCCTCAGGCAGTTCCTTCAGGAGGTGTCCCAGAAGAAGGCATCGGTATCATAGGAGATGACAGCTCCATGTATGTTATTGCCCCTGAAGACCTTCCAGTGGGACAAGATCTGGAGGTGGAAGACAGTGATATTATTGATCCTCACCCTGTGTAGGCCTAGGCTAATGTGTATGTTTGTGTCTTAGTTTTTGACAAAAAAGTTTGAAAACTAAAAAAATACAGTTTTAAAAATTGAAAAAGCCTTGTAGAATAAGGACAAAATGAAACAGAATATTCTTGCACAGATGTGTGATGTGTTTGTGTTTTAAGCTGTTATTATAAAAGTCAAAAAATTAAAGAAATTGAAAAATTTATAAAGTAATCTAAGGTTTATTATTGAAGAAAGAAAAATATTTTAAAAATAAATTTAGTGTAGCCTAAGTGTACAGTGTTTATAAGGTCAACAGTAGTATACAGTAATGTCCTAGGCCTTCACATTCATTTACCACTCACCCAGAGCAATTTCTAGTCCTGTACGCACCATTCATGTTAAGTGTCCTATACAGGTGTACTATATCTTTTTTTTTTTTTTCGTTTGAGACAGCGTATCTCTCTGTTGCCCAGGCTGGAGTGCAGTGGCGCAGTCTTGGTTCACTGCAACCTCCGCCTCCCAGGTTCAAGCGATTCTCCTGCCTCAGCCTCCTGCGTAGCTGGGATTACAAGTGTGCACCACCACAACCAGCTAATTTTTATGTTTTAGGAGAGATGGGTTTCACCACGTTAGCCAGGATGGTCTCCAACTCCCAACCTCAGGTGATCCACCCGCCTTGGCCTCCCAAAGTGCTGGGATTACAGGCATGAGCCACTGTATCCAGCCTAAAATCTTTTATATCATATTTTGACTGTACCTTTTCTGTGTTTAGATACATAAATACTTACCATGTGTTACAGTTGCCTGCATTATTCAGTACAGTAGCATGCTCTATAGGTTTGTAGCCTAGGAGTGATATGCTATACCATCTAGCCTAGGTATATTGTAGGCTATTCCATCTCGGTTTGTGTAAATATACTCTATGATGTTTGCACAATGATGAAATCACCTAAGGATGCATTTCTCTGAATGTATCCCTGTCCTTAAGTGACTCATGACTGTATTTGGAATCTGAGTGCCGTGAAGTCAAGAGCTGCTTTCACCAGCCTTGATTTTCGCATACTGTATGACAGAAAGTAGGCACTGATCTATCTCTCTACTGGAAAATCCAAGGCCCAATTCTGCATCTGATTTGTTATTGATACAAAGAATTAGAATTTCACTCTTTTAAGAAATCCAAACTGCACTTTCTAAATCTTACTTTCTTATTCAATTTTTTGTAGATTTTTTTCTATTACTACTACTATTGCTGAAAAACATGATCTGTGGTAGAAATATTAATAATTGTGCTTTGAGAGTATTGAAGTAGGGTAAGAATAATACAGTATCAGATCAGAGAGAGGGTGGGACCAGATCTCACAAGATTTTTATTTGGAGTTTGGATTGGATTTGCCTGTAATGGATGCCCATTAGGGTAAATCAGGGAAATTGACACAATGTGGTCTGCACATTAAAATTGGAATTATTCTGGCTCTTACGTAGAAGCAAAGAGATCAGTTGGCTGGAGCTGGAGTTCAGGCAATAGATAATGGCGGTTTGGGCTAGAGTTGACACAATGACCATGGTAAGAAGTGGTCATGTTTGGGATGTGTTTTTGGAAGTGGAAGGACAGGGCTGGTGGGTAGGTTAGAGGTGGAGAAGAAGTGAAAGGAAATGAATCAGGAATGACTCCTTTGTTTTTGGCCTGAGCAAGAGTCATTATTTCTTGATATGTGATGTATTTGCAATTAATCATATTCTGTAGTCCGTGGATGTGTGTGTGTGTATGTGTGTGTGTGTGTGTGTGGGTGTGTGCATATTTGTGTGTGGCCTTTCTCCAGAGTTGACCAGTTCCTTAAGGCATTCCTCTTTGATTAATCCTATATTTCACCTATATGTGGTCATGCTCTATGCAGAAATTGCTCATCGGTCACCCTATGACCTGGTGTGCCTGTAGACAAGATCTATTTGTTTAGCACAGTGTTTTAGGAAATTACAGTTACCAGGAGGTTATACATATAAATTCAGATTTCCACCTTCTTTTTAAAAATGAGAAGTTCTGCCCACAGTGAACCTGAATTCCCATATGGCCACCCTTAGCTAGAACTGAGCAGGAGCTGCCACTTGAGCCTGCAGAGCCAGCTGATTCTCCAGATGTGCCTGGGGCTCATCAGGTTTGCTTCCCTCACATGTGTCATCACTGCAGTTGTTTGCAGCCCTTGCTCCCCGCTAGACCCCCCTGGCTTCTCCCCTTGCATTGTGCTGACCGTTCGCCTTTGTGCTCTAACATTTTAAAATCCAGCAGCAGTAGTGTCCCAGCCGCAAGCATGAGTGCTGGTCTCACTTGTCAAAATGGTGATGGTAGAGGGAGATGAGACTTGGGGACAGCCAAAGCTGGCCACGCCAGGGCTGTAGTATCTGTCATCTAGAGTTGTGTCATGTGGTTGTTTACTTTTTTTAAAGTTAAATGTGACCCAAGGCTTATATACCCTTCAAGTTCAAGACTGTTCATTTATACCATTTTGTATTTATTGGAAAACTATGGAAACTCTCTTGAGAATAAGGAGAATGACCTGAACTTGGCATTTCTGCAGGGCCAAGCACAAAGGAGGTATTCACTAAATATTTGTCCAAATGCATTATTCAACTGTATTCTCTTTGTCAGAGAAGTCTCTGCAAATGAGTCTTTGCAAAGATTTCAAAATTGAAATAAGAGGTTAACTGTCAGGATGAATCAGTTTTTATTTTTATTCATAGATGACTTCTGACATTTCCAAGCTGTTTCACAGAGTGGATCCCAAGTTTACAGCTTGTGATACCAAAGCACCAGACACGCTTTAAAGTGGTGTACTAGAAAAAAAAATAGTCTGCATTTTGAATTCATCAAAATGTAGTATATATCTTGTTGCTCTCTTTGGGGGGCCACTAAATATATCCCACCCACTCCAGTGATTAAATATTTTTTTCCCTACATATCCCAGTCCAGTGATGAAATATTTTCTTCCCTATCTGTCCTAGTCCTGTGTCTTCATAATTTTAGTAGCAGTATAGCACAGATGTTGAAAACATAGATTTAGAGCCAGATTTTGTGGTATCAGATCCTGGTTCTGCCTCTCATTTGTTAAGTCACCTCCACATCAGTTTCTTCGCCTGTAGAATGAAGAAGATGATGCTGTTTTTCTCGAAATACTATTATAAGGAAATAAATAATACATCTAAATAATACAACTAAATCTTTATAAGTCTCTTAGAACATATGATACATAGTAAATGCTTGCTATCATTATGTCTAAGAACATTTCATATTTCTACTGCCTGTTTCCGTATGGCCTATGAGCTGAGAATGGTTTTTACAGCTTTAGGTGGTTGCAAAAAAATCAAAAGAAGAGTAATATTTTGTGACATGTGGGAATTATGTGAAATTCAAATTTTAGTGTCTATAAATAAAGTTTCATTGGAAGATAGTCATTCCAATTGGTTTATTTGTTTATGTATTCTCTATGGCTGCTTTCACTTTACAACAAAAGGTAGTTAATTGTTTTTGAATGAGATATGTTCCTGCAGGTCATCATATGACATATTAATGAAACCTGAGACTTGTGAGATCTTTCTCTGTGAATTGACACTACCATGTTCTCATGTTCAGGGCCTGCTTTTGCCTTCCTGCTTGAGATGAAGAAGTGCTTAGTTGTTGTCTCAGTCCTTTCAGATATTGTTGATATTTTATTACACTTTTCTGCCAATAGAAAACACTAAAGTTATGCTTGTGATATAGTCACATCAACCATTTAATGAACATCTGTCATCTTAGTTTAACAGGTAAACAAATAGATGCAGAAAGGCCAAGTAACTTGCCCAAAATTCTATGGCCAATAAGAGGCTTCTTGTTTACAGATGAGGTCATTAATGGACATCCATAATTATTTATAATATGAATAAATATTTATATTTCTTTTTTTTTTTTTGAGATGGAGTCTCGCTCTGTCACCCAGGCTGGAGTGCAGTGGCGTGATCTTGGCTCACTGCAAGCTCTGCCTCCCAGGTTCATGCCATTCTCCTGCCTCAGCCTCCCGAGTAGCTGGGACTACAGGCGCCCGCCACCACGCCCGGCTAATTTTTTTTTTTTTTTTGTATTTTTAGTAGAGACGGGATTTCACTGTGTTAGCCAGGATGGTCTCGATCTCCTGACCTCGTGGTCCGCCCGCCTCGGCCTCCTAAAGTGCTGGGATTACAGGCGTGAGCCATCGTGCCAGGCCTGTATTTCTTTTATATAATGCTGTTTTTGTTGTTGTTGTTTGTTTGTTTGTTTGTTTTTTTGAGACAGAGTCTTGCTGTGTTGCCTAGGTTGTAGTGCAGTGGCATGCAGTCTCCATCTCCTCTGGGTTCAAGCAATTTTCCTGCCTCAGTCTCCCAAGTAGCTGGGATTACAGGTGTGCACCACCACACCCAGCCAATTTTTGTATTTTTAGTAGAGATGGGGTTTTGCCACATTGGCCAGGCTGGTCTCGAATTCCTGCTCAAGTGATCCTCTCGCCTCGGCCTCCCAAAGTGCTGAGATTACAGACATGAGCCACCGTGCCCAGCCAGTTGTTTTATATTATACTATTTTTTGGAAAGTGGAGAGTGGATTTGAGAAGGGTTTCAGGCTGCCCAGGTGTTATATTAGCTGCCCTTGCCATCATCAGTATTTTCTAAGATCCTTTCTATGCCTATATAACCCCATTTGTTTCTCCCATGCGCTTTACCTATATAATATATTTTTGCTATGCCTAAGACCTGAAAGTGAATTCGGTTATTTGTTGGCTATTTTGCAGAATTGTACTTCTGGTTGGGTGGGGGAGGGGGATTAGACGTAGGCAGGTGACGAAGGCCACTTCTGCCCATTGCTTTTACTGACAGTGGGTAGCAAGTCCTCAGGGGACTTTCCCCTCAAGGGGAAATTACCCCTTACCCGGCTTCCTGAAGTTCTGCCTCTGGAAAGTGGCCCCTGCATCTTGCACATCTCTGTGTTATTTTGATTGATGGAGAAAATCTCTTTGTCCCTGAATCTATCGCTGCCTGTGAAAAAGGCAGCTGGGAACAGAAAAGCAGCTTTGTTTCAGATATGAATAAGTAACAGTGTATTCTTTACTGATTCTGTGGTGAAAATTTACTGCACTTTCCCTCATCTGAAGTATATGAATGATGAAAAAGGCACATGCTAAAAATTATGAGTTGGCTATACCTAATACCTGTTTAAAAACAGATAGAGGGAGGGGAACAAGGGTTGAAAAACTACCTACTGGGTACTGTGTTCACTACTTGGGCAATGGGGTCATTCGAGACCCAAACCTCAGTGTCACACAACATACCCATGTAACAAACCTGCATATGAACTCCCTGAATCTGAATGTTTTAAAAGATAATTAAATTATGCCTTGTAAAAAACTAAATAAAGTCTAGTTCAAGGGTCAGCTCCTGTCTGAAGCCTTTGCCCACTCCCTGGCTTGCAGTGGTCTTGGGGTCTCTCTCTCCTCTGTGCTTCTATAGCACTGGCACACTTTTCTATTCCAGACCTTACACATCGCACTGTAATTGTTATTTTCTAAAAAAGAGTATCACTTCCACTGAATGGTAAGCTGTTGAGTGTGCAGAAATATGGAATCTTTATTCATCTTTGTAATTCAGGTCTCTTCAGGTACACACACTTGTGCGCACACAGACACAGACACACACACACACACACACACACAATAAAAACAGATAAGGAATCACGAGGGAAGGAAGGAAGGAATAATGCCAAATTTTAGGAAACTTCAGAATGGCTCCTTCTTCCCCCTCCTCCATTTCAAACTCAGAGTAAAGTTTTGCTTCATATGAATGATATGTATATATTTTTTAAAGTGAGAAATGAAGAAGATAAAAGAAGTATTGGTTAAAAAATATCTATTATTGACAGGAAGTGGGACTGTTCATCTCTGTGGAGATTTTATTATATAAGGCAGTAATTCGATACAAGATAATACAACATTTATTAAATATTACATTGTATTCTGTAGTTCTCAGGGCATTTTCTTATAATATTCTATTATTTGATCTTTACAGTGACTTTTGATTTAAAAGGTTAGGTAGCTGAGCCAGGTTCACCAGGTAGTTAAAGGTCAAACTGGACTTAAAGCCGAGGCTTCCTGATTTTCTATGCGGTGATCACCCCATTGCATAATAATTCATTGTATCACAGACAGGCAAGGATCTACCAAACTTACAGTGAATGGAGTGGGATTTTCTGGCATCAGACACTAGAGCAGGATTATCTGTGGGAGTTGATGCTATTTATCAGGAAAAAGAGTTTAGAAATTCTATAAGCTTTGTCAGTTAAAATCTTGGACTGGTACTAGTTTTAAGCACAAAAAGTATTTAATTGTTAAGCCCAAAGTGCCTTAAGTGTTAAGAAATTAATAACCAGAAATACAGACTGAACACCTCAGCCCTGAAATTGATGACCAAATCACGTACTCCCATAATGGAAAGGCTGGAAGACATTGTCACACTGTGATGTGAGACGCAGTGATGAAGTGACAGTCCTTATACTTTTAGTTGGCCTCTGCACCCGGATGTTGTAGGCTCATTTACATTTTTAATGCGTCTCGTTATCATTGCTTTCTCAGGAACATATGCCATACTCAAGGCCTATTATTTTGTCGTTTATTGTTCTTTCTTCCACTTTACTGTATATTTGTGTGAAATTATGTCCAGACTTTGTAGTGTTTTTGTTTTTTGAGATGGAGTCTTGCCATGTTGCCCAGGCTGGAGTGCAGTGGCACGATCTTGGCTCACTGCAACCTTCACCTCCTGGGTTCAAGCAACTCTCCTGCCTCAGCCTCCCGAGTAGTTGGGATTGCAGGTGCCTACCGCCATGCCCGGCTAATTTTTGTATTTTTACTAGAGATGAGGTTTCACCATATTGGCCAGGCTGGTCTCAAACTTCTGAGCTTGCCTCGGCCTCCCAAGTGCTGGAATTACAGGCATGAACCACGATGCCCAACAGCTTGATTTGCTTTCTTTGTAAGGAAAAATGCAATTTATTTCAGCTTAAAATATTCTTTATGGGATTTAAAAATTTCTGTATTTGTACTTGTTCTTTCTATAAAAGACAAATTTGGGCCGGGTGCAGTGGCTCACGCCTGTAATCCCAGCACTTTGGGAGGCCGAGGTGGGCGGATCATGAGGTCAGGAGATCGAGACCATCCTGGCTAACATGGTGAAACCCCATCTCTACTAAAAATATAAAAAATTAGCTGGGCGTGGTGGCGGGCGCCTGTAGTCCCAGCTACTCGGGAGGCTGAGGCAGGAGAATGGCGTGAACCCTGGAGGCGGAGGTTGCAGTGAGCTGAGATCACTCCACTGCACTCCAGCCTGGGCGACAGAGTGAGACTCTGTCTAAAAAAAAAATTAATTAATTAAAATAAATAAATAAATAAAAACCCCCAAAAGACAAATTTGGATAGTCTGCAGATCATCCACAACATTTTAATTGAGCAAAAAATGAAGCCACTCATTTATTTGCCCAGGTATATATGGAGTTTCTGCTGTTGGCATACCCCATATTTTATTTGTGTTTTTCTTTTACAGAGTGGGAAACCACCCATCAATGATATGTTCACAGACCTCAAAGATGGAAGGAAGCTATTGGATCTTCTAGAAGGCCTCACAGGAACATCACTGGTGAGCAAGTCATCTTTGTAAACAACGGAGTCTCCGGTCATTGCTGATACTTGATGACCCAGTGTGGGTACCCATTAAAGTGAAAGTATCCATTTTACTTTACGTTCAAATGTAAAGGCTGAAATTCGGAACATTTTTAACAAAGCATTTTAATGAGTGCTTTGATACAACAACATTTTGGCTCTTCTGAGGGCTCTGTTTTTATTGAAGATAAAATTACCTTAAATGTTTATTGCTCTGAGACAGCCCAGGATGAGAGAATTACAAAAAAGAATGGATTTATAGAGAGGACACAATGTTTTGAACAGTAGAGTCTGGAGACAAACACATTTAAGAGTTAAATATTTTTTAAAACAGTTGTTAAGGCTGGGCGCGGTAGCTCACGCCTGTAATCCTAGCACTTTGGGAAGCCAAGGTGGGCGGATTGCCTGAGCTCAGCAGTTCGAGACCAGCCTGAGCAACATGGTGAAACCCCATCTCTACTAAAATACAAAAAATTAGCTGGGTGTGGCGGCATGTGCCTGTAATCCCAGGTACTCAGGAGGCTGAGGCCAGGAGAATTGCTTGAACACAGGAGGTGGAGGTTGCAGTGAGCCGAGATTGCGCCACTGCACTCCAGCCTGGGCAACAGAGTGAGACTCCGTCTCAAAAAAAAAAAAAAGTTGTTAAAAACTATGACATCTATTTTTTATTCAGATTTTCAGGATTATATTTTGTTGATTTATTTTTTAAATACAACTCTATTATTTTATGTGTGGGGTACTCCAAACTCATGCAGATAAAACTGCCAATAAAGAGGATGCATGTATGGGTACAAATGTTAACTCTAGAGGTAGAATTACTATCACAGTACAGAGAGATGCACTCCTGAAGATGAATTTCTTTCTTGCAGAAGTGTGGGATGTCATTCTCTCTCTTTGCCCTCCAGGTAGTGGGTAGACAACTGTTAGACAGGCTGATTCCTCTCTCAGATAAGGTTCTGGCCAGTGAAGTAGAAAGAAGCTGCATAGGTTATCTTTCCCCAGATGGGAATTCCCTGCCTTCCGAGGGCTCTTGCAATGCTACCTGGAGCCTGGGATGGTGCCTCTGAATCCTCCTTGCTCTGTTCACATCTGTGCAGAATAAAGAGGACACAATTTCTCTAAAATCCTTCTGCAGCCAGACCAATTAAGAGAAAGGAAGCTTTGTTCATAGAGCACTGGTTTCCAAACTTGTCTGCACATTAGAACTACAGGCAATCTTTTAAAAATCCCAAGTCCAGACCACACCCTAGACCCATTAAGCCACACTCTTTGGGGGTGGGGTTGGACAGAGGTATTGGTGTTTTTATGAAGCTGCCTAGGAGATTTCAACGTGCATGCAAGTTAGGGAACTGGTATCTTAAGATGTTGTTAGTTGAGGGATTTTCATACTGTGAACACCAGCTTCCAGGGTGGTAACCTGAGACCTCAGCCAGATCTCCTGCCTCTGAGGGGCCCTGTACGCTGAGCTTCACTTCTGTGTGTATCTCAGTGCTAGTGTTAGTCAGGCATATGGAGGGACAATCAGTTTTACTTGCTTTTTTGTTTTATTTTCCAGCCAAAGGAACGTGGTTCCACAAGGGTACATGCCTTAAATAACGTCAACAGAGTGCTGCAGGTTTTACATCAGAACAATGTAAGTGTGTAATGTGAGTTCTGGGGGTCTGTGCTGCCATCAGCATTATTTATTGTGAAACTCACCAACTGCTTGATGCATTGGCATCCACTGATTCTTGCAAACATTTTTTCTTATGAGAAATACTGAACTTTTTCTGTGAGTGAAGAAACAGTCATGTGCTTTTTCTGATGGCTGTATTGATCTGTAGTATAAATAATACATTTTTGAGATTTAAGCTTACCTGATTCTCTAAAATGAAATTTCTCTTATCTCTCACTTATACTGCTGTCCAAATGTGCTAAAATAAAAACCTGGAGTTCTGTGAAGAAATTGTCTTAAAAGCGTTTTTGTTTTTGTTTTTTGTTTTGTCTTAATAGGTGGAATTAGTGAATATAGGGGGAACTGACATTGTGGATGGAAATCACAAACTGACTTTGGGGTTACTTTGGAGCATCATTTTGCACTGGCAGGTGGGGAAATTTCCAATCACTTTTTAATAGAGATGGAAAATGTGTTGTTTGTCTTTTAGTTTCTTAAGGCTGCCGTAACCAAGTACCACAAGCTGCTTGGCTTGAACAACAGAAATTTGTTGTCTCCCAGTTCTGGAGGCCAGAAGTCCAAGATCAAGGCATCAGCAGGGTTGGTTTTTCCTGAGGGCTCTGAGGGAGACTCTGATCCAGGCCTTGCCCCCAAATTCTGGTGGTTTGTCTGCAATTTTTGCAGTTCCTTGGCCTGTGATAACATAGCTCCAGTGTTGACGTGGTGTTCTCCCTGTGTGCATATCTGTCAAATTTCCTCTTTTTGTAAGGACATCAGTCATATTGGATTTAGGGCCCACATTACTCCTGTATGACCTCATTCTAACTAGTGACATCTGCAATGACCTTATTTCCAAATAGAGCCCCTCTCTGAAGTACTGAGGGTTAGGACTTCAACATATTAATTTTAGAGAACATAATTCAACTCATAACAATTTTCAATGGAAGAGGCTGACAAAATGCCCTATTTTCCTGGCATAGGGAAAAAAGTACCTACCTTTCTTATGTTAAATTTTAAAAAGGGACATAATTTCACATCTAGAAAAGTTGCAGGAATAGTTCAAAGAATTCCCAAGTACCTTTCACTCACATTTCCTAAATGTTACCAGTTGTCTATATTTCATTTGTACTCTCTCTCAGTCTGCCTAAAATATTTAGTGTGTATTTTCTAACGCCATGGCATTCTCCTAAAAACAAGAACTCTCTTATGTAAACACAATAGCATATTGGTATAATAATATGAGATGTAAAATATTGATATTTAAAATGCCAATTATTGATTATTAAATATGAAAACTTAGTATATAATTATTAAAATCAAGAAAATAACATTGAAATAATACAATTATGTAATCTACAGATCTTAAGATTTTGTCAGTTGTCCCAATAATATCCTTAGTAGCAAAAGAAAATCTGAGATCATGCATTACATTTATTTTTCATGTCTCTTTAGTCCTCTTTAATCTGGAAGTTTTTGAGTCTTTGTATTTCATGATATTGATATTTTTGAAGAGTGCTGGCTAGTTATTTTGTAGAATGTCTCTCTCAGTGGGCTTGGGCTTGGCTGAGCTTTCCTTATGATTAAGTTCAGGTTGTTCACTTTTGGCAGGGACGTCACAAAAGTGACGTGAGTTCTTCTTAGTGCATCATATCGGGGATAGGTGATATCTGTTCTTTTTCTGGCAGTGTTAACTTTGATTGTTTGGCTAAGGTGGTATTTACCAAGTTTCTTCCCTGTAAATTGACTACCCTTTGTTATTAAAAGTATCGGGTGGGGATATACTTTGAGACTGTATAAATATTTAGTTTTTATCAAACTTTTAGCACCCGTTCATAATTTTTGCCTGGACCAGCTATTATTATGATGCTTGATAGATAATGATTTTCTAATTTCATTAATCCTTCTACATTAGTTGGTGTTCTACTTGTAAAGAAGAGCTTCCCCTTGTTTCTTGTTTCTCTATCTTATCTCTCTCTCCATTCATTTATTCATTTATGTATCAGTATAGATTCATGGACATTTGCATAGGTTTATGATCTTTTACTAGTACTCATTTCAGTGTTCAAGTCATCCTAGATTTGGCCAGTGTGAGCCCCTTAAATTGGCTCCTGTGTCCCTTAGATAGATCTATGTCATTCTTTGAGCACTTTCTTAAAACATATTTACTAATTTAGAATAATACTATAAAATGTTAGTTCTAGAGTATAATCGTGATTGCAGTCAGGAAAGATACTTTATTTTGTAGTCACTCAAAAGTTTTTCCTTTCTCATTTTTGTAGAAAATAAAATTTAATTGAAAAGGTCTTTGTAAACACATAGAGTTAAATATGACTTTCTATGACTGTGAAAGTTATGTTCATTGTAACCAAACATAGTACAAGTATTGCTTAAGATATAGAAAACACAGTAATGTATAAAAGTGAGGTAAAAATCACCTCAAATTCTAGTCCCCCAAAATAATCACTGTTAAAATGTATTGCTCTAGTGTCTACAGAAAAATCTGAAGTAAAATGAATGCCAGTTACCTGATCCATAATGGTTAATTAGTGCAATATTGCTTTTTCAAGGACTTCATTGAAGTAAGTTGAAGTAAATTACTGAAGTATTAGTTATGGACAGGCCTGGTTTCTCTTACATAGGTGAAAGATGTCATGAAGGATGTCATGTCGGACCTGCAGCAGACGAACAGTGAGAAGATCCTGCTCAGCTGGGTGCGTCAGACCACCAGGCCCTACAGCCAAGTCAACGTCCTCAACTTCACCACCAGCTGGACAGATGGACTCGCCTTTAATGCTGTCCTCCACCGACATAAGTGAGACATTACTCTATCTAGAAGTGGGCTTTACAAATTCATGTCTCCTCTCTGTCCCTTTGCTGCCACCACTACTCCCTGAAGCCCCTTCTCCAGTGCCACTGCTCTCCTTTCTGCACATGTTCTACCAAAACCTTAAGAAAAGAAATATCATGGAAGAAAACTACCCATCAGGTTTTTATTTCCTTAGGACTTAAATGCTGCAATACAAGGTCCATAGTTTCTCCTGCATATTTATGAATTTAAAAAATATGAAATAATTCACAAAGTTCAACCCCACTCATTCAGCACTAACTGATAATGTATACAAAAAATTGTGTTAGCTTTTCTTCTCAAACTGAAAGTAAAACTCTGTAAATTCAATGCATTCCCAATTAAAAATAGCCAAATTGTCTTTAATGAAACTTGTGAACAGATTCTAATTATATAAAAGACGAGGCCCAAGAATAGCCAGTAGACTTCTGAGGAAGAATCAGGCTGAAATACTTTCCAAAAAGAAACCAAAACTATGAAGCTATATTAATTAAGACTATGCAGTACTATCAATATACACACCAATATAAGCTGAACCATATGAAATTGCCGACATGTGAGTGTTTTTGCTATATAAGAATGGTGTTTTCATATGGTTCAACCTAATAAAATTAAGAACTCAGAAATTGCTCCATTACACAGGAAAATCTGATATACGCTTGAGCTGACATTGCAGATTAATAGATGATTTGGACAATTGATTACCCATATATAAATAAATGTATTGGATCTTTACTTCACCACACTAAAAAAAAAATAATAATTTCTACATGGATCAGGGATTTAAATGCCAAAGGCAAAATTTGTTATATTTTATTGTTGTAAATGATTACTTTTCTCAAATTTCACTTCCTCTATGTTTTTTTGCTGGTATATAAAAGTGCAATAGACTTTTCTACGTCTTATATCTGGAAACTTAATCAGTTCTTACAAATTTTAGTAAGTTTGTCTCTAGATTGTAGGTTTCTTGGAGGAGGAGGGATTAGAATGTCCTAGAATTATGATCCTTTTATTTCTTCTGTTTTCTTTTTTGTTCTCTATTGTGCCTTGTCCTTCAATGCAATGTTGATTTGAATTGGTGATAGTGGGCAGAATTTTTGTTGTTGATAATAAAAGGAGTGCTTTTAGTGTTTTACCATAAGAATGATAGTTTTTGTAGCTTTTTTGGTACACTTTTTATGAGGTTAAAGGAGGTTGCCCTAGGTTTTTAGTTGGTTAAGGGATTTTATCAAGAAACTGTAGAATTTTAGCCAATATACCATTCCATTTATTAATTAATTGATTCAACAAATACGTGTGGGGTGCCTTTTATGTGCTAGACACAGGGTATACAGCAGAGAACAAAACAGGCAAAAATCTTAGTTCTCGTGGAGCTTATGTTCCAACAGAGGGAGACAAGACAATAATAAAGTTGTGTAGTATATAGAAATGTACACACACTGAAGGAAAATACATCAGACAAGAGCAGAGGAGGCACTTGGCATCGGAGAGGGCAGTGGCTGCAGTGACCTGAGTGGGGGGAGTAATGGGAGATGAATTCAGGGAGGGAAGTGGGGGAAGTGCATCCCAGAAGGTGGGTGGGTCTAACATGCAAGAACAGACACAGAATAAAGAAAATGATTAACTTTTGGATAAGTCAAAGCAACAATAATGTCCAATTTGTGAGATTAAAAGAAAATCAAGATAGAAATGAAATACAGTCCTAGACAATATAGTAGTAGCATGGAAGCAGGGGATTGGAGGGAAACTCTTCCAAGGCTTTTGTTTTAGGAATATCCTGAGAACAGATTAGAGCTAGATTTTGTGTTCTGCTAATCTTGATCTTTTAATTGAAGAATTTAGTCCATTAACATTGATTATGATTATTTATATATTTAGGTTCATTTTTACCGCATAGTGTGAGCTGCTCATTTTTCTTATTTTTTCTGTGGTTTTTTTTTTTTTTACTTTCTTATCTCTTTTTGTATCGGTAGGTTTCCCTTTACCCCCTTTTCTTCTTCTACTCTTTGGGAAACATTATATACTACTTCTAGTCTTAATGGTTACCACAGAAAATAGCAGTCCTATTTAGCTAATACAAGACCCTTGGAAAGTATTATCTGTTATTTTCATATTTGTGAATTAATTTCAAGTATGTATTTGACAAGCCTTTGGGATATAAAAATAAACTCAAAAAAACCTCACAAATAAAAATAATCTAAAACTAAAATGTATTAGATTATAACAATGCCTACTTTGTTTCCACATATTTCATCTTCATTGCATTTTATTTGCATGGTTTTCAGACCTGATCTCTTCAGCTGGGATAAAGTTGTCAAAATGTCACCAATTGAGAGACTTGAACATGCCTTCAGCAAGGCTCAAACTTATTTGGGAATTGAAAAGCTGTTAGATCCTGAAGGTATTGTCCAGTATTTAATTTCCACCTTGATTTTGCTTTACAGTTTTGCATTCTTGAAAAGCAGTGTTTCTTTGTCCTTTTAAAAATGAATTATGAGACTTGAAGAACCTTTTCCTTTTTGGAGTATAGGTGCGAGTCATTTTATTACTGACACTTATTAATACTTTTGTACTTAGCAGTTTGTGGGATCTTTTAGGTAGAAATTTAACTACAGCACTGGACAATAGTTAATCTAAATTAAGTAAGAGTTAAAGTTTTAAGAAAATGTAATTATTAGATAAATTCAGTATCTGGTTAGTCCAATAAAATGCATTTTTATGTGAGCATCTTGCATGTGATGTAAAGACTTTAGTTATAAATGTTGCAGGATTGAATTCTAGACTTATTTTCATAGTATGAATAAAGTCTGTATCTTTATCTTAAATGGTAACATATGGTAGCTTATCTTTGACCATTTTGGGGAGGCTTTTAGGGAAGACTTTAAAAAATGAGATACTGAACAAAAATAAGTAATCCCTTTTGCCTTTGTCTCATATATTATGAAGTGGCAATTTACTGGTATTGCAAAGATTATATATTAGGTATTGTTTATGGGTACTAAGGAGAGTTATTTTATATCTAATATTGAGCAATTCACATATTTTGGACACCTAATTTAAGCTGGTTCTTATATTCTTCCACTTTTAGATGTTGCCGTTCAGCTTCCTGACAAGAAATCCATAATTATGTATTTAACATCTTTGTTTGAGGTGCTACCTCAGCAAGTCACCATAGACGCCATCCGTGAGGTAGAGACACTCCCAAGGAAATATAAAAAAGAATGTGAAGAAGAGGCAATTAATATACAGGTACAGGTAACATTTTATTAAGATGTTTGGCTTGCCGTATTTGTTTTCTCCTAGGTACTAGATAAAAACACTTTTAGAGGGTTTTTTTCTTGACTGAGAACATCTTGGTTTCTCAGCTTACATTTGCATAAGAAGTTCAGCTTAGCAGTTAGCATTCTGTCACATGTGTGTAATAGAACACCATAACTCAATGGACTTTATTAAGAAGGAAAATACTTTATTTCACCCAGCAAAACTGGGCTGTTGCTCATGCTGCTGCATGACATGCTGGGAATCTATGTTTTCACATCATCTGGTTGCCAGCTTTTATTTCTGTCATGTGCTAAAGATGGTTTTTCTCATATCAGCCTAGTTTTTTTTCTAAGTACTAATTGTCTTTCTTTTTTTGCCATTGAGAAAAGATTTTTTTTCCATTATATATCTCACAAGGGCTATCAAAATGTAAGCCTTATTTTCCCTTTCCTTTAGGAGGAGTAATGTATGGTAAACTACTTGGTGAGCTTTTCATGAAGGGATTACGATGATTTCATTCATCAGGATATAAATGAATTTTTAAAGAGAGAAATAAAATCATAATTTATTTTCTTCCTTAGTTCTACTGTTTGAATCAATCCATATTTAATCTCATTCTGTTTTAGTCTAGCCAGTCCTTGTAATTCATAAGATGAGAGAATCTTAAGAATTGGACCTTAGAAGTCACTTGGTTCAACATTCTAGTGACCAAGCAACCAAGACATACATGTAGATTTCAAAATTATAAGAACTACATTTCAGAGAGAAAGAAAGCTTCTCTGGATGGACCTTAAATTCATCCTGTTGCTACTTGTTTTGGGTTGTTACTTAAACTCTCAATCACAGTTTTGTCTGCAAAATGTGGTTAAAACCACCAACTTCATAAAGATAATGAATTCAAAGTATCTAAAATGACATTAATAAACACTCAACAAGCAACAGCTATCATTATTATCATTTTTCTTCTTGATTTGTTTTGGCATTCTCATTTAACAGATTTCTTTAAAAAATATTATTTAATTCCCATATTATGATACTAGTCTTGAATTGACATAGCATCTTTTTTTTCCATCCTCTGAGATTCAGAGAATTTACTTATTCTTTTAAATTTTCTTTGGGTAATATGTACCCATCCTTTTATTTCCCCCGTTTCAAAAATAGTGTGATTTATAGAAAAAGAAAAAAATTTACTGAAAAGAAAGGATTGAGAAATGAGGCCTGATTGTGAACCCAGGGCTCTCTTTTGTAGTGAATATCAAATGATGCTGAGGAAAATTCCTAACTTACTATAATTGAAAAAAATGCTAGGAAGTATTTGCCTCTAAAAGTATAGTTATTATTCTACATTAATGATGCACCTTTTTAGTTGGCTCAGATGATCTTCTGAGTTTGTTACAGGGTTTTAGATTCATTTCCTTATTGCATTTTGTTAGAAGGAGGAGATATTTTATTTAGTTCTTATAGTTAAGGGCCTTCTCTCTTAAAAAGGAAGGAGACTTCATTTACTTTTCATGATGTGTAGATAAAATAATCACTTCTGTTTAGGGCTCAGCGTGGCATGATAAGAACTTCAGAAAACATTTGCTATTTGATTAAGTGCAAGTGTATTAACACCTCTTCATTTGCAAGCTTTCATTAGTGTCTTAGAGGCTGAATTACGTTAATTGAAAACTAAAATGTGATCAAGTTTTAATCATCTCTCTGACATAGCTTGCCATCTGCTACTCTCCTAATAGTCAGACTTCTTCTGCCCTGTTCTTTCTACAAACATACGCTGGTGGTCAATGAATAATTCCTGCATTTCTCTTTAAATATCCGTCAGTTGAAAGTTTCCTCATGTGTTCGAATTAATACCGTCTGAACATTTGTGTTTAGATAGTGCCTTCCTTCTCGACCTCATGGATGCTGGTGCCTATCTCAGTGACCTTTGGCTGGTCACTAACTTTCCTGGTTCTTAGAAATTCTCATTATAGTATAGAGGTTTGGAGCTAAATGATCTCCAGGGGTTATTTTAGCTCTACAGTTTTAGGATTTTTTGTCCATAACTTAACTCATTTTTCTTTCTCTGTCTTTGGCACCATCTGTCTTTTAATTATCCACTGTTTCGACTCTGTGCTGATTGGTTCATTTCTTAACTCATATATTCAGTTTCCTGGATTCTTCAAGCCTTCCTCCAAAATGTCTTTTGTGTGTGTTTTCATTTTATTGCAGCCTTCATACTCATTTTTATTTTATTTTTTTAGTATTATACTTTAAGTTTTAGGGTACATGTGCACAACATGAAGGTTTGTTACATATGTATACATGTGCCACGGGTGGTGTGCTGCACCCATTAACTCGTCCTTTAGCATTAGGTATATCTCCTAATGCTATTTAAAGACTTCATTTTCTCCTATAGTTTACAAGCTGTGGCCTACCTCTGCTACTCTGCCCTGCAGTTAGAGTGGACTTTTCCCCCAAGACTCTTGTTCATGCAGGTTCCCCTCTGTTAAATGCTTCTGCACCCACCATTATATGGCAGCCTGCACATTTTTCCTCAGTTTAAATGGAGCCTTTTCAGAGAAGTCTTTTCTGATTAATCTATCAAAATACAACTCTCTGTCTCTCTCTCTCTTTCTGTCACTCTATCTTGGTTTCTTACTATCACAGTATTTTTGTAAACTGTGTTAAGAATTTTAAATTGTATCTTAAGAGCATTGGGAAAGCCAGTGAAAGGTTTTCAGCAGGTACGTCTTATGATGGCATTACATTTTTGAAAGATCATTCTGGCTGCTGTGTGAGAAATGGACTGTGGATTGTGAAGGTGAGAGTGTTGGGTGGGGGAAAACAGGAAAGTAAAGACACTTGTTAGCAGGTATTCCAGTTCAGAAGATGGATGTGTGTGGTTGTGGAAATGGAAAGGTCTGGATGGATTTGAGATAAGTCTTTTTTTTTTTTAATATATATTTTTTATTGATCATTCTTGGGTGTTTCTCGCAGAGGGGGATTTGGCAGGGTCACAGGACAATAGTGGAGGGAAGGTCAGCAGATAAACAAGTGAACAAAGGTCTCTGGTTTTCCTAGGCAGAGGACCCTGCGGCCTTCCGCAGTGTTTGTGTCCCTGGGTCCTTGAGATTAGGGAGTGGTGATGACTCTTAACGAGCATGCTGCCTTCTAGCATCTGTTTAACAAAGCACATCTTGCACCGCCCTTAATCCATTTAACCCTGAGTGGACACAGCACATGTTTCAGAGAGCACAGGGTTGGGGGCAAGGTCACAGATCAACAGGATCCCAAGGCAGAAGAATTTTTCTTAGTACAGAACAAAATGAAAAGTCTCCCATGTCTCCTTCTTTCTACACAGACACGGCAACCATCCGATTTCTCAATCTTTTCCCCACCTTTCCCCCCTTTCTATTCCACAAAACCGCCATTGTCATCATGGCCCGTTCTCAATGAGCTGTTGGGTACACCTCCCAGACGGGGTGGTGGCCGGGCAGAGGGGCTCCTCACTTCCCAGTAGGGGCGGCCAGGCAGAGGCGCCCCTCACCTCCCGGACGGGGCGGCTGGCCGGGTGGGGGGCTGAACCCCCCACCTCCCTCCCGGACGGGGCGGCTGGCCTGGCGGGGGCTGACCCCCACCTCCCTCCCGGACGGGGTGGCTGCCGGGCGGAGACGCTCCTCACTTCCCAGACGGGGTGGCTGCCGGGCGGAGGGGCTCCTCACTTCTCAGACGGGGCGGTTGCCAGGCAGAGGGTCTCCTCACTTCCCAGACGGGGTGGCTGCCGGGCAGAGGGGCTCCTCACTTCTCAGATGGGGCGGCTGCCGGGCGGAGGGGCTCCTCCCTTCTCAGATGGGGCGGTTGCCAGGCAGAGGGTCTCCTCACTTCTCAGACGGGGCGGCCGGGCAGAGACGCTCCTCACCTCCCAGACGGGGTCGCGGCCGGGCAGAGGCACTCCTCACATCCCAGATGGGGTGGCGGGGCAGAGGCGCTCCCCACATCTCAGAAGATGGGCAGTCGGGCAGAGATGCTCCTCACTTCCTAGATGGGATGGCGGCCGGGAAGAGGTGCTCCTCACTTCCTAGATGGGATGGCGGCCGGGCAGAGACGCTCCTCACTTTCCAGACTGGGCAGCCAGGCAGAGGGGCTCCTCACATCCCAGACGATGGGCGGCCAGGCAGAGACGCTCCTCACTTCCCAGACGGGGTGGCAGCCGGGCAGAGGCTGCAGTCTCGGCACTTTGGGAGGCCAAGGCAGGCGGCTGGGATGTGGAGGTTGTAGCGAGCCGAGATCACGCCACTGCACTCCAGCCTGGGCACCATTGAGCGCTGAGTGAACTAGACTCCGTCTGCAATCCCGGCACCTCGGGAGGCCGAGGCTGGCGGATCACTCGCGGTCAGGAGCTGGAGACCAGCCCGGCCAACACAGCGAAACCCCGTCTCCACCAAAAAAATACGAAAACCAGTCAGGCGTGGTGGCGCGCACCTGCAATTGCAGGCACTCGGCAGGCTGAGGCAGGAGAATCAGGCAGGGAGGTTGCAGTGAGCCGAGATGGCAGCAGTACAGTCCAGCTTCGGCTCGGCATCAGAGGGAGACCGTGGAAAGAGGGGAGGGGGAGGGGGAGGGAGAGGGAGCGAAGTTTTGAAGGAAGGTCAGAATTACTTATGTATTAAATGTGGAAGATGAAGGAGAGAGAAGCTGGGGCTGGCTCCCAGGTTTGTAGCTGGAGTACCTAGTTGCAGGGAGGAGCCATCTACTGAGTTGGAGAAGTCTGAGGAGGAACAAGCTTTGGAAGAAAGTAAAGGTTTTGAATATGGACATGGTTTAATATGCCTAGGAGGCGCTGAAGTAGAGATGTGAAAATAGTGGGATATGAGAGTTTGGAATCCAGACTCCTAGGTGGTTCTAGATGTTCTTTAAATCCAATAGGAGTAGATGAGATTACTCAGACACAGTATACAGTGGGGAGAAAAAAGAGCCTAGAACTTAATTTTGAGGAGATTCATTACTTATGAGTCAGCAGCTGCTGTTGAACCAGCAGGAAACCAGGGCAGTGTCACAGAAGCAGGGAAACAAGCTTCTGAAAGCTCAAGTTGCTCAGCCTTGAGGAGTGCTACCAAGGTCTGAAGCAAGGAACGTGGGTGGCCAGCTCTCCGGGCTTACTTGGGACAGTTCTGGTTTGGATTTGTTGTTTGAGCACAGTTATCATCAAAAATACTCTAGTTTGTTGGTTAATTATATGGTCACCCTGAAGATGATGCTAGAAAGGTCCGTTTGGCAATGGGAAGGTTATTGATGACATTGGTAAAAGCCTTTTCAGTTGAGTCATGGGGCAAATAGCAAGTTGAAGTTAAAGGGAATGTTAACAAACCATAGCTGTTAAATACTTGAGCATTTTTTGTATTGTTCTCTATACGTTTCTGTACATTTGAAATATTGTACTTAAAAATCATGCATGAGAGTTGATAAAGTAGAGACAGAATGTAGGCAAGTCTTCAAGAAATCTTGCTCTGAAAGGGAACAAAAGAACTAGGGAGAGTCAATTTGGTTATAAGCTCTTAAAGTATATATGGAAATACTCAGTTATTTAGAAAGAGGTTGATAGAAATTTATTCCATGAGCCCTAAAAGGCCATCAGATAAACCAGAGGGCAACTGCCTAAGAAAAATACAATCAGTACAGCAGCCTGTGTGGCTGTCTTTTAGTGTCTAAAATGCAATGCTAAAATGCAGTTCAGCAAAAGCAATTTACCTAAGGGTCAAGGCAGAATTCTCACCTTTCTTTTTCTTTAAATTACAGAAAAGGCCTAACACGTTCCAGCTCCTCTACGAAACTTTCCTGTTTTAGCCTTTGTTGAACTCAAATATCATGCCTTGTTGGGACCATGGCATTTACTTTTCTAATAGCTGTTCTTCAATTTCTGTTCAGAAGTGATTCATGTGGGTTCTCTGTCCCTAACTATATTAGAATCTCCTTGAGTACAGAATTCATGAGTGCATGCTGCTTTTATACTCTTTGCTACCCTAGTGCACTTACTCAATGCTTCTAACTCATTCATGGCAGTGCCCATTTGGCTCCTGAGAATTGGATTAGTGCCTAAGACAGAGTGGTGGGTACTTTGGGTTCGCCATACAGTGTGAGTTTGCTGAACACCTCTTGCTTTGATGATTAGTGTGGGTTTTTCTTGGCTTTGTTTTTACAGAGTACAGCGCCTGAGGAGGAGCATGAGAGTCCCCGAGCTGAAACTCCCAGCACTGTCACTGAGGTTGACATGGATCTGGACAGCTATCAGATTGCGTTGGAGGAAGTGCTGACCTGGTTGCTTTCTGCTGAGGACACTTTCCAGGAGCAGGATGATATTTCTGATGATGTTGAAGAAGTCAAAGACCAGTTTGCAACCCATGAAGTAAATATCTGTAGTTTCTTAGCAGGGTGTGTCCCCCACGGGACCTGAGCCTTAATCAGGGACTCTACTCTCCTATTTGTTATCTACTGAATTCTGTTCTTTGGAAAGGTCAATGGTTTATTTCAGGAACTGTGATATTTAAATAGTGCTTTGTCACAAAATTGGTATGGGTGATTAAACTGTGCCTCAGAATTAGATTTTAGATTTTAGTCTCCTTGTGTGTTTTGGAGAGCCACTGATGAAAATCATTGCATAGTACTGCTCAGTTCTGAAGTGCATTGTTATATTTCAAAAGCAAACGAGTGAACCAATACACCAAATCTTTAAGATTTGAGTGTTCCCTAGGAAATGATTATTCTTTTTAATTGCATGATTAAGCAAATGTCATACCCAGGGTTCCTGTATTTTTTCATATCATAAAAGTTTCCTGCTCCTTTGAGGACATACTATATTGCAGCATAGTGAATTTCACTATATGGAGATTTCTTTTGGTTAAATTTTTCTTTTGTATAGTTATGTGAATTGACAGATCTTATTTGTTGTTTTGGATAGAAAATAATATAAGTGGTAATATCTCTTAAACAGTTCCTCTTGGGTGAGTATGGTATTTTATTTTATATATATATTTATATATATAATAAATAAATATATATTTATATATAAATATATATAAATAAAAATAAATATATATTTTATTTTATATATAAATAAAATATATAAATAAATATATATAAATAAAATATATAAATATTTTTATATATAATCTATTTATATATTATATATGTATATGTATATGTGTGTGTATATATATATATTTATAATTTTTTTTTTTTTAACAGAGTCTTACTCTGTCACCCAGGCTGGAGTGCAGTGGCACAATCTTGGCTCACTGCAACTTCTACCTCCTGGCTTCAAGTGATTCTCCTGCATCAGCCTCCCAAGTAGCTGGGACTGCAAACATGTGCCACCACGCCCGGCTAATTTTTTGTGTTTTTAGTTAGAGACGGGGTTTCACCTTGTTGTCCAGGCTGGTCTTGAACTCCTGGCCTAGGTGATCCACCTGCCTCAGCCTCCCAAAATGCTGGGATTATAGGTGTGAGCCACCACACCCAGCCTTTTATTTTATTTATTTAGAATTCCATGTTCATGATCTATGAGTAGCATAGTCAGCATTTACTTTAAAATAGCTGGTATTATCAGATGCATCATTGCTTGCTTTGAGCTATTTCTCTTTTAACTTATGGCAGGTGTTTATTCCTATTTTCAGAGATTAAAAAATGTGGTCAATGTCTATTTTATTTGCGCTCTACTAGGCTACCTTTTTCTGCATCACTGACATTTAGGTTAGGCATTAGCAATTTGTTCAGTCTTCCTTTTTTTTTTTTGCACTGAGTAGCTCACAAATTATAACAATGTCCCTTTCTAGGCTTTTATGATGGAACTGACTGCACACCAGAGCAGTGTGGGCAGCGTCCTGCAGGCAGGCAACCAACTGATAACACAAGGAACTCTGTCAGACGAAGAAGAATTTGAGATTCAGGAACAGATGACCCTGCTGAATGCTAGATGGGAGGCTCTTAGGGTGGAGAGTATGGACAGACAGTCCCGGTGAGTGGAAAGCCAAGAAATGCACTTAATTCCACAGGCTGCTTTGCACAGTTGAGCTCTAGTAGATGTCTGCATGTCTGTGAAAGCGAGATGATTACAGAACTTGCCTTGGAAAAGTAAGACTCTTTTCTACGGGTAATATTGCTGGAATTCTGCATGATCTTTGTTTCCCCTTTGATGTGTTAGCCACACCAAAAGATAAAAGTTGGAATACAGAATTTAACAAAAAGGAAAAAGAGGATAGGCATGGTGGCTCATGCCTGTAATCCCAGCACTTGGGAGGCCAACGCGGATGGATCACTTGAGGCCAGGAGTTTGAGACCAGCCTGGGCGACATGGCGAAACTCCGTCTCTACTAAAAATACAAAAATTAGCTGGGCATGGTGGGCCATGCCTGTAATCCTAGCTACTTGGGAGGTTGAGGTATGAGGATCGCTTGAACTCAGGAGACAGAGATTGCAGTGAGCTGAGATTCAGCCACTGCACTCCAGCCTGGGTAACAAAGTGAGACTGTCTCCAAAAAAAGGAAAAGACATTTCATAGGGGCAGTTACTTATTTGCAATGTTAAGATTAGCTAAACATTAACTTGGTGTGAAGACAGGACTATGGAGTATTGATCTACTTTTCCATTTTGTGACTTTTATTTTAAAGCTTTCTCATGGTTTATTTTATTTCATGTATTGTGTCTTAAGGAGCAAACTGCATTCATTGCCACTTCCACCTATTTAATAAGCAGGAATTCCTGATTGAAGAAACAATGATTCTGATATGAATACAGGGTGCTGCTTTTTGCATTCTTTGTCTGCATTTAATGAACTCCATTTAGGACAAAATAAAAGTTTACTTTCCTGGCTTCTATATTTAAAGACTAAATGCTACCTTGAATGTTTAGACAAGGGTGTCTTCCCTTGCCCTGTATCTCCGGTGCCCAGAATGTATATTTGACTTTGCAAAGGGAAAAGGCTTGTAGGAATAATGCTGTGTTCCCCACGGACAGGCTGCACGATGTGCTGATGGAACTGCAGAAGAAGCAACTGCAGCAGCTCTCCGCCTGGTTAACACTCACAGAGGAGCGCATTCAGAAGATGGAAACTTGCCCCCTGGATGATGATGTAAAATCTCTACAAAAGCTGCTAGAAGAACATAAAGTAAATCTGTCTCATATTTCTTCGATACCTTATCAAATATGAAAGAGCAGCACTTAGCATCTCAGAGGCTGATGACATCTATCGTTAACATGAAGTTGGGACACTTCTTCAGGGTTGTCTTCATTTAGCAGCTCACAGGGTGGAATTGATAGAGATGAGACTTTTCTGAGCCAGGGATAAAAGGGCACGGTAAAATTTTATATGTGATGTGCAGTTTTCTTTTGAAAGTACATAGCTTTCATACAACTGGAGAAGGGTTCTTTTGGCCCTCTAAGTGGCTAAGAACCCAAGCATGTTGGCGTTCACATGGTGTGTGGGTGAAGAGCAAATTCTTCGTCTATGATTCAGGAAAGCGTCAGGCATTAAGTTAGGAACCAAAATTGGGTGGGCAATTTAATTTGGTCACAAGTCTAGGAGATAAACTTTTCATAGTCAAGATAAGGAAAGATAGAATAAAATATGCTCTCTGTAAATTGAAGACTTTTATTGATCAGTGAAACATTGAGGTAACTAATATGTAAAACTTTAGGAATACATTAAACACAACTCTGAGAAGCATTTGAGAACACTATTGATAGTATTTAAATAAATTTTCTTTCTTTCTTTCTTTTTTTTGAGATGGAGTCTTGCTCTGTCACCCAGGCTGGAGGGCAATGGCAAAATCTCAGCTCACTGCACCCTCTGCCTCCTGGGTTCAAGTGATTCTCCCACCTCAGTCTCCCAAGTAGCTGGGACTACAGGCGTGTGCCACCACACCCAGCTAATTTTTTGTATTTTTTGTATTTTTAGTAAAGTCAGGGTTTCACCATGTTGGCCAGGCTGGTCTTGAACTCCTGACCTCAAGTGATCCGCCTGCCTTGGGTTCCCAAAGTGCTGGGATTACAGGTGTGAGCCACCATGCCCAGCCTATAAATTTTCTATACACATGTATCCAATGACTATGCTCTTCCCATGGAAAAGGCGAGAGAATCTAAGGTGTCCATACTTCTTTAACTGCTTTATTGGGTAGCTAATCAGAGTAACTTTTGACTATCGTGTAGCATTCTACTTATCTCTTTATACTGTCCTACACTAGATAAAATGATCTCTGACTTGGTTTATTTAAGCTCTGGACTTTTTTGCTTTACCACTTCTACATTTTTGTATTAATTCCTAGTATGGACACTCAACTCCTTTATGCTATAAATTCTGAGGGAGGGCCAGAACTTGAATAAAAGTGGTGATATCTCCATTTGCAGTCTGTTATAACACTGCATCCTCAAACTGCCTTTGTTGATAATGGAATGTAAAGATGTATAATAGGATTAGTTTCATTAGTAGAACAGTTAGGGTAATGATTGGAAATTTAAATATGATGCCTCATTAACTGTCCTTAATTACTATTGACAACTGAGTGCGTTTTAAATAGGTAAATGTGAAAGTAGAAATAATGGTTTATCTTAATTTTTTTCTCTAGAGTTTGCAAAGTGATCTTGAGGCTGAACAGGTGAAAGTAAATTCACTAACTCACATGGTGGTCATTGTTGATGAAAACAGTGGTGAGAGTGCTACAGCTATCCTAGAAGACCAGTTACAGGTAAGAGTGCTGTAAAGTTGGATAATCCTGAGGGACCTGTGGTCTGAGACCCAATTACATATTGCCCTTGTTCTTCATGTCCTTTCTCATTCTTTATCCAGAAGGGTAGAAAAACCTACCTTTGATTGTACTTCTCAGTTGGGGTTCTACAGTGTGTGGGCTACAGGAGTACCCAGGTATTGATTCCTTTACTTCAGCTCTTGGGGTGAATGGATGGGGCTGGTTGCAGTCCCCAGCTTCCTTGTGCATAATGACAAGATTTGGAAGCACAGTGTATTAGTCCGTTTTCACACTGCTGATAAAGACATACCTGAGACTGGGAAGAAAAAGAGGTTTAAGGGACTTACAGTTCCATGTGGCTGGGGAGACCTCACAATCATGGTGGAAGGGAAGGAGGAGCAAGCCACATTTTATATGGATGGTGGCAGGCAAAGAGAGGGAGCTTGTGCAGGGAAACTCCTTTTTTTAAAACCATCAGACCTCGTGAGACTTACTCACTATCACAAGAACAGCAAGAGAGAGACCTGCGCCCATGAATCAATTACCTCCCACTGGGTTCCTCACTTAAAATGTGGGAATTGTGGGAGTTACAATTCAAGATGAGACTTGGATGGGGACACAAGCAAACCATATCATTCCACCCCTGGCCTCTCCCAAATCTTATGTCCTCACATTTCACAACCAATCATGCTTTCCCAACAGTACCCCCAAAGTCTTAACTCATTTCAGCATTAACTCAAAAGTCCACAGTCCAAAGTCTCATCTGAGACAAGGCAAGTCCCTTCCGCCTATGAGCCTGCAAAGTCAAAAGCAAGTTAGTTACTTCCTAGCTACAATGGGGGCACAGGCAAAGAGTAAATACATCTGTTCCAAATGGGAGAAACTGGCCAAAACAAAAGGGCTACAGTCCCCATTCAAGTATGGAATACGGTGGGGTAGTCAAATCTTAAAGCTTCAAAATGATCTCCTTTGACTTCATGTTTCACATCCAGGTCACGCCTATGCAAGAGGTAGGTTCCCATGGTCTTGGGCAGTGCTGCCTCTGTGGCTTTGCGGGAAATAGCCCCCTCCTGGCTGCTTTCATGGGTCAGTGTTGAGTGTCTGCGGCTTTTCCAGGTGCATAGTGCAAGCTGTCAGTGGATCTACCACCCTGGGGTCTGGAGGACAGTGGCCGTCTTCTCACAGCTCCACTAGGTGGTGCCACAGTAGGGACTCTGTTTGGGCCACATTTCCCTTCTGCACTGCCCTAGCAGAGGTTCTCCATGAGAGCCCCACCTCTGCAGCAAACTTCTGCCTGGACATCCACGTGTTTCCATACATCCTCTGAAATCTAGGTGGATGTTCCCAAACCTCAATTCTTGACTTCTGTGTACCCGCAGGCTCAACACCACATGGAAGCTGCCAAGGCTTGTGGCTTGCACCTTTGCCATGGCCTGAGCTGTACCTTTGCCCCTTTTAGTCATGGCTGGAGCAGCTGGGATGCAGGGCACCAAGTACCTAGCCACAAGGCACGGGGACCCTGAGCCCAGCCCACAAAACCATTTTTTCCTCCTAGGCCTCTGGGCTTGTGATGGGAGGGGCTGATGTGAAGACCTCTGACATGCCTGGAGATGTTTTCCGCATTGTCTTGGTGATTAACTTTTGCCTCTTTGTTACTTATGCAAATTTCTGCAGCCAGCTTGAATTTCTCCTCAGAAAATGAGATTTTCTTTTCTATTGCATTGTCAGGCTGCAAATTTCTCAAACTTTTATGATCTGTTTCCTTTATAAAACTGAATGCCTTTAACAGCACCCAAGTCATCTCCTGAATGCTTTGCTGCTTAGAAATTTCTTCCACAGGTACCCTAAATTTTCCCACATTTTTCTGTCTTCTTCTGAGCTCTCCAAATGTTTCCAACCTCTGCCTGTTACCGAGTTCCAAAGTCACTTCTACATTTTAGGGTATCTTTTCAACAGCACCCCACTCTACTGGTACCGATTTACTATATTAGTCCATTTTCATGCTGCTGATAAAAACATACCTGAGACTGGGAAGAAAAAGAGGTTTAATGGACTTACAGTTCCACATCGTTGGGGAGGCCTCACAATCATGGCAGAAGGGAAGGAGGAGCAAGTCACGATTTACATGCATGGTGGCAGGCAAAGAGAGAGAGCTTGTGCAGGGAAACTCCCTTTTGTAAAACCATCAGATCTCGTGAGACTTATTCACTATAATGAGAACAGCATGGGAAAGATCTGCCCCCATGCTTCAATTACCTCCCACCAAGTTCCTCTCAAAAAATGTGAGAACTGTGGTAGTTATAATGCAAGATGAGATTTGGATGGAGACACAGGCAAACCATATCACACAGGAGCTGATCTTATTAAGTGATCCACTGACTTCTTCTCAGAAGCACTTGAGGAGCTTGTTAAAATGTAGATTCCTAGGCTCTACCCACTACCTAAATCTAGGTGAGGGAGGGATGCAGTGAATTTGCAATGTAAGAAAAATCATGTGCATAGTAAAGTTTGAGAATTTCACCTAGTAGGATTCAATATCTCAGTGTTTTCGGTAGATTAATATGTGAATTTCAACAACAGTTTTGGAAACCTCCCAAAATTGCTTCTTTTTGCACAAAGGCAATAGTGTATCTTTACAAGTCTTTAACAGATAAATTTATTGGTATTTCATTTGAACAATACTTGGATTTTCTGGTAAGACGTTGCCAATTTATTTAAATATGATGCCTCATTAAGTGAGGCAATCCAAACTGTAATTTCATCACGTGAGGTCCTTTTGCTTTTGTGATATTTAAAGTCAGCCAGAGGTTCTAAGACTTGTATGCAGTAGTTAGTTATTATAACCTGAGAGCTAAGTATTCATGCCTTGACTATTTAGCAGTAAGGAATCTGAGATTCAGAGAGGTTAAGTAGTCCTCCTGAGATTTAAATAGACAATGAGTTATCATGCTGAGACTGGAAATCTATCTTCTGGCTCTTAAGTTTTCTCCCCCTTTGTACTATGAAAAGCTTATTCTCATATTAAGTATCAAAATAGTATAATATGAATTAAATAATTCTTGTTCACATGTATATAGTACAAAAATAAATTTTAACATTTGTTAATCATTATTTGTAAAATTGTAATAAAATGATTTTGGGAGAAAATAATCATGAAGAGTGATTTTTTATAATTAATAAAATTTATTTAGTATTGCTGATACTAGTAAGATTCTATTGCTAATTTATGTAACTTATGGGGAATTTTTTTATGGATCACATAATGTAAACAGAACAAATCATTTGATTTTTTTATTGTCTCATAAAAATTCTCTTATTCAAAACAGGTTTTATAAGTTAAACATTTTTCATAATTTTGGTACCACAGATGAAAATTTTCTTGGCATGTAAAAGAGAGTTAAGGAATATAACAGACATGCTGGTTTTTTTAGCTAAAAATTTGAAAAATTTGAAGCACAAAAAGTAGATATGTTTGTTTTATTTTTTAATAATATGTAAAAATGTCATATTCTCATAAAAACCACAATGAAATAGAAAGAGCAGGTTTGGAGTCAAAGATTCAGAGGATACAGTTCTATTATGTTAGTTTCTAGCTATGTGAAATCATTTGTTCAATTCTATGGAAATTAGTTTTTCTGATTCATACATTTCTAGGCCTAGTCTGTTATTTTAAAGCAATTTTTATAAAAATACTTTTTATAAGTTGTTATTCTATAATAAAGAACAATGGAAATCATGAATTTCTTCAAGGATTGTGATAACTCTCTCTTAAGGCTGTGTTGACAAAGGATGGTTTCTCCTTTTTCTAGAAACTTGGTGAGCGCTGGACAGCAGTATGCCGTTGGACTGAAGAACGCTGGAATAGGTTACAAGAAATCAATATATTGTGGCAGGAATTATTGGAAGAACAGGTATGAAACTGTTTTCCATAAGGGGCAAAATAAATGGTGAAAAGTAACCCATCTTTTATTGTGACTTTAGAATAAAGTTGCCTTGTTTACTTTTCTTTGAAAGGAAAATATATAAATAATTATTTTAAAGATCAAATTTCTATCCAGTTTATAACTGATCATGAAGCTTATTCACAGAGATTGTGTCATTTGGCTCCATTAATTTGACCTGTTTTCATTACTTGGAATGTTAGTACTTAGAAGATATGCTATTTTCATGATTTGTTTGACATCATAGTTATTAGTGGATTTGTGTTGGGTGATGTATTTGAATTTGTATCAACACAATGCCTAGCATATAATTTGTGCTCAGTAAATAATGAGTAATGAATCCACTCAACACACTGTGAACTTTAATTCCCTAGATTTTTTCTTGATTTTTAACAAGTATTGAAATTAATGAGAAAATATTATTTAGTCACACCTTTGATTTAACACTGGATTAATTGCATATTTTTTCCACTAAGTGTTATCACAGCAAATGAATCTGTTGTACAAAGCTGCCACCTTAATTTTTCAATAGGACTGGTGGCTCTTTGCCTGTTCTCTGTCTTTCCAGAAAAGCAACCATTGAAACAAAATACAAATAAACAAAACTTTTCTCCCCAAATGCCAAACAGTTGTGGTTTAAAAAATAAGTAGATACTGGCCGGGCAGGGTGGCTCACGCCTGTAATCCCAGCACTTTGGGAGGCTGAGGCAGGTGGATCACTTGAAGTCAGGAGTTCAAGACTAGCCCGGCCAACATAGTGAAACCCCGTCTCCACTAAAAATATAAAAATAAGCCAGGTGTGGCGGTGGGTGCCTGTAATCCCAGCTACTCAGGAGGCTGAGGCAGGAGAATTGCTGGAACCCAGGAGGCAGAGGTTGCAGTGAGCCGAGACTGTGCCACTGCACTCCAGCCTGGGAGACAAGAGCGAGACTCCCTCTCAAAAAAAAAAAAAAAAAAGCAAATACTCTATTCCCACATCTCTCAGTGTCCATTTTGATTCTTTTAAATGCATTTCATTTCCATCTATAAGAAGCAACTATATTCTCTTCAGGGGAAAAAACTCAAGTGTGTGATGTTTTGTGGCTTACTAAATATGGTGGCAGATAGTTGCAGAATTTGTCCAAATATAAATTGTTAATGACTACTTCCCCCCCCGCCCTCAATCTGTGGTCAGATTTTTCTTATTAGGAATCACAAAAGGGACCTGATTCTGATTTATGAAATGTTTACATTTCATGTTACAAATATTTACATTTCACTTTATAAATATTTATGTTTATTGTGAACCTTGTATTTAGGCCAAAAAGTCTCAGAATAGTTAAAATTTTACTTCAATAATGACAGTAGAAAGGCTGGGCGCGGTGGATCACGCTTGTAATCCCAGCACTTTGGGAGGCCGAGGCGGGCAGATCACTTGAGGTCAGACCAACATGTTGAAACCTGTCTCTACTAAAAATGCAAAAAATTAGCCAGGCCTGCAGTGGGCACCTGTAATCCCAGCCACTCAGGAGGCTATGGAGGCAGGAGAATTGCTTGAACCCAGGAAGCAGAGGTTGCAGTGATCCGAGATGGCACCACTGCACTCCAGTCTGGGTGACAGAGTGAGACTCTGTCTCAAAAAATAAAAATAATAGTAATAGTAATAATTGCAGTAGAAGACATCGATTGCTAGAGAAAACCATTGTGTTACTCTTCTATCCAGTAAAGTAATTGCAAATTTGGAAATAATTTTAATTTGATGATAAAAAACAGTTTAAAAATAGAGTGCTAGTATTTCAGTCACTTGTACCACTTTAGGTTTTAAACTGACCTTTCATCGTGTTCTATAATGATCTGACATTTTAACTATACCTTTTGTGTGTGTGTGTGTACTGTCTACATGTTCTGTCTGATGGCATCATTATTTATGTGCATATCTTACCAGCCTCACTAGACTGAGGACAGTATCCATTGGGGGGTGAAATATAGAGGCAAGGAATAGTTGTTAAATATTTAATTCATAAATAAAATTGCTGAGAAAGAATTGATTCCGTTGCAAATACAGAACCAAGTTGTTTTCCTCCCTACTAAATAGAAAAGGGTTTCCACCCTAAATGCTACATTTTGGGAGAAATTATCACAATGTAGCTACGGTTGTTTTCCATCCCTTCTTCAGGATTATCTCTCTACATGACTGAATATCCTCTGCTTAGAAAACACACATTGTTGTCCAATGAAGTTGAAAAATCTTTATATGGGCTTTGGGTGCTCTTCAGACTCCCTCCTTTAATCATAATTGCTGTTGAACCTTGAATGCTAGTGTGGATTTCCTACATGATGCCATGGAAAACACTGGTTTTGGGGTGTGGACCCTGGACCCAGCTCTGCCATTAACTATCCAAGTGATCTGGGACATGTAACTTGACTTCTCTTTCCTTCCTTTCTAAAATGAGGGGCTGGGACAAGACAATCTCCGAGCTTACTTCTGCCTCTAGGAAGTTGTAATGTAATTCCTTTGGAGACTTGCATAGTTGGATTTTCCCTTTTCCCTCCACCTATCTCCTTGAGAATTAGGTTTAGTTCCCTAGGTATGAGGCTAATGTCTGATTGTTCTGTTACAAATCTGAGAAGGATAATATTTTAAAGAAAGGTATCTTTCTGGGTCATTTGTGCCTCAGACTTAGGTGTTTGAAGGCCTTCTTATCCCCATGTAAGGGTGAAGCCTCTAATAAAATAAAAGTTAGAAATTTGGATGCATGATTTAATTGAATTACCAAATGATTTTGCAGATAAAGTTCAACTTTTGTTATTACTTGTAGTGCTTGTTGAAAGCTTGGTTAACCGAAAAAGAAGAGGCTTTAAATAAAGTCCAGACAAGCAACTTCAAAGACCAAAAGGAACTAAGTGTCAGTGTTCGACGTCTGGCTGTAAGTGATGGGGTTGTCAGCATCTGTGTTGTAAGCCTATGATATCTTAATGTTTTATAGCTAATGGTTAGTAGAATTTAGTGAATGCAGATTACAGCTCATTACCTAGCATTAGACTGCTGCCCTGTAACAATCTGGAACCACGAGTCTTACCTTTTAGCATAGTGAACTGCAAAGCATGTACATTTTACTATAAAAGATACATGTTTAAAATTTTTGGCTGGGGAACAGAAAGACAAAGTCCTGTTAAAAAGAGTCATCTAATAAATATCTGAAATACTAGATTTTGAAGGAAGACATGGAAATGAAGCGTCAAACATTGGATCAGCTGAGTGAGATTGGCCAGGATGTGGGACAATTACTTGATAATTCCAAGGCATCTAAGAAGATCAACAGTGACTCAGAGGAACTGACTCAAAGATGGGATTCTTTGGTTCAGAGACTAGAAGATTCCTCCAACCAGGTACTTTTTGATTTGGATCATATGTTGTGCCATGAAGTAAACATTTAAAATTTAAATGTTCAGGTTAGTTTTAATTTGTATGAAATAAACTAAAAAGTTGTTTCCTTACACCTGATGAAAAATTGACATGTGAAAATCACCTTCAGTTTTCTAAAGTAAGTTTTAATAGATTATCTTAATATCCTATAATTTAATTTATAGTAACTGATTATACTTAGCCAATAAATAATCTTAACATCTTAAATCTTAAGTAATCTTATTAATCTTAAAAATATTTTAATGAATTAGTCAAACATAAAACATTGGTTTGTAGACAGATATTCTTAGCAGCATTATTTATAATAGCCAAAAAGTGGAACAACTCAAATATCCATACACAGATGAATGGATAAACAAAATGTGGTGTATGCATACAATATTATCTGATAATACAAAAGAACGAAGTATTGACACATGCTACAACATAGATGAACCTTGAAAACACTATGCTAAGTATAAGAAGCCAATCGCAAGATTATATACGCTATGATTCCATTCATAGGAAATGTCCACAAGGGGAAAATCCACAGAGATAGAAAGTAAATGCATGGTTGCCACTGGTGGGAGTGGGGAATGGGGAGTGTTGGTTTATGGCTATGGGATTTCTTTTTGGGGTGATAAAATGTTCTGGAGACAGACTGTGAGGATGATTATACAACTGTATAAATGTGCTAATAACCATTAAATTGTGTATTTCAAAGAAAGAATTTTATAGCATGTGAATTACATCTCAATGAAGCTGTTATAAACATTGAAATTTTGGATGGCTTTTATTTCAGGTGACTCAGGCTGTAGCAAAGCTGGGGATGTCTCAGATTCCTCAGAAGGACCTTTTGGAGACTGTTCGTGTAAGAGAACAAGCAATTACAAAAAAATCTAAGCAGGAACTGCCTCCTCCTCCTCCCCCAAAGAAGAGACAGATCCATGTGGATATTGAAGCTAAGAAAAAGTGAGAAGAGATAGAGAAATTGTTCAAATCCAATATTGCACATACTATATTTTCTACTTGGTGCCTATTTTGTACTAATCATTAATCATAGGCAAATCTAGACATAATAAGTATTATTATTATGAAAAGTCAACTACTGAACCACTCACTGCCCCTGTCTTCTGAATATTCTACTTGGCACTAGCTAAGCATCCAAATTTTCTTGGATGATTTTATTTATCCTGTGTTCAATTGGGAGAACTTTGTGATCGAAGCTTTCTTTCTTCCTTTCCCATTATTCTCCTTGGAAGGATATGATTGTCCATGACTGTCTTTTTATTCTTTCTTTCACTGTCACAACTCGACAGTGACCTCCTCAGTCTTTGAATATAGCTTCCCCAGTTTTTATTGTCAGAAAGTGCAGGGGATCCTTAACCATTCCTATTAACATGGTTTCCAGACCCTTTTATATCTTCTGTCTGCTCTAGAAACCACTATTGGTTTGCCTTAAAATGGACTACCCCAATAATCGAGGGCCTTAAATGACTGCTTAATGCAGTGCCTAGTTTAAAATATATGCTTAAAAAATGGCAGCTCATTTCCACTTCTCTTCCCCTGGTGCTGCTGTGGTGGTGGTTTTTACCAGCTCGCGGTACAGTGGACAGTCATTTCCTAGAATGTAGACACCTGTTCCTGTGACCTGCGATCATTGCATCACTCTTGCCCATATTGAGAGCAGATGCTGACTGAGTCTCCAAGGTCATTGGAAACGTGCGATTTTTAGATGGCCGTCTCTTCTCTGAAATATTAAATAGAAAGCTGCTGTTAAGATGACAGGAGGAACATATCCCTGTTTGAGCAATACCTTGACCCCAGATATTTATCTAGAGCATCACAAAATCCCTCACATTTTACAGGGAAAATCTACCTTGATGAAAAGATAAAATATTCATAGTTCACCAGAAACACTTTAAGCAAAGTTTCTCACAAGAATCAGCAATAACGACTTGTGCCACTGCTTAATGTATCGAGAAGCTCTGTGGGGAGGGTACTAGTTAAGAAGACAGTCTTGGTTTGAATCCCAGCCTCACCCTTTGTTAGCTTTGTGACATGGGACAGTTACTGAAAACCTCTGTGAGCTCAGTACCTTCATCTCTAAAGGGGATAATAATAGTGTATACTTTTTAGGGTGCTGGTGAGGATTCCTTGAGTTAATAATAGACATAAAACACTTAGAAAGGGGCCGGGTAGAAGGCCAGCAATCAGTGATCGTGACTCCTCTTGTTCCTCCTTGCTGTGGTTTTGACCAACCTTCTCAACACCTCTCAAACCTGTCCTTTCGTCTTCCTTCCCACTGTTACTATCTTAGTTGTGACTCCCGTTGCTTTCACAGCCTGTTCTCGACTCGTCTCTCTTTAATGCCTTCTCCTCAGTGAACACTAAAGGATAAATAGAATCATGTCAGTTCCATGCATAGAACTCTCCCTTGGCTCTCAACTGCCTTTGGGTTAAGTCCAAACTCCTTAATATGTCCTGCAGGGCCTTCTTGTAGCTGGTCCATGTGATTCTTGGCCACATCGTCAATTGTCCCTCCCTTGTGAGTTCAGTACTCATTATTCCAGACACGCCTAACTAATACTTGCAGTTTGCAAAATGTGATCTTCCCTTTCTCTGCTTTCCCTTGGCAAGGGAAACTCCTCAGTGTAATGCTGTTGTTCTCCTTTAGGAAGCCATCCATGCCCCAATTGGATTAGAAGCCACTCCTGTGAATTCCTGGAATTAGCACCTAGCAAATTCTTTTGTTATTGCCTGTTACTTTCCATTGCTTACTAGACTAGAAGCTCCTTGGGAGCTGAGATTTGTATCTGGTTCACTTTCATATCAAGAGCCCAGCCCAGTGCCTGACATTTAGTAAGGCTCAATCATTACATATTGAACAAAAGAAGATGTTAACTTTAGTAATGTCTGTACTTGTTCTTTGCTGATTATCTAACCAACTCTGGTTTTTATTATCTATAAGCATTTATAAAAATACAAGTGATTCCTTATAAAGGTGAAAATTGTTTTAATATGTAAAGTTTTAAAAATTTTTATTTAAGGCCAGGCATGGTGGGTCATGACTGTAATCACAGCACTTTGGGAGGCCAAGGCGGGCCGATCATGAGGTCAGCCTGGCCAACATGGTGAAACTCTGTCTCTACTAAAAATACAAAAATTAGCTGGGTGTGGTGGTGGGCACCTATAATCCTAGCTACTCGGGAGGCTGAGGCAGGAGAATCCTTTGAATCTGGAGGCGGAGGTTGCAGTGAGCCGAGATCGTGCCATTGCACTCAAGCCTGGGTGACAGGGCGAGACTCCATCTCGAAACAACAACAACAACAACAAATTATTTAATTATTTTCTTCAATTGTTTATTAACCCTATAATATTATTACTCTTTTCATACTTTTAGTTGTAAATATATGATCTCATTTTGCATGGTTACCCTATTTCTGGGTTGCTGTTTTTGGGGGAGTGATAAAAAGACATATTCCTGATGAGCATTTGAGTTGCTCTTTCTGGAGTCAAGTAAAACAGTAGAAGGAAACATGACAAATGGTCACCTCTGAATCTTCAAACAGGTTTGATGCTATAAGTGCAGAGCTGTTGAACTGGATTTTGAAATGGAAAACTGCCATTCAGACCACAGAGATAAAAGAGTATATGAAGATGCAAGACACTTCCGAAATGAAAAAGAAGTTGAAGGTAAAAAACATAAACCACATATATCCTAGTGCATAAAATAGTTCATCATGCTGGATTTTCTGCTGGCATAAAGACATTATGGAATTCAAAAGCCTCCTGTAAAATAAATGTAGGCAGAAGGTAGCTTTTAGTACATTGTAGTGAATTTTGAATCCATTCATGCTAGCTGTCATCAGATCCCTATTTGGAGGACGTTTTTTTTTTTTCATCTTTGTCAGTCACTGAGATGTACAGTGAGGAATACTTCTTATGGTGATCCAGTTAGTGGTACTACTTTTTAGTTAGTTTAGATCACCCTTAATCTGGTATCTAATAATTTATGACTCTATATTAACATTATGCTGAAGATGTTTTGCCTTCGGAATACAACAAACTATTTTAAATCAAAAAGTGTATTCAATATATTTTCTTTAGAGTTGTAAAAAATAAATACAATTAAAAGGTGTGGGATCTTAGCCCTGCCGCTTTCCATGCTTATGTGTGTTTCTGAAGAGTGTGATGGGAACTTGCAGAGCTTTTTTGTCCTGGGTGCTCATACGTCTCCTACACATTACTGCATTAACTATTTGGGCACCTGGGTAGAGAATCTATAGTCTAGTCTCCTGCCATCTTAAGAGGTAGCAAAAAATCAACTTGTAAAAAGTAGATAATTGCCTTTTTCTCCAGTTCGATGGTGACTTTTACATTGATCTTTAGTTAGACAAAATAAACGGTGTTTCTTAGAGTCTCTTACTAATATTCCTTGATCTTTGACTATAAGAAGGTTGTTCTACCTAGTCACAGTAAACTTTGTGAAAATCAAAGTAGGATAGCTGAATTTATTTGATAGCACTTACATGTAAACAATTTAGAATTGGGATTCTTCTCTGGATTGTCTGGTTGAAGTAATATGGGTTGCTCAGAAGTTGTGATTGTGTTATGATGGATACTATTTGAATAGTATATAAATATGAATAATATATAAATATCAGTTGGGGATGGAGGAATGAGAGAAAATTCAAATACCGAGTTGTGTGCACATATAGTTGTGTTTTTGTGTGTATACATGATTTTACTTGCTTCATTCTTACTAGTTCTGGAAAGAATTTTGTCTTGGGAGTATCAAACTATAGAGATAAAAAAAATAATGAAATTAGGAGCCATTCCTCAACATAAAGAACAAAATGTGGGTTGGGCTTGCCATGGCTCACGCTTATAATTCCAGCACAAGGCAGGAGGATTGCTTGAGCCCAGGAGTTTGAGACCAGCCTGGGCACCATAGGGAGACCCCCGTCTCTACAAAAAGTAAAAAAAAAAAAAAATTTGTGGGGCGTGAGCTTGCACTTGTAACTCCAACTACTCGGGAGGCTGAGATAGGAGGATCCTTTGAGCCCAGGAGGTTGAGGCTGCAGTGAGCCATGATTGTGCCACTGCACCCCAGCCTGGGTGACAGAGTGACAACCTGCCTCAAAGAAAAAAAAAAAAAAAAGGAACAAAATGCTTTGGTTTGGGTTCTAAAGCATATTTACTATTTTCATTATTTAAAAATTATGTATGAAATATGATTGTGCTTGAAGTTTGCATTGAACCCTAGACTTAATATAACCCAAACAAATAATACTGAGCCTCAAAATATTTCTATCCATTTTTTCTGTTTTCTTTCTTTTGAGATGGGAGTTTTGCTCTGTTGCCCAGGCTGGAGTGCAGTGGTGCAATCTCGGCTCCCTGCAACCTCTGCCTCCCGGGTTCAAGCAATTCTCATGCCTAAGCCTCCTGAGCAGCTGGGATTATAGGCACACGCCACCACGCTTGGCTAATTTTTGTATTTTTAGTAGAGTTGGGGTTTCACCATGTTGGCCAGACTGGTCTCAAACTCCTGACCTCTAGTGATCCACCCCCCTCAGCCTTCCAAAGTGTTGGGATTACAGGTGTGAGCCACCATGCCCAGCCTATCCTTTTTTCTTGTTAGTTAATTTTTGTTCAACAACTTCTGTCATAACACATTCAATTCTTTTGACTCAAACCATTATTTTTATGGCATGGCGTACTCAGGGTATGTATGTGAATAGATATCCTGGATCTAAAACATAATTTTAATTATTTCCTTCTAATAGGAGCTTATAATTATGAGGTACATTTTTTTTCTTACAAAAGAAACCAATGCTTTTTAGTTGCTATGATTACGTTTGAATTTACCTTTTCAGATTTAAAAAGAATGTAGGAGGGCCATTCAACTTAAACATTTAAAACAGCAACATTATATTGAGAAGAAAGTTTGCAATATTCTTATGTTGGGACTTCATTTGCAGGCATTAGAAAAAGAACAGAGAGAAAGAATCCCCAGAGCAGATGAATTAAACCAAACTGGACAAATCCTTGTGGAGCAAATGGGAAAAGGTAAGATCCTTGATTTTTTTCCCCTATATTTTTCAGATGGTGGCATCGAATAATATTACAGTTTGCCCTATTAAATATTTTGCTTTAATACTCGAATCCTCTTTTGGCTAGATAAATGGTTTTCAAAAATGTTTTTAGGCAGCAGAATCTTTAAAAATGAAATTTTATTCTGAAGCTGATTGTAAAAAAGCAGATAAAAGCAAAGTTGTTCTGATTTTATATGGGGTCGGGGCTGGATACCCTGATTAGCAGAACAGTTAAAACCCACTAGCATAGTATATTTTAAAACTGTATCCTTTGGGTTTATATATTGGGAATTTGTTTGCAGGGTGGTAGCAAAAGAAAACTTTACTTGGCAACATTTGGGAAACGAAGTTACGTTAAATTCATTAAGGGTATTTGATTTTTGATAACTTTTAATGCATTATATTTATTTACTACAGTATTTTTATAGTTAAGTTTGATAAGGTGTTACTTATATATGAAATTTTTAAATGCTCCCAAGACTTTTTTTTTTGCTGTAGCTCCCAGTGACTCAGAATAAGCTAAAGATTAATATTCTTGATGTGCAGTTTTGCATATGAATCTCTCTTTGTTCTAGAGAAATGTTGAAAGACATTTCTTGCACTCCATGTACGTTGGTCTAATAATGGTAAGCACTTTGGAAGGCTGCTGTAGCTCTCCTTGACACCTGTACAGATACCTATACAGAATTAGGAATATTAGTTTGACAAGAATCTTAAAAGCAGTAGCATTTAATTTTTTATTGTTTGACTTTTTGTTATGGAAAATATAACTGTATAAAAGCAAATAGAATACTATAATGAACTTCCTTGTATCAGTTACCTAGTTTAGTAATTGACAATATTCTGCCATTCTTGAATTATCTATACCTTTACTCGTTCCTCAGCCTCTCAATTATTACTATTTTTACAGTTTTCTTGGAAGTAAAATTTACTTACATTGAAATACATGACTTAGCTGTGCTGTTTTGACAAATAGATATACCTGTGTAACCTACACACACACATCACTGTAGAAAATTTCCATCTTTCCAGAAATTTCTCTTTTGGGTTAGTCACCTTCCTCCCTCCAGAAAACAACTGTTCATGTTGTTTTGACCTTAGATTATTTTGCCTCCAGCCTTTAACAAATATGTTTATTTATTTAGTATGTATACTGGATATGTGTATACACACACACACACAAACACACAGAAACATATATACACACACAAACATATATAGATATATACACATACACACAAAATATGGAATGTATACCATGTGGACAGTGTATGTCCATTTATTTTGAAATTATGCAAATGTATTATCAATCCATTTATTATTAATAAATGTTAATTTCTTTCTTTAAATAAATTAAATAGAATAGTATTTAATATTTTCTTTCAAAATCCATTCTAGCAGATTGTCTTAGTTGTCCTTCCTGTGGGCATCCCACTTGGAGGTTACTCTTTCCAGTATTTACTTGAAGAGATCCAGAGACACAAACAGATGATAACTTCCCTTGAGATTCATTCAATAATTATAATGCATTGGATGTTGAATTTATTTCCTTTACAAGCATAGATTTTTTACTTCTACCTCAGCATTGTACCTGGTGACTCTGACTTTATCTGATGTGAATATGGGATAATTTCTTGAATCTGTGTACTGAATTTACTCCCATTTCTGTCAGGTTTTCAGCAGTGTGGCAGAATTATGAAGATGGGGGAGACTTGATGTAGATGAGAAGTTGGTGCGAGGTGATGTTATAGTGAGAATAACAGTGATTGGGGGAATGGGCAAACTTGGATTCTCCTGTCCTTTTCTAGTTTCTTATCCTTGGGAAAGTCTTGGAACCCTTGTTTCTTTGCCTTGGTGTCTGGAAAATGAGGGAGTTTATTAGCTGACTCTTAGCTGTTAGTTTATCAGGTGACTATTAGTTTATTAGCTGACTATAGGCTTTGGTCCATAAAATTCTACCATAAATGGGTCCTAAATAGACACATTCTGGACATTGAGTTCACATGAAAGTGCTACTTGCAAAAGGCCAAAGGCAACACTGGAGAATAGTTGACATGGGGCTTTTGTCACCTAATGTATACTTGCCCAATTTCATAGGAAACCTTTTATAGTTTGTATTATCATGTTTTTTCAAGCATTGGTGGAATTAGAAATGCATTCATTAGAGGACCCTAATTCTTTTTTGTTTTAAAGATGCATCTATTAAAAAATTTTTTTTAGGACAACAGTGGGAAGCTGAGAAATGGGGGAGCTGAACTGGATAAAGTCTGTGTGTTCCAGTTCAGTTAGGGAGGCATGTCAAATTCTTCAGTAAAACCCATATTTGAATAATCACGTCACTGTTTTTCTGAAACCAGTTCCATCAAAAAGCCCACCATAGCCAATTCTGATAGGTCTTTCCTGCCTAATGCATTTTACATAAGTTTTGAGGTATCTCATAGAGCATAGAAACAATTTTAGAAAATAAAATAGCGTGAGGCTGGGCGCAGTGGCTCACACCTGTAATCCCAGAACTTTGGGAGGCCGAGGTGGGTGGGTCACGAGGTCAGGAGATCAACACCATCCTGGGCAACATGGTGAAACCTCGTCTCTACTAAAAATACAAAAATTAGCTGGGCATGGTGGCACATGCCTGTAATCTCAGTTACTCAGGAGGCTGAGGCAGGAGAATCGCTTGAACCAGGGAGTCGGAGGTTGCAGTGAGCTGAGATTGCACCACTACACTCCAGCCTGGTGACAGAGCAAGACTCTGTCTCAAAATAATAATAATAATAATAATAATAATAATAATAATAATAATAAATAAAATAGTGTGTTTCATTTGACTTTCATAGCTGATATACTTGGTTTTCTTCGTTTAGCTTATCTTGTTCCTAGAGCTCTTCATCTAGTAAAATACAGTAGAGTAGTTGGGCATCTGGATAATGTGGCTTTATGAATCAATGCCCATTGTGGTTGCCTAAGCATATAAGCCCAGGAAGTTTGGTGAAGGTCCTATGTTTTGTAAACGTTTCCCTTGATTCCAATAGTGATAGACTGAGAAGTGTAAAGTCAAGTGAGACTGAGTGGCAGGAATGTGTTCTATGTTCTCCCTTTTAGACAATTAATAAAGTGATCTTCTGTTGATTTTGCCTTTTGACTAGTCACCTTCTAAGAACTCTGTGTTTTATAGAAATAGAAAATTTTAAACTCTGGATCTCTGGGAGTAAAACAACTATTTTTAAAGACAATGTGCAGTTTTCCTTTTATAAGATGTAAATTGTGTTTGAATCATTACCGGGCATCACTGTAACCAGCAATATCTCAGGATTAGAGAAAGGGAGATTCAGATGTTTAAAATTGGTTTAAAGAGGCAAAATGAATGGCTTGTAAGACATTGTCAGTGAAAAAATAACTGAAGTTGTTTTAACCGCCCTTGTTCTTGAAGTGAGCACCTCTTTCCAGTTTTCTAGATGAGTAGTGGTAATTTTCCATCTCAGAAATTTTATTTACCTACTTAATTTTCTTCCTTGATTAGTATGAATTGTCCAACATAAAGATGATGTGGCTGGTGTTACTATTCCTTTGCCTGCCTAGAATAGAAATGATGGGGCAGGGGCATGACCCATATCTCCATTGTTCATATTGTTAGGAAAATGGTGATTTGTTTTGTATACTCTCCCCATTAACAGGGGTAATGCAGCATGGCTTGTGGTGTGAATGCTTTGCTTATGTCTCATATTCTCTTACCTGAGAGATGGTGGTGAACAGTGAACTTCTGCAATTGACATAGGTGACACATTCAAATGACAGCATGATATGCCCTCATTTATGATTTTCAGTAGACACAGTGTATTATAAAAATTTTCAAAGTTGCATTGTCTGTGGATCATACATGACTTTTTGTTTTTATGCCTTTGTTTTTTAGTTCAAGCTCTCATTATCCTGGATTTTGATCATATATGTTTATAAAGCAGGATTGTTTTATTGCTTTCCTACTCAATAAAAATGTGAAGCCATCCTTTTGGTATGCATGTTTTCCTCCGAATAGAAAGATTCCTTTGAAGATTTCCCATACTTTTTCATAGTCATTTTAGAGGATTTGAAGGTATTTTAGATTAAGGGAAGGACTATGATAAAACCTATTATTATATATGACTTTATTATTTTTAGGAACATTCTCTACTTTTCAAAAATATCGGACAAATAAAATGATAAGATTTCAGTAATAAAAATGGTGGCATTGTTTTCCCTGATGTGTTTCTAAAGTAGATCATCTTATTGCTGCCTCAGTCTTTTGGTATTTGCTTATTTATGTGCAAGGTCTCCAGTGGGCTTGCTGATGCTTCTAGAGCCTGGCTGCTGGCTTAATATTCCTGCACTCACCAGGTTGCTTCCCAGCATAAGGCATCCTCGCCATTCATTTTTTAATTTATATGACACTGTGCTTTGGTCACCAAGACCTGAGCTGCCTCCTAGTTTTTCTAGCCAGCTTTCTTTTTTTCTTAGGACAAAGGGTCTTCTTTCTGAAGTCGGGCCTAGACAGATCAAGGTAGTTGATCTTATTTCACTGGTTCAGGTGATAAACTAGCAGAGTAGAAGCATGGCATGGATGGAAACATATATTATCTAGAAAAGGCAGTGGCTGAAGTTCTACTGATGTGCCTGAATCGTTATTTTAAAATGTCTTTCTTCTTTGTTCAAGGAATTGAAATAAACATCATTATTTTTAAGTGCATCATTATAAATTTTTGTTGTTGTATTAAAAGGGACTTAAGAAAGTGATCATTATGTGTGACATTGCCTCACTATTCTGAGTGTTAGAATGTTCAGAATAAATTCAAGACACATTTTGTAATATATAGACTGTTTGCTTGTTTTTCATGTCTGCATAGAAGGCCTTCCTACTGAAGAAATAAAAAATGTTCTGGAGAAGGTTTCATCAGAATGGAAGAATGTATCTCAACATTTGGAAGATCTAGAAAGAAAGATTCAGCTACAGGAAGATATAAATGCTTATTTCAAGCAGCTTGATGAGCTTGAAAAGGTCATCAAGACAAAGGAGGAGTGGGTAAAACACACTTCCATTTCTGAATCTTCCCGGCAGTCCTTGCCAAGCTTGAAGGATTCCTGTCAGGTAAGGAGCCAACGGTCTGGAAAGTGGAGGAATTCTATGTGCAGTTCCAGAGTTAAGGAGGGCTTCTCGTATCATGAACTTTAAGTTAATGCTGCCCTGATTAACTTCCTGTGAGGATGTTCATCTTCAGTGAGTTGTGTGACCGTATTTTCTCTTCCTTAGCGGGAATTGACAAATCTTCTTGGCCTTCACCCCAAAATTGAAATGGCTCGTGCAAGCTGCTCGGCCCTGATGTCTCAGCCTTCTGCCCCAGATTTTGTCCAGCGGGGCTTCGATAGCTTTCTGGGCCGCTACCAAGCTGTACAAGAGGCTGTAGAGGATCGTCAACAACATCTAGAGAATGGTAAACCCAACAATTTTAAAATCTCCTGTCTCAGTTTGCCTTAATGTAAACATGACTCCCAACATTTAGAACTTGAGTACACTTGCTTGCTTTGCACCAACCTTCTCCATTTTCCTTTGTGCCTGTATTGTTCAAAGTCTTAAAGTCTTCTGTATTCAGATTCTTTTCCAGATTCACACCTTTTTGTAAACATACAAGCAAGTTTCACATTCTCTAAAATTGTGTCAGTAGGATATAATAATAATTTTTTTTTTTGTAGCTACAGGATCTCACTCTGTCACCCAGGCTGGAGAGCAGTGGTGCAATCATAGCTGCAGTCTTGACCTCCTGGGTTTCAGTGGTCCTTCTGCCTCAGCCTACTGAGTAGCTGGGACTACAGGCATGCACCACCATGCCTGGCTGGTTTTTTATTTTTAGTAGAGCCAGGGTCTAGCTATGTTGCCCACGCTGGTCTAGAACTCCTGGGCTCAAGTGATCTTCCCACCTCAGCCTCCCAAAATAACAGGTGTAAGCCATTATAACAGGTGATATAACAGCCTCCCAAAATAACAGGTGTTAGGCAAAATAACAGATGTTAGCCTCCCAAAATACCAGGGATAACAGGTGTCAGCCATTGTACCTGACCTGGATATAATGATTTTTAAAGATTTTTTTTTTTTTTTTTTTTGAGAAACAGGTGCAATTTCTTCCTTTGGTTGAGGAGGCCACTTAATATCATTGCTAGGAGGATCAAAATGAATGATCCCTTACTTCTGTTTCCTCAAAATAGTTAAAGTTTTGGCAGTCTCATACTGTCTTTTAAAAGAAATCATATTCCACTGTCAGATTCAGAAAAATTTTAGAGTTCTTACTTTTGGAATACACTTGGTTTTGGAAGGTTCACTGTTAAAGATTTTGAAAGCTCATCCCTCCTACGTTACACTATTTACTTCCTAGCTGCCATTTGAGTTAGGAACTGTGTTGCATTGTGCATTATTTTGTGAAATGCATTGAGCATTGTGTGAAATGCTCCACATGTAACCCAGCCTAACTTCAGCAATTGTAGATTGTGTGATGACTGGAAGTGTCTGTATGTGTGCATGCTAGGCAAATGTGTCGTATTGCCTTTCTTCTGAAAGTGCATCTGGACAGCATGTCTTTGTTCCTTGAATTCAGTTATGTGAAATATGTCTTTGAGGGTACCTCTTTCTCCACTTATTGGTACAAGCTGTGCTTTCACTTTTGACAAGGATCAGTAGGCAGTTTAACTTTTGCTGCTAGTTGGTTTCACCTCTTTGTGCTTCAAGAGAACTCACTTCCTTTCCACGCAAGTGTTACTTCTGTGATATTTTTACATTAGTGACTGAGGTAGACACTGTTCCAGCTGGCTGTTCAGTCATTATTTCTCAGGGTACCTGGGCAGCATGGTGGCAGTATTTCCATATAATCTCCTCCACTCTGGACCTGGGTTTGTCTACACGGTGGAGCTTACAGCAAGACTGGTTGAAGGGATCTTTGTTTTCTTTTATTCTTTGTGTAGCTGTTAAGGAAGAGGAGATTATATGGAACAAAAGGGACATTGTTGTTCCATCTTCAGAGAGACATTTCATCATGAAGAAATGAAGAAAAATTATAGTGGGTTAGTTAATATTTCAAACGTCAACATCCGCAGGAATGAAGTCACTGTCTGACTCTCAGAAATGCCAATGGAATGATCTATGTTGTTAATTAACAGAGACCCTTTTACATTTTAATCATGGGGTCTCCTTTGCCATGTATTGGAATTCATTTAGGATAATGGTCTATGTAATAATATTGGTTCCTAATATGATTTTTTCAAACTAAATATTTTTAAATAAACAGAACTGAAGGGCCAACCTGGACATGCATATCTGGAAACATTGAAAACACTGAAAGATGTGCTAAATGATTCAGAAAATAAGGCCCAGGTGTCTCTGAATGTCCTTAATGATCTTGCCAAGGTGGAGAAGGCCCTGCAAGAAAAAAAGGTAACATATATCTTCCATGTTAGAACTCTAGCGCTTCTTCTAATATCTCCTCTTACATATTTTGAAATGTTTTTTCAGAGATTAAAAAAAAAGTTGGTCAGTTTTGTTCATCATTGGTGCAAAAATGTGTTTATGATTTGAGGGTTAGTTTGACCTCACATAAAAGAAAGTACAGTTATTAAAAATTTTTTCATAGAAGAAAAGCATATTTTCTCCTTCTGCTGTGATTAGCTTAAAATTCTCAACCTGTTCATAAAATCTGCTAAAATATCTTTATGAAATGAGGACTATCAGTTGACGTGTTGATGTATACTTTTTTCTGCATCGAATAGGAATGTTTCCGAGGTCATTTAGTTGAGTAGCCTTATGGCTCTGTGCTATTAGATGAAAAGGAGAGCAGCCATTGAGCACTGCACACTTGGCCCACACTGGGTTTGCTGTTCCCTTGGTTTTTAGGGTTGAGAATACACTGTATTGCCCACACACAACTCATGAAGAAAAAGCTTTAATTTTTATGATTATGCCTATTTTTTTCATGAGTTTTTCATGTTTTGTTTTGTTTTGTTTTTTGATTTCCAACTTTTATTTTAAGTTCAGGGGTACTTGTGCAGGATGTGCAGGTTTGTTAAATGGGTAAACGTGTGTCATGGTAGTTTGCTGCACTACGTATTAAGCCCAGCATCCATTAGCTCTTCTTCCTGATGCTTTCCCTCCCACCATGCCCCACCCTCCAACAGACCCCAGTGTGTGTTTTTCCCCACCATGTGTCCGTATGTTCTCATTATTCAGCTCCCACTTATAAGTGAGAATATGCGGTATTTTTTTTTGTTGTTTCTGAATTAGTTTGCCGAGGATAATGGCTTCCAGCTCCATCCATATACCTGCAAAGGACATGATCTTGTTCCTTTTTATGGCTGCATAGTATTCCATGGTTGATATGTACCACATTTTCTTTAAGTAGTCTATCATTGATGGGCATTTGGGTTGATTCCTTGTCCTTGCTATTGTGAATTGTGCTGCAATGAACATAGTGTGCATATATCTTTATAACAGAATGATTTGTATTCCTTTGGGTATATACCCAGTGAGATTGCTGGGTCAAATGGCATTTCTGGTTTTAGGTCTTTGAGGAATCACCACACTGTCTTCCACAGTGGTTGAACTAATTCACACTCCCACCCACTGTTCTTTTTAGATAAAAATGCTTTCTAATGCATTTTAAAGTGACTTTTGACTTTATATAGCCCATTTTACTATATCTGTGCAGACACATTTTTGTGCATATTTTTAATCTTTTAAAACTTTTTCCAGACCCTTGATGAAATCCTTGAGAATCAGAAACCTGCATTACATAAACTTGCAGAAGAAACAAAGGCTCTGGAGAAAAATGTTCATCCTGATGTAGAAAAATTATATAAGCAAGAATTTGATGATGTGCAAGGAAAGTGGAACAAGCTAAAGGTCTTGGTTTCCAAAGATCTACATTTGCTTGAGGAAATTGCTCTCACACTCAGAGCTTTTGAGGTAAATCCAGAGGCCACTGGGAGTTTAAGTTTATTACGGGGTAAATAGTAATTATCTTATAAGATTCACGTATTTATTATTTAAATATTTTACATTCTTTCTAGATCCCCATTTATTATGTATTTAAGTTGGGACTTATCAAAGATGTACTTTTAATGTGCTAGAGAGCACATTTATTTCCTTTTGCCTGGAAGCAAAGTCAAAAGTAGAGTAAACTGGACCTTGAAGATAAGAGAAAATTGCTTAAAAATGGTCAAAATAATGTTTCAGGCATGGAGGGCCTGTGTGAAATACAGACTGTTGATTAGATTATAGTAGTAACTTGGTTGGGGTGGTAGAAATAGCCCAGGTAGTAGTAAATTGCTGAATACATGAAACTACTTTTTGCAGGTTTTTGACATTTGAAGTCAAAAGTCAGAGATAGGCCATTGACAGTGTCAGAGTGGGAAGGCAAATCGTTCCAGGGACATGAAAATTCAGAAACAGGATCCTTCACTACACCTGAAAATGTTGACAGATGCAGCAGTGATAAAGTTTAAGAGGAAAGGATAAATGTGAGGATGTATAAGGAGAGAGTCAATGTCAATAGAAGTCAGTGTCAGATTTTAACATTCTGCCTGTGAGAAAGATGGAGAAGCAGAGTTTCCAGGTCACCTGGTATTTTAATAGGAAAGTTCTGGGTGGAGAATGAACCAATCACACTCTCTCCCTGCAAGGCTTCCTATCCTCCAGTGACTCCTTACCTTGGTCTTTTTTTTTTTTTTTCCCCATCAGTCAGGGATCTTTGTCTTTTTTAAATTTCTTATTCACCGATGTATGCCAAGATGTACTCATAACTAGAGCAATGCCTGGCACAGAGAAGGCATCCAATCAATATTTTTCAACGAATGAAATGAAATTAGCAATAGGAGATTTAGATTTGGATATATCTCTGTATATCTATCTATCTATATATATAGATAGATAGATTCTCTTGGAAGCTAAATCCAAATATGTGTAGATATATATCTATATATATAGGGAGATGTCTCTGTATATATGCATATACATCTTTATTTATATAGAGAGAATCTAAATCCGAATCTATATATATTTAGATGTAGATCCAAATATATGTAGATACAATATATATATCTACATATATTTGGATCTACATCTAAATATTATATCTACATATATTTGGATCTAGATCTAAATATATATAGATTTGGATTTAGATGCTAAGCAAATTTGCATAAGGAATATTGCCCCCAAAAAGTGAAAAGATTGAAAGCGAAGACAAAAATTAATGAAAATGTATGTTTTGAAAATCAAAGTCAGAGAACACGTGGTAGAAGAGGAGCTGGAAGACCTCACAGATTAGTGTGGAAGGGATCCAGCCAGATTCTCTGAGTGGACCACTGAATTTGGAGGGGCGTTCTTTGACTCAGGAACTAATGGGTAGTTCCAATGAATGATCAGCAGAAGATACAGATGGAGGGGTTGTGTGTGTGTGTGGGTAGCTGTGTGTGATGGTAGTGACAGGAGGTAGTTTTTCTCTAGGTGTAAGTGCAGTTCTAGATGGAGATCTCATTCAAATAAACCAGTAATTATGGAGAGAAATGTGTTTTGTGTGGCTTAGTGTTTTTGACTCATTTACTTTTTTTTTTTTGAGATGGAGTCTTGCTCTGTTGCCCCAGGCTGGAGTGCCATGGTGCAATCTTGGCTTACTGCAACTTCAGCCTCCCGGGTTCAAGCAGTTCTCCTGCCTCAGCCTCCTGATTAACTGGGACTACAGGCACATGCCACTATGCCCGGCTAAGGTTTTATTTTTAGTAGAGATGAGGTTTTACCATGTTGGCCAGGCTGGTCTCAAACTCCTGACCTCAGGTGATCCACCCTCCTCGGCCTCCCAAAATGCTAGGATTACAGACATGAGCCACCATGCCTGGCCCATTTTACTTTGCGATGGTCCCACTTCTCGTTGTGTATTATGAGTTGCAATTGTTCCCGGCTTTCAAAATGAGCATTGGCCTTTTCTATAATTCTAAAGTTTTTGGTTATGGTCCCAGCATTGTATTATCAGTGATTCTCAACCGGGGTGATTTTACCCTCCAGAGGATACTTGTTAATTTCTGGAAACATTTCTGTTGTCAGAACTGTGGGAGAAGACTTCCAGTGGGTAGAGGCCAGGGATGCAGCTAAACATCCCACCATGTACAGGACAGCCTCACAACAAAATAATCATCTGGCTCCAAATGTCACTAGTGCCAAAGTTTAGCAATGCCAGATGAAACATTCCCCATCTTTTCAAAAGATCATCCCTTTGTTTTCAGATTTAAGTCCAAAGTATAAATGGAGATTAACCTCAGAGTTAGTCTTCTTTTGACTCTTAAAAGTATATCTTAGGGTTAGCTAAATGTATGCTACTATTTCAATATGGAGCTTAAAGAGAATAAATATTCTCCCAAAATACAAAAGAGTCCTGTGGTTATAGTAATCCAGCTTTAAGCTTTGGTGGGTTGTTGCTATTAATGTAGCAAATCCAGGCACTAAAAGTGGTCACTTGGAAATATTTATTTCCATTAAAAATATCCAACATCAAGGGTGTGTGTCTGGATATGTAAGTGTTTGTTGTTACAGTAGCAGATTTGTAATGTCCAGTACTTTTTTTATTTGCTTCTTGTGTACTAACTGCAAGATTGTGGTTAAGGAATACAGTGTCTATATTTCTTAATTGTATAACTTCTTCATTGAAATACATGTTTTATCTTAAATTCAAAAGAAAACTCCTTTTTTTTGCTTTGTAGGAATTGCTGGTTACTTAACTACTCATGATTTACTTGGGAAAACTTTAAATTCCACACCCTCAAATTATTAGATAATTATAATAAATATTTATTTGCAGATTATCATTGTTTTCCCTTTTTCAATGACCTGATATATGATTTTTTAGGCATTTAATTATTTTTGTCTTTAAGGCATGAAGCACAGTAGGTTTTAGATTCAATGCCAATTCATAATAATGTTTTGTAGGAACAAAATAGTTAACTCGTTTATTTTTAAAATGCATTTTTCATTACATGAGTAGTACTTGAAGCCTACACATTGTGAAGAAATTGAATACCACAGAAATACTTACAGTGAACATTTAGAGTTCCTTTTCTTCCCCAATACCATTTTCTTTCCTGGGGGCAGCTAATATTAACAGTGGATCCTTGTACATACAAGTTAGACAAGAACAATTGACAAATATTGCTAATTCCAATCATTTTCCCCCACACTGTGGAAAGAAATGATATTGGAACTCTGTGAAGGACATTTAAATCCATAGTCCAGATAGAGTTTGGAAGTGAATCCCACTACTTAATAACATCTTTCATTGATACAGCACATTTAAACTTTGAAAGTGTTTTCATGGCCATGTGCTTGCTTTTTTCTGCTATCCTTCAATATTTGTAAGAGGCTGTTAGTTGTGTGCGAATTTCAGTTTTCTGTTATTTGTTGGCATTGCAGTGTTTTTCCTCATTTGCCTGCATTTCCTTTGTCTCCATAGCTGGTTCCTTTTGTGCATGTTGAGATTGGACCTACATATTTTTATTCATTGTGTTATGCCCAAATACATTCTTAAGTTCTTTTTATTTGTGCCATGCCAAAGCAATAACCTCCATTCCTGTACTTACGAGGTAAAATATTCATTGTTACTTTTTACAAACTACTATACCCCTTCCAGGTGACAAAACATTTGAAAATACATGAAATGGGTATTTCTTTTTTCCATTATTGATTTTACTGACTGGATTTTCATGTGAATCATGGGGATAACATATTATAAAATCCTAAGAGGCTGCTTATATATCTCTCCTCACCAGTAGTAATATCTTTGGATTTAGGGGCTGCAAAGTATTTCATATTACGTACTTCCTTTTCCTTATTCAAGAGCTCCTGCCCTATGTATAACTGGGAAATGAAAGATGTCCCCAAGGCACACACAAAACTGTCTTCTATTTTCCAGCGCTCCTGCCTTTTCAGGCTCCTCCTCCAGGCCCTTCCTTCTGGGTTCAGGCTCTCATGCAATCTCTTTCCCTGAAAATTTCATTACCCTTTAAATCTGATTCCCACTTCCTGTCTCTTCTCTCTGGAATTCATCTTTCACACCAATACCAGAGTTGTACTTCTGAAAGGATCTGGTTGTCTTCACCATTAATACAAATTAATACCAAGTGCCATTAATACAAAATGTCCCTTTCTTGCCCTGAAGCCCTCCCTGCATCTCCACTGTGAGCTGAGTCAGGTGGGGAGAATACGGTGGGTCACCAAAGACCATCCTAGACTATTGCCTTTCTCTGAAAATGTCATGTACTTGCTAGGAATTCACATCCCTCCTCCTCCTGTCTGCTCATCTGTCTTCAGCCCAGCTCATCACTACACCCATAGCTAGATAATCGTTCCCTCCTCTGTGATTCGACTGTGTGTCATTTACACCTTCACAATGACCCATCTCAGGCCGTCTTTTATTATGGTGAGAAATGTGTGTCTCTCTTCCCACGAGGCATGAGCTCTTTGAGGGTTGGATCCCTGTCAGGCATAGAGCAAGTTAGCAGATGTGAATGTAATTGATGTGTCCGGCCTCTCTAGTGAGAGTGGATTTATACAGTCTAAAGCCTGGTTATCCTAAGTGGCAGGACACCTGTGTAGTCATGCCTCTTCCTTCAACTGTTGAACAGTCAAAGGCACACATGAATGGACTTGCTCTGACCCGGAATCTGGAGGGGGGCGTGCTGGAGCTCCAACAGGCAGAACCAGGTTTTGAGAGTACTTTGGAAAGCATTTTAGGGTAAAAATGCAATACTTTCTAAGAGTAATATTAGTACGGATGATTTAACCCTTCTTAGGTAACATATAATTGATATAATTATCTCATAAGGGTTTGAGTTTTTTTTCTCATTTGTGAACACATTTTACTTTACTGAAGGGAATATTCATATATTCCCTTCCTTAGATTTAAGAACCTTATTAGTTTTTAATAAGTGTAGTAGCAGTGTCATTGTTTGTCTTCCCTACTAAGTGAGAGAGCACATTTTCAAGGTTGTGTTTTTGAGGTTATTGAGTATTATAAAGTGAAACAAAATAGGAACCTGGCTGCCTTAAATTACTGTTTTAATTCTGGCTTCACACTATTTTTTTTTTTTTCTGGTCTATGTCTTAAAAAGCTGTGGACATTCCGACAGATGGGGGAGGAGCAAAAGAAAATGCCAAGAATTTAGCTGTAATCAAGTCTCCAGAGGTAGTTGTGTACCTTGCAATCTTACTGTCTTAAATCCAGATTTACCAAGCTTTAAATTACCTCCATCCTTAGGTCACAGGATGGGGGATGGGAAATGAGGTGAGATAGGGTCAGAGGAATTGTTTTAATGACCTTGCTGTTCCTTGTCCGTGATCCCATAGCAGGTTGTTGCCCATCTGAAATGCTTAGAAATCATTGCTTTTGAGCAGTGATGGTCCATGTAGACTTTGACCCTTCCATACTAGAATATTTGATATTTTGATTTTCAAAAAATACTGTATTCGTAATTTTATATTCATTTGAATATTTGTGAGTAAAAATAGGTATGAGAAATGGCTGCCCCAGATTAGTACTTAGTTTATTTTTTTTTGCATGTGAAATAATGACATTTGCTTTAGAAATTTACTAACAGTTTTTATATTTCGTTTTGGTTTGTAAGAACTGAAGTCCCTTAAAGAAATGTGTGTGTGTGTGTGTGTGTGTGCATGCGTGTGTTCTGTAAGCAGATGGAGGTGAAGAAAAAAATCGTCATTATTGTAGATTAGAAGCTTGTAAGTGCATCAGCTGAGTAATTTTTAAATGGACAGAGAAACACTATTTTCATGTGAGCTCTTTGACGATCTTTGTAATCAACCTCTTTGTTGTGGTGGAATTGACTTAAAGATGAGCAGACTTTTGGTATGTTTGAAAAGCACAGGAAACATCTGCTACAGGTTGATTGTGACAATATTTTGCTCAGGGAAAGGGGAGATAAGATAGGGAGAGTGGAAGGCAGAGTAGAGCTCCCTGTCTTCTGCCTTCACCCATACAGGTACAGGTGGTAGGTAGCATTGATCTTTGGGACTTGATAACCCTTCCCGCGCGGTGTGCCACGAGGTGGAAACGCCGAGTGAATCTGCTGCTGCCAGGCACTTCTAAAGGATGGGCCTTTCCTTCTGTACCAATTCCTTCCCATGAGCTGTATTTGGCCAGGTCTAGCCAGATATATAAGCAGTAGCCATTTGAAACAGTTACTTTGAAACAGTTACAGGATAGAACAAGCATTAATGTTGGCAGCAATTAAAAAAGTGAAACCCATGCTTATGCAAACACATGCTCATCCTGGCTGTTCATTCCTGTGGTGCCTCTGATGGGACATAAACACCAAAACTTGGATGTGGTAACTCTTTTATGGTCTCAATCTTGGTCATAATAAAGCAGTTGGTTTTGTAGATCTTAGTATAATAATCGCTACCATTTAGTGCATTCTTCTATGTGGGAGTCTCTGTTTTTCAGAACAACCAGACAAGATAGTTGTTATGATTCCAGTTTCACAATGAGTTATTAAGGCTCAAAGAAAAATTAGTTTCTCAAGGCCCCATGGCTAGGCAGGTGCTGAGCTTGGTAGTCAGACCTCAGCATTTCTTTATATGGGCACACTGTCTCTTTTAGAGCACAGTGTGGTTAGAATTACATGCAGGATTTTTAGTAGTGAAAATATTATAGTGTGGCTTTACAGGTTCCCTTCTATTCCCTTTGTCACTTTTGGGATGATCCATTGGCCTACATGGCTTCTCTGTCTGTTTCTTTCCTTTTTTTTTTTAGTATTTATTGATCATTTTTGGGTGTTTCTCGGAGAGGGGGATTTGGCAGGGTCATAGGACAATAGTGGAGGGAAGGTCAGCAGATAAACATGTGAACAAAGGTCTCTGGTTTTCCTAGGCAGAGGGCCCTGCCGCCTTCCGCAGTGTTTGTGTCCCTGGGTACTTGAGATTAGGGAGTGGTGATGACTCTTAACGAGCATGCTGCCTTCAAGCATCTGTTTAACAAAGCACATCTTGCACCGCCCTTAATCCATTTAACCCTTAGTGGACACAGCACATGTTCCAGAGAGCACGGGGTTGGGGGCAAGGTTATAGACCAACAGCATCCCAAGGCAGAATAATTTTTCTTAGTACAGAACAAAATGGAGTCTCCTATGTCCACTTCCTTCCACACAAACACAGCAACAATCCGATCTCTCCTTCTTTTCCCCACACTTCCCCCCCTTCTATTCCACAAAACTGCCATCGTCATCATGGCCCGTTCTCAATGAGCTGTTGGGTACACCTCCCAGACGGGGTGGCGGCCGGGCAGAGGGGTTCCCCACTTCCCAGATGGGGTGGCCGGGCAGAGGCGCCCCCCACCTCCCAGACGGGGCGGCTGCCGGGCGGAGACGCTCCTCACTTCCCAGATGGGGTGGCTGCCGGGCGGAGGGGCTCCTCACTTACCAGATGGGGTGGCTGCTGGGCGGAGGGGCTCCTCAGTTCCCAGACGGGGTCGCGGCCGGGCAGAGGCGCTCCTCACATCCCAGATAGGGCGGCGGGGCAGAGACGCTCCCCACATCCCAGATGATGGGCGGCCAGGCAGAGATGCTCCTCACTTCCTAGACAGGATGACGGCCGGGAAGAGGCGCTCCTCACTTCCCAGACTGGGCGGCCGGGCAGAGACGCTCCTCACTTCTTAGACGGGGTGGCGGCCGGGCAGAGGCTGCAATCTCGGCACTTTGGGAGGCCAAAGCAGGCGGCTGGGAGGTGGAGGTTGTAGCGAGCCGAGATCACGCCACTGCACTCCAGCCTGGGCAACATTGAGCACTGAGTGAGTGAGACTCCGTCTGCAATCCCGGTACCTCGGGAGGCCGAGGCTGGCAGATCACTCTCGGTCAGGAACTGGAGACCAGCCCGGCCAACACGGCGAAACCCCGTCTCCACCAAAAAATACAAAAACCAGTCAGGCGTGGCGGCGCGCACCTGCGATCCCAGGCACTCGGCAGGCTGAGGCAGGAGAATCAGGCAGGGAGGTTGCATTGAGCCGAGATGGCGGCAGGACAGTCCAGCCTTGGCTCGGCATCAGAGGGAGACCGTGCAAAGGGGAGAGGGAGACGAGGGAGGGGGAGAGGGAGGGGGAGAGGGAGGGGGAGGGGGCGAGGGAGGGGGAGGGGGAGAGGGAGAGGGAGAGGGATCTGTTTCTTTTCTCTTTCTTTTTTTCTCATGTCAGAGGGAGAGAAGGAACAGATACATGTGAATTGCATGTGCCCTGATGGGTCTGCGTGTATTAGAGAGAGGGTGGGAAGGAGGGAGGAGGGAAGGCTGTTGAGGCCATAAAACTTCCTCATATGCCAGTGACTGGAGTAGTTAAGGCCACTTACTCAAGTCAAAGCCAATTGTGGTTAAAACTTCCTTGAAATATAATGCTTCCATATAAATTTTGAAAATTTTGGCTGAGGAGACTATCAGTTTTCCTTATTCAAACTAGAGTTAATGAATTTCCCAGTTATACAGCAGTAATGCATTCTTTAAAAGTGCAGAATGGAGATTAGCAGTGCAAGAATCTGTGGTGACAAGTTAAACGGAGAATTTTTAAAGTCATTTTATGAACTCTGTGAATGTATTCACACTTTCTCTCTTTTTGCACTTCTGTCTTTTTTGGATGCCCCACTCTACCCGTCCTGAGCATGTCTTCCCAAGAAGCCTTCTATGCTAAGACCTTGAAATGCTGGAGCAAACACAGAAGTGACCTGTAACCAACTGAAAATATATAAGGGTAGCATGGACCTGTGGGAATAGTGTCAGACAGGCTGGAGAAGAGAGGAGGAAGCAGCTTGGGGAAAGTGTGCAATGGAACTGAAAGGCTTTCAAAGCTGTGCCAAGAATAAACGAGATGCAGAAGTGCTTAGACAGGATGGTATAATATTAATGGAAGACACAGAGAAACCTAGCTAGATAAGCACTTTTTACTTGCCATCTTCATCAGAGAATGGCCTTCAAAACTACAAAGTATAGAATAGTCATTACTGAGAGTGCTTTAGAGCCTGAACTTAGGACCACAAGCAAAACCACTCAGAGCTCCTCCAGATGCATAAATCTACATCCCAAGTGGGATTTTTACCCTTGATCTCAGGGTCATTTACGTCATAATCTTGTGAGAAATTACCAGAAAAATGGAGATGGAGGAATGTCCTAATTAAGAGGAAACATTAGTTTTTAGAAGCAGAAGATATAAAGTAAGTTTGATGTCAGTTCCTAGCCAAACTGTAAGATAAATAACCGACTAGAGATCTTATATGTGCTTAGGAAAGAATGTCGTGGTCACCAGGAATCAACATGGATACCAATAATAGGCCTTGCCCAGACTCATTTCCTTTAAGTACTACTTTCTTTTCTTTTTTTTTTTTTTTGGAGGAGGAAGCCTAGATTATTAGATACACAGAGTGATAACATCTCACATTTGAAGATGCTCTCTCATTTAGTTCAAATAATGCTCACAAATGAACATTCTTGGCAAGTCTTGATTTCACCAAAGTATTTGAGATAATCTCTGATAACCTTATATAAACTAGTTAGATCTTTGTGATCAATTCAAACATTATAAGGATCAGAATAGTTGGTTCTGGGTGGCATATTTTAAGGACATTAAAAATTGATGTAGTTTCCAGAGCGTGTTGATCAGAGTAGTGAGCAATACCTAAATATCATGTCCTACAGACATCATGGAAGGAATTGGGAACATGTAATCAGTAGAAGACCAGAGAAAAACATGGCAGTTGCCCACCTATGGAAAGAAATGACAATGATTTTGGTATTGGAGCTCAAAAGCTAAAATTGCATCTACTTACTTGCATTTTTTTTTTTTTTTTGAGACAGAGTCTTGCTCTGTCGCCAGGCTGGAGTGTAGTGGTGCCATCTTGGCTCACTGCAACCTCTGCTTCCCAGTTTCAAGCTATTCTCCTGCCTAAGCCACCCCGAGTAGCTGGGACTACAGGTGCCCCACCACGCCCCCAGCTAATTTTTGTATTTTTAATAGAGACGGGGTTTCACCTTGTTGGCCAGGATGGTCTTGATCTCTTGACCTCGTGATCCGTAGCCTGGGCCTCCTAAAGTGCTGGGATTACAAGCGTGAGCCACCGTACCTGGCCCTTATTTGCATTCTTTAAGGCCTGGTTCCAATGTTACCTTCTCTCTAAAGTCTCTTTCTCTTTGCAAAATGTTTGCTTTCACATTTGTCTTTGAACCCCTATCGCCATACACAGTAGCTGGATTTTATATATATAGTAGGTGCTTAATAAATGTTGGATGAAATATTGGAGCTGAACGGGGACTGTCTTGAGTTCTCAGATAAAAAGGCATCCAAAAGCAGAAATGAGAACCATCTATTGTATTCCCTCTACCGTGCTATTTGTTTATTCCTGCTCTGAGTTACTAACTTTAGAGAAAAATTGTTCTAAATTATATCAGAGCAAAATATTTTATAGCTGATAAAACCTAGAAATGCATTTTTTCCCTGTAATTTGCATTTTAAATCATAACTATTGCTTGCATTTAAGCAAAAAGAGCTAGCGTTTGGAAATTTTTAGAGTGGTTACTAACCTGTCATCTCTTGAGGATTTTAGTCAAGAATGAAGAAAATAATCATTTTCAAATTTGGAAGGTTTAGAAAAAGAAATAACATAAATGAAAGCGATGCTATCGGAGCTTTAAAAAGTTCCTTTGTTCCAGTGGCGGTAGATCTTGAGATGTAGTAGGCTGAACGTCACGAAGTAATATCCCCCTCTGTTATCATGTTCGATTAGGCCGATTCAACAGTCATTGAGAAGTGGATGGATGGCGTGAAAGACTTCTTAATGAAACAGCAGGCTGCCCAAGGAGACGACGCAGGTCTACAGAGGCAGTTAGACCAGTGCTCTGTGAGTTCTGCTGATCTGGGGAACTTGTCATAAATAACATTTTGTTCTTTTTCTATGTTATTTGCTGCTATTATTAAAATTGTGAGAATATAGCATAGCATTACATCTAGATAAAATATCTTTCATCATAAAGCTTTTATGACTTTATAGCTAATAAAAGAATGACAGATTCTTCAAGTTTTTATTTCTGGACGTGGTTATAGAATTTTGAGAGGTTATAGAATAGAGAACAAGAACAATTTTGGTTCATTAGGAGTCATTGTATATTGCATTTCTTGTGCCACATGGTGAGGATTTAAGAAAAACATATTTAACAAATGAATTTGAGAAGTGTCTGTTCATCAAATTCATTTAAGTATGTTTTTCTTAAATCCTCACCATGTGGCACAAGAAAAGCAATATACAATGACTCCATGTTGTGCACGTGTACCCTAGAACTTAAAGTGTTAAAAAAACAAAAAACAAGAAATGAATTTGCTAGTAATAGTGCATGCAGTTTATATTTGGTGAAATCATCAGGCTTCTCTACATTAATTAAAAGGCTATTCCCTTCTGAGAGTCAAGTATTTCCAGTCTAATTTGGCAGATGGCTATATCAAGCACCCAGGTGAAATGAGTTTCTTAAGGCACAATATTTCTTAAGTAGTTAGAAGTACTGACTCTTAAGCAGTCTGCTTGTGTAATATTTGCAGGGAGATAAGCAGACAAACTATAATTATGGCATCCACTTATATAGTAATGAACTCAACATGCATCTTTTATGTGTTTAGGCATTTGTTAATGAAATAGAAACAATTGAATCATCTCTGAAAAACATGAAGGAAATAGAGACTAATCTTCGAAGTGGTCCAGTTGCTGGAATAAAAACTTGGGTGCAGACAAGACTAGGTGACTACCAAACTCAACTGGAGAAACTTAGCAAGGAGGTGAGTTTTTCAACTTTACTACCTACGGTTTTCAGGAGATGTAGACTGTAGCTTCTCTCAGCTGACTAAATGTATTATGACCCATCCAGTTTGAAAAACGATGGTCTAGAATAACTCCAGCATGGGTAGTGAGCTGGGGCCAAAAAAAAAGGCATCATTTTTTAAATTAAGAGAGGGTGCTGATTGTCCAGTTTGGCTCAGGGCTTATCCATTCTTGTCTTAAATCTGGCTTGAAACACATTTATGACACTTGCTTTACCCCTAAGACATTTGAGTGGGACCATTTATTTACTTAGCAAATATTTCTTAATCAGTTGCCACCTGTCAAGCATCATTCTAGGCACTGCAGGTACAGCATTGAACAAGGAAGAAGAAACTCCTCTTAAGGAGCTTACATTCTAGTGAGGCAGATGGATAATGAATAATATCATGGAGGAGTAGCAAGGAGTTAGGGCTAGGTGGGTTATTTCAAATAGGATGGTCAGGGAAGGACTTTCTGAGATGGGGATGTTTGAATAAAGAACTGAGTAAAGTAAGAGATGAGCCTTGTAAGGTTCAGATAAGAACATTCAGGCGTGGAGAATAGCAGGCTTTAAAACTCTGTGGTGGGAATGAACTTGGTCTGTTTAATAAAGAATGAAGGCAGTGTAGCTGGAATAAAACAGAGAGGAGTTAGTGAGTTGGAGAATGGGAATATTTGAGGTTAGAGGTAGGCAGAGGATGGATTAGCTATGGCCTTGGAGGAAAGGACTTGGGATTTATTTCAAGTATGATATTACACAGAAAGCAATTGGAAGGTTTTGAACAGGGAAGTGACATGTGATATAGATCTTTTAAGGTCACTCTGGCTTTTTGTTTTGTTTCCTTTTTTTTAGCAACAGTATCTTGTTGTATCACCCAGGCTGGAGTGCAGTGGCACAATCCTAGCTTACTGCAGCCTTGAACTCCTGGGCTCAAGCAGTCCTCCTGCCTCCTGGGTAGCTGGAACTATAGATGTTCACCACTATGCCTAGATAATTTTAGAAATATTTTTGAGCCAGATGCAGTGGTGCATGCTTGTAATCCCAGTACTTTGGGAGGCTGAGGTGGGTGGATTGCCTGAGCTCAGGAGTTTGAGACCAGCCTGGGCAACATGGCAAAACCTTATCTCTATAAAAAATACAAAAATTAGCCGGGCATGGTGGTGTGCGCCTATAGTCCCAGCTACTTAGGAGGCTGAGGTGGGAGGATGGCTTGAGCCCAGGGGATGGAGGTTGCAGTGAGCTGAGACTGCACCACTGCACTCCAGCCTGGGCGAAAGAGCCAGATCCTGTCTTAAAAAAAAAACAAAAATTGTAGAGATGGGGTTCTTAGAGGCTGAGGCAAAAGGATGGCTTGAGGTCAGCAGTTTGAGACCAGATGCCAGTCTGGTCAGATGCTGCTGACCTCAAGCAATCCTCCTGCCTCAGCCTCCCAAAGCGTGGAGATCACAGGCATGGGCCATTGCACTCGGCCTCTCTCTGGTTTTCATGTGAATAGTTTGCTCTGGGAAGGCAGGAATGAAAACAGAAAGAATTCTTATAAGGTTACTGCAGGCTTGGAGAGAGAGGATGGACCCATACACTAGGGAGGCTTAACGAAGTAGTGATGGAGGGCATGAGAAATATTAGGTTTGAAAATAAAGAAGAGACCTAAGGAAAGAATTGGATGTGTGATAGAAGAAAAAGTGAATGGTCAAGGATGACTCAGGATTTTTACAAAGCTTCCACTTTGTGTGAATTGTGGTGTCATTTACTGCAATAACGAAGGAGAAGCTTCTGTGGGTGTAGGTGAAATGATGACTACCATTCTGGAAGGGTTAAATTTGATGCTAGAAGCTAAGGAGGAAAAATCAGTAACGGGGAATGTGGGGTCCCAAATGCTAGGTGGAGAAAACTTTTCACAGGGCCTAATGCTGAGGATTGCAGGGGCCAATCAAAACAGAAAATCGAGCTTTAAATTTGATAAGAAGGAGGCATTTAATAACCTTGAGAAAGCAGGGTCAATGAACTGGTGGGAAAAAAGTCATAGTGGATAGTTCGAGGAGGGTATGGGAACTGAGGAGCTGGGACACCAAGCATAACCAACTTTGAGAAATTTCTGTCTTCAGGGGAGCAGAGAAATGGGTGGGTGCTGGTGATGGGAATCCAAAGAGGTGGTTTTGTTATTTTTAATAATGAGAGATATTAAATGAGAGATATTAATAAGAGGACCTCACTTTAGAAAAAAAATGATGGTGCAGAAAGAGATTGAGATAGGAGAATTTATCAAGTGAAGTCTGTGATTATGCGAGGATGAGATCCACCGTCTAAGTGAAGATGTTGCTAGAGATATGGTTTCTCCGTGGTAATGGAAGGGAGGAAATGATATGGGAACAGTAGAACTGGGAGGTATTCTTTCCCAATTGCTTTGATTTTTATTAGTGGAATAATAGTGAGGCTATATATAGCTGAAGTGAGTGACAAAGCAGTGAAAAATAGAAGTCAATATGAAATATAGGCTTACCCCACAGTCACGTAAATAGTACGTATTTCTTAATAAAATGCTTTTGGCTAATGTTTGTATCAGAAAAATTTATATTTGCATAACTGAATATTTTGCTTTGTGTTTATTGTTTTACCCAACTTATTTTGAACATGTTCAAATGTAAAGAAAAGTTAAAGAATGATAAAAAGGAACAGCTGTATATCCATCCATTCAGAGACTTGCTAATGTTTTACCACATTTGCTTTCTCTCTCTCTGCCTTTCTCTTTATACACACACACACACACACACACACACACGCACACACCCTTTTTTTTTGGTACTTTTGAACAGTAAGTTGAAAACATCATGACACTTCACCCCTAAATACTCTAGCATGATTTTCCAAGCATGAAGGCATTCTTCTGCAAAACCACAATACTATGATCACACTTAAGAAACTAATAATGTTATACTCTCATCTCTTATCCTAGCTAAATTCAAATTTTTCTCAATGTGCTATAATCTGATGGCATGTGCCTTAAGGAACTGGGGTTTTTGAGGAAATAGAAAATGGTTTGGAAGTGGCAATGAGGATCAAGGAAGGTGATAATTAGAAGTTTGTATCTCTATCTATCTATCTATCTATCTATCTATCTATCTATCTATCCATCCATCCACATACATATGGTGACAAATAATTCATTGTGAATTACTGATTCAAAATACAGGAATAAATATATGGGAAATTTAAAGTGTCCTCAGGAAGGAGGTAACCACATGTGTGAATAATTATCTAGAGCATTTCCAGACTATTGCATTGCATTGACTAGTACAAATGTTGAAGTAGTTTTGGACAAACATAATTTTGCCAAATTTTCATTTTGCTAAAAAGAACAGGCATATAAAACAAATCAACAAACAAAGATAGTCTATTTCATCTATTATATTCATGATATCCTGAAAAAAAGGAACATTTTAATGCCAAAAAATAGAAAGTATATATTCTCAGGATAATTAAAGATAATTTTGAGGGTGTTTTGTTGTTGTTAAGCTTATGGTAGTGTCTTTATTTTCTTCATTTCTTTTTGGATCTGTGAAAATTATATTGCTGACTAGTGTTCAAGAAGTACACATACAGAGAATTTTCTGGAAATGGGGCCCAAGAATCTCTGTCTCTCTCTTTCTCTTTCTGTGTGTGTGCATGTATTTTTATGAAAAGCTGACCAGGTTAACCTGATGATCAGCCAGGCTTGGGAATGGGATTGTGAGTGTTGCTGGCATCAGCTCCTTGGTTACCCTGTGGGGACAGTGGAAGAAAAGCTCTTGTTTGGTCCTGTCTATTTTTATGCCGGAGATCCTGTTTGGAGGGAGGGACTGGGAAAGCCTCTGTCTCTTGCTTAACTCTAACTTCTGTGAGAACCATCCAGCTCCTGTGCTGGCCTTTGGTTACTATCCACCTAGCAGCCAAGCAGGCCCTGGCAGGGTGGCCACTACTGTGGCGTTTAATTTGAGCATGAGGCTGAACCTGCCAAGTAGAGGTTGGACTGTGACTGCAGAACGGCGCCTTCTCTCACAGTAGAAGTCAGTTTGTCGTTATGGGGAGGAGTGCTCTGAAAATATTTCTAGACTTCTCCAAAATTTTTAACTAAGTTACTGAATCAGAATCAGACAACTATCTATTTTTTACTGTAACTTTTTTGTGTCTGTGTGGCATATACAAACATAGTAGACATCAAAACCAAAATTTTATAGAGCGGTGTCTTATGACATCTTTAATAGCAGCCTCTCCCTCCCTGCTTTTTAAAAGTGAAATCTTAATGGGAAGTGCAGTTAAAAAGAAGAAAATGGACATTTTGATTGCTTCTAGGGGTTTTTTTTTTTTTTTTTTTTTTGAGACAGAGTCTCGCTCTGTTCCCTGGGTTAGAGTGCAGTGGTGCGATCTCGGCTCACTGCAACCTCTGCCACCCAGGTTCAGGCAATTCTCCCGCCTCTACCTCCCAAGTAGCTGGGACTACAGGCATGCACCACCATGCCTGGTTAGTTTTTGTATTTTTAGTAGAGATGGGGTTTTGCCATGTTGGCCATGCTGATCTCAAACTCCTGACCTCAGGTGATCCCCCTGCCGTGGCCTCCCAAAGTGCTGGGATTACAGGTGTGAGCCACCAAGACTGACTGGCTTCTAGATTTTTTGTTTTTGCTTTCTTTTTTCTTTTTTCCATTATAAGTAGTGCTACATTAAATTTACTTCATATATGTGCTTTTACTGTTATAGATTAGATTCCTACATCTGGGATTACAGTCAACAGTTATGCATTGTCAAAATTATAATAGCTATTTCGAGATAAGAGTATTATCCAAATGTGGTGTGGAATCCCAGTCTTAAGATTATTTTCATTACTGCTTATATTCCACAGCGTTAGCATGAGATGTATGAGATTTTATCTGAATTTTAAAGCATGCAATTCGTTGTGGAAAGTTATTACTGTGCCTTTAAATATTAAGAGCTAAAACTTGACATTGAACACATTAACATTTGTTTATTTGGGGGAATGGCTTTTCCTTTGTAGATCGCTACTCAAAAAAGTAGGTTGTCTGAAAGTCAAGAAAAAGCTGCGAACCTGAAGAAAGACTTGGCAGAGATGCAGGAATGGATGACCCAGGCCGAGGAAGAATATTTGGAGCGGGATTTTGAGTACAAGTCACCAGAAGAGCTTGAGAGTGCTGTGGAAGAGATGAAGGTGAGGCGGGGACGACCAGTGCCAACAGGCTTCATGCCTCCCTCCTCCCTTTAAAACCAGCACATCAATCATCTGTCTATCTGTCAAACACTATGTGCATGTAGCATCTTTCACAGTAGGTTTTTGAATTAAAAAAACATAACAGGGTAGCTGCTCTAATTTTAGCAGGGGAAGAAAGCCAGGAGTCCACATATTTGGCTTGGCCCATGAGTTGAGTCCATGAGGGCCCATGAGACAAGCTCTTAAGTTAGACCTTTGGGAGGCTACAGAGAATGACTTAAAAACCTCTGGTAGTGGGCATGAGGAAGAATGATCATTTTTTTTTAATTGGGGTAAATACATATAACATTGGTCAGCTTAATTTTTAAGTGCACAATCCAGTGGCATTAATTGCATTCATCACTATTTCCAAACATTTTCACAAAGAGTTATTTTTTGTAAGGGGAACAAAAGAGACCTCCCAAGTTGTCTGAGGTTTATTCTTATTTTCCTGTTACTAATCTTCCAGTTAATACATACGGCACATATGAACACTGACGTTTCATTAGAGCAGGTAGGAATAGCGGTAGGAATGCATCGGGGAGTTCATATTAGTTGGATCCACTGGATACATTTCCTGTAAACTTGTACTCCTCTGTCGATAGTCTTGAACACTCTCTTTTTATATATAATAAAAGAACTGGGCATCATTCCCAAATTTCTAACACAGCTTCAACTGTCCTTGAATGTTCAAGCCAAAGGAGATGGTGTTTTCAAAGCTTTTTTTTCCTGTAAGCTTAAGCAACACAGTGACTAATGTTTTACCTCAAAGTTAACTTACCTAGAAGTGTAACTAAAGCAAAAATCTGTGATTTTTTTCAAAAAAGGGATTATATGACATTCATACATTATTATACATGAATCAAAGTAAATATGACAGGAGACTTGTTGGAAGTTGTTTTTTCACTAAAACATCTTTTTTAGTGTAGCTCTTTTTGAAAGATTTAAAAATACTCAGTACATAAGGTATTTTAAAATAGGCTACCATGTTAAGAATTGTCTCATTTATTGTCTTTCTTTACACTATTGGCATTGTAGTTCTGTGGATTTTAAAAGTTGCTATAGATGAGATTTGAGAAAAATGATATTTAAATATTTGATTGGGCAACATTTTATTTATTTTTATTCTTTCAAACAGCCATTAGGACTTACAAAACCACTACACTTAATTACTTTCCCCCAATCTAAGGAAGTTCAAAACCATTAAGTAGTAGAGAAAAGTAAAGGGGAAAGTGAAAGACTGTTTTATTTGTATTTATTGCCATTAAAAGTAATGGCATAAACTGCAATTACTTTTGCACCAACCTGATAGGTTGATTTTCCTGAATGTCAGATTGTTTATCTTAGCACTGAGAAACAGCTATTTCTGGATCAGATCATCTCAGTCTAACTTTATCATTGAAATGCTATTAATTAGCAGAAGGATACATGTGCCTATGTTCTATAATTTTTTAAAAAGCTTAAATTATTTAGAGAACTTTTAAAGATACTTCTACCATAGTGTACCTCAATTTTTGTGAAAATATATTTATCACAGTGTAATCTGCTCAGCCCTCCAGTGATAATGAAAATTCACTCACTTAAATTCTGATCTTGGACCCAGACTTTGAAAATACTTCATGTCAGTAAACATACTTTGGATAACTTACGTTAACACTGCTGTTATGAAATGAAAACATTTGTGGGAGCTGAGTACATTGGATGCATGAGTGAAATTTCAGAGTTAGCATTCTTATTTCAAAAACGCTCAACTGGGCTGGGTGCAGTGGCTCACGCCTCTAATCCCAGCACTTTGGGAGGCCAAGGTGGGTGGATCACCTCAGGTCAGGAGTTTGAGACCAGCCCCGCCAACATGGCGAAGCCTCATCTCGACTAAAAAATATGAAAATTAGGTAGGCATAGTGGTGGGTGCCTGTAATCACAGCTTCTCGGGAGGCTGAGGCAGGAGAATTTCTTGAACTGGGAGGCAGAGGTTGTAGTGAACAAGACTCTATCTCAAAAACAAAAACAAAAACAAAACCCCACAAAGAACCATTCACTGTTACCTAAATAATGTTCTATTTTGGCAGTTAGAATCATCCAGATGTTTTAACTTTGGTTTAATTCTTGAAAAAAAAAGAAAGAAAAGAAATTGGTTACTGAGAAAGGGAGACGTTTTTCAAGTTCATCCATCCTTTCTTGGAACAGAGGGCAAAAGAGGATGTGTTGCAGAAGGAGGTGAGAGTGAAGATTCTCAAGGACAACATCAAGTTATTAGCTGCCAAGGTGCCCTCTGGTGGCCAGGAGTTGACGTCTGAGCTGAATGTTGTGCTGGAGAATTACCAACTTCTTTGTAATAGAATTCGAGGAAAGTGCCACACGCTAGAGGTATGCTATTATTATTATTGTTGTTATTATTATTATTATTATTATTATTATTATTTTCAGTGATGTATTTCTGAGATCCAAACTCTGTAATGTTTTGGCCATTTTCAAATCTTGGAGAAAACTTCTCTTTTCTTTCAAATTCTGGATTATAAAGAAAAAATAGTTCTTGGGAAATAGTTTGATAAAAATGAAAGAGGGGTTAAAAACAGGAGACCAAAATCTGTCCCTAATTATCAGAAGGTTCTTGGGCAAGTCATTTTGTATATTCAAACTTTACTTTTTTTATAGGTGCAATCCAGGTTTTCATGTAACAGATGATCTGTAGGGCCTATTCCAGTCCAAAAATTGCAGAGCACATTTCAAGCCTCTCTTTTGTTTTGTTTTGCCTGGTTGAGTACATAGAGAGGAATTATTTTCTTTTGAGTGGTGTCTAAAGTTCAAGAGTCACCTGAAGGAAAAATAGAACTTAAATATGTGACAGTTTTACTGGGTCTTAGATAAAATACCTTTTTTTTTTCTCCCTGGCCATTACACGTAAAATGTAGATGAGTCTATGAAATTTTTTTAAACTAAGAGTGAGGTTTTGCTTGTTTGTTTTTATAGTAGTATGACTTTTGTTATTGCTTGTTGGAAGATTTAAGAAGGCTTTCAATTTACAACAATTTAATTTACATTCAATTTGACGTAAAACAAATATTTGTATTGTGGCAAATCTTGAAATGGTAAAAAATGGCAACTGCAATATTTAACCTAAATTCATTCATTACTTTGATCATTCATTCATTTGTAAATTCATTCGTTTCTTGTTCTAAACCAATTTTGTGCTAAGATAAATATATATCATTGAGGCAAGTTAGTAAGAAAGCTACTTGATTTGGGATCTGTCTGCTTCTTGGAAGTGGTCTTCTTTGAGTCATTTTTTCTTTCCCATAAGAAAAGAGGTTGTGCTTGCATCTGAGCAGATTTTTGGTCTGCTTTTTGCTTGTGGAAATTGGGGGACTAGAACCTCTTTTCTTTTATTCTAATTCAGTGGCTGGAAAATTATGGCTGAGGATTTTGTTTTGTTTTGTTTGAGACAGGGTCTTGCTCTGTCACCTATGCTGGAGTGCAGTGGTATGATCACAGCTCACTGTAACCTCAAACTCCTGGGCTCAAGTGACCTTCCTGCCCCCGCTTCCTGAGTAGCTATGACTCCAGCCTTGCAATGCCACACCTGGCTAATTATTTTTAAATTTTTTTTGTAGAGATGGGGGTCTTGCTATGTTGCCCAAGTTGGTCTGGAACTCTTGGGCTCAAGCCATCCTCCTGCCTTGGCCTACCAAAGTCCTGGGATTAAAGGCATTAGCCACTGCACCCGGACTGGCTGAGGGTTTAAATCTAACTTGTAGTTTGGTTTTGGATACCTGGTTAACTGAGAATAGTTTATACATTTCTCAAGGGTTGTACAACACATACCCCCCTCCAAGAAGAATCTGTGATAGGAAGCAAATGTGTCCTCCCAAAACCTAAAATATTTACTGGCTGGCCCTTTGTAGAAAAATGTACTGCTCCTTGATCTGGTAAGCATACTTCATATGGAGAGTGGACCGGCAGGTGCCTTCACTCATTTATGTAAACCAGAAGATGCCTCCACTCATTCAGTACATTCAAGACGACAAGCCCAGGAGGCATCCAGCTGAGTTCTTTCTCCTAAACTTACCACTCAAATAAGTTCCTCTTATAATAAGGGATTATAAATTTATAAATGTTTCCACCCACTACACAACCCCTGGGTCCCTGCTCTGGAAACCTCAGAGGGGAATGAGTGATCAAAACCAACACAGTAAGAACAGTATAACTCCAGTTTTGGTAAAATGTGGCTCTCTTATATTGACATGTCCTCATGAATTTAGAAAAAAGTTGGGAAGGCTACATTGCAAACTTTTACATCAGTTAGCTCCAAGTTGGAATTGGGTGGGGCCCAGGAGATTTCAATTTTCTATGAAATTATTTTTTAAAAATTTACAATTGGGAGCAATTTTTTCATTTTGTTCAAAAACCAAACTTTTTTTTTTTTTTTTTTTTTTTTTTTGAGATGGAGTTTCACTCTTGTTACCCAGGCTGGAGGGCAGTGGCGTGGCCTGGGCTTACTGTAACCTCTGCCTCCCAGGTTCAAGTGATTCTCCTGCCTCAGCCTCCCGAGTAGCTGGGATTACAGGTGCCTGCCACCATGCCCAGCTAGTTTTTGTATTTTTAGTAGAGATGGGGTTTCACCATGTTGGCCAGGCTGGTCTTGAACTCCTGACCTCATGTGATCCACCTGCCTTGGCCTCCCAAAATGCTGAGATTACAGGTGTGAACCACCGCACTTGGTCTTTAAAAAACAAACTAAATAATGTTTCTCTCCTGTTTTTCTTACTAATTATATAGTTCTATTTTTGACATTTAAATCAGATCATGGAATTTATTTTAAAGAGTGAGGCAGCCTCTTGCCCACTCTTTGCTCCCCACCCTTCACCAACTGGTCTCATATGATTTTGTTGATTATTTTATTTTATTTTATTTGAGATGGAGTCTTGCTCTGTTGCCCAGGCTGGAATGCAGTGGTGCAATCTCAGCTCACCGCAACCTCCGCCTCCCGGGTTCACGCCATTCTCCTGCCTCCTCCAGAGTAGCTGGGACTACAGGCATCCGCCACCACACCCGGCTAATATTTTTATATATATATATATATTTTTAGTAGAGACAGGGTTTCACCGTGTTAGCCAGGATGGTCTTAATCTCCTGACCTCATGATCTGCCTGCTTCAGCCTCCCAAAGTGCTGGGATTACAGGCGTGAGCCACCACGCCTGGCCGATTTTATTTTATTTTTTTGAAGTTTCAACTCCATCAGTTCTGAATTCCTAGGTATACTCACATCCAAATGAAATTATTAGCGATTAAAGAGAATGTGTAGTACTAGAGATACGATGTGTGAAATGGCTTTTTGTCTAATTTAAAATTTTTCATGCTTTAGGAGGTCTGGTCTTGTTGGATTGAACTGCTTCACTATTTGGATCTTGAAACTACCTGGTTAAACACTTTGGAAGAGCGGATGAAGAGCACAGAGGTCCTGCCTGAGAAGACGGATGCTGTCAACGAAGCCCTGGAGGTTGGAACCCGTGATCTCCACGGCATTTCTCTTTGCTGTGATGAGGCCACACGTGTATTACAATGAGGAATGTAATGCTTTACGCAGGCAAATGCATTTGCTTCCTCAGTGGTTTTCAATGTCACTTGCATTTTCTTCCATAGCCTGAAGTGTTTATACAATCATGTGTATTTAGATTATTGGTGACCCATTATATCAGCCTCAAGACGTGGTTAGCTGTTTGACATCTTACATTTTAGACATGTTGAAGCACTCTAGTGGTTTTCCAGTTTATTTTAGTAGGCCCTGGACAAAGCTCTGCCATATGTTATTAGGACAACTGCTCTCTTGTTTCATCAACAAGTTATTTTTACTCACTAAACACAGCACTGACAGTTTATAGGGGATTCCTGTCTCTTACCTTCAGATGCTAGAAGTTAAGACAGTGGTTGAGCCATGGGATCTTGTCGTAGGAGCTTGTCTTCAAGCCTGGATTTGAACTCCTTGAGGCCAAGAAATGTACCCGATGCTTTGTTATTCCTCAGTTCCCAGCACAGTGTGTAGCACATGTTAACTTAATAACCGTTTCTTAAATGAAATACAGTGCAAAGAGGGTAGGTTTGCTTAACAAAAAAGAAAAGGGAAGGGGGTAGATAGGCTTTTAAAAATGTCATGGTACCATGTGGGAACTGAGTGGACAACTGGATTAAAGGTCAGAAATGAGTAAAATGTGGCACTTACATTCCAGGAGACGGATGCTCTGCTAGAGAAAAGATGTCACTTCTCAAATATAGCAGAGTGAGAGACAGAGTGAATGAAAAATATGAAAAGCTTAATTTTTTTCCTAATGTAAGAGTGAATACGTATATATTCTTGAAATATGGAAAATAAAGAAAAGTATAAAGCAAACTCTAAGATAAACATTTTAAAACAGTTTGTAGATTTCTTCCTAATTATTATCTTTTATGTATGCATACTAGAAGGTAGTATATTGGATCAAAGGCTTTGGAGTCTTTTATTTACTTATTTATCTTTTTATTTGAGATGGAATCTTGCTATGTTGCCCAGGCTGGAGTGCAATTGCATGATTTTGGCTCACTGCAACCTCCACCTCCTGAGTTCAAGCAATTCTCATGCCTCAGCCTCCTGAGTAGCTGGGATCACAGGCGTGTGCCACTACCCCAGCTAATTTTGTATTTTTAGTAGAGATGGGGTTTTACCATGTCGGCCAGGCTGGGCTCGAACTCCTGACATCAGGTGATCCACCCGCTTCGGCCTCCCAATGTGCTAGGATTAGAGGTGTGAGCCATCGCACTTGGCCAGGCTTTGGAGTCTTAAAGCTTTAGAGCCATGTTGGAATCTTAGCTCTTCTTTTGACTGTGTGTATGTAGGCAAGTAATTTAACCTTTCTGAGCTTCAATTTTCCAATCTGTAAACTGGGAATGCTATTTAGCCCATATGGTTAATTAGATTTATGTATATAAAAAGTGTGTATATAAAACAATGCCTCTTATTCTGCATATATTGTAGGAAAATGACTACTTATTTTTAGTAATATAATTAATAAAAGTTGAGATCATTTTGCTTGTATAGTACTGTTCTCTGCCTTTGAACTTTGTGTCATGAGCATTTCCCCATATAATTAATAATTATTTTTAACTTTTTATTATTCATTTATTTATTGTTTAGAGACATAGTCTCGCTCTGTTGCCCAGGCTGGAGTCCAGTGGTATGACAGCTCACTGCAGCCTTGAACTCTTGGGCTCAAGTGATCCTCCTGCCTCACCCTCCCATAATTAATAATAGTTGAAATTATTTTTGTGAAATTATATCATATATCACTTGTGCTAATTTCTCAATTTTATGCATTTTTTAATCCCATGATGGATATTTTTGTGAATTAGTAATTTACTTAACTTTTGGTCCTGTTACTTAGGTAGATTTTTAGAAAATATAATTACTTGTTTAACAAATAGACATTTTGGGGATCCTTGATACCTTTTGCCTTAGTAAATGCATTATTATTTTTTTTTCCCATCTCCATTCCAGTCTCTGGAATCTGTTCTGCGCCACCCGGCAGATAATCGCACCCAGATTCGAGAGCTTGGCCAGACTCTGATTGATGGGGGGATCCTGGATGATATAATCAGTGAGAAACTGGAGGCTTTCAACAGCCGATATGAAGATCTAAGTCACCTGGTAAGAGTTGGGACATACATGGGTGTTGATTAGGTATTGATGAAGTGGAGCTGGCCCTAAGCTCCATATCATAGAGCTTTAATGTTGGAAAAATCTTTAATGTTGGTTAAAGTTGGTAACCAATGCTAACAGGGGCATTGAGGGTATTGAAATATTCAGAAAGGAAGAATAGATCTAACACTCTAAGACAGAACTGGATGATTAAAAAAATTATTTTTGAGATTACTTCTACTTACAAACATTTAATTTTCATTAAGGATCATATGATAGCTGTATATAAGAACAACAACTCATACTATCCTAGTAAATATTAGGGCCATGATATTTCACATAAGCTGCTGTGAAAGCCATAGTCTCTTAGTTCATATCCAGGTTGTAACATACATATTCGTATCACAAATTAGAGAAAGAACATTTCTTTTATAGGAAGGTTGGGTATGAATATTAGGTGCTTCCAAACACATATTAAATAATAACTGTTGATGTTCAGCCCATGAATAACATCAAGCTTAACCCAAAAGTGCTGTAAATAGTAGTTTGATATGTATGTACACCTATAGAATTTGTTTTAGGCTTTGGAAAAAAAGAGACTCTGATGTTTGTGTATTGATAGACATTTTTCTTATGTTTTATATTCTTAATTGGCAGACATTGCTGATTCCTAAAAATGCTTTAAAATTATAATAAATAACACATTTTTATCTTCTGTTTAATGCATCTTATGGGAAACCTTTACATTTTTGTATTTCAACATTATATATAGAAAGAAGTAATAATTAGTAATTCAGCTGCATGGTACATAAGATCCTAGTGGGACATTTTCACTGTTATCATTAGTAATTATTATTTATTTATAAAGAAAGCTAAAGTCTTGGATGAAAGCTTTTATGGTCTTTTCTTAGTGGCCAGAATATATATATTCTGCTATTTATATTTGTGTTGGGCAACTAATGATTCAATTTCTCCTTTGTGCAGGCAGAGAGCAAGCAGATTTCTTTGGAAAAGCAACTCCAGGTGCTGCGGGAAACTGACCAGATGCTTCAAGTCTTGCAAGAGAGCTTGGGGGAGCTGGACAAACAGCTCACCACATACCTGACTGACAGGATAGATGCTTTCCAAGTTCCACAGGAAGCTCAGGTATTGCCGTGCATTTGAGGGCTTTTGAGCTGTAAAGAGAGCTTTTGTAATTGCCTCCTCAACTATAAGAGAACCCCTCCTGCTCTCCAAAACCGAGAGTCAATGGGAAAGATTGACCTTACTTACAGGGCAGCATTTGGGTTTTGGAGTTCTCTTGCTTTCTATGTGAGACTCTGGCAAAAGTCTTATATAGTTTATTTTATTTTATTTTATTTTATTTTATTTATTTATTTGAGACAGAATCCCACTATGTCACCCAGGCTGGAGTGCAGTGGCACGATCTTGGCTCACTGCAACCTCCGCCTCCTGGGTTCAAGTGACTCTCCTGCCTCAGCCTCCCGAATAACTGGGACTACAAGCACGCGCCACCACGCCCGGCTAATTTTTTGTAGTTTTAGTAGAGACGGGGTTTCGCCATGTTGGCCAGGCTGGTCTTGAACTCCTGACTTCAAGTGATCTGCCTGCCTCGGCCTCCCAATAATTTTTGTATTTTTAGTAGAGACGGGGTTTTGCCATATTGTCCAGGCTAGTCTCAAACTCCTGACTTCAGGTGATCCACCTTCCTCGGCCTCCCAAAATGCTGGGATTACAGGCGTGAGCCACTGTGCCTGGCTGAAAAGTCCTGTATATTTTAAATTGTAGTTTTCTTAGCTGTGAAGTTGGGACAATTCCTTCCTTATAAATAAGTTGTGAACATTAGAAACGACAAATGCAAAGCCCTTAGCAGGTGCGTCATGTACAATAGTCATACCATGCAGTGGGCCATATTATTATTATTATACAAAAACGTATTATTATTATTTTTTAGACGGATTCTCACTCTGTTGCCCAGGCTAGAGTGCAGTGGCGCGATCTCGGCTCACTGCAAACTCTGCCCCACAGGTTCAAGCAATTCTCCTGCCTCAGCCTCCCGAGTAGCTGGGATTATAGGCGCCCGCCACCGTGCCCAGCTAATTTTTGTATTTTTAGTAGAGATGGGGTTTCACCATCTTGGCCAGGCTGGTCTTGAACTCCTGATGTCGTGATCCACCCGCCTCGGCCTCCCAAAGTGTTGGGATTACAGGCATAAGCCACCGCACCTGGCCTACAAAAACTTATTAAAGCTTCTGTGGAGGTCAACATTATGTAAAATACGATATCATGTATTACACAACGATATAGAACTTTTGTATTGTCTCTTTTTATACTTAAGTAAAAAAAAAAGGACATCCTCTCCCCTTTCCAATCTCTTTTTAGAAAATCCAAGCAGAGATCTCAGCCCATGAGCTAACCCTAGAGGAGTTGAGAAGAAATATGCGTTCTCAGCCCCTGACCTCCCCAGAGAGTAGGACTGCCAGAGGAGGAAGTCAGATGGATGTGCTACAGGTAAAGAAGGCCAGGAGCTTCCTTTTACTTTTCAACTTGTTGGGAATTTTCTTCAAAAAAGAGAAAGAATTGATTACTTGGGCACCGTTTGTATTCTTTGTGATGTAAACCATGGGATGGGAGTGATGATGTGTTGAAGGTTGCATCCTAGGGCAGCAGAAACAAATTGTTGCATGTGTGGAAAAATATGAAATCTGATTTTGATAGCTGAGATGAGAAACAAGAGAGTGAGCCAGATTTAGAAGTTAGCTTTATATACACTTTTTCTTTAATGCAGAGCCTCTGTCAGTATCGTGTGGCTGATGCTGTGGGCAGGCCGAGCATGAATTGGATGCAGCATCATTTAGTTCTTTCATGGTTGATATGACATTGACTTTCACTCTGAACTTGTGATGAAGGGCATTTTGAGTTCTAGGTTCCTGAACTATCTTTTTGAACATGAAGTTTTAATTCCAGTGAGGTCAGCTTTATCTAAATTTCTTATCCAAATCTATTACTTCTGAGATTGAGACACTGAGTGTTGTAATTTTTGACACTGGGCTATGCAGTTCACTTAGGTGATCGGGTACCCTCACTGAGATTCATTAGGAGTTTTTTATTTTGGGTCATATTTCTGAATTTTTTTCTTTTGGTACTTTATGGTACAAATTTTTAGTAGTATCTGTTATGCTCATGATGAGAGAGATAATCATCCTGATGGGAATTGCATATTTTCATTTCTGCAAACAGAGGAAACTCCGAGAGGTGTCCACAAAGTTCCAGCTTTTCCAGAAGCCAGCTAACTTCGAGCAGCGCATGCTGGACTGCAAGCGTGTGCTGGATGGCGTGAAAGCAGAACTTCACGTTCTGGATGTGAAGGACGTAGACCCTGACGTCATACAGACGCACCTGGACAAGTGTATGGTGAGGCTTTTGGGTGATTGGCACATCCAGTGGCTTTTTCAGCAGCTGTTATGGCTTGGTCTAGCAAGTACATGCCTAGTGTGTCCAGTGATCACTAGTCTACAGTGTGCTAAACATAAGGATTGATGATGGAAAACGTGTTAAAAAATAAGAAGTGTGGTCTTTCCCTCCAAAGAAATTAGAAGAGATAAGAGAGATAGCTAAGGAAACTAGAATAGACATGTATATAACATGATGACAAAAACCAAAACAAAAGAAATACAGCTTAATCACCATGTGAAGTTAGGAGGGCTTCAGCAGAGTGTGACTAATAAGCAAAGTTTTCAAGGATAAATTTGAATTAGCTAGAAGAACCATACTTAGAATGGATATCGTAAAAATTCCATTTTCTAGGAAAATAAAAATTTCAATAGAAATTTAAACCTTAAGATAGGAAAGAAGAAATGATATATAAGGCCTTATTACTTTTTTAGTCTTGAACTTTATAATTCAATTGAATAGAAATTTAAAAATAATGTGGCTAAGGGGACACAATCTTAGAATTAGTGTTCTGCTTGAGAATCACAGAACTTAAGATGAGACTCTTTAGGACAGGAGAGGTATAGGGACAGTTCTTTGTGCTTTTCAAAACAAAGGATAAATTTTAATATATATGTGCATGTATGTAAGTATTTATTTGATTATTGTGACATAATGGTAATCAGAGAAAGTGCTGTCCTTGACTTCATGGAACATACATAGTTCAGGGGTCTGTTACATGACAGCGTCCTATGAGATGTTGAGATGATGATGTATAGGTGTCAAGAGAAGCTGTTTAGAATAAAGCTTTTTGGTTTCAGGTAACTAGGAAGAAGACAGCTCTGAATTTGACCTACAGAACTACGATTTCTTTTTTTATATTTAAATTTATTTTTATTTTTAATTTTTGAAGACTTTTAGGTTCAGGAAGTACATGTGCACGTTTGATACATGGATATATTGTATGATGCTGAGGTTTGGGCTTCGACTGAACCCATCACCCAAATAATAAATGTAGTACCCAATTGGTAGTTTTTCAGCTCTTGCCCCTTTCCTCCTTCCCTCCTTTTGGAGTCCCATTGTCTTTGCTTTCCATCTTTATGTGCATGTGTGCCCATTGTTTAACTCCCACTTATAAGTGAGAACATTTAGTATTTGGTTTTCTGTTCCTGAATTAATTTACTTAGGATAATGGCCTTGAGCTGCATTCATGCTGCTGCAAAGGACATGATTTCATTTTTTATGGCTGTGTAGTGTTCCGTGGTGTATTTGTACCACGTTTTCTTTATCCATTCCCCCATTGATGGGCACCTAGATTGATGACATGTCTTTGCTATTGTGTGTAGTGGTGTGATAAACACGGGAGTGCATGTGTCCTTTTGGTAGAACGATTATCCTCCTTTACTTATATACCCAGTAATAGGATTTCTGGGTTGAATAATAATTCTATGTTTAGTTCTTTGAGATATTTCCAAACTGCTTTCCCTAGGGGCTGAACTGATTTACAATCCTACCAACAGTGTATGGTGTTCCCTTTTCTCTGCAGCCTTGCCAGCATCTGTTGTTTTTTGACTTTTTAATAATGGTCATTCAGACTGGTGTGAGATAGTATCTTATTGTGGTTTTGATTTGCATCAGAAATCTGTTTACTTATAGTTATATACATCTTGATATATCGAGTTTTGTATTTTTTATCATACAAATTATATATGTTCATTGTGGTAGACTTAGTACTTCTGAGAAATAGAAATAAATGTTAATAATTCCAAATCCAACAGACAGCAGTAGCCAGTGTTGGCTTGTTTTAGTCATAACATGCAAGATTTTTTAAAAATGTAATTTTAATTGTGATAAACATTCTGTTTTTAGTCCTAATGTTTTCCCATTTTATGTAGGAAAAATATTTATATTATCAAGTACTTTCATAAGCATTTGTCTGAGATTTTGAAAGAATGAGCATAAACTCTATTAGTTTATTTTCTTGTCAGATTTGAAGAAGTTATTACAAGCTTGATTTCATTTGACTCGACCTTCAGACCAAATCTGAGAAAGATGATGGCCTTTGATCACCATAGTTAGGTCTTGGCTGTCAATCTGTGTAAGCTGTGGTCTGACATGATGCCAGTTGGCAAGTTGTCACCACAGTGTGTAATTTGTCTTTTTCTTTGTTTGTTTTAAAGAAACTGTATAAAACTTTGAGTGAAGTCAAACTTGAAGTGGAAACTGTGATTAAAACAGGAAGACATATTGTCCAGAAACAGCAAACGGACAACCCAAAAGGGATGGATGAGCAGCTGACTTCCCTGAAGGTTCTTTACAATGACCTGGGCGCACAGGTGAGGAGAGCAGCCCCACAGCTCATCTCTCTGTCTCTCTCTCTCTCTCTCTCAATCTCTCTCTCTCTCTCGTTCTCTCTCATGTATTTTTAAATTTCATTTTTTGGAAAATGCATGTTTGAAAATTATGAGATTCATACGTGTTTTCAATTTATTGTAATAATTGTTATATTTCTTTAAATGTATGTGGTAATATTACAGTGATTCATAGTTACATAGAAATTTATTTTTGGCTAGGCACAGTGGCTCACGCCTGTAATCCCAGGTCTTTGGGAGGCTGAGTCAGGTAATGGCTTGAGCCCAGGGGTTTGAGACCAGCCTGGGCAACATGATGAAACCTTGTCTCTACAAAAAAATACAAATGAAAACCTCCAAAAACAAAACAAATTTCCAAAAAAAAATTAGCCATGGTGGTGAGTATCTGTAGTCCTAGCTACCTGGGAGGCTGAGGTGGGAGAGCTGCTTGAACCTGAGAGGCAGAGGTTGCAGTGAGCTGAGATCACACCACTACACTCCAGCCTAGGAACAGAGTGAGACACTGTTTTTAAAAAAAATTTATTTTTAATATTTAATTCAGGCTAATATTTATACTTTCAATGGCTACTGATATTCCATAAATTATTCTAAGGATACTACAAGTAATATATGTTCATTGTGGTAGACTTAGTGTGTCTGGAATTGGTGGGTTCTTGGTCTCACTGACTTCAAGAATGAAGCTGTGGACCCTCGTGGTGAGTGTTACAGCTCTTAAGGTGGCGCATCTGGAGTTTGTTCCTTCTGATGTTCGGATGTGCTTGGAGTTTCTTCCTTCTGGTGGGTTCATGGTCTTCCTGGCTCAGGAGTGACGCTGCAGACCTTTGCAGTGAGTGTTACAGCTCTTAAGGCAGCGCATCTGGAGTTGTTCGTTCCTCCCAGTGGGCTTGTGGTCTCGCTGGCTTCAGGAGTGAAGCTGCAGACCTTTGCAGTGAGTGTTACAGCTCATAAAAGCAGTGTGGACCCAAAGAGTGAGCAGTAGCAAGATTTATTGCAAAGAGCAAAAGAACAAAGCTTCCACAGTGTGGAAGGGGACCCGAGCGGGTTGCCACTGCTGGCTCGCGCAGCCTGCTTTTATTCTCTTATCTGGCCCTACCCACATCCTGCTGATTGGTAGAGACGAGTGGTCTGTTTTGACAGGGCGCTGATTGGTGCGTTTACAATCCCTGAGCTAGACACAAAGGTTCTCCATGTCCCCACCAGATTAGCTAGATACAGAGTGTGGACACAAAGGTTCTCCAAGGCCCCACCAGAGTAGCTAGATACAGAGTGTTGATTGGTGCATTCACAAACCCTGAGCTAGACACAGGGTGCTGATTGGTGTGTTTACAAACCTTGAGCTAGATACAGAGTGCCAATTGGTGTATTTACAATCCCTTAGCTAGACATAAAGGTTCTCTAAGGCCCCACCAGAGTAGCTAGATACAGAGTGTGGATTGGTGCACTCACAAACCCTGAGCTAGACACAGGGTGCTGATTGGTGTGTTTACAAACCTTGAGCTAGATACAGAGTGCCGATTGGTGTATTTACAATCCCTGAGCTAGACATAAAGACTCTCCACGTCCCCACCAGACCCAGGAGTCCAGCTGGCTTCACCCAGTGGATCCCGCACCCGGGCTGCAGGTGGAGCTGCCTTCCAGTCCCGCACCGTGGGCTTGCACTCCTCAGCCCTTGGGTGGTCAATGGGAGTGGGCGCCGTGGAGCAGGGGGTGGCACTCATCAGGGAGGCTCCGGCCGCACAGGAGCCCATGGAGGGGGTGGGAGGCTCAGGAATGGCGGGCTGCAGGTCCCGAGCCCTGCCCCGCAGGAAGGCAGCTAAGGCCCGGTGAGAAATTGAGCGCAGCGCCGGTGGGCTGGCACTGCTGGGGGACCCAGTACACCCTCCACAGCCGCTGGCCCGGTGCTAAGTCCCTCATTGCCTGGGGCCGGCAGGGCCAGCCTGCTGCTCCGAGTGCGGGGCCCGCCAAGCCCACCCGGAACTCCAGCTGGCCCACAAGCGTGGCGCGCAGCCCCGGTTCCCGCTCGCGCCTCTCCCTCCACACCTCCCTGCAAGCTGAGGGAGTGGGCTCTGGCCTTGGCCAGCCCAGAAAGGGGTTCCCACAGTGCAGCGGTGGGCTGAAGAGCTCCTCAAGTGCTGCCAAAGTGGGAGCCCAGGCAGAGGAGGCGCCGAGAGCGAGCGAGGGCTGTGAGGACTGCCAGCATGCTGTCACCTCTCATTAGTACTTCAAAGAAATACAAGGGAAAAAATAAATGTTAATAATTCCAAATTTCAATGGATAGCAGTAGCCGGTGTTGGCTTTTTTCTAGTCGCAACATGTAAGATTTTTCTAAGTGTAATTTTAATTGTGAGAAACATTCTGTTTTTAGTCCTAATGTTTTCCCATTTCATGTAGGAAAAATGGGAAATAATAATCCCTGTAAAAACTCAAGTTGTTGGTCCTTAGATTTCTAAATTGAACAGTCTACCGAGAAATGTTAAAACATCAGGGCTCTAGTAAATAACCAGTGGCAAGAAGTTCACATTAATCTACCAGGATTTGAAATCCTGGCAAGAAATATCTCTAATTTGGGCATTTTAGTGAATCCATGCAGGAGTTGTTGAGCATTTACTGTGAGTGAATGAATTTTTGCCCTGAAACCAGGAGAGCAAAGAATGTGTGGAAGTGTGAAACCTTAATAGGTAATATTGAAAACCCATGTTTGATAGTATTTTGGATCCTCCTTCAGTTAGGAAATATTAACTACTTCCAGTTGAGGTAATATTGAAGTTTCTATATAAGCCCAGAGAAAAATAGCTGAAATTTTGTTTTCAGTTGAAATCAGAACGACCAGTTTATACTTTTTCTGGGTGATTTTGATCTCACTTCTGCAAGCTTAGATTGTTGATGTGATACATTTTGATGTATTACATGTCTGGAACACACACCTTAGAGCTTCTTTTTGGAATTATACAGCTGGTTATTCGTTAAATATTATTATATTTATTCACTGACTGGGCATTTTATGAATGGAATGGTATTGCTGGTTTTTGCACTAATTCTCCAATTGTGACTATAATTTTAGTATTAATTAATTTTATCATTTAAAGTTTCACTCAATCGAGATTTTACTCTGTGTCAGGAATTATACAAGGAGACAGTGATGAGGAAAGATATAAATTATCTCGTTGTCTAATGGAACTTAGGGTAGTGAAAGAGAAAAACATTGAGTAGTTACATGAGATGATGTCACATTATCAGTCTGAAGAGTTATGAAGAATGTACATGGTTCTTTAAGAGTATAGGTAAAGGGGGGTTTCACCCAGTCTTGTGTTAGGAAGGCTTCCCTGAGGAGGTGATGCATAAGCCGAGATCTGAAGTCTGGGTAGGAGTAACCTGGGTGAAACGAGGAGATTTCTAGACTGATAAAACAGTATATATAAAAGCTCTAAGGCAGGAGGCAGTGTGGTACATTTATGTGGCTAGAGCAGAGAGAGCCAGTGTGAGGAACATGGTGCTAGGGAGATAGGATTAGACAAAATCCTGCCAATGTCATAGAGTTTGTGTTACAGATTAAAATCTGTGTCTTAAGCAGTTACTGCACAGGTTTTAGTAGGCAAATTACATACTCAGATATGTCTTTTAAAGGATTACTCACTGCATTTTGGAAGAGGAATTGGAGGGAGGCTGGAGTGGATGTGAGGAGACTGGTTTCGAAGTCATTGTACACTTGGTGAGAGATGGTCGTACCTTGAACTAGGATGGAGAGTGGAGATGGAGTGAGTGAATTGATTTCAGACATATGTAGGAAGTGAAATCAACAGGACTTGGTCCAGGAGGAGAGATGAAGGATGACCCCTGGGTTTCTGGCTTGATGATGTGGATGGTGTGGCCATTGAGATGGGTGCTGTAAGAAAAGATAGAGGACCGGGTGCGGTCGCTTATGCCTGTAATCTTTGCACGTTGGGAGGCCAAGGTGGTGGATCACCTGAGGTCAGGAGTTTGAGACCAGCCTGGTCAACATGGCAAAAACCCGTCTCTACTCAAAAAAAAAAAAAAAAAATTAGCTGAGTGTGGTAGTATGTGCCTGTAATCCCAGCTACTCGGGAGGCTGAGGCAGGAGAATCACTTGAACCTGGGAGGCTGAGGTTGCAGTGAGTCAAGATTGTGCCACTGCACTCCAGCCTGGGCAACAAGAGTGAAAACTCTGTCTCAAAAAAAAAAAAAGGTAGAAGCATGCAGAAATCACAGGTATGTATTGGACATGTTGACATTTTAAGTACCTTTGAGAATGTTAATTGGAAATGTCGGGTACTCACATGATTATTCAGGTCTGGAGAATATATCTGGACTGAAGAGGTGGATTTTATGAGTCATCTGCATAGAGGTCATAATTAAAGTAATCAGGGATGATAGATTGTCTAGGAACAGGATATAGTGAAAGAAGAGGGCCCTCAACCAAGTCTTAAGAATTACATCATTTAGTAAGAAATCTCAGGAAGATGAGCTTGCAAAAGAAACTAATGTAAGTAGCAAGAAGTGGTAGGGACACAGTTGAGTACTAGGTCTGGAAAGCTAGGGGAAGATGGTATTTTGACAGAGTGCAGTTACCTGTTTTGGATATTTTGAAAGTTAAATATGATGTCCACATAAACATATTAATTAGATCAGTTGCCATTGGGGTCATTATTGAACTTAGCAAGGGCAATGTCTGGGAGTGATGGTGGTAGAAGCCAGAATGGCATGGCTCAATCCAAAGATTGTACCACCCTGGCCTTGGCCTTAACCTCTTTAAGTTTCATTTTCATTATCCATAAAGTAGAAAGAGGCTTTGTGAATTTTATTGCATACGTGTGTAAGATTCCTTAGCACAACACGGAAGCTGTATTAAGAGCTTGGTAAATGTTAGTTAAGTTCATTTGTTTTCTGTCAACAACAATGAGAGCAAAATAATAATAAGGTTTGGTTTGTATAGTCGTGTACTGCATTTTAAGTTAAAGTGGTTAATTATAAAACATATAATTGTGAAAATGGTGCTATTTTCCCCTCAAGTTACTATAATACCGTATTTTTCCTTCATGGAGAGGATTCTAAGATATCTTATGTTCAAAATTATAATAGATACTAGTGATTTTTCAACTTTATTTCTGCCCTTTTATGTGTGTTTTTCTCGCTTAATACACATAACAATCTTTTTTTTTTTTGAGACGGGGTCTTGCTCTGTTGCCCAGGCTGGAGTGCAGTGGCAGGATCACGGCTCACTGCAGCCCCAGCCTCCAGGGCTCAAGCGATTCTCCCACCTCAGCCTACTGACCAGCTGGAACTACGAGCACGCACCACCATACTGGCTAATTTTTTGTATTTTTTACAAAATGAGGTCTTTCATTTTGTAGAAAATGAGGTCATGTTTCCCAGGCTGGTCTTAAACTCTTGGACTCAAAAGATTTGCCTGCCTCGGCCTCCCAAAGTGCTGGGATTATAGACATGAGCCACTGTGCCCAGCCTCATACCAATCTTTTGAGGGCTATACCTCTGCCAGTATCACTTAGGAAATTAATGATAGAGCTAAGATGAAAACCCAGGATTGCCTGGCACTTAACCACTACAGCATATTGCCTCCTTGCAGAAATGCAAGCTTAGAGGATTCTAAGGTGCTAAGACAAAGGTTATGTATGTCTTGGGGGTTATATATGAATCAGTTTGGATCTTTAGTTAACATTCTGATTCATTCTCATTTATGTTCATTCCCATCTCAGTCTCAGTCTCTCCCTGCCTCTCTCCGTCTCAGGTGACAGAAGGAAAACAGGATCTGGAAAGAGCATCACAGTTGGCCCGGAAAATGAAGAAAGAGGCTGCTTCTCTCTCTGAATGGCTTTCTGCTACTGAAACTGAATTGGTACAGAAGTCCACTTCAGAAGGTCTGCTTGGTGACTTGGATACAGAAATTTCCTGGGCTAAAGTAAGTTGCAGTTCAGATGAAACACCAGCATGATGCCAGCGTAACATGGCATTTGTTCGGGCGACCTGGTTGGATACCATGTCCCTCCATTTTATATTAAATCTAGCCTTTTCTTTTTTGCATTGTTTTTCCACTTCTCTGTCCTAAGAAAAAATATTTTAAAAATAATGATTATATTTTATTTTCTTTATAATTTCTACTTTTAGATTAAGGGGTACACATATAGGTTTGTTACATGGATATATTGTGTAATGCTGAGGTTTGGGGTATGAATGATCCCATCACCCAGGTAGTGAGCATAGTACCCACTAGGTAGTTTTTCAGCTCATGCCTCCCTCTGTTTCTCGCCCCTCTACTAGTCCCCAGTGTTTATCGTTCCCTTCTTTATGGCCTTGCGTACCCAATGTTTAGCCCCCACTTGTAAGCGAGAACGTGGTAATTGGTTTCCCATTCCTGCATTAATTCACTTAGGATAATGGCCTCCAGCTGCAACCATGTTGCTGCAAAGGACATGATTTCATTCTTTTTTATGGTTGTATGGTACTCCATGGTGTATATGTATCACATTTTCTTTATCCAATCCACCATTGATGGGCACCTAGGTTGATGACATGTCCTTGCTCTTGTGAATAGTGCTGATGAACATATGAGTGCATGTGTCTTTTTGGTAGAACAGTTTATTTTCCTTTGCCTATATACCCAGTAATCAGATTTCTGGGTCAGTAATCAGAATTCTGTTTGAAGTTCTTTGAGAAATTTCTAAACTGCTTTCCACAGAGGCTGAACTAATTTACATTCCCACCAACAGTATAAAAGTGTTCCTTTTTCTCTGCAACCTTGTCAACATCTGTTATTTTTTGACTTTTTAATAATAGCTATTCTAAATGGTGTGAGATGGTATCTCATTGTGGTTTCAATTTGCATTTCTCTAATGTTAGTGATGTTGAGCATTTTTTCGTGTGTTGTTGGCTGCTAGTATGTCCTTTTTGAAGTGTCTGTTCATTTTATTTGCCCACTTTTTAATGGGGTTATTTGTAAAACAGCTCTTTTAATAAGATATTTTTATCCTGATTCCAAAAGCATTACATTCATGGATCATCAAGGCCTTTATAGGTATTATTTTTATATAGTACTTAAAAGCCTAATTCACCACCTTTAAAATCAATGACACATATTTACAGAGTGTTTACAAAGAATTGTGCTGAGTTTAATTCTTCTTTAATAACATTTTAAAACCAATAAGTAATCTTTCTATTGCAAACTTTCAGATGTAAAGAACTTAGGAATAGAATTTTAAAAAATCAATACAAGAGTTTTCTTTAACCCTGTACTTTGAAATCACAGAGATTAGAAAGTTGATTTGCTGGTTCTGGCTTCTGCAGTAGAGAAAGAATTGAATGGAACATGAGTGGTTCTTTTAACAAGGCATTCTGTTTTCCTAAATCTCTTTCCTGAGAAAGAAGCGAGTATACTAGTGGGAAGTGCTGAATATAAATGATCAATACTGTGACTGATGTTTATATAAAGCCACAAGTATCAGTTTGACACCCTCTACAGCTCTACACGTTTGCTGTGGGCCTTGAGGAGAAGGTGCTGAGAGGTTGTGGGGTGACACAACTCCTGCTTACTTTGAATGCTCTGTGGAGATGACAGCTGGGAGAAAGTTAAGATAGTAGACACTGGAAAGACTATTCTCAGTTTAGAAAAAAGCTCATGAAAAGCGTGATCATGCCATGAGCAGTGTGAGTGTAAAGGAAGTGAAGAAAGGAATGTATGAGGGAAATGAGCATTGCAAGTCATCGGTGTGTTGTGGTTGAATGCAAAACAAAGGCACCAAACTTTATTGTTGTTAAATTTAAGTTTTTCAAGGACATATTATCATCCTCGTGCAGTATACTTTGAAAATCATTACTTTTTAAATTAGTAACATAAGTAATAGAAGCTATTTGAATGAAATTTGCCTAGTGTAATACAAAAAAACAGGAGCAAAAATCACCTATAATCAAACAATGCTATTTTTTTTCATTTTTTTGAGCACATTTCGATGTGCACATGCAAAAGCATATATTTAAAAATAAATTTTGTTGTAACTAGTATTTATTGACCTTCTTTTAAAAACTTACATCTTTGGCATTTTTCTTTACCTATACTTGTTTTTATATAGCATATTAGAGATATGCATAGTATTTCATTCTTAATTTTTTTATTTTCTCATTTCTCTATTCATGTCCATTTAAATTATTACCATTTTCATTATTATAGATAACGCTATGGTGAATATATTAAACCATATCATACATTCATAATTATTTCCTGAGGATAAATTCTTAACCCTAAAAGTATTGATCAAGGGACAGGAATATATCCATTTTTAAGTCTTATACATATTATGCAATTGTTCTTCAGAAATAGTGCACCTACCACATGCGAATGAGAATTTCTACTTGACATCATGTTTTGGTTATTTAATTAGAACATTTTTGACAAGTTTATAGGTCTTCTATAGCGCTGTTAAAAATACCGCTTTTTACTCTAATTCTGACCATTTTTTATCACCAAATTGGTCTTTTAATTTGGAGCTTTTTATCTGTTCTGATTATCAATGCTTAGTGAGTTGTGTTTGATTGCAAACAAATTTTTTTATTACTGTAGCTTCCTTTTTTGTTTTTTTAAGTTTTATTTTTTTTTTGAAAAAAAGTAAATCCTTCTGAATATTTTTTAATGAACAAAATCCATCTTTTTCTTCATTATTTCTGCCTTTAGTGCTTAGAAAGACCACCTCAACTCCAGGTTCATTTAATTATTCACTTTTTTTTTCTACTAGCTTTTTTCCTTTTTTTTAATTGTTATACTTTAAGTTATGGGATACATGTGCGGAACGTGCAGGTTTGTTACATAGGTATACACGTGCCATGGTCATTTGTCTCACTCATCAACCCGTCATCTACATTAGGTATTTCTCCTAATGCTACCCCTCCCCTAGCCCCCCAGCCCCCAACAGGACCCAGTGTGTGATGTTACCCTCCCTGTGTCCATGTGTTCTCATTGTTCAATTCCCACTTATGAGTGAGAATATGTGGTGTTTGGTTTTCTGTTCCTGTGTTAGTTTACTGAGAATGATGGTTTCCAACTTCATCCGGGTCCCTGCAAAGGACATGAACTCACATTTTTAATAGCTACATAGTATTCCATGGTATATATGTGCCACATTTTCTTTATCCAGTCTAACATTGATGGGCATTTGGGTTGATTCCAAGTCTTTGCTATTGTGAATAGTGCTGCAATAAATATACGTGGGCATGTCTTTAGAGTAGAATGATTTATAATCCTTTGAGTATATACCCGGTAATGGGATTTCTGGGTCAAATGATATTTCTGGTTCTAGATCCTTGAGGAATCACCTCTTCCATAATGGTTGAAATAATTTACACTCCCACCAACAGTGTAAAAGCATTCCTATTTCTCCACATCCACTCCAGCATCTGTTGTTTCCTGACTTTTTAATAATCGCTATTCTACCTGGTGTGAGATGGTATCTCATTGTAGTTTTGATTTGCATTTCTGTAATGACCAGTGATGATGAGCTTTTTTTCATATGTTTTTTGGCCACATAAATGTCTTCTTTTGAGAAGTGCCTGTTCATATCCTTCACCTACTTTTTGATGGAGTTGTTTGTTTTTTTCTTGTAAATTTGTTGAATTTCCTTGTAGATTCAGGATATTAGCCCTTTGTCAGATGGATAGATTGCAAAAACTTTCTCCCAGTCTCTAGGTTGCCTGTTCACTATGCTGGTACTTTCTTTTGCTCTGCAGAAGCTCTTTAGTTTATAGATCTTATTTGTCAATTTTGGCTTTTGTTGCCGTTGCTTTTGGTGTTTTAATCATGAAGTCTTTGCCCATGCCAGTGTCCTGAATGGTATTGCCTAGGTTTTCTTCTAGGGTTTTTATGGTTTTAGGTCTTACGTTTAAGTCTTTAATCCATCTTGAGTTAATTTTTGTATAAGGTGTAAGGAAGGGGTCCACTTTCAGTTTTCTGCATATGGCTAGCCTGTTTTCCCAACACCATTTATTAAATAGGGAATCCTTTCCCTATTGCTTGTTTTTGTCAGGTTTGTCAAAGATCAGTTAGTTATAGATGTGTGGTGTTATTTCTGAGGCCTCTGTTCTGTTCCATTGGTCTATATATCTGTTTTGGTACCAGTACCATGCTGTTTTGGTTACTGTAGCCTGATAGTGTAGTTTGAAGTCAGCTGGATGCCTCCAGCTTTGTTCTTTTTGCTTAGGATTTTCTTGGCTATATGGGCTCTTTTTGTTTCCATATGAAATTTACAGTGTTTTTTTCTAATTCTGTGAAGAAAGTCAATGGTAGCTTGATGGGAATAGCATTGAATCTAAAAATTACTTTGAGCAGTATGGCCATTTTCACAGTATTGATTCTTCCTATCCACGAGCATGGAATGTTTTTCCATTTGTTTGTATCCTCTCTTATTTCATTGAGCAGTGGTTTGTAGTTCTCCTTGAAGAGCTCCTTCACATCCCTTGTAAGTTGTATTCCTAGCTATTTAATTCTCTTTGCAGCAATTGTGAATGGGAGTTCACTCATGATTTGGCTCTCTATTATTGGTGTATAGGAATGCTTGTGATTTTTTGCACATTGATTTTGTATCCTGAGACTTTGCTGAAATTGCTTATCAGTTTAAGGAGTTTTTGGGCTGAGACTGTGGGGTTTTCTAAATATACAATTATGTCATCTGCAAACAGAGACAATTTGACTTCTTCTCTTCCTATTTGAATACGCTTTATTTCTTTCTCTTTCCTGATTGCCCTGGCCAGAACTTCCAATACTATATTGAATAGGAGTGGTGAGAGAGGGCATCCTTGTCTTGTGCCAGTTTTCAAAAGGAATGCTTTCAGCTTTTGCCCATTCAATATGATATTGGCTGTGGGTTTGTCATAAATAGCTTTTATTATTTTGAGATATGTTCAGTTAATACCTAGTTTATTAAGTGTTTTTAGCATGAAGGGGTATTGAATTTTATCAAAGGCCTTTTCTGCATCTATTGAGATAATCGTGGTTTGTGTCATTGGTTCTGCTTATGTGATGGATTACGTTTATTGATTTGTGTATGGATTACATTTATTGATTTGCATTGAACTAGCCTTGCATCCCAGAGATGAAGCCGACTTGATCATGGTGGATACACTTTTTGATATGCTGCTGGATTCAGTTTGCCAGCATTTTATTGAGGATTATCACATTGATGTTCATCAGGGATATTGGCCTGAAATTTTCTTTTTTTTGTTTTGTCTCTGCCAGGTTTTGTTATCAGGATGATGCTGGCCTCATAAAATGAGTTAGGGAGGAGTCCCTCTCTTTCTATTGTTTGGAATAGTTTCAGAAGGAATGGTACCAGCTCCTCTTAGTATCTCTGGTAGAATTCAGCTGTGAATCCATCTGGTCCTGGGCTTTTGTTGGTTGGTAGGCTATTAATTATTGCCTCAATTTCAGAACTTGTTGTTGGTCTATTCAGGGATTCAACTTCTTCCTGGTTTAGTCTTATGAGGGTGTATGTGTCCTGGAATTTACCCATTTCTTCTACATTTTCTAGTTCATTTTTGTGGAGGTGCTTATAGTATCTTCTGATGGTAGTTTGTATTTCTGTGGGATCATTGGTGATACCCCCTTTATCTTTTTCTTGTGTGTGACTATTTGATTCTTCTCTCTTTTCTTCTTTATTAGTCTGGCTAGTGGCTTATCTATTTTATTAATCTTTTCAAAAAACCAGCTCCTGGATTCATTGAATTTTTTGAAGGGTTTTCGTGTCTCTATCTCCTTTAGTTCTGCTCTGCTCTTGGTTATTTCTGTCTTCTGCTAGCTTTTGAATTTGTTTGCTCTTGCTTCTCTAGTTCTTTTAATTAGGGTGTTGATTTTAGATCTTTCCTGCTTTCTCATGTGGGCAGTTAGTGCTATGAATTTCCCTCTAAACACTGCTTTAGCTGTGTCCCAGGGATTCTGTTATGTTTTGTCTTTGTTCCCATTGGTTTCAAAGAACTTCTTTACTTCTGCCTTAATTTCGTTATTTACCCAGAAGTCATTCAGGAGCAGGTTGTGCAGCTTCCTTGTAGTTGTGCGGTTTTGAGTGCGTTTCTTAATCCTGAGTTCTAATTTGATTGCACTGTGGTCTGAGAGACTGTTTGTTACGATTTCTGTTCTTTTGCATTTGCTGAGGAGTGTTTTACTTCCAATTATGTGGTCAATTTTAGAATAAGTGCTATGTGGTGCTGAGAAGAATGTATATTCTGTTGATTTGGGGTGGAGAGTTCTGTATATGTCTACTAGGTCCACTTGGTCCAGAGCTGAGTTCAAGTCCTGAATATCCTTGTTAATTTTCTGCCTCACTGATCTGTCTAATATTGCCAGTTGGGCGTTAAAGTATCCCCCTATTATTGTGTGGAAGTCTAAGTCTCTTTGTAGGTCTCTAAGAACTTGCTTTATGAATCTGGGTCCTCCTGTATTGGGTGCATATATATTTAGGATAGTTAGCTCTTCTTGTTGCATTGATCCCTTTACCATTCTGTTATGCCCTTCTTTGTCTTTTTTGATCTTTGTTAGTTTAAAGTCTGTTTTATCAGAGACTAGGATTGCAACCCCCGCATTTTTTTTTTTTTTGCTTTCCATTTGTTTGGTAAATATTCCTCTATCCCTTTATTTTGAGTCTATGTGTGTCTTTGCACAAGAGATGGGTCCCCTGAATACAGCACACGGATGGGTCTTGGCTGTTTATCCAGTTTGCCAGTCTGTGTCTTTTAATTGGAGCATTTAGCCCATTTACATTTAAGGTTAATATTGTTATGTATGAATTTGATCCTGTCATTATGATGTTATCTGGTTATTTTGCCCATTAGTTGATGCAGTTTCTTCATAGTGTCCATGGTCTTTATATTTTGGTATGTTTTTGCAGTGGCTGGAACTGGTTTTTCATTTCCGTATTTAGTGCTTCCTTTGGGAGTTCTTGTAAGGCAGGCCTCATGGTGACAGAATATCTCAGCATTTGCTTGTCTGTAAAGGATTTTATTTCTCCTTCGCTTATGAAGCTTAGTTCAGCTGGATATGAAATTCTGGGTTGAAAATTCTTTTCTTTAAGAATGTTGAATATTAGCCCCCATTCTCTTCTGGCTTGTAGGTTTTCTGCAAAGAGATCTGCATTAGTCTGATGGGCTTCTCTTTGTGGGTAACCTGACCTTTCTCTCTGGCTGCCCTTAACATTTTTTCCTTCATTTCAACCTTGGTGAATCTGACGATTATGTGTCTTGGGGTTGCTCTTCTTGAGGAGGAGTATCTTTGTGGCATTCTCTGTATTTCCTGAAGTTGAATGTTGGCCTGTCTTGCTAGGTTCGGGGAGTTCTCTTGCATAATATCTTGAAGTGTGTTTTCCAACTTTGTTCCATTCTTCTTGTCACTTTTGGGTACACCAATCAAATGTAGGTTTGGTCTTTTCACATAGTCTCTTATTTCTTGGAGGCTTTGTTTGTTCATTTTCATTATTTTTTCTCTAATCTTATCTTCACACTTTATTTTATTAAGTTGATCTTCAATCTCTGATATGCTTTCTTCCGCTTGATCGATTCAGCTATTGATACATGTGTATGCCTCATGAAGTTTTCGTGCTGTGTTTTCAGCTTCATCAGGTCATTTATGTTCTTCTCTAAATTGGTTAGTCTAGTTAGCAGTTTCTGTAACCTTTTTTTCAAGGTTCTTAGCTTCCTTGCATTGGGTTAGAACTTGCTCCTTTAGCTTGGAGGAGTTTGTTATTACCCACTTTCTGAAGCCTACTTCTGTCAATTCATCAAACTCATTCTCCATCCGGTTTTGTTCCCTTGCTAGCAAGGAGTTCTGATTCTTTGGAGGAGAAGAGACATCCTGGTTTTTGGAATTTACAGCATTTTTGCGCTGGTTTTTCCTCATCTTCGTGGATTTATCTACCTTTGATCTTTGATGTTGGTGACCTTCGAATGGGGTTTTTGCATGGTCCTTCTTTTTGTTGATGTTAATGTTGTTGCTTTTTGTTTGTTAGTTTTCCTTCTAACAGGCCCCTCTGCTGCAGGTCTGCTGGAGTTTGCTGGAGGTCCACCCCAGACCTGTTTGCCTGGGTATCATCAGGGGAAGCTGCAGAATAGCAAAGATTGCTCCCTGCTCCTTCCTCTGGAAGCTTCGTTTCAGAGGGGCACTCACAAGATACCAGCTGGAGCTCTCCTATATTAGGTGTCTGTTGACCCCTGCTGGGAGGTGTCTCCCAGTCAGGAGGCACAGGGGTCAGGGACCCACTTGAGGAGGCAATCTGTCCCTTAGCAGAGTTCGAGCTCTGTGCTGGGAGATCCGCTGCTCTCTTCAGAGCCAGCAGGCAGGAACATTTAAGTCTGCTGAAGCTTTGCTCACAGCTGCCCTTTCCCCCAGGTGCTCTGTCCCAGGCAGATGGGAGTTTTCTCTATAAGCCCCTTGCTGGGGCTGCCACCCTTCTTTCAGAGATCAGACAGTCTGGCTACAGTTGCTTTTCTGAGCTGTGGTGGGTTCTGCCCAGTTTGAACTTCCTGGAGGCTTTGTTTACACTGTGAGGGGAAAACTGCCTACTCAAGCCTCAGTAATGGTGGATGCCCCTCTCACCACCAAGCTCCAGCATTCCAGGTCGACTTCAGACTGCTGTCCTGGCAGCGAGAATTTCCAGCCGTTGGATCTTAGCTTGCCGGGCTCCATGGGGATGGGATCTGCTGAGCTAGACCACTTGGCTCCCTGGCTTCAGTCCCCTTTCCAGGGGAGTGAATGGTTCTGTCTTGCTGGTGTTCCAGGCACCACTGGGGTGTGAAAAAAAACAAACAAACAACTCCTGCAGCTAGCTTGGTGTCTCCCCAATCGGCTGCCCAGTTTAGTGCTTGAAACCCAGGGCCCTGGTGATGTAGGCACCTGAGGGAATCTCCGGGTCTGTAGGTTGTGAAGGCCTTGAGAAAAGTGTAGTATCTTGGCTGGATAGCACCGTACCTCACGGCACAGTCCCTCATGGCTTCCCTTGGCTAGGGGAGGGAGTTCCCCAACCTCTTGCGCTTCCCTGGTGAAGCGACACCCTCCGTGGGCTGCACCCACTGTCTAACCAGTTCCAGTGAGATGAACCAAGTACCTCTGTTGGAAATGCAGAAATCACCTGCATTCTGTTTTGGTCTTGCTGGGAGCTGCAGACTGGAGCTGTTCCTGTTTGGCCATCTTGCCAGCCACCTCCTCTGCTAGCTCTTTTATAGTTTCATCTTTTTACCTTTAATGCATTAATCTTTCCAGTATTTATTTTGGTGTATTTCGTGAGGTAAGGCTCTAACCTTCTTTCCAAAAGGATAACCAATTATCTTAGTGCTATTGGTTGAGTAATTAACCTTGTCCCCATGGATTTGACATGCTAAGTTCATATATTCTTATTTTCCTGTTGCCTTTCGTTGTTTTCTGCTCCACTGATCTGGCCCCATGAAATGTACCAGTTTTTAGAATGTTTAGCCATGTTTTATAGTATATTTTAACTGCAGTTAATGGGTTCCCTCTCTTTATGCTTCATTTTTGGTATATATCTTATATGAACTTTAGAATTTTTATTGTTAAATTCTTAAATTCTATTGGAAATTTTGATTTGAATTGCCTTGAATTCATACATTTGTGTAGTGCAGAATTGATATCTTTGTTATATTAATTCTATTCGGTAACATATATGTCTCATTTTTGTCCTAAATTCTTTCACATTCCTACATAATGTTTTGATTTTTTTCTTTATAAACATTATTCATATATGCACAGGAGTTTATTCCTACATATCTATTTTTATTGCTATGTAAAAATATACTTTTCGGTTTTTTTACAGAGTGCTTATTGTTGGTACATAGGTGATATTGATTTTATATATTCAATTTTTAAACATCCATGTTCATATACTCATAAATTCAATTTGTTTTTCAGCTGATTCTCATAGCTTTTTTAGGTAAAGACTCAAAGCAATGAAAAATTTGTTTCTTTTGGAACAATATGCTCTTAAGTTTCCATTTAATCTTATTTCAGAATTGAAATGATAAAGATGATATATACAAGTCACAAATTCACAGCACATTCTCTTCATTAGAGTAAATCAAATGAAACATCAGTATATATTAATAACCACCATCTTTTTATCACTGTCTTTTCAGATTTAAGGAACATGCAGATTTCACCACATTTTAATGTATTTGCACTTAAAGATTATGTAAAATTATTTTCAATGCAAAGCTTAAATAAATAATATTTTCATTTCTGAATACTGTTTTTATTCCATAACTTAAATATAACTATTTTCAATGTAATCTTTTTTACTGTAAAAAAGTATGTGTACTATTTAGATGTAATTACTTGTAGTTCATTATTTTTTATAGTTCTTAAATGCTATTCTAGTCAATCAGTACATGCCCACTGAAGAAATGAAAGATTCTTATTAATAATTGCTGAGAGCATAGCTATTGGGTATCCTTTATTTTCTCCCCCCTTGCTAGAGAATAATATTGGAAAGTAGTATTTCAGTTCTGTCATAAATATGCCAGTAATTGACATGGCCAAGTGAGTGTTTAAACCTGGACTCATTTGTGAATTTGTAATTGGTATGCTTTCCAAGGTGTGATTTAATGTAGAAATATAAACTTGAGCTCCTTAAAATGATTGGTTTAAATGTTGATTTAAAAAATGGTCAATAATAGTAGCAGTAGGGTAGATACATGCATATTGCTTTTTGATTGAAAGAGCTTTGTAGTTTTAATTGTGGAACTCATGCTCTCTCTATAATTCTGTGACTATATACTTTGCCTGGTGAAACTTACGAATGTGCCGATCACTTTATCATCATACCATCCAGAGTATTATCTTTGCACTTATGACAGTTGTAAGACCAAAGCTTAGACTTGCTGCTCTCTTGTGAGTTACTTACATGAAATGTTTTTTTGTAATGTTTATTCAGTATATTATATGTGAAATCACCCAGCTGTAAGATGTTATCCTTGCAAGTACCTATAGTACACATCGATAGTTTCCTCTGGTAATCTAGGAGATAAATTCATTGTGAATTTTTTTAAGTTGTGAGTTCTAGGATCCTTCTGCTTTGCCAGCTTGTAGTTACTGAAAATGAAATTGAGCCTTTACATTTAGAGTGATGATGAAGGTAATTGGCATTCATATGTAATAAATGGATTTATATTTAAATAAATGAAATAATTGCTTTCCCACAGCTGAGTGTGTTACACTCACTGGTATTTGTTGAATTACACATTTTGTTTTCCATTTGGAACTTAAGAATTCTCACTATGTTAATAAGTTTGGGAATTTTGTAAACTTTGACATTGTAAATTATATAGGGAGTCATGGACTACTTTGTATATGTGGCAGAAAAGTTTTTAATAATTTAAGGTTGTATATACTTTTATAATATTCTGAAGCATCAAGTAGGTCTTGGTGTTTTTATTTTCTAGAATGTTCTGAAGGATCTGGAAAAGAGAAAAGCTGATTTAAATACCATCACAGAGAGTAGTGCTGCCCTGCAAAACTTGATTGAGGGCAGTGAGCCTATTTTAGAAGAGAGGCTCTGCGTCCTTAACGCTGGGTGGAGCCGAGTTCGTACCTGGACTGAAGATTGGTGCAATACCTTGATGGTATGTCTCAGGAAAAAGTAAATGATGAAATCTTCTCCTCTCTTCTAGTTATTTTTTAAATGAATACAACTTTGATTAAATTTCAAATCCTGTTTACTGTGTGTCACAGTGATGTTTTGCTTGTGAATTAATTTCATTAGACTAGGTTTTATTTTTTCTTTGGAAAGGTAATAACTAGAAAGAATTTACAGTGTTTCTAAATATTCATGATCTGCATGGAATGAGGTACTTTCATATTTTAGTAAATGCACCTTATTTGTTTCATTTTAATGATTTCATATTGTATTTGATTTTCGTACTATCAGAAGCTATTTTTATATAAAATCTTCATAGTGTTTGAATAATGGCATACTGGTTAAGAGCACAGGCTCTAGCATCTGACGGCCTATGTAAAAATTTTCATTACTAGCTTGGTAACACTGGTAAAGTTACTTAAACATTCTCTAAACCTCAGTTGTTTAATTTGTAAAATGGACATTATTATATCTATCTCATACAGTTTTGCAATGATTGATTATGAGCCTTAAACATGTAGTGCTCTTAAATAACTATATGCAAAACAACCAATTTTAGATTTTGCTATGATTATAATTATTAAATATTGTATATGTGTTAGTCTTTGGTTATGCCACTGCTCTGTAAATTTGCATCTCATGGAAATAGTTACCATTTAATTTTTATATGGTTTTATGTTCCTATGATACTAATTGTGAATATATGGCCACCCCACCCTCCCCTGCTGAGGAAGGCATTGTCATTTATAATTTTTTTTAATTCTGAAATACCTGAGATAGGACTTTTATCAAATTTATAGAATTACTAGGTAATGGATAGAGACATAAAAAATACATTATCATGTGTTTGAATATTTATTTAAATTCCTCAGGATGTGTAGGGCAGTGAAGAGCATGGGCTTTGCTCTTGATCTCTAACAGATTTATATCCACAGTCCATGACTTATTATCTGTTTAACTTTAGCTAAGTTACTTAATGTTACTAAGCTTAAATTTCCATATATACAGAATGAGAACAAAAGTATATACCTAACAGAGTTGTTAAATATTGAATATAATAGTGAATATGAGATTCTTGGCACATAGAATATGCTCATTAAATATTTTATATATTAATTTTTAATTACTAGCTTTATTTCACATTCTTATGGCCCTTATTTCTGTATTCTTCAGTCTACACCTTTCAAACTCTCCATTCAAGCAGTATCTTTCTAGTGCTGTTAGAACATTTGATTTACCTGCTTAATAGGGGTAAACAAGTCTGGCACTCATCAGTTCTTCCTACTTAGAATCCAGATCACTGTTGATATTTTCTCATATCATTTATTAGTTCACATTTTCTTTTTTTAAAAATGTTTATTTTAAGTTCAGGGGTACAAGGGCAAGTTTGTTTTATTTTTATATTGTTTATTTGTTCACTTTTTTTTTTTTTCTGAGGCTGGGTGTCAGTCTGTCACCCATGCTGGAGTGCAGTGGTATGCAACCTCGACCTCCCCAGGCTCAGGTGATCCTTCCACCTCAGCCTTGAGAGTAGCTGGGACTACAGGCATGCGCCACCACACCCGGCTAATTTTTTTATTTTTTGTAGAGAGGGGGTTTCACCATGTTGTCCAGGCTGGTCTTGAATTCCTGAGGTCAAGTGATCCTCCCATCAGGGCCTCCCAAAGTACTGGATTACAGGCGTGAGCCACCACACCCAGCCTACATTTTCTTTTTTCAACTATGTTTCATATTATAGATTAATGATTTCTTTCTTTGTAAAAACTTTTACTGTCTAAGCATTTTCCAGTTTCTTTTATCCCACAAAATATAATTGCTAAAGGTTAATTTCATCATAAGTCTCGTTACCCTTTTTGGTCACACTCTAACTTCTTGCCTTAGATTAACTGTTTTTCCCAGTCATAATCTGCTTAACTCTTGCTTCTGTTTTCAAATCTGTTCTGTCAAGCACATTTCATGTCCTGCTTCAGTACATCTTGCTGTGGTCTGTGCCAGATGTAATATTAAGGGCTGGTGATACTGAGGTAAGGATACAAAGGCACTGTCCTTTGAGCAGAGCATACAGAATCTTTTTCAATTCATATTTTCATCATTTTAAAAAATTATTCCTTAAATGAGTTTTTTAAAAATATGGGCCAGGTGTGGTGGCGCACACCTGTAATCCCAGCACTTTGGGAGGCTGAGGAAGGTGGATCACAAGGTCAAGAGATCAAGACTTCCTGGCCAACATGGTGAAACCCCGTCTCTACTAAAAATACAAAAATTAGCTGGGTATGGTGGTGCAAGCCTGCAGTCCCAGCTACTCGGGAGACTGAGGCAGGAGAATCACTTGAACCTGGGAGGTGGAGGTTGCAGTGAGCTGAGATTGTGCCACTCTACTCCAGGCTGGTGACAGAGCAAGACTCCATCTCAAAAGAAAAAAGAAAAAAAGATTGAAGAGGGCAAATCAGATCAGTTGTAATATAAGAATAAGGAATAAGAGATGAACTTGCATTGAAATTGAAAAAGAAACTTTCACCTTTTATTCTACTTCAACTTTTTATTGTGCTGAGGTCTAAATCAAATAAATTTAAAAAGTGTTAAGCACCATAGATGTGCATTTTTAGGAATAAGATGAGTTATTCACTGAAGAAGAGCTCTGCAGGAAGGTGAAAGCTCTCCTTTAAATTCATGGTACAGTTTGCTCTTTGAAGGTCTTTTAAATCTCTTTTAAGATTATCATCTTAAATATTTCATATGGTTATGTAAGCATTTTATTAATTCCTTTGTAGAACCATCAGAACCAGCTAGAAATATTTGATGGGAACGTGGCTCACATAAGTACCTGGCTTTATCAAGCTGAAGCTCTATTGGATGAAATTGAAAAGAAACCAACAAGTAAACAGGAAGAAATTGTGAAGGTAGCAAACACAGACATCAGTAACGCTTTTGGGAGTGGCATGTTTTGTTGTCATGTTTTCTCTTCTGGAATGCTCTAAGTTACTTAGCTCTCATTCCTCCCAAGCATTAGATTCATTAACATTTATTTTGATGGGAGAAACTGAGACAATAAGAGACAAAATAAGAGACGAACTTGAAATTGAAAGACTTGTAAGAGATTTCAGCACAATCAACCGGAGTAAGACCTATTCACATAAGATGCCAATGAGTCTTGCTGATTGCTGACTTTTGTATTCTCCATTGAGTGCTGCTTACTTCTGTATTCTCCAGTGAGTCTTACTTACTTTTGTATTCTCCAATGAGTCTGTCTTACTTCTGTACTCTCCAATGAGTCTTACATACTTTTGTATTCTCCAGCGAGTCTTACTTCTGTATTTTCCAATGAGAATTACTTACCTCTGTGTTCTCCAATGAGTCCTATGTGAACAGCTCTCACCTGGTTGATTATGCTGAAATCTCTTACTGGGGATCCCAGATATTTATTTAAACTACCTTTCCTTCTGTATAAGCATCACACTCATGTTTGGGTTTGATTTTTCCCATGAGATAATTTTGTGTTTTCTTATAATTAGCGTTTAGTATCTGAGCTGGATGATGCCAACCTCCAGGTTGAAAATGTCCGCGATCAAGCCCTTATTTTGATGAATGCCCGTGGAAGCTCAAGCAGGGAGCTTGTAGAACCAAAGTTAGCTGAGCTGAATAGGAACTTTGAAAAGGTGTCTCAACATATCAAAAGTGCCAAAGTGAGTAATTATGCTTTTAGAGTAAACCATTTTTCCTATGGGTATGTATCTAAATGATAGTCATACAGTACATACATCAACAATTTTGTTTTATTATTTTAATTTTATTGTTTTCTCTCTCTGTCACCGAGGCTGGAGTGCAGTGGCATGAGCTCACTGCAACCTCCGCCTTCTGGGTGCAAGCTATTCTCCTGCCTCAGCCACCCAAGTAGCTGGGATTTCCGGCAACTGCCACCACACCCAGCTAATTTTTGTGTTTTTTTTAGGAGAGATAGGGTTTCACCATCTTGGCCAGGCTGGTCTTGAGCTGCTGACCTCAAGTGATCTGCCCGCCTTGGCCTCCCAAAGTGCTGGAATTACAGGTGTGAGCTGCTGCACCCGGCCAACAATTTTTAAATTAAAATGTTTTTAATCACTTTTTCTTTGAATGGAGCATTTGTCCGTATTTATTTGTGATTGTGCATATGAAGGAGAGAAAACAAGCAATTAGTATTGAAGAAAATAACCTATTTGAGAAAAGGTTTCAAAGACTCAGTCAAAGGTTAGAATTGGTTATGAAATGATGAAACTAATTCCCAAGCTAGGGATGAATATTAAACCCTTTATTTTATGGTCACACTCTATATATGTCTTCACATTGCACACACCACAGAACTTGTTTTTTTTTTTGTTTTATATGACGACAAATCTAAAAGTTACAGATAATTTCACAGTTTAATCCTAATGTAGGAAAGTACTACCTGATTTTATAAATTTAATAAAGAGCTTTAGACATTTAATTAACAGGGTAATAAATAGGACCTTTATGAGAGTGCTAGTTTTCCCACACTTAGCCAACCCCAGATGGTATTTATCTGCATTTAGTTTTATTAAAATTGTTTTATTGAGTTTTATTTAAACAAATATAAAATTTTTCTACGTAGATGTTATCTGAAAAGATGACATTGAGAAATATGCACTTCTTTGACGTTTGTGTATGAAAATCCAAGGGGAATTCTACTGAGGAAACTTAACTGGGAGACATTCTGTGAGGTGTCCCTGCCCTGGGGGCTGGGTGGCTGTTCTTCCTTTCTGTGGCCATGGTAAGGATAGTTTCTGGATCATGGCCATAGTTTCCTGCTATGCTCGCATGTGGTCTCCAAATCCACGCCACAACACTCTGGGCAGCCACAATGAATTGCAATACTACGTCACATCCCTGGCTAGAGTTTGGAGAAAACGGGTCATTCAGAGAAGTCTGAATTGGTAAAATCATTGCCATATAAATGAATGAAACAAAAGTTAGCTGAGCTGAATAGAAAAGTCAGTTAAAAAAGTGTTAGTTTCTCTCTTGACACCCCATCTCTCTGATTAATGATGGAAAGTCAAATTAAAAATCTATTTTCAGAGAATTCTTTTCCTTCTACAGTTGCTAATTGCTCAGGAACCATTATACCAATGTTTGGTCACCACTGAAACATTTGAAACTGGTGTGCCTTTCTCTGACTTGGAAAAATTAGAAAATGACATAGAAAATATGTTAAAATTTGTGGAAAAACACTTGGAATCCAGTGATGAAGATGAAAAGGTTGGTTCAAGGAGATTTCAAAACCATGGTGGTCTCATTTTTCTTCTCTATTAATTTCATTTTTACATCAAGATGTTTGCCCATATAATCTGTCAAACATGATGAAACAGATTCAAATGTGATTTTTTGATGTGTGTCAATGTAAGAGTCACATGATTCATGTGCTTAAAAAGAAAATAGACTCAGTTTCTGAACTAGACATAATCCTTAGTATTATCTAATGTTTGCTAAACTCTCTTTGAGACATTTTATCTTCAAATATAAAATATATTTAAAAAAAACATAAATTTTTTGATCGTTCAGGTTAACATATCTTGACGTATACTATACTAAGTAGGTTAGTTTTCCTCCTTAGGAGTTGATAGGAAGTGACCTTATGCATTTTTCTTTTGAGTCATTTTTTTTTTCCTTTTAAAAATTTAGATGGATGAGGAGAGTGCCCAGATTGAGGAAGTTCTACAAAGAGGAGAAGAAATGTTACATCAACCTATGGAAGATAATAAAAAAGAAAAGATCCGTTTGCAATTATTACTTTTGCATACTAGATACAACAAAATTAAGGTATTATGATTGGAGAGTCTCTGTTGCATTTAAATACCTTACTTAACTCTTGCCATTCAGATGTGTGATGCTGCATCACAGATGCTTTAAAACACACCAGTTGGAATATCATCTCCTCCTTTCTAGTGTGTGTTACTAGATGTGTTCATATTTTTGGATGGTGCAGAACTCAAAATGGAAATGTAAAACCTTATTATTGGCCATCTCTTTTGGATTTCTGATTATGTTATCAAACCTAAAAGAGATCTATCTATTTCAGAAGTGGCTTCCTCCAATTCCATATTTTATTTGTGAAGGTCTTGTCTATGTCAAAAAAAATTTCTAGTTTAAAAATAACTCAGTTTGTGAAAGTGATGTAATATGATTTATATTCTAGTAAAGATTCACTACCAGCTCCCTTTTTATTTCTTTATATTTTTCTTTTTTTTTTTTAAAGATGGGGTATCTCTATGTTGCCCAGGCTGATCTTGAACTCCTAGGCTCAAGTGATCCTCCTATGTCAGTCTCCCAAGTTGCTAGGACTACAGGTGTGTGGGCCACCATATCCAGCTCCAGCTCTTTTTTAAACGGCAATCTTTCTAGCTGCATTTTAAGTGTGCTGTTGTTCCCTGGGGTCCGTTCTTTGGTAGTTCCTTCTAGAACGATTTTTATTTGATGACTTTGGAAATTAAGTAGATCGATTATGGTACTGTATTTTTACTGTACCTTTTCTATGTTTAGATATGTTTAGATACATAAATACTTCCAACTGTGTTTCAGAATTGCCTATAGTATTCAGTACAATAACGTGCTGTAAAGTTTTAGCCTAGGAGCAATTGACTATACCACACAGCCTAAGTGTGCAGGAGGCTGTACCATCTAGGTTTGTGTAAGGGCACTCTATGATGTTTGTATGACAATGAAATAACCTAGAGACACATTTCTCAGAACATGTCCCTGTTATTAAGCAATGCATGACTATACTTTAAAAACTAGCCATTCTCTCAAGGCTGAAGCCTCAACATCCTTCTTAACTATTTCTTGTTCCTCACATATCTTCTCACATCACACTGAGTAGGCATTAAAACTGTTGAGACTGCTTGAAGCAACATACAGGTTTGAACGTGAAGTTAGATATTGCTCTACCAGCTGCTTGTTTTATGACCATCAGAAAGTGCCTTAGCTTATTTTACTTCACTATCCTTTCCATAATTTAGACTAATGATTTTCTCCCATGATATTATATCCCATGGACATATTCTTATGTCTGTTTTTTCTCACTCTAGCATGTCCTTTGTCTCTTCCTCACAGTTATTCTCCCCAAAGTCATGGCTGATCATGTCATTCCTTCATCGAAGAAACTGTTTAGGAAAATATTGCAAAATACAGAAAAAGCTTTAAATGCAAGGTCTGTCAATATAACGACATACAAAGTCTTCAGTCTGACCCCTGGCTCCTTATGTCTTTGATGTGCTGTCACTTCCCATGTAGTACAGCTATGCTGGTTTTTCTTTACATTTTCCTAAACACATCATGTGCCTTAGCACATCTGGGAACTTATTAATTTTATTCCGATTCCCTAGAGTGAGTTTTGTCTTTTTAGGTTAGCTGAAAAATGCGTTATCTTTTAAAACTCAGCTCCATTTTTATTTCTAACTTCTGTCAGATTATATTATAGTTCTCTGCTTTATTGTGACTTTTTAAAGTATCTTTCTTCCCTAATGCTTCTCCAAGTTCAGGCAATATCTTTTTCATCTTTGGGTCCGAAATCAGAAATTATTACTGGCACAAAATAGAAATAAGTTTTAAGCTTTTAATACATAAATAAATTTGTTTGTTAAAAGTACTAATATATACTATACAAGCTAATTTCATTCTGGCTTTACTAACATTGGTAGGCGAACTATGTTACAAACTTCAAATCTATAGTTTTCAAACTTATATGATTCTTAAGTGTGAACATGAGAATTACTGTGGGGGAGCTTTAAAAAAACTACAGTGCCCAAATCTAATTCCTGAAACAGGTAAATCAGAATCTCTCAGGACCTAGGTGTGGGCATTTACAAAAACAAAACACAAAACATTTGTAGATGATTTTAATGTACAATTAGGATTGAGAAGCACTAGTTTACAGGACTCATTGTCTTACCTGAAATATATGTTAAGTGACCTTTTCCAATTTGTTTACTAGAGTATTACTGTTTTTAAATTATGTATGAGCACTTTATAAAGATATTAACCACTTGCCATAATTGCTATAAAATATTATCTTATTGATATTTATCTTCTAATTATTTTATCTTTAAGATATAACCATTTAAAATTTTTGTTTAGCCACAGGTGACTATGTTTTCCCTTAGTGATTTTTCAGGGGTTTCTGTTTTGGGATCTAAAAAGTTTTCATCCTCCAGAAAGTTGATGAATATTCAATTCTGTTTAGTTCCAGGTTTTTCCTATGGTTTGGTAAAAACAAAACTTAGAAATTTAATAAAACACTCACTTAAAAATCTCTTTAATCTTTGCTATATGATGTGAGCTACGTCATGTAACACTGTCTCATTTAAGTACTGACCTCTAGTATATTTGTGTTTCTGTGTCCTTGGAGAATTCTTTAAAAATAAAATTGTCCAGAAGTAAAGTCTCGGTCAGATCTCGAGGACATTTTTTTAGTCCTAGGGCATTTTGATTGATCACTCTCTTGGGGGAAAAAAATCTATTTTGGGAATACAGAAAGCACATGTTTAAGTCTTGAACGGCCTTGCTGCTTCTGCAAGAGTGGGAAGGCTCAGAAAAATCCTGGATTGTCCTATAGTCTGAAAAGAAAAAGAGGCAGTCTTAATGAATGGGAATTTTTTAAACTTGGATCTTTATGATACCTACTAACCTCCCTAGTTTATTCTAAAGCTTCAGGTACACGTGGTCTTGCAGAATGACAATCCGTTATGTAACTGAAGAAGCAGCACAGGAATTCCAGTCTTGCAGTAGTAGCTGAGGTATAAAAGTGGCTCCCAACATTTACCTAATGGAGCAGATTAAAAAACAAATGTGGCATGTATTATCTAGTGGTGCTAAATGAGGAAAGTACTACAAAGGTAAATGTCCCTACAAGCATAATAAAGTAGTTGGATGTCTGGAGTTTTTTGGTCTTTTGGAAAACAGATGACCTTTCAGCAAAATCTTGGTTAATGGATGGGAAGCCAAGAAGGAAAACGGGTCCCACTTTCCTCTTTTACTTTTTCGACATGATTACTCAACCTAGAAATACTTTCATTGGGCTATTTTCTTTTCCTTAAAGTTAAGAGGGAGAACAATTGAGCCTAGTTTTCTGATCTTCCAAAATAAAAACACTGGCTTATTTGAAATGAAAATCCAAAAGAATTATTTTTGATTTTTTCTTTTCTTAAAAAATACTTAGCATCTTTTTATTCATAACTGGTTTCTGGGTAGATATGTTATTTATTTCAGCATTCTTTTATATTTGCTTAAAACACAGAATTTGTTTCCTTAGACATATGGGTAAATATCTAGAAATGCTTTCTGACTAAAATTTAAACTTGCGGCATTAGGATAATAAAATTAATCTTGGAGACAAGTGTAATTAGTTCTGTTGTTAAAGTCAAGAAATGTATAGACCTGCTTCTAACCTGGCTATCCAGAACTACCCTCAAATGATGGACGCAGTAGTTTAACAAATTCTAGGAGGCAATAATGCAGTCCTCTAGGTTCAACACCATGTTATCCACTCAATGATTTTAGTCATGAGTCTTGGATTCCTTTAGAGATTGGATTGTAACCATTTTCAAGATCACTAACTGAATTAACATGCATTTGTGATCGTTTTACCTATCATCTTGAATTTACAGATGATTATCATTTTTTAGAAGTTCAACATAGGAGAAGTGAAAGTGTCAAGGAAGGTACCTTAATTCATGAGCAGCTGCAGTTTGGCCCTTTGCAAGTGGTAATACGTAGCACTTATTAAATTGTGGCCATCTAGGAGTAAAGGGTTTGAACTCCTGAAGGACTGGCGGTCCATCCCAGAGAGCACTTTATTGTTTAGAAAGCTCTGAGAAGAGGGCCGGGCATGGTGGCTCATGCCTGTAATCCCAGCACTTTGGGAGGCTGAGGTCAGCTGATCACTTGAGGTTAAGAGTTCGAGGCCAGCCTGGCCAACATGGTGAAACCCCATCTCTACTAAATATATAAAAGTTAGCTGGGCATGATGGTGCATGCTTGTAATCCCAGCTACTCAGGAGGCTGAGGCAGAAGAATCGCTTGAACCTGGGAGGCAGACGGTGCAGTGAGCCGAGATCACAGCACTGCACTCCAGCCTGGGAGGCAGAGCAACACTCTGTCCTGCACCCCCCCAAAAAAATAAAAATGAAAAAGAAAGCTCTGAGAAGAGGATCCAGAAAATCTATATTAGGGCAGATGAGTAGTCCATAGAGCCTCAAGTCTGTCTAAATATGACACTTCATGATCTATTTTCTAATGTAGGATATTCCTGCTCTATAATATTATTCTCAGAGATTAAGATTACATACTGAATTACCTGGATATTACTTTAATCAAAACCCTTTGTGCATTTCATGTTGTGTTATGGAAACATGTTTAACTTGCTTATATTTTTAGCAATGAGGTCCAATTTTAAAATTGTGATATTTTTAAAAGAGTGAAATAATGTATCAAAATGTTTTATTTCATACAAAACTTTGTGATTGGCAGGATATTCTCATTCTTTCAACAACTCAAGAAAGGAATTGTTGTTTTTTGTTTGCTAACTGAGTTTAGATGGCATAGATCTTAAAGCCTGTCAAATTAATAACATACTTATACTGTTTAATATCATGCTGCAGATGAAAATTAGGATACAGATTGTTAAGGTTTTCTGTTGCAAGGTAGGTTTATAATATAAAATATTAAAACTAAGTTTTAAAAATTTGGTTCATGATATTGCATTCCTTCACACAATAGTCTTGTTATTATTCATTGTGGGGGTATTTTAAGAGATATATATATATATATATATTTTTTTTTTTGCTGTTTTTGTAGGCAATCCCTATTCAACAGAGGAAAATGGGTCAACTTGCTTCTGGAATTAGATCATCACTTCTTCCTACAGATTATCTGGTTGAAATTAACAAAATTTTACTTTGCATGGATGATGTTGAATTATCGCTTAATGTTCCAGAGCTCAACACTGCTATTTACGAAGACTTCTCTTTTCAGGAAGACTCTCTGAAGGTAGACCTCTGGGCACTGTGTTTGAATGGCCACAGTTAATGTAGAAGTAGAGGAAGAAATTTGTTCTTGTGCCTACTTAGATGGTCTATATCTTTTACAATTTGTGCCAGGGGATTAATAATATGTATGACTAGTAAAGCTTTCCTATATTGTCAAAGAAAATATATTAAATTTTGAATTTTTAAAAAGTGGGTATGGATTGTTAAATGTGCACAGTTATAAATTATTTGCAACATCAGAGCCTTGTTTAAAATTAAACAGAGACATAGACCACCTTCCTGTCTTATAAACTAGATTGTCAGTTGATGTTAATTGTCAGCATTTATCAGGCAATCTATAATGGTTTAAAATTGGCCAGTTGAGGTATGGAATGGCATCTTGATTGTAAGTTAATTAAACTTAAATTCTAGCAAGGCATTTTCATGTAACTTGATTGCATTTATATGTAAAATCACAATAAATTCACTGATAATATGGATTTGATAGTGCATTCCTCTCATTTAAACTAACATTATTAGATATTTGAAAATATCACTATTTCCAGCTTCAAATGCCTCATTACCTATAGAGAATGTTACTGAAGCCTTTCATGTGTTCTGTACAAATGCTACTATTGTGAGGACTTTTTTTCCTGCCTTGAGTATATTATGTAGCATATTCCACACACTTTGGTTAAAACAGAGTATCATTTAAAAAAAAAAAGTTTTCAGTTTTCATGATTAACAATGATTATGTCTCATTATTATTTCAAATGAGTGTTCTACAATATAAATATCTGGTCATCTGTGATTCCTTTTTTTGTTACTTTGCTGGATTTTGTTAATCTATGACAATATATTTTTAGAATATCAAAGACCAACTGGACAAACTTGGAGAGCAGATTGCAGTCATTCATGAAAAACAGCCAGATGTCATCCTTGAAGCCTCTGGACCTGAAGCCATTCAGATCAGAGATACACTTACTCAGCTGAATGCAAAATGGGACAGAATTAATAGAATGTACAGTGATCGGAAAGGGTATGTGTAAATGAAATTAATATTTAATTTAAAAAAATGCCTGCAAGTTCATGGGCGTGAAGAAGATCATGTGGACACTGAGATTAATGAGAACATGTTTCATATCCTTGTAGGATGCCCTATTATTTTTTTTTCTTTTAAGAAGGAGTCTTGCTCTGTCACCCAGGCTGGGGTGCAGTGGCATGATCTCAGCTCACTGCAACATTTGCCTCCCAGGTTCAAGCAATTCTCCTGCCTCAGCTTCCCAAGTAGCTGGGATTACAGGCGCACACCACCACGCCTGGCTAATTTTTGTATTTTTAGTAGAGATGGGGTTTCACCATGTTGGCCAGGCTGGTATTGAACTCCGGACCTCAGGCAGTCCGCCTTGCCTTGGCCTCCCAAAATGCTGGGATTACAGGTGTGAGCCACTGCACCCGGCCTTATGCCCTGTTTAATAAATTGTGATGAGTATAGTTCCTTAAAGGAGGAATGTGATCATGTATAGATGACCATTTATAACATAATATCTTAATGATATGGAAGCACTTCTAATTTTTAGTGTCTAAATAGTGTCCATTCTCTTTAAAAAAACTAAAGAAATTTTTCATTAATGTTCACTTTCTCAGCACACTTGATGATTAATGTGAGTGAAGAACAGAGGCAGCTACAGATAATTAGAATCCATATATAGTACCAAACTCTTTTTTATAGCCTTCTGTTTAAATGAATGCTTTTGAGCCTTCTTACTAGATTTTGACCAGGACTATTAATAGGTAGAAATGAAAACAGGCAAGATTTTTGCCAGTAGCTGTGGATGTGATGGAAAGGCAAATAAGTTATGAAATAACCCAGTGGAAAGCGCTGTATAAGAGGAAAGGGAGCACAGAATAATACATTGGGTAACTTGAGAGACATACGCACAAAAACTAGGCATCATGTTCCTTCTCTTTTTTTCTATTTTAGCCTACATATTTCAATGTGACTAATCCTTGAAAAGATAGCTTTTAGTGGCCTTTGGTATATTCCTTTGTTTGGATTTTACAAATTTTCTCTTTGTACCTTTGGAGAACATTCTTTTACATACATCTTTATCCATACTTATATTTCATTAGGCTTGATCATTAGATGAAGACAAATTTCTTTAAAAATAATGACATTTTAAACCCCTGTATTATATCATGAAATTGGTTACTATACCCCTGCCAACAGTATTTGTAAAAATATCCTTCTTTTTGAGCCCTTACTAACATTGACAGGTTTTTTTTTTATTATTTAAAAAAACTTTGCCAGTTTAATAGTGATAGATTACATCTCAATTTTATTTTCATTTTTAAATTTTTAGTGCTACTAATTTTTGTACGTCAATTTTGTATCCTGAAACTTTGCTGAATTTATTTACCAGTTCTAGGAGCTTTTTGGATGAGTCTTTAGGGTTTTCTAGGTATATGATCATGTTACCAGCAAACAGTAACAGTTTGAGTTCCTTTTAACCAATTCGGATGCCCTTTATTTCTTTCTCTTGTCTGATTGCTCTGTCTAGGACTTCCGGTACTATGTTGAATGCAAGTGGTGAAAGTGGGCATCCTTTTCTTGTTCCAGTTCTCAGGGGGAATGCTTTCAATTTTTCCTCATTCAGTATAATGTTGGCTATGGGCTAAAAGTCATAGATGGCTTTTATTACCTGAAGGTATGTTCCTTCTATGCCAATTTTGCTGAGAATTTTAATCATAAAGGGATGCTAGATTTTGTCAGAGGCTTTTTCTGAGTCTGTTGAGGTGATCATGTGATTTTTGTTTTAATTCTGTTTATGTGGTGTATCACATTTATTGACTTGTGTATGTTAAACCATCCCTGCATCCCTAGTATGAAACCCACTTGATCATGGTTTATTGTCTTTTTGATATACTATTGGATTCAGTTAGCTAGTATTTTGTTGAGGATTTTTGCATCTATATCAGGGATTTGGTCTGTAGTTTTCTTTTTTGTTATGTCCTTTCCTGGTTTTGGTATTAGGGTAATACTGGCTTCATGGAATGATTTAGGGAGGATTCCCTCTTTCTCTATCTTTTGGATAGTGTCAGTAGGATTGGTACCAATTCTTCTTTGAATGTCTGATAGAATTCAGCTCTGAACCCATCGGGTCCTGGGCTTTTTTTTGCTGGTAATTTTTTAATCATGATTTTAATCTTGCTGCTTGTTATTGGTCTGTTTAGAGTTTCTATTTCTTCCTGGTTTAATTTAGGAGGGTTGTATATTTCCAGGAATTTATCCATATCCTCTAGGTTTTCTAGTTTATGCATGTAAAAATGTTCATAATAGCCTTGATCTTTTGTATTTCTATGGCATCAGTTGTAATATCACCCATTTTGTTTCTGATTGAACTGATTTGGATCCTCTCTCTTTTCTTGGTTAATCTCACCAATAGTCTGTAAATTTTATTTATTTTTTTAGAGAACCAGCTTTTTGTTTCATTTTTTTTTGTATTTTTGTTTATTTGTTTCATTTTCATTTAGCTCTGCTCTGATCTTGGTTATTTTTTTTTCTTCTGCTGGGCTTGGGTTTGGTTTGTTCTTGTTTATCTAGTTCCTTGAGGTGTGACTTTAGATTGTCTATTTGTGCTCTTTTAGACTCTTTGATGTAGGCATTTAATGCTATGCACATTCCTCTTAGTACCGCTTTTGCCATATCCCAAAAGTTTTGATAGGTTGCGTCACTATTATCGTTCAGTTCAAAGAATTTTTAAATTTCCATCTTGATTTCATTGATGACCCAATGATCATTCAGGAGCAGGTTATTTCGTTTCCATATATTTGCATGGTTTTGAGGGTTCCCTTCAGACTTGATTTCCAATTTCATTCCACTGTGGTCTGAGAGAGTACTTGATGTAATTTTAGTTTTCTTAAATTTGTTGAGACTTGTTTTGTGGCTTATCACATGGTCTATCTTGGAGAATATTCCATGTGTTCATGAATAGAATATATATTCTGCAGTTGTTGCATAGAATGTTCCGTAAGTATCTGTTAAGTCCATTTGTTCTAGGGTATAGTTTAATTCCATTGTTTCTTTGTCGACTTTCTGTCTGGGTGACTTGTCTAGTGCTATCAGTGGAGTATTGAAGTCCACCACTGTTAATGTGTTGCTGTTTATTTCATTTCTTAGGTCTAGTAGTAATTGTTTTACAAACTTGGGAGCTCCAATGTTAGGTGCATATATATTTAGGATATAATTTCCTGTTGGACTAGTCTTTTTATCATTATATAATGTCCTTCTTTGTCTTTTTTAACTGCTGTTGCTTTAAAATTTATTTTGTCTGATATAAGAATAGCTACTCCTGCTTGCTTTTGGTGTCCATTTGGATGGACTGTTATTTTGCACCCCTTTGCCTTAAGTTTATGTGAGTTTTTATGTGTCGGGTGAGTCTCTTGAAGACAGCAGTTACTTGGTTGGTGAATTTTTATCCATTCTTCTATTCCGTATCTTTTAAATGAAGCATTTAGGCCATTTACATTGAATGTTATTATTGAGATATGAGGTACTATTCTATTTATCATGATATTTGTTGCCTCAATACCTTGGTTTTTTTTTTTTTTTCATTTTGTTATTGTTAATAGGTTCTTTGAGATCTATGCTTTATTGTTGTTGTTGTTGACAGGTCTTCTTCTGTCACCCAGGCTGGAGTGCAGTGGCATGATCTCGGCTTACTGCAACCTCTGCCTCTCAGGTTCAAGCAGTTCTCTGCCTCAGCCTCCCATGTAGCTGGGGCTACAGGTGCCCACCACCATGCCTGGCTAATTTTTTTTGTATTTTTTAGTACAGGTGGGGTTTCACTGTGTTAGCCAGGCTGACCTCAAACTCCTGACCTCAGGTGATCCACCTGCCTCAGCCTCCGAAAGTGCTGGGATTACAGACGTGAGCCACCACACCTGGCCAAGATTTATGCTTCAAGAAGATTCTATTTTGTTGTATTTCTAGGATTTGTTTCAAGACTTAGAGCTCCTTTTAGCAATTCTTGTAGTGCTGGCTTAATAGCAGCAAATTCTCTCAGTATTTGTTTGAAAAAGACTATCTTTCCTTCATTTATGAAGCTTAGTTTCACTGGATACAAAATTCCTGGCTTGTAATTGTTTTGTTTAAGGAGGCTGAAGATAGGACCCCAATCTCTTCTAGCTTATAAGGTTTCTGCTGAGAAATCTTCTGTTAATGTGATAGATTCTTCTTTATAGGTTACCTGATGCTTTTGCCTCACAACTGTCAATATTCTTTCCTTCTTATTGACTTTACGTAACCTGATGACCATGTGCCTAGGCAATGATCTTTTTGCGATGAGTTTTCCAGGTGTTCTTTGAGATTTTTGTATTTGGATATCTAGATCTCTAGCAAAGCCGGGAGGTTTTCCTCAATTATTCCTGCAAATATGTTTTAGATACTTTTGGATTTCTCTTTTACTTGGGAACACAAATTATTCTTTGGTCTTTTAACATATTCCCAAACTTCATGGAGGCTTTGTTCATTTTTTAAAATTCTTTTTTCTTTTTCTTTGTCAGATTGGGTTAATTCAAAAGCCTTGTCTTTGAGCTCTGAGGTTTCTTCTACTTGTTCGAATTTATTGCTGAGACTTTCCAGTGCATTTTGCATCTCTCTGAGTGTGTCCTTGATTTCCAAAAGTTGTTTTATTTATGCTGTTTATTTCACTCGAGATTTTTTCCTTCATATGCTGTGTCATTGTTTTGATTTCTTTAAGTTGGACTTCACCTTTCACTGGTGTGTCCTTGATTGGTTTAATAATCGACCTTCTGAATTCTTTTTCTGGCAATTCAGAGATTTTGTCCTGGTTTGGATCCATTGCTGGTAAGCTAGTGTGATTTTTTTTTTTTTTTTTTTTTGAGATGGAGTCTTACTCTGTTGCCCAGGCTGGAGTTGCAATGGCACAATCTCAGCCCACTGCAACCTCCGCCTCCCAGGTTTGAGTGATTCTCCTGCCTCAGCCTCCTGAGTAGCTGGGATTCCAGACACGCATCACCACACCAGCTTATTTTTGTATTTTTAGTGGAGACAGGGTTTCCCCATGTTGGCCAGGCTGGTCTTGAACTGCTGACCTCAGGTTATCTGCCTGCCTTGGCCTCCCAAGTTGCTGGGATTACAGGCATGAGCCACTGCCCCCAGCCTAGTGTGATCTTTTTGGGTATTTTAAAGAACCTTGTTTTGTCATATTACCATAATTGTTTTTCTGGTTTCTTCTCATTTGGGTAGAGCATGTCAGAGGGAAGATCTGGGAATCAGTGGCTGCTGTCCTGATTCTTTTGTCCCATGAAATGCTTCCTTGATGTAGTGCTCTCCTCCTTCCCCTAGGGATGGGGCTTCCTGAGAGCTGAACTGCAGTGATTATTATTTATCTTCTGAAGCTAGCCATCCAGCACAGCTACTGGGTGCTGAGCGGGTACTGGGAAGTGTCTGCAAAGAGTCCTGTGATGTGATGTGATCTGTCTTCAGGTCTCTCAGCTGTGGATACCAGCACCTGCTCTGGTGGAAGTAACAGGGGAGTGAAGCGGCCTCTGTGAGAGTCCTTGGTTGTATTTTGGTTAAGTTCGCTGGTTTTCTGTTGGTTGGCCCCCAGCCAGGAGATGGTGCTTACAAGAGAGCATCAGCTGCAGTAGCATAGAGAGGATTAGGCGGCAGGCAGGGCCATAGAGCTCCTAAGAAATTATCTTCTTTGTCTTTGGCTACTGGGGCGAGTAGAGAAAGACCATCAGGTTGGGCAGGGTTAGGTGCTGAGTCAGACTCTCCTTGTGCATGGCTTGTTGTGGCTGCTATGGGGGATGGGGGTGTGGTTCCCAGGCCAGTGGAGTTATGTTCCCAGGGGGATTATGGCTGCCTCTGCTGCATCACACAGGTTGCCAGGGAAGTGAGGGAAAGCGTGCAGTTGCAGGCCTCACTCAGTTTCCATGCAGCCCACGGCCCAAAAGGCCAGTCTTAGTCCTATCAGGAACCCCTTCCGCCACCCCCACACCCCCACTGGCCCAACAGCATTGGGTTTATTTCCAGGCAGCTGGTGAGCAGGGTTGAGAACTTGCCCCAGGTGACAAGTCTCCCAGCTGAGAACGCAAGCTGATCTCCAGTTCCTCGGCTCTCCCATGCAGCATGCAGCAGCATTCCACCTCCTTCAAAGGGTCTGTAGATTCTCTCAGTTTTCCTGGTATGTTCCTGCGGTAGTTCTTGGAACAAAAGTCCACTATGTGTCTGCACATGCTGCTGTTTGTCTGAGTGGGAGCTGCAAGTTAGACCTTCCTCCTATCCACCATTTTTTTTTCTCTCTGTCACTGATGATACATTCTAAGTTTAATGTTTGTATTTTCAAAGTCTTTAGATCTTTGGAACAGTCTTATAGCATCTCGAATTTGGAAATTGTGATTGTTGTGTAGTTATTGTGAATTTTTGCAAATGATAATGAGTGTCAATATCACCTCATAGTGCCTTTTTTTTAAGTGCTTTTCTTTTTCCATGCTCAATAGAAAATTGCTTTACTGTGGGCAGTATTAGCAAAATGTTAAAAGTAATTTTCATGGAGAAAGACGATATACACATTATTTAGGGGTTATTGATATTAGGAGCCATTTTATTTAAAAAATATATATTTTATTAATATTGTTAAGATCTCAGAGATCACTTCTAAAACTCAGCTCCATTACTCTTAAACAAAAAGATAGGAGAAAAAATTATTTAGGATCCTGGTCCAATAAAGCTTTTCCTTTTTATGCTTATTTCATGTATCCTGAATATAACAAGCACTGGGTTTTACTTTGCCATCTTTAAAAGAGTTTGGTTTAAACAGAAATCTCAATAGCCCTCTGTCTTATTGCATAACGGGCTCTGCATGCAATTTCATACTTTGCTGTATTTAGGTAAATGGGACCCTCAGGACCAGTCATTACCCGAAGTACATTAATCTGCTCAGGCAGCCGTTATAAGATAACATAGACTGGGTAGCTTAAACAACAGACATTTACTTTCCCACAGTTCTGGAGGCTGGAAGTTCAAGATCAAGGTGCCAGTAGATTTGGTGTCTAGTGAGGTCTCTCTTACTGGCTTGCAGATGGCCACCTTCTTGCTGTGTCCTCACATGAGAGAGCTCTGTGGTGACTCTTCCACCTATTATAAGGACACCAGTCCTTTCAGACTAGAGCCCCACACTTATGACCTCATTTAACCTTATTTGTGTCCTGGAAAGCTCTATCTCTAAGTACAGTCACACTGTGGGGTTAGGGCTTCAACATAAGAATTTTGATTGGACATAATTCAGTATATAACATATAGATAGAGGGGTATACGGGCATTTTGAAGTGTTTTGGCCTTTTGTGCTTTATTCTTGCCGGGAACTAAGTGTTCTGGTAGTAAAACAACATATTTTTCCCCAAGAAAATAATGAATCATATTTTATATTTCACAGTATTTAAATGTTAAATGTATAAAGTTGGATGCGTTAACATGCCTACAACTAATCGATCCTGATTTTTCAAGCCAGAAAAGGCTGCATCTTTTTAGTTAAAAAGCTGCTCGAGTGTGTGTGTGAGTGTGTTTGTGAGTGTGTATGTGAGTGTGCATGTGTGTATACGTGAGTGTGCATGTGTGTGTGTATGAGAGAGAGGATTTGGTAGCTGGTGGTGTGAGCAGATTGCTTTGCCCTTGTTATGATGCATATATCTCTAGGAGGAATTATTACCTGTATCCCACTACGAAAATTGGTTTTGTGGAGCAATAGGCTGTGAATTCAGTTGTTTGAGGTCTTTCTGTTTAAATGAAATTTGATTTTCTTTTTTAGAAAAATGGCTTTAGGCAGTCCTGGAAAATTTGGAAACCTATTTTATTTTGTGTATTGTCCTCTAGTTGTTTTGACAGGGCAATGGAAGAATGGAGACAGTTCCATTGTGACCTTAATGACCTCACACAGTGGATAACAGAGGCTGAAGAATTACTGGTTGATACCTGTGCTCCAGGTGGCAGCCTGGACTTAGAGAAAGCCAGGATACATCAGCAGGTGAGTGCTTTCTGTTAGAGGAGGGGGACTGCACATATGGTTAGTGTATGCCTGTTAAGACAGATTTCAGAAGTAGGGACAAAATATATTAATTTTTCAGAAGTCAATGGACAATTTGTAATTTTTGTTCCAATTCTTGTTACCAGTTATAAAAGTTTAAGAAATTGGTCAATCACAATTTTCAATCAGGATTTCAAAGAAATTTAAATAAAAATACTCCTTGGTGGCTAATGTGAAAAACAATTTTATTTAAACAATTTTATATTTAGAATAAAATTTGTAAACTGTTATGCCTAAGACTATACCAAGAACAGAAAAAATATTTGCATGCCTCACCTCTGTTTTTTGTACTTAAACACTTAGGCATCTCATTTTTCTTTGTATCATTGATAATTATCATAAAGTAAATTATTCTGGAGCGACAGCAGGGCAGCTGCTCATGTAAGTCTAATTCAGTCTTGGGAAAATATAACACAAAGTTAGTTCTGATAACAATAGGTCTTTAAAAATAATGGTAGAAAGCACACGCAATTTCAATTCTACCATTGATAAAAATATTTTCTCTTTTATTAAGTTTTTTAAATGTATTTTATTTAGAAGGACATGACAATTTAAAGATAATTCATTTGTTTTTCTTATAAATGTGTTAATGTGGCCGGGCGCGGTGCCTCACACTTGTAATCCCAGCATTTTGGGAGGCTGAGGTGGGCGGATTATGAGGTCAGGAGATCGAGACCATCCTGGCTAACATGGTGAAAACCCATCTCTACTAAAAATACAAAAAATTAGCCGGGCATGGTGGAACGCACCTGCAGTCCCAGCTACTCAGGAGGCTGAGGCAGGAGAATTGCTTGAACCTGGGAGGCAGAGGTTGCAGTGAGCCAAGATCGTGCCACTGCACTCCAGCCTGGGTGACAGAGCAATACTGTGTCAATAAATAAATAAATAAATAAATAAATGTGTTAATGCATTTTTCTTATTTTTGGAGTTACAGATAAGTGTTTAAATTTGACTTGAAAATATTCATTCAATCTGTTACTTAAACATTTGTAGACCAGTGTATTAGTCTGTTCTCATGCTGCTAATAAAGACATACCTGAGACTGGGTAATTTATAAAGGAAAGAGGTTTAATTGACTCATAGTTCAGCATGGCTGAGGAGGCCACAGGAAACGTCCAGTCATGGTGGAAGGGGAAAGAAACATGTCCTTCTTCATATGGCGGCAGGAGAGAGAAGTGCTGAGCAAAGTGGGGGAAAAGTCCCTTATAAAACCATCAGATCACTCTCACTAGAACAACACGAGGGTAACCACCCCTGTGATTCAGTTACCTCCCACTGGGTCCCTCCCTTGGCATGTGGGGATTATGGGAGGTACAATTCAAGATGAGATTTGGGTGGGGACACAACCAAACCATATCAACCAGTGAAGCAATATCTTAGTAAAATGTGCATTTAGGTTTACTTGTATGTGGTAGGACACAAGGATATAAGGATTTATTGGGGTATATAATTTTTTAAAGCAATGCCTTCAAGCACTTGCTTGAAAGAAGATGAGCAATTCATTTTCATCAAACATGATTGATGCTTATGCTTTAATGTAAACAGCTGTTATTCATTTTAGTTATTAAGCTGCCCTATTTCCTTGTATTTTGCCTGATGACATTCATGAAGGTGGGTTAGATTTCAAAATAAATTTCATTTAGCATGTTCATTGAAATGTAATTAAATTGTTTTAAAATGCCTTTTTTTTCTAACATAAAATATCTTTCCAGGAGTTTGTTTCTTTCACACTTAAATTGATACCACAATACTTGGGTGGATTCATTGCATCAGAATCATTTACTTATTAGTGAAACTAATCTTGAGTTGTGCTCTGTTACAGGAACTTGAGGTGGGCATCAGCAGCCACCAGCCCAGTTTTGCAGCACTAAACCGAACTGGGGATGGGATTGTGCAGAAACTCTCCCAGGCAGATGGAAGCTTCTTGAAAGAAAAACTGGCAGGTTTAAACCAACGCTGGGATGCAATTGTTGCAGAAGTGAAGGATAGGCAGCCAAGGTGATTTAGCTATGATTGTTTGCAGGCACAGGAGTGAACATATTTTGGATAGAATCTTTTAAGATGCAATCTAATGAGTTCTTTTATTGTTTGACATTATAATAGGAATTTTACTGACATTTAAGACCTCCACTGCCCACGTTCTCCCTTCCTGTATTTTTAGGCTGTCCATAAAGTCTCACTTTTCTACTCAAATGCTACATATGTAAAAACCAAACACCTTTATTCCTTTTATTTACAACTGCTTATTATGATATGGTGATTATGATGGGAATTTAAAGTAGTTGAAATAACTGAAACTCCAGGTTTCAGGTTTGAAGGTCTGGGTTCAAGATCAGACCTTCCCTTTGCTTATTTCCTGATTGAGCCTACCTTAGTAATACGTCTCACTAAGTTATTTTGGTGTCAAATGTTGTGTTCTATTCATGCTTTGCCAATAATAAAGTTCTTCATCTATGTAATATAATATAATATAATATAGTATTATTAATTTTTATGTCAGATTATGTTACAGTGACTCAGATTTTATTTGGGCATCTTCCAGTTGCAAATTTGTTTTGCAATTGGAATATAATGCCCAACACTATAGACACTTTCCATATTTAAAATTATTTGACATTATTTTCTGAGACAGTCAAGATTTATGAATGATTTCTACTTTGTTTCATATATTCCGTCATTAATGATCTTTTTTGTTTGTTTGTTTCTTGTTGGTAGTTTAGGGTTAAAAACTCCACGATTTTTTTTTCTGTTAATTTTAACTCTGTTGATGAAGTATTATTTTAGTGATAAGCTATCATTTTGTGAAAGGCCAATCTAATACTTTATCAGGTCCAGTATTATTATGCAACCTAAAATATTCAAGTATCATGTGACCTACAGTTGCTTTTCATTTAAAAAATCTATTATTTTGTGTGTTTTGGTAAGAGACAAATAATAATTAGTACGTTTTGGTTGAGAGATTACCACATGGCAGAGAGAGTATCTGGCACCTTGCACACATTGCCTTGTTTAGGAGTCATGACTCACCTCTTAGGGGACTGTTAAGCCTTGTACAGCTTTAGAAACTGAGGCTAAGAGAGGCGAGGTTAAGTAACTTGTCCAAGATCTCATAGAAAGTAAGTGATCATACTGTCTTATGCTCTCAATATTATGCTGTACGAACTTGGAAAGAGCACAGAACTCTCTGGCCAAAGTGTCTTCCTCTGGAAATGAGAACTATGATATCACCACAGAGGACTGTCATGAGGATTAAATGCAATAGTGTTTGGAAAATGTGCATGCCTTGACTATTCATAGTAAACACTTAAAGTATCTATTTCTTATGAAAGCAAGTTATCTTAGAACTTATTCTCTAAGCATATTGCTGAATTTTGCCAATGATTGATTAATGACTTGATCGATATTTATTGAGCTCTATGTTTAGCACTGAAGATACAAGTATGATTAGGAACTCAAAGACTAAGAAGAAGAAAATGATGAAAGAAAACATCATTAAAAAGATAAAGTGTCACAGAGGCAGATATGATGCGCTGTGGAATTTAAGTGTCACAGAGGAAGCATGCCGAAGCTGAGTTTTAAAGCATTTATAGCAATTTTCTATAAATTTCTTCTAGGGAGGGCCTTCTAGGCAGAAGAAGTAAAACAGCAGAGGTGGGAGGCATAAATAGCATCGTCGTGTGAGAGATCTGCAAAGGATTGAAAGGAGAGGAGGGTTCAATGACCAGGGGAAGGATTGGAAAATGAGGTCCCATAAGATCTTATATGTCATGCTATTCAGTTTGCATGGAGGGTCTTAGCTTGAAATGATTTATCTCCTAGACCTTTATTGGTTTTTTGAGACAGAGTCTCGCTCTGTCACCCAGGCTAGAGTGCAGTGGCGTGATCTCAGCTCACTGCAACCTCTGCCTCCCCGGCTCAAGCAATTCTCGTGCCTCAGCCTCCTCAGTAGCTGAGATGACAGGTGCCTGTCACCATGCCTGGCTAATTTTCATATTTTTAGTAGAGATGGCATTTCACCATGTTGGCCAGGCTGGTCTGGAATTCCTGGCCTCAAGTTGATCTGCTGGCCTTGGCCTCTCAAAGTTCTGGAATTACAGGCATGAGCCACTGAGCCTATCCTCTCTTATACCTTTTTAAGGAAAAACATGTACCTGCTGGGAGGGTTTTAACAATAAATGCAGAAATTCTTCTAAAGGTAGATATCTGTGGAGTGTGGTAATTACAGCTCCTAAAACTAATAAGGTGAAGCTAATACGTGTTTTTACTCATTTTTTGGAAGTGAAAAGAATAATGAATCTCTTCCCCAACAGCTTATATTTTGACTAAAACAATATTTGTCTTTGTAAATTAACGCTAAACTTCACCTTAGGTTGGTAGTCTATATTAAATTGGGACCATTTTGGGTAGATTGTATATATGTTGTTAACAAAGTAATTGAGAATTATCACACAGTTCAATTTGTTTTTGTATTGAGTGCCTGTAGTTAAGTATTTGCATAGTTCAGCAACCTGCAGAGTTATTTCTTCCCTTTTTTGGAGACAAGGTCTTGTTCTGATACCCAGGCTGGAGTGCAATGGTGCAATCGTAGCTCACTGCATCCTTGAGCCCCTGGGCTCAAGCAATCCTCTCACCCTAGTCTTCTGAGTAGTTGGGGCTGCAAGTGTGTGCTACCACACCCAGCTGATTTTTAAATTGTTTGTAAAAATAAGGTCTTGCCATGTTGTCCAGGCTGGTCTCGAACTCCTAGGCTCAAGTGATCCTCCTGCCTCAGTCTCTCAAAGTGCTGGGATTACAGCCGTGAGCCACCATGCCCAGTGGGTTATTCCTTAGTGAGCAATTGTTTCTTCTGTTAGAACATGAATTTATAATTTGTTTTTACTCTTGGGGATAATATTTAAAATGTAGATTATATTTAGCTAATTTGCAGATGAAAATATTGGGTGACTCAAATATATCTTATTGAAATCACTTTATAATGCTAGTTTTCTTCATAGTTCTGTTTTGAAAGTACTAAATTAGTCATGATCTTGAAACATTGGACGTGAAATTTCAACTCTTTTTTAGAAACAAAGGCCTATAATAGTATTTTGGGTGTTTCCAAAGTTGTCATTTAAGTTAAATACTTTTCACTATGGAGGGTAGATTACTTGTTTTAGTCTTAGTAATTAGTGCTGTTGCTGTATTTATTTATTTTTAATCTTAAAGGAGCATTCTTTCTTGATGGATACTTAAAAATTATGATTTTGTAGTGATTTTCATTTTTTTAAACATTATACATCAAATATTGACTGTTTATTAAATATAGAAGTATTATCTAATATTTTATTACATGTATTGCACGATTATGTGAGAACTTTTGTGATTAAAAATGAAAACTCCTAGCTGCAAAAACATAAATTCTTATTAGGAATGATACAATACAATTTATTTAAAAATTGCATTCAGTTTTTAAACCAGCAGTTAATTATAGCAGCTATAAAAATAAAGATACCACCAGGCTTTTAATAGCTTTCAAATCCTTTTAAAAAACACATAATCTTATTTGTCATATGAGTTCTAATCATATTCCTCTCTTCTGACAGATGGTTTATATTCTTATAAATGTTATTCTTATAACACTATAAAGATCTAATTGAGGCAGTTCCTTTTTTATATTCATTTGACTGTTTTCCTTGCATCATTTAAAATTTTTGCTTTGTTTTTTTCTATATCTCTTTTTGTAACAGTGCTCTATTCAAATATAATAGTTATTTTAATAAACAAGCCAAATTCACATGTTTCTTGTCTTCCCTAATACTTGTAAGATTCTCCCATTCTTGATACCTTGCTTTGTTCTTATTCTTTCTGTTCTATGAATAAAGCAGAGTAATAGTTACCACCTAATGTGATAACATGTCATATAATGATTCCTTTCAATATTCGTGAAACACTCAAAGAGAATTATGCTTTTTCCCTATTATTTTAGATAAAGACATTTTTCATGTTTTAAAAAATTTCCATTATGTTGCGGAGTGGTATCTAACTGTAAAAAAGGCTTTTGTATTCAATTTCTACATAACTTTTTATGATGAGGGAAGATAATATTCTTTAGTTTCAATGTTTTTGAATTTAACTAAGGAAAAAAGCTTCTTGGTCTATTATTAAGCAATCTTTATATTGTAGAATATATACATTGTTTCACTTAAAATATATATTAAAATAATTATTAGAAATTATTTATTTTGGGAAATATTTAGTCAGGATATTCAAAGCAAATATGTAAGGTTCTGCTTAATTGGACAGTTTTTCCTCAATATTTTTAAATAATATATTCTTTTAGGCTAAAAGGAGAAAGTAAGCAGGTGATGAAGTACAGGCATCAGCTAGATGAGATTATCTGTTGGTTAACAAAGGCTGAGCATGCTATGCAAAAGAGATCAACCACCGAATTGGGAGAAAACCTGCAAGAATTAAGAGTAAGTTGTTTATTTCTGTCTATATGCCTTTTGGTGCCCGAACATTATACTTCAGAGTCACATACTGCGTGTCTCAAGAAGAAAAGGGAAAAGAAACTTTGTACTTTTTGGTAAATGTGGTGAACCTGAAAGAGGAATATCTTTTATTTTTTAAAGAGCAGTTATAATTTTGGTCTTGCAGAGCTTAAACTTCACTTATGTAAAAAGAACAAACTATTATGGTGTCAGTATTAGACCAAAGGTTTTTAGGATATTGTAAACTGACCTTATCATTTTAAAATACAATAGGGCTATGAAATATCGTTTTTTGTTTTTAGATTTGGAAGAAAATTACTGATTATTGTCTATAAAGCTGCAAAACTCAACTTTATAGATAATCAGTAATTATCAGAGTGACTTGCTGAGGAACAAAATGCAGCTTGCAATAGGTTTAGTGTCATGGTTGTATTAATCAGATTTTCTTTGTTGGTTTGCAACTAACAAGTATTGTTTATAGTTGTATATGTATATAATCTATAAAAATTCATACATATATAGATGTATAAATATATCCAAATATCCATAAATTTTGTATTCATAAATATTTATTTTTTGTGTTAAGAATTAAAATACTTGTTGCAGAACACTCAGCATAATGTGCTCACATTTTTTTTTAAAAAAAGAAATTGTGGGCTGGGTGTGGTGGCTCACGCCTGTAATCCCAGCACTTTGGGAGGCCGAGGCGGGTGGATCACAAGGTCATGAGATCGAGACCATCTGGCTAACATGGTGAAACCCCATCTCTATAAAAATACAAAAAAAAATTAGCTGGCCGTGGTGGCAGGCGCATGTAGTCTCAGCTACTCGGGAGGCTGAAGCAGGAGAATGGCATGAACCCAGGAGGCAGAGGTTGCAGTGAGCCGAGATCGTGCCACTGCACTCCAGCCTGGCTGACAGAGCGAGACTCCGTCTCAAAAAAAAAAAAAAAAAAGAAATTATGAGTGTGTATTCATACATGTACAAGCATAAGTGTGTGTGAAAGGTTACTTACTAATTCAGAGATTTTGTCTATAAAGGAGTATGATTGAAGCATTTTGAGAAAGAAACATTGAATAATGATGAAAAATATTTTGTGGAACATATATTAAGTTTTCTTTTTAAAATGTGACAATATCTAACAAGCTTCCTTTTTTACCTAAAAATTTCAGTGGTTTTTTTGGGAATGTCTCTTTTGTAAACAATTTGAGGAGAGTTAGAAAAGGTGGAACAGTATATTAGGATGGAGTAGCAAGGAGGAGATAAGAACAGAATGTTAAATTAGCAGTGTAAAAATAATATATGACCCGGTTAAGAGACAGTGAGTACCAGAGAGCCCGTTTGTGCACAGGAGTGCAAAAATACACACAGAAGGCATGTGCTCACTCCCTTCCTAGTTATCATTTGTTAGCATGAGCTTAAGCTTCTTATAAGTTTATTTTTTCACTTAACAAATTAGAAAGTTACATTTGTAATAATACCAAAAAGGTTTCTAATACAGTTCTTGAATTTTCCCTTATCTGACTACCTTCTAACCACACCTATCTTTTAACTTCTCCAGGACTTAACTCAAGAAATGGAAGTACATGCTGAAAAACTCAAATGGCTGAATAGAACTGAATTGGAGATGCTTTCAGATAAAAGTCTGAGTTTACCTGAAAGGGATAAAATTTCAGAAAGCTTAAGGACTGTAAATATGACATGGAATAAGGTGTGTGTAAAGTTACTATCACACATTTCTCATATTTATTGATTTTGTTGTCAGAGATGTGGGATCATGTAACTGCTTTACTTTCAAGTATGTCCAAATGGGGCAAATTTTACTAAAGCTTACTAATGTTTATATTTTTTATCTGTCATAGACAGAGGCATATATTCTAGAAGAATACTTTTTATTTTATACAGAACTCTTTGGCCTAGGGGATTTATACATTATATACTACATTAAATAATGAATATATGTTGGAATTAGTAAGAAAATTCCAGTGATGATATTCTGAAAATGAAGACCTTAAAATAGCATTCTGAGCCGGGTGTGTTGGCTCATACCTGTAATCCCAACACTTTGAGAGGCCGAGATGGGGGGAATCACATGAGTCCAGGAGTTTGAGACCAGCCTGGCCAACACAGTGAAACCCCATCTCTACTAAAGATAGAAAAATTTGCCAGGCGTAGTGGCACACGCCTGTAATCGCAGCTACTTGGGAGGCCGAGGCACGAGAATTGCCTATACCTGGGAGGTGGAGGTTGCAGTGAGCTGCAGTCACACCACTGGACCCCAGCCTGGGTGAGACAGGGAGACCCTGTCTCAAAAAAAAAAAAAAGAAATAAATAAAGAAAATAGCATCCTGATTTTGCACATGACTTTTCACACATGTATGTTTATTTTCAATGATTTTTTTCATTAAATATATATTTACTAGGTTCCAGTGAAATGTAATGGCATGTGACTACAAATACAACTAATATCTTTCCCTCCTACCATTATTTTTTTTTTGCCATTGAAACGGTTAAAAGTAGATAAAGTCATAGATATCTTTTTTGTTTGACCTGGTACACACCATTTCAGAGTATGACGTCTGTATAGGACATTGAATGGATATGTCTCTGTCCTTGGTTTGGATGGACTCCATATCAGTCATTTTCTCTCTCATCCTCTTTAAATGGTAGCCATTATCCTATAGCTAATGATGCAGGTGCTTTATTGATCTGGTCTCTCTGATTGGGAATCACTGCCTGTTGAGTCACTGTGATTCACACATGTGTATCTCTGGTCTGGACCTTTCTCCATACTCTAAACTTGTGTATGCAACTACCTGCTCAACATCTCTCCTTAAATGTCTAATAGGCACCTCAAACTAACATACACAATCGAGCTTTTGATATCCCTCTCCCTTCTGTGCCTTAATATACATCTCCCACCTTAGTCAATGGAAGTTTCATCTTATTATTACTTAAGTCAGAAATATTGGAGTCAATCCTATGGTATATGAATTCTATCACAAAAAGAAACAAAGAAAACCCCCAAACCAAAAACTATACCTCAGTCACCATTAGCAGCTTTTCCTTCAAAATACGTATCTACTGGATGGATGGTTTATTGGATAGCCAGATGGCTATGTGTGATAAGGCAAATGTAGCAGAAGTTTGACAGTTGTAGATGTCAGAGGGCACATAGATATTTCCTCTACAATTCTTTCGACTTTTCTTAGGTCAAAAAATATCATACATTTGACTGCTTCTTACAACCCCCATTGCCACTAACTTGTTTCAAGCCTGCCATCATCTCTTGTCTTGATGACTACAAAGGCTGCCCCACTCATCTCCCCTGCTTCTTCCTTTGCCCTTTGTTATTCTGTTCTAGACAAAGCAGCCAATATGATTGGTTAAAACATAATTCAGATCAAGTGACTTATCTGAGCAAAGTCCACCAATGGTTTTCTATCTTGCTCAGGGTGAAAGCCAAAATGCTTTTTTGGCTTATGAGGCTTCTCATGGCCTGGCGTCCTGTGATCTCTCCTACAATATCCACTGCTCTCTCTCCCCTACACTCCTTTCCAGACATGTTAGGTCCTGTGTCACTTGCCAGAAAGGTTGTCCATATTCAGTCGGAGCACACATATTTATTTAACACAAAGGGTATCAGTGGGTATTCTGCAGAAAAGGGCACAGTTGTTAATTTGGGTGCACTATGTCAGACAAAGCTAGAGCTTTGGTTATTGCAGAATTTCATGTAAATTTTAATATAATTCACTTTGGTGAATTATGAATGTCTAAGACCAACAATGCTCATTGTGCAGAAAATCTCAACAAACATAATTTGGGAAATTCTAACATGGTTTATTTCATTCATTCATACAGTCATTCATTCACTCAATAGGTTTTTATTGGAGTCTCACTTTCTGCCAGGTATCATTTTAAGAGATAGGAATGCATTAAAGAGTGTGGCATTCCTTCTAACTCAAAGAGCTTATCATGGATGAGACCAGCAGACAACCAATTATAACATCCAGGTAGTGATGGGTACATAAAGGTGGAGCACCTGCTTGGCTTTGAGGGGTAGCTGTGGAAGGTTTTGTTGAAAAGATCACATTCTGGTTAATTTACGAAGGATGAATAAGTATTGGTCGGGTGAAGAATGAGGGAAAGTGCAGTGTAGAGAGAAGTGGCAAATGAAAGTGTCTAGAAGAGACAGAGAATGAGCACAGTGTATATAGGTCCAGGAAGTAGCCCACTGTAGAATGGAAGGCTGAGGGATGTTCTCAGAGATGAGATCCTGGAGGACTCACTGTGCATCACAAGGAATTTGAGCTCCATGTTGCAAACAATCTACCACTTTGAGGGTAGTGGGCAGCTATTGATGGGTTTTAAGCAGAGGAAAGTCATGTTTTTGAAATATTGCTATAGCTTCACTACGGAGATAGATGAAGTGATCCTAAGAATTGATATAGAAAGATGAGTTAGAATCTTCAGAAGAGTTTATGAAACGGGTGTCAGGGAAGATAGGGATAAGGAATTCAGATGTGGACATATCTGAATATCTAGTTCACAGAGAGGGCTGGACTGAAGATATGTTTTGGGCAGTCTTTAGCCTCTCAAAACTCCATTTGATTCCTGAAATCTTTGGAAACCAGGACTCAGGGAGAGCCCAGGGTGAAGGGCAAGAAGAGCAACACAGCTGCCCTGAAGGATATTGGTATTTGATGGATGGGCAGAGGAAAAGGAGTTGGTGAAGGAAATTCAGGAGAGCCAGCCAGAGAGGTAGGAGGAAAGCCAGAATTGCAGAGTAATAACAGAATTCAAGGGAGGGGGAGTGGACGGCATTAACTGGTGCACAGGGGTCAGGACAGCTAAGGACTGGTTGGTGTTTTTGATAGCAATGTCAGTGGAGTTAGGGGCTCAAACAAGATTGCAATGGAGAGTGAAGGTAGAGCCAGAAGTTTAGGTCGTTAGGGGAAGAAAAGTAGCAGAGCTGCCATTCAGAATAACACCTCTTCTTTTGAACTACAGTCATCTTTATTTACGTAGTATTCTTCTCTTTCTGTTTGTCCTGATGCGGTAGATTTGCAGAGAGGTGCCTACCACCCTGAAGGAATGCATCCAGGAGCCCAGTTCTGTTTCACAGACAAGGATTGCTGGTAAGATATGTTTATCTTTAACAAAGTTTTTTAAAAAATCAGTATGTAAAATTTTGTGATATGAGCCTCATACATGAATTAGAAAGACTTAGAAACGTCGTGCCATTTTCTTTATTTAATCTACTTTCAATGATTTGGAAAGAACATCTTCTTTAAACCCAAGACACATTTGGCTGCCCAGTGTGGGTAAGGCATTTGTTCTCGCGGCAGATAAGGCTGGCCTTTCTCTGGACTCCAGTGCTACCTGGGCATCCACAGGTCCTGCCGAAGGGAAGATGAGAGGCTAGGTGCAAAAACTGGGGACTAGTTTTCTGGGTCCAGGCAGCTTTTCAGGAAATCAGCTATAACTTGTTGTGTTAACATGAGCTTGGTTAACATATGTAATTAGACCCTGATCATGACTGAGAACAAAAGGCTTAGATATCCTGGGAAGCAGGTGGGGGATGGATATTTAGAAGCATTCTCCAACCTAGGAGACAAATACTTCTCACTTGGATGTGGAGAAAGAAGAATGTTTTCTCACTATTTCCTTCTCTCTTTATCCAGATTAGATCGCAGGCTCCTGCCCCATAGCCACTGTTGCCACTGCCTTGCAAGTTTTCTGAACCATCATGCCCTGCTCTTCCTCTGTTGAGTCACCTGGCAAAACCGCAAATGTGACCAACTCTAACTGTCCACTCACTCCCTGACAGCTGCTTCTGCTGATTCTTTTTATTGCTCCTCCCCGCTTTTTTCTTCTCCCTTGTCCTTCTCCTCCTCCTTGACTTCCATGTCCACCTTCTACTTTCTACCTCTTCTCTCGTCCTCCACCTCTACCTCTTCTACCTCTTTTTTTTGGGAGGGTTCTTTTTATTTCTCTTATTCCTCTTATTTTTCTTTTCTTTTCCTTCTCTTCCTCCTCCTCCCCTCAAGTTTTGAAAAAAGTGATGACAGACAATATATTTTTTTTCATTTTTCGAGATTGCAAGCTAATTGAGGACCAAGTTTGTGTTTTTTATTACTTGTATTTCTGGAAATTTGCACAAAAAGTACCTGGGGCCTGATCAAGTTTCTTGATTAATATTCAGAACACTTGAGTTGACATTTGGGTACTGCTGCTTTGCAAATACAGGCTCAACTCCATAATCATAGGGAAAGAATTTGATGCATTTTATAAAATCGTCATGGGTTATCTTACTTTTTAAAACCTCTATATGGTAAAGGAGCAGGGAAAATTTGAATACATATTTAGAAGTATAAAAAGCTAACAGCAAAGCTACAACTTCCATTAGGTGGATGGCTCATTTTTAACAGGATATTCGTCCTTGGGATAGGCCTGAGACCTGAAGCTAATCTTAGTATGTCTCTCTCCTCCTACGCAGTGTTTTAATTCAGTTCCTTCTTTTTAACATTTTATTTAGAAAATAAAATTAACCATTTTAAAGTGAACAATTTGGTGACATTTAATGCATTCACAATGTTGTACAACCACTATTTCTATCTAGTTCCAAAATATTTCTATCACTCCAAACTAAAACCTCTTACTCATTAAGCAGTTTCTTCCCATTCCCTCCTACTCCCAGCCCCTGGCAACCACCGATCTGCATTCTGTTTCCATGGATTTCTCTATTCTGGATATTTCATATAAATGGAGTCATACGATGCTTCTTTTACTTAGCATAATGTTTTTGAGGTTCATCCTTGCCAACACCTTGCCGACTGTACTCATTTCAGAGCTATGACTATTCATTTCAAATAAGCACTCAGCGCTAAGAGACAGTCCTACCGTACTTTCTTCTGAGTACTCCTTGGTACTCATTTCTCAACTAGTGACCTCATCTCATTTTCAAAAGAAAAAAAAAACCTTTTTCGTTTTCCCACCAGAGAATCCATCAAGCTACCTGCGGCTGTACCCATATACTTTACACACTTCCTTCCTATTCAGTGAAAGGGTTATTATCTCTTTTCCTAAGACCAGCTCCTCCACTTATGCATAGGATCCCATATTCTCTGGGCTGCTTACGTATCCTCTTTCTCTGATAGCTACTAGATCATCCTTATTGCCATACCTTTTGAAGCATGTAGCTCTAGTCTACTCATTTAAACTGATGTACAGTATTACATAACATTGGATATACTACAATCCTCTAAATTCTCTTTTCTACCTATGCTTACCAGTCCCAGAACTGTAGACATTTTTTTTTAGATGATTCACCCAGTCCTTAGGCCAATAAACTTGTAGTCAACCTCAACTCTTCTCTGGAATTAATATTCAATCCATCAGCAAGTAGCATCATTTCCATGTTCCATTCCACCTACTTCCGTGGTCTTGAACACCCTTATCTTTCTATCTAGATTATTGGAATATGCTCCTAACTCATAATCCTGATTTTATTCTTGCCTCAGTACTTCTCCATGACCTATTCCTCTGATAGCAGATAGAGTGATTCTTTTAAACGAGTTTGATTGTGTCGTTTCTTTGTTCACAGTCTTTTAATCACTTCCATCCACATAAATGAGTTCCAAAGTCTGGCCTTAGTCCAGAACACCATGCATATCTGCCTGTCTCTTTAATCACATTTCTTACTACTTTTCCCTTTGTTCATTCTGTTTCAAATACACTGGTCTTCTTGCTGTTTCAAACATGCCAAGAACGTAATCATTTCTGGTCTTTGTGCTTGGTGTTCCTTCTTCTTGTCTTCCCCAAATGTTCTTCTCTTAGATATTTTCATGTTTCACATACTCACTTCCTTTAGTTCTCCTTCAGATATCCCTTTCTAGAATAGCCCTTTCTTGCCCACAATATCTCAGATACACCCTGTCTCTGTCTTCTTGTATTGATTTTACTTCATAACACACATCCATTTTCCTGATAGAATGCAAGCTCTGGCAGGGCACGGTGGCTCATGCCTGTAATCCCAGTGCTTTGGGAGGCCAAGGCGGGTGGATCACCTGAGGTCAGGAGTTCGAGACCAGCCTGGCCAACATGGTGAAACTCTGTTTCTACTAAAAATACAAAAATTAGCTGGGCGTGGTGGCGGGCGCCTGTAATCCCAGCTACTTGGGAAGCTGAGGCAGGAGAATCGCCTGAACCCAGGAGGTGGAGGTTGCAGTGACCCAAGACCGTACCATTGCACTCCAGCCCAAACTTTGTCTTGCACACTCTCATGCCTGCAGCGTCTAGAATAGCCCCTTACACATAATAGGTTCTTAATAGGTATTTGATGAATTAAAACAATGAATTTTTTTTATCTACAAAAAAAGTTAAAGTGAAGATGGGGCAGAAGGATGTGTGAGATATTCTGTAGGGTGTATATCTAGTGATGGAATCACTGGGTTTAGCATATGGGTGCCTTCTACTTCACTAGCTGCCATTAGGGTGCTGTCTGGATTACTTGGCCCAGTTTACACTGACACTGGCTGTGTGTAATGGGTTCTTATTGTTCTACAGCATTACCAGCACCTCAACACTTTGCTCTCAGGACCCCTTTACACTTGTAAAAATTATTGAGGACCCTCAAATAGCTTTTGCTTTTGTGAGTGATAGTTATCCGTATTTACCTAACTAGAAAAATTTTCCATTAATTCATTTATTAAGTTGTTTAAAAATAATAATAAAGCCATTATATGTTAACAAAAATAGCATGTTTTTGTAACATTAGCATAAGATGCTGGGCACAGTGAATCATGTCTATAATCCCAGCAGTTTGGGAGGCTGAGGCAGGAGGATCACTTGAGCCCAGGAGTTTGAGACCAGCCTGGGTAACATAGGGAGACCCTGTCTCTACAAAAAATTAAAAATAAAAAAAATTAGCCAGGCTTGGTGATGCAGGCCTGTAGTTCCAACTAATCAGGAGGCAGTGGTGGGAGGATCACTTGAACTCAGGAGGTTGAGGCTGCAATGAGCTGTGTTCGTGCCTCTGCTTCCCAGCCTGGGTGACAGAGTGAGCCCCTATCTCAAAGAAAAAACAAACAAACAAACAAACAAACAAACAACTCTGTTTTCTAAAACAAACAAAATCCTGGAAAAGCTGCAGTTTTATATTTTTTGAAATCTCTTAAATGTCTAGTTTAATAGAACACAGCTGTATTCTTATTTCTGCTTCTGCATTTGGTCTCTTGTGATGTCACGTTATGTAGACTTAGATAAAACACACTGTACACGTGGGAGAGACTGAGCCTAAAAAGGCAAATAATGTGCTGATGATAATAGTGTAGGCATCTTAACCTAGAGCTTCTCAGATGTCACTTTTCTGATGGTGGTCCTGTGGATGTAGGGTATTTCATTTTAATTTGTACTATCTCAGTTATAGAAGAGGTCAGACATTTATTTCACATTTTTATGTTTATTGCCTTTTTTATTTCCTCTTTTGTGGATTGTCTTTAGATGATTTTTTAAGTTTTAGAAAAAGTATTTTGGCTATCAGTTCTTTGTCTGCAATGGGCATTGCAAATACCATCTCCTTTCATCTTTCAAAGGCTTTTAAAATCTTTACTTATGGTGCTCTTTGGAATTCTTAACCATTAATGGTTTATTAATAGCTTCCCTTTTTTGTGTTTTGTTTGAGAGCTACTTCAGTCCTCTGAAGTAATAAAAGTATTCCTTATTTTTAACTAACAATTTTGTTTTTCATATTTAGGTCCTTAATCCACTAAGAATTAATTTTTCTATGGTGTATGTGAGGTTAAAATCAGTCCCATCATTTCCCTGCTGCAGCCGTGGTGACTCACTTAATTGAACAGTAAATTCTTCTTCATTGATCTGTAATTCAGTCTCTGCCAAGGTCAGATTTCTCTGCCACCTACACATTGTGACTCTTCTCTTCTGTTGGTCTCTTTAAATGTCTCAGTCTATAATATACTGAGTTAATAATTATTAGCTAAATAATATAACTTAATATCTGGGAGGGCATATTCCTCTATCAAAAAATAATTTGACTGTTTTTTGTCCTTTTCTCTTCAATATTAATTTTATAACCAGAAATTTGAATTAATGATTTTGTTACATTCAAGCCTGTTGGGATTTTTATTAGGATTGTGCTGAATTTACAGATTGGCTATACATTTTAGAAAATTATTTAAGCCTCATCTAATATATCATACCTGAAGTAGGTTACAGATAGTTTTAATTACTAATTCAACTACTTATTGTATCAAAACCAATCAATTTGGCAATGAATATTAAATACATACTTTTTTTTGTATTTTCTGACTCAGTAATTCTACTTGGGAAATCTATGCTAAGATAGAGATCAGAAATGTGCAAAATACTCTACATGAAAAGATATTCTTTGCAAGTTTTTTAAAAAATTAAAATAAAATTTCAGGAGCAATCTAAATATCCAAGGGTTAAATAAAAGTGAATATGGGTATAGGTTATTACATAGGTATTCATAATTGTGTTTACTAAGAATAAAATATGCTCACATTATAAAGTTAAATGAAAAAAATAAAAAATTATGAATAAGTTGGCTTTATAATTAAAATCATCTTGCCAAAATAAAATAATACTTCCAGTTCTCCCACATTTGTACTTTTAATTTTTCTCAGTGTCAGTGCTGATTATGTTATAGAATGTTGCAAAACTGTTTTGTTGGCTTGATAGCTACCAAAGACATATGGATATTACAGGTAATACCATAGCCATTTCAGTATGAAAAAATAACCTCTTAGAATTTTTTTTACTTAAACTAAATTTTATTTAAATACACATACACGTGTCACCATGACACCACCATAATTAAAACATCCTGTTGATTAATTTCTCTTTTGCTACATTTTTCATTTCAGCTCATCCTAATGTCCAAAAGGTGGTGCTAGTATCATCTGCGTCAGATATTCCTGTTCAGTCTCATCGTACTTCGGAAATTTCAATTCCTGCTGATCTTGATAAAACTATAACAGAACTAGCCGACTGGCTGGTATTAATCGACCAGATGCTGAAGTCCAACATTGTCACTGTTGGGGATGTAGAAGAGATCAATAAGACCGTTTCCCGAATGAAAGTAGGTGCATAGTGTAAAAGCTTGTCATGGAAACGCCACAACCCAGAGGTAGACCAGATCTGTTTGAATCCCTTTTGTTTATCCTAAACTATGAGAGAATGAGGTTTAAAAAATTCTGTATCTGTCAAACAACCATTCAGGGCTAACTACAAAGCATAGAGCTTTTCTTGCATTTATACTGTTGTGATATGATCAGGTTTACTGACTTAAACTAAAGACCCAGTGCATTTTTAAAATCTAAAACTGATACCGTAAAGCTAGGCACATTAGTATAAATATAAGCTGGCGTTAGCATTTCATGCCTGTTGTGTGATGTAGGATAATCTCCTAAAGTGCCTTTGCAACTTATATTTCATAATGAGATTAATTTCTGATTTTAAAAGTGAATATCTCCTATAACTTTACTACTATACATGTACCATCTAATATTCATTTGTAAAAATTCTTTTTCCCTATTTAGTGTGTGCTAAGTTCTGGGCTGTGAGTGGTACAAGGATACTGACAAGAATATTCTAGGTAGAAATTGGGAAACTACAATGAAATAATAATAACAGCTCTTGCTAAATTTTATTAAGTGCTTCATGTGTGCTGGTCATTTTTCTAAGTATTGTACACGTTATCTCATTCAATTCTTTAATAGTCTTGTGAGATAGGTACTGTTTTTATCCCCACATTACAAATAAGTCCACACCGAGGCAGAGGCACTGAGTGCATATGAGTTGACAAATTACTGTAGCAAGGCAAGAGTCTAATAAAAGCCTCAGGAGAAGTACAGGCAACCTGTTGGGGGAGCCAGGATGAGGAAGGGGATCACTTCTCCAGTGATGGAAAGCAAACTGTGTGGGATTTTGGCATCTGGGACAAAGTGGTGACATTCCTGGTATAGGGAACAGAGTGAATAAAGTCATGTGGTACAGGAGGCACAAAGGACAGTAGGGCCAACATTTGTGCAATTAAGAAATACAGTGTGAAACAAGGCAGGAAAAGCAGCTCAAATTCCCTTTGTGAAGGAGCCTGCAGGCTGTGCAAAGCCCTTTGGATTTTTAGTCTGTAAGCAATTGGTAAACATCTTCCTTCCCATTTCTTTTTCTTTTTAAAATTGTGTTTATGAACTCATGATAACCGTGCTCTGCTTTAGTAGAAGACTAGGATGGATTGGAGGCAAGAAATGCATAAATCAAGGCAAAGAGCCCTTTCTGAAATGACTAAGATGATGCTGTTGCAATTAGCAGAAATAAGGAATAGAAGAAATTGAGTGTGAATGAGGGTTTGAGTGATTTAGTTTCAGACGTGTTGTGGTGGGGAGTCCTTATGCCATTTAGAAGGAAGTGATCAGTATTCATTACCATGTGCCCTGGGATTTAGGATTGAAAGTTGTGAGCAATCCATTTAGAAGTAATATTTGACACCAAAGGAGTAGCTGGAATCTACAAAACGGGTGAATTTGTAAAGAGGAAGGACTGGGAAAAAGTCATTTGCCACTATTTGTATTTTTTGTAAATTGCTTTCTAGTCTCTATGACTGTCATTAGTTCTGTACTGAAAACACATGATTTTCCTGATGTTGTTACCATTTCTCCCATATTTATTAGCACTGAGAGACAAACCATCTACAGCAGCAGTTTTTCGTGTCTAAGAGGATTTAATTTATAGTTATTCCTCTTAGCACTTTTCTGTGTCACCCCCAACCCTATGACATTAGTTTGTGTTCGTACCTGACACAGAACAGATATGCAAGTCATCATCAGCAGCAATAACTGCTAATGTTTTCAGGGCATTTTTCAGCTTTTGAAGGGATTTTCTTTGTTTAATGTCCTCAGACTGGATGTAATTGAGCTGTCAGTATTTTATTATTTCTTTTTTGTGAAAACAAAAACACAGAGAGGTAAAGCTCCTTGCCTGGTGACTCAGGTGCTAAATGGAAGAACTGAGATTTGAATGCAGGATCCTTGACTTTAAATCATGCACTCATTTTCTGCCACGTTGCTGATGCTTCACTATGCCATAGAGGAGGAAAACAACGACAACTTTGATGTCAGCACAACTGTTTTGCTTATTATTCTTCTCATATGGCTTATTAACCTATCCGAATAATCATTTCTACTTAACAGATTACAAAGGCTGACTTAGAACAGCGCCATCCTCAGCTGGATTATGTTTTTACATTGGCACAGAATTTGAAAAATAAAGCTTCCAGTTCAGATATGAGAACAGCAATTACAGAAAAATGTAAGTTTTTTAAAAAAAGTTATGTATTATCATCCACTTTCCCTGCAAATGGTGACACACACACACACACACACACACACACACACAAACACATTTTCAAAGATTATTCAACTAGAAAGTAATAGTGTTTAATATTTGTTACTCTTTATTTATACAGAAATGTAGCTTTCCCTTGTTTTTATGTTTTGTGAACATTGTTACAATAACCTTATGAAGTCCTTAATTATTAACATCACGACTCTTAAGTAATTACTTACACATTGGGTTTTCTTCTCTTAACTTAGGCTTTCTTTTAGAGGAATAAAAAAAGGTTAAAGGAACTCACAAGAATGCAAATCCTTTCTCTCATTATACTTTATTCTCTAAAATCAGGTCTTACTGTGTCTTTTAACTCAACCCAAAATTCAGTCCACAAATATTTATTGAGCAACTACTATGTGCTTATGTGACTGGCATTAATTTGGGGATACTTTAGTTATAAATGAGAGAAAACAACAACAAAAAATAAACATACAAAACAATAGCAAACAAAGATCCTTGCTTGGGGTTTGCATTCTAGCTCAGAAGCATCTAGGTTCTACAAACCCTTCTTAGTGGGAATGTACTACCAATAGCAAACGAAGTCTAAATTCTCAAGAGTGACACCTAGGGATTGTCACAATCTGCTGCCACTACCCCTTTTCTCACTTCAGCCCTCAGCCCGGCCTGTAATTATGCTGTTATTCCTTAAAATATCCTGACATTTCCTAGTCTTCTTACCTTTATTTGCATTATTTTATTTCTCTTGGCCTTTTCTTCCCAGGTGCAATTCTACGCAGCAGCTAAAATGTCATCCCCTTTGTGACATCTTTCCCTCCTCTTCTGGTCCCTGGTGAATGTTAATTTCTATTTTTAGTTCCTTCTATGGCCTTTCCCCCCATTGCTTTATTATAGATCTTACAACTACTTTAATTGTCTCTCTCTTCCATAGATTGTGAATATCCGTCTTTCTGCCCTTGGGCCTTTAACAGTGCCAATACAAATTAACTACCTAATAAATATTTGTGACAAAATATAAACTGGAAGGATAAATCCTAATATTTGTCAAGGGAAGAAAGTCAGCTACTCTCCCTGTAAAAAGTATGTTTTGATTTCAAAATAGTCATGGTAGCAACAGGGTTATTATAGGAGATACATTAGAAAAGAACTTTTAATGTCTAACAGTGTTGGCTTATTTTTACTAAATACATCATTTTCCTTCTTTTCTCTTTTTATGAATGGATGGATTGTGCCTATTATGGAACTTTGGAGTGAGCTGGTTTCCCTCACATCACAGGGGAGCTCCTCTGCTCTAGTGATACCAAACTATTGACAAGCCATTTCCAGTTTGCTTTTTCTATCATCTTGATGTTTTCTTTTAATTATTATTTTTTCCATCACCTCTCTTTTTGTCCAAAACTTCTTTCAGGTGTTTGTTTTTTTGTTTTACAAGACTTCTCCTAAATATCTTCCCTTTCCCATTGAATGTACACACTCTATTTTCTCTCTATATATAAATATTTCTGTGTGTGTAGAGGTTCTATAACCTTCATCACTCCTCATTATATGAAAAACCCTTCCCAGGGGGAATGTATTGCTACCAATAGTAACCTCGTTTTAGGGCTTAACTCACAATGAATGGGATAATTTGCCTATTTCTTATGATAAACCTGTGATATTTACTCTCGCTTGATGTCTTTGGTTTCATTTGTTTACTGTTAAAGGATTCTATTAGTAATAGAATTGGTCATAAGTACTTTATGTAACTTTTTAACTGACAAGAGAACATTATGATAGATTTGGCCTCTCTTCCTTAAGTTTAAAACTTAAGCAATTTATTTAAACAGCTAAGACAGAATGAAACAGATTGTCTCATTGAGCAAGTTTTAAAGAATGATGACATGTAAGTATAACTTAAGGCCTGAACAGCCTTGTTGATAGCTTTTTTGTTTTTTGAGATGGAGTTTCACTCTTGTTGCCCAGGCTGGATGCAATGGTGCAATCTTGACTCACTGCAACCTCTGCCTCCTGGGATCCAGCGATTCTCCTGCCTCAGCCTCCCAAGTAGCTGGGATTACAGGCACCTGCCACCATGCCCAGCTAATTTTTATATTTTTAGTAGAGACAGGGTTTCACCATGTTGGCCAGGCTGGTCTTGAACTTCTGGCTTCAGGTGATCCACCTGCCTCGGCCTCCCAAAGTGCTGGGATTACAGGTGTCAGCCACTGCACCCAGCCAGTTGATAGCTTTTATGTTTCACTATAACCATATATTATCCCAAGAACTTTGCCAAAGTGTTCCATGATAACTCAGCTGGAATGTTATCTTGTAGTTACGTTCCTCTTGGGCCTGGTACTTAACTATAGCCTTTCTTTTTGTCTGATATCCAAAGCATCTTTCAGCAGCGTGGTTTTAACATTCTACCTACTTATTATCAGCAGGTTCTTGCGGATATTCTAAGTTATTGTTTATTAGTACCTCAGTTCAAGATTATGAACTAACTCTGAAGTGATTAATAAAAAATTTAAGTTTCCAGCCGGGTGCGTTGGCTCATGCCTGTAATCCCAACACTTTGGGAGGCCGAGGCAGACAGATCACGAGGTCAGGAGTTCGAGACCTGGCCAACATGGGGAAACCCTCTCTCTACTAAAAATACAAAAGTAGCCGGGTGTGGTGGCACACACCTATAGTCCCAGCTACATGGGAGGCTGAGGCAGGAGAATCACTTGTACCTGGGGGCGGAGGTTGCAGCGAGCTGAAAGCCAGGATCGTGCCACTGCACTCCAGCCTGGGCGACAGAGCAAGACTCTCTCTCAAAAAAAAAAAAAAAAAAAGTTTCCTTAGATCTGTCTGTCCTTAAAACCTTGTTAAAAATAGAGAAAGGAGAAGAGAGAAAGCTTGAGGAGAAATAGAAAGAGAGAGAAGGTGATAATGAGTGAAAGGAATGAACAATAATAAAAGAGGAAGGACAAGAGCCAGTATGGAATTTTTATGATGAAGAGCTGCTGGGTGCACAGTTCATGAGTCTCTTTTACTTTTAGCATTTCTCTTGAACTTGAATATATAAAATTCCTTTTAGAGAGTTTTCCTGCTACAGTAAAACAAATGCAAAAAAAAATTCTTACACAGTTCAGTTTCTTCTAAAATCAAGACTGCCTTAGAAAATTCTCCTTTGAGGGTAACAGGTGACTATCTCTCTGTCTTAAAGTTCTGTCATGAAGTACTGTTAAACCCTACCTTCATCAAACCAGGTCTATAAATACAACTGTAAATACAAAATTAAATAGAACAGTATTTTCTTTATAATTGTTTGGCAGTATCAGTTTATAATAGTAGATATTTTTTTGGGAGTTGTTTTAGAGCACTGAAAATAAGAGTTCAAGATTTTTTTTTCTCAAACACCGTTTCAGAAATATATCAATTGTATAGGATGGCAGATGTATATTAAAATTCCTTCAAAATGTGTTTATCAGCTTGCCTTCTTCTGTTTATAGACTTATTTGTGATACATTTGATATATGATATTTTTTCTTTCTCCTGAGGGTTACATGTTGGGATTTTTTTTTCTTTTATAATGCTACCCTCAGTGGAAAGGGTCAAGAACCAGTGGGATGGCACCCAGCATGGCGTTGAGCTAAGACAGCAGCAGCTTGAGGACATGATTATTGACAGTCTTCAGTGGGATGACCATAGGGAGGAGACTGAAGAACTGATGAGAAAATATGAGGCTCGACTCTATATTCTTCAGCAAGCCCGACGGGATCCACTCACCAAACAAATTTCTGATAACCAAGTAAGACTCATCAGATATTTTTTGGCAGTATTGTTTTGTTGGATATACTTTTTTTCTATTGTTCACTGTAATTCTTAACAATAGGACCCTGCCATGTTTTTTCCTAAGTTCTTAGAGTGTCTAATGAAATTTATATGAAGAATTTGATCTGGAAGATTTTTTTCGAAAAATTTCTGGAGGCATAACAAGTAAGAATATGCATGTCTCCGAGATTTATAGCTCACTGACTTTTTGCAAGTGAAACACACCCTCAAATCAGCATCTAGAAAGAGAACACTTTCAAGATTCCAGGAACCCTCTTTTGCTCCCTTCTGTACTGTATTAGTCTGTTCTCACATTGCTATAAATAACTACCTGAGACTGAGTAATTTATGAAGAAAGGAGATTTAATTGACTCACAGTTCATTTGAGGGCTACTGTAGTGAAGCATGACTGGGAGGTACCAGGAAACTTAAAATCATGGTGGAAGGCAAAGGGGAAGCAGGCACCTTCTTTACAAGGCAGCAAGACAGAGAGAGATAGAAGGGAGAAGTGCCACACATTTTATTTATTTATTGGAGACATTGTCTCACTCTGCCGCCCAGGCTGGAATGCAGTGGCACTATCTCAGCTCATTGCAACAGCCACCTCTTGGGTTCCAGCGATTCTTGCCTCAGCCTTCCAAGTAGCTGGGATGACAGGCGTGCACCACCATGCCCAGCTAATTTTTGTATTTTCTGTAGAGACGGGGTTCCGCCATGTTGCCCAGGCTTGTCTGCAATTCCTGAGCTCAAGTAATCTGCTCACTTTGGCCTCCCAAGTGTCACACACTGTTAAACCATCTGATCTTGTGAGAACTCACTATCACAAGAACAGCACAGGGGAAATTCATCCCCATGATCCAGTCACCTCCCACCAGGCTCCTCCTTCGATTGGACATGAGATTTGGGTGGGGACACAAATCCAAACCATATTACTTACTTACCCTGAAGGTTATTTTTATTAATAAGTTTTTCCAAGACTTTCATTTGAGGACTACTATAGTGAACAAATCAGATAAGTAAGTTTAGTTTCCTTTAATGACTTTTTAACCAAACTGTTTTATCAATTTCGTAATAGCAGACATCTTTTTTGTCATCAGTTCAGTTATAGAGTTGATAATATTGAACAACTATGGTATTTTTAAAAGTGCTTTTAAGATTCTCTGTATAAAATTATAAAATATTCTTGAATTGGAGGTTTTAGTTGTGAGGTTATAGTTTGGTATAACATTTATTTGCCCTTCAGCTAGCCTAAGATGGAAGTGTATATTTGTGAAGAATTTAAGAAAGTATATGTAGAAAACAATCGAAAATGTGGAAGTATGTTTTTATTCTCCACAAATGCAGACTTTACTTGGTTACAGTTTTAAAAGCAAGTGGCCAGTTATATGCATTTCTGGATCATTCTGTGTGTTTGTGATACTGCTGACTGTTTCCACCAAATGACTCCCAAGTAATAGTGAAGCCCCTGGCCCCTTAACTAGAGGAATACAATTAAAAGTGATGTCAGTGTTTCAGTTATCATATTAGAACATTATTTTTTAATCAGCAGTGTGATTCTTTTCTTCTGAAACCTTAGGCTGATTTAAAATCTTCCCAATTGCTACAAAAAGCATTATATTAAAGGTTTCAGTTGTCATTTAGATTTCATGGTGAGTACCTTGATCCAGAGACTCTCAGAGGCTGAAAAACTATGTCAAAGAACCAATGCCAGTGGACAAATTCAGCATCAGTTTGGCTATTCAAGCAAACTCTCAGTAAACCTTGCTTGGCAGCTTGATCCATTCAAGTGGTTATCTTTGTAAACACACCTTGTGATCCAGGGGCAAGAGATGGAAGACGTCCATGTTGTTGATTCTTCACGTTTCTCCAGGCATGTATGCAGGAACTGTCTCTGTATTCAGTCCTTTATGACGCATGTCCGTGTAAGGATCAGAGAGGTACAGCAGAAGGAATGAAAAAGACAAATGGTTTGAGGAAGGAAAATATCTCAAAAAGAAAATGATAATAATCTTGTAATATTGTCATCTATGTACTCGATCACTTTCTTGGACATGTTTCTTTTCACTTCTACTAATTTTGGTTTAAGCTTACATATAACAAAAGGGTTTGCCCCCAGTCTGTTTTCATCCTGTGATATCTGTATCTAAAGCATGTCAAAATCTGCTGGGAGTACCATTGTTTTGATTATACTAATTACTGAGTGACCAAGTCTAACAAACAGACCTGCACTTGCACCTCAGATACTGCTTCAAGAACTGGGTCCTGGAGATGGTATCGTCATGGCGTTCGATAACGTCCTGCAGAAACTCCTGGAGGAATATGGGAGTGATGACACAAGGAATGTGAAAGAAACCACAGAGTACTTAAAAACATCATGGATCAATCTCAAACAAAGGTAAGTCTAAGGCCCTGGCAGGTAAATGTATATTGTCAAGTTGAGAATTTGATGGCTTTGGCTTTCTCGTGGAAACCTGCCAAACATGTGGCTACTACAAGTACATTTTATTATTATGTATTTTTATACTGTGATGTTCTGAGTTAGTATTATCATACTTAGTACAGAATGTATGCTTATACAATATGTTTTTGAATTTTTACAATGGAGTTTTTTATTTTATTTTTTTAAATCAGCCTAAACCTTGCCAATGATTATGTGTTCTGATTGTCTTACGCTCTCAGTATTATCTAGAATACACTTTGTAGTCTTCTGATGGTAAGGAGTGCAGGTGTTTACAGATGCATCAGGGTAATGGTATCCCTAAAGGTAATTGGAATAGCGTGCTATTTGGGTGGGGCATCCTAAGTTGAGGACCAGACACACATGGATCCAACACTAGATCCCTGAAATAATCTATGTGCATTTAGGATTTTAGTTAATTTACTATCTTTTTTCCCATTACTTTGTCTAGTCAGAGTATTTGGAACAGCCCAAAATAGAATATGTGTTTACAAGAGAATTTTCTGTCACTTGAATCACTTGAACACCTAGAATTTGAGAAACTATAAACAGTGATTAGCATCTCTTTAAGACTGCATATTTATATTCATCATTAGTAAAAAAAGATGTTTACATCATGCATATAGTACTGGGAATGCCTGTGTCTAGGTGAAATTACGCACATCTTTATTAAAATGCAACTGTCTTAAAACCAATTTGGTATCAAAACACATCTATTTTGACGTGAATAAAATGGGTATTAGAGCACTTTATATTCCTGATATATTCCTGCTAATAAAGTATGGCTAAGCATTTAATAACATTTTGACATGGATACGTTTTATACACTTCCAGAGTGTTATTTTTAGTTACAATCTCTGAAGCTCTGAAAACTCAAAGAAGAGGGTTATGATGGCACAATGTGAGGTTGAATGTGTTGTTAGATATACCTTGGATACTGGAGAAAATAAGACTGGGTTAGCAAAGACAAAACTTCACAAGTGGTTAAAGCAGAGTGGCTATAATATTGGTCTTTCTAACATTTTACTACAACTTTTCTCTTTTATTATAATAGGTTATTTGGATTTAGTAAGGATATCATAACTCAGGCAGGGAAGAAGGTGAATTAAAAACAGCTTTAACCTTAAGAGATAGCATTAGGAGATATACCTAATGTTAAATGTGAGTCAATGGGTGCAGCACACCGACATGGCACATGTATACATATGTAACAAACCTGCACGTTGTGCACATGTACCCTAAAACTTAAAGTATAATAATAATAATTAAAAAAAAGAAAAGACCTACAATCAGACAAAGCAGGTTAGAGAATTTCTTTATGGCCATCTCCAAGACAGAAAGGTAGGGGAAGACTCCTGCCTTCAGGAGAGAAAGAAGGAGGTGAAAGGGCAGGAGAAGGTCACAGAGAGAGATTGTTTTCTGAGGCCTGCTTCTGAGCCCTGAGGCACCCCAATATTAGAACAAAAGGCTATAACAAGTGTTATGGGAGTTATGTTGCAGGAACTGTGGATGAAAACATATACGTATTACAGTAAGTACGATGAATAAAAATTATTTGCATAATATAGCTAACATAAAAAAAAGAGATATAGTCCTTAAATATGCTCTGTCTTTGTGTTTCCAAAAATTCCATGTATAAGAGTTAGGACTTTGTTTTCCTTGTAAACTTAACAAAAAATTTATCCGTTAGGAATGTGTGGCCTGCTTTATTTAGCACCTCCAATTCTTCTTCTTATTTTTTTTTTTTGCTTTTACTTTGTAAATATTTTAAGACAGCCTACAGCAGTAGTTGGATTAGATGGAAGAGGCAATTAAAAATGAATTATATTGCAAGGTGATTTTTCGTTTATCATAGCTAAGACAATTACAATGTTCCAGTTTCTTTGTAGTTACAAGTGGTTGTCCTTATTGTGTTTTCTCTCTGCATTTTCCGGGGGGTGGAAATAAGTAATTATATTAATATTTAGACATGATTTAGATATATTGTTATCTATAAAACAGGGAAAACAGAGCAAAACTGGCTCATAGGATCCCTTCGTGAATGATAACTAGGGCTTCTATATGTAAAGAGAGTTTTCTCTTTTAAACCCAGTGAACTTTACAATTTTTAACTATTTTAAATGGACATCTTTGTAGAATATATAAATCTTTCTTTGCCTTCTTAAAGCTTGTGAATGTATATTTAACTTTTTTCTGAATTCTTGGTAGTATTGTTGCAAAGATAGAATTAAGGAACTTTAATGGATACGAGTGACCTTAGAGTTCTTCTGAACCAGTGTTTCTCAACCTTTCTTTACATTATCGCTTCCCTAAGGAGCCTGTGTAGACTCATCTTCCCATGAAATTTTAATACCATGATATACTGTGTACTGTATGGTTGTGCTTTATACATAAAAAGAATACATTTTTTCACCCTCCCCCTGAAAAGAAATAACCATTTATTACCTGTGTTGAGAATACATGGTCTAATCTAATATTCTCAGGCTCAGAGAAGTTAAGTGACATGTTCAAAGTCATGCAACACAGTCAGGATGATATTTTTCTATACTAAATGGTAATGCTCTTCATGCTGTGAGTTCTGAAGAATTGGCAGTAAATTTATTCAGGCTGCTATACTTTGTGAGATTTGGGGCTTTGTTTTGTGCGTATAAATTTTGAGTGTCGTCTCATTGTCAGGCACTGTACTGACCTCTTCACACACATCATTTCATTTAATCTTCACAACAACTGCAGGAGAGAGGTAGCATTTTCATCAGTCCTATGTTAATGAATAAACTGAAGTACAGAGAAGTTAAGGAATTACTCAAGACTACACAGCTTATAATGGCAGAGTTGGGATTGGAATTCAAGCTTGACTGGCAAGCCAGGCTCTTATTGTCTCTAAAAACAGTTTCATTTTTGTTCTTTGAATCAGACTGTCAGCCGTTGCTGACATTCTTGGTGACTGCTTTGTGTACCCGCCTCTCAGTTCTGTCTGTAATTCCGCTTACTGATTCTTATCTGTGTTGAGTTTAGAAGCCATATCAGATGAAAGATACGGGGCCTTTTTTATGCATAATGTAATGCACTCCAGTACGTGGCCATCACACCCCGTCTAATGGCTGCTGAGAGGCCTTTTTACCATGGCTGCCCTCTTATCTTCCAGCCTGTTCTTTATATACATCATTGTCAGCCAAATTCTGGAGGGGTGAAGGGTTGTTATATTTGCACATGGAATACTGTGCAGCATAATGTGTGAAGTTCAATATCAGCTTTCAAAGGAAATGTTTTGTATGAATTGCAGTTAGCCTAAATAATTTAGCTATTCACAATTATAAGTCCACAATCCCTTATCTACAATGCCAAAATCTAAAAACAGCTTTGATAACAGAAATCTTTGAATTACCATGCAGCTCTTTATTAAAGTCTTTATTTATTCTGGTTAGTATGAATAGCCTTTTTCCTTGCTGCAGAAATATTAATGTGTTTGATTGCTTCCCCAGACCCTGTTCAGGGGTAGTAATTAATATAGTTACTTTCATAATATTAGTTTTCTAATGTTCAAAAATAATATTACTTCTGAAACGCAACTGAATCCTGATTTTTTGGATTCTTTGAAAAGTAGGCCTGTCTCTAATGTTTCTAACTAATCTATATATCCTGACCACTACTTTTTTTACTTATCACTTTTTTTCCTTCCATCTCTTAATGCTAATTAACAAATTTTCTAGTGCCAGTTGAGATAGTGATTGTTGAAATGTGTTTATAGCACAGTCAGTGTGGATGCCTGATTTGGGTCTAAAATGCTATTTTAGCTGTATATATTTTGGCACTCCAGGGCAAAAATAACATTATATATATATATATATATATATATATATATATATATATATATATATATATATATACATACACACACACACGTATACACACCTGTGTAACACACATGTATATATACATACACATATATGTGTGTGTTTATACACACACATATACACACACATATAACTGTGTGTATAGACGTGTTTGCACATGCATGTATATACAGGTATGTATATATATGCACACTCATGTATATACACACATAGTTATCTACACTGAAGTATTGTAAAGGAAATGAGACAGTATAACTGTGTGCTATAAATAGTTTCTTAGAAATCACTAATTACTCTGTGTTTTTCTCCTTGTCCTTATCGCATTTTACCTTGCCTATGTTAAGGTATTTCTAGGTTTGTACAGGCAGAACAGAAAGCACTGAGTGTAAGGTATATGGGGCAATCCTTGGTTAAAAGCCCATCTTAGGCACTTGCCTTCTGTGCTAACCTATAGGAAGTTATTTCAACTCACCGAGTCACCATTTCCTTGATTCTAAAGTGGAGAACATGTCTAATATGTGGGGTTATTGTGATATCAAAAGTTATGTGTAAAAGTTCTTGGTAGGTAGTATATGCTTAAGAAAAAGATGCCCAAAGTGTCATCATATGCTCTTTCATATAATGTCTTTCTGATAAGTCCACTTCCTTTAGTCAAATGCACAGTACTTTCTGGGGTTAAATTAGCAGAAGGTTGAGTCATTATCAGTTGTTTGTCCATAGTCATTTCTAACTCTTTCTACTTTAATTAATGATAAAATACTTCTTTGTCTGCTTTTCTGAGTGCAGTATAGATATTCTAAAATTTTATTAACAGATGAAATTTCTTAAAAAATGCAGTTTCCTTGGTTTGCAGAATTATCACAGTTGCTGAATTTACCTTGCAATTAAGCATTTTCTGCCAAAGCAAAAGTCCAACCATCCTGGGAAGAAAAGATACGGAATTTAAAAAGACACAATTATTTATTTAAAAAAATATTTTATTTTATTTTATTTTATGTTCCAGGATACATGTGCAGGACATGCAGGTTTATGACATAGGTAAATGTGGTGGTTTGCTGCATCTATCAACCCATTACCTAGGTAGTAAGTCCAGCATTCATTAGCTATATATCCTGATGCTCTCCCTTCTCCTGCCCCCTTCCTACAGGCCCCAGTGTGTTGTTCCCCTCCCTGGGTCCATGTGTTCTCATTGTTGAGCTCACATTTATAAGTGAGAACATGCGGTGTTTGGTTTTCTGTTCCTGCATTAGTTTGCGGTGGATAATGGCTTCCAGTTCCATCCATGTCCCAGCAAAGGACATGATCTCATTCCTTTTTATGGCTGCATAATATTCCTCGGTATATAGGTACCACATTTTCTTTATCCAGTCCATCATTGATAGGTATTTGGGTTGATTCCATGTCTTAGCTATTGTGAACAGTGCTGCAATGAACATACACATACATGTATCTTTATAATAGAATGATTTATATTCCTGTGGGTATATACCCAGAAATGGGATTGGTGGGTAGAATGGTAGTTCTGTTGTTAGGTCTTTGAGGAATGCCACACTGTCTTCCACAATGGTTGAATTAATTTACATTCTCACCAACAGCATTAAAGCCTTCCTATTTCTCCACAGCCTCACCAGCATCTGTTGTTTCTTGACTGTTTAATAATTGCCATTCTGACTAGCATGAGATGGTATCCCATTGCGGTTTTGATCTGCATTTCTCTAATGCTCAGTAGTGTTGAGCTTTTTTTCATATGTTTGGTCACATAAATGTCCTCTTTTGAGAAGTGTCTGTTCATAAGACACAATTATTTAATGTGGGAGCACAAATACAGATTTATTCAGTAAGATAACTTTATTTTCTTCTTTTGAAATGCTATTATCTTTCTCATTAATATTTATTAATTAATAATGGCCAGCTAGACATGTGGAATGTATATAGTTTTCAAAAGGTTATTTAAATATTGTGTATAGTAAAGACTGATTTTGTAACTATTCTGAAAACAGGTTAAGTTTCAAAAATTTAATTTTGATTGACTTTCCAAGTAATTTTGTTGTATATTTGGAAGCTTCTATTATATCTGTTATTACTTTTTCAGTAATGATGTTTATTGTCCCTATAGATTAATAAAAATGAAGCTTTTTTCAGCATTTATTCTTTGTCCAATTTGGTCAATTCCTTTTAACAGTGATCAGTAGAAGATACTTATATTGGGATTGTTTCATAAGGCCTGATATCAGCCAGGCTCAACCTTCAAGCTCTTAAAAATGAATGCTGTAGCAGCTGTCATTCCCGAATGAATGGGCTTAGGTGAAAAGTACAGGTAGCCTTATCCTCCTAGCATGCCCACCAATATGAGGTTCAGAGATTTGGGTCAGTCAACTTGATTTATCCTCTCGGAAGCTTACTTCTTTCCCTGAAAATCACCTTTATTTTTCAACTTGTTTTGTTTATTTTCTTTGCTAGGATTTGATTTTTAGTTTTCCCTTCCAAGCTGGGAATAAAGCTGGCCAAAAAGAGAAGGGTAAAAATTATAGTCTTCTATATTTTCCTCTTCTGTTACGTTGTTTTAATATTTCAAGTATCATTTTATTACTTTTTTTAAAAAACAATTGCCAACAATGTCTTTGTGATAAATGCCTATGAATGTTAATGTTTTCATTTTGTAAATATCAAACTCAAGCATGCGGATATTTTCTCAGCACATTTAGCTCCATATCAAACAAACTAAAGAGCCAATGCCCACAGAAACAATGCCCACAGTCTTTGTTTTTGTTTTCATTTGTTTCTTTTTCCATTAATTGATTAATCAACCAGTTAAACAAGTATTTATTTAGCTTCCTATTTGCCAAGCTCTGTGACCAGCCCTAAAGATTCAACCATAAATACACCTCATTCCTGCTCCCAGGAAGCTGACATTGCATAGGGGGAGCCTGCAATGTACGTAAGTGGTAAATAGGAAAATAATACATAATTATAGGAGGTTGTTTTGGAGGTAAGAGAAATTAAAGAGGTGCTATGTAAGAGAGGGACTTAACTGAGGCAAATTTAGAAAGCATAACTTGGTGGCATTTGAGCTGGTTCTGAAGGTTAAGAAGGAACCATCTGAAGAAAATTACAGAGTGAACAGCAAATATAAAAGTCATGAGGCAGGAAAGAGCACAGCATGTGGTTGCAATATAATGAATATGATGGTAAGAGCTTGAGATGCGGTAGGAGAGGAAGGCAGAGGCCAGATCATGCTGAGCTTTGTAAGACATGGGGTATTAGTCCGTTTTCATACTGCCATAAAGAACTGCCTGAGACTGGGTAATTTATAAAGGAAAGAGTTTTAACTGACTTATAGTTCAGCATGGCAGGGGAGACCTCAGGAAACTTACAATCATGGCGGAAGGTGAAGGGGAAGCAAGGCACCTTCTTCACAAGGTGGCAGGAAGAGAATTGCTGAGTGAAGGGGGAAGAGCTCCTTATAAAACTATCAGATCTTGTGAAAACTCACTCATTATCACGAGAACAACATGGGGGAAACCATCCCCATTATCCAATTATGTCCACCTGGTCTCTCCCTTGACACATGGGGATATAGGGGTTATAATTCAAGGTGAGATTTGGGTGTGGATACAAAACCTAATCATATCACATGGGAAGGAGTTTGGATATTAAAAGTACAATAGAAAGCTATTGGAATTGTTAAGGAAGGGAGTGACACTGTCTAATGTGTATATATATTAAAATTTAATCTCTCTGGATCTTATGTGGATAATAGGTTGCTAGTGGGTATAGTAGAATAATTGCGAAGATCAGAAAGGAAGTGATGGTTGTGGTCCAACTGGGACATGGTGGTCCCCGTGGCTACTGTATGCCAGCAATGATGGAAATAAGATGTTAGATTTGCGATATGCCTTGGAAGTAGAAAAGACATTTTGGTGGATTAGATATATGCCTTAAGGGCTTGGAAACAATCCAAGATGGTATTTTGTAAAAGGATGAGTGGTGGTACCATTCACCGAATTGGGAAAGGATGTGGGAGTTTTGGAAGAACAAAAATTGCAAGTTGGATTTTGTTAAGTTTGAGATGCCTGTTAGATATCTAAGTATATAGGTTAAATAGGCAATTATGTATGTTAATCTGGAACTCAGATGTTCTGGACCTCAGATATGAATTGAGAGTTCTCAGCATTCACATTGGAGGTTGAACATGTGGGACTGGATGAGATCACCAGGGAAGGAGTGAAGATGAAGAAGAGAGGGGTATGCTTAACTGAGTCCATAAGGCCTAGGGTTTGGTGATTGAACAAAAAAGGAGGAAGGAGCAAAAGGGACTCAGAAAAAATTTCCAATGAAGTGAAAAAACGCAGATTTGTCATGTTCAGAAATAGAGGGAGGAGAATATCTCTTAGAGGAAATGGAGAGAGGAGAATGTTTCTAAGAAAGAATGATCTACTGGATTGAATTGGGCTGAATAACCAAATAGGATGACACAGCACACTATTTTGGTAATTCCACAGCTTGGACATTCCTGGTGATTTTGGAAAGAGCAATTTGGAGGAAGTAATGTGGCTGGAAGCTAGAGAGTGAGATGAAGGTGAAGAAGTAGAAACAGTTTGTGGAAACAACTTTAGAGAAGTTTGTGTGAAGAGGGACAGAGATTTTAGGTAGTGCTTAGTGTGGGGGCTGTAAGGTTAAGAGAGTCGATTGACTTTTCTGTTAAAATGGATTATAGTAAAGCATGTTTGTGTGCCTATGAGAATGACCCACTAGATGAGAGACTGATGATTAAATGCAGAGGGGACAAAGGAAGGAGGACAGGAAGGCTTTGAGAAGATAAGAAAGTGAGATTTAGAGAATTGGGTTTGGTAAGAACTGGAATGCATTTTTCATTATGACCAGAAAAGTCAACGAGAAGGTGAGTTTAGATGTACGTGAACTAGACCATTAGTGGTGGAAGATGAAAGGTTCTCCATGCAAGAACTGAGCTTTATGATCTATCGAGCACATTGTCAGTGAAGTTGGAGGTAGGACTAAGAGAAGTTGGAAGAGAGAGGATTGGGTGTAAGTTCAGATCTTTGTGAGTGGGATGGAGAGTTTCCTAGGGTAAATATATGGTATTGCTGGGCAGTAATGAGTGCCTATTTGTGGTTTATATTATTAAATGTAAGGAAAGGTAGCCCTGTTGAACTACTCTTTAATAGCATTCATCTACTCAATGAGGCAATGAAGAAGAATGCAGATGGAAGTGGGAGAAAGATGGAGCAGGGAAGAGTAAGATCTTTGGAAATGAGAGGAGAACAGGATTGCCTGTGGTCCATAATAGTGTCTAATGTGTCCCTTTCTCTGGGTGGTGTCATTCCTCACTAGAGCTATGGCTTGGCAAACAGACCTTAAGTTGGATTTCAAACTTCACTTCCTCATTGAGGCAGTGGTCAACCTCTATATACAGTGCCCCTGAACCTGAAGCTCAGTATAGGAACAGAGTGGATACATGTGTTGTGCTTTCTACAGTGGGATTTTGCCTGGAAGATGGGTGAACAATAACCTGGAGGTAGCAGTGGGGAGCAGGGAGGACCCTTATTCCAGCTTCTCAAACTGAGGCATAAAGGATCTGAGAGAAAAAGGAAAAGACTTCATGAAAAGTTTGCAGGGAACCCCATGCAGTAGCTCATGTCTGTAATCCAGCACTTTGGGAGGCTGAGGCAGGTGAATCGCTTGAGTCCAGGAGTTCCAGACTAGCCTGGGAAATATGGCAAAACCTCATCTCTACAAAAAATACAAAAATCAGCTGGGTGTGGTGACACATGCCTGTGGTCCCAGCTACTAGGGAGGCTGAGGTGGTAGGTTCGATTGAGCCTAGGAGGTGGAGATTGCAGTGAGCTGTGATCACACCACTGCACTCCAGCCTTGGCGACAGAACCAGACTCTGGAAAAAACAAAAAGTTTGCAGGAGAAATAATGGCCCTATGGAAACTGGTTTCAGTGAAGACAAAAAGGGATTGGCCTGGGGAGATGGAAGGTACAGCAGAGTCTGCTGATCCTAGAAGAGGAGCTCTAGAGCATGGTGGAAGAAGGGTTGGGGAGTGTGTTGGAGCAGACTGGGGAAGGTATTGGAGTTATGATTCAATATTGGTTGACTAATGAAGACCAAATATCTGGTAGTGACTTAGCTAAAGGGGAAATAGGATGTGGTGAGGGAAATCCTCTCAAAGAAATGGCTCTGTGGTCTTGACTATTTATTTCCTGACAATCACAGCCCCAAGAGAGATGCTCCTTTGGGTTCACAAGGCTGTGGGCAGGGATCATGGGGTAGCAGCAGGGGATTGTGAAATGAAGACTGACTCTTCTTTCAACTGCATTTTTCCCCACAGCATGCTTTAATGTATTTCCCAGGTGAATATTATTTAAAAGAACAAAATTACCTTGTGAAGGTGCTCACTGAAAAGTTTAAGGTATTGTTTCATTGTAAGTTTTCTACCTGCCACTCAAACTACTGATGCTGCTGTTTTTCATTCTAAAAGAGATAAATGTATTTAAATATTATATTAATGTAAAGGTCACCTTTTGAGCACACCAAAATTTGGCAACACACATTGATGGGTTTCCTGAGATGCTCTTTTCATTAAACTCTTTAAAAAGAGAGACATATCTATTCATGTTCAAATACTCTTTTGACCAATTATAAGTAAATGCACAATTGATTAAATAATATATCTTGTAGCTTAAAATATCAAGTATTATTTAACATCTTTAAAATAACATTTTAAAAAGGCAAGTATGTCATGTTTTATTGTGTTACAAAATGATTATAGGCTATAGGGTGTCATAGCTGCTTTTATTACAAAAATATCTTTTAAAAGCTAAGCGTTTACATTTAAAAAAAATCCTACTTCCCTTTACTGTAAAGTGTTATAAATCTGTCACCCGTGGATGTCCTTAAATCTTTTTTGGGAAGCTATTTATATTTTTACTTGGTGTCATTTCTTGCAGTAAAGACTTTTATAGTCTGTTGCTTCTTCTGTTTGAAGTAAAAAAAAAAATTATTTCTGCTAATGTTACCCTTCTAAACTTAAAATGTTGTATCTTTAGGTTTTTAGTCTGTGTTCTTTGTGATTTGTAGATTTAACAAAAGATTTAGAAAAAAATTTCTTTGCCTTTGTCTTCTAGCCACAAATTCCTAAGCTTAAAATCATTTCTTTTCCTGTAACAGCATTCCTTCCCTTGTATTATCTCGTTATTTTTCTCAATACGTCCTCTAGCTGTGTTCTGATCTTTCTTGAGACGTAGCAGTCAGAACTGCCAAATATGAAATCTACATTGAGAATCATAGACGAATGCAAGTTCAGTGCTGGATGCGATCTTAGAACTCTTCCACATTAATGCTTCCCAACCTTTTTTGCGATCGGCACACTACTCATCTATTCCCGCCAGTCATCTTTCGTTTACATGCAGCAATTCTTAATGAAGCTGAATTTGAAACTAGGGATGGAGGTGAGAGTGGAGGAACACTTCTAGTAGGTTTTGTGATTCCTGTGATGGATTATGTAGTTTTAAAAGGATCTCTGGAGATTTTGAAATGGGTAATTTACTGATCCAGTACAAGCCCCTTATTTTAAGGATGAAAAAAATAAATTGGAGATTTGAAATGATTTACCCCAAGCCATACAGCTAGTAAATGGTGGAGGTGATAGAATTAGGTCATTGTCTTTTGAGAGCAGTGTACACAAATGGCATTAAAGGTGGTATATTCACCTGTGTAATAAAGTATGAATACGTGTTCCTGAGACTCTAATTTCAGTGATTTTATTGACTTATGATATTATGATAAATCATGTGGAGTTCCTTGAGAATGGATAAAAAATCTTGTAATATTGAGTATACCATACTCTAGCCTAGGGTCTAATTTTTAAAAGTAAGAAAAAATAAACTGGAGGTGGAGGAAACAACTAAGCTATAGTCTATTAGAAATTTTATATAAATTATATTAATTTCAAAAATCAGAATATAAAATAACATGTATAAGCTATGATTTTAAACTTAAACACATACATTCATTATAATAATATGAAGACAATTTGCACTGCTATAAGTAGGGTTTGACTTTTAGTATAGTCATTATGTTTAGTAGTTAAGTTTATGATAAAAATTTGATACCAGCTATATATGCATTAAAAAAAAATTCCAGGACACTTATCATTAAATTTCACATTTGCATGCAATAAGCAAAATTAATTGCCTAGTATTTCACCAAATTCATACATGAGGTTAGGGAAAATATTTACTGAGTATTCACTATATCTTGATACATTTATATGTGTATATCTCATTTCCTCCTTCAAATATTGCTGCAATATGGAGATGTTATTCCTATTGCTGTATAAGTTTATTCAATAAATACTTGTTGAGTTTCTACTGTATGTAGGTCCTGGTCCTATTGGGTGCACTGATGAGCAACAGCTTTAAACAGGCAAGAAAACAATTGCTTACTGTCATGATCAGAGATACAATGAGGAAGGCAGAAAAGTGTCCCCCAAAGTGATTATTCTGGATTTTCTGGGTGAGCCCCATTTCATCCCAGGAGTCCTTAAAGGTGGAGGAGGTGGCAGAAGAGTGGTTCAGAGAGATGTGATTTGACGACTTTACCTGCTGTTGCTGGATTTGAAGGTGGAAGAAGTGGCTATGAGTCAAGCAATGTGGCAACCTCTAGAAGTTGGAAAAGAAGAGGAACCAGATTCACCCCTAGACCCTCCAGAAATAAATGCAGCCCTGCTGATAACTTGATTTTAGTCTAGTGGAGACCCGTGTTGATCACTGACAAAACTGTAAGATAATAAACTTGTGTTGTTTTTTACCACAAAGTTTGTGGTTATTTATGATAGCAGCAATGAAACACCAATAGCCATGGTAGGGGAAACTATGGGATGCCTTGGGGAAGGTACCATGGTTTTGGAAAGTGTTTGCACCCAGGTCTGGATGGTCAGTAGAAGTTAACTAGGTGGGATGGAGAAAATTAGTGGAGGCTGGAGGAAAGGAGCAGGAGGATATTTAAGGTAAAAAAAAGTAAAATGTAGAGGTCTGGATGCGACAGAGGCAGTGACCACTCAGAGGATTAATAATTGGTTCATTTTTATAGATAAATAACATATGAAGTGTGAAGTGGGGAGATGCCTCCTGGGGAGGTGAGCCAGAGTCAGATGATGGAAAACCTGTGTATCAGGCAAAGTTTAGGGATGATGAAGACAATCCTTGCCCAAGCGCTCATGGCTAGTGAGCAATGGAGCTTTGTCTACCTTAATCCAAAATCCATATTTTTTTACTTATATAACCAACAAAGTAGACATCTCTTACAAAACAACTAAAATTTGTTTTTCTGAAAGTTTCATACAAAGTGAATATTTTTTAAAGTAGTATCTCTTTTCTCACTGATGATCAGTAGATAATTTGTCAATGGGTGGTCTAGCTTCTGGATTGAGAATGTTCCACTGGTCACCAAAGTGTGCTGCTGAAGTTACTTTACCCAGTGGAATACTGTCTGAGGCCAAGTGCTCATGGTCCCTTAGCTCACTTTTCCTTTGAAGTATGACCGTAGGTTGTCTACCTCCCCTCGTAGCCTTGTCCTTTATACTTGCTAGGTATTTAAATATCTGTCATATAAGAAGAATCATCTGCCTTTACACTTAGGTTTCTTGGACATTTGCATCCTTTTCCCTAGTTTGGACATTCTCAGGGTTTAATAGAATTAATCTGTAATGATCTCTTTTTACATTAGCTGTTGCCATATAACCTATTATGTGCATATGAATATTCTTAAATAATAAAAAAGAATTCTGATTATGGGAAATGAAGGTGTTTGACCTTACTAAATTTTTTAATGACTAAATTTTATATATTGAATGTTCTTAAAGGAGAATCACCTGTGTGTAGTGGATTGATTGCATATGTGCACTCCTTTAATCTTTGTTTTCTAGTGCCTTTTTAGCACAGCCTTCATTTGGCTATTCTTAATGTTTTTTCTGTTGATGTTTTAAAAATGGAAAATATGGGCAGGGTTTGGGGAAGGATAAAACACCACCAACAACAACTACTCAAATTCTAGTGGGTAACTTCTAAATTTTAAAAATTAAAATTCACCTATGATTACAAAAAAACCAACAACCACTAAGCACTGAAAGGTTTATAACAGAATATAGTTCTTTTCCCTCGACTCACTGCAGTCCCCTTCCTAGAGGCAACTATTCTCCTTACCTTCTTCTATCATTTTTACATTTCCATATTCTAAATAAAATGGGTATGCCATCATCTTTCAATTCTTTAGTATTAGAAATTGTCTGCTGATATCCTATTTTGGTAAATACATAGGAAGTTGCTTAGGGATGCTACTGTTCTTTTCCCTGCTTCGCCATTGAATTTTAGGTAAATACATATACAGTGTTGACATTATTTTGCTTGTCCAAACATTATTACCAGCTAAAAACTGAGGTTTACTGTAATTTTGTTTCCTATGTGTTTGTTTTACCTGAAATTAATAATTGCCTTATTTTTATATGCCTAGTTTTCTTTGCACCTATTGCTAATCCCTCCCACATTTTCCAGTGACCTGACAGTACAATTTTCCACAAAGCCAGTCACATTCAGCAGGCTATCACTTCTAATATTGTTCCTTGGTCCTTGGTGACCTCTCTTCTGGAGACATGCTTTCTAGGCCTGCTGCACAGCCATCATGCTGGGTATTTGCTTTGCTCCTAGTTTAGAATCCCTGTTGCTTGGATCTCATGGAAGTTTTGTGTTATTCGTTTGTTTTTGCCTTTTTTGTTTGTTTGTTTTGGTTTGGTTTATTTGTTTTCTTCTTGGGGCGATTTCCTCATTTTGTCTGAGTGTATCCTTTGTAAGTTTTGTCACGTTAAAACAGGAATACAGAGTGGTGGCAACGCTGAAGACAGCCCATACCTGCTCCAGTTTGGATTCAGACCCTCTTTTCTGTGATCTCCTCTCACCATTAACAGGAGAGCCCCTTTGCTTCTTCCTGGGCTGGATCTCTTTTTTATGCTTCTCATATCTTCCTCCTTCTTGATTTGCAAACTGAGTTCTGTGGGGGATATCTAGGAGCTTCTTGAAAAATGGTATGTAGGAGTTATTTTTTATAATTAGCTCAATTATTATTTTTAGTTTTTTTAAAAAAATTTTTACTTTAAGTTCTGGGATACATGTGCAGAATGTGCAGGTTTGTTACATAGGTATACATGTGCGTGGTGGTTTGCTGCACCTATCAACCTGTCATCTAGGTTTTAAGCCCCGCATGCATTAGGCATTTGTCCTAATGCTCTCCCTTCCCTTGCCCCCCACCCCCTGACAGGCCCCGGTGTGTGATGTTTCCCTCCCTGTGTCCATGTGTTCTCATTGTTCAACTCCCACTTATAAGTGAGAACATGCAGTGTTTGGTTTTATGTTCCTGTGTTAGTTTGCTGAGAATGATGGTTTCCAGCTTCATCCATGTCCCTGCAAAGGACATGAACTCATTCTTTTTTATGGCTGCATAGTATTCCATGTTGTATATGTGCCACATTTTCTTTATCCAGTCTATCATTGATGGGCATTTGGGTTGGTTCCCAGTCTTTGCTATTGTAAATAGTGCTACAGTAAACATACATGTGCATGTGTCTTTATAGTAGAATGATTTATAATCTTTTGCATATATACCCAGTAATGGGATTGCTGGGTCAAATGGTATTTCTGGTTCTAGATCCTTGAGGAATCACCACACTGTCTTCACAATAGTTGAACTAATTTACACTCCCACCAACAGTGTAAAAGCATTCCTATTTCTCCACATCCTCTCCAGCATCTGTTTTATCCCGACTTTTTAGTAATTGCCATTCTAACTGGTGTGAGATGGTATCTCATTGTGGTTTTGAGCTTTTTTTCATCTGTTTGTTGGCCGCATAAATGTCTTCCTTTGAGAAATGTCTGTTGATATCCTTCGCCTACTTTTTGATTTGGTAGTTTGATTTTTTCTTGTAAATTGTTTAACCGTAGGAGCTAATTTTAAAGACATAGCATGGCCGGGCACAGTGGCTCAGCCTGTAATGCCAGTACTTTTGGAGGCTGAGGCAGGCAGATCACTTGAAGTTGGGAGTTCAAGACCAGCCTGGCCAACATGGTGAAACCCTATCTCTACTAAAAAAAAAAAATACAAAAATTTGCTGGGTGTGGTGGCACATCCCTGTAGTTCCAGCACTTTGGGAGGCCGAGGCGGGCCGATCACCTGAGGTCAAGAGTTTGAGACCAGCCTAGTCAACATGGTGAAATCCTGTCTCTATTAAAAAAATACAAAAATTAGCCAGGTGTAGTGGCAGGCGCCAATAATCCCAACTACTTGGGAGGCTGAGGCAGGAGAATTACTTGAACTTGGGAGGTAGAGGTTACAGTGAGCTGAGATCACACCACTGCACTCCAGCCTTGGTGACAGAGCAAGACTCCATCTCTAGAATAAAATAAAATAAAATAAAATAAAGGAATATTATGGAAAGATTGTCATTTGGTAAATACTTGTATAAATAGGACTCAGGAATATGAAGGTATAAAAAGTTCTGCTGAAATGCAGTTTATAGAATGGGTGGAAAGATACGAAAACTATATAATGTAGTTAAAATACAATTTAAGAATGAAACAAGATCATCATTCAAGGCCTTTTTCCAGGATTCATGTGATTAATCATTGTTTGAAGAGGATTATTGACCTTTTACGAACTCATAACAAGGATACTGAACTGGGATGGAATATTCTGGAAGAGGTAGTCCTTAACCCTTAAAGGAGTCGTAGGATTGTGGTAGGATTGTGATAAATGGAGAGGGTCAGCAAGACATTTTTATGTGGATATAACATTTTCGTGTGGACACAATATTAAGAATATTCTAGAGAAAAAGGAGCACACCACTATTACCTAAACAGAGTATTGAAGAAAACTAGGGGATAAAGTTTGAGAAGTAAACTGGGATCAATTATGGAGGAAATTAAATTCCAGGCGAGGAAATTTGAACTGATTCTGCAGGTTAAGAAGTAAGTGCTAGGATGAGGTTGATGACATTCAAGAATGTCATATAAACAGAATGTTAGTATGTAGTCTTTAGTGTCTGGTTTCTTTGACTTAGCAGAATGCATGTGAGATTCCATGCATGTTGTTGCATGTATCAGTAGTTTGCTTATATTTATTGTGGAATAGTATTCCATTGTATCCCTGTACCAAACTTTCTTTATCCGTATGTAATACCAGTTGGTATTTGGGTTGTATTCAGTTTTTGGCCATTACCAATAAGGCTGCTATATACACTGGCATACAGATTTTATGTAGACATATGGTGGTTTTTTTTGTTGTTGTTTGTTTGTTTTTGAGACAGTTTCACTCTGTCACCCAGACTGGGGTGCAGTGGCACAATCTTGGCTCACTGCAACCTCTGCCTCCTGAATTCAAGCAATTCTTACTGCCTCAGCCTCCTGAGTAGCTGGGATTACAGGCATGCCCCACCATGCCCAGCTAATTTTTGTATTTTTAGTGGAGAAGGAATTTCACTATGTTGTCCAGGCTGGTCCTGAACTCCTGACCTCAAGTAATCTGCCTGCCTTGGCCTCCCAAAGTGCTGAGACTACAGGCATGAGCCACTGTGCCCCACCTAGACATATGTTTTTGTTTCTCTTGGATAAATATCTAGGGGTAAGATTGCTGAGTTGTATCACTAATGCATGGTTAACTTTACAAAAAACTGCCAGCTGTTTTTCAAAATGGCTGTACTTTTACCTGCAATGTATGAGAGTTGCAGTTACTCCACATTCCTGCCAACCCTTGGTATAGTCATTTTCTTAAAGCCGTTTTAACATGAAGTAATGTCTCATTGTGGTTTGAATTTACATTTCTCTAATGATTAATGTGCTGAGCATATTTTCATTTGTTTATTTGTCATCTAAACATCTTCTATGGTAACGTATAGGTTTAAATCTTTTGCCCATTTTTTAAAATGATATGTTAAAAAAAGATACTGCATCATTATAAAATAAAAAAAATGCCAAAAAGTACAAATAGGAAAGTAAACCAACTTAAATCCCAGCACCCAAAAATAACTGTTTGAATATTAAGTTAATATTCCAGACATTTCTCCCTCTATGTATATATACAGATAGAAGGACGGATGGATGGATGAATGGATGGACAGAGAGAAAAAATACGTGTAAATAAAGTCTATTAGATATGCTGATTTTTACTGTGATACAATTTGTATACAGTAGTCCCCCCTTATCTGTGGTTTTGCTTGCTGTGGTTTCAGTTACCTGTGGTATATACAAAAAGAAATCTTGAGAAAGAGAGAGATCACATTGACGGAAGTTTTACACAGTATATTGTTATGATTGTTCTATTTTATTATTAGTTATTATCATCAATGTCTTACTGTGCCTAATTTATATTGTAAAAATAGGTATGATGCATGGGAAAAAACATGGTATATATAAGGTTTGGCACTATCTGGGGTTTCAGACATTCACTGGGGATGTTGAAATGTATCCCCTACAGATCAGGAGGGACTGCTGTATCACAAAATTCATCAGGATTTTTAGTATATTCACCATGTTGGGCAACCATCACTACTCTTAATTTCAGAAAATTTATCATCCTCCAAAGAAACCCCATACCATTAGTAGTCAGCCTCCATTGTCCTCCACCATGCAATCCTAGGCAACACCTAATCTACTTTCTCTATATATATGAATTTACCTATTTTGGAAATTTTGTATAAATGGAATTTCACCATATCTGGCCCTTTGTGTTTAACTTCTTTCACTTAACATAGTGTTTTCAAAGTTCATCCATATTGTAACACGTGTCAGTACTTCATTCCTTTTTATGGGTGAATAATAGTCTATGTATAAATATAGTGTATTTTGTTTATTAATTTCTGTCTCAATTTAGGTTGATTCTACTAGTTGGCCATTATAGATAATGCTGCTACAAACATTTGTGTACAAGTTTTTCTGTGGAAATATTTCCAGTTCTCTTGGATTTAAATACCTAGGAGTGAAATTATCGATACTAATTTTTAAAATTGAGTTGTTTTCTTATTATAGAGCTCTGAAGAATATAAAGTTTTAAATGTTGAATTTACAGGTGTGTGTATCTCTTAACTCATATAACTCCAAGATAGCTCTGTGTTCTAATTTTGATGTAGATTTAATGAAGGGTTTATAGAAGCTCATTTGTCCAATGCATTCTAAATATTACTAAATAAGAAACCAACTTGTATATATATGAATTGTTTAAAATATATAAAATCAGCTGCTTCAATTATTTTTATTTTGTCTTAAATATTTCTTCAGATATTATTTCTTCCTAGAATTCATTTAGCCACTGACTGTAGGAGTATTTGTTGATACTGTCTTTATGTAAGTCAACACAAAAGGTAATTGTATTGACTTACATAAAGGCAGTATCAACAAATATTCGTATAGTCGCTGACTGTATGAATATTTAATCCTTAAAGGAGTGGTAGGATTCAGTGACTGAATGAATAGAATTGCCTTTTGTATTGACCTACAACATATGGGGGAATAATTTAACTTACAATTATGAGCTGTAAAATGTAGTTATAATTATTTTATGATATGGATGTGATTTTAATATTTTTATGGCTCTCCCCCTTTCACTCTTCTCAGAATTCACATGATCCCTCCACTAAGGATTATTCAAGACACACATACAGATAAATCTCCCAGTTACCTATGGTGACTTGAATAAAAGGTCCTTTGGGGGCTGCCTGTTAGTTTTTTATTTAGGGGATGCGTGATGTGGAATGTCACAACACTGTAAGTAATGGAGCCGTGCTGTCATATTGTTACTTTCAGTATTGCTGACAGACAGAACGCCTTGGAGGCTGAGTGGAGGACGGTGCAGGCCTCTCGCAGAGATCTGGAAAACTTCCTGAAGTGGATCCAAGAAGCAGAGACCACAGTGAATGTGCTTGTGGATGCCTCTCATCGGGAGAATGCTCTTCAGGATAGTATCTTGGCCAGGGAACTCAAACAGCAGATGCAGGTAAGTGCATGGGAAACCACACCAGTACCTGTGTTTGCCCTGTGTGCTTTTGATCCCTCTGCATGCAAATGTGTTACCCTTAAAAGGTGAAGTTGTCACTTTATTCTCTTATGAAATCCGTGCTCTCCTGTGAATAATAGGTTTCTTGAAATAAGCTCTATTAGATATTTTTACTTAATGTTAGAGGGGAAAAAACCCACCTTGTTTTATGGAAGTAATAATTGTTTATTTAGAGTTAGAGGCTCACAGCTATTCTGCTTTTTGTCATTTTAAGCCCTATTATGGTTAGCTTTATTGAATCCTAAATTATAAGGGCATTTTCCCTTAATGTGAAGTTGTTTCTTTCTCCATTTATTATACATACTTAATATAAAAGCTGCAAAAGCTCTATGGCTTAGTTTATAACTAAGAATATTAGGCTTGATGATATTACTTTTATGTCATTAGCTTGATAACTGTGATTGTATATGTAGTCTGAGGTTCAAATATTTCTTCTACACAAAATGTGCTAATATAAAACTTTTCATTTATAAACATTATAAGGAATCTTATGAAATACGTCTGAATCTTTTTTTGCCCTCAAGTAGTTCTGCTTCAGTACTCTTGAACCTTCCAGTTCAAAATCTGATTCATGCGGAGTGTGGTGCCTCACGCCTGTAATCCCAGCACTTTGGGAGGCCAAGGTGCGTAGGTCACCTGAGGTCAGGAGTTTGAGACCAGCCTGGCCAACATGGTGAAACCCCATCTCTACTAAAAATACAAAAATTAGTCGGGCGTGGTGGTGCGCACCTGTAGTCCCAGCTACTTGGGAGGCTGAAGCATGAGAATTACTTGAACCCAGGAGGTGGAGGTTGCAGTCAGCCAAGATCGCACTACTACACTTCATTCTAGGTGGCAGAACGAGACTCTGTCCACTCCCAAAGAAACAAAACAAAAACCTATTTCAATGGGGAAGTCTCCTTGTCAACCATAGTATTACATCTGATTACTTTATACCATGCCATGCTCACATCAGTTTGACAACTATTATTTCTGATGTACCTGTGAACACGTGTTCCATTGTCTTTTGTTGTTGTTGTTTTGTTGCCCAGGCTGGAGTGTAGTGGTGCAATCTCAGCTTGCTACAACCTCTGCCTCCTGGGTTCAAGTGATTCTCATCCCTCAGCCACCTGAGTAGCTGGGATTACAGGTGTGCTCCACCATGCCTGGCTAGTTTTTGTATTTTTAGTAGAGATGGGGTTTCACCATGTTGGCCAGGCTGGTCTCAAACTCTTGACTTTAAGTGATCCACCTGCCTCGGTCTCCCGAAGTGCTGGGATTACAGGCCTGAGCCACCGTGCCTGGCCTCCATTGTCTTTTGATACATGTCTCTGCTTGTCCCAGTTGGTCACATGGTTCTTCAAGGGCAGAGATTATATTATCTGTATTGTTGCCTACGCAGTGCCCTGTGTGCAAATCCTAAGTGAATACTGACTGCTGTCCTTGGACCTTGACTCACCGTTATGAAACTCAGCATTGAAACCTTTTTTAAATCCGTTCTTAGGAACTCTTTTCTCTGAAAACATGAAAAAGACCATTTTGTAAAATGTCAACAAATGTGTGGATCTGGATGAAGGATACAGAGTCTTTCTTTGAACTACTCTGATTCTTACAATTGTTCTTTAAGTTTGAAATTATTTTCACTGAAAAGTTACACAATTTGAAAAACAGATCTTTTTGGAATGAGCTTATTTATAAATTGTCCCTGTGCATGAAAACTCATGGTGTTTTACTGTTGAGTTCTTAAGATTCATTTGTTGAAAATTTCTGTTTAAATACATTGCTGCTTCTATCTTATTCATTGCGCAATACATTTTGTGACTTGGTAATGAGTGTGACCAGGCAAGTATCAAAATTAAATCTGTTCCTTTGACTCACTCTTTTGAGCCTCATGAGGTCACTATAAATGTTAATTGATAAAATATTTAGCCATCATCTGTATTTTAGGAGGTCATAGAGGACTCTAAGTGTGGATAGATGCTAGATTATTTATTTTTTTATGATTTAAACAAGAAAAAGCCTGACCTATAAATGCTCACAGTTAGTTAACTTATGCAATGGTTTAATTTCAGTAGCTATCTAGGCTGTGCACTTGAGTAGGTAACAGTTTATACACAATGAATAAAGGAGGCTTTAAATGAACCCTGGTAATGAGCACCAGCAAAACACAGGCCTATTCTAGAGTTTAATGATGTCTTCTGACATATTTTATCTTAGGATATATTCTTACCATAGCTAAGACTCTTCTCAATATTTAATGAATATTCAAACAGTGGAAGACAAATGTAAATAGAAATGTTTAAAATCTTTCAAAATAAAAATATCTAAGCACAGGATTACTTATGGCAAACAGCATCAAGAAAGGGTGCTGATAAAAATATTAAAATACATTATAATGCTTTATAAAATATAATACATTATTACTTTAGTGTTGCTAAAAATAGTCTCTTTTGGCTGGTAGAAAGTAATAAAGAGGACATTTACTAAGAGTCCACTAAAATTCCTTTGTTTAAAGATAAATATGTACATTTATGTTTAGAATGTTTCACATTACGGTAATTCGCATGATTTTTCACTCCCTTGCTTTGTTATTAAATGCTCTTAATTTTAAAGTGTTCTCTCCATTCTATTTTTAAAAAAGTTCCATGGTTTTATTTTCAGCACCTTATAGATAGAAGATTGTTAGAGATTTAGTACCTTTTACTGAGTTTTTCTGAGGCAAGAGAATTTTAATTTTTTTATGGTGTTGTATATTAATGATTCTCCTTTTGTATGAGTAAACAGACATTTAAAATAGAAACTTGTTTGGAAATGGAGAGACGTTTGTTGGAGAAAATGACTGTACAGAAGCATGGCAAATCATAACAGAAAAGTTCTGGTGGCATGGTGGTGGCAGTGGTGGTGGTGGTGCTGGTGGTGCACAGTCTTTGTGCACTAAGGAAGATGGAATAAGGAGCTCCGTGTATCTTTGCTGCATGCACAGGATGTGTATGTAGAACTACTTAGCTGACACATTCGCTGTTTATACTTGCTTCATGTCTTATGACAACCAGATCCAAGGCCATGGGAGTATTTCAGGAAGATAAAGCAGTTTATTCTATGCTCAGTTTAAGGTGAATCTTGGGTGAATTTTGATAAGGATAGGTCTAAAGCACATGGAAGATGATTAACTTTTGGGAGTATGCTATGATACATGCCATTCTTTTAAGGATGGATGATGATTTGGATTTATGTATCTATGTTTCATTGCCCTGCTGCAAGGCTGTTAGGATTTATTCCCCAGCAGAAGCCTTTTGGCAAGAGAAAAGCCGATTCTTTGGAGCCCTGCAGGAGAGACAAGCTCCTTGAGAACTGAGCAGTCCAGCTCATAGAGGGTCTTAAATGCCATGCAAGTATTTATATTTTAATCCAGTGGCAATGAAGAGAAGTCATAAAGGATAGTAACAAGAGTGATGCAATGGGATTTTTGCTTTATAGGAATTTAGCTGATGGTATGAGGAATGGACTTGAACTAGACAAGAGTGACAGAAGAGAGGCCTGTTAGGATACTCATGTAGCCATCCAGGCTACAGGTAATAATTACCAGAAAGGAGACAATGGCAGGGGTAGTAGATCTAATGACTCAATAGTATACATAGACTGAGGAAGGGGAAAGGCAGATTGCCAAGTGGTGTTAGAGCCTAAGACTGGGAACATAGAAGAAAATGTCAGAGCAGGGTTGCAAGTTAGCGGGAAATGTGTGGGGATGGCAAATTTCATCTGTTTTGACTTTGTTGAAATGAAGCATTGGAGTAACATCCAGGAGGAATTGCCTGGTATGCAGTTGTCACTGTGAATCTATATTCAGATAAGAGTATTTGGCCAAAGATGCAGAAACTTTATTTTTTGCTTTTGTATGAAAGCCCATTATTGACTTCCAACTAGTTTATTAGTTCAAGTGCATTTATTCTTAATGTGCATGTTCATATTCTAAAAGATTGTTATTCTTTTAATTATATTTAAAAATTTCAGCTTTACATTTGGCATTACCAATTAATTGAAATGCTCTGATTCTTTGCTGGGTAAAATCCTGAGTTCTGCTGCCTTTCTGGAGTGGTGTTGTCATGGGTGGCTGGTTTTGCTCTCTAATAATTTACGTTTTAGGATTATTACACTTTTATCTCCTATGTTTGCTTTTAGCCTCATTTTCATCGTCTTGTTCCATAGATGCAGACTTTGATTATAGATTGTTTTAGATTTTCTCCTGTGCCCAGCTGCATGCTTAGCACTGTGTTTGAGGGGTGAATGCCTATCTCATGGGGACTTCATCTGCTGGTTCTAGGACAGGAATTATAGCTTCATACTTATTTAATAACAACTTTCTTGGCATATAATTCACATACTGTACAGTTCATTCATTTAAATTTTACAATTCATTTGTTTCTAGTCTATTCACGATTGTACGACCATCACCACAATCAAGTTAGAACATTTTCATTACCTCAGAAAGAAACCCCTTCCCTTTACTAGCAATTTCCCATTCCTCCCCGCCAATTCCCTCCCCTCTGAACAATCACTAATCTATTTCTATCTATTTGCCAAATACCTTAACATTTTATACTCTATCCTTTGAATATGTTCTCCACTTTTGGCTTTACACAGATATGGTGACATTGTTAGCCTCACCAGAGGGAGGCAGTGTAGATTCTCAGTATGGACCTGCAGGGAAAAAAGATACAGGCAGAAGTCCACAGAACACTGCCTGATGAACACAGTTCTATAAGACCCAATAAAGTCGGCAAAGCACTGCTTGATAAACACCGTTCTGTAAGACACAATATAGGACTTTAAATCGTTGTAACATGAAGGACTAAGAAAGGCAAATGAAGTAAAGGAGGAAAAACAAATACTTGAAAATACTGCATTTCTTTTAAAGAATCATGACAACATTAGACAGAGGTGAAATTGCAGCATTAGCCCGGTTACCAGTTTGAGCAGGACACTGATAATGAGCAACATCTGGGTTCTATTTCTGGCTGTGCTCTTTGACCCAGTCATTTAATCATCCAGGGTTATTTTGCACATCTCCTGATAGTACTTTACCCCAGTTGATATTTGCAATGATGTTCAGGCTGCAGTAGAGAATATGTCTCAAGTGTGTGTATATATATACACATAGAACCCCAAAATTATGTACTGGATTTTTATATGATATAATTATGGCCTCATATTTCCTATTCATAAAATTAAAACAGCTTTATGGCAAATACAATGAGATCATGAAGATGCTGTCTAAGGGGAAATGTGGCAATTTGGAATGTTCAGTAGTCAATTACAGACTTTTAATTTTTTATTCACTTAGCTGTTTAATTAGACAAATCCTAACCTATTCCATTTCTAATGGCTTTCCTTCTAGGCAGGCAGATGAGAATCCACTGGATCGCTCTGCTTTTAGGGTGTCTTAGTCATATAACCCCTGCAAGTATTTTTTGTTTTGCTTTATTTTTGTTGTTTTGTTTTGTTTTAGGTGATTTTGGGCTGAGATCTGTCTGGGGGTGATTTTTTAGCACTTAATGTATGGGCTGTTGTCATCAGAGTCAGGTGTACCCTTCTGCTCTTCTCAAGATTTATAACAGGGTCTCCTGTTCACTAATTCACAGAGCACAGCTAGAGCTGCATTTATTGGGTAGTGAACATATCCCTCTTTAGAGACGGTGAATGCTCTGTTCTCTCTTAATAGAAACCAGCTACAGGGCATGCACCGTGGTGGTGGCAGTGATATGTTGAATCCCTGTTCCCAGGGGATGTCCGCTTTCTATCTGCAGCTTTAATGTTTCACTTAATATCCTCTTTGGCTACTGAGCGCACTCCTCTCCCGCAGCCGGCAGCGCTTGGCTGCTCGACAACTTCCTTCATTTCTGGCCATGCCGGGCTGAGCAAGTGCTGCCTGTGAGCATCTGCTGGGGGGCTTTCTCTGTGGCGTTTGTCTGTGTTTTTTAAATTGAGAAGTTGAAGGAATACCAGCCTCCTTTTTCCTAGAACCTAACCCCCTGTATCTTTCAAATGCTTTCCTGGAAACGAGCATGCTCAGAGAACTGACAAATCATTGTCCAGTGACCGGGAGGAAATGATCGTTGCTCTTCATTTATAATGCAAATTCTGAGGTGTCTCCAGAAGTGTGGTAAACTTAAAATGATGGCTGTGGTGAGAACGTCTCTGCAGAAAGTTGTGGTTTTGTTGCATCGCTTACAAAGGATGGCAGTTTCTTCTCCTCGGTATCAGAAGCTCTGTAAGGTAACTGAGTGATTGAAAATAAGGATCTCGGGTGTCTGACAGTTCTACTGTTTCTCAGGCTCTAAAAACTAATCTTTCAGGTTCTTATCAAGGAAAGATTCCCTTTCTTAGTAACTGATTGTGAAAGCTGTTAAAGTGAATTGCATAATTACATTTTGTTTAAAAATCTAAAACAGGTTTTAGTTTTAGTACATAGTTTCTTTTGCAATTGACACAATCTTGTCTTCTGAGATGGGCTAGTGAAATGTTTGGAGAAAATATGATGCAAAACTACTACATTCATTAAGACCTGTTACCTCTCTGGTACTTTGCAGTATCTTAATAGTGAATGGCACATTAATCTTATGTAAATTTTAGTAAAATTAAAAGAAGAGTGCCAAATAATCTTTCAGTAGATTTTTAAAAAATGTTCCATTGTTTTATAGCTAATTGCTTTTTCAATTAAAACAATTAAAAGACATTTTAAAAAAATGATCAGACTGAATTTCATCATAAAACATCCCCTATATTCTTAAATCTCCATATATTATAGTTACACTTGAAGAATTTAATTTCACTTGGATGGATGAATTAAGTAGACTTACTGGAGACAACTTGTTTGACAGTTGCAAATTTCTAATACTACGTCATCCCGAACATAAACCATTCAATCAGCTGCTGTATTTTTTTAAGTCAGCTGTTATATGTTTGATCATAGTTTTGTTTTATTCAAACTATGTTGATACTATGTCATTACTTTTGTCAAAATTAGAGTGTTTTGATATAAAAGGAGAGAGTTATAATAGCAATTTTTACACTACCGCAGTACTATATTCCTCCTTCCTATCATATTTTTAGTACCGTTCTCAAGAATGTATCTTGTTGCTCTGTTAGCTGCCCAAACTCATTTGTGATCAAAACAACTGCCTCTAAGAAAATATTATTTTTCTGATGATATACAGTATGGCATGTCCAGGCATCTAGATGATGCTTATATGGCAGCAGATTGAGGTGGGAAGCAGTATTCCATTAACTTTATTATATCACACTGTAATTTCTTACAATTTGGCCAATTAGATATATTGCTGTCTGGAAACTTTTTTTTTTTCCGGAAGTTTTGGGAGACAGATTCAGGTAGTGGGGTATTCTTTTCAGAAATACTTACAAGAGTTTTATTTGCATAAGAAGTTAATTAAAACTTAATGGAGCTTAATTAATTCAGTTACAAAGATTTGTAAACCTAGTTATTTCAATGTGTTGTGTTTTGCTCTACTTCAGTGGATAAGTTTATTCTGGTAAAACATTTATGTTTTTCATGAAAAGGCAATTTTGATAATAGATAAGAAAAGCTCATTCACTAATTCATGCTATTTAATTTTTTTAACTACCAGTATGAATGTATAAAGCTTTCTTTTTTTTAAGAGCAGGGTCATTTTCCTGATCCGTTTGTGTGTGTACTTTCACAAAACCAAATATTTTTCTAAAGTCGAAGGTATTAAGTTAGTGCAAAAGATGAAACAGCAGAAGTCAAGTATTGGAGAAAGTTGCTAATTAGTTTGCTAATTCTACCGCAAATAGGCACAAGTTAAGTCACTGAAGTCATTGGATAAATTACCATCAGAAGTGCTTTTTGGGAAGACTTCTTGATTTATAATTTCCTAAAGATACCATGAAAATTTAAATGTTTAGAATAAATGTTACTTATTTCATTTAGAGAATTAAAATTTACATTATTTGCTGTTGAAATACTATCTTCCACGTATTCTTTCCCATATGCAAAATTAACAACTGCCTGATTAACGCAATGAGAAATGTACAATTCCAGTACATTGCAGCAGGTGTCAGTATAAGGCAGTGACATAGGAGATTTTGCCTAAAGAACTGGAAATCCAGATTAGGAAGCGGCACAATTACTATGAAATAAATAAACTAGTAACAGATAAATTTTATTTGTGTGGTTATATTTTGAAAACTGATCTAAGTTATTGAGCTATATTAATGTAATGAAATGAAAATTTAGTTGTAGACTTAAATATTAACAGTTGCCATCTCAAATATTGATAGAGGTAGCTATACCAACCAAAAATACTTAATTGTATTTTAATTATCAATAGTCCATGTGTCATACCTAAAAGTTTAAATGGGTTTGACATTTATTTGCTTTAAGACACTGTAAATTCCCTTCCCATTAAATTGTAAATGCTGTCTTGACTTTCTCCTTATTCCTCCCACATTCTCTAAATTTAGTTTCTTAGAAAAAAATGCTTTAAGTTTGTGTATCTCCATAAAAATACAGAAACAGTCTATTGTAAATACATGTAGAGACCAAAATGAATGAGAATAAAATGTGGCATAATCTGAGGGAAATTTGACTATTTAAAATTCATATTGGCATTTTGAAATTCAGTGTCTGAATATTTTTATCTTCTTTTAAATTCCTCTTGAGGATCATTCTTTTTATGTATTATTTGTTTAGTCTTTTGTTAGACTTTTCCCTCTGTGGCAGCTCGTCTTTTCTGCTTATTTTCATACTTCTCTTGTTTGTCAGAAGATAGTGTGTGTGTTACACGAGTAGATACTTGTGTAGAATATTCTCATTTTGTGGGTTTTCTTGTATGTTTCAAAGAGAAGGGAGGAATGAAAAAAGGCATGTCACAGCTCTCAGAGTTAAAATATACTCCCCTCCCACAATCTATTTACACATTCACGTGTATTTTTTGCCTTTAAAAATATTTCTTCTCGGTTATACATCCAATAAAATTTGAGCAGGAAGCAAAAACGTAAGTGCTGCTTACTTGGAGATATAATTAGCAGCATTGAAATTGCCCTGATGACCTAAAATCACCCTACACTGGATGCTAATTTTCTCAGATATGGTTTTGTTTGCTTAGTTTCTTTAAAATTTTCATGCCTATAAAATAATTTTTCTTTTAGTAGAGCACAGTAGAAAAAAAGCTGATGTAAATGATTTGAAAAATAATATTGAATTTAATTTGTTTTTATTGTTACGTGATTACTTTGGGGTGTTTTATATCATGAAGTCTTTAGATTAGAACTGGGTTATTTGTGTTAATGTTAAATCAGAAGAGATTTTTGTAAGTCCTCCTTATTTTTTTCTTAGTGCCAATTTCTGTAAAATATTTAGCAATTGAGGGCATGGTAAAAAGCAGTTTCCTGTAAAGTAGATTGGGATATGAACATTATAGAAAAATGAGAAAAATTTAAAAATATTTAGTGCTGTAAATTGACTCCTTCGTGACTCAAGCATTTTAGAAAATGTTGATTTAAGTGATATAACTTCTATTTGCTTGAATGTATATGTAAATCATTTTAGTTTAAGTGGTTTTAGTCACCCCCCAAACTATTCTGATCATATTTCTTCAGCAAAAATCTTTTAAACATCTAGCTGTATATAGATGTGTATTCATTTAAAAATTATACATATATGCCATGGTGAAATCATGTATTAAATATTAGTAGTGTATAATTTTGTTCTTACTTTCTACTGTTGCCTTTTTGTACCACAGTTGATTCTTTTTCTCTATGTGGTATACACAACACGATTTTGGTGACTAGTCATTTACATACAGAGTGAAACTATGGCTATTCTTAGCCTGGCCTTCTAGGGGGCTTGAGCTTTCAGTGTGGTGCTGATCTCAAAGTCTTCCCCGGAATACTGTGTCTTCTGTGGTATTAAAGCAACTACTTCTGAATATTCTGTGAAAAATAGAAGAGACCAGAAGATTCCACCTGGGAAGTCACGATTGACCAGTGATGTCTACAAAAGGCTTGCTTTGTGGCTGTGTGTGTGTGTTTTCATGTGTGGACGTGGACAACACAGAACTATGTAGTTGCTTGTAGTGCTAATGAGTAAATAGATAATGAACATGAAGGCACATTAATCTCTCAGCAGGTTTTTATGTTCACTGATGAAGTAAGGTCACATATTATTTTTCATCTACATGTACAGCTCCCTGTATTTAGAGGTAGTTAAGGTTGAGTATGTGGTTTTTTAGAAGACACTGAATGGAGTGGTGTATTTTCGACCGGTTGAATTTTGTATTTTTTACTCTCAAACATTTCCCCACCTTTTTTTCACAGGAGAACCCTGCTCTCCTTGGACAATTAAATCCTGAAGTGATCCAGGGCAATGGAGATTTACTTTAACATGATCTGATTGTTGAGATGTGTGTATTTTAAGGTCAACTCTTGGATTCCCTCAGTTTCTCTCAATAACCAACTCATACATAGATTGTTTGAACCATGGAGCTCAGAGTCATGACCCTCTAGTCTGCAAGTTAGAATTCCCACTTGATCATATGAGTTGTCTCTTCTTGGCTTCATGAGAAAGTCTTGGTTAGATTAGTACAGAAACTGTGTGAAGGTTGAGGTTTAATGGAGAAAAATGGCGTATGTAGATGGGTTTGCCTCCATCTAACCCTCTCTATGGATGCTGTAGGTGTGTTTCCTGGGAGCTGTATGGATACCCACACAGACTACTTTCTCTACTCTGCGTTTGTTTCTGCACTTCCTAGTCAGGTCAAGATTACAGACAAAAGTGAGACGGGATCAAGGAGAAAACACCTGCACCCCTGCCTGCCACTATCAGACATGATTCCTGTGGCTTCCAAGAGCACAAGTGCCATTTTAGAAAGCTCTTGGACCTCTGTTTTGCTGTAGTTCCCCAAGTTGATATGTGTTGTCAAAATTATGTTTTTAAAAAGTTATCCAATTAACTAACATTTTCTTAATCAGAAAACTCATGCTATCAATGACTTGGATAAAGTCAATATAATTAGCTAAAAACAGTATAATTAGATCTGATGCAATGCTTTGTCACTCACTTAAAGAATAACTAATACATTCTATAAGGTAGCATTTTAAAATTCTTTTATAGCCAAGATATCATTATCATTGGTGTATGTCTAGAAGTGTAATACTAGTACAAATCCGGAACAAATAGAAGGTCCTTCTGAGATGGAGTTGAAGTAGTATTAAGGATACGGATAAAAGGTCTCTTTTATTTGTAGAGTATTATTTGATAATTGTAACTTAAAGGGTTGATGATTTGTGTTTTCCTAGAGGCAAAGTTTATTAAATTTCAAGTGGAAATTTCCTAGCTGTAGGTACTGCTAGATTTTAAATGTGCAGACATAGCTCCTTCCTCTTACTCTTAACTGTGATCACTACCAACTTCTCTTAGTATATTTGGTAGTTTATTTTTAGTTCTCTAAAATAAGTAATTAGTAGAGTTCCTACCATAGAGATAAAAGAATGTAGAAAATGTTATGCCTTGGTAGCTTTCTCAGTTTCACAAAGCTTATTCATTTCTGGGCGAGGTAAATGAGTCCAAATAATTGAAATTGGAAAGGATGTGAAGTGCATCAGAGGGTTGCTTTTCATTTTTCATCTTCTAGTTTGTTCAGTTCTGTGGAACTCTAAAAAGATTAATTTATAACAAAGCTCACTTATAAAAGCAGACAGTGCCTTTTAGTGCTTAATAAATAATAGGCTTATGTGAAAGTATGGCTTCATAAAGTTAAGCAAGAATTTTGGAAAAACATCAAATGGAAGAAGATGTTGAACTGTTTGCACAATAGACAACTATTTTGTTTTTATTTTAACAGAATTGAGAGAAAAATGGCTGACTACAACAATAGAATAACTGTTAGCTGTTATGATGGGAAAATATCTTGATACTGCTAGTACAGTTTCCTTACATTTTTAGTATTTTAGAGTTTACAATGTGTTTTCTCATATATTACATCATTAATAAATGTAATATTAACAATATTATATTATCTTGTGTCCTTAAGAGATAGATAGGAAAGAAATTTGTTTTGCAAGTCAGCAAGTGAAGGAACATGCCAGTAGTTAGTTGCTCAGCTAGTATGCGGTGCAGCTTGTGTTCAACATAGATTTTCTGCTTCAATAGCCAGTGTCTCTCTACCTGTAATTTTAGATAGAGAATTTTTGGAATTATATTGGGATAAAATGGGTCACTCAGTATAGAAGATATAGAAAGAGAGATTACATTAACTAAGTAATAGATATTGTTTTGTTCTGAATTATTTCCATATGCATTTCCTTGTCTAAAGAAATTTCACCTGCAGTCTCCTTTAAAACATGAGCTGGAGCATGAGAACATTCCATGTTCCTTTAAAACATGGAATTCTGGAGAATGAGGAGATGTTGGAAATCATCTGATTCAACCATTTCATTTTGGACATAAGGAAACAGAGATAGTCTATAATGGATGTTTTATTGCTGACAGCTTTTTTTTTTTCTTTTTTTGAGACAGGGTCTCTGTCACACAGGCTGGAGTACAGTGGTGCTATCATGGCTCACTGCAGCCTTGACCTCCTGGGCTCAAGCTATCCTCCCGCCTCAGCCTCTCGAGTAGCTGGGATCACAGCTACTGTGCATGCCACCACACCGGGCTAATTTTTTTGTATTTTTTTTGTGGAGACAGGGCCTCACTATGTTGCGCCGGCTGGTCTCAAACTCCTGAGCTCAAGCAATCTGCCTGCCTCGGCCTTCCAAAGTTCCTGACAGTTTTGAGCAGGTGGCTATGTACTTGTTTTCCTAGAAGTTTAAAAGTAAGGAAATATATTCTTTTCAAAACTATTTCGATGTTCGATGTTCAAGTATTGGCTATATAATGTTAAGGAAATAAAGATTTTTAAAAATGAGTTCATTTTGCACTTTGATAAGAAAGATGGATTGGGTCATTTCCATCCATATTAAAATAGTTGGTTCTGGTTTTTGATTTATAACTTAATTTGGTTTGATTCTTAACAGTACAAACGTTAAATTATGTGTTCATTGAACCCAGTTCTCCATACCCACATGTAGTTTTTTATCATTATATTTAAAAGGACATAATAGCTCCCTAAGAAAGAAACTGAAAGGAGTCAACTAACTTAACAGACTGAGTTGTTTAAAATAAGAAATATGTATATATTTTTAAAAAATTTAATTCAAAGAACATGTATTGAATGGCTGTCATGCATCAGAGATATGTGCTAAGCAGCATAAATGTAAAATGCAGTGTTGCATTTTCCATGGGAAACAAGGAAGTACAAATATGTTGTTCTGAGGAATTTTAGTCGTTCACACGAGTCTAGCGTGAGACTAAATTCAAACAGTTCTGGCTTTGCCACTTACCAGTTATGTAACCTTGGCAAATCCTTCCACATCTCTGTGTTTCAGTTCCCTTTTCAGAAGATAGGGTTGGAATTAGTCTCTCTCTCTCTCTCAATCTACACACACACACACACACACACACACACACACGCACATGCACACACACACACACACATAAGGTTGTTGTAGGAGTTAAATAAGTTAATATTGATAAAATGGTAAAAACAAAGCCTGGCACATATCTGCTATGTGGGTTGGCTACTGTTGTTACCGTTACCACTATTGGTAGGATTATTCTCCCACCTTGATTGAGTGTGGATCAAATGAGATGATCCACCTGACATGCCTAGCACAGTCTCATGTCTCTTGGTTGTGGTGATGGCATCATAATCTTCATTATCTTTATCTCTGAAGTAACCCTTACATCTTAACAAGGATGTTCACATTACAGTCGCCCAGAGAATTTTTCCAAAGGATTCATGCCCCTGCAGACTTTGACTCACTGGGGTTCAGATGCACCCTGGTCACCCCACTGCGAAGATGCCATAAACTCCTGCTTTCAACAGTGAAGGAGAAAATAAATCTTTGAAATTTTCCCTGGGGTTGTTATTTTCTCTGAGTCTCAGCTTGAGGAAATGCAAGAAAAAACTTCCCTTGACCAGTGGGGCTTGTGATAGAAGATCCTGTAGGATGCTCCTCAATTTATGAAGCCTTTTCTGGATTATAGATTAGGCTCTGAGATGGCCCCTAAAAATCTAGTTAACCCACAAAGAAACTGATATAATGCTGATTGACATAAAACCTCATATTAAAAAGAATCCTATTCCATTGCCAGAAACTAAACAAAGCAAAGGAAAGAAGTCGTCTTTACTGTGAGTGATACAGGAGGAAAAACAAACATGGTTGCTTAGTAGAGGATGGAAAGAAATACTGAGAATTTTAAATGTACTTCTGGAAAGTATACATTTTAAGAATTATGCTTTTTGGTGCCATCAGTTTTGAGTCTAAACTCACCCCCCAAAATCCGAATTTAGTATTCTTGGTATAAATCTAGTATTAATTATAGCCGGAAAAAAAAAGTTCTTGATTCTTGGCTCAAAAATTTTATAAAATGAAGAATTTTCCTTTTTCTTCAGGGTAAATGTTGCAAGAGTTAAAGAGGTAGAGAAAAGGGGGAACTTTTTTAGTTGAAAACATTATCTGATTGTGTATTTACTCTGGGTTCAGAATTTTAAAAGTCTAGAGTGTAGCTGCACCTACCCTGGCATCCTGCAGGCTAGGGTGGTTGTAATATAGAAGTACGGGAAATGCAATTTGCTCTGTAGCTTTATTCTAGGATTTTATAGCCTTCCTTTTACACTTTACACATCGTGAATGCTTTGTAGGTCATGAATGCTTTTTTTATGTCTTATATTGTGACTTTTTTAAAACAATGTAAATAAAATTCTATTGAGTGGCTGCACCATAATTTATTCAGGGAACCCACTATGGTTAGGTAACTAGGTTGTTACCAATGTTCTCATGATAAATAATTCTATGATCCTTATACATCATTAAGTGCATCCTGATTATGTCCAGGGTACGTTATTAGAATAGCATAACTGGACCAAAAGGACCAGAACAATGAAAAGCTTTTTAAATTTTTAAATTTTTTTTTTTATTTTTTAGACAAGAGTCTTGCTGTCACCAGGCTGGAGTGCAGTGGAGTAATCTCAGCTCACTGCTACTTCCACCTCCCAGGTTCAAGTGATTCTCCTGCCTCAGTCTCCCAAGTAGCTGGGACTACAGGCGTGCACCACCACTTCCAGCTAATTTTTGTATTTTTAGTAGAGACGGAGTTTCACCATGTTGGCCATGATAGTCTCGATCTCTTGACCTCGTGATCCCCCTGCCTCAGCCTCCTAAAGTGCTGGGATTACAGGTGTGAGCCACCGTGCCCAGCCAATGAAAAGCTTTTGATATTTATTGCCGGATTTCCATCTTGCAAGGTAGCACCTGTTTACATAACCACTACCAGCTTGAATGCCTGATTTCTTGTATCCTCACAGACAATAGGCAATACCAATTAAAAATATTTTATGAAGTTGTTAGATGAAAATCATAACCCTGTTATAGAATATAAACGGAAACCTAGTCAAGTTGAATGATTTACCTGTGTGGGATCAAATATTCTATCCCAGAACTGTCTGAATTTCAGATACTGAGAACCCAGTCACTGTAGTTTCTAAAATGGGATGCAACAAATACAGTATAATAAAACTAGAAGTTGTTTGAACACAGAAGAAGGGGCAGTAAAATCTGAATTTAAAATGTCAGAGAAGTGTTAGTACTAATATGGATCTTGAGGAGTAGATAGAATTTTAGTAGAGCAGAAAACTCTGCGAATAGACTGAATGAGTAAACTTGTTACCAGAATGCAAAGTCTTGACTGGGAGCTGTCCACGTTCTTGGCGCAATGAACAAAGAATTGAACAAAATGCACAAACAAAGCAACAAAAGAATGAAGCAATGAAAGCACAGATTTTTTGAAAGAAAAGTACACTCCACAGAGTGGGAATGGGCTTGAGCAGGTGGCCCAAAAGCCCTGATTGCAATTTGCTTTAGGGATTTTATTAAACTAAAAAAATTTGGTGACACCCCTAGGTACCCTTAGAGGCCTCCAATTGGTTACAACACCCTATATGAAAGAAGGATTGGCCTGTGACCAATCATAGGCTGAAGTGAAGCCTTGGCTTGCGACCAATCAGAGGCTGAAGGTAAGCTTTGGCCTGCAACCAATCAGAGGCATTTCCCATTTGTAGGCTAGGGTAGAGGGATTTTGTAAAGAGGGGAGTCTCTGGCCTCTTCTCACTTGGGCATGGAGAGATGGGGTTTTCCTTTTGGCCCAATTCCAAGAACTCAGCCATGACTTGGCCTTAGGCTGCCTGTCTCCAGACCCTATTCTTCTGCCTCAGACATGGAGCACAAAAGTATGCTGATTGTATTCAGAGAACATTGGGTACTTGTCCATCATAAATGTCTACAAAGTTCATTCATTTACATTTTTATATTAATAAAAAAGTTGCCCTTTTGATTGCCAGCTATGTATGCCAGATCTTTTTGACTGTTTCCAAAATTTAGTTCATTTTCAAAGGAAAAATATTTGTGAATATTGGAGATACTCAAACACAGACAGCATTTCCAAAAAGGAATTCTAAAAAAGAAATTGCATAATATTTGTATCTTTAAAATAAGGACATAATTCTTCAGAATGCCTCTTTTAAAGGAAACAGCCTTCTTTTGGATGTAAGTCAGTTTGGTATGGGAGTGACAAAAATGTTATACTTTTATGTTATGACTTAGTTGATGAGGGAATTACACAATATTTCAAGCAAAAATGAAAAATAATTCACAGTAGAAGTCAGTCTGTCTAGAATTAAATTATAGATTTGTAGAACATTAGAGTTTATGGAAATTGTAGAAATGACCAATTTCCTTATTTTATAAATAGGGAAGCAGTGCCTTAACATCTATGTAGAGCTTTGCTCTTAAAGTGCTTTAATATATTTTTTTTGTGCTGCCCAAGGTCACACAACCCACTGGTACTCCATATTTAAGCTCCCAGGAGATTACTGTAGTATCTTTCACTACATCTTATGTGCATTTATTTTTGTGGAACTTGTATTTAACTTTGCCTGGTACTATAATTAGCTATTTATTTCTTTTTGACCTTCTGAATTGTAAACTCTTGAATTTGGGACTATACCTTGTTTTCTAGTTCTGTGGACAAAACAGTATTTGTAAATATTGAATAAATAAACCAAATTTCAATTTTTCCTTAGATTTAAAAATTAGTACAGTAAAGCAGAAGTTCTATATACTTTGACTTTAGTTTTTTTCTTTTCAAAATAGTCTTATTGATATATAATTCATGTAAAAGTCACTTTTAAAATGTACAATTCAGTGCTTTTGGCATGTTCACAGGGTTGTGCAGCCATCACTATAATCTAATTTTAGAGCACTTTTGTCTCTTCTTAAAAAGAAATCCCTCACACTCATGAGCAGTCATTTCCTATTTCTTCCCACCGCACTGCCCCAGCCCTAGGCAACCCTGAACACTTTCTCTTTTTAATATTAGATTGACAGTAAGATTTTGAAACCATGGGATTAGGTAAAAGTCATGGAAATATAATTCTAATTCATTGTGATAAATTTACTACTTTATCTTAGAGAATTTGATAGTTTTGAGTTTTCTTAGTACTATCTAGGGCAGCTTATGTTAAATGCTATGTAAATCATATCTATAAAATATGCACAGTAATGTACTTTTAATAGAAATTATTTAGAATACAGTACAAGTAAAGTATAATGGGAAAAATGCTGAATTTGGAATCACAAGATCTAGATTTGATTCCTTACTTGTTTGATCTTATGTAATACCCAAGTGACATATCAGTCCTCAGTTTTGTCTTCTAGACAGTGGGAATAATTTACATTCCACATATTTTAGAAAGCTGTTATAGGACCAGTGTATTAATGTTTATGAATTTGCTATGCAGAGCTGGAGTATTATGGAAATCGAAATATTAAATTTCCTATGAATAAAAACAACAAATAACAATCAATGACAATATTTACCTACATTTGAGTTTCTCACCATGCACTGCTGAAATGCGTTTTGAAAACAGTGACTAACTCAAACTTCTGTGTGTCTCAACTGAGGCGGAAGAATGTTGAATACTAACCACCTTAGGTCTTTCTGCAATGCAGGGTCAGTTCATTTTTCTTCTTTCCTGGGGCACACAGCCAGCTTCCATATTGAGGTACATTCTCTGCCAGTAAAATCATACTATTTCCAAACAACTTAGATTCAAACTGGGGCTACATAAAAGGGTCCATGTCTTCAGAGCAGGACTAATAGCCCCTGAGTCTGCAGCATCTAGTCAAATGAAGTATTTTGAAGTCTTTATTCAATCCAGAATTAGGGCAGCCATAATTTTAAAAATCTATACATTAGTAATCTTAGATGCTGGGAAGGCTTGAAGAAGGAAGATCTTTCTTGAATTTCAATAATAATTAAACATTCTGGTAAATCTCAAGTGGCTTTGCATAATATGTTTTTTGAGAGTGTGATTTTGATAGGTAGTGAATAACCTGAATTAATGACCATAATGACTGAGTGCTGTTTTGCATTAATTCTTGAAACAAAACCTAGATTGCTTCATTACATGGCCTGTCTTTGTGGAAGATCCTTATACGGTGTGGTGGTAAAGAAAGGGGAACATTTGCTCTATTTTGAAGTAATTGCTTCTAATGGAAGCCTAATGACCTATTATGCTTATTTCTAAAAGCTGAGCAGTAAGCTTGATAGGAAGCTAGAGAAAGATTGGAGAAATTATGTCATATAAACCAAAATTTCAGGAAGTTGCATGTGGTTGAGAATCAGTACCTCATTAGACAACTTAATAATTCAATAGTTTACTTATGCCAAATGTCATCCTTACTTTAAAAGCTGGAGTGATTTCTAGAAATGTGTCCACATCCTTGCGGGTTAGGGTACGGGGCAGCTTCTGGCCAGCTGTCGTCCAGGTGTCTTATGGTTTTTCCGAGTTTCATATGCAGATCAAACAGGGCAGTGAGAGTAGAGTTTTCCTGTGGGTATTGAAATGGTAACATTTAATAACCTATGGTGACTTTGGATATTCTCAAGTTTAGCTTCCTGATTTTTTCAAGATCAGGAGACAGAAGCTTAAAAGAGTTAATCCTATAGGATTAATTAGTAGTGGCAATGACCAAACTGCGATGATATGGATATATTCCATTTTTGGGTTTCATGGGACTGTACTACCAAAGTGTATTTTATATGTTTCTAATTTGGACTATTGACATCAAATGAATCAAATAGTTGGAGTAAATGATTTACTTGAAGGTGGTTCCAAAAATTAATTAATGAAATGTATCTCTTTAGATAAAACACATATGGTAACATCTTAACAGCTGTTGAGTCTGGTTGTCAGTATATGGGTATTTATTTTACTCTTTTTTCAATTATTCTGTATGCTTGAATATTTTTATGATAAAATGTCTTATAGGTAACAACAACCCTATTCTAATAAAAGCTTGTCAGATTACTTGAGCCCTTGCATACTTTACTGTTGAGCATCATAAAAGAACTTGAAATGCTTTTGTTTTTGGATTCTTCATGTTTCAACTTCAGATGGTGACAAGTGCAAAATGGCTTAAAAGTGCCTTGGCTAGGCACAGTGGCTCACACCTGTAATCCCAGCACTTTGGGAGGCCAAGGTGGACAGATCATGAGGTCAGGAGATTGAGACTATCCTGGCTAACATGGTGAAACCTTGTCTCTACTGAAAGTGCAAAAAATTAGCCGGATGTGGTGGCACATGCCTGTAGTCCCAGCTACTGGGGAGGCTGAGGCAGGAGAATTGCTTGAACCTGGGAGGCGAAGGTTGCAGTGAACCGAGATTGTACCACTGCACTCCAGCCTGGGCAACAGAGTGAGACTGTCTCAAAAAAAAAAAAAAAAAGTGCCTTAACTTACCTGGCAATAAACATTTATTGAGTCTGCAGCTTTCATTCATTTAGCTCATTTACATTTAACTGAAACACATTTAAAAATTCATTTTTTCCTTTTGCAAAAGCTAGGCATGCCTACTATAAAAGTTTGCAACTTTTCAAAGCATGAAATATGTAGAGTTGATACCCTCATTTATTATATTTTACTAATTCCTGTAGAGATGAGCAACAAAATTGTCCTTTATGAAAGCTGTCATTCTCTAAAATTCGATATAGTAGGAAAGTTGGTGTGTAACCTTATTTAACAAGGCTTGCAACTGATAACTTTTGTTGAGACAGGCATGGGGGCCCTTCTTTTGGTGTTGACATAATATCTTTTTGTCTTTCTTATTCATCAAGGTTAGTAGAAAGTTGTCAAGTTTCTATTCTTAAGCTCTAGAACTATCCTGGTCTTTATCTATGAAAGAAGCATAAACTTTGTCAAAGGAATGATTTACTCATAATAAGTCAATGTGAAGCCCATTCATAACTATACCTTTTTGTTTTGCTTTTCTCATTTCTCTGAGTCATTACTTAAAGCTGGTGCTTTATAATTTGACTTAATCACATATGGTGTGATTCTTTTAGCACACATACTGTTGTTTTTAAATCATTACATTTTAAACTTCTTTATATCTAGAATTTTTACACTGCCAGATAACCTGAATTTTCCCCTGCTTATCTGGTGAAAGAATGATAGGAATTACAATGTTTGAAACATAGGGTTGTTCCTTATTTACTGAAAATTATATGGAACAACATATATCATTCTGGCTTCCAAGGATGAATCTGTGAACGAAAAGAGTCAAACTCTGTAATATTTGAAGAGATTTATTCCAAGCCAAATATGAGTGACCATGGCCCATGACACAGCCCCAGGAGATCCTGATAACATGTGCCCAGGGTGATCAGGGTGTAGCATGGTTTTATACATTTTAGGGAGAAAATAGACGTCCATCAATACGTGTAAGATGTACATTGGTTTGGTCCAAAAAGGCGGGACAACTTGAAGTGGCTTCCATGTCGTAGGAGGATTCAAAGATTTTCTGATTGGCAGTTGGTTGAAAGAGTTCATCTAAAGACCTGGAATCAATCGAAGGGAGTGTCTGGGTTAAGATAAGGGGTTGCAGAGACCAAGGTTCTTATTATTGCAGATGAAGCCTCTAGTTAGCAGGCTTCAGAGAGAATAGATTGTAAATGTTTCTTATCAGACATAAAAACGTACCAGACTCTTAATTAATTCTCTCCTGGATAGGGAAAAAGACCTGGAAAGGGAAGGGGATTCTCTATGGAATGTAGATTTTCCCCAGAAGAGACAGCTTTGCAGGGGTATTTCAAAATATGTCAAAGAAATATATTTTGGGGTAAAATACTTACATTTCTTTCAGGGCCTGCTATCTGTCATGTTGATATCTTGTTACTAGAGAGAGTCTGTTTTGTCAATCATAAGGTCGCTGTATTAATGTTAATGCTAGTCAGCTGTGCCTGAATTCCAAAGAGAGGAAGTTATAATGAGGCATGTCCAACCACCCATTCCCATCACGGCCTGAACTAGTGTTTCAGGTTTACTTTAGAATGCCCTTGGCCCAGAGGAGGGATCCATTCAGTTGGTTGGGGGCCATAGAATTTTACTTTTGGTTTCCAAATCAGAATGAATATTGCTAGACTAGAAATAACTCAAAGGTTGTTGGAGAATTTTAAAATGTATTTATTTATTTATGACATCTAGTTTGTGCTCTTGATTAATTGCTCTTGATTAACCTCCCTCGTCTTTAAATTAAATCAAAATTAGCAAATATTTATTGCGGTCTAGGAGAAATCTCATTTAAGGCACAAAGCACTGTGTAAAGCAGTAGAATGTTTTCTTTACTAATAAAGGACAGAAATTGAAGACCAGGAATTAACCAGCCCATGTATTTCCTGATATATACCTGATTTAGTACAGGTGTATTTGGGGAAATGGGGTGGTTGGTTAGGGCTGGAAGAAAGTGAGGAAGAGTACTCAATTAAGTAGTTCTCTTGATATTATTTTATATTGAAAAAATCTTTAAGAGGTTAAACAAATAATTAAGGTAATTAACGAAGCAGTGAGGGACACACTGGGTTGGAGGCGGGAGGTTATTATTCTGGACATACCTTTAACTGTGAGGAGTGAAATGGATATGTCAACTATGCTGAAACTTGTTTTTTTTAAATCTCTAAGTTGATTTTGTAAGGTATAAAAAATGTTTTTTAGAAAAACCTCTGAATGTCAAAGAAGTATAATGACAGCTTGAATATGCATATACAGCAAATCACTTATAATTTTGTTTGGCAAATGAAAATAGATTTCATTAGCTTTAAAATAGCATTTACACTTTTACTCTTGGATATATTAAAAAGAAAGTGCACATTTTGTAAAATGTAGTAGAAAGGAAGGAAGAAGAAAATAAAACTTACCAGTTAACCATACTATTCAGAAGGGAATATTATTAATGTCTTACTTTCATTTCACTCTTCTTTTCTGTGTGTACACAGGCATACCCCCATCTTATCACACATAGCTTTACTGTGCTTTCCAGCTGTAGCATTTTTACAAATTGAAAGTTTGTGGCAACCCTCTGTGAAACAAGTCTATCAGTGTTGTTTTTCCAACAGCATGTACTTTGTGTCTCTGTGTCACAGTTTGGTAACTCTTGCAATATTTCGAACTTTTTCATTATTATTATATATTATTTTACCCAGTGATCAGTGATCTTTGATGTTACTATTGTAATTGTTTTGGGCACCTCAAGCCACACCCATATAAGATGCTGAACTTAATCGATAAATGTTGTGTGTGGTCTGACTGTTCCATCAACACACCATTCCCATCTCACACTTTCCTTGGGCCTCCCTATTCCCTGAGACATAACAATATTGAAATTAGACCAGTTAATATCCTTACATTGGCCTCCAAGTGTTTAAGTGAAAAGAAGAATTGCACAATGCTCACTTTAAATAAAAAGCTAGAAATGATTAAGCTTAGCAAGGAAGGACTGTCCAAAGTCAGGATAGGTCAAAAGCCAGGCAGGCCTCTTGCATCCAACAGTTGGCCAAGTTGTGAATGCAAAGGAAAAGTTCTTGAAAGACATTTAAAGTGCTACTCCAGTGAAAACACAAATAATAAGAAAGCAAAATAGCCTTACTGTTGATAGTGAGAACATTTTAGTGGTCTGGATAGAAGATCAAACCAGTCACAACATTTCCTTAAGCCAAAGCCTAATCCAGAGCAATGCCCTAACTCTCTTCAATTCTATGAAGGCTGAGAGAGTTAAGGAAGCTACAGAAGAAAAGTTTGAATCTAGAAGAGGTTGGTTCATGAAGTTTAAGAACAGAAACCATCTTCATAACACAAAAGTACAAATAATAAGCAGCAAATGCTGATGTTGAAGCTGCAGCAAGTTATCCAGAAGATGGAGCTAAGATAATAGATGAAGGTGGCTACACTAAACAACAAATTTTCAATGTAGATGAAACAGCAGCTTTCAATTAGATGTCATCTGGCACTTTCATAGCTAGAGAGGAGAAGTCAGTGCTTAACTTCGAAGCTTCAAATGACAAGACTGTCTTGTTAGTGGTTAATGCAGCTGGTGACTTTAATTTGAAACCATTGCTCACCTACCATTCCGAAAATCCTAGGGCCCTTAAGAATTATGTGAAATCTATTCTATCTGTGCTCAATAAATGGAACAACAAAGCCTGGATGACAGCACACCTGTTTGCAGCATGATTTAATGAATATTTTAAGCTCAATGTTGAGACCTACTGCTCAGAAAAAAAGATTCTTTTCAAAATATTACTGCTATTGACAATGTACTGGTCAACCAAGAGCTCTGATGGAGAGTAATGCTATTTTCATGCCTACTAACTCAGTATCCATTCTTCAGCCCATGGATCGAGATGATATTTTGATTTTCAAGTCTTATTATTTAAGAAATGTTTCATAAAGCTATAGCTGCTAAAGATAGTAATTCCTTTGATGGATTTGGGCAAAGTAAGTTGAAAAGCTTCTGGAAATGATTCACTGCTCTAGATGCTATTAAGAGCATTCTTGATTAATGGCAGGAGGTCAAAATAGTGACATTTACAGGAGTTTGGAAGAAGTTGATTCCTACCCTCATGGATCATTTTGCGGGGTTCAAGAGTTCAGTGAAGGAAATAACTACAGCTGTGGTGGAAATGGCAAGAGAAGTAGAATTAGAAGTGGAGCCTGAGGATGGGAATGAATTGCTGCAATCTCGTGGTAAAACTTGAATTGTTGGAAAGTTGCCTCTAATGGATGAGCAAAAAAAGTGGTTTCTTGAGATGGAATCTACTCCTGGTGAAGATGCTATGAACATTATGGAAATGACAATGACAGATTTAGAATACTACACAAACTTAGTAAAGTAGTGGCTTTGAGAGGCTTGAGAAGAACAAATCCAGTTGTGAAACAAGTTCTAATGTGGACAAAATGCTACCGAGACATCTTTCATGAAAGGAAGATTCAATAAATGGGGCAGACAGGAAGAATCAGTGAATGGAGCAGACATCATTGCTGTCTTATTTTAAGAAAATGTCAGTCAACCCTTAACTGAGCAACCATCAAATCAGGGCAAGACCCTCTACCAACAAAAAGGTTATGACTTGCTGAAGGCCCAGATAGACAATCGTTAGCATTTTTTTTTGCAATAAAATATTTTAAAATTAAGGTATGTACAGTAAGTCCTTCCTTAACATTGTTGATAGGTTCTTGGAAACTACGACTTTAAGCAAAATGTCATATAACAAAACCAGTTTTATCATGAGTCAATTGATATAAAGAAGAGTTAAATTCCTACAGCATTTTTTTTTTATTTTTCTTTTGAGACTGAGTTTCACTCTGTTGTCAACGAGGCTGGAGTGCAGGGGTACGATCTTGGCTCACTGCAACCTCCGCCTCCCAGGTTCAAGCAATTCTCCTGCCTCAGCCTGCTGACTAACTGGGACTTCAGGCACGCACCACCAGTCCCGGCTGATTTTTTTTTTTTGTATTTTTAGTAGAGATGGGGTTTCACCATGTTGGCCAGGCTGGTCTTAAACTCCTGACATCATGTGATCCACCCGCCTTGGCCTCCTAAAGTGCTGGAATTACAGGCGTGAGCCACTGTGCCCGGCCTCCTACAGCATATTTCTCATCACAAAAGATCACCAAACTTCTAAATAAAGACCAAAATACTTCTAAAACATTGAATTGTAAGCTATGCATACATTTAAGAAAGACTAGTAAATACAAGTGAGATACTTATTTACCCAGTTTTAGGTGAATCAATGAGTGATGTCTGTCATAGTGGTGGGAGTAGATTAATAAAGGAACAAATGTTTGCAAAGTGAAAATTCTCAGTATCGCCTCCTCCCACCATGCAATTCCAAAACAATCACAAACAAGCACTACTCACTGAACACTGAACACTTTCAGTGCAGACTCCATACAGACAGGGGCCCTGACTGGAAGCATTGTTTTTTCTCATCAATATTATAATGAAAGAATGTTGAATTAAATGACATTGAATGAAACAACATTATTCTAGGACCTGCTGTGTATTATTTTTCTTAGACATAATGCTATTGCACACTTAATAGAGTAGTTTAGTGTAAAATAGCTTTTTTATGCACTGGGAAACCAAAAAAATTGTGTGACTCATTTGCTTTGTTGTGGTGATGTGGAACGAAACCTGCAATGTCTCTGAGATACGCCTGTATGCATGTAAAGCATCTTTGCACAAATTTAGAATTGTCTTTTATAGAATTCCTTTTGTTTTTATGAATTTTTTTTGTTTGATTCTCCCTAATAGTACTTTATAAGCATATTTGTATTTCTTTAACTATTTTATGTCATATTTTTAGGGCAGTGGTAAACATTCTGTTGCATTTTGTGTTCTGGACAAATAGCTTTCTGATTTTGATCTTATAAGGTTGCAATGAATTTTTTATGCATATCTTTTACTGTAACAAATGATTGTGTTTTGTTAGGATAGGTTTCTCTGTGTATGTGCTGGATCAAAGGTTATACATTGCGAGGTGGCTTTCCAGAAAGGCTGTCCCAATGTCTACTCCTATAGCATATGAGAACACTCATCTCGCCATACTCTGATTAGCCTTGAATTTTATAATTTTTATATCTTTGTTAATTTGAGCATTTTATGCATCAGTGATTACTTGTAAGAATTTTTTGTTATATTTATTGACCCTTTGTCCATGACAAATTGTTTATTTCCTTTGAGGTGGTATACGTGTGTTTGATGTTTCAACACGTGGTTAACATCTCTTTGATGTTAAGAAATGCCAATTACTAGGAAGCAGTTCTGTCATCGAAGTAATGAGGTATATTTTTCCCTAAGTATTTGAGAACAAAATTTCAGTCTTTATCGTAAAAACTTTCGATATTTCATGAAAAAAGTAGACATTCCAATGATTTATTAAAAATACCTAGTCATTGATATATCCATTAGTTCCTAAAAAGAAAGCAGAAGTTACAAGAATGGGCCCAGCATTATTAAAATAACTAGTATTTTTAAGGGAATTTACTTTTATATTTTAATTAATTCAGAAATGGTCTAGTCAACTCTTGACACAGCAGTGGTATATCAATACTCAGAGCCTCATATGATTTCCATCAAATAAAATGTTTGAATTATAGGGGTGTGTTTGAAATATGATGCTTTCCAGAATATGAATTCTACCTCTGCATCCTGTCTCCATTTTTCTGCTTCCTTGTAATTCCAGATCCACTGGGCTTTAAAATTAGATACTGTTTTACATTTGATTATGTTACTTTCGAGGTCTATGAGCCCTTTTCACATCTAGGCAGTAGAAACAGTAAGTCATATCTCTGAGCTCGTAAGGTAAACCATGCATGGCCATGTCTTACCCAGCACATTGCCTACACATGTATAAGGTATGCCATATATGCTGTAGTTATACTCCGTGTGGCCTTCTGAAAAGCCATATAGGATTATGAGAGAAAAAGAAGAGTGTGAAGTGGGGCAACTTCCACTCAATTATGAATGATGTTGCCTGAAGAAATCAATTAGCTGATTTTAAGGCTTTAAAGAATTAAAAATTGCATGTTGTTACTATACTTCATAAAATTCTAGGCCGATCTGCAAGATTATGAAACTGACTTTAGACTAATATAATTTGTTTAAACTCAGGAGCTTTGTATAAATGAATTATTATTATTCAGCTAATGGTGTGTTCTTTCTATCATGAAGAAGTTGTCTTTTTCTGTCATGTGTCTCCCCAGTACAATATGTGGAATACTTTGTAATTTTTTTTCAACTTTGAATATTAAAGTTTGATAGCATAAAAAGGCCAGGCGTGGTGACTCATGCTTGTAATCCCAGCACTTTGGGAGGCTGAGGAAGGTGGATCACCTGAGGTCAGGAGTTCGAGACCAGCCTGGCCAACATGGTGAAACCCGATCTCTACTAAAAAATACAAAAATTAGCCGGGCATGGTGGCAGGCATCTGTAATCCCAGCTACTGGGGAGGCTGAGGCAGGAGAATCACTTGAACGCGGGAGGCAGAGGTTGCAGTGAGCCGAGATTGCACCGTTGCACTCCAGCCTGGGTGACAAGAGCGAAACTCGGTCTCAAAATAAATAAATAAATGAAAAATAAACGACAAAAAAAAATCACTAAAGTTTGCAAATATTTTATCTGAGCCTAGTCTCATATTTATGGAAGAATCCACTTCTCACGATATATCGTTGGCTTCCCTGCAGCTCTCTGTTGCTATTGAGTAAAACTCTATTGCCTTGAAAAAGTTATTCTAATTACTAATGAACACAGATCTCTCTTTGGAATGTCTTGGTCATTACCCCTTGGATCTTAGGCTAATGGTATCACCTTTGTACCAGGTCATAGGACCTTCTCAGTTAATCCTATTTTCCATGACAGTTATATATCCAAAACAGCACGGTACAAAATTTTTAACAAAATTAAATTTTTCATGCATCAAAATTTTATAGCACATCTGCCAAAGGTTTGCTATACACAGAATCACAGCCCTGATATCCAGCATTGGCATATAATAGGTATGCAAGAGTACTTGATGAGATGAATTAGGATAGAATAGAACTACCAGTTTGCTAGGCAGGGCATTGATAATAGAACTTCCTTTGCTGTTTCATTATGAAACTCCAATTCCAGGTCTGTTCCCACTCTTATTTCATTGTGACCGAATAACTTTTCCATTACCATTCAGTTTTGACAAGAGATAACCTGTCAATTATTTGTATAAAATTACTTAGAAGTGAATCAATATTCTGTTTATTGTGTCACCTCTACTTTAAAACGCTACAGTCCTATTTCTTGCAGCTAATCTCAGAATCTGTTAACTTCAGTGTGGGTGCCATTTTTTTTTTTTTTTGGTATTTCATGTTTTGTATCTAACAACTGAACTTAATACTTAAGTATAAAGTAAGAAATCTTCATTTCAGATTTTCATAGTATAAATGCAGGCTAAGTTTCCTGATATCTGGGATATTTAGAAATTAAGCAGAAGAAATTATTTTGAGGATTTTATGACAGCTTTTTACTCTTATTTTAAATTCTCCTTATCTTTCTTTGTAAATGTTTGCATTTTTGAGTTACTAAAAATAATTTTCAAGTTTTGTACCTGTCTTAGTGGCATTTATGTCCATACTGCAAAAACTCTTTCTTGGAAATTTAATATAGTATATGTTTTGTGATTTTTTTCATGTCTTAACATTTTAATTTGAGGTTATTTGCTTGTTATAACCAAATGGAAATATATTCTAATTGTACCTTGTCGACCTGAAATGTGACAATGCAGTGATTGGTGATCATAAATGAACTTAGTTTTATTCAGTACTATTTGTAAAACAATGTTTGACATTGGGAAGTTAAACAACTGATCTCTTTGTTATTTTGATGTGATGACATCATCCTACACAAAACACAACTTCAAATCATATGCAGCTTATCCATGCACAGATGTAATTACCAATACAAACCAAAAGAGAGAGCAAGAAAGAGAGCGAGCTAGAGGGTGTCTATGACCTATAATAATTAGCATTTTCAGTAACAACATCTGTTGCTGACAATATTGGCAGTAGCACAGGAAAAAGCAATCATTAAAATTAGCTAATGCTCAGTTTAAGTGCTACACAATGTACTGACATTTTCAATATTTTCATTAGTTTTGCATTTTCTCATTCCAGTAAGTATCTGTTTTCAAGTTTGCATGAATGCCTTGTATTATATTAAAAATGTTTCTCAGACCTTCTCTCAAATTGATCTGGGTCTTAAAGCAGTATTTCCAGTGGGTCAAAGTAGCACTGATGCAAACTCTTAGAAATATAGTATCCAACACTCTCGAATTGGATTCTATAAATTTGATCTTACATAATTTAGATACTGAATTAGAAATTCTCCATAACCTGCAACACACATTTTCCTAAAATCTCATTGTCTTAGCTTTCTTGAGTTTTTATCCTGGAATTTCTGTTTGAGGTGTAAGTGCCAATATTAACTTTAAAAATTTAGTGAAGTGTAAGTCAATTAGAATAATTTTACAGGTGACCTGCAATTCCTCGCTCAGAGAGAGATCTGTTACCCAGGATGCTTCAGGTGAACGCCTGTAAGGAGGAGAGAAGTGAGGGGCTGTGGCTCCACCACATGATGTCCTTGGCCTCATTGTACATCCTTTACCCATTTATTTGCTGGTTTGTAAATATGTTAAAGTGAAAGAAGAAAAGTAATTTTCTCTTTAAAGGTAAAACTCACTAGTGAATCAACATTTGAATCATTTACTAAGATACATAAACAAATATGGAGTCTGCAAAATTGCTTATGAGAATCAATGTTGAGCCAGAAATTATGTTTCTGCAAATATTTTGATGAGCTGAAATATTTTCTATGTATGTCTTGTTAATCCTGTCTTTAACAAACTGGATCTCTGTTGAACCCTATTCTGGGAGATAGTGTGTACTGTGAAAGTGATTTCTGTGGCCCAGTTTGGAAAATTCTGCAAATTATGCTTTCCTTTGGAGCTGCACGATGCACATTATATTTTTAAGGCTATGGGAAGTTCTGCTATTTAACTTTGTTCATCTCAATATTCTCTAAACATCTTCTCATGTCAATATTTTCTAAACATCTTCTTTTCTTCTGAACCAACTTTTACCATGGAAATAAGTTTAGGAAATGCTCTTTCTGCTATACCAACATTTCACTGATAATCTTGTTTGAGAAAATTTGCAAAAAGGACCATAGGTTTCACTGGGTAAAGGCTATTTGTCTGATTTTTTGGGCACTTTGAAACTTTGATGACATTATCCTGGTGGGCTTGTACACTAGACTTCATCAGTACACTTAGAGATGGACACTCATCATCATGATCAAAATTCACCAAAAACTTCTGTATAAACTACAGTACATTTTTTCATTATTTTGGTAGTTTCTTGTCCAAAGACTGTTGTGCCCATGAATCTGTATAACTTAGAAGGTCAGAGATAAACTGGAAGAGATTGAAACAAGAACAAGGACTGATGAAATAACCTTGCTTTAGAGTGACCTTGTTTTGTTTTATTTGGGACTGTCTCAGCATTAGCATTGAAATCCTCTTGCTCTGAGAAACCCCTCAGTCCCAGATAAAGCAGGCTGGTCAATCACTCTACTGCCTTCTAACACAAATCTTGTGTTCCCCAGATTTCATTTTCATCTCTCCACACTAATGTGATTGTTAATTTTGTGTGTTAACTTGGTTAGGCCATGGTATCCGGATTTTTGTTCAAACTAGATGTTTTATGCAGTTATTTTTTAGAGATGAGATTAACATTTAAATCAGTCAACTTCTAGTAAAGCGGATTATCCTCCATAATGTGGGTGGGTCTCATCCAATCAGTTGAAGGCCTTAATAGAAAAAGACTGACCTCCTCAGAAGAAAAGGGAATCCTACTAGCAGATGGCCTTTGGACTTGAAGAGCAGCTCTTCCCTGGGTCTCCAGTCTGCTGACTTATTCTGCAGATTTTGGATTTGTCAAGCCTTTGCAATCATGTGAGCCAATTTCCTAAAATAAATCTCATCAGCAAGGTGGTAGAATAGAAGTTATCGGGCCTCATTCTCTGTTCCCCTCTCTCCCAGAAATTCAACTAACAACTATCATCAGGCAAGAATACCATTGTGAATAACCCAGAACTTGAGACATCCACTTGACCACAGAACTGAGAAAAGCTGTGGCTGAACAATAAGCGGAACAGTTTTCTTTGACTGTACCACCCCTCCCCCAAGCTGGGACAGTGGCACACACAGAGAATTTCCCTAGACCCATGGTTTCTACAGGGGGAAAAGTGAATTGGAGGAGGATATTCCATTTCCTCGCCATTTTGGGTCCCTTTGTGGGAGGGAGATATGTGAAGGACATGAAAAAGTTCTTGTGTGGCTATTTTAGAAAGTACTTGAGATAGGTTTTATCTCAGACATCCACACACGACCTCTCTATGTGCTTTGCTGGCTGCAATTTGTTTGGGTTTGAGAAGAGTAATTTCATCTTGGTATCTGCAACTTTTATACTACAAAGTAAAAACCTATAGTAGTTGCACAAAGTATAAAAAGAAAGGATTCAAAACATACAACCACAGAAAACCAGAAAAACCACAAAGGAAGACAGTACAGAGGAAGAAGGAAACAAAGGATCTAAATTAGAAATCAAATTCCAAAACGGCAGTAGCAATTCTTACCTATCAGTAACTGCCTTGAATGTAAATGGATTAAATTCTTCAATAAAATAACCAAGACTGGCTCAATGGATGGGGAAATAAAGAATAGATTAAACTCTCTATTATAAAAAGATACAGAGTAGCCAAATGGATTAAAGAAAAAGTAAGGTCTAATCACATGTTGCCTAGTAGAGACTTGCTTTCCTAATAAGCATGTACATAGAAAGTGAAGGGGTGAAAAAAGATATTTCACACACATGGAAACCCAAGGAGAGCCAGGGGAGCTATACTTATATCAGACAAAATAGATTTAAAGTCAAAAACCATAAAAGATACAAAGGAGGCTATCACATAATGATAAAAAGGTATTAATTCACAGACATAATTGTAAACGCATATGAATGCAACATTAGAGAGCACCTAAATATATAAAGCAATTATAAAATGACCTGAAGGGATACGTAGACTGCAGTGCTAAGATAGCAAGGGACCACAGCATCCCACTTTGAACAGTGGACAGATTATCCATACAGAAAATCAGTATAGAAACTTTGGACTTGAATTGCAGTATAGACCAAATAGACCTAACAGCACATTCCATTCCACAGCAACAGAATACACGTTCTTCTTAAGTGAACATAAAATAATCTCCAGAATAGATCAGATGTTAGGCCACAAAACAAACCTTAGCAAATGTAAGAGTATTGAAATCATATCAAGTGTTCTTTCAGATCACAGTGGGATAAAACCAGAAATCAATAACAGGAGAAATCTTGGAAAATAAACAAATATGTGGAAATTAAACAATATGCTCCTAAACAGCCACTGGGTCACAGAAAAAATTAGAATGAAATTTTAAAATGCCTTCAGACAAAGAAAAATGGAAACACAGCATACCAAAACTTATGGGATGCAGCAAAATTAGCAGAAAGGGGGAAATTTATAGCAATAAATGCCTATATCAAGAAAGAAGAAATATCATGAATAAACAATCTAATGTTACACCTCAAGGAACAATAAAAAGAAGAACAAGCTAATCTGAAAGTGACCAGAAGGAAGGAAAGAACAAAGATCAGAGCCAAAATAAATGGAATACAGACTAGAAAAATAAAAGAAAAATTTCAACAAAACTAAGAGATTCTTTTTTGAAAAAAAAAAAATCAACAGACCATTAGCTAGACTAACCAAGAAAAAAAAAAAGACCCAAAGAAGTAAATATCAGAAATGAAAAAGGAGATATTACAATTGATACTCCCAAAATACAAAGGATCATAAGAACTGAACAATTATACAGCAACTAATTGAATAACATAGAAGAAATGAATAAATTTCTAGACACACACAACCTATCAAGATTAATCATGAAGAAGGAGAAAACCTGAACAGACCAATAATAAGTAAGAAGATTGAATCAGTAATAAAAATTCTCCCACCAAAGAAAAGCCCAGAATTGGATGACTCCTCTACTGAAATCTACCAAATATTAATGAAGAACTAATACCAATTCTAAGCTTTTCTAGAAAATCAAAGTAGACAGAATACTTCCAAACTAATTTTACAAAGCTAGCAATACAAAAGCTAGACAAGCCCAGGCATGGTGGCTTACGCCTGTAATCCCAGCACTTTGGGAGGCCAAGGTGGGAGAATCACCTAAGGTCAGGAGTTTGAGACCAGCCTGGCCAACATGGTGAAACCCCGTCTCTACTAAAAATACAAAAATTAGCCGGGCGTGGTGGCACTTGCCTGTAATCCTAGCTACTTGAGAGGCTGAAGCAGGAGAATCTCTTGAACCTTGGAGGCATAGGTTGCAGTGAGCCGAGATTGCACCATTGCACTCCAGCCTCGGGGACAAGAGCAAGACTTTGTTTCAAAAAAACCAAACCAAACCAAACCAAAACAAACAAGAAAACAATAGGGCAATCTCCATAATGAATACAGGTGAAAAAACCCTCAACAAACTATTAGCAAACCAAATTCAGGAGCACATAAAAAGAGTCATTTACCATGATCATTGGGATTTATCCCCAGGATGGAAGGATGGCCCAACATATGCAAATCAATAAATGTGATACATCACAGTAACAAAATGAATTACAAAAACCATATGTTCATCGCGATAAATGCAGAAAAAGCATTAGAAGCATTTGACCAAATTCAACACCCTTTCATAATAAAAACTCTCAACATATTAGCTGTAGAGGGAATGTACCTCAACACAGTAAAGGATGTATAGACAAACATTTAGCTAACATCATTCCCAGTGGTAAAAAGTTGAAAGCTTTTCCTCTAAGATCAGGGGCAAGGCAGGGATGCCCACTATCACAACTTCTGTTCAGCATAGTACTGGAAGTCCTAGCCAGAGCGATTAGGGAAGGGAAAGAAATTAAAGGCATTCTTACAGGAATGGAAGAAATGAAATTGTCTCCATTTGCAGATGTCATGATCTTCTGTATAGAAAACCCTAATGATTCCACTAAAAAACTTCTAGGACTGATTAATAAAGTTGCAGGATACAACATCAACATATAAAAATCAGCAGTGTTTTCATATACCTATGACAAATTATCCAAATAGAAAATTAAGTAAACAATCCCATTTACAGTAGCAACAACAACAAAATACTTAGGTATAAATTTAAATAAAGAGGTAAATGACTGTGTACTGACAACTATAAAACGCTGGTGAAGAAAAATTAAAGAAAACACAAATAAATGGAAAGATATTCTGTGTTAATGGATTAGAAGACTTCATATTGTGAAAATTTCCATACTACCCAATGTAATTTACATATTTAACACAATCTTTGTTAAAATTCCAGTGTCATTTTTTACAGAAATAGAAAATAATCCTCAAATTTGTATGAATCCACAAATGATTCTAAATAGCTAAAACAAATCTGGAGCAAGCAAACAAACAAAAAACAAAGCTGGAAGCCTAACATTCCTTGGTTATAAAACATGTTATAAAGAGACTGTAATCAGAACAGCATAGTACTGTCATAAAATCGGCATGCAATTCCACGTTGATCCATGGAACAAGATAGAAAACCCACAAATAAACCCACACATTTATAGTCAACTGATTTTTGACAAAGGTGCCAGGAACACACAATGGGTAAAGGACAGTTTCTTCAATGCATTATGTTGGAAAAACTGGATATCCACATGTAAAAGAATGAAAGTAGACCCCTATCTTACACCATAGGCAAAAATCAACTTCAAATGGATTAAAGACTTAAATATAAGACCTGAAACTGTAAAATTCCTAGAAGAAAACATGGGGAAAAAGTTTCCTGACATTGGTTAAGGCAATGATTTTTTTAATATGGCCGTTCACCAGCAAAAATAGGCAAATGGGATTGAATCAAACTAAAAAGCTTCTGCACAGCAAAGGCAGCAATCAAAGTGGAGAGATAACCTACAGAAGGGGAGAGAATATTTGCAAACCGTACATCTGATAAGGGGTTAACAGCCAATATATATAAGCACTCAACTCAGCAAGAAAACAAATAAACTGATTTAAAAATTGACAAAGTACCTGAACAGACATTTCCCAAAAGTAGATACAGAAATGATCATCAGGTACAGGAAAAAATGCTTAGCATCACTAATTACTTGGGAAATGCAAAGCAAAACCACAATGAGATATTACCTCACCCCAGTTAGAATGGCTGTTGTCAAAAACATGAAAGATAACTGGTGTTGGAGAAGATACAGAGAAAAGGAAAAGAACTCATATATTGTGAGTGGGAATGTAAATTAGTATAGCCATTATGTAAAATGGTATGAAGGTTCTTAAAAAGGTAAAAATAGAAATACATACAACCAAGTAATCCCACTTCTGGGTCTTTATATCCAAAGAAACTGCAATCAGTGTTAAAGGGATATTTGCACTCTCACGTTCATTGTAGCATTATTCACAATAGCCAAGATATGGAAACAACAACAAAACATCCATTAACAGATGAATGGATAAAGAAAATGTGGTATATCTCCATAATGGTATACTATTCATCCTTTACAAATGGTGTAAATCCTGTCATTTGTGATAGCATAAATGAGCCTGGAAGTCATTATGTAAAGAGATTAAAGTCCTTTGTAAAGAATGATAAATACTGCCTGATATCACTTATCTATGGAATCTAATACATTTGAATTAATAGAAGTAGACAGTAGAACTATGGTTATCAGAAGCTTGGTGGGTGAGGGAGGGAGAGAAGGAAGGGGAAATTGTTGATCAAAGGCTACAAAGTTTCAGATAGATAAGAGGATTTATGGCAAACCAAGGAGAGACATGAATGAAAAGAGTGGCTACCAACCAAATCAACAATAATGTGTTATGTATTTCAAAATTTCTAAGAGAATAAATTTGAGATGTCTTATCAAGAAATGACAGGTAAGCAAGGAGATGAATCGGTTAATTAGTTTGATTGATCATGCCGTGTTGTATCCATGTATCACATTGTATCCCATAAATGTGTACCACTATGGTTTTTCAATTACAAAACAAAAACAAAAACACTAAATGCATGTTGTATGATTTCATTCATATCACATTTTAGAAAGGCAAAATTATGGTTATGGAAAGCAGTTCAATTGTTGACAGGGGCTTGAGAATTGACTACAAAGGGACATGAAAGGACTTTCTAGAGTGTTAAAAATGACCTATATGCTGATTGTGGTGGTGGTCCCGCTACTGTATACATTTGCCACGACTCATCAGATTGTGTACTTAAAATTTTATTTTAAATTAATTATACTTCAATAAAGCTGACAAGAAACCCCTCCCCAAAGAAAACTGAGGAAGGAACTTATAAAAAATAGTGATATGATTCTCTTGTATTTTGTAAAATTAAATATATATACACGCATTAAAATGTGTTCTAATGCATGTATGCAAACATATATATTTTCAAAACACTATTTTATTTTATCTTTTCCCATACTAAAAGTACTCATCAGATTGTCATTGATTTCTTCTTTCCTCCTCTCACCTGTGACTGTGGGAAAGAATGATTCTCTCATTATGAGTCAGAGCCTTTTTTTTCCTTTTCTGAATTTATAGTAACGACTCAACACTAGAAGTCTCAGCAGCTTGGTTTGCCTGTCATTAATTTTACCAATGGTTGCAGGTGTAGCCTGAAAGAATAGGTATAATGCTGGTATGTAATGCTTTCTCCTGCTTCTAAAAGGTGCTGTGGGGAGGTGTTGAATGAGATTCATGGTGGTAAACAAGAATATAAATTCAAATATTATCTTAAAACAGAAACAGTAAAGCATGGAGAAAAGATCCAGCTGATTCTAGAAAGAGCAAATGAAGAAGAAACAAGAGTGAAAAGAGTGGCTACCAAATCATAGGAAAAAATACAGGAGTCCCAGGACCTTCCCCCAAGGACAGATTCCTGGGAAGGTTTCCAGTGAGTTTTTGAACCTAACCGCTAGGTTAAATACATCCCTTTAGTCTCAGCTCATCTTCCTAATTAAGTACAAATTCGAAAATAATTGTAAGGTTTTCTCAGATATGTGATGGATTACATGTCAGTTGCATCACATTCTTCAAGCAAAGTAAATGAATGAATGAACAAGGGAATGAATAAACAAAAGGAGCTAGATATTCCCTGAACATTGCAAGCTTCCTTTGGCCTGTGGTGCTTCCATTACCAGCAGCACTTCAGTTAGAATGATCCCTATGAATTAACTTGTAAATGAGGAGGTCAAATGTGCTTTTGCACAGTGGTGTTAAATATGTGGATGAATAAATTCTTTCTTGTACTTTGGGCTATGGAGTCTATGTAGGGTTAGAAATATAGGCTTTTTCTAAGTTGTTCTCCTCTTAGGAAAGTTATTTACATGATAATTAAAGAAGTTTAGAAGCAATTCCTGACCTTAAACAAAGATAACGTGTAGCTTTCAATATATGAACCTTTAAGAAACCCTCAACATTTCAAAGGCACAAATTAGAGCATTAGTCTAAATAACAAACCCCCCTCTTTCCCGATATTCATTTATAGGGTATAAAATACTTGACAGAAAAGTTGAGATACAGAAAAGATGCTAAATTTCATGAAACATTGTTATGAATCAATTACAGACATTTTAGTTTATTTAAAACAGTTTGTTTGTAACTGTTCAGAAATACTTACATTGAAAGAATGTCCACAAAGCACTAGATCTGTAGTTTCAGTGGAGAGTCAGTATTATATATTATAATATTATAAAATGACACACTTCTCAATGGCGCAGCTTCCTAGAAGTCATTTCCTATATTACTTGGCCATAATCACTATTAATTCAGTTTCATAAATGATTGGACATGATCTTTTAATTCTGAGCCTTCATAAATATGATTTCCTCTGTCTGTTTAGACTGTTTTCTTTAGGAGTCCACTTGTCTAACTTCAGTTGCCATCTCAGGCATTACTTCTCCTGGGAAGCCTATCTCACTGCCTTTCCCTTTAGACACCTGGACTAGGAGTTTCTCTGTGCTCATATGATACCCTTTAGGACTTTTTCATTCAGTTAGTTTCTGAATCCTTTAGCTCAAACCAGAACACTCTAAGTCACGCTTGATTGCTCATTTTTTCACCTACCCTATGTATTCCTATTTGTTGTACCTCAGCTAGCACATTGGTCTCTGCCTCCAAAGTATATTCTTAATCATCTGTCTCTCTTCATTTTCATGGTTAATCCATCAAAGCCATGCCATTTTATCCAGACAAATGGAGTAGCCATCTAAGTGTTGTTTTTGCTTCTAGTATTTGAAGCAAATACATAACATAAGTTATGGAAGCAAATACATAACATGACATAAACCAAGTCATGTCAGTTCTCTGCTTGAAACAACCCAAAGGCTCCCATTACACTTATAATAAAATCTAAACCCCTTACGCTGCCCTACCAGGTCCTACATGATCAGGCAGGGCCATTTGTCTCTCTGACATTTTAAAAATTTTTAACCATCACTCCTGTCCCCTGGCCCACTGTATTTGGCTCTTTTCTCTTCCTTGTACATACCAAGCCTTCCTACCACAGGACCTTTGCACTAGTGTCTCATTATCTTGAAACAGTTTTCACTGATCTCCATGTTGTAACTCCTTCTCGGCAGTAGCATTGGACCCTAAGGATGTACAATGTTTTATACTGTGTTTAATTCAGTTACTCTGAATTAGATAAGCAGTGGGCCTTAACAGCATACAGGTGAAATCTTGAATAATTTAACAAGTATTGATTCTGAACTATTGTTAAATAATTCACACAGTTAATTATAATTACCATTATTGCTTAAGAACTACTTAATAAAGCAGGGTTTGTGGCTAGAATTTAAAGACAATTTGTTGGATACCTTTAATCTATAGAAATGTATAATAAAGATGAGAGAAATAACTGTTAGCGAATCCTTTGGATTAAGCTACAAGCCATTATAATTTGCAGTAGCAAGCCTTGTAATGCTAATGACAAATATAAGTCAGTTTGTTTCCTATGCACTCATGGATCAGTGGTTACTTCGGAAATTTGTGTTTTGTCTGATAGTTTTTTTTTTTTTTGAAAAGCCCTTTTTTAAAAAAGATTTTAAAAATAAAGGTGAATTTCACACAATCTAAAATTAACCAAAGTGAACATCTTTGGTAGCCTTTTACTTTGATTTTTATGTATATTATTATAGTTATTTAATAGCCTCTAAAAATACCCAGAATGGCTTACCACTTCCTTTTCAAGAAAAGAATTCTTTAGTCTCCCCAAATCTTATGCCCACTGGCTCATTGTACAGTCTCTCTGAATTCTATGCCAGTTCCGCTCTTATAAATTGTGAGCCTGTGTTTCTTGTGCCAGGTTCTATTCCAGGCGCAGGTGGGCATCAGTGCAGCCAGCCCGCCATAGCGTTCTACCACCTGGTGTAGAAATCTGTTAGGAATACGGGAAGACTATTTGTGGCCTTTATTGACTATCCTTTGCCTTTGAATCCGTGAGCAGAAATCTATTATTGAATAAAGTCCCATGAATTCAATTCAAACCCTGCATTATTGATTTTCAAGCAGAACTTGTGCCATAATACTGTTATACTGTAGTTGGTTACATTCAGGGTCAATAGAAATGATTTCTTGAGATATCAGTGGATAATTTTCATTGGGATTAGTCAGGAATGTGTTCTGTCTTCCATCTGTCTGCACATTGTGAGTTCTTAATGATTTGATGCCTCTTTTGGCTGAATTATATCCACCATACCATCACTCTGGTGAGCAAAAAGAGAAGCATTCTGTATTATACAAATGATATGTTTAGAAACATAACTAAGAATGTTTTTAATCACCCACTGGCCTACCCATCCAATCCCTGCTATCAATTAACTATTCTGAAACCATCATCATGATTTCACATGATATTTCCTCTATTTAAAGTAGTGTAACTGTAAGTCACCTCAATTTGGTATCCAGGTTTGCGTTTGGCAATAAATTCCTCTTGGCAGCTTCAGCAAGTTATATTTCTTAATACTGGATCTGCTGAGGTTATGTTTATGGAGACCAGAACTATGAGTATTGATTTATGTTTGCTTTGAACATCTTCCAGTCTAAAGTCATTGTGGCTATGCTTTGTTGATGAACTGCAGGAGATTGCCCTTGGGATTGCATTGAGTGAACTTGGCCCCTGTACTTCTTCAGATCATTTCAGGAGAGTTGAGGTGGACTTCTCTTTAGGAAGGTGTTCTTTTTTTTCAGCTCTTCGTAAATGTCCATCAGTCTTGCTCTGCATAGCCAAGCTGTTGAAGCATGATCACCTTGCATTGAATAAGCTGCACAGAGCTACTGTTCTACCGGGGAGTATGCTTGCAGGGGAGCATAATCTCAAATTTACTGCTACCCACTCGGTACCATGCAGAGCTTGCTTGGGAGTTCAGGGAGGATTGTTTGAAATGGGCAGTTCAACTATTCTTCCAGATAATCAAAAAAGCCATCCCTCGATTTAGCAGAACATTGAGAAATCCTTTCCTTTGACTGTATTGTATTGTTTCTCTAAAAGCTTGCTTTGATTAAATTGCACCTGGGTGTTTAAAAAGAGAATACATGTGAGTGTTAATGCACTTACATTGTAATTCAGATGGATCTTTTTTGCAAACTAAATTAAAAGGTACAGAGACCATTCAGAGAAGCCATCTGTCACTATTTGAAAGTTATAATTAGGGTCATAATTTTTAATGTCATTGTCATACATTGGAAAATGGAAGCTTTGGGATATCCACTGGAGGTTTTACCTCTCCTCTACAATGCCACACTAAATTTGGAAATTTATTCAGCTGAAATTTTTTCAAGTTTAAATATTATATTTACTTTTTATTGATGATACTACTAAGTACAGTGCTTCCTTGAGTGTATTCCTTAATAAATATTTCTTCAATTTGTTTGAATATTTTGCCACAAACCAGTCTTTAGCTTGACATTTGAATTTAATCTTCCATGTATTAACTAGGCATGTACAAAACACATGCTTATTTATTAGGCATGCACTAACTGTACTTTGGTTACAGGCTAAAAGACTTTAGAGTTGGTTTTCAAAATCTATTTGCTTCAAAGAATCTTAGTAGTCAGTAGTTAACCAAGAAACTTTAAAAAAATGAGCCCCATTTTAATTTTATTTACCCATCTAGCTATTCATTTATTTGACAGATATTTATTTTTGTGCCTACTATGTACTTGGCACAATGATAACCTTTTCCCAGTTCTTTTACTCTGTTATTATTGTTTAAAGTTTGGAAATTAAAATACTCTATATTATATGCTATATTAGTTAAAGCTAAGCATGGTGCTGTATCATTAAACACAACAATAACAGCCAAATAAAGTTAGAACACACCAAATATGTTTTATTTACATGCAAATATTTAAAATGATATATTTAGGTATAGTATTTAACAACTTTTATGTTCCTCACATCAGAATTTATATTCTTTCAACAAGAGCCTTTTTAAAGATAAGGATTAAATTGACCATGCATAACTTTGATGTGATTAAGCTATTTGATCTTTTAAATAGAATCATTCGATTTTGCTGACACTTAGCAATAGCCCATTATTTTAGATATAATTTCTTTGTGATCATAGTAAGTTTAGAGTCATAGATGACTCCCTCGAGGTCTTAGTAGCATATTATGAATTTGGTATCTATGTGATTAAATAAGCACAACAAAATTCATATCAAATTGGTCGATAAACACATTTTTAATATTGTGCCAGACTATCATTATTAATTTTTAAATCAATATGTAGTAGTATGACCACAATGTCATATTCATTAGTAAAGTACAGCTGTTTTTTATGCCATCAGGATTATTTGGCATTTAAGCAGTGCCTTCTACTTTAAATGATGCCATTATCCTTTGAGGACTCTGCCTATCAATTTGGTCAGTCTAGAAATGCAACTCATTATAGAATGAAGCTGAATAGTTACTGAAGCAGAATACAACTTTACAACCTCTTAAACCAGAATATGGGAGAAGCCCAATTTACCTTTAAAACTTTTGGGTGTCTACACAGAAAAAGGTGTTAATGTGCCTTGTGAAATTTCTCAATGGTGAATACATTTTTTATTCTATGTGATTTATTTCTGGAGATGTACATTAATCTTTGTGAAGTTGCTGTGGAATTTGGTTGGGTTTGTCAAAATGTGTCAAAAATGTGAAATATCCCAGTTCTACTAATTTTCTAACACAAAGTTAGATGGACAAAGTTAGATGACAAAGAAGAAGACAAAGTTAGATGGACTCCATAGGAGAGAAGAGGACTTAAAAATGATGCCTTAATATCTGCCCCCATTTTGAAAGTGAAATTTTGCGGATAATGTTTCTATTGCAGTTGAGTTAGAAATAAGGAAGCATTTTAAAACCAGGTGGATGATTCAACACTAGACCACCCAGGAAGGGCATTCCTTCTGTAATAGGAAAGGTCTTTAAACCTGGAGTACCACATCACATGTAATGTGTAAGTGTGGATATTTCTGGAGCTCTCCCAGATATCCAGTGTGTCTGCATGAATGTGTCTCTCTTTATCTTTTTTGTTAAGGATGCAAATGGAGAGTTATATATTGGATTCCTCTTGCATCACTTTAGATGCCTTCTGTTTATATTGAGCCTGGCTTATTTGGAGTTAGCTTGTAAATTTAATGAGATCATTGTGATGGCCATGATTGCAGAATGGAAAATGTCACTACTATGTGCCAGTTTGCTTAAATCATTTTTAAGTACCCACCTGTGCTGCTAAACTCTCCATTTGCATTTTATTGGCTACTATGTTTTTGCTCCAGAGCGGGTTCCTTTAACTCTGATGCCTGGGTAAATTAATCGGGGTGTGCATGCCATTGCCCTTTTAGCTTCTGCTCCTGTTCTAATAAAGGCTCCATCTGCTTAATTGGTAGACTTACAGGCCTTTCTTATTTCAAAAAATCACTTTGAAAAAAAGCATAGCTTCTCAAGGGAAAGAAGAACCAGAACTCTTGAAAAATGTATTATTTGGGAGATGTTAAATTTCTGCCATCACTGTGCTGAGATGTATGTAGTCAATGAGAAACAGCATCCAAGATAATACTGGTTTTCTTACTACTTTTTTTCCATCTCTTGTACATCTCTATGTCTGTATTTCATGAAAACCTACCTTCTCTAATAAAGGTGTGGTGAGCTGGGGACAAGACAACTCTGGGGATTTACCTGTTATAGACAAACTCTTTACTTTTTTTCTTTTTGATCTGGCTGCCTTCTTGGTGATATTACTATGAGAATGAGGAGGGAATTAAGGATTATTGTAAAGTGAAATAGCAGCTTTGAGGTCTGAAACACTGAGGGAGAAGAAGGAAAAGAAGAGACATGGTAAGGATTCTAAGGAGGCCTGAAGATATCTGGGATTCCCATTCTTTTTGTCCACAGCATACTTAGGTTGGTCAGGTGTAAGTGAGGAGAGCTTGCATAGTAAGAGCAGCTCCAGTGTGGTATTAGTAGGGTTAATGATTGAGTGTGTGATTTACAGTATTGGATCTAAGGGTATCATGAAGTCAGACTGTAACCTTGGACAAACTAGTTAACCTCTTTGGGCCCCAGTCTCTCCATCTACAAAATGAGAGTAATTAATGGTGGTATTACCTCTTAGGGTTGTTGTCAAGATTAAATGAGCTATTACAGGTAAAGTGCTTAGAAAAACGCCTATTTGTAATATTCATTTTTACTAATAACTGTTATTAGGAGTGGGAATAGCAATTTCAGTGAGTTATAAAACATTGATTATGAACCATTTTAGAGAACGATAGTTGTTTTATTGCTAATGTGAACAAACCATACTGTATATGAAACTTTTTATGGTTCTCCAGAGAAACCATGTATTTTTTTCTGACTTTGTACCTATCCTTTTGCTTGGATGCCTTTCTTCTAGAAAGTTTTACTGATCCTTCAGGGCCCATATCAAATGTATCTTATCAGTGAATTGTCTCTCATCCCTTTCAGACAGAATGAGTTTACGCCCTATCTTGGGCTCCCATAGCACTTATCTCGCTATGATGCAATTCTCTTCTCAGATTTGTATATTCTCTCCTTGATGGCAATGCAGAGTCTTCTCATAGTGTTAATAATAACATATGTAGCCTGTGTATGTGAAACAGGTGGATGTTGCTGATACTTAATTAGGAAAGGTATAGTGATTCTCATCGTGTTCACAAGTCAGACTCTCCTTATACCTCAATCACTGCCGTATCTTTTACCTTGCATATGAGACCCCCAGTATAAGAGTGTAATAACTATCTGATTCATTTGCTAGTAATGCTGAAGGGAATTGTTAAGCTGATCTGTTTGGTTTATGGAAAAGATGTTTATTCTTCCTACGCCTTCTCTTTTTTCTCCTTTGCCTCCTCCTTTTGTCCTTTTCCACCTCCTCTTCCTCCTTGTCCTCCTTTTTCTTCCTTCTCTCTCCCTCTTCTCCTTTTTTTGGTTATAATTAGTTTATTTAAAGCTCTTGCTTATTTTTGCTCATCCTTAATATAAATAGATCTTCATTGTATTCGTGACATGTTTTATCACATTCTTCATGAAATTTTAATAAACAGTTGAATATTTTCTATTATTTATACATATGTGTAATATTACTCTTCTCAAATATACCATTGAATGAGTGTTTTATCTTACAATAGATGGTATCCATTTTTTTTTGTTGTTTTTTTTTTTTTTTTTTTTTGGAGACGGAGTCTTGCTGTGTCGTCCAGGCTGGAGTACACGATCTTGGCTCACTGCCACCTCCGCCTCCCAGGTTCATGCAATTAATTCTCCTGCCTCAGCCACCCAAGTAGCTGGGATTACAGGCATATGCCACCATACCTGGCTAATTTTTGTATTTTTATTAGAGATGGGGTTTTACCATGTTGGCCAGGCTGGTATCTAACTCCTGACCGCAAGTGATCTGCCTGCCTTGGCCTCCTGAAGTGCTGGGATTACAGGTGTGAGCCACTGTGCCAGGCTGGATGGTATCTTCTAATCAAGAAAAGATATAAGTATTTTTATGACATCAAATTTAAGAATAATAGCCAGTTATATATTTGTGGGATCATGTGATAAGAAAAATATATTGGTTTACTATTTTAGATGGAATAATAATGTGTCTTTTCTGATATCTTTACAAGAATGTTAGAAATCATCTGTATTGTAATGTTGTTTTACCTTATCCAAGGGGAAATAAAGCATGAACATTTATAGGCTTTTATTTATAAATGGACTTTTAAAATATGTTTTCTCACAAAGAGGAAATTTAGCTCTAGAAAACAGGAAAGGATTGTAGGAACTCCCATCTGCATTGGAAAGTGACTGTCACTCTCGTATTGGACAATGATTGTTGCAGATGATACCTGTTTCATTCTGGATCACCTTTGTTTTTAAAATGAGACATAACTAATTAACAGAAGAGCAAGATTATTGGCAACTCCATTAATATTAGTATAGAGACAGTGCTAGCAACATGGCATTTTAAAGAATTACAGTGGCAGTTCTCCCAATCAGCCAGATTTCTTCCAGAAAATTATAAAGGAATCTCCTAGATAAACTTATTTTCCCACTGGTGTTACTTTATCAGCCTAAGTAGTAGCTCTGTAAATAGAGGACTGAACACTTGAGTTTGGGTCCTGATTTTGTAATTAGCTGTGTGAATTGGATCAAGTCGTTTAGATTCTCTGGGCCTCAATTTCTTCATCTGTAATATGAGAAAGGTCGAAATAATTGATTTAGCAATATATTTTATCAATCAGAAATATTAGTGATGTCAGTGAAGCTTGTGTATATAAATTCATTTTTTCAATCATTTAAGGAACTTAGATATAAAATACACCTTTAATTCACCTTTGGAAATTTTTTACAAAGTGTTTTATTTGCAAATGACAGTGATAGTAAGAGTTAATGTTTAAGGCTATTTTGTAAATGACTTTAAATGATTCTAAGTACTTGTTACTCTTAACTACGCTGTTTCATTCATACATTGAAATAGATCCCCTTTGGAACACTGGGGAAGATTGAAGATTGCTTTTAATTTCATTATGGCACACAGAATTTAGTGAAGAAAAATGGTAGTCCTCTTTCAGATAGATTACTAAGTCAGCTGTTTGGAAGTCTTGGTGTAAAAATGTCTTAGAGCTTTGCAAGTTACAGAGATAGAAAATGTATTTAATTTTAATATTTCTAATTCACTATTTGCTTTGTTAGTATTTAGATTTCAGTGCTTAAAAAATTATTCACGGGATTTTTTCCCTTCATTCAACAACAGGTTCTATAGCACATCTTGGGAAAATTATCCTGCATTGGTAGGGGACTGAAAGACAGGAAGATGAAAAATACATGATACCTTTAATAATTTTTGAATTTTGAATTTTGGAATTTTAGAGGGCAGATAAAACTATATCTCTGGGGCAATAAAAGAAGACAAGTAGAAGAAAGTAATCATTGAGAGAGAGGAACAAAGTCTTACAGTAATTCAGATTTGGGAGATTATTTCTATTTGGGAAAATTGGCCACCAGGTAGATGTTTTATGCTGGGTTCCTAAAGGTAGAAATGGTGGGAAAGAAAGAAAATGACATTGAGGGCAGAGGGGACAGCTTGATTAGTGGCTTGGGAATGGGATGAAGCCAGTGTTGCCAAGTAGTGTCTGTTAAAAGGAGCATATTGGGAAAATGAGGACAGAAAGGTAAAATTAGGTCAGATAATACAGGATTTTGAGTTCTTGTCAAAGAATATGAACTTGAGTCTAGATTTGAGTATATTACTGAAGGTTTTTGAGCAAGGGAGGGCATTACTGTGCTTTAGAAAGATTAATCTGGCCACAATTTATAATGTAATACAGAAAAGTAATAGGTGGAAAGAAGAGGGAGACCAGGCACGACGACAGTAAGAGCTTAGACAAGAGTCAGCCAACAACCGAAGAATGGAAATGTCACTGAAAATGGAAAAGCAGAAGTAGATGTGGGCAGTTTGAATTGGTAGAAAATAGCCACTGATACCTGGTTATCATGGGTGTGCGAGAGGGGAGGGAACATTTGGAGATACTTCCAAAATTTCAGTTCAGAAGATCAGAAGGGTGGCCGGGGGCCATTACCAGGAAGAGTGAAGTGAGGGTAAGGTTGACTGGGGCTGGGCAGAAGGGGCAATGGGAAGGAGATGAGGAGTTTTCGGCTTCATTGACATCCTGGCAGCTAAGTCAGCTCTCCAGCTAGAAATGTGCAGCAGGCAGTGGTGATACAGTACTAAGATAGGATAGGAAGTCAGGTCTTTACGAGAGCATTTCAGTAAATAGCCTTAGGAACTTAGATTAAAAATCAATGCTTGATGAGGCAGTGAGTCTAGATCGTTTTTGACAGTGAAATCAAATACCATGAATACGTTGAGGGAGTAATGAGACAGAGATTTCTTTTTAGAAAAGAGAGCGGAATGTGTTTTCTCTGAGGGCAGAGTCAGAAGAGAGGACAAGATGACCATTATAACAGAGGAAAATAGTGCTTCTGAAATTCCATTTCACTTTCCACAGCAGTGGCTAAAATTGAAATTAAGGCACTCTAATGGCTACTAACATTGAATTATTGGATTGGCAATAAAGGCCCTAATGAAGTACTTTCATTAGGAAGAAAATATCCACACGTCTGGAAGAAATAGTGTGATGCCCCCTGTAAAGAAACCAGTGAATGTAACGTTTCAAATATGGAGCAGCCACAGCAGACTTCTGTAATTCTAGGTCAACAATGAATTAATAGAATCAGTTTCTTGTTAAAATAACTGTCTTTTGCCTTCATCAATATTTTAGATACCCTTACTGGCTACCTGTCTTATGGAAAGCTATGTAATTATACTATTTTGAGTTGGATTTTTATGGTTTATGCTTTCCATGGAAATTTGATGGGATAATCTGTTTGTGAGGTATTTATCTGCATATTTGATTCCTTAACTTACCTGCGACTTCTTGACTTTGTTGGTTTTCAGAATTAAAAACTTGAAAGAATTTTGTTTATTTTGGCATGTAAAGAATACTGGTCTAAAATCACAACCATTAGAATTCATTTAGATTTTTCAAAGGAAGTGGTTGAAAAGCCGGAGGACTGAGATAAATTGGTGCCATGTTCAGTGAGAAGCTGGCAAATTTATGAAGGAATGTGCTAATGCAAATACTTATGAATTGATTTGCTCTACATATTTTCCCTAGGGCCCCTTAGTCCTCTATTACTTATTAGAATCTTTACCTTCTGTACCACAGAAGTAAACCTAAAGCACAGCCTTACTAAGATTGTTTTTGCTTTCATGGGGCCAGTTGAATATATTTCATCTTCCTTTTATGTGACAAAAATAATTGAGAAACATCAAATGATGTTTAATTGTTTTGAAAACATAAACAAAACTGGAGATTTTATAAAGCCTTGTTCTAAGCTTGAAAAGAAGGAAAAAAAATCAGTTTCTGGCTGAAAAGTTTCTGTTGACACTGGACCGATCAAACAGTTTTCTTTCAGACAATATTTCTATAGCTGTATCACAGAAATTAGGGGCTGACAGTGACCAGTAGTTTATTTTCATTGCCTCATACTTTCAAAGAAAGCAAATATGGACTTGTATAGTTATTAATTAAAAATATGTTAAGCAGTGATGGGTGTTTATTTAAAGAATTCATGCAAATCTTGATTTACATTTTTAAACTAGTCTATTATCTCTCACCTTTTCAGTTTGTTTACCATGGTACTGCAAAAATTATTTCAACAAACATCTGAAAAACTCTCCTTATCACAGGGTCAGTAATAAATAGTTTGTTATCCCAAGCATGGCTTTCAGAGACGTCTGCAGGTTTTCTGGGCACAAAGTATCACTCCAATCTCCTTTAAATCAGTTTCCCTCTCGCAACTGGTCAAGGGCCAGACTAGAGAAGAACCCAAATGACATTCCGACCTCAAACGTGAATCCGCTTTCCTCCCCGCCTTTCTGCATTTCTCCAATTCTACTCCACCTTCATGAGTTAGAAATAATTCCTCTTTTAAGGCAGAAAAATCGGTAGATTTGGTTACAGTGGGTTTGCACATGTCCACAGCTGCCTACAGGCCACTCAGTTTCCCCCAACACTGAGATTGCTGCCTCTGTAGCAAGTTTGTGTTGTGGCTTTTCTTTTTTCTTTTGAGACGGAGTCTCGCTCTGTCGCCCAGGCTAGAGATGCAGTGGCACAATTTCGGCTCGCTGCAACCTCTGCCTCCCAGGTTCAAGCAATTCTCCTGTCTCAGCCTCCCGAGTAGCTGGGACTACAGGCAAGCGCCACCACGCCCACCTAATTTTTGTACTTTTAGTAGAGATGGCGTTTCACCGTGTTGGCCAGAATGGTCTCGATCTCTTGACCTTGTGATCCACCTGGTGTTGTGGCTTTTCTTATACACAAATCACAGTCTGCGTTTGTGTTACCTGCATGTCTCTTTTAGGCATTTCAGTTTGCAGCCTCTGGTTTATATCTTATGTCTTTGTAGATCATTGAGAAATAAGATTTGATATATACAAACAAAACACTGACCTAGTTTTAGGCCCCATTCAGTAACCTTTTGCCCTACCTGTGTGTGTGTGTGCACTACGCGGCAGATGGGGGGTTAGGGGGCTGGGGAGGAGCATGGCACAGTGGGAGGATGAATGGGATAGGAGGGTGGGGTGGGGTAGGGTTGGGGGTAGAGTTGTCTCCAAGAGGAAGATGTTGGGTACAGTTGTGCTTTGCACAAGGGCATTACATCTAAATGGTGTCATTCCCATTGTAAAGGCCAAAGCATTGTCAAAGGGAGTAATAGCTGTTACATTCATTTATCGGTTTACTTTCTGTTTCTTCATGTGATTCAGATAAGAGGCGTTTTTAATAATATTGATAACCCTTATCTTTCTGTCTTTGAATTCATTGCTCTATTTTGTAACTCTGTTAATATGATCTTTTTAAAAACTATGGTGAAATATACAAAATATGGCATTTTAACCATTTTAAGTGTACAAATCAGTGGCATTAGAAACATTTACAGTGGTGCAACTATCACCATTAGCCATCTCTGGAATTTTTTTATTATCTCAAACGGAAACTCTGTTCCCATTAAACAGTAATTCCCCACTTCCTCCTTCCCTCCAATCCCTGGTAATGGCCACTCTACTTTCTGTACCTGAGAATTTGACTACTCTTACCTTATACAAGTGGAATTATACAATATTTGTCTTTTTGTGACTGGCTTATTTCATTAGCATAATGTCCTGAAGGTTCATCCAGGTTGTAGCACATTTCTGCATTTCCTTCTGTGTTTTTTTTTTTTTTTTTTTTTGAGGTGGAGTCTCGCTCTGTCACCCAGGCTAGAGTGCAGTGGCATGATCTCAGCTTACTGCAACGTCCGTCTCCCGGGTTCAAGCGATTCTCCTGCCTCAGCCTCCTGAGTAGCTGGGATTATGGGTGTACAACACCACTCCCGGCTAATTTTTTGTAGTTTTAGTAGAGACGGGGTTTCACCATGTCGGTCAGGCTGGTCTCGAACTCCTGACCTCGTGATCCACCCGCCTCGGCCTCCCAAAGTGCTGGGATTACAGGCGTGAGTCACCTTGCCTGGCCAATTTTCTTCTTTTTTAAGGCTAATTATTATGCATATATCACATTTTGCTTATCTCTTTATCATCTATGGGTACTTGGGTTTTGACTTCTTGGCTATTGTGAATAATGCTGCTATGAACATTGGTGTACAAGTATCCGTTTTAGTCTCTGCTTTCATTTCTTTGGGGTCTATATAAACATGACGTTTTAATCAGATATTTTATTCACCTCTCAAAGCTCTTGTTCCAGTGTTCACTTCCTTTGAAAAATCTGTATGAATATAGTATTCTTTTATTATTGTACTCCTGAGAGGAGGGTGTTAGCCCCTTTTTTTTGAAATGTGTGCAGAACTCCAGTGCTTAAAACTTCCACCAGAAACCATTGGTTTCTATCCCACAAGAATTCCACTGAAATGCTTCTCTTTGGAAGCCCTACTGAGCTGTTTAAACTGTGTTTCTTTAGAACTTCCAACATTTTCAGCTTTTCCTTGACTTTTTCTCTAATAGACATGCTTTAGTTAAAGCTCCTTCATTCTGAGTTGTTCTGTGAACTAGATTTCATGGTTTACTAACTCATATCCTAAATAGAATCATCCAAAAGAACGCATAGAAACATTCTGTTGATTCCATTTTGGTTGGTATGTGACTATTAAGGGTTCTTACAGTATGGTGAATCTCAGATTCCTCAGGGGGCTCCCTGAGGCTGAGGATGATAGATCTGACGATTCACAACTCTCATCTCTTTGGGATACATTGGTCATTGTTACAGAGTTAAACTGCCCGGGCAGATAGGAGGTTCTGGAGTTGAGGGCTGGTTTAACTGATCAGGGCATTTAACCTGTGTGGCATTGGACCTGTAAAATATGACAAATCTTTGGGCTGGAGGAATAAGGTTCTGCAACTGTTAAATTTGATTAATGATTACCCTGTGTATGGAAAATTGATTATTACATTGGTAGCTCTCTTTATGAAATTTTCTTTTATTCTGAGCATGGCCAATAGCAGTACTTATCCACATTCTTGAAAATCTTTCCCTTTGACTGTGACATACAAATCTTCATTGCTTACCTTGAATCTTAATATCATGCGTGAGCAAAGTGTTAGCATATTTGCTTATTTGCTCTTACTTATTTTTCAGAAGGTGCTACATAGTTTAAAAAAAAAAAGCAAAAAGGATGTGTAGTAAAAAATCTAGTGTACTGCGTCCTAAATGACGCATCATGACCATAGACTGTCACCGCCCTTGCAAGAGGCAGCCACCGATGCCAGTTTCTTGTGTGCTCTTCCAGAGATACTTGCTGTATTGTCTTTTATTTTAAAGTGTGGCATACATACAGGAAAGTATGTAAAACATACATGGACAGCATGAAGAATCATAATTAAAACAATCACTATTCCAAGTTATTGCTGATCCTTAGAAGCTGTCTGTGCCTCCTTGATCAGATCCCCCTTCTTCTCTCAAAAAGTAACCTCTATTCTGAGTCTTGTGATTCCATGTCCAGCAAGGAAGCAGGGATGTTGCATCCTAAATGCCTAAGTGTTTAAGTCTAGAGACTAATTCCTTTAAGCATTGTTGGATTGTTCCTGGTGCTTTTGAACTCCAATGTAGATGTTGTCATGTAATCACTGTGCTCCTCATCTGAGCTGAAACTTTGCTTCTGCTTTAGCCATGGCATGATTTAGATATGTGAAAGATAATTCCATCTCCTTTGTAATTTAATTTATTTGTGTCATTTTAGGCATATTGCATACCTGCTAATGTAGAATGGAGATCTAGAATATGGAAGACAGTTTAAAACATTTTAAAGCATTCAAATGTGGCATTCTGGCCGGGCGTAGTGGCTCACGCCTGTAATCCCAGCACTTTGGGAGGCTGAAGCAGGCGGATCATGAGGTCAGGAGATTGAGACCATCCTGGCTAACATGGTGAAACCCCATCTCTACTAAAAATACAAAAAAAAATTAGCCAGGCGTGGTGGTGGGTGCCTGTAGTCCCAGCTACTCGGGAGGCTGAGGCAGGAGAATGGCATGAACCCAGGAGGCGGAGCTTGCAGTGAGCCGAGATCTCGCCACTGCACTCCAGCCTGGGTGACAGAGCGAGACTCCATCTCAAAAAATAAATAAAAAATGAAGTGGCATTCTGATTGGGAGTTACTAAGCATATATATTATAGGAAGGATTAACACTCAAAAGGAGAGCTTAGTCTTGTTAATTTTCATGCTTTGCTGAGGGCCTGTGTATTAGCCTGTTCTCACCCTGCTAATAAAGACATACCTGACACTGGGTGATTTATAAAGGAAAGAGGTTTAATTAACTCACAGTTCCACATGGCTGGGGAGGCCTCACAATCGTGGTGGAAGGCAAAGGAGGAGCAAAGTCACGTCTTGCATGGCGGTGGGCCAGAGAGTGTGTGAGGGGAACTCCCCTTCATAAAACCATCAGATCTCGTGAGACTTATTCACTATTATGAGAGCAGCATGGGAAAAACCTTTCCCCCTGATTCAGTTACCTCCCACAATACGTGGGGATTATTACAATTCAAGGTGAGATTTGGATGGGGACACAGAGCCAAACCATATCATCCTGATACAAAACAGGTCATTAATAAATATTTATTGAATAGAATTGAGCTGGAGAGTTTGTTATATGCATATTTAAGTTACTCTGCATACCATTAATATGTTTCCTCGGTTTGTAGTCCTGAAGATTAGGCTTGAGTTCAGTATTTATCTGCTTATGTGTCCTGTGCTGCAACTGTCACCCTCCTTGTCCCTCATTCAGCCCTGCTCTTTCACAATAACCACCCCAAGAAGACTTTTCAGATTTTTTTTTCATCTGCATGTAAAAAAAAGAAGAAGAAAGAAGATACTTTTATTATTTTGGTTTTGGTTCTTCTCTCTTCCCTGCTTTGCCTTCCCTTCATACATGCAGTGGTATTAGCGGTCATGTCCCCTGACCTTGGTTGAGGCAAAGCAGAGGGTGTCATATCAGTTGCAGTGGAAAGATCCTTCTCTGTCCTTGTCTGTAGCTGAACCTGCTAAGTGATATTCCCTTCTAGTATGAGGATGGAGTACAAGTTTTTGAGGTTGCATTGCTGAAGGTAAAACCAAAAGAGAGAGAGAGAGAAAGAGAGAGTGAGTGTGTGTGTGTGAGAGAGAGAGGTGTGTGTGTGTGTGTGTGTGTGTGTGTGTGTGTAACTATTCTTTTGAAGATGACTTGGAACTATTCCTAAGTAACCTCCTGTCTGGCATTCACTAATTTCACCTGGCCAACTCCAGCAATGCTGATCTTAGGATATCTTATTGTATAGCTTATATTCCAAATATTGGAGGAAAGAGAGGGAGTTTGGAAAGAAGTTTTAGTTTAGAGAGCTCTTAAAGTACTCTTGGCTCATCATTCTTTAAATTCCAAAAATGACTAATTTGTGGGGATACATAATTAAGGAAGAAAAGGTTTTGTGAGGGAAAGGAGTAGCAGGGAGTGCTGAGAGCTTGGCGTATGTATTGGAAAATTGTGGTAACTTAACAGGTAATCAAGGATGTTGAGAGAGGTGCTTGTCATCATTTCAAAAGAGCGTAGAATATTTTATTTCATTTTGTCTACTGTGGATCGGTTCTCCTCTCATTTACTTCTTTTCACATTTCATATTTGGGAGGGCTTTGGGCTCTATCTTCTATTTCCTTCTATTAAAAAAAGTTTTATAAGTTATTCCACTTGGCATTCGGAACACAATAATGTCATACTTCACTGAGGCATACTAATGCTCTGGAAAGAAAGAAAAAGAAGGAAAATTAATTTAGAGGGAATGGAGGCTAAATTTTCCATGGTGAAGAAATTCTGACCTTTTCTGAGTTATCGTAAAAGACTGACATTGCTACCCTTTGGATGTTAAGAAAAAGTCTTTCAGATACCTTGGCTTGTAAGGGACCTGGGAAGCGCCAGGGTCCATCAAAAATGTAAAGACATTTATTAGAACATGCATATCCGAAAGCTTTCTGAATTCTGTGGGGACCATCTAGCTTTTACATGATCTTGAGGGAACCAAAGTTGTACTGAGAAAACCCAGTTTCCTCTTAATTCCATCCTATGTGAAAACAACTTAAGTCTCAACTGCACTAAGTTATGAAAATGGATCCTCTTTTTTTAACATTTGGTTTTTGGTTATTCATATTGTCTATATTCTGTTCTATAATTGTATCCAAGTGTTAAAATATATTTTATAAATATACTGACACTGAAAAAGAAATCAAAAGCTGAGAAACGTTTGTGAATATGGCTGGAGAGTCTCAGTAAGATGGGGGACATCTCCTCAAATTGAAGATCTGGGAAGTAAGTAATAGAAACTTACAGACAGATTGAGGTGCAGTTTTTTTTCTACTTTTTTTTCCTGAAAATTTCAGAAATATGAGAAGTGAAATAATAGCAAACATGACTCAGACCTTTATAAATTGTCTTTCTTGACAGCAGAGATGTACAATTTTGTAAAATATTGTCCTCAGTCTTGAACTGCAGAAACTCCTTTCTCTGATACCTGCGGTCTTATTTAATTTTTACATCTTAACAGCAAGAGCATACCCGTGATTTGTTTTCACAAATGTTAGAAATACTGTGTAAGAATAGACTTATTTTTATATTGTAAACTTTTACTTTTTTTTTTTTTTTGAGACTGAGTTTTGCTCTTGTTGCCTAGGCTGGAGTGCAATGGCAAGATCTTGGCTCACTGCAACCTCCGCCTCCCGGGTTCAAGCGATTCTCCTGCCTCATTCTCTCAAGTAGCTGGGATTATAGGCATGCACCACCATGCCTGGCTAATTTTGTATTTTTAGTAGAGACAGGGTTTCTCCATGTTGGTCAGGCTGGTCTTGAACTCTCAACCTCAGGTGATCTGCCCGCTTTGGCCTCCCAAAGTGCTGGGATTACAGGCATGAGCCACCATGCCTGGCCCAACTTTTACCTTTTTAAAGTATGTTTTTAAACAACCAATAATATTTGGCATAATTTAGTATTTTGCCAGTGCTTCATTGCTTATGTGCAATGAGGCATTTAACAAAATAAATTGGACATATATATTTATAATTATTTTACCTATTCCGTCAGATAGTACATTTCTTAAGGAGTAAGGAAACTTGAAATATAACTCACTACTTCTCCTTTTTTTTTTTTTTTTTCCTGAGACGGAGTCTTGCTCTGTCACCCAGGCTGAAGTGCAATGGCGCGATCTCGGCGCACTGCAAGCTCCGCCTCCCGGGTTCACGCCATTCTCCTGCCTCAGCCTCCTGAGTAGCTGGGACTACAGGCACCTGCAACCACGCCCGGCTAATATTTTGTATTTTTTTTAGTAAAGACGGCGTTTCACCGTTTTAGCCAGAATGATCTCGATCTCCTGACGTCGTGATCCGCCCGCCTTGGCCTCCCAAAGTGCTGGGATTACAGGCGTGAGCCACCGCGCCCGGCCTGCTTCTCCATTTTGTTCACAAAATATTTTTTCCTCAGAAGTGTGGCATTGAATGATGTATTGTTTTGTAGTGAGTACATTATCTCAGTGAACACACAATTTCTTTCAGATAGTCACCAGAGTAGTCATCAAAAGGAAAAGCAATCTAAGTACCATTTAATGGGCTGCACTACACTAATATTCTATTTGATGAATTAACTGCATGTTTTTAGTTATCTGTTAGACTAGTTTTCATTCTTTTCCTTCCCTTCGGTATGATAAATTCTTTTAAAATGGTTTTATTCAATCCCAGGAAACTGAAAATACTTGAAAAAATAATATTTTGCAATTTGTCAGAAAATATTTCCTCACTACTTGACTGGTAATCTCAAGCATGATTAGTATAGTGTTTCCTATGAGCTAGAAGGTTTTTGGATTAGATGTGCAGGAATAGGCATTCTGCCTGCTTTTAAATGTCTAGCTGCACAGCTGAGCAAAAAAGCCCAACCTGGCAGTCAGAACAGGCTGCCCAGGGGAACTCCTATTGTTCAGCCCCATTCAGGCAAACTATAAGATCACGCATAGTGTCCGAGCCGGTGCTGGTGCCTAGTGAGAACATGGACAGTCCAGGCATGGGATGTGTGGATATGCTGCCTTCGCAGTGATCAAGAATTCAGGATTTTAGAGCCCAGTAAATAGCTCATGAGAACTTGGGTTTAGAAAATCTGAACTGCTGGGCCACCCTGAAGTATCTTGAATTGAGGAGCTTGGGTGAAGAAGTCCTGGTATCAGTTGGGGGCCCTTCAGATGAGCTGCCACCTTGTGACTGTCCGTCAGGGTCATCTTTTGGCCATCCCTGGTTAGCGTTGCCATGTGGGTGACAACTAGGAGACTTTACTTGAATGTTCCCACAGATGCATGGCTGGGATGGCGTAAGTTCTTTTCTGTTTCTGGCAGCAATGGCTCAGGATTAGGGTTTATGAGGTTAAGATTAACGGAGACAATAGAAGAGAATCTTGACTTGATAATATGTTTTTTATTTTGTAAAAGCTTTGTTGCAATATAATTCATATTCCAAGTAATGTACCCATTGAAATTGTGCATTTCAGTGGTATTTAGTGTATTTATAGAGCTGTACAACCATCACCACCCTGTAGCTATTATCTCCGCATCCCTACTTCTCCCTAGCTGCTGGAAACCTTGGGTCTACTTTCTGTTTGCCATTCTGAGTATTTCATATAAATAGAATCCTACAGTTTATAGTGCTTTAATGACTGTCTTTTTTCACTTAGGATCATGTGTTTAAGGTTTGTTCATGTTGTAGCTTTTGTGGTACTTTCCTTTCTCTTCATTGATAAATAATATTCCACTGTGTGGATAGGCTACATTTTGTTTGTCCACTCATCAGTCGATGGGCATTTGGGTTGTTTCCATATTTTGGCTATTCCGAATAATGCTGCTATGAACATTTATGTGCAAGTTTTTGTGTGGTTTTATTCCTCTTGAGTAGAACTGCTAGGCCTGTTAATATGTTTTTAGTCTTTTGTGTATATATGGGAATATTGTCACCTAGTATGAAATGGTTTTTAAAGGCAATCAACAATCTAAAACCTCCAGTTATTTGTGTGTTTTTTTTTTTTTTTTTTTTTGGAGACATGAGACAGGGTTTTACTGTGTCACCCAGGCTAGAGTCCAAGTAGTATGATCTGGGCTCACTACAGCCTTGACCTCCTGGGCTCAAGCGATCCTCCCACCTCTGCCTACTAAGTAGCTGGGACCACAGGCACACACCACCACCTCTGGCTAATTTTCCTATTATTTGTAGATACAGGGTTTCGCCACATTACCAAGGCTGCTCTCCAACTCTGAGGCTTCAGTGATTTGCCCACCTTGGCCTCCCAAAGTGCTAGAATTAAGGGCGTGAGCCACCATGCCCAGCCTGCAATGTCCTTTTCTGAATTCATAGACTTCTCAGTATTACTTAGCAGCTAGCCTTTTTTTTTCTTTTTTTTTTTTTTTCTTTTCTTTTTTTTTTTTTTTTTTTTTTGAGAGGGAGTCTTACTTTGTTACCCAGGCTGGAGTGCAGTGACACGATATCAGCTCACTGCAACTTCTGCCTCTCGGGTTCATGAGATCCTCCCACCTCAGCCTCCTGAGTAGCTGGGACTATAGGTGCATGCCACCACGCCTGGCTAATTTCTGTATTTTTAGTAGAGATGACGTTATGCCATTTGGCCAGGCTGGTCTTGAATTCCTGACTTCAAGTGATCTGCCTGCCTTGGCCTCCCAAAGTTCTGGGAGTACAGGTGTGAGCCATCGTGCCCAGCCTAGGCCCCCCTGCTGCCTTTAAAAAAAATTTAATAATTCACATTATTGAAATATTTAAACCTAGTCATTCTTTCCTTTGGCTGTGACTTCTTAGAAAATTATTATTTTTTTTAAATATATGAATGTGGTGACTTTTGACACTGTATTTGGGTGTTTATTTATAATTTATATGTATGAATTTTAAGTACCCTAGAATTGAGTGTAATAGTGATAGTATTTTTAAAAGTGGAAATTTTTAAGGTATAGTATGTTGCAAATTTTTAATAAAAGTTTCTATTCCATCGAAGTGTAAGCCGTCATGATTTGTTTCATACTTTCTTATGCTTGTAATTAGAGAAAATGTGGCACATATACACCATGGAGTACTATGCAGCCATAAAAAATGAGTTCACGTCCCTTGCAAGGACATAGATGAAGCTGGAAACCATCATTCTCAGCAAACTCACACAGGAACAGAAAACCAAACCCTGCATGTTCTCACTCATAAGTGGGAGTTGAACAATGAGAACACATGGACACAGGGAGAGGAACATCACACACTGGGGCCTGTCAGGGGGTGGGGGGCTAGGGGAGGGAGAGCATTAGGAGAAATACCTACTAATGTAGATGATGGGTTGATAGGCGCAGCAAACCGCCATGACATGTGTATACCTATGTAACAATCCTGCACGTTCTGCACATGTATCCCAGGACTTAAAGTATAATAAAAAAAAAATAGTTTTAAGCTGGTTTCTCTAAGAAAGTTTTCCTTTGATAATGAAGATAACAAAGAAGATAGATTTTAGCAGCAGAAGTATTCTTTTCCTCATATTTCCAGACATTTTAATACATATTTGCAGACATTGTAATAGTCATCTTTATAGCTCACTCCAGTGCTATACATTGGGATTATAGTTGCTTGCAGTATAGCATTTACATCTTCCTTATTCTTTTTTCTTCGTTCATTCTCTCTTTCTTGAACTCTCATTCTCTCTCTCACTGGTCTTGTGAAAGAACATGATTGGATTTCTGCTTTGAGCTATCTTTAAGTTTGATTACAAACTGTAACAGAGTAGCCTTGAGGTTTTTTTTATTGGTAACTATTTTGTGATGAGGTGGTTGAAATCGTGCTTCTTTCTTGATTTTTGTTTGTTTGTTTGTTTGTTTTTTGAGACGGAGTCTTCATTGACACCCAGCCTGAAGTGCAGTGATGTGATCTTGGCTCACTGCAACCTCTGCTGCCTGGGCTCAGGAAATCCTCCTGCCTCATTCTCCCAAGTAGCTGGGACCACAGGTGCATGCCACCACACCCGGCTAGTTTTTTGTATTTTTGGTAGAGACAGGGTCTTGCCATGTGGCCCAGGCTGCTCCCAAACTCCTGAGCTCAAGCAATCTAACTGCCTCGTCCCTCCAAAGTGCTGGGATTACAGGCGTGAGCCACTGCGCCCAGCCAAGTGCTTCTTGATTTCTATCATATTGTGATGTTCAGAATCTAATGTAGTTATGTGGCCCTTACGTTACTCTGCCCTGTACTATCTTCTTTATTATTTTACATTCATTTATATTATACTTCTAAATTATAAAATAAAATTATAGTTTAATATAAACTATATATAAATCTAATATAGATTTTTACACTATGAAATAATGCACGTTTCTTGAAAGAGCAACTATAGTAGTAGATACATGTTATAACGTGCAACGTCTCCTGCCCTGGGATTCTTCCTAAGTACCACACCCAGAATAACCACTGTTTCTTATACAGCTTTCCAGAAAATTTTATGTATTTTTATACAAGCACTTGTATTCACATACACGTTGTTTAAAAAAAAAAAAAGAAATGGTGTTTTTCTGTACGTGGCATATGTTTCAACATCTTGCCTTTTCCCCTCCACCCTAATGGACATTGGGTAATGATGTAACTAATTTCTGCTTTTCTGTTAGCTTTGGCAGCCAGGGAGCTCCAGGCTCATTTACACTTGCTGGGAGCCCTGTGCTCAATTATAATTGCCTACGATAGCCTCCACTTTCTGATTTAATGTTCTTCTTTTTCTGAATTTTTAAAAAAATCTTTTTAAAAAGTTTTATTATGGCTTCTTTACGTGAGCCTTTTAAACAACTTGAGTGAATAGGAGGATTCAGGAATTATGGCTCATAGAAGAGACATATTTAACCTTATGCATCAGACATTGTTAGACACTACGCTGTATTTGTATAGCTTCAGTGTTTGGTAGCTCTAGATATCAAGATAGTATTTAGGAAATTTTCTTTTCCAACATGTTAGTTAGTTCTGAAATACCCCAAATGGTTAATGTAGTTTATAAACTCCGAAAAGCTTTTTATCTAATGAGAGCACTGTTTTAAAAAAACCACTAATGATTTTCTAGTTGAAACATTTGAAACAATTTTGAAGTACAGGGGACTTTTCTTTAAAACAGTGCTCATTATACTCGGAAGATAAGCTCTTGAGCATCTGTCATCCTTGTTGATGTATTCATACTGTTTTTATTCTTTGAAATGTATTTAAATAGAAAAAATAGTTCATGTTTTTTGTCATTCTTTCAGACTGCAGTGTTTTGTTTTGAATGTGGTGAAATTGGTTTTATTCCTCTTGGGACTGCTTATCTCTAGGGCCTGGATGCTTCCTTTAAATAGGGATTCACAGGTAGTAAATCATTAGAATTTTTGTTTAACAGTGAAAGAAGTCACTTAACATAGGTCTGTCATAGTTCTGTCTTTGTCACTGTATGTAGAATTTCATAGTGATACAACATCCATTTTCTTAGCAAAAAGTTAGGTCTAGGGTATATCTGTTTGGAAAATTACATCAGAATTGATTTTCAATTAATCAAAGTTACTAAATAGTGCTCTGAGTTACCAGTGGTATTTAAAATTAATTTTGGAAGTTGCACACATACTTTATGTGTATTTTCTTTTTCTTGTATGAGAGAATGATATATATTAAATTGTAGTTATTGCTTATAATCCTTTTAGAAGGCAATGGGGCTACTCAAGGAGGCTGAGGTGGGAGGATCGCTTGAGGCCAGGAATTCAAGACCAGCATGAGCAACATAACGAGACCCCGATCTCTAAGAAATTTTTTAAAAAAAGTTAGTCAGGAATGGCTCATGCCTGTAGTCCTAGCTACCTGGGTGGCTGAGGTGGGAGGATTGCCCAGGACTTCAAGGCTGCAGTGAACTATGATCTTGCCACTGCACTCCAGCCTAAGGGACAGAATGAGACTTTGTTTCTAAAAAATAAAATAAAATAATAAAAATAAAAGAAAAGGAAGGCAATGATGTTCTGCATCAGTGACAACAGCATGGGCATTGCCAAGATCTTTGATGACCTTACTGCTTACCTCTCCCCAGATTTTACATAATTTTATCTTCCTGTCCCATTGTACACTGACAATACTCTCCTTCAAGTGTCCTCACCTCTTGATTTGTCATATACTCTTAATTTTATTGCTACATTTGGCCATTTTTTTCACTTTTTTTCTTTGTTCACTTTCCTTTGCTCCATACTTAACTAATTTTCCAGATTTCTGTCCTTAAATCTCTTTCATTTTCACTGGATATACTCTTCCCAGGCTTCCCAGGCTTCTGTAACAATCTATTTGCTTTGTCTCCATCCCATAACTCTCCCTGAGCTCTAAATTATTATATGCAACTGCTCACTGGACATACAAGTTCGTGATTCAACAGACCCTTTAAAACTCAAATCTGTTTCCCTTAGTATATTCCCTTGTTTGTTAATCTTGCTCAGTTACCCAAGCCAGAAATTTAGGTATCATTCTTGAATACATTGTTTCTCTTCCTTTCCACACCCGATCAATCAAATACACAGTCTTATTGCTTCTTACTTTTTTTTTTTCTTATCTTATTGCTTTTATTTTCAGTATTTTTTTGAATCATGAAGCTGTATAAACAGACAAGGTGATCTGTGTTGTGTTAGGGCTGTCTGTGCCATGTTGCTGTGGGAGTTTCTATATGGAAGAGGGGCATTAACAAAGCTTTGAAATGCCAAAGCAGACTTTCCAGGGAAGAGCGTCTGCAGATAATTCTGAAGAATGTGTTGATAGTATCTTGGCCACAGGGCCATGAGGCATTATCAGGGGCAGGAGAGAGGGAGGCTATTCCCAGGAAAGGCTCCAGCATGTGCCAGAGATGATGCAGACAACATTAAGATTTGAAAAAATGGCCCAGTGAACAAAGTGTTTTTGGTTTTGAGAGAGAGAGAGATTGAGAGACAGAGAGAGAGAGAGAAACCAAGGGATCATGATAGTTATAGTCAAATAGAGGAAGGATTATCTTTTGAAAATGTGTTGGTTCTGTGATACAAGAGGAAGCTAAGACATATCGTGGAAACATCTCCCCCCTCCACCTTAATATCAAGAACAAATTGTGGAATCTAATGTTAATGAGAAGTAGTTCCCCACTGTGTCAGATGCGCAAAGAGAAATTGGAATATACTTATCAAGTATATTATAGATGGAATTGAATTATTGTAAAGAGTAGATTAGAGAGGACCGCCAAAGTCCAGTCCCAAACATGATACATTAAGTGTATCCCTTAGTATAATACCAAGGAACCCCAAAAGCTTTACAGTGTCTAAACTCTATTTTACGTCTTCCTAAACTGATATCGTACATTCAATTTATATATTTCTGTACTAAGATCATGAATTTAGAGTTTATTGAGAAATTGCCAGAAAAAAATGTGTTAAGTTTTTATCCCTTAAAGAGTATCTCATAACTTACAGATTTGAGCAGGGAGGTATATAATCAGGAGTACAGTTTATGTTTGTTTATTCAAAGCTCTGATCTCATGAAAATTGCTATATAAATGCTTGTTTTAACAACTGTTATTATTAGGGGTTTGTATGAAAGTCTGCCAACTTGGTCCCAATATTTATATTATAAATTAAAATGTTTTGAAAAGAACTGCTTCTCAACTGTGATCCTCATTGTTTTTGAAACCTAAAATATACTAATTTTTAATTTTTGTAGTTGAAATAGTTTTTAATGCCAGCAGTCTTTTGGTTATCAGTTTCATTTGAAGACCAGAAGTTCCTGAACAAAGAATATTTATTTCAGATTAATAAGTAAATAAAGTGAAATAAAAGATTTTTTTCCTTTGAAATTGAGGAAGATCAGTTATTAGTAGTACAAACTGTGCACTAGATTGTATCTTAGGGTTCCTAACTCATTCTTACCAATGATAATAACTCTGAACCCAAGAATATCTGAGACAGTTCTCAATTAATTTAAAAAGTTTATTTTGCCAGGGTTAAGGATGCACCTATGACACAGCCTCAGGAGGTCCTGAGGACATGTACCCAAGGTAGTTGGGGTACAGCCTGCTTTTATACATTTTAGGGAGACATAATACATCAATCAATACATTTAAGATTTACATTGGTTCGATCTGGAAGGGTGGGACAACTCAAAATGGAGGGACGGGTGCTTCCAGGTCATAGGTAGATTTGAAAATTTTCTGATTGCCTATTGGTTGAAAGAATTATTCAATGTAGAAAAGAATGTCTGGGTTACAATAAGGGGTTGTGAAGACTAAAGTTTTATCCTGCTGGGGAAGCCTCCAAGTAGCAGGCTTCAGAGAGAACAGATTACAGATGTTTCATATCAGACTTAAAGTCTGTGTTGATGTTAATGCTGGAGGGGTGTAATGAGGCATGTTGACCCCCTCTTCCATCTTGGCCTGAACTAGTTTTTCAGGTTAACTCTGGAACGCCCTTGGCCAAGAGGATTGGTCCATTCAGATGGTTAGGGGGGCATGTAGAGTTTTATTTTGGGTTTACATAACCCATTATGGAAATGATTCCTTGGCCCTAAGGTAATTATAGATTCTGGATGCCATGCTTATATTAAGTAGATACCAAAATGCTACTTTTAGAGTTTGAGTTTCTCTTACGTTTTTAGAAATTCAATTGAGTAGAACTCGTTATTAAGGAAAAAATACTCAAGACCCGAATAATATTGCCATGAATAAAGCGGTTGATTAGTGATTGGTTGACTTTATGCTTTTCAGTTCACAGAAATATTGCTGAGGAATCTTGACACAGGCAATGCAAGTGTTTACATGAATATGAAATTAGCAACTATATTTAGCTATAATTAAAATCTAGTAAGGTATGTAAAACCTGTTTGTCTTTGACTAGAACTTATTCCAAGTTAATGAGATCTCAAACAAGGCATAGAGTGTATGTCCCTTTTTGAAAAGATGATGATATTTTCTTAATTACTGTCTGTGTTTGGGCTGGCCAATTTTGACCCAGTTAAAAAGCTGCAAAAGCGTGGTCTGAACTTCTCTTTTTATTATGGCTAATTTTCCTTTAATTTAGACTACTTATACAAATACCCAGTATTATGAGCCAGCAAAATTAACAGGTGTGGATTTAATATGTAGTGTGGGTCCACAGAGATTATATTCGTTGTATAAAGCCTAATTTTTTGTCTTAGTTGTCCTTGTCATGTTTAGATCTTATTTCAAGCCATTTCTTTTTCATTTTCTGATAATCTGATTTCATTGTCACCTTAATATCTTCTTTTTTTGTGTTTGCAATCTTTTGTTTTTCTAACTCTAATCCCAAGAGGCAAAAGTAATACATTTTGAGGGATTTTTGAGAAGTTTTGTGCTTGCCTTCCCCTTGTTCAGATAAGTTGTGCTGCAAATGGCTCCATTCCTCCTGTTTTGTACTAGTGACAGGAAAGTTCGTCTAGAGATAAAATGTCACAAATCTGTCCACCTCCTCTACTCTCTCAGGGGACTCTACAACGTCACGTTTTCTTAACTATTTAATTTGTAATGCCTTCTTTATTTTGGGGAAATTACAAAATAGTGACACAGTCTCCCCAGCCCAAGAAGGAGGAGATTTTTTTTCCCCAGTAGGGCGGTTGTTTTATTTTGACTATATAGTCTTCCCTAGAATTGGGGGAATAAATATTGGTATGGTTTTTTAATATTGATTTCCCTGGGTAGATTATATTTCTGACTGTAAAATATATTATTGGATGTGCTTCTCAAATAGATTTTACATAATCAGAGAAATTTTGACCATGAGCCTAATTTAATACTTTTTTGCTCCTTCTGAGTTTACATAAACTTTTTATTTTTCCATGGAGTTTATCAGAATCCCAAATCCTCTGCTTCAGTCTTCCTTTCATCCTGATCTTCAGGATATTTTTCCTGGAGTTATTATTGTTATTTTATAGTATCTATATAGCTACTATTTTATAGTAGTATCTACTATTTTATAATAGATTGTCCTGGAAAACCTACCGGTGCATGAGAGAAAAGTTCAAGGCTAAACTTAAAGGTACTGGGTAGTCAACAGCTCATGTCTCTATCAGAAAATGATGGAGACTAGAAAGTAACATACATGAGTGGTTATCATTTTAAAACTAGAGAAAGAGTCATGGAAGTTGGTAGGGGGGACTTTAAAGGTGAAAGTTTAGATTATGGTCTATCAGAGAGGAATGGAAAATAATGTATTTTAAGGAGACTGTAAGTATCCAAAGTATAAGTTAAGGTTTAAAATATTACATTTGAGTAAAACAAGAAGAAAAGAGTTTAACGTTTTCCTGTAAGAGAGTAGGTTGTATTGGATAGTCATGTTGTTCAGATTTTTATTTATTTTGTAAATAGTTTTGTTTTGTTAAAAATTTGTGTTAATTGGGCCGGGCACGGTGGTTCATGCCTGTAATCCCAGCACTTTGGGAGGCTGAGGCGGGCAGATCACCTGAGGTCAGGAGTTCAAGACCAGCCCGGCCAACATGGTGAAACCCCATCTCTACTAAAAATACAAAAATTAGCCAGGCATGGGGGCAGGCACCTGTAATCCCAGCTACTTGAGAGGCTGAGGCAGGAGAATCGCTTGAACCCGGGCGGTGGAGGTTACAATGAGCCCAGACCATGCCATTGCACTCCAGCCTGGACAAGAGTGAAACACCATCTCAAAAAAAAAAAAAAATTTGTTAATTTTGCTGAGGTGGTCCTGAGACTGGATCAAAAATTGCAGCACTATATTCTTCTAGAAACATGCACACGTTTTTTAAAATTGCTTTACCTGCACAATTGAGTTCATGATATTTCTGTCGTGTCGCATTTGTAATGTAGTTAATTATTTTCATCATCTTCCTGAAAAAGGCAAAATCGATGGGAAATTTTTCTTCTTAATATTGAATCACGTATGACTAATTTATATTTACTTTTGCAAAGCAGGGAAATATATGAATAAGAGGCATGAATCCACAATTGCTGAAGCAAATCAATACATGTGAAGGAAAAGCAAAACCCTATGTAGGCCTATGTAGAAACCTTATGCACAGAACTAAATGCTTGTTAAGTAAAAATTCCTAATCCTTATCCTCTTATGCCATTTTAAATTAACTCTAAAATTAGTATTGGAAAAATCTCCCTGATTTGTTCAAATGGCTGATGCTTACATGTCATTTTGGATCCAGAGATGCAAAATATAAGAGCTTCATACATAGGTTCAATACTTTTCTAAACTGAATTGGGTTTTTGAATAAAATACCAGGGTATTCCAAATGAATGATTTTTATCTGACTCATTAAGAAGTGAAAATAAATATTTTATTATACATGTAATATGATTTAGTTTTACAAACTGTTAATATCATAATAATCTCAAGAAGTTCTAAAAATGGAGATAATTATGACAGCCATAAAATATAAAGTATATGGAATTATATATTTGGCTATATATTAGTCATATATTTTTAGGGCCTACTTTATATTTTTTTCCCTGGCAGTGTTTTAGTTACATTTTTCCACAGTGTTTTTCTAAAAAGAAATTGTATCATTTTGTAATTCTTAGTTTGTCAGAGAAACCAACTTTATCTCAACTTCATTAAAGAGTAATAATAAATTTGAATTTAGTTGATGTAAGAGTTGCCAGTACCAAAATGGAGTGGTTTATGCCAAGCAGTAATAAAATGGAGCCAGGAGGCCATGAAGTAAGGGAGCACACACATGTATGCCTATGATGGAACTTTTCCCAAGAAATTCCTCAGAACCATAGTATTCCAGATAAGCTGCTTGCACAAGGAAGTTTGCCTAACAAGAGCTGCCTTCATCAATGAGCTAATGTGGATTCCTGTAACAAGCTCCTGGAACCAGTGGTCTTTGTTTCAAAACAGTTCATGTGGACTTTTTTTCTTTCAAAAGCTTCCCCTTGCTTCAGCCTCTTTGCATGCACCTGTGGTGGGCCATAGCAAGCATAACCCGAATTGCAATTTCTTGCTATTCTCAATAAACTCTTTGTTGTGGAGAGTTGGTCCCTCTATTGTTTATTTTAGGTTGAGATTAGCATAGAATTTTGTAAAGTCCTGGAGGTATATCCATGCCAGGGATTAAATTGGATTCTATTCCCAAGTAATTTTTGTTCTTAAGGACACTCTAAGGAATTATTTGTGTCTGCTTTAATTATTAAAAATAATTTTGTTTATTCAGTTCAATAGAATTGTATCTTTTAAAATACTTATAGTCCTTAGATACTGTTTTGTTATAAAGTATTTTGTTTTGAAGATGTCTTTAAATTCACTGGCTTCAAAGATAACTTCTGCATTATTCCTTGGGCTTTCCTCTTAGTTCAATTTAGAAGGAACAGAGAAAACACAAACATTTAGGTAAATAATGGAAATAGGATTCACGTCATAAAACGATACTTTGCAAAATTGACAAGGTGGCAAACATACAGGTGATGTTAGTTTTTTGATTAATAACAAGAGACAGAATCTGAAGGGTTAGAGGAAATGCATAAGAATCTGAAAAAATAAAAGGATCTGGAGAAGACACCCTTAAAGGTGATGATCAAGAAGTCTGTGTTGTATAACGGGGCTGTTGGGGCTCAAGGAGAACAAATTTTAAAAGTGGCAGGAGGTATGGAGAAAGCTGTGTTGGTGATGTGAGTATTATGGGCTTCTCAAAGCATGGTTCTGACTCTGGCAAAAAGTGGGAGGTCAGAGCAGAGTTGGCTGCTTGTAATGGGAGTGGGGGAGAAAGCAACTCTTTAAAAAAATTTATGTCAAAATGGTATTCAGTGGTCCATCACATTGAATCAACACACCTTTATTGAAAACATATTATTTAGCACACACTCTAGGGGTTCATTTCTCTTATTCTCTGAACTTGAAATCCTTTTCTTGTTGATCTTTCATATGGGTCACTAAACAGATTCTATTTTACCTGATTAAATAAATGGTAACAAGGCCTAGGTCTACTCCTTCGATTTTACTGTATACTTACTTAACAGTTCACTTTGTCAGACTTCTACCCCCTCTACAAGATTAAGAAAATTAGTGGTTACAGTGTCATGCAATTCTATTCGGCTTGAAAAGTTATTGAGGCATGTTTTTCCACCTTTTTAACCTTCATTTATTTAGTAGAAGCATTCCCTTAAGTGTATGATGAGTCAACACTGGTTTTGCCTGACTCCAGTAAAGTCAAAGCATTATTTAATTTAAAATGTGTGCATGTTAAGTTCCTTTCTTTGCATTTAATTGGAGACTTTTTTCCACAGTTAGCTCACCAAAATGTTACTAGGTTCCTCTGTGGCTGTCTACTATTTGAACAGACAAGCAACTAATTAGAATAACAGAACAACATGACTGTCATTCCTCCATTCTTACAGGTTATTTTTAAAAAGAGATTTTGTTTAAAAAGAGAAAATATGTATTATATTAAGGAAATATAAGATCCATACTCTCCTTGAGGCATTTTTTCACTTCACCATGCCAACATTCCTTTATTCCCTATCATAATACCGATCAAGAAATGGGAGGTTTTCCTAAGTCAAGAAAACCTCTCACACATAAAAATTCAAACTGGGAAAGCAAATGTATCAGGGGGCGGCTTTTAATTTGACAAAAGATCTGCTACATTACAAAAGAATTTTTCTAAAGATTACTTTATGTAGACAACTCCCTCAGTGTACCGAAAATCAAAGAATGTTCTACATTTTAAACACATTTTAAAATGGGCACACCTGTTCCTAATATTCTTATGTAAATGGACCTATTTACATGTGAGACCCAATGTGGTGGGTAAATGAAAACCAGTGTGTGAGTTACTCAAGTTTGTTAATGATGTTAGAAATATAGTCAAAATAGCTCAGTCTGCTCTTGCTATGCTATTTTGTCCAGCCAATCTCTCATCCTCCCTTCATCCTAATTCCAGAAGAGAGGATAGGAGTAAAAGCAAAATCTTATTACAAAAAACACACTCTGGAAAGAAAGAAAACTGTATTGGATAATACTCAGTTTGGTATTTGTTTTCTCCTGTCTAGTTCTTAGTACCCTTAGAATTGAGATAATTCATTATTTGTCACTCAGGTAGGTTTCGAGTGAACTGATATATTTAATTAGATCCTTAAAGCCCATAGGATTTATACTGGTCATTTCTGTCAATTGTGAATCTGCTCATACTTGTTCTTCATGAAACTATGGAATAATTTTTCATGTATTTTCATGTGTCAATCTGAAAAGAAACTTAGGTTCTCCAGAACAGAGGAGTTTATTTGAAAATAGCAGAGGATTATAACCCAGAAAATGTGTGCTGAGCCAGATCACAGGCGCATCAAGGAGACTGGGACCAAAGGGAGACTTTTAAAGACAAAGAGAAGTCTTCATAAACTGTTTGTTAAACCAGAAAGATCATTGGTTACAAGAGCTTGCTGTAAGAGTTGGCGACAAATCATTGTTAAAGACGTCATTACTAGACAGATGTCCTTGTGCAAGCTGCTTATCTGGAGCTTTGCGGTCTAGGGGAATTTCCTTGCTAAAAGTCCTGTTACAGGCAAATGTGCAGTAAATGCGGGAATGTCTCCTATAAGGCCTTTACAGGCATTTGTGAGTGAGGGCTCCCCCTTCGTGGCCTTCCAACTCCATTTGCTAGGGTTTGACATAATTGATTCCATTTTGGTATCAACAACTTTCACACATGGATAGTTCAAAATGGAAGCTCCTGTAAAATAATACTTTCATATGTATTTTTTCATGGTGTCTAGTACCTGTGCCACATAGTGAATGCCTGAATAAAGGACCACATGTATTACAGTTGTTAGATTTTCTTAGGGACCCTATTGTTTAAATGACTTATAATAAGCACTTACTGTGTGATGGTAAACACTATGCTATTTATGTCACCTATACTTCTTACTTAACATTAACACAACTCTACACAGTTTGGAATATTGTTGAAATAATCACTTTATAGCTGAGAGTAGAGCATGTATGGGTTAAACTCTTGCCCAAGGTCAGACAGTGAGTTGACTTGTGTCTTCCCATGTTGTCACTGATGCGTCTTCTCCTTTGCTGGCTCTTGTTCCCTTTATTCCTTCAGTAATATAGAGAAACTACAGCCTTTCATTCCCAATAGAGTGAAAATACACCACTCATTCATTATTTTTCAATTATAGTGCAAGGACGAGCAGTTTACCCTAATATCCATTTCTTGTTTGGTTGGGAAATTCACCAACAGAGCAGAAAAGCACAGTGGGGAGAGACCTCAGGGGAAACACATACAACTTTGAGATAAACCCTGTTTTTGTTTTAATGTTAAAATTTAACTTTTAATCCCTTTGTAGTATTTACACAACTGTCAGTGAAATGATAAATCTTCTAGCTCATTTCACAAGAGGGCAGCACTTTCTTTTAAAATTTAAAGTATGACTAAAAAAATACAATCAAATTAACGTTTTCTATCATGAAGTTAAGCTTGAATGATTTACAGGAAGATGGGAGCCTCTCTGTCCTGGGGGCAATTTATGAGTTAAGATGAGTGCAGATCTGCAGGGTAACTTGGGATCCTTAGAAAATGGAACGATGGATTAAAATCAAGCCCTAGAATTTTTGACTTGCAGTTTGAATTTGGAGACTATTTTGGTAACTTTGTAAATGTGTAAAAGTCTGTCAAGATCATGTCTTTCTTTTCTATTATGGCAAAACATGAAGAGTGAATCATTTTAATATATTCAAATTGTTTTGCTCATATCAAATAAAAAGTATTTATTGAGCAATGGTTTTATGTTTAGGATTCTATAGGTCATTTGAGGAACAAATAAATTTAACTTTTTTCTTCATTATTTAAAGAGCTTAACTCCCTTGGGGTGACAAGGAAGGGAAAGCACATTGGCAAAACAACCTGTAAACAAGCCAAGGCAACATGTAAATAAGGTACAGGGTAACAGTACAGCATAATGGAGATGGCCGATTTGGATAGGGAATTGTTGAATTAGGGTTTTAATGCAGGGCTTTGAGTAGAAGGTGGAAATTGAATTGGTCCTCAGTGGGTGGATAAAATTTGAATAGATTTAAAAAAAACAAAACACGAGGAGGCTATTATTTAAGAAAATAGAATCCTGTCAACAGAGAAAAAGTACAAAGTGCATCAGGGCATGCTAGGAAAGCCTGTTGTTTAGAACATTGTAGGAATGATGCCTGGTAGGTAGGATAAGGCTGTATTGTGGCACCTTGAAAGTTAGGAGTCAGGGCTGCACTCTCCAATACCATTGCCGCTGGTTGTATGTGACTATTTAAATTTAAATGAATTAAAATCAAAATCAAAATGTATTTCCCCAGTCACATCATTAGCCACATTTCAGATGTTTAATAGCCATCCTATTATTGAACAACACAAAGATGGAATATTTTCATTATCACAGAAAGTTCTATTGGACAGCACTGCATCACAGTTTAGTTATTTGGGGGTTGGAATATGGAGAATCATTAAAGAAACAGGGAATGATACGACAGTATAAAGAATGTTTGAATTTTAAATCTGTAAGCCGGGAACTTAAAGGGAACTTCTTTTTTTTTAATGTTAAGTGTTTTCGATGGAGCATAAACAGAACTTGCAAGGTATAAGCATTTTGTATAAGTGTTCTAAAAACTGTCATATTTATTTTTTATTTTAAATTAGCTACTAGTATACTAGCTTTAATGAGGAAATAGAAGGTGAGCTAAAGGAAGTAACTTTTTCATTAGTTTTCAAATTCAGTTAGGTTTGTCATGCAGCATACAGAACTGGAGAATACAGAGAGACTGGATTCAGGAATGATGACGTGAAGAAATCCTGTGAGGAGATGTATTAGCTCATTCTCATGCTGCTAATAAAGACAGACATACCTAAGACTGGGTAATTTATTTAAAAAAAAGAGGTTTAATGGACTTACAGTTCCACATGGCTGTGGAGGCCTCACAATCATGGCAGAAGGCAAAGGAGAAACAAAGGCACATCTTACATGGTGGCAGGCAAGAGAGCTTGTGCAGAAGAACTCCCCTTTATAAAACCATCAGATCTCATCAGACTTATTCACTATCAGGAGAACAGCATGGGAAAGACCCACCTTCATGATTTAATTACCTCCCACCAAGTCCCTCCCACAACACGTGGGAATTATGGGAGCTACAGTTCAAGTTGACATTTGGGTGGGACACAGCCAAACCATATCAGGAGGTGGAAGAGAAAAGAAGCAAGAAATATCAAAAAATATTAAGATATTTTGATATTTAAGTAGTGTGTATATGTGGGTGTATTAATTGGTGATTCCAACTTGTTTTAAAGTTTCAAAGTTGTTTGAGATGATATGTATGAGATAATTTAGTAATTCAATAACGACTTTTGGTTGTCTACTATATGGTAGAGACTGTTGTAATTTCTGGGGATACGTCAATGAATACAATAGAGCATTGCTATTTTAGGAATGGCTTCACTGATGTGATGAATATTTTATTATTCAATCTGGCTTTTAATAATTACTGGTCATAGGCCGGGCGCCGTGGCTCACGCCTGTAACCCTAGCACTTTAGGAGGCCAAGGCGGGCAGATCACAAGGTCAGGAGTTTGAGACCAGCCTGACCAACATGGTGAAACTCTGTCTCTACTAAAAATACGAAAATTAGCCAGGTGTGGTGGCACGAGCCTGTAATCCCAGCTACTCAGGAGGCTGAGACAGGAGAATCGCTTGAACCCAGGAGACGGAGGTTGCAGTGGGCCCAGACTGCGCTACTGCACTCCAGCCTGAGCGACAGAGCAAGACTCTGTCTCAAATAATAATAATAATAATAATAATTACTGGTCATTGATAAATCTTTATGTAACCTATTTATATTTTATTTTAAAATTTTATTGTTAATAATAACCAGTGTTAACTCATAACAAGTTTTCTTTGTGGTAAAAAATGAAGAAATATTTTAAAATATCATACACTTAGCTTCTCTCAAAATATTAGGTTTGTGCAAAAGTAATCACGGTTTTTGCTGTTAAACCAACCGAAATAATAATACTATAATAATATATTTTTAGAGTTTTTATCAATTTTTTTGATATATATGAAAACTAGTGGAACCCTCACCTCTGAAAAAGTCAATGCAGGCATTTCTGGTATACATATAATAATAAGAAAGTCTTAATTGTCCTGTAACTAAAACTATCTAAATCTCAATAAATTTGTGTTGAAACAAATGCGCAATTATATAGTACTAGTGAATGTCTTTCTTGATAAGAGTGTTTGCTCAAGTGTTAGAGGAATATTCTACACAGAAAAATCAAGGTTCAGACAAGAGTTCCAGGGTCAAGCAGCTAGATAAGTGTCATAAAGGAAATCATGACACAGGTCGTTTGATTTCGAGAGTGTTATTCTTTCTTTTTTATCCCATGAAATATATACTATAGGGCCAGGATGAAATAATACAGATAAGTAATCTAGTTTACATGTAACATCAATGAATATTTTCTCATACAATTAAAACATTTTCTGTATTGCTTTTCAGACTATCATAGTAGTAGAATGATCTGACTCAATTTTTAGTGAGGAAGTTATGTTCTGATGACTTAAGTTCTTATCATCCTGAACTACATATAGTCTTTTCTATACCAATGTGTAGTGTTGTCAGTTTGCGTGTTGTAAATATCTTCTTCCAGTTTGTGTCTTGCCTTTTTATTTTCTTTACAGTATTTTTTTTTATTTCAATAGGTTTTTGGGGGGCAAGTGGTGTTTGGTTACATGAATAAGTTCTTTAGTGGGGATTTCTGAAATTTTGGTGCACCCATCACCTGAGCAGTGTACACTGTATCCAATGTGTAGTCTTTTATCCCTCACCCCCCTCCCACACTTTCCCCTGAGTCCCCATTGTGTTGTACTTTTAAAGGCTCTTTTACTTCCTAATTATTCCATATTCTGATTTTAAAGTTAAAACACTCTCCAGATTAAATTCTAGATGGAAATTGTACTTTAAATTCCTTTGTTTAGCAATTTCAAATGCAGAGCTTGAGATGACAAGACATTGCAAAGTCCCTTCTACTGTGGCTTAACTTATCCCTAAACAAGAATGTGGCTGATGTCAGTGTCAGATGGTGCTTCACCTGTGGACGTTCATTTCCTTTAATATTTTGTTACAGTAACCTTCATGGCACATAAAGCCTCCTGTCTCTGAACCTGACAAACAGGGTCCAGGGAATAAGACTTAATCACTATCACAAGAAAATCACGGGAAAGACCTGCCCTCACGATTAAACTATAATTTTCTTTTTCACTTCTGCAACTTAGATCCATGTACGAAGGTGCTATTCACATTGCAGCATCTCTTTAGACACTAGTAGACTCTGGCGCTTTCACTCTGCCACAGTCTAGGTGGGATCACTTAAACCTACTTGAAAGATAAAGCGATGCTTCAATTGCCTGGACAAATCAGGCCAGACATTCATTTTCAAGCGTTATCAATGGATTTTTATAAACATTCCAAAAAACTTTAGACCGTAGTATCACAGTATTAGATGACAATAGGGATACTCGTTTCCTTGGGAAGAGAATAGCTCGAGTTATATAATGCCTGTTTAGACACAAAGTTGTCCTTTAAGTAAGCAGGAGTTACTAGTTATAAAGTAACTTATGACAACAAAAAGGCTTTGTTCTGTCTGTCCCTTAGAAAAGCTTACCATTGACCAGCCCACTGCTGCAGAAAGCTTGTTTCTATTGAGGGCTGGTTTGGTAGTGTTAGACCATCTGGCACCTCAAAACTTCTGAAACTTTTAAAGGCAAAAATAATTGTCTCCAGTAGCATTAGCTTTCAAATATAATGATGCCACCCTTTTTGGAATAGGTATCTACTCAGGAAGGTAAATGTGTTTTACTTGGGTATTTTCTATCTAATGATTTAATTTTGTATGAAAATAGAAACACAGGCTGTGGTGAAATTTTCACACAGTATAAAAGATTGAACATTGAAATGTTTCATTCTAGACACTCAGCTCTCCAGTCCCTCCCTTCCAGGTCGCCATTATTGCTGTATTATAGATCTTTACAGAAATATTATCTGTATCTCATAGATTGTACCTGTACATAACTACATATCACTCCCCCCCTTTTTGGCGTATACATAGGATATGTACGTGCATACATATTAGAGGTTAATTATTTGCTCTTAGAAATTATCTCCCTCTTGGCCAGGCACGGTGGCTCACGCCTGTAATCCTAGCACTTTGGGAGGCTGAGGCAAGTGGATCACGAGGTCAGGAGATTGAGACCATCCTGTCAAATATGGTGAAATCCCATCTCTACTAAAAAATACAAAAAATTAGCCAGATGTGGTGGCAGGCGCCTGTAGTCCCAGCTACTTGGGAGGCTGAGGCAGGAGAATGGTGTGAACCCGGGAGGCAGAGCTTGCAGTGAGCGGAGATCACGCCACTGCACTCCAGCCTGGGCGACAGAGCGAGACTCCATCTTAAAAAAAAAAAAAAAAGAAATTATCTCTCTTTTCCATAGTTGTACAGCATTTCATTATGTGAGTCTGCCATAACTTGTTTACCCAGTTACCTTTTCATGGACATATAGATTGTTTTCAGCTCAATAAGTCAAGTAGGACTTATTGAGCATCCTTGTACATATGTCTGTACACATGTTTGCAAATTCCTAGTGATAGAATTTCTGAGTCAAAAGTTATATGCATTTTAACATTTGATGGGCATTGTTAAATTATCCCTTACCCTCAAATTTGGCAGATTCTAATAATCTCTAGGAAATGTAATGACTTAAAGTAAAGGAATTCTTCATTTTGTAATCAGCCTACTGATTTCCATGAAAGGTGCATAATACATTGTCTGTGTTCACCGTCTATGTAGAACTCATTGCTCAGAGCAAACATCTGAAGGAAGAGAGATAACGGTACAGAAAGTAAATATGACTGGAGGGGAGAAAATGTGTGATTGTGGTGTGTGACTTTTTGTGGGAAACCATAGTTGTAAGTGTGAGTGGTTCATGTGGTTAAGTATTAACTGGTTATTGGTGATATTAGTGAAGATGGATCATGATTAGGGAGTTGAAGTAGGTTTAGAGTGTGATTTTGCAGAGAATGCAGAATGGGTTCCTAAGTAAGAAGATGACAGGGACATGGTTCAGAGTTGAAGCAGTAGCTCCACAATGAATGGATTAGCCTCCAAGCATGAGAGAAATCCCACTGCTTAGTATTATACACAAAAGTATAGCTGATCGCGTGGGGTTAGTTTGAACTTCCTCTGTGTTTACCCAATGTTCAGTTCCTTAAATATGTATTCAGATTATAGTAACAATGCCCTCCTGGGGAAAGTACCAGCTTTTTACTTGTGACTGAAAACGGCGCTTTCAATTTTGATTTGTTTTGACATTTTAGTTGCTGTTATTAAAATTTGTATTTTAATTTTGGCTTCAATTTACTAAATCTACATAGCTGAAGAAAACTGGAGAAACCTTTATAAAACCTTTTGAAAACCTTTAAGAGCCTTTTTCCCAGAGCCCTGTGGATTTAGTTGCATATGCTACAGGCTTGTGCTGTCAGTAGACATCTGGAATTTGAGGCTTGGCCTCCTGAGATTGTTTCCCTCTTGTCTGATGCTGCATATTTTTTAGGAAGAATATGGTTTGGAAGCATTAACTTGTCTTGGCATTATTTTTAGTCACCTAATAAAGTGCCGTCTGAATTGTTAAATATTTAGAAGGTTGCTGAAGGCTGACTCCTGCACCTGGTTGGCTAATTCAGAAGCAAATCAGCTGGTATTTCTCTTCCTGAACCCCTACCCCACCCACCCATTTTCCTGAAGAAGAAAAAGCTCTTTGAGCCTCTTTGAATGTCTATTGGAATCTTTTGGTTATGTGTTATAGAAAATATATTAAGTATTGAATCTTTTTCTTATGAATCCTAATTTTTATTTCTCCATGACCACCTGTAAAATTATCAAAGTAGATGGCATTATACTGAAGAGACAAACATTAAAAATAATTCTTTGCGTACAAAGCATAGTGCCTGAACTTCCTGGGATAAAAGGAGAGTTTTCCCTTTCATCAGGGGACTCAGGCCTCCATCCTTAGATTGAACTTTTTGCCCTTTAGGGCTGTATATTACCTTAAATAGCTACCAGCTGACACACTTTGCTGCAGGCTGATGTTAACTTGAAAGTCGAAATGTATGGACTGGTCTCTCCCTAATGGAACTTCAGTGGTAGAAGACAATGAATTGAAAACTCAGATCACGATTAGGGTCTTGAAGCTATTTTATTTTTGAATTCTAAATCCCAAGTTAGAAGGGTTATGAAAAGGAGAATTGTGTATATTTCTTTCACAAGAAATAAGTTGGATCTTTCTTTGAGTCAGAATGGGCTTACAACAAATAAACTTTTCTCCCCATGCCAGAAACTCCTCATTTTAGTAATGAATAAGCCATGATGTAGCGATTTATGTGTAATCACCTATTGACCTTCCATATGCTTCACTTTAGAGGCTCCTAAGAAGCTTTTCTTCTTTTCTTTTCTTTTTGTTCTTTGTGTTGGCCAATATAAAGAGAAACCTGTTAGAATTTACATAGAAAACATACTTGATCTTTACAGTTTTAAAAATTGTCTTTAGTGGGAAGGGTGCCTTAAGATCCACTATAGGAGTAAGATGTAAAGTTCTTATTTGAGCTGTAAAGAATCTTTTATTGCCTTAATAAAATTACTAAATAGGTCATCTTTTAACAAATTATATGAAATATAGTTTTTAAGTACAAAACATTTGTAAATTGTCCTACCCTTTGAAAGTTGTTGGCAAAGCCATACCTATAGCTCTCTTCATTTTGGCATTGGAATGTGGTTTTTATTAAGCAGTTTAGATTTAGATTTTCTTGAGTCCATTGCTGAGTTTTCCTGTGCTTCTCTGTGGTTCTGGAACTTTTTGCTTTCTCATGAAACTCTATGTCTATGTTTGAAACATGGTTTATTTAGCTAGAGATTCCTGGGTTATTCAGTGTTGATCTGATACAGGGATTGGTAGTGTCAAGCATATTCCACCTACTGAGGATTAGTGAACAATTTATTTGCACATTGGCTTAAATTGGGAAAATGTCAACTACTTCAAATGTCATCATCTAATTTATTAAGTCTCTCTGGTGATGTATTGCTTACACTGGAGGCATCTATTTTTTGTTTTAATAATTACAGGATTACAGGTGATAATGTATCAAAGAGGTGGTTGATAAAAAAGGACTGTAGAAATGTAGGTATATTACCAAGATGATATTTTGTGTACTGACTTTAAACTAAGAAAGTACTCTTTGTTTTGAGACAAAGTCTCACTCTGGTTGCCCCAGCTGGAGCGCAGTGGCACGATCTCGGCTCACTGCAGCTTCGACCTTCTGGGCTCAGGTGATTCTCCCACCTCAGCCTCCCAAGTAGCTGGGATTATCGTCATGGGCCACTACATCTGGGTAATGGAAAGTACACTTTATCTTATAGATATCAAACACAAATTCATGATGAAATGTGCTCACTTTTATAAAAGCAACTCACATTTACAAGTCTTTTAATGTATCAGTTATCAAAGAGTGCAATACTTTTGAGTAATATATTAGATATTTAGCTATTTGAATTTCACAGAATGACTTTGGATATTTACATGAATAATCTATTTGACTTTAACACTTAAAAAACAACATTTTTAGTTGCTTTCTTGTGTTTTAGTGAGAGTATAGTTACCCTGTGATTAAAATTAGTTAAGAATTTAAAAAAAATCTTTCAAATGATCCCATATTCTTTTGATGATCTGTTTTTGAATATGGATCCACTGAGTTTTGTACTCTTTCTTCGAAAGAAGCTGCCATCAGCTGGGTGTAGTGGCTTACGCCTGTAATCCCAGCACTTTGGAAGGCCGAGGCAGGTGGATCACCTGAGGTCAGGAGTTCGAGACCAGCCTGACGAACATGGAGAAATCCCGTCTCTACTAAAAATACAAAATTAGCCAGGCGTGGTGGCGCATGCCTCTAATCCCAGCTACTCGGGAGGCTGAGGCAGGAGAATCGCTTGAACTTGGGAGGTGGAGGTTGCGCTGAGCTGAGATCGCGCCATTGCACTCCAGCCTGGGCAACAAGAGCGAAACTCCATCTCAAAAAAAAAAAAAAAAAAAAAAAGAGGCTGACATCATAGCTAGATTTGTCAATATCTTAGTTTTTGTTGCTGCATAACTGTATATAAGGGAGTTTTCGGTAAGTGTCATCGTTTCTACCTTAGCAGAGGATGTCAGTTCTGAGAAGGTAGCTGATACAAAGGCAACAGTTTCTGGATATTCTACTCTCGAATTCCACAGGAGAACATACTCTTGTTCCTTTCTCCTGTCCAGGACTCAGGTACTTATCAGGCTGATAAAAGTTCCCATGCTCTTATCTTTTGGGAAGAAGGCCTAATACAAAGGATACCCTTTCTTTTCCCTCATCTTTATGCCTTGTGTTTAACCTTGGGTGTGGATACAAGATATGTGGGACTCTAACAATAACATATCATTCTTGTCTTGTTATAAGAGCCCTTTAAACAGAAAGGGTCTACTTTAGAGAAAGACTATGGTATTCCCTGTTGTTCCACGGAGTTTTTGTTTAATTCACCCTTCTGATCTGTGCATGGGGGAATGGAATGGCGTGTTTGCACATGTCCCTGATCCCAGCCATCCAGCACCCTGGGTGGTAGCTGGAAGTTTGCCCAGCTGAGAAAGATTGTTCTTTTTCTCTCCCTTTTTTATTTATTTATTTTTTTGTGTGTGTGGTGGTGGTGATGGTGCTGGTGCTGGTGGTTTCTTTTGTCTTGTATTTATGTAAAAAGTTTATTTGCTGCTCTTGAAAGATCTCAGCATGTGGCCCCAGAGTCTTTACAGACCAGGTTCCCTGTGGCCACTTTCTCTGTAAGTTTCTTCACCACAGTTCTGATGGTTGGTCTTCATGCTGATGTCAGTGCTGTTTTGATCCAAACTGTAGATTATTTTTACCTGTGAATTTCTGAATAAGCATTAGATTAACACATTTGTTTTTGAAATCAAATGTGCGTTGAGGTGAAACACGTTCTGCTAGAAAGCTCATAAAGCCATTTTGCCCCTGGGGACATACAGGTTTTTATGAAAAAATAATGAAAATATTTTAAAAGCTTGTTAAAATTTGTATAGATGGGCATATGTAAAACACATGCTATTTAAATACTGATATGAAAATAAGTTAGGAATGAAATAGAAAGAAAAATGATTTGCAAATCCAAAAAATAATACCAACATTGTATACTGTTCCCTGATAGATTTTTAGTTTTTCTGGTTTTAAATGGAATCTCTTACGACCCATGATTAAATAAGTGCTAACGGTATTGATATTTAAGCAACTCATTAGCCCTTTAGGAGATGCATATTCTGATTTTAGGGGTTCCCCCCCCCACTTTGGTCTATGCCCTGATGCAAAAAAAGTAAACTTACTTATATTAAAATTTACATTATTCTACTTGTGGTAGTGTCACCATTATAAGCACTGCATCTTTATGATGAAACTCTGCCTACAACTAGAGAAACATGTTTCAAATGGACATTTCTGTTATACTTTATTGGTATACTGTATAGCTATGTAATGCAAAAGCAAAATCACATTTGCCTTGGAATGATATCCATAATATCACTACAAAGAATTTATAATTTGGATTGGAGTTTTTTTCTTTAAAGCGATGACACTTAAAACTTCCTGGAAGATGGTGTTTCTCTGAGTGCCAGTAGTAATTTAACATCAAAATGGAAGACACATTCAATGTAGTTATTACTCACATTTTGAGTACAGTAGTTTCTCTCATTAAGTTTTATGTCAGAAACAAGTAAATTCCCTATAAGAAAACAGTCTGAATGACTTTCAGCGGCATCAAAGAGATCGAAACACTTTAAAACTATTTTCTTCATCAGTTGCCTGCTAACACCTTTTTGAAAAATAAAATTAATCAACGCGTATTTCCTTTTGTGATTTGTATTGTTTTGTACATTCACTCCCTTTTCTTTTCATGGGTTGGCTCCCAACTGGAACATGGAACCTGTGATCCATTCAAGATTGAGACAATGTAAAAGATAGAGAACTGACTTTTGGGGCAGGCAGGCCTCCAGGAAGTGGGAGTGAGCTTTCACTTCAAACTGGGTGAGGGGTGGTGGAAAGGGAGGATGCTGATTAAAATAATAAACAACTGCTGGAAAGAGAAGTTGATTACCACACTGCTGTCAGATCAGCCAGGGGAGCTGCCAGAGCCCACTGAGGCTGCTCTCCCCTGCCACAAAGCCGGCAGAAGGGACTAGATTTGCTGCGAGAGCTTTTCTCTGGACAGACAGAACACCTTTTAAAACAAGTTTAGTTCTGTTGCATTGACAGCATCCCTTAGGCCAGGCTGACCTAGGGAAATGGACTGAAACTAGCTTGGTGGTTACCATAGCAACCCAGGCTGCTGGTGTCTGGGAGAGTGAGAACCGGTGGCCTCTTGTCCTGTGTTTTGGTGTTTCTTCAGCTAAGAGTACACTCCTCCTTCGAACTCTACATAAGTCATGCTCTTTGAAAACTGGCTCTTTACCCAGGATTTTTTTTTTTTCGTTCTGAAATCGGTCTGAATGGAGGAAGTTGGTAATACTTGGCTTTTTTTTTTTCTTCTCTCATGCAAGTTTCCAGGATATAGCTTCTTTTTTTGCTGTATGTAATTGAGACCAAACTCTAAGCTTGGGGCCCTGGAGAGAACAGTTGTGGCCTGCAGGTCATTAGTGAGGTGAGCAGAAGGGAATCCTGGACTTCCCAGAGAAAGAGGAGACCATGCCAGCCTCGTGGAACACAGCTACCAGGAAATACAGAAGCAGGTCTATTCCTTGCGAACTCCGAAGTCCATGAAAAAACGGACCCACAGTGGGGTGGCTAAAATGTCCCAGCGCAAGCTGCCGCTGCTGCTGATGGACCATAGCTCAAGGGCAAGGCTTGTAAAGGATTTTACAAAGGATTTTAAAGTATAGCCAGAAAAGATACGGTGTTTAGAAGTTAAACGCTGTTGTCTGAAGGAAGTTTGCCGGAAAGATGTAGGCTTCAAGGGCTACTGGACAATGATTGGTCTGAACTTCAACTTACGGGAACTGCTGACAAAATTTGAAAAGGTATGCAGAAAGCAAACTTCATGAATGTACTTTTTTCCTTTCTTTCTTGCCTTTTTTTTCACTATACATTTAGATAGATGCTCTATTGACTCTTTGGTGGTTTAGTATAATTTATAAGGAATATTCAATTTTGCTGTCTCCTTTAAAGATGTTTTTCAAGTAAAGGGCTAATTAGCAATTACTTCCTTTGGTCAGGAGGGCTTCTCATGATGCCTGTCACTTTTAGAATTCCACATCAGAAGAAACTCTTTGTACTCAAGTCAGCTGGTAATTTAACTGAAACTTCTTTGGAGAAAAAAAAAAGAAAATGAAAATAAAATAAAAATCCAGCAAAAAACACTGGGTATTGGTGCCAAAGTCTGACTTCGTAGGCATGGGTTCTGTTCTCCATACCCCTCAGGTTTATCTGTCCAGCCACTGCCTGCCGTGCACTGCCCTGTACAGCCCTCTGCCTGGGGACTCAGCTGTGGGTGGCAGAAGTCGCTTCACAGTGACAGTGGCACATCTGACCTCAGGCTTTTTATCTGAGCGTGTCTGTTTTAAACATGGAGTGCTTGCATGCACTGTGAAGCTTTAATGCTTGGATTATTAAATGTGCGTGTAGCTCTTTTTTCCATAGGAAGGCTCCTGGCACAATCTAGATGGAGTCTAGCCTGCCAAATACTACCTTACATTTATAGTTAAAACAGAAAACCTCCACATGCGTGTATGCGCTCCTGCCCTCTTTAGCCTTTGGATGCCAAACACCAATCTTCTTCCAATTTCCAGTCTTTAAAGAAAAAGAAAGGCAGAAAGGGGTGAAGTCCTCCCTCACTTGGTATGTAAGTCAATTATTAATATTTAAAAAGCTGTGCTCAGTGGCTTTCACCGTGAATGCCCCATGGATCATTGCAAGTACAAATACTGTAGAAGCGGGACTGGATTGAGTCATTAAAAGAATAATGGGCTTTTTCTTACAAACCACAATTGCCAGAGGGAAAAGATGCAACATCATGCCATCTGAAAAGTTTGGAAGCTTTTCCAAAACAATTGCAGTCACTGCTTGCCTTTTGATGATAGGAACGTTATGGTGGGATGAATGTGGAGAGAGAAGAATTTAGCTCTTTGCTCCCTCCTGGCTGCAGTTGCTTCTCCCAATCTCTCTCTGCACCTCTACTGTAATGTAAGGATTAGGCTTGTAACACAGGGCGGACTTCGACCTCTCGCTTTAATATGTGGTTAAGCATCTAAATTCCTGAGAGTAAAAGACGGTTCTCCCTCAGCTTGCTCTCCACTTAGAAGGGGCGGGGAAGGCAAGGAATATCTTCCTTATGGCAGCTGGTAACAGCAGGTGACAAACTTTATGACCATAAAGAGGTCTGTTAGCTTGTTTTGTATAGATTTGTCTGTTTCTTCCTTTAAAGGTATAGAGCATATGTTACATGAATAATTCATTACTTAGACCCCCTGAGAGGCAGTAATTGTGGGCAATAGCTGGACTTTTGTATTGTAATTGCTGCTATTAGTCTTAAAAGTCTAGGTCAGATACCAGGGGTTCCTAACCTGCCTCAGCTTCAAGCCATTTTATTGGCAGAGTTAGAAGTTCTGGTTATATTAGCATGTTTCCCCTTTTAACTCCCATGTCTTAGTATTTGTCTTATTCCTATTTTAGTAGTTGAATTGACAGTAGAAGATATCTACTGGCTTTTTCCTGTCAAAGGCTTGATTTGGGATTTTTATTATTATTATTATCTATTTATTTATTTATTTATTTTTGAGACAAAAGGCGAACTCAAAGAAACAGTCCTGATGTAATTCTCAGTCTGAAGTTCTCCATATATGTGTATTTTTGTGTTAGGCAGTTTTATAAAAACCTATGTGAAAGTTGATCTCTTTGGCCGTATTTTACTTCTAGGAAGTTGTCGTACATGAATGTATTCTTTCCAAAGTGTTAATAAAATCCTTTGCGTATTCTTACAAAATCTGTCTCATATATTGAGATGTTGCTTCATTGGTTTATTGGCAGGAAAACTGGAATTACGGAAAAGTATCAGTACCTCACACGTCTCAAATACAACTAACCACCTTCCCCCAACAAAGCAATAATGCCATTTCTAGGGAAAGACCAAGGCCTACTGCTATAATGCAGAAGCCACAGGATCCCTTCAGAAGCTGAGTAACAGCCATTCTACACGCAGAGGTAGAGTCCCTTTACCCTCAATTCTCAGTCCTGTCTCTTCCTCAGTATTAGTAACCTGTTTCTAGAGAGAATACTAGCCTTAACGATTTACCACTTTTCATATCAGCAGTTGTCATTGTTCAGTCTGAAGTTTAGGTGACCACAGTAGAAAGGGGATTTTGCTGTATTCCTGAAGGAATTTCAGGCTTTAAGAAAACGAGGGTCCACTGTTGGACTAGTAGACTCAAATCCTGATACGCTTAGTAGTTGAGGCCAACAGCTGAGCAGCAGGCCTTCCAATGGTGGCTAATCTGGAAAGTTATAGACTGGTCAGATCATTAAAATTCCCAGGTGAAAGCAGACCTTCAGCATAACTTTAAGACAGCAGTTTTTTTGTGAAGGTAAATTGAAAGGGATATTTTAGTTGATATTTTTGAATTTTGGAGACATCCAGTGGTTTTGTGATTTTTACTGGATATAAGAATGTTTGGCATGTTATACTCATATAAGAATGTTTGGCATGTGGTTGAGCACCTTGTCTCAGCATGTGTGATGCTGGGATTGTAGTTTCCCAGCACAGGCAGGATGGGCAATTTCTTACATTGGGTACTGATTTCTAGTCTTCTAGAACCAGAAAGGGCAAGGCTAGGAGTCTCTTGCAGGCAGGAAGTATTATGTTCCTACAAGATGACAGCTCATTACAGATTAGGAAGGCCCAATTGGAGGGAACCATGCCAACTCGAGTGGTACCTAAAGAGGAAGAACTTCTTACCAGGGGAGGATGACCCCATACCAAGATGTGCCTGCCAGCAAGCAGGTCCTAATCATCTAACAAAGTGATAAGGGATGAGAAGTTGTGGCCATGGGCTCAAGGGTGACTATGGGAAGAGTTCACATTCAAAGTTGACTAGTCCACCAACACACCTCTCTGAGATCCAGCCAATAGGTAGTTTTATTTGCCACGCTGATTTTAATTAATTTTTTTCCCTGAAAGTACTTCCTAAAGGAAGTATCTCATGACTTTAGGGACTATTAACATACTGTCATACTTAAGCCATTTGCATTGTGTACTGTATTTCTTTTGTTTAATAGTCACAGAGGATAGTGTAATGGCCAATTTTAGCTCAGTGACATTTTGAGTGACTGCTGCCTTTTATTAATTTATTCAGACCTGCTACTGAATGGTTAATGATAATCGTAGTTCTCTAAGGGATTTTTTGATGTATGTGTCTGCTGTGTGTGTGAGTGCCGTTCTCTTAGTACCATTCTCTTGGTGACTCCTTGGGCAAAGATGCTTCCTATCATAACAACACAGAGAGAAACCACTCAATGCTGAATTACTTTATGGCATTTACCTCCTTTCACATGACTCTATCTTTTATAATTACAATTTGAAGCTATATTGTATTGCTCAGTTTGCCATATCTCATTTTAAAACAAATGTGTCCTCAATAAGATATAGTAAACACATTTCAAAGTCTCCTCATTTATTCCCTACTTAGCAAATATTTGTGAAGTATGTACCAGGTGCTAGTCTAAGTGTATAGATGGAGAAGACATTGATCTTATGGCCGAATGGGAGGATACAGACAAGGACATTTTCAATGACAACTGCATAATTAAGCAAAAGTAGATGAAATTATAAGAGTAATGATAGCCCTAATCTCAGTACTTGTGAAGTCTCTCCTGGAGAAATTACATTTAAACTGAGACTTAACAGATGAGTTTAAGTTGAAAGAAGGAAATGAGATTATATACCAATGTGTGTGCATGTGTGTGGCCCATGGGTGGACTTGTGTCAGGGGAAGAAATTGGGAGCTTTCAGGGTAACAGGGACTGCTTTGACATGGGTCAGAAGTTGAGAAGCTGTGTGCCCCAGGCTTGTAGTTTTAAACATTTGAAATGCGATAATTTTTCTCTGGGTTTTCTGACCTGTTCAGTTTTGATTACACGATCTGATTTGTTTGTTCAGTTTTCATCACACTATCTGAGTTTGTTCCACTTAGTAATTTGACTGTTTTCTACTCTGTTGTCTTACTTTTTTTTTTTTTTTGGAGACATGGACTTGCTGTGTTGCTCAGGCTGACCTTGAACTCCTGGGCTCAAGCTATCCACCCACCTCGAGTCTTACCTATATTTATCATCACAGATAATAGGAAAAGAACATTATTAGCATCGATTTCTTAATTCAGAAATGCTGCTGTAGACCTGATGATACCACCTCTATTGTCAGTCAAAAATGTGATTCAATAGAGTGATTAAAATCTGTGAGATTAGCTGTTGGAAGAAAATTTATAGAATAATAATTAAAATCAATAAATTAATTGAATAATTAATGACAATTACTATCCCAGAAACCTCACAAACTGTTTCAAAACATATTTACATATGACATAACCTTTGAAGATGATGTTATTTGCCTATTCTATTATTATTTAAGTAATATATATATATATTTTTAAAATCATGATTCCTCATTTTCAAAACCTAAAGCTCTGGCAGTAATCCTGCTGAGCTCCTGATAATAATTCTGAAATCTAGTCTGACTTTTGAAAGGAATGGTGGATTTATTTTCCTCTAATGATTAACTTTGTTTAGTTAGGCTGAGCTTTGGGACATGATAGCGAAATTGTTCTAACCTCATTTCTTCTTCACCTTCAGGAAAGGGGTCAGAACTCCTTCAGAAAAAAACATCACTGTTGCCACATAAGGTTAAGTAAATAGTTGGTGCAAAAATAAACCAAAATTATTTTAACAAGACCAAAGAGGATGAATCTAGTCTAGCACCCATTTAGTTGTTGAAGACTTCCTGGTGGTACTGTTCTAAATCTCTGTTTCCTGTCAGAGATTTCAGACAGTTCTGTTTATTATAATGTGAGGAAATATTTTTGCTTACATATTTAAGCAAAATATGTTTTATTTTCATGATGTTTTATTGATTTGTTTTATAATGTATATCACATAATTTGTTTATAATGTTTTATAATCAAGCTACTACTTGTAGCTTTATAATCAAGTAGTAGCTTGACTGTGAAACATTATAAACAAGTTATTTGATATACATTATAAAGTGTTTACAGTTATATCTCTATGGGTTATATCATTAGAGAAATGCCCAGTTAAGGGCAAAACTTGTAGTCAAATACTAATTATTAAATAAGTAAAAAGTAAATAAATAAATGTTTTCCCGTATTTGTGAAGTTTATCTTGATCTGAATAGTGGGTGTTGTTTACAGAAAGACTAACCACTTATCAGTGAACCTCAGTGAGCTTTTGTAGCCATCTTCTGGAGGGCTGTTCTGAGGGTTTGCATCTTATGCTTTTGATGGTGTTTTATTTAGAGAAAAGTGTGTAGTCCTATTTTTCTAACTCCTGGCTTTTCTTAACCTTCTACATTATACTTACATTGTTTTAAAATACTTTTCAAGTGAATCCTTAGGACATTGCTTCTGCCCTGTTTTCAAATGTTAGTTCAACTGCTTGAATATCTTGCCATGGCCCCTCTGTGCACATGACTGGCTTATGTTAAATGCTTGGAAGAGCATTGCTTTGTGCTTCAAGATGGATTACATTCCCATAACTAATTATCAGTAACCATTTTGTGCTGTTTAAAGTTCAGAAGGGCTTGCAGGTGACAGAGGTAAGCATCAGTAGGGCCAAGTCTCCCAGCTGTGCAGTGAGAGCCAGCCCTCTTTCATGGAACTTTAATTTATTGTAGCATTTGACGCCACATCAGGGTCATGATCTGACAGCCTCCCATGCTGACATCCTGAGTTTCAAATCAGTGCATCATTGCATAGTGATCTACGAAGAAACATGATTCATTAACTGCATTTATTTCTAAATTTTCAGTGCAAGCTTAGCCAGGACTTTGCAGTGCAGGCTTCTAAATTATTTTAAGTTCCCCCATTAAACTTTTCAAGTGAAGAAATTGCACAAAATGATTACTACATTTCCTTCCAATTTTTCAATTGTTTGGTTTTCTCCTAGCACTATAGTGGCCAATTTGCCAGTCAATCAAAATAAACCTATTAATCCACTCATACATTGATATGTGTATCTATGTGTCATCTATCTACTCTGTTTACATTAGGATCCTTCTATGTAACAGAGACTGTGAGGATACAGAAGAAATATTAAGATGATTTTCTGTTTTGAGGCACTCTGGGTATATTTGGCAAAGTTAATATGCCACCAAATGTCAAATAAAACAAAATAATGTCTGTGGATTTCCTTTTCTTTGATCACTTGTGGTTTGATTTTCTTCCCAACTTTTGATGATGATCATGTGTGGAAGGGTTTTCCACATACTGAAAATTATATTCCAACATGAACATATGATCACTGGTAGCACAGTTAAAGAAAGGTTTGTGGAACTGCTTATCATCCTTGGTTGGGCCAGCTATGCAGTCCTGTTTCATTCCCATTCGTCGTGGTAGCTGGGTTGGAAAACACATCGCCTGATCTGATGTGAGAAGGCGAATTTTCTTTATGTTCTTGGAACCCAAATGTCCTGATGTTGCGTATGCTCTTGTGAAACTTAGAAAACTATGCATCTTAATGCACCACTACTACTTCTTCTTCCTCTTCTTCCTCCTCCTCCTCCTCCTCCTCCTTCTACTTCTTCTTCTTCTTCTTTTAGAAGAAATCCCCCTCTGTCATCCAGGCTGGAGTGCAGTGGCACCATCTCAGCTCACTGCAGCCTTTGCCTCCAGGGCTCAAGTGATTCTCCTGCCTCAGCCTCCCGAGTAGCTGGGATTACAGACATGCACCACCACACCCAGCTAATTTTTTTCTATTTTTATGAGAGATGGGATTTTCATCCTGTTGGCTAGGCTGATCTGGAACTCCTGACCTCAGGTGACCAACCTGCCTCAGCCTCCCAAAGTTCTGGGATTCCAGGCTTGAGCCACTGTGCCCGGCCTTTTACTTTTTGCTTCTCTTCAATGTGAAAGGAATCAAATAGGTCAAACCACATCAGGATGTTGTAGTTTGAAGTTGTCTTGTGATTTTAGGTGTGGTTCATCGATAATGATGTATAGGAACTTAAACAGGAAATTTGAAGCCAGGTTCTCCTTGGCAATAGAGAGCAAAGAGGTGCCTTGCTTGTCGTGTCATTGAGCTTCCTGAGAAAGATGGCTACCTTACAGATATATAGCGTAAGCATAAAATCATTGCAAAACACTATCTGCACACCTTTAAATATGTCTCTTTAGAGGTCTTAAAATGCACTTCAGGACACAAAAATAGAACAGTTGTATCAGGAGATGACACCAAAGAACTTTTCAGCGGAACTTCCCTTTTTCTTTTTTTCACTGAGAATTTCTATTTGGCACATCTCAAACTATGATTATAATGAGACTGCAATTTTCTACACATAATGTTGCACAGCCTGAGAACCTTGAATCATTATCTGGCTCTGTTTCCCAGCTGCCCTATTCACTTCTCTTCTGCACTGCTCTGGGATAGAACTGCCAGTGAAATGCAAAAGATTCAACAATCTCAGAGTTTTTATTCAGCGGTTAGGCCTAATTCTGCAAACTGCAAACCACACTTTGCATTGGACCAGATTTGGTTTTGTCATTTGGGTCAGATAACCTCAGAGATCAATGGGTTTGCAAATTTGGACCATAAATCTTGCAGGAGCTGTCTATTAAACTTTGTGTTCATCTCACCCAGTCTCTAAATCTGACCCTATTAGTGTCATGTTAGACATCTCAAATCCCATCAGAAATAATACTAGGTCAGTGCTGCCAATTCACCTCATGTAACTGACATCTTCCTAACATGCTGATTGGAGTAGTGAGGTGCAAAAGGCCCTTCCTTGGGTGTTTCTGGTTAGTGGAGGTCTATGGGTGATTGAAAAACAAGCACTTAGATGCTGGTCCCTAAGCCTGGATTCTTGGTAGAATGCATGGGTGTGCTTACTAGGAGTGAATTTTAAATAAAGAAAAGCATTCTGAGTATTTAAAGTATTCCTATGTAAATTTTCACCCTGCTTATTTATTTATAACAAGAGAAACTTACAATGAGTGAGGCTGTCTTAGTCAGTTTGGGCTGTTATAACAAAATGCCATAGACTGAGTAGCTTATAAACCACAGAAATGTATTTCTCTCAGATCTGGGGACTGGGAAGTCCAAGATCATGGCACTGGCAGATTCGATATTCTAGTGAGGGCCTACTTTCTGGTTCATAGGTGTTACCTTCTAGGTGGGTCTTCACCTGATGGCAAGGGCAGGGCAGCTCTCTGGGGCTTCCTTTATAGGGGTAGTAATCTCGTTCATGAGAGCTCCACCCATGACCTTATCACCTCCCAAAGGCCCCACCTCCTAATACCATTATTGTCAGGGTTAGGGGTTCAAAAAAAAGAATTTTGGGAGGACACAAATATTCAGACTATAGCAGAGTCTTATAAAGAAAAGCTTCAGAGTAGAAGGACAATAGAACTATGGTGTTTAGGAGTTTGCTCTCCTTTACTAATTCAGATTCATTGCCTGAAATGCAAGTTTTTTATTTCTGCAGTGAGCTGTTTTACTGTTCATTACCAATGATAGCCATGGAGACTCACACCACATCTTCATACCCAGCTCTGGTCCCTGCTTTTCTGTTTGTAATTCACACTTACTTATGATACATTACTGGCTGTCATGCCAGAGTTAGCTACAATTAGGTTGCTTCCATTAAATTCAGGAGGAAAAGATAATTGCCAAACTAATATGGATAGTTATGCTGACAATTTTATAAGGGAAAAGTAGGAAAAAAATTGGATAGACACTCTATATCTTAAATTTGTTAGATTTATCTAATAAAAAGAAACTTTGAGTTTAACTTTTTGAAAACTCAGAGAAGTATAGAGATGAAAACTAAACTTATCTGTAATCCTCTTCTATAGAGGTTACACTATTTTTGTTTATTTTTGTAGTCCTATTGTGTATGTGTCAAATTATACACAAATGCATATGCCAATTAAAGTATGTACTTTTAAAAATGAAATTATCATAATATATAGTTTTATATCCTGTTGTTAAAAATATTATATCACCACTAATATATTATGATAGCTTCCACTCTTTTACTCTAAAAACAATCAGTGTGTTAAAACATTTTTATACATAAGTCTTCTTAAGTTAGATAATTTTAACATTTTTATGGCTTTTTAAAATTGCAGTAGTTTTGGGGGGAACAGGTGATGTTTGGTTACATCCATAAATTCTTTAGTGATGATTTCTGAGATTTTGGTGCACCCATCACCCAAGCAGTGTACACTGAACCTAATGTGTAGTCTTTTATCCCTCACCCCACCTCCCACCCTTCCCCTGGAGCTCCCAGAGTCCATTATACCATTCTTATGACCTTCTGTCATCATAGCTCAGCTCCCACTTATAAGTGAGAACATACGATGTTTGATTTTCCATTCCTGACTTACTTCACTTAGAATAATGGTCTCCAACTCTATCCAGGTTTCTGTGAACGCCATTATTTCATTCCTTTTTATGCCTGAGTAGTATTGTAGTATTCCATGGTGTGTGTGTGTGTGTGTGTGTGTGTGTGTGTGTATACATATATGTTTACATTTTCTTTATCCACTTGTTGACTGATTGGTATTTGTACTGGTTCCATATTTTTGCAATTGCAAATGGTGCTGCTATAAACATTCCTGTGTACATGTCTTTTTCATATAATGACTTCTTTTCTTCTGGGAAGATACCCAAGTATGGAATTGATGGATCAAATGGTAGTTCTATTTTTAGTTCTTTAAGGACTCTCCATACTGTTTTTCATAGTGGTTGTACTAGTTTATGCTCCCATGAGCAGCGTAAAACTTCCCTTTTTACCACATCCACACCAACATCTATTTTTTTTTATTTTTTAATTATGGCCATTCTTGCAGGAGTAAGGGGGTATCACATTGTGGTTTTGATTTGCATTTCCCTGATAATTAGTGATGTTGAGCATTTTTTCATGTGTTTGTTGGCCATTTGTGTATCTTCTTTTGGGAATTGTCTATTCATGTCCTTAATCAAGTTTTTGATGGGATTATTTGTTTTTATTCTTGCTGATTTGTTTGAGTTCCTTGTGGATTCTGGATGTTAGTCCTTTGCTGGATGCATAGTTTGTGAATATTTTTCCCACTCTGTGACTCTATGGGCTGTCCATTTCCTCTTCTGATTGTTTCTTTTGCTGTGTAGAAGCTTTTTCATTTAATTAAGTCCCGTCTATTTATAATTGTTTTTGTTGCATTTGCTTTTGGGTTCTTGGTCATGAAGTCTTTGCCTAAGCCAATATCTAGAAGAGTTTTTCTGATGTTATCTTCTAGAATTTTTATGGTTTCAGATCTTAGATTTAAGTCTTTGATCCATCTTGAATTGATTTTTGTATAAGGTGAGAGATGAGGATCCAATTTCATTCTTCTACATGTGGCTTACCAATTATCCCAGCACCATTTGTTGAATAGAGTAACTTTCCCCACTTTATGCTTGTGTTTGCTTTGTCGAAAATCAGTTGTCTGTATGTATTTGGCTTTATTTCTGGGCTCTCTAGTCTGATCCATTAGTCTGTGTGCCTGTTTTTATACCAGTACCATGCTCTTTTGGTAACTATAGCCTTGTAGTATAGTTTGAAGTCAGCTAATGGGATGCCTCCAGATTTCTCCCTTTTGTTTAGTCTTGCTTTGGCTATGTGGGGTCCTTTTTGCTTCCATATGAATTTTAGAGTTTTTTTTTTTTCTAGTTCTATGAAGAATGATGATAGTATTTTGATGGGAATCATGTAGAATTTATAGATTGTTTTTGACAGTATAGTCATTTTCACAATATTTATTCTACTCATACATGAGCATGGGATGTGCTTCCATTTGTTTGTGTTGTCTGTGATTTCTTTCAGCAGCATTTTATAGTTTTGCTTGTAGGGATCTTTTACCTCCTTGGTTAGGTATAATCCTAAGTATTTTATTTTTTTTACAGCTATTTTAAAAGGGGTTGAATTCTTGATTTGTTCTCGGCTTGGTCACTGTTGGTGTATAGCTGTGCTACTGATTTGTGTACATTCATTTTGTATTCTGAAACTTTACTGAATTTATTTATCAGATCTGGGAGCTTTTTGGTTGAGTCTTTAGGGTTTTTTAGGTATACAATCATGTCATCAGCTAACAGTTTGACTTCCTTTTTACAGCTAACAGTTTGACTTCCTTTTTACAGATTTGGATGTCCTTTATTTCTTTCTCTTGTCTGATTGCACTGTCTAGGACTTCCAGTGCTATGTTGAATAGAAGTGATGAAAGTGGACATCCTTGTCTTGTTCCATTTCTCAGGGGGAATGCTTTTAACTTTTCCCCATTAAGTATAATGTTGGCTGTGAATTCATCATAGGTGGCTTTTATTACCTTAAGGAATGTCTCGTCTATGCCAATTTTGCTGAGGGTTTTAATCATAAAGGGATGCTGGATTTTGTTAATTGCTTTTTCTGTGGCTATTGAGATGACCATGTGATTTTTTGTTTTTAATTCTATTATGTGTTGTATCACATTTATTGACTTGCAGATGTTAAACCATCCCTGCATCCCTGGTATGAAACCCGTTTGATCATGATGGATAATCTTTTTTATACGCTGTTTGATTCAGTTAGCTAGTATGTTTTTGAGGATTTTTGCATCTGTGTTTATCAGTGATATTGGTCTGTAGTTTTCTTTTTTGTTATGTCCTTTTCTGGTTTTGGTATCAGGGTGATACTGGCTTCGTAGAATGATTTAGGGAGGATTTCCTCTTTCTCTGTCTTGTGGAATAGTGTCAATAGGATTGGTACCAGTTCTTCTTTGAATGTCTGATAGAATTCGGCTGTGAATCCATCTGGTGTGGACTTTTTTTTTTTGGTAGCTTTTTAATTACCATTTCAATCTTGCTGCTTGTTACTAGTCTATTCCGAGTTTCTCTTTCTTCCTGGTTTAATTTAGAAGGGTTGTATATTTCCAGGAATTTATCCATCTCCTCTGTGTTTTCTAGCTTATGTGTGTAAAGGTGTTCACATTGTTCATGGTAGCCTTGAATCATCTTTTGTATTTCTGTAGTATCAGTTGTAGTATCACCCATTTCATTTCTAATTGAGCTCATTTATATCCTCTCTCTTCTTTTCTTGGTTAATCATGTTAATGGTCTATCAGTTTTATTTATCTTTTCAAAGAACCAGCTCTTTGTTTCACTTACTTTTTGTGTTTTTTGTTTGTTTGTTTCACTTTCATTTAGTCCTGCTCTGATCTTTGTTATTTCTTTTCTTCTGCTGGATTTGGGTTTGGCTTGTTCTTGTTTCTCTAGTTCCTTGAGGTGTGACCTTTCCTTGTCTGTTTGTGCTCTTTCAGACTTTTTGGTGTAGACATTTAATGCTGTATACTTTCCTCTTAGCACTGCTTTTGCTATATCCCAGAGGTTTTGATAGGTTGTGTCACTATTATTGTTCAGTTCAAATAATTTTTTAATTTCCATCTTGATATCTTTGTTAACTGAAAGATCATTCAGGAGCAGATTATTTAATTTCCATGTATTTGTTTACTTTTGAAGGTTCCTTTTGGAATTAATTCACAATTTTATTCCATTGTGGTCTTCTGAGAGAGCACTTGATATAATTTTGATTTTCTTAAATTTATTGAGGATTGTTTTATGGCCTATCATATGGTCTATCTTGAAGAATGTTCCATGTGCTGATGAAAAGAATGTATATTCTGCAGTTGTTGGGTAGACTGTTCTGCAAATATCTGTTAAGCCCATTTGTTCTAGGGTATAGTTTAAGTTCATTGTTTCTTTGTTGACTTTCTGTCTTGATGACCCCTCTAGTGCTGTCAGTGGAATATTGAAGTCCCCTACAATTATTGTGTTGCCATCTGTCCCATTTCTTAGGTCTAGTAGTAATTATTTTATAAATTTGGGAGCTCCTATGTTAGGTGTATGGACTAATCCTTTTATCATTATATAATATCCTTTCTTGTCTCTTTAGTTTTTGCTTTAAAGTCTGTTTTGTCTGATATAAGAATAGCTACTCCTGCTTGCTTTTGGTTTCCATTTGCATGTAATATCTTTTTGTAATCCTTTACTTTGAATTTTTATGAGTCCTTATGTGTTAGGTGAGTCTCTTGAAGACAGCAGATACTTGGTTGTTGGATTTTTATTCATTCTGCCATTCTGTATCTTTTAAGTGGAGCATTTAGGCTATTTACATTCAATGTTAGTATTGAGATGTGAGGTACTATTCTATTCCTTATGCTGGTTGCTGCCTGAATACCCTTTTTTAAAAAATTGTGTTGTTGTTTTATAGGTTCTGTGAGATTTATGATTTAAGGAGATTATATTTTGGTGTATTTCAAGTCGTTTTTCAAGATTTGGAGCACCTTTTATGATTTCTCGTAGTGCTGATTTGGTAGTGGTGAATTCTCTCAGCATTTATTCATCTGAAAAAGACTTTATCTCGGCTTAATTTATGAAGCTTAGTTTCACTGGATGCAAAATTCTTGGCTGATAGTTATTTTGTTTAGGGAGGCTAACAATAAGACCCCAATCCCTTCTGGCTTGCAGAGTTTCTGCTGATAAATCTGCTGTTAATCTTATAGGATTTCCCTTGTAGGTTACCTGATGCTTTTGCCTCACAGCTCTTAAGATTCTTTTCTTCATTTTGGTTTTAGATAACCTGATGACTGTATGCCTAGGTGATGATCTTTTTGTGACGAATTTCCAAGGTGTTCTTTCAGCTTCTTGTATTTGGATGTCTAGATTTTTAGCAAAACCATGGAAGTTTTCATTGATTTTTTTTTTTCAAATAAATTTTCCAAACTTTTAGATTTCTCTTCTTCCTCAGGAACATGAATTATTCTTAGATTTGGTTGTTTAACATAATCCTAAATTTCTTGGAGGCTGTTTTTTTTTTAATTATTTTTTATTTGTCTTTGTCAGATTGGGTTAGTTGGAAAGCCTTGTCTTTGAGCTCTAAAGTTTTTTTTTTCTACTTGCTCAATTCTCTTGAAACTTTCCAGTGTATTTTGCATTTCTCTGAGTGTGTCTTTCATTTCCAGAAGTTGTGATTGTCTTTTATTTATGATATCTATTTCTCTAAAGACTTTTTCATCCGTAACCTGTGTTGTTTTTTTAATTTCTTTTTTTGAGATGAGGTCTCCCTCTGTCACCCAGGCTGGTGTGTAGTGGTGTGACCTTGGCCCACTGCAACCTCTGCCTCCCAGGCTCAAGCAGTCTTCCCACTTCAGTCTCCCAAGTAGCTGGGACCACAGGTGTATTCCACCATTTCCAGCTAATTTTTTTGTATTTTGGGTAGAGATGGGGTTTCACCATGTTGCCCAGGCAGGTCTCAAACTCCTGAGTTCAAGTGACCCTCCTGCCTTGGCCTCCCAAAGTACTGGGATTACTGGCATGAGCCACCACACCTGGCCATGTTTAAAATTTCTTTAAGGTAGTTTTTACCTTTCTCTGGTGCCTCCTTGAGTAGCTTAATAATCAGCCTTCTGAATTATTTATCTGGCAATTCAGATATTTCTTGTTGGTTTGGATTGGATCCATTGCTGGAAAGGTAATGTGATCTTTTGAGTGTGTTATAGAACATTATTTTTTCATATTACCAGAACTGCTTTTTTAGTTCCCCTTCTCATTTGAATAAACTGTTTCATTGGAAAGATCTGGAACTCACGGGCTACTGTTCAGATTCTTTTGCCCCATAAGATGATCACTTGATGTAGTGGTCTCCCCCTTCCCCTAGGGATGGGGCTTCCTGAGAACCAGACTGCAGTGATGGTTGTGCTCTTCTGCGTCTAGCCACCCAGCAGGGCTACCGGGCTCCAATCTGATCCTAGGGAATGTCTGCAAAGAGTCCTGTAATGTGATCTGTCCTCAGGTCTCCCAGCCATGGATAGTAGCACCTGCTCCAGTGGAGGCTGCAGGGGAGTGAAGTGGACTCTGTGGGAATCCTTGGTTGTAGTTTGGTTTAGTGCTCTGGTTTTCTCGAATGCCAGTTATGCTAGCAGTGAAGTTGTCATGTGAACAGACTCAGGACTTGTGGTTAAGCTGATGTGTGGTAAGCAGTGGAATTAGCTGTTGTTTTCTCCTTCTTTGGAGCAGGGTTGTTCTGTTATGAGTTGCTGTCATAACTTGAGTTGGTTGGCCTCTAGCCAGGAGGTGGTGCTTTCAAGAGAGCACCAGCTGCAGTAGTAGAAGGATGGTATAATGTTGCCCTATGTTGGCCAGGATGAGTACTCAGGTCATCTCAGGTGATGGGTAAGGCTGTAAAACTCCCAAGAGCTTATGCTGTCTTGTGGCATTTGCAGTGGCAAGTTGCTTCCTTGAAAGGGTCTGTGAATTCTTTTGGTTTTCCTGGTATGTTCCTGCAGTGGTTCTTGGAGCGAAAGTTCACGGTGTGAGTCTCCAGACGCTGTTCTGTCTGCCTAAGCAGGAGCTGTGCATTAGACCTGTCTCCTATCTGCCATTTTCCTCAAAAGAATTTTAAGTCTATGGCTTTTGATATAGATTGCCAAATGTTTCCCCAAAATCTGAACCAATTTTAAAAAAATTTATAATAATTCTAATTTTACTTAAACTGCCCCCAAATGTATTTTATAAAGATAAACTATTTTTCTTTTTTTTTGGCTTTTTCATTTAATACTAGATATAAATAAATTATTGAAATTTCCCAGATAATGCATGCAATTGTTTTGGATAAATCAGTGGGATAATATTTTCTTTTATATTTAGTTATCAAAATAGATTAAGGGCAAGTAAAGTTAGGGAGACTGACTTTCTTTGTACTTTCTTTATACTTAGCCAGAAATTTTTCTGTTACAGAAGAATTAGATTGTTATTTACATGCCAAATATATGTTTTTCGTGCTTATTCCCAAGAATGATCTTTCACATCAATAATAAAATAATTAGGTTGATAAATTTAAGAACCATTTTAAATCAGATAACTTCACTTAAATATGTGCATAAAGGCTAGATCTTGTCAAAATTTCCCTCTCCCCTCTTTCTCTGTTTTTGTGTGTGCATAAGCCTGAATATATCAGTTATTCTATGCTTTTGGAAGTATTTTTGCTGACACGTTAAAAGTTTGTTTTTTTTTTAATTATACTTTAAGTTCTGGGATACATATGCAAAATGTGCAGGTTTGTTACATAGGTATACATGTGCCATGTTGGTTTGTTGCACCCATTAACCCGTCATCTACATTAGGTATTTCTCCTAATGCTATCCCTTCCCTAGCCCCTCACCCCACAACAGGCCCCGGTGTGTGATGAAACCGTTGTTACTAGTTTTTATTTCTTAAAGATGATGAACTTGTATATAAAAATATTCTTTTAACATTTTAGAAATAAATTTTATAAGACTGAAAGGACAAACTATTAGTAAATGTTTCAAAATGTGAAAAACACTTTAGTTATAGTTATGTAATATCTTAGTGACCTCTGTAAGATGTAATATTTTAAGGGAAGTTTTACCTATGTGAAAACGGGAGAGTAAGAGTCTGTTGGATATTAGGCAAAGTTCAGTGATTTGGCAACAACAGTTGTATAAGATTTCAAAAATTGCTAATTGAATCTGATATACCAACATCTAACTAGCTGGTACATGAACTATAGATTACAATACATTTTTTAAAAAAATTGAGGAGTCAGTGTATTGAACACCTTTTAAAAAATTTCAATTTAAGTTCTGGGATACATGTGCTGAACGTGCAGGTTTGTTCCATAGGTGTACATGTGACATGGTGGTTTGCTGCACCTATCAACCCATCATCTAGGTTTTAATCCCTGCATACATTAGGTATTTGTCCTAATGCTCTCCCTTTCCTTTCGCCCTACCCCCCGACATCCCCCGGTGTGTGATGTCCCCTTCCCTGTGTCCATGTGTTCTCATTTTTCAGCTCCCACTTATGAGTGAGAACATGCGGTGTTTGGTTTTCTGTTCCTGTGTTAGTTGCTGAGGATGATGGTTTCCAGCTTCATCCATGTCCCTGCAAAGGACATGAACTCATTCTTTTTTATGGCTGTATAGTATTCCATGGTGTATATGTGCCACATTTGCTTTATCCAGTCTATCATTGATGGGCATTTGGGTTGGTTTCAAGTCTTTGTTACTGTAAATAGTGCTGCAGTAAACATACATGTGCATTTGTCTGTATGGTAGAATGATTTATAATCCTTTGGGTATATACCCAGTAATGGGATTCTGGGTCAAATGGTATTTTTGGTTCTATATCCTTGAGGAATCGCCACACTGTCTTCCACAATGGTTGTACTAATTTACACTCCTACCAACAGTGTAAAAGCATTCCAATTTCACCACATCCTCGCCAGCACCTGTTGTGTACTTGCCATTCTAACTGGCAGGAGATGGTATCTCATTGTGGTTTTGATTTGCATTTCTCTAATGACCAGTGCTGATGAGCTTTTTTTCATATGTTTGTTGGCCACATAAATGTCTTCTTTTGAGAAGTGACTCTTTGAATCCTTTGCCCACTTTTTGATGGGGTTGTTTGCTTTTTTTCTTGTAAATATAAGTTCCTCGTAGATTCTGGATATTAGCTCTTTGTCAGATGGATAGATTGCAGAAATTTTCTCCCATTCTGTAGGTTGCCTGTTCACTCTGATGGTAGTTTCTTTTGCTGCCCAGAGTAATTGATAGATTCAGTGCTATTCCCATCAAGCTACCATTGACTTTCTTCACAGACCTAGAGAAAATGACTTTAAATTTCATATGGAACCAAAAAAGAGCCTGTATAGCCAAGACAATCCTAAGCAAAAAGAACAAAGCTGGAGGTACTGAAGATTTAAAGACTATAATTTTCAGAATAATAAGAATTTTGGAAGCACTTGAATTTCTTATAATTTAAGGTGAAATGAACTATTTTGCTTGAGAGCAACTCATCTGTGAATATAAAGATATACTGATTCCTAACACTTGCATTATCTATTTGCTTTTTTCTGTTTAGGACATCCAGGCAGAAATTGATGCCCACAATGACATATTTAAAAGCATTGACGGAAACAGGCAGAAGATGGTAAAAGCTTTGGGAAATTCTGAAGAGGCTACTATGCTTCAACATCGACTGGATGATATGAACCAAAGATGGAATGACTTAAAAGCAAAATCTGCTAGCATCAGGTCAGAATAGTCAATATCAAAATAAAAATAATGGGGTGGAAGGGGTAGATACTTGTGATTTTTGTATATCAGAAAGAGAAAGCGCAGCCTTACCACCACTTCTATTTCATCAGAAATAGTTTAAGATTTTAATGCAAAGCCTGTTTCCTTGAGTTATATAGTTCAAGCTCTATTTGTGTCCAATACTTTCTGCCACCTGTTCTAGACTATTCATAAATGTTCATATATTTTAAATCTAACAATACTAGTAACAATACTGTTAGCAACATCTGCTAATTACTGAGTGTTTACCTTGACTAAGTACTTGTTAGGATCTTTACAAATGTTACTTTATTTCGTAATCAAAAAATCCTAGTAAGGTGGGTGGTAACATTATTTCTTCTATGAGGAAACAGAGGTTTAATGAATATAAGGAACTTGCCAAGTTTTGGGGCTAAGAAGTGCCAAGTCAGAGTTTGAATCTAGATCTTTTTTACTCTTGGCAGTGAACATGTTTTGCTTAATCATGTTGTTTTTTATGCCTCATTCAAGATGTATTTATAGAAATTAAATATCTCTTATGGACACTAAAATGGAAAATTGATGATTCATGTCTGCATTTGGAGAGAGTAAAATTAAATAAGGATGAACCTTAGGACCAGAATTCTGACTAGGAAAAGACCTTGAAAATTACCCAGAGAGACAGTATGATTAGTGTTATTGGGATCAAGAATATTTTAAGATCATATTTAATAGAGAGTGGACAGCTCCTAATTATATATAAATTTAGTGAATACTGGCTGAAAAATATGTTATTGAGCAAAAATCTAAAAGCAGAACATTGGCAGGAAGTCCTGGATCAGCTTTTGTTTTGTTTTGTTTTTTGCCTTGTACCAAGTGTACATCCTTTAAACCAAATGGTCTTGAATTTGACTCTGACTTCACTATTTACTCTCTGATCTTGAACAAACTACTCAGCCTCTTTGAGCCTTGGATTATTTTATTTACAAAATCAGAATAGAAATATTTAACACTCATGATTGCTATGAAGATTTAATGGAATGGTTTGATAGTTCCCTAATCTATGTAAATCCTGCCTAAGAAAGCATCTAGTTAAGTATTTTTATACATAAAGGGGCTCACTGGATCTGCCTCAGCTGGTTTCAAGATTTAATGGAGAACAGAATTTTCAATGATTACTTATCATAAATGAATTAAAATTTTTTTTTCTAAGATGTATTGAAAGGTTTTTATTCTTCTGGAGCTCAGAGAGTGGAATTTGCAGTTCCTCTTACATGTGAGGAAGGGAGCAATGCAGCATGGACATGGATGCTCTGTGTAAAGTTCCCATTGGGAAATACAATAGGTCAGCATTGGCCAACTACTTTTTCTTAGTAAGAGAAGAAAATTAGGGAGTTCTATGTAGTGAGGGATTATACTTTTTTAAGATTTGAATTTTCAACTGCCTAGATCCCATCAGGTTGCAACTTTCCATTCCTCATAAATATGAACAAAAATATTTAAAATATTAATAGTGAAAAGCATTCACTGAGCATCCAGCAAGTCATCTATGCCAGCAACCTAAGAATTCCAGAGCTGGCCCTAGTGAAGATGGTATACATGGTGCTGGGATTTTCAGAGGTTAGAGAATGACTTATTTAGGAAGAATAATTTAATGAAGACCTATATCATAAACAGATCATTCTAAGTAAAAAGTTACAGACAAGAAATTTTTGGTCTTTCTTGGGAGTTATTGCCTAAGCCTATCATGACACATTTTTTTTTAACCTGGAAAGAAAGAACTTATAAACTACAGTTGGAATATTATGTAATAAGTAAGTTAACATTATTTTTAGAAGATGGGAGAATATGCTTGTGGCAGTGGACTTTTGCATTAAGGTAGATCAGACATTCCAGTAAAATGTAATAATAAATTAATGTGATAATGAATTAAAATAACTTTTACTTTGATTAGTCACCTCAAGAGATTCAAGCACTTATTCAAGCATGTAATAAAAACTTATTTCTGTGCTTAAGGCATTGCTATTAATAAGATGTAGTCCCTACCCCTAGAGGTTCACAAATCTGTTTAGATTAAGGTAGGGCCCAAAGCAGAGAGTGGTTACTCTCACTTCAGATGATCAAAGAAGGCTTCATAAAAGAGGTCATTCCTTAGCTGAGCCTTGAAACATATATAGTTATTCCCCAGATAGTCTAGGTGATGACTGGGGAAGGGTAACTAAGTTAGGGGCTTGAAATAACACTGTGTTGATATGAAAATCAATACATTAAGTCTGGCTGAGAATACAGTTTGCTGCTGGTGTCATGGGGAAAAGACTATGGCTAACAAAAAGACAGAGGTGTAAGAGACAAGTCATGCACACCTATGTGTAACCAAGCTCCCTTCCATTGTGGATGGAATTGGGAGCCTTTTGAGTAACATGATTAGATTTGGGCTTTGGAAGAATCCCTCACACAGCTACGGAGGATGCCTCGGATGAGCCTGTTCTGAAGAGGGGAGACCTGGTAGGAGACACTTTCGGCATCTAGGAAAGGGAAGAGAGATTGAGCAGATAATTAGTTCACGTTGTTAAGACACTGGTGAGACATCCAGGAGAAGACAGCCAAAGCCATTAGATGGAGATCTGCTCTTCAAAAGAGAGCAGTAGGTGAAATAGACAGACGGGAGGCGGTGTCCAGAGACAGGTGGCAGGTAACCATTGTGAGTTAGTTATTAGAGAGGTTGAAACATTAGAAGAGGGCAAAGAAGTCCAAGAAACTCTAATACATAAGGAATGGTGAAGGAGAGGGAAGCAGCAAGGAAACTGAGAAGTCCCTATCCTGAAGAGGGATGAGATCCAGGAATGCTGTCGAGAGCCAAGGAAAGAGGGATTTCTAAAAGAAGTGCATAAGTAATGGTGCAAGCTGCTTGAGGAAGTGGAGTAAGATCAGGCCTGCAGAGTCCAGGAGCAATTAGAAGGGCTTTGGTGGCCTTTTGCCAGGGCCTTTTTTTTTTCTGGTTGAGGGAGAAATCTGATTGCAGAGGACTAAAGAGACAGAAGGGGAGGTGAGTACGTGGAAAAAGAACTGAGTCTACTCAGTCTCGTTATCTCAAGGAACTCATCTGTGAAGGGAAGAGGAGGGAAGAATGCATTTGCTCTATTATTATAGTTGATAGTATTGCAAGTTTATAACAGCTTGAAGCTGTATCTGTATCTATATTAACCTGTCCGTGCTTTTACAGAGATTAGATATGGCTTTTAAAAATTTTTTTAATTTTATTTTTAATGTTTGTGGGCATATAGTAGGTGTATATATTTATGGAGTACACGAGATATTTTGGTACAGGCATGCATGCAATGCATAATAATCACATCGTGGAAAATGTGGTATCTATCCCCTCAAGCATTTATCTTTTGTGTTACAAACAATCCAATTATACTTTTTTAGTTATTTTAAAATGTACAACTAAGTTATTATTGACTATAATCACCCTTGTTTTGCTATCAAATACTGGATCTTATTCATTCTTTCTAACTGTTTTATACCTATTAATCATCACCACTTCCTCCCCATCACCCCCCTGCCCCACCAACTACCCTTCCCAGCCTCTGGTAACCATCCTTCTACTCTATCTCCATGAGTTCAATTGTTTTGATTTTTAGATCCCCAAAATAACTGAGAATAGTCAATGTTTGTCTTTCTGCACCTGGTTTATTTCACTTAACATAATGATCTCCCCTTCCATCCACATTGTTGCAAATGACAGAATGGTGGAATAGTACTCCATTTTGTATAAATACATTTTCTTTATCCATTTATCTGTTGATGAACACTTAGGTTGCTTCCAAATCTTGGCTATTGTGAACAGTACTGCCACAAACATGGGAGTGCAGATATTTCTGCGATATACTGATTTCCTTTCTTTTGGGTATATAGCCAGCAGTGGGATTGCTGGATCATATGGTAGCCCTATTTTTAGTTTTTTGTGGAACCTCCAAACTGTTCTCCATAGTGTTTATATTAACTTACATTCCCACCAACAGTTCACAAGGGTTCCTTTTTCTCCACATGCTAGACAGCATTTGTTATTGCCTGACTTTTGGATAAAAGCCATTTTTAACTAGATTAGGTAAGTTTAGCTAAAGGCGTAAATGATCTCTTCTTTATTTTTATATTTAAAAAATGAATAAGATAAAATTAAAATAGCATGTTTGTTATTACTTGGATATTTATAAAAGATAAAATAGTTTGTTATTTAATTTAGCCTCTGCATTTGCCAAAAATGGTGGCACGTGGTATGTGTTCAGTAATTGTTAGCTATTATTATTCTCATTGATTACCTCTTTGTTTGGCACTAATTTAAAATACACAGGAATTCTCTCTACCCTATGTTTTTCTCTCGGTCGGTAATGTTGGGGATTTCTGAGAAGGTCTCCCAAAACAGCTTCCCCCTTTGCTGGCTGGATTCTGAACAAGTATGAAACAAAGTGTGCTCAAGGGGCATTCATCATGTGGCCAATAGAGAACTCAAATGCCATGTTAATTACTGATAGAGGCCAGGTTGGAGGTGGTAACTTAGAGTGAAGGTGAGTGGAGCTGTCAACCAAACCCCAGAATGAGGCAGAATCACCAGCAGTCACTGGGCAAGGTGGCTTCCCAAGTGAGAAACCATACATGGAAGAGTAGAAAAGAACTCAGTATCTTCATGGCCTGTCGTCAAGTGGACCGTATGGGCTGAGCTAAGCATGCCCAATTATTCTCCCTGAATTTACAGATCAGATTCGTCACTCTACCTTTGCAGGGACTGTTTCAGGGGTGGAGAAGAGACCAGAGTGTGCTTAGTGAGAAAATCCCTCCCCAAGGAGTGGGAGGAGTGTTCTCATAACAAATCTGTAGAGGCAATCCACCTCCCAGGCTCCTGGCTCCTTCATTGCCTACTGAAAGTGATCACTGTGGAGCACACTGTTCAGCCCTACTTCTCTGTTCTTTCCTCTCATTCCTTTCATGCACAATCTGCTCCTTATACTGCCTTCTATTGTGAACACATTCTCCTATGTCTCAAATATTTCTCGAAACTTTTCCATCACTTTTCTCTCTAAATGTTGGGTTTCCCCTTAATTGCCTACTTCGCTTGAAACTCTTTTCAATAGAGGTTAATTTCCTCATTTTCCTCACCTAGCAGCCAATGAGAATATTCTGAATCTCTACCAACTGCTATGGACACCAAACGGCCTGAATACCAGCCATAAACATCAAATGTGGTGCCAGAAAACACTGGCTGAAAAGGGAGCCCTGTCACACAGGGATAAGAGGGACAATTGCCAGCCTCATTGTGACTCATTAAGCATTGCTTCTCCATCTTTCAACAACATCTCCTTAGAAGTGAATGCATCCATTATCCTAATCTTTCATCATCTTATTTCTGCTTCTTCCTGATCTATATATAGGACATGCTTCTACATTCCTCATTAATTCAAGTGTCCCTTTACTTTTTTTTTTTTTTTTTTGAGACAGAGTCTTGCTCTGTCGCCCAGGCTGGAGTGCAGTGGCACGATCTTGGCTCACTGCAACCTCCACCTCCTGGGTTTAAGTGATTCTCCTGCCTCAGCCTCCCAAGTAGCTGGGATTACAGGTGGCTGCCACCACACCCAACTTATTTTTGTATTTTTAGTAGAGACGAGGTTTCATCATGTTGGCCAGGCTGGTCTCAAATTCCTGACCTCAGGTGACCCACTCGCCTTGGCCTCCCAAACTGCTGGGATTACAGACGTGAGCCACCACGCCCAGCCCCATTTACCTTTTATTCTCCATCCTTTTCTCCACTATTATTGTTGGTGCCAATATCCATATTCACAACTTTTTATATTTTGATTTCCAAGTTTCTTTTTACTTTATCTGTAAATGCCTTTATCCCTGTTCTAAGTCCCGTAGACCTTGTCACACTGGGAGTCAGTTAACATTTCCTGTCATCTTGGCATCCCTGAGATAATCAATTTCCAGGAGATCAAGGGCAGACTGTTTTCCAGAGTACACATTTTATTTTATTACATTCGACCTGGCCATGTGCATCTGAATGCAATTGGTTTTCCCCTATTAGTTAGTGAAGAGCCCTCTGTTGTATCAAATCAAATAAGAATTGTTTTCAACCTCATCAGTAAGATGGCTCTCCTTCACATTAAGGTTATGAGTCCTATCCAGGGGGGTGCCTTCCTTCATTAGCTTATTATATACTGGACCTGTCTATCTACTGTTATTTAACTTTACAGTTTTATCCAGTTCATTTTTATTTTTTACTTATTTATTTTTTAAAAGTTTTACAATTTCAGTAGCTTTAAGGGTACAGGTGATTTTAGTTACAAGGATGAATTGTATAGCGGTGAAGTCTGAGATTTTAGTGCACCCATCACTTGAGTACTGTACATTGTACCCATTTTGTAGTTTTATTTTTTTTATCCCTCACTGCCTTGGTAACCTCCCCGACCTCTGAGTCTCATATGTCCATTATATCACTGTGTATGCCTTTGCATACCCATAGCTTATCTCCCACTTGTAAGTGAGATCATGTAGTGTTTGGTTTTCCATTCCTGAGTTACTTTATTTAGAATAATGGCCTCCAGCTCCATTCAAGTTGCTGAAAAAGACATTATTGTATTCTTTTCTATGGCTGAGTGGTATTTCATGGTATACACATACCACATGTTCCTTATCCACTCATGGATTGATGGACACTTAAGTTGGTTCCAAATCTTTGCAATTGTGGATTGTGCTGTGATAAACATACGAGTGCCAGTGTCTTTTTGACATAATGACTTCTTTTCCTTTTGGTAGATACCTAGCAGTGGTATTGCTAGATCACATAGTGGATGTACTTTTAGTTCTTTGAGGAATCTGCTTAGAGATTGTACTAATTTGCATTCTCACCAGTGTTTAAGCATCCCCATTTCACCACATCCTCATTGACATCTATTGTTTTTTGACTTTTTAATAATGGCCGTTCTGGTCAGGGTAAGGTGGTATCTCATTGTGGTTTTACCAGCATTTCCCTGAGGATTAGTGATATTGAGTGTTTCTTCATATGTTTGTTGCCCAGTTGTATATCTTCTTTTGAGAAATGTCTAATCATGTCATTTGCCCACTTTTTAGTAGGATTATTTGTTTTTGTTCTTGCTAATTTGAGTTCCTTGTAGATTCTGGATATCAATTCTTTGTTGGGAGATTCTGGATATCAATTCTTTGTTGGGTGCATTGTTTACAAATATTTTCTCTCATTCTGTGGGTTGTTTTTTTGCTCTGTTGATTATTTCTTTTGCTGTGCAGAAGCATTTTAGTTTAAGTAGGTGCCATTTATTTATTTTTGTTCTTGCTACATTTGCATTTGCTTTTGGGGTCTTAGTCATAAATTCTTTGCCTAGGCCAATTTTCAGAAGAGTTTTTCCTAGAATTTCTTCTAAAATTGTTAATGGTTTCAGGTCTTAGATTTAAGTCTTTAATCCATGTTGAGTTGATTTTTGTATATAGTGAGAAATAGGAATTCAGTTTCATTCTTCCACATGTGACTTTCCAGTGTTCCCAGCATCATTTATTGAATAGCATGTCCTTTTTCCAATTTATGTTTTTGTGTGCTTTGTCAAAATCAGTTGGTTGTAAGTATTTGGCTGTATTTCTAGGTTCTCTATTCTGCTTCATTGGTCTATGAAGATGCTTGATATAATTTTGATTTTTAAAAATTAATTGAGACTTGTTTTGTGGCCTTATGTATTTTGGAGAATGTTCCATATGCTGATGAGAGGATTGTATATTCTTCAGTTCTTGAGTAGAATGTTCTGTAAAAAGCAGTTCAGTGCGCTTGTTCTAGAGTGTAGTTTAAGTCCAGTGTTTCTTGGTTAACTTTCTGCCTCAGTGATGTGTCTAGTGCTGTCAGTATAGTGTTGAAGTCCCCTAATGTTAATGTGCTGCAGTCTATCTCTTTTCTTAGGCCTAGTAGTAATTGCTTTCTGAATTTGGTAGCTCCAGAGCTAGACACATACATGTTTAGGATTGTAGTATCTTCTTGTTGGATTGATCCTTTTGTCATTATATAATGACCTTCTTTGTCTTTTTTTTTAACTGTTGTTGCTTTTAAAGTCTGTTTTATCTGATATAAGAATAGCTACTACTGTTCACTTTTGGTTGCCATTCGCATGTCATATTTTCTTCCACTTTACCTTGAATCTATAAGAATCCTTATGTGTTAGGTGAGTGTCTTGAAGAGACACTTTGGGTGTTTTTATCCATTCTGCCACTATGTCTTTTAGGTGGGAAATTTAGACCATTTATGTTCAATGTTATTATTAAGATGTGAGGCACTGTTTCAGTTATCATGTTGATTGTCACCTAGACACTTTGTTTTCTTTATTGTGTTATTGTTTTATAGACCCAGTGAGTTTTATGCTTTCAGAAGGTTCTGTTCTGGGGCATAATGACCTTTCATTTCAAGATTGAGAACTCCTTTTAGCATTTCTTGTGTGGCTGGTCTTGTATTGACTTGCATATGTTGAAACATTCCTGCGTCCCTGGGATGAAACCTACTTGGTTTTGGTGAGTTATCTTATTGATGTGCTGTTGGATTTGGTTTACTAGTATTTTGTTGAGGATTTTTGCATCTATGTTCATCAGGGATATTGGTCTGTACTTTTGTTTGTTAGGTTGTTTCCTGGTGTTGGTATCAGAGTGATAATGGCTTCATAGAATGAGTTAGGGAAGACTTTCTCTTTCTCACCTAACGCATAAGGATTCTTATAGACTCAAGGTAAAGAGGGTGAAAATATATTATTTGCAATTGAAAACCAAAAGTGAGGAGTAGCTATTCTTACATTAGATAAAACAGACTTTAAAGTAAAAACAATCAAAAAAAGACAAAGAAGGTTATTATATAATAATGAAATAATCAAACAAGAAGATATTATAATCCTAAATATATATGCATATGACAAATTCCTTTGGCATTTGGCTGTGTGAAAAATACTTTATTTCTCCATCATTTATGAAACTTAGTTTTGCTGAATACAAAATTCTTGGCTGACGGTTTTTTCTGTTTAAAGAGGCTACAGGTAGGATCCAAATTCCTGTTAGCTTGTAAGGTTTCTACTGAGTCTGACTTAGCAGTCTGCTAAGTCTGCTGTTCATTCGATAAGTTTTTCTTTATAGGTTACTTGATGCTTTTGTCTCAGTGCTCCTAGAACTGTTTCCTGCATGTTGACATTAGATAGCCTGATGACTATATGCTTTGCTGATGTCCTTTTTGTAGTGAGTCTCCTAGGACTGCTTTGTGCTTCTTGTATTTAGATGTCTAATCCCTAGCAAGGCTAGAGAAGTTTTCCTCAGTTATTTCCTCAAATAAGTTTTCAAAACTATTTGGTTTTTCTTCTCCCTCAGGAACACCAGTGATTCTTAGATTTGGCCCTTTTACATAATCCCATATTTCTTGAAAACTTTGTTCATTTCTTTTCATTCTTTTTTCTTTAATTTTGTTTGATTGGGTTAATTTGAAAGCCTTGTCTTTTGACAGGCTTTTGACAGAATTTTGACAAGGCTCTGAAATTCTTTCTTATACTTAGTCTAATCTATTAAAACTTTCCACTGCGTTTTGTAATTCCTTAAATATGTATTCCATTTCCAGAAGTTCTGTTTTTTTAAATCTATCTCATTAGAAAATTTTTCATTCATATCTTGAATTGTTTTTATAACTTCTTTATGTTGTTTTTCACTTTTCTCTTGTATCTGGTTGAGTAACTTAATAGTCATCCTTTTGTATTCTTTATCTGGTATTTCCAAAGATTTCATATTGATTTGGATTTATTGCTGGAGAGCTAGTGTGATCATTTGGTGGTGTTAAAGAACCCTGTTTGGTCATATTGCCAGAATTATTTTTCTGGCTCCTTCTCATTGCAGAAAACTATTTATTCTAATTATTTTTTAATTTATTTTTTGTTCGACTATGTGTTCTTTTAAATTTCTTTTTCTCTCCTTGAGGATGTGATTTTAATGACTCTAGTTTATTGTAACCCAATTCAGCTCTGCATGGTTTCAGGGGTGAAGACTCTGTATGAGTTCCTTGGTTATAGAGTCTGTATGATGGCTTTCTCAGATACTCATTGTAGTAGTAATGTGCTTGGTGTGTGAGTGGGTTCACTGTCTCCTGTGGCATTGGAATGGCAGTGGTCTCTTGAAGGTTATCTCATTCCCCAGTGGTGTGCACTTATTTATTTTATCCAGTATTTCATTTACTAGGTTGAACAGTTCAGGTTTCAGGCCAGTAGTGGAGGTGTCCATGAGTAAAAACCAAACAGGTGGGTAATGTAATACCCAGTGATGCACAGAGGTCCCAGCCTTGACAGAGGCAGCTAGGGGATCTCTCAGGGAAATGCACTGAGGTCTTTTCAGGGAAAAGGGAGGAAGCTACCTCAGCCCTCCTGTCAGGCCAGCAGGAAAGCCCCACTACCCAGTCACTCTCCTGACCCAGTTTCCTGGCTATTCAGATGACACAGATACCTCTTTCCATCTGTAGGAATGCTGATGTTACATATAGAGAGGGACTGTGACTCTACCCCTCATGTAAGCCTGAACCTGGAAGGTACTTCTCTTGTGGGGATGCAGTCACCCCACTGTTCTAGAATGGCTGTCTACAGGTGCACCCACGCCAAGCTCCTGTGGGAGCAGCCCCAGGTGTGTCTGCAATGGTGGGTGAAGGAGAGAAGTCCCCTCCTCCAAGACCCTTCAGGAGCACCAGGGCTGCCTGACTCTTGGGGCAGAGCTGCAGACTTTCTCCACTGAGCCCAGCATTACACCCATGCCTCTGCTGAAAGAAACTTCCCACAGGTGGAAATGTCTGGGAGTCAAGGCCTGCTGTCTTCATTCTTTTGTCATTCTTTTGTCCCACGGGTTGCTCCCTTGATGTGGAGCACTCCCTCTTTCCCCTAGGAGGAGGAATCCCTGAGGGCCAGACTATTGTGAATGCTGCTGCTCCACTCAGTCTAGCAACCCATTTGGACTGCCACAGTCCAGGCTGGTGCAGGGGGAATGTCTGCAAGGGATCCAGTGATGTGACCTGTCCTGAAGTCTCACAGCAGTGGGTGCCAGCACCAGCTCTGAGGGGGGTTGCAGAGGAGTGATGTAGACTCTGTGATATTCCTTGGTTATAAATAGCCTTAGTGTGTTGGCTTTCTCACATGCCATGTGTAATAGTAACGAACAGGTCACGTGGGCAGACTCAGGGCCTCCTGGTTAGCCAGGGTGATGCAGGTAATGGTGACGGCCAAGGTCACACAAGTTTTCCCCTTCCTGGTGTGGTGTTATTCTCCTTGCAGATGCTATCATGGAGTGAGTCAGTTGGCCTCCAGCTAGAAGGTGGCACTTGGAAAAGGGCACTGGCTGTGGTGGTACTGGTGGGATTTATGCTTTGCCTTATGTTACCCAGGGGAGGTACTCTGGTGTCCCAAGCAATGGGAGGGGCCATAGAGCTCCCAAAAGTTTCTGTTTTTTTTTTTTTTTTTTTTTTGTGTGTGTGTGTGTGTGTGTGTGTGTGTGTGTGTTAAGCTACCAGGAGGAGTGAAGGGGCAAAACCAGGAGGGAGGTGGGTCAGGCAAGTCCATGCTCTGGCTCTCCACAGGCAGACGCAAGCAGCAGCCCTAGTGGGATTGGAGGACAGTTTGCTGGCTGCTGGGGTAGTGTTCCAAGGAGGAGCACAGCTGCCTCTGCTGCACAGAAGAGTGCAAATGAGGGGGGTGTAGCCAGCAGCAGTAAGACCCACCTAGCTTCCCTGCACTTGGCAAGGCAGGTCTCACATCTGCAGCATTCCACTAACAGCAACAGCTAGCAAAGTTCCAGCCAGTCTGCACTGAAACTCAAAACTGCCCCAGATCATAAGCCTTCCCAGTGGAGATGGAAACTGCAGGGCTTTCAGGCCATGCCCATCCTCATCTGCCCATGAAGCAGGGGCACCCAGCTCCTATGCCCACTCAAGTTTATATCATGAATTTCAGTTGGGAGCATCTCTTAACCTGCGACCCGTGCCTGAGTTAATTGGCTGACCTCCACAAGGTCTCCTGTGAGACAGGATCAGGAATGACTTCCCTTCATCCCTCTGGAGACTGGGAGTGCACACACAGCACATCCCGATGTGGTTCCTTCTCATCTACTCCCCATTGCTCACTACACCAGCTCCGGAGCTGGGTAGGGTTAAGGCCTTTTCCCTGACCTGGATTGCCAGGTTCCCCGGTGGGTGTGTATGTGCTGTAGGCAGTTTCTCCCTTTTTCACACTCTGGGGACTTACAATTTTTGGCCTGGCTCATGATATACACTGCAGCCTGCTGCTTCTTTCAAAGGGTCTGTGGTGTCTGTCAGTTTTCTTGTTAAGTTCCTGTGTTGCTTCTTGGAAATAAGTTCACAGTATGAATCTTTACACACTATTTCGTCTTTCCAAGTGGAAGAAGCATGCTAACAATGCTTCCAATTCAACATCTAGGGAAAAAAAAAGTTTTATTCAGTTTATATGCTAGATCTACAATATTTCAACTTGATTATTTATTTATTTATGGAACAGAGTCTTGCTCTGCTGCCCAGGCTGGAGTGCGATGGTGCAATCTTGGCTCACTACAACCTCCATCTCCCAGGTTCAAGTGATGCTCATGCCTCAGCCTCCCATGTAGCTGGAAATACAGGCACGTGCCACCATGCCCAGCTAATTTTTGTATTTTTAGTAGAGACAAGGTTTCGCCATATTGGCTGGGCTGCTCTCGAACTCCTGGCCTCAAGTGATCCACCCTCCTCGGCCTTCCAAAGTGCTAGGGTTACAGGCGTGAGCCACTGCACCTGGCCCCAACTTGATTATATTTAAATGCACATCCTAAAGTATTTTCAACTGTCAAATTCTCCAGCTTTTAAACATTTATTCCTTTTTTTTCCTGAATTTTCACATCTTTCTTCTAATCTTCAGTTACTTAAACCCTTCCTCTTTTCAGACTCCATTAATCCCTTCTACCTAGTTTGGAGCCCATCATAAGATACTTCAGCAGTGTCAAGAGCTTGAATTTCCTTTCCCCTTTTAACTTCTTCTATTTCCCAGTCTCTGACATTCCAATGTCCATACTCTCTCTATCCCTTGTCTTTAATCTTGGATTCTGCCTAGTGTTGCACTAGAAAGTGAAAAATGGTAACATTGATCCTGCTATAATTTGATACTTTCTACTTAAAATTGGCATTGTGATTTGCAATGATTTTCTATTATATTCACCACCTTGTCTATTTTATTTTATTTTTTAATTATTTATTATTTAGATTTCATGTTTATTTTATTTAACTTTTACTTTCAGTTCAGGGTACATGTACAGGTTTGTTATATAGGTAAACTAGTGTCATGGGGGTTTGTTGCACAGATTATTTCATCACTCAGGCATTCAGCCTAGTACCCTATAGTTATTTTTCCTGATCCTCTCCCTCCTCCCATCTTCCATCCTCTGATAGGCCCCAGTGTTTGTTGGTCTCCTCTATGTATCCAAGTGTTCTCATCATTTAGCTCCCACTTATAAGTGAAGACATGTGGTATTTGGTTTTCTGTTCCTGCATTAGTTTTCTCAGGATAATGGCCTCCAGCTTCATCCCTGTTCCTGCAAAGAACATGGTCTCGTTCTTTTTCATGGCTGCATAGTATTCCATGGTGTATATGTACCACAGTTTTTCAATCCAGTCTTATCATTGATGGGCATTTAAGTTGATTCCATGTTGTTGCTATTGTGCATAGTACTACAATGAACATACATATGCATGTGTCTTTATAATAGAATGATTTATATTCCTTTGGGTATATACCCAGTAATGGGATTGCTGGGTCAAATGGTATTTATGTTTTTAGGTCTTTGAGGAGTCGCCACACTGTCTTCTCAATAGATGAACTAATTTACACTCCAACCAACAGTGTAAAAGTGTTCCTTTTTCTCCTCAACCTTGTCAGCATCTGTTATATTTTGACTTTTTACTAATAGCCATTCTGACTGGTGTGAGATGGTATCTCATTGTGGTTTTGATTTGCATTTCTCTAATGATCAGTGATGTTGAAGGTTTTTTTTTAATATGCTTGTCAGCTGCATATATGTCTTCTTTTGAAAAGTGTCTGTTCATGTCCTTTGCCCACTTTTTATGGTGTTTGTTTTTTCCTTATAAATTTGTTTACATTCCTTATAGATGCTCAATATTAGACCTTTGTCAGATGCATAGTTTGCAACAATTTTTTCCCATTCTGTATGTTTACTCTGTTGATAGTTTCTTTTGCTGTGCAGAAGCTCTTTAGCTTAATTAGATCCCATTTATCAAATTTTTGCCTTTGTTGCAGTTGCTTTTGGTGTCTTCATCATGAAATTTTTGCCCATTCCTATGTGTAGAATGGTATTGCCTCAGTTGTCTTTCAGGGTTTTTTTTTTTATAGTTTTGGGTTTTACATTTAAGTATTTAATCCATTTTGAGTTTATTTTTCTATATGATATAAGGAAGAGGTCCAGTTTCAATGTTTTGCATATGGCTAGCCAGTTACCCAGCAACGTTTATTGAATAGGGAATCATTTCCCCATTGCTTATTTTTGTCAGCTTTGTCAAAGATCATATAGTTGTAGCCATACAGCCTTATTTCTGAGTTCTCTGTTCTGTTCCATTGGTCTATGTGTCTATTTTTATACCAGTACCGTGCTGTTTTGGTTACTATAGACCTGTAGTATAGTCTGAAGTCAGGTATCATGATGCCTCCAGCTTTATTCTTTTTGCTTAGGATTGCCTTGGCTATTGTGCTCTTTTTTGGTTTCATATGAATTTTAAAATAGTTTTCTCTAGTTCTGTGAAGAACATTATTGGTAGTTTAATAGGAATAGCATTGAATTTATAAGTTACTTTGGGCAGTATGGTCATTTTAATGATATTGATCCCTCCTATCCACGAGCATGGAATGTTTTTCTATTGGTTTGTGTTGTCTCTGATTTTTTTGGGCAGTGTTTTATAGTTCTCCTTGTAGAGATCTTTCCCTTCCCTGATTAGCTATACTCGTAAGTAATTTATTTTTTTGTGGCAGTTGTGAATGGGATTGTGTTCCTGCTTTGGCTCTTGGCTTGACTGTTGTTGATGTGTAGGAATGCTAGTGATTTTTGCACATTGATTTTTTTTATCCTGAGACGCTGCTGAAGTTGTTTATTAGCTTAAGGAGCTTTTGGGCTGAGACTATAAAGTTTTCTGGATATAGAATCTTGTCACCTGCAAACAGATATAGTTTGACTTCTCCTCTTTCTATTTGGTAGCCCTTTATTTCTTTCTCTTTCCTGATTGCCCTGGGCAGGACTTCCAATATTGTGTTGAAGGAGTGGTGAGAGAGGGCATCCTTGTCTTGTGCCAGTTTTCAAGGGGAATGCTTCCAGCTTTTGCCCATTCAGTATGTTGTTGGCTGTGGGGTGTTGTAGATGGTTCTTAGTATTTAGAGGTATGTTCCTTCAGTATCTAGTTCGTTGAGAATTTTTAACCTAAGGGGTGTTGAATTTTGTTGAAAGCCTTTTCTGCATGTATTGAGATAATCATGTGGTTTTTGTCTTGTTCTGTTTATGTGAAGAATCACATTTATTGATTTGTATATGTTGAACCAACCTTGCATCCTAGGGATAAAGCCTACTTGATTGTGGTGGATTAGCTTTTTCATGTGCTGCTGGATTCGGTTTGCCAGTGTTTTGTTGAGGATTTTTGAATTGATGTTCATCAAGGATATTAGCCTGAAGTTTTTTTGGTGGTGGTTGTGTTTCTGGCAGGTTTTGGTATCAGGATGATGCTGGCCTCAAATAATGAGTTAGGGAGGAGTTCTTCCTCCTCAATTTTGTGGAACAGTTTCATTAGGAATGGTATCAACTCTTCTTTGTACATCTGGTAGAATTCAGCTATGAATCCATCTGGTCCTGGGCTTTTTTTTGGGTGGTAAGCTATTTATTACTGACTCAATTTCAGAGCTCATTATTGGGCTGTTCAGGGATTCAATCTTTTCTTGGTTCAGTCCTGGGAGAATGTATGTGTCCAGGAATTTATCCATTTCTTCTAGATTTTCTAGTTTATGTGCATAGAGGTGTTCATAATATTCTCTGATGGTTGTATTTTTGTGGGGTCAGTGGTGATATCCCTCTTGTCATTTCTGATTGCATTTATTTGAGTCTTCTCTCTTTTCTTCTTTATTAGTCTTGCTAGCAGTCTATCTATTTTATTTCATTTTTTTTCAAAAACCCAGCTCCTGGATAAGTTGATCTTTTGAATGGTTTTTTTGTGTCTCAGTCTCCTACAGTTCTGCTCTGATATCACCATGCCTATTTTAAAAGATTTTGATCCTTTTTAGTCCCCAAATTCTCTCTCTGCAGGTGGCCTTTTTTTTTTTTTTGAGAGTGAGGCTATCTGATTGATACTCTTTATGCTACTTGGAGTATTTAATATGCATTGGTTCTGTATTTCACATTATGCTTTTATTGCGCTAAAGTTGATATTAAAGTTTTATAGCATAAAATGTCATGGCAGGGAACATTTGCTCTAATTTATCATAATTTTTTAAAAAGAAAATGTCTGCTAAGATCATAATAACAGCTAATATTTATATGCTAGATCTACCCTAAGTGTTTTACAGGTATTAACTTCTTTGACCATGGTGTGGCCATTGGAACAATGTAATAATATGTGGCTCAATACCATAGGTTAATATCTTAAACGTTATTTTTCATTCTCTTTGGATAGCCATGATTAAACTTTTTTTTTTTTTTTGAGACAGAGTCTCACTGTGTTGCCAGGGCTGGAGTGCAGTGGCATGATCTCAGCTCATTGCAACCTCCGCCTCCTGGGTTCAAGCGATTCTCCTGCCTCAGCCTCCCAAGTAGCTGGGATTACAGGCACCCGCCATTACGCCCAGCTAATTTTTTGTATTTTTAGTAGAGACGGGGTTTCACCGTGTTGGCCAGGCTGCTCTTGAACTCCTGACCTTGTGATTCACCCGCCTCAGCCTCCCAAAGTGCTGGGATTACAGGCGTGAGCCACTGCGCTCAGCCTAAACTTTTTATATGCTAAAATCCAACATGCTACATCTCCTTTAGCATCTAAAACAATACATACAATGATAAATTTCACTTCAATCTGTACAAGAGAAGAATGCTAATGATTTGAAACGTCAGCTAGAAGACAGGCTGTCAGGAACTTTTATTATATTTTTTACTCACTGGAAAAATATGAATTGGAAATACACTAATAAGTTCTCTGCTGTGGATAACATGGGTTTAAATTTTCATGTTAAACTTATTTAATTTGAGATTGTCTTAATTAAATATCCATTTATCAGCATAATGATGTTTAATATAGATCTTTATTAACATGGTTTCAAAGGCCAGTAAAATTGTCAAATCTAATGAAAACAGAGTTCAAAGATAAAATTCTATCTTCCCTTTCTTTTATGAGTCTATTAAAAATTCAGGGCACCTTTTTAAAAGCCCGTAGAGAAGATTAACCTTTAACATCATCATTTAAATCTAATGTTACCACATTTTACAGTGTCATTGACACTATGTTTAGCCTTAGATAGTTGCTTTTCCTAACCATATTGTGAAACTACTAAATTTTTTTTTTTTCCAAATCTAATAGAGGAACTGCTCTCTTTTTTTTCTGGTTTCTCTAGTGTAGCACATTCTAATAGAACTTTCTCCAATGATAGAAATTATCTATATCTACACTGGTTAATACAATTGCTGCTAGCCATATGTGGCCTAATGAGCACTTGAAATGTGACCAGTGCAACTGATAATCTGAATTTCAAAATTTACTCATTTTATTTATCCTAAATTAAAATTTAAATAGCCACATGCTGCTGATGTCTACTGTATTGGAATCACGGCTTTGGTGTTCTTTTCAGCACCGTCAGACTGAATTCTGAAGACTTGACTCTTTTCTCCTAATATGTCTTAATTCCTTTCCTGGGAGTAGGAACAATCTTTTAAAGTTACTTGTTGTTCTTGGACTAATAAAGGTATTTTCTTTCATTATAACCCAATTTATAGTTTGGAGATTTTACCATAAACCAAAATATATATATATACTTTTGTAGTAAGAATACCAAATTGGACATTTGATTCTGGGTAGTCATTACACAACAGAGGATGGGATATCTGCCAGAGTGGGTGCTCCGTAAATGTTTACTTGTGCTGAGTAAATGAAAAACTGTATTTTATTTTAACCAATGCTCCTTCTCACACTTACTCACACTATTTCCTTTTATATCTGTACACTGGGAGAAGGAATAATAACTTGCTTGAAGATACAGTTTGTTTGAAAGTTGGAGGCTTTTGCTGATTTAAAACAGATACTGGTTTGTAGTTACTTCCATAATTCCTTTCTACTGTGCTTAAATGATGAAGTACCATTTTTATGGGTCTTTACCTTCTAACATGTTTTTGCATTACATTTTTTAAGAATAACTGGTCACTTAAAAATACTTATAGAGTTGTAAAAAATGATTCAATTTTAAAAGGAGTAACTTGCGTAAAAGATATTCTGTAGTAGACATCATCCTAGGTTGATAATACAGTCAATAAAAGTGTTTATTGCTTTGTACATATCAAAGTACTAAAGGAGTGAACTGAAGCAGCTGAGATGTTAGAATAAGTCAATTGTCTAAAAATATGAATGCCCACAGATATGTTTGATAAAGAAATGTTTTATGTGAAGATTTTGAAAATCTGGTTGATCACTAGTTATCAATAGTCTTAGAGAAATTTAAGTTTTAAAATGCTTATAGGATAATTGAGAAAGTACCACTAAGCTGAACGCAAATTTAAAGTTTCTTCTTACAAAGCATTCGACCTGTTGCCCAAGAAAAGGCTTTCATCTTTCAAGATGAAAGAATTAAAATGAAACTAGAACACTGAAGGCTGCTACAGAAGCATGCATTTATTTGAGCATATGGTAGTAATCCACTAAACACATAGTTATAATCTATTTGAGAATAACCAGAACAGATTTGCCAGACAAAGATTCTGGCAGATCAACTTGCTTTTTACTATGAAAAATCAAAGATGCAGAGAAGCACACATATACCAATGTTTTCTTTTTGATTTCAAAGCCACTTCAGCATTTCTTTTAAAAAGTATTGTCTTCATCCTCATAATTAATAGATAGTTTTTCAGATTCTAAATACTGTAAGTTTCAGTAATCAGTTTCATTATTTCTGTGCAGTCAAAGAAGACTGCATTGGAAAATATGTTTGTGTGCATTTCAATACAATAAGTGTTTGCAACTCAATTTCAAAGGAATATAATGTGTGATTTAGTTATTGATTATTGAGTTAAACTACAGACGTTGAAGATGCAGGATCAAATCATCTGAAATAAAAGGGCAGGGAACACGTATAAATGTTTTGCACACGGAGACACTCAAGTGCTTCTTGATTGAGGACATCTGATTTCTAGCTGGTTTTGCAATTAAAAATATTGGAAAGAAATTGCAGTAGCTCAGTCAAATTTATTTGCTGCAAAATGGCTTAGAACTACAGAGAATTTTCAGTTAATATAATTGAAATTATTTAGTTCTGCTCTGTGACAAGTGAAATTATTAGTTATCAGGGAAAGGTAATTACATATTTGGCCTAAAGTTAATCAATATGAACACAGAAAAGCTGGAGCTCAAGCAGAATCAGGACCTTGTTAACCACAGTTTTGTAAAATGAGTTCAATTGTAGCACCTGTGGAATAAATAGAACTGATCATAAATACAAGAAAATAAATTTTCTAATCATACTGTTCTCAGAGATTTACAAAATGCTTTGAACTTCGTTCTGTATTTAAACTTTTTTTATTATTTCACACAGCGTTTTTTAATCAGCATATGCTGATGAAAGGCAGACGTGTGCCTTGTTACACCTCTAAACCTCAAAGATCATGGGCAGTCACAGTAATTCCATTTCCCCAAGTTAAGGCATAAGCCCGCATTCACAGTCTGCCCTCTGGGATGATGCAGGATTGAGTCAAGCCCAGTTCGATTCCTTGAGTCGCTGGAGTTGTTTCTGACTGATCCATATTTTCAAATCCAGCCCACCAGTGGGCCTGAGGCTGGATAAGTGGGCTTTCACCAGGGCCCTAACAAGAGCAAAAAAGGAACATGTGCATAGATTTATACTCCTATTCTCAAGGGCCTTTGCTCTTATTGGAACCTTAACCATATCAAAATGTATTTCCTAAACATATCTGTGATTATGGAGTTCATAATCTAAGAATCTGAAGGTGCATTTCTGTGTTAAATGCAGAAATTATTATTGAAACAAAGACCTCACCTTTAAATGAGAGTATAAAGTACTGCAGTGACTTTCGCCCAACTGTTCTCTATTCACACTGGTCATTTGTCACTAGACATTGGTCAACCTTAAGCCAAATAGTATCCTGTCGAAGCAATGCCTGATTATTTTCCAACTTTTTGAAGTAAACATTGCTATTGTTCTGCTTTTTGGTTACAACAGAAGGAGTTTTTGGTTACAAGAGAAAGTAACACATCAGTAATTTCCATTCCTAAAAAAGTTAATCAAGACCAGGCGCGGTGGCTCACACCTGTAATCCCAGCACTTTGGGAGTCCCTGGCCGGTGGATCATGAGGTCAGGAGTTTCAGACCAGGCTGAACAACATGGTGAAATCCCGTCTCTACTAAAAATACGAAAATTAACCGGGCATGGTGGCACATGCCTGTAATTCCAGCTGTATTCAGGAGGCTGAGGCAGCAGAATAGTTTGAACCCAGGAGGCAGAGGTCGCAGTGAGCCGAGATTGCGCCACTGCACTCCAGCCTGGGTGACAGAGCAATACTCTGTCTCAAAAAAAAAAATAATAATAATAATTAGTCAGTGGTTTTTTTTTTTTTTTTTTTTTTTTTTTGGAAAGAAAAATACTATGAGTCTGTTGTAAATCCTTAAATGGCGTAAAAATAGCTAAAATTAGGTATTTACTGTGCTCTTAGTGGTTATTTTCCTCTCTCTCTCTCCATGTATAGAGATAAAATGAGAAAAAAATATATTTGGATGTGCGTATATACTATACATAAACTATCAAAACTTGGTTTATAATTGTACATTCTATCACGGACATCCTTCTTGAAAGCCTTCGTTTTGTATAGGTCTGTGTTTTAAATTTTGATAGTTATTACCAATAAATCCTCTGAATATTATAGCCTATTCAAAATAGCTGTTTCTTACAGGAAATGGATATATGTGTGTATACATATGTATAAATATATATACTTATGTAATATATGTATTGTATATATGTATATCATACATATATATGTATATATAGTATATTATAAATACATATATATATGTATTTACAAGGAGTCAGTCTCTTTTGTGGAAGTAAACATTACTTGGTCAGATAAGATTATTATGCTAAAGGAAGGTAGATAATTTTGTGAATGTAATTTGCATTTCTAAATGTGGTTATTATTATTATTATTATCTCTCAACAGGGCCCATTTGGAGGCCAGCGCTGAGAAGTGGAACAGGTTGCTGATGTCCTTAGAAGAACTGATCAAATGGCTGAATATGAAAGATGAAGAGCTTAAGAAACAAATGCCTATTGGAGGAGATGTTCCAGCCTTACAGCTCCAGTATGACCATTGTAAGGTAAGTGGATAACCTATAGTGAGTCGCTTAATTCAAATTCTAGTGAGGTAGATATTTGAAATACAATTATAGATAAGTATCAGAGTTGAACCAATTATCACAGGATTCCCCCCCCCACCACCGTCTGCTTTTAGTTGCCAGTAGACATTTAAAGTGCATACATTGTTTCCATTTGTATTATCTTCACATTTAACTAAATTTTTTTCAAACACTACCAGTATCTGAAGTATAATATTGCTTTTAGCTTATTATGAAGTTTATCTAAATTTCTAATAGGTTTTAGAATCATAATATATTGAGGTTTTGGGTTTTTTTTGTTTTTTGTTTGTTTGTTTGTTTGTTTTACCAAGTTTCACTCTTGTTGCCCAGGCTGGAGTACAATGGCATGATCTCGGCTCACTGCAGCCTCTGCTTCCTGGGTTCAAGCGATTCTCCTGCCTCAGTCTCCCAAGTAGCTGGGACTACAGGTGCCTGCCATCACACCCAACTAACTTTGTTTTTTTTTTTTAAGATGGAGTCTTGCTCTGTCACCCAGGTTGGAGTGCAGTGGCATGATCACAGCTCACTGCAACCTCTGCCTCCCAGGTTCAAGTGATTCTCCTGCCTCAGCCTCCCAAGTAGCTGGGACTACAGGCACCTGCAACCACCCCCAGCTAATTTTGTATTTTGTATTTTTTTTTTTAGATGGAGTCTCGCTCTGTTGCCCAGGCTGGAGTGCAGTGGCATGATCTCAGCTCACTGCAACCTTCACCTCCTGGGTCCAAGAGATTCTCCTGCCTCAGCCTCCCAAGTAGCTGGGACTACAGGCGCATGCCACCATGCCCGGCTAATTTTTGTATTTTTACTAGAGACGGGATTTCACCATGTTGGTCAGGCTGGTCTCGAACTCCTGACCTCAGGTGATCTGTCTTCCTCGGCCTCCCAAAGTGCTGGGATTACAGGCATGAGCCACCTTACCCGACCTGAGAAAATTTTTAAACTACAAATTAATCTTAAATTCAAAAGGCATCGAGTCATAAGGAATTACAAACTATCTTGTTTGTGTTTAATAAAAGTGAAAAATAAGGACTTGTAGTAAAAAAAAAAAAAAGTAATGCAGATGAAGACCATACTATTTAAAATCATTTTATGTGTTTTACTTTTCTGAGCCAAGCCTTTTCTTTGATTACATTTTTATACTGCTCAAATTTCTGTTCCTATGCAAATGTATACTTTTACTCTGATCAGCCAAAAGATATGCTGAAATGTTATCAACTGACACATTAATCCTTAGATCCTTGTGTGATTAAATTTGTGCCTTGTTCACTTTCCATTGATTTCTTTAATATCTCTTTATGCCCATTTTCTTGTATATACATATCATCTTATTTTATTGTATTTTTCACTCCTCCCATGTAATGAAAGTTCTCATTCTAAATCTGGTCATTTTAAGGTGACACTATGATTCTATTTCCATTTTAAAAATGACAAACACGAATGCACACATCTCCTAAAGGAAAATGTCATTTATGTAATAAGTTGCTTTAATACAAAATGATAAGACCCTGAAATTTATTTATTTGCTTTTTGAACCCTTGTGACTAGATTATCAAAATTACCATTTGGGTGTATTTTTTTTCTTTCTACTCGAAGCAGGAATATGATAGAGAAATAGCTCCAAGATAAGAAAAAGGAAAACACTGTTGATGTATGATATGCAAGATAATAATAATAATAGAAGATTTAAAATGACCGATTTAAGAAAATCCTATTCTCTCCTAACTTTTTCTAACTTTTACTTCTATTAATTATTCATACAGTAGTCCCTTTTTGTGGGTTACAGTATTAGGGATGAAACAGAATAACACAAAGCTCTTCTAATAGATGTGCTCTGTAAGGAATACAAGCTGCTTATGGCCATATGCTAATAGTGTTTACCGAAATCCACATCTTGAGGTATGAAATGATTTTCCTCTTCTGGCCTTAGCACATAAAGTATGTATCAGCCTCTCAGTCTGTCCTGGCTGTATTTTGGCCTCCCTCCCAGCAAGGTAACCTGGATTTAGGTTGTGTTTTGCTCTATCTTAGAGCACTGCAGGCAGTTGCTCTGCTTCAGTCCTTGAGACCTAAGCCTTTAGGTAATGAAGATAATACTGATAATGATGGTAATACAATTGGTTCATTTATTCAGCAAGTATTTATTGAGTGCCTAATATGAACCAGCATATTCTGGTCACTGGTGACTCAATAATGAACAAAACCAGGTTCTTACCTGATTGTGAGAGATGGACACTAGACAAATAGGCAATAAATATATATGTCCTACGGTAATAACAAAAATAAAGCAAGGTCAAGAAGATACAGGAGGATGTGGGATTATAGGCCAAGGTGCTATTTTATATGGAGAAGGTCAGGAAAGTATCACAAATTGGGTGATTTTTGAACAGAGACCTGGAGTGATGTAGTAAGCACTTAGCAACCCCTCTTGAAAGTAGAACATTTAGGGAAAGGAGGCAGAGAGCACAAAGGCCACAGAGCCTGCAATGTTTGGGGCATATTTGAGGAATAGCTGGGAGACCAATATGTTTGAAAAAATTTAGCCAAATATGGTAGATAGGAGATGAAGCTGGGGTGGCGGGTGGGAGAAAGGGATTCAGATCATTTAGGTCCTTGAATATTCTTTCTTAAGGACTTTGGATTTTACTCAATGAGAGAGGAAGCCATGGAAGATGTAGGTATCTATAGTGCTGTGATCTAATATTATGTAATAATATAGGTAAATTATGAAGAGTAGAATATAGAGGAGTTCAGCACTATTTCAGTAACCCAAGTGGTGGTGAATTGGAAAAGGGTATAGCAGGAGAGATGATGAAGAGTAACTGCTTTCTGAAGACATTTGGAAAGAATCAACAAAATTTGCTGATGGATTAGATGTGTGGAATGAGAGAAGAAGAGCCAAAGATGTCAGAAGTCAAAGATTTTTGGACAAAGCAAATAGAAAATGGAAGTACCTTTTAGAGAGATAAGAAAACTGCTGGAGGAGCAGTCTGGGAAGGAAATGTAAGAGCTCGATGTTTGACATGTTAAGCTTATAGATGTTTAAGCTGTTGGATATATAAATCTGAAGTTAGAAGAAAGATCAGGATTAGAGATGAGTTAGAAGAAAGATCAGGATTAGAGATCAAAATTGTCAGCCTGTATATCAGCCCTGGGATTGGATGAGATCACCTATAGGGAGAGATTGTATGTGATTGTACCAAGGGAAAAAAAATATTCTAAGAAATGAGCCCTGAGGAGCCACAACTTCAGAGGTTGGGAAAATGAGGAAACTGAGAAGGAAGAGCCAGAAGGCTAGAAGAACCAAGAGAGAACAGAGTCCAGGATGCCAAAGGAGGAAAGTGTGTTATGAAGGAGGGCGTGATCACAAGGATCAAATATTGCTGAGAGGTTAAATAAGATGAGGACAGAAAATTAATCATCTCGAGACCATCTTGTTGACCTTGGACAAGAGGTGTTACAGTGGCATGATGGAGTTGGAAGCATGATTGGAGTAGATTCAAGAGAGAATATGAACAAAAGTACAGAAAACCATTTTAAGGACTTTTACAACAAAGGTAACAGAAAAATCAGATAGTAGCTGAAGAAAGAATGTAGGGTCAAGTAGTGGTTTTATAACTCATTGCTGAGTAGTGAATTATGAAATAATATATTAATATTATTTTATTATTCAGCATGTTCTATGCTGGTAAGAATGATTCTGTGAAGTGGGAAGAATCAGTGATGCAGGAGAGAGGATACCAGCTCAAACAGTGGCAGGATGCAATCCATTGCACAAGTGGAGCAGTGGGTCTTAGGTCTGTCTGACTCCAAATATATTCATCATCCATTTAAAACCTACTTACCGAATAACTTTTATGTCCTAGCACCATTCTAAGCACTGGAGATATATCCTCACATTTTTGTTTTTGTTTTTACTTGAGTCTGTTCCCTCTTTTTTGCTCTATTATGTCAGTTTCCTAGCTTAGTTTATGAAAGAATATGAAGCCACCTTTTTCACCCTATCTTTTTCTTTAGCTGCCTTCCAAAAATGGACAATAAAGAAATGAATATTAACATATTATTCTCAAGAACTAATATTTTAGTGTATAATGCTAGCTTTCTGCTAAATTAGTACTCGGTATAGATTAGCTGAATAAGTTGATTCACAGAATTTATACAAAAAACCCTCCAGTTATCTGCTTCCTCTAGAACATGACACAGTACAGAAAGGTGTGCTGGGTTTGGGGTAAGCATTCTTTGTAGGTCATTGCTGAAGTCACAGGGCTGGAGGATTCCTTGATTCCTTCCAGGGTAGCCATCATGTATTAATAAGTAAGTTAGTTGCCATCATGTTTGACATTACCCTTACAGAAAAGAAAAACTCGAGGGAAGAAATAAAAGCTTAAAAGATGAATTTTCTGGCTGGGCGTGGTGGCTCACACCTGTAATCCTAGCACTTTGGGAGGCTAAGGCAGGCGGATCATGAGGTCAAGAGATCAAGACCTTCCTGGCCAACATGGTGAAACCCCGCCCCTACTAAAAATACAAAAATTAGCTGGGTGTGGTGACGTGCGCCTGTAGTCCCAGCTATTTGGGAGGCTGAAGCAGGAGAATTGCTGGAACCCAGGAGGCAGAGGTTGCAGTGAGCCAAGATCACGCCACTGCACTCCAGCCTGGCGACACAGTGAGACTCCATCTCAAAAACAAACAAAAAAACCCAAAAACATGAATTCTTCATATTTTCTTTATAGGTTGTGACATTTGCTGTTGCTTTGTGAGTAAAGGTTTGAAAGTCCAGTGTCACATTTTTTAATGTGAGACACAAGATCTGTAATGTAGATAATCTACTGTGAATTGTGTGTGGCCATGGGTTTTAGGGTGCACTGGAGGCAGGTAAGGAGGGTTGTTGGCTCCTCATAGGTGTGATAATTTGGGTTAGAGGTGTGAGTGAGGTACTGGTAGTAGAAAAGGCACTGAGCTAGAATGAGAATACTTTTATTTAAAGGCTGGCTCTGTCACTGATGACCTGGGTGACCCTGAAAAAGTCATTTGACTTACCCAAGCTTCAGTGTATGGAAATAAGTAGTATCTTAGTTCCTTTGGGCTGCAGTAACAAAATACTATAAACTGGGTGGCTTATAAACAATAGAAATTTATTTCTTACAGTTCTGAAGGCGGAGAAGTTCAAGATCAGTGCACTAGTAGATTTGGTGTCTGCCAAGGGCCCACTGTCTGGTTCATGGATGATGTCATCTCACTGTGTCCTCCCATAGTGGAAGGTAGTCTTTTATATGATACTGATCCCATTGATGACAGCTCCTCACTCATGCCCTAATCACCTTCCAAAGACCCACCTCCCAATACCATCACTATGGGAGTTAGGATTTCAACCTGTAAATTTTGGTGACACATAGACATTCAAACTGTAGCAAGTAGTTCCATTTCTACACAGAATTGTTCTGACAATCAAATGAAATAGTGGAAATGAAAGTAATTTAGGAAAAGTAAAGTGCTGAAGGGCAGTATATAATTTTATTTAATTATGTATATTCTGTCAAAAGCAACCTTCTTTACCAATTGCCAAGAGTAATGTTTTAAAATTACGTTACTATAAATATTATATAAAATATATATAATTAACATTAATTCATACTAATATAAATCTACATTATTACAGTTAGGGCTAATGATTATGCATTTGTAGATTTAGAGCAATATTTAAAGAAGTGTGGTACCTACCCGTAATTATTTATCTTACTGAACATCATCAGTCATAATTATCGAATAGTCTAAGCATAGTTTAACCTTAGCCTTGCATCCAAGAATTCCCTTCCTAAGAGTTTATTTAATAGTTTTTGGCCAGTGTTCGAACATAAACCTAAGTCTCTAACTTATCCTGAGTCTTTTCTTGAAATCAAAATCTCTTATGGGTGTGTAAGAGATTGCTCTATATTTCAGGGCAGCTTTTTTTTTTTTTAAGTCCTTGAAAATGTCCTTTTCCTCTGCTGTCATATTCCATTGATCAGGAAAAGTCTTTATTTAGTGTATATTCATGTATAATTTAGAATTGTCAATTACTGGACTGAAAGAACCCTAAGAAATAAGAGTCCAGTCCTCTTATTTACGGTAGAGGAACATGAGAGGCACAGTGTAGTTTAAGCAAACCTGAGTTTTCATCCCTCCTTCCCTCTCTTACTTTCATTTACTTACTATATGCCTGGCAGTTTATTTTATTTTTTAAGGAAAAATAACTTTATTTTGAAAAAAAATCAATTCTCTATTTAAAGCATACATGAGACAGCATCTTTCATTTAGTCCTAAACTTGATTACGTATTCTCATTATAATATTCCAATGACATTCTGCAAATACATTTCAAGTATGTCATCATATACTTATTGGTAAATATCAAACAAAGCTACTGACTGTGAGGGAAAATTTTCCGTAATTTTTTTTACCTACCCAGAGATACTCATCCCACTGTATATCTGGGATTTTTATGAACATTTACAAATTTTAACAAAATTCTTTTTTTTCCCATTGCATGCATCAATATGCTAAATTCTCCACTACAATCCAGGTAAAATACTGATAGTGTGTGAAAACCCAGTGTATTTTCTAATACTGCCCATGATAGACAGAGTGAAATTACAGCATAAAGAGTAGCCAGGAACCTATACTGTAAACATTATTTGGCTCCAAGTATCTTGCAACAAATAGCTACTAATAGGACTATACATAGCACATAGAGCACAGCAATCCTGGATTGTAGTATGCCTGTAAAACCCTTTAAAGCATTTTTTCTCAACCTTTTTATCATTACCCTCCTTTTCAATTACAAAAATTAAATTCAAATTAAATTAAATAGCTTTAACTATAAATTTCTTCCTAATGAGAGAAATTAATACAAAAGATTTTGTTGGGTAGGCTGATTTTGGAAGGTCACAATCCATATCTAAGATTTTTTTCACCCCAAGAACCAATTTTTGTTCCCAGTTGAGAATGTAAGGGTTAAAGTTGATGAAATAAATTAAATAGCCTTTAACATTATTAGAGAGAAAAAAACCTAATGGGTAACAATGGAGATTGAGATAGTTGACTTCTAGACCATCTCTGTTCCATACTTGCTGTATGATCAGGGAAGAAATCATGTCTCTTTATTTTGTTGTTTGGGAGAACACAGGAATAGCATAAAACCTAATAGCTTGGAAAAATCACTTAATCTCACTGGACTCAGTGAGGCTATTAATTGAAAGAATTGGTATAGATCAGTTGTTTTCAATTCTGGCTGCACTTTCCTAGGACATATAAAAGATATCAATGCTCAGTTATATTTACCCAGGCCAATTAAGCCAGTCTCTGGAGGATATGGGCTCAACCTATAGTGTAAATCAGAATCACCTGATGGGCTTGTTAAGCCACAGATTGGTAGGCCCCACTTTCAGAGCTTCTGATTCAGCAGGTTTTGGGTGGGGCCTGCAAATGTGCATTATCAAGTTCTCAGGTAATGTTATGCTATTAGTCTATTGACCACACTTTGAGAACTGCTGGACTAGGCATTTGTGTAAGAGTGAATGTGTGTGTGTGGTGTGTGTCCCCAGGTGACTTCTAATCTCAAAACTATTCGTATAGAAAATTTCAATAAGGTTCTTTTAAGTTCTAGGATACTCAGATTTTAATATAATAAGAGTTGTTAAACATCAAGATGGCTTATAAAAGGAGACCTATGGACAAATATCAACTTCTTGGTCAATTTTCATTAAAAACTCGTTTCTTAAAGCTTTTTACAGTATTTTTTTGAAAATTAACTTTTTTTTTTTTTAGCTGCATATATGGGTCTTCACTTCACTTTTCAGTAAAGATAACTTATTTGGTTATCAGTGTCTGATCATTTGATAAGACCAATGGAAGGTTTGGATAGTAGCCAGTTATTTTTGAATTGCTTGAAGAGAATCTTGTAAATTTGTAGTCCAGAGGTAATTCTGCGATTGCTTCAATACTTGGAATTGCAATAGAGTTGTAAGTACTGATTCTTTTACAAGACCATGTATAAACCAAGAAGTCTTCTGTATTTTCCAGTCCCAAAACTGAATCGATAAAAAAGAGTGCCATTTTTTAGATAAAGTGTTTAGAGGCTTTGCCTTTGGCCTCTCATATTTTCCTTTCTTCTCTAGAGGCTCTGACTCCTCGGGCCTCTGACTCCTCACGCCTTCATCCCCTCTGAGTTCTTCTAGGATCTAAGACACCAGAGAGGTCCTGGTATAGAAAAAAACACAGTCCCTGTTTACATGAAATTTACATTCAAGGGAGATCCTCTGCTTATCCTTAAACTTAGAGTTCCTGTTCTCTGTGTTTTGAGAAATCATTTCCCAAAAGGTTATGGCTGAGCTGTGAACTGCGCATTGTTATCCCAAATCTCAGGTTGTCTTTGCCCAGTCATCCACTTCTGTAACCCCAACTTTTCTCCCTTGGTGTTTTAGTCTGTCTTTTGCTGCTGTAACAGAATGTCAGGGACTGAGTCATTTATAAGGAAGAGAGATTTATTTGGCTCACACTTTTGGAGGCTGGGCTCACAGTTCCAGAGGCGGGGAAGTTCAAATCAAGGGCCTGTATCTGATGAGGGTCTTCCTGCTGTGTCATCCAATGGTGGAAAGCACAAAGGCAAGAGAGCGTTCATGACAGAGAGGAGATGGAAGCTGAACTTATCCTTTGAGCCCACTCCTGCTATAACTAACCCACTCCCACTGTGATAATGACATTAGTCCATTCATGAAGGTCAAACCCTCATGACCTAATCACCGCTTAAAGGCTGCTCCTCTTAATATCAGCACAGTGTCACTTAAATTTCATCTTGAGTTTTGGAGGGGACATTCAAACCATAGTACTTCGTTGCAATTCGGGCAAGCTTTTAGTTCATGTACCCATTTATTTCCAATCTCTTCTTTAAGGGAATACAGAACTCTTTTCAATTATAACATTATGATGTAGCTTTAAACAGAACATAAAATAACTTTTAAAACCAATTTTTTCAGATATGTTTTAGCTTACTGAAATAAAGTTGCTTCTCTTTTCATTTAGTCTTGTCTATTATTATAAATTCTGTTAGTATTTTTTCTGATCTCCTACTTTTTAGGTCTTTTCCTTTTTGTAATAAAGTTTAAAAATCTTTTTAGCTACAAAGAACTCTTGTCTTACAGCTCAAAAGTACATAATTAGAATCAATCAAGATCAACCCTCAGATGGCTTGATACTAATATTAGCCAAGGTTTTTTATTCCCTAAAAGTTCCCATAGAAAGAAAGGGACCTTGTACTTGATTTCTAATTCATTCTCTAATCTTAAGGTAATAGTTTGAATTACTTTATTTCAAGCAACACAATACTGATTAATTTGACGTAAACTCTCACTGCTAATTTAAGATGTCTAAAGAATATCAGATGGAATTTTGTGAAGAGACAAAGAACTTAACACTAATTTAATTATTCCAAAAGGTATGATCTCATAAATGCAAGTTTTGAATACCACTATATACAACCTTTATTTAGGGGTTGATTTATAGAAACTCATATATTCTGAGTCTTCTGATTCCGAACTATCTTTATATATTCTAGTCCTTTATATGTACATAAATGATTTAATGACTCCTTTTCAAAGTTACTCTTTGATAATAGTGGTGCCAATCATTTCATTCCCCATCCATCCACCCACCTATCCACACTATTCACCAAATGTCTTAATGTTAAAGTTGATGCTTCTGTACGAAGAGCAATAAGGTATAGCCTCTGCACCTCAGTGATATATTTTAATAATTCCTATTACTAAAAGCCCTGTGCTTGTGGTTTGTTGGCTGTATCCAGAGGGAATACTTTACATTTAAATGTTTAGGTGATGGCTCTGAGATTTCGCCTTAGAATAGGGATATAAAGCAATGCTTTAAAGCATCTCCTATGTTCAAACACCTAGCGGTTATAGATCAAATATAAAAAACAGAAAACCAAACATGGCATTGTGGGCTCCAAAACATGACAATCATTCTACAGGCCAGAAACAAAGCAGAAAAGCAAACTAGCTAGTGATGTTGATGCTGCTGGAAAAATGTAGCAGACCCTAGTGATGAGCAGGCAGGAAGCCCCATAGCAAAGACTCAGCTCAAAACCCTTCTCTTACACACAGAAATGAGTGATTCACAGATTGGCATCCTTTCCTTCCGTAGTGTAAATGCCCCAGGCACTGCTATTATGAAACTTCAGTGTATTGTTGATCCTTAATTAAATGTGCGTACTTTCTTGGGTGTTTTAATCAGTGTCTCAGAACATTGATATATTTTCAGCAACATCAATAATAAATACTTTGTTCAGTGCTTCAACAATACATAAACATTTGAGACCTGGGGCCTAGCACATAGTAAACACTCAGTAAAAGGTGGCTGATATCTTTTCCCATAATTGTTGGGAGTCTTTTCTGATAGTTTTGATCATTTTTATTTTGTTTAAAACTATATAGGCTACATGAGCAGTTTTAACTAAATAAAACTGTATTAATACCTGTTATTTACCACCTAGTATAACCCAACAGAACTAGCTTTCAATTACTATCTAGATTAACCCGTCAAATTAGACAAGGGTCACCTTATAGTCTTTGCAAGTATCAGTTTGGTAAACAGCACACTCATTATTTTTTTCGTGTAAGTACATGTTTAATTCCCTCAAATGTTAACATAAATTGCTACTTAAAAAATATGTAGTGTTTTAAGGACTGTTTTAAAATAAATGGATAGGCTAGGCACTGTGGCTCATACCTGTAATCCCAGCACTTTGGGAAGCCGAGGCGGGTGGATCACTTGAGGCCAGGAGTTCTAGATTAGGCTGGCCAACATGGTGAAACCTCATCTCTGCTAAAAATATAAAAATTAGGTGTGGTGGCGGGTGCCTATCATCTCAGCTACTTGTTGGAGACTGAGGCAGTAGAATCGCTTGAACCCAGGGGGCGGAGGTTGCAGTGAACCAAGATCACACCTCTGCACTCCAGCCTGGCAACAGATTGAGACTCCCGTCTCAAAACAAACAAACAAACAAAAAAAAAAAAGCAGCTTACTAATAAATAATAAAATAAATGGGTAAAGTTGAATCTTCCCATCTAATGACTTCAATCGAATTTTTAGAATCATTTTTGAAGTTTTGAAGAAGCTGAGGTCACTTATATGCAACTTCCCTTTCAAGAATGTGAGCTTATCATTCAGTCAACAATTACCTATAATGCACCTACAATGTATATAGTGTTTGTAATGTTATGGATTTACTCTAACCAAATGCTCTTGAGTGGATAAAATTGCAGATGCAGATTTTACTGTACAATTTGCACTTCATTTTCATAACAATGTAAATATTAAGTTATGTAGGAGCAATTATCAGAGCTCTAATACCCTTTCTCCAATAGAATGCATATTTGATGTTAGAAAAGCAAATCTAGAATAATTGAAAGTGCATGATTCAGGTATAATTTCTTGTTTGTGTGTTCTTTCCCTCAGGGCTACTCTGGCCTTTGCTTAACCCAGTTTATTTCCTATATTCAAGCTTTATTATATAAGACTCAGAACATATCTGGCCTTAAGCTGAATTGCCAAGAAACATTAGCAAACTTGCTCATTAAAATAACAAATTCTAACATTGTCTTTAAAACAACAACACCCTACTGTTAAATTTAGGCTGTGTGTGTGTGTGTGTCTGTGCACACGTAGGTGTGGTAGAATTTTTTTTCCCTACTAAAGTAATCGGAGACTCTGCCTGAAATTCTGTAATTTTGAGGTCTTGTTGTGTTAGAAGGTTGCCTACAGTGGGAAACTTGTCTTTTTCTGAAATTAAAAAAAATTATTTTCCAAGTTCCTCTCCAACCTTTGCCAGTCTGTGTTGACTTACTCCTTATTAAACGCTCAGCTCTTTAAGGCCCATTAGTCAAGCTGTTACTTGTGTGCAGGCCTGAAGCAGCAGTTCTGTCAGTGAGCCTGCACCTACCTGCAACACCCCATTTGGTTGTCTGCACCTGGACTTGTCTCCTAATCATAATATGTAATATTGCAACTTTACCCCAAAGGGCCATAGAATGTCCATGTTTAGAGGGAGAGGTGAGACAGCCTAATAGGTGTCACTCTCTGGTGGTAAAATTAAGAGTGGATCACAAATGTAGGCAAGAAACAGAGGCCTGTAAAACCAATGAACCCTTTTGCAAAACAATCATTTTACTGCCTCTGCACATATTTAGCCCAGAGATAATTTATTTTATCTAGCAGTTCATATATTCACTCAGGTTGAAACTTCTATATTGTACCTGATGTTTGCTGCATACTTTGCTAGGTGCCAAGCATGCATGAGTTTGTAAGACTATTTTTGCAATCATGGAGCTCACTTCACTCTCTAGCAGTGATGCAGGCTTGAAAACAAGTACTACAGTAGATATTAAAAGTGCTGTAATACAGGCATGGACACACAGCCAAGGAGACATGAATCACGATTATTTGTGCTTGGGAAGATTGGGAAAGGCTCCACAGAGCAAGATGCTTTTGAGCTGAAAGATGCCTTGGAATAAGTAAGAAATCACTAAAGGTGTTACCAAAATGCTTTAGGGAGAAAATCCTCCAAATTAGCCATGGCATGTTTTGGAGTATGCAGTAGAGTAAGGGGTGCTGCTTACCTCCTTTTGTGATGATACTTAGAATAAGACTGAAAGAAGAAAATACAAGTTCAGCACCTAATCCAGTGCCACATTAGAATAGGTACTAATTGAGGATCCCTTAGTGAAATATTTGGGACCAAAAGTATTTAGATTTCAGATTTTTTCATATTTTCGAATATTTGCATTACACTTACCAGGTGACCATCCCTAATCAGAAAATCTGAAATTCAAAATGCTCCTAAGAGCATTTCCTTTGAGTAACAATATTGACACTCAGAAATGTTTGGATTTTGGTGTATTTTAGATTTTGGATTAGAGATACTCAACCTGTATTGCATATATTAGCTGGATGAAGGAATACATTTATGTGTGCATGTATTTTAAAGAGTACAGGGGGCCGGGTGCAGTGGCTCATGCCTGTAATCTTAGCACTTTGGGAGGCTGATGTGAGTGGATCACCTGAGGTCAGGAGTTCAAGACCAGCCTGACCAACATGGTGAAACCCCATCTCTACTAAAAAAAAAAAATCAAAAAAATCAGCTGGGTGTGGTGGTGTATACCTGTAATCCCAGCTACTTGGGAGGCTGAGGCAGGAGAATCGCTTGAACCTGGGAGGTGGAGGTTGCAGTGAGCCAAGATCACAGCATTGTACTCCAGCCTGGGCAACAAGAGCGAAACTCTGTCTCAAAAAAAAAAATAAATAAATAAAAAGCAGGGTGCAGTGGCTCATGCCTGTAATCCCAGCACTTTGGGAGGCTGAGGTGGGTGGATCACCTGAGGTCAGGAATTCTAGACCAGCCTGACCAACATGGAGAAACCCCGTCTCTACTAAAAATACAAAATTTGTCAGGCATAGCGGCACATGCCTGTAATCCCAGCTACTCGGGAGGCTGAGGCAGGAGAATCGCTTGAACCCGGGAGGAGGAGGTTGCGGTGAGCCGAGATCGCGCCATTGCACTCCAGCCTGGGAAACAAGAGTGAAACTCTGTCTCAAAAAAAAAAAAAAAAAAGTACAGGGAAGGATACTATTTTATTACTATGAAAAGCAAAAGAATTTCTGTCTCATTTTTAACATTGATATTTGGTATTCTGATTCAGGCATTATTTTTTATGTCACTGGGGTGGAACCAAAATGAATTTTGTATATTAACTGCTCATTGAGGGATGTTAACCAAAACTTTCAAGGCACTATGTAGGAGATTTTTTTTTAAATTTTGTCTGCATACCAACGGAAAGTAAGCCTGTTTTCTGTCTCCTTTTTCATGTAGTTTTATTAGTGCTATCAAATTTAATGAGTGCTCTGCCCTTTTTTGCTGTCATTCTGTAATGACTTCAGATCCATATATGCTGATTTAGCTTTGAAAGCAAGTTGGGAAAAGAGTAAATTACATTCTAGCAGATTTGTCTCATGTTTGCATCATTTATTTTTTTCTGCTTATATTCTCCAGTAAGCAGTTAACTGCTTTTTTGAAACCAAAAGCTAAAGAAGCCTGCTGTACCAGCAATACCTCTATTTGTTATAATTCAGCTACCCTGCATTTAGGGCCAGCTTCTCAGGTGTCCCATGCAGTCACACAGGGCTCTGCTCTTACAAGGTTTCTGCACTTGGCTTAATGTTCTTCTGCTGCCATCTTGAGATTCTTAGTAATATTTGGACAAGGGGCCCTGTTACACTGAGGTCTGCAATCACATAGCCAGACCTGCTTGCATTGCGAAGAACATTAACATATATATTCTGACACATGTAACACAATATTGAATGCCTCTTAAAACTTGCTTCAAGCATCTTTCCATCTCCTTAGGTAAGGAAGCCATCCTGAGCCCCACTCTGAGTTACATGCCCCTTGTTGTAATTTGTGATGTCTCTGTTTGTTAGTGTTGGCTGAGCTTTGACTAGGGGTTCATTCCAAGACCTCACCTTTCCTGCTGACTTATTAACTGTTCCTCGGACTCTACTTGACTTCTAGAACACCGCACTCTCCTGATGTTTTTCTTACGTCACTGGTAGCTCTTTCTCAGTTTCCCTTCCTGGTTCTTCCTTCTCTCCCCTGTCTTCTAAAATTGGGATGTGTCACTTGTCAGGCCATGTCACCTTCTCTGTATTCACTCCTTCTTGGGTTTAAAAATGCCATCTATATGCCAAGCACTCCCAAAGATATATCCGTTTACATGTCATCTCTACTTGAGTGTGTAATAAACACCTCACAGTTAATATGACCAAACTGGCTTCCTGAATTGGCCCCTATAACATGTTCTACCCAGCGTTCTGCATTTCAGTTGGTAGGAATATTATTTCAGTTGCTTAGGTAACAAATAATAATCACCTTTAGTCCTGCCTTTCTCTCATTTTCAGTCTGTTAGGAAATCCTGTTGGTTCTCTGTTCAAAATATAGAATCTGAATCTACCACCTGTGACACTCCTCTGTCTCTGGAAGTATCAGTCCAGCAACCAGAGTGTTCCTATTAAAATAAATCAAACTCTGTAGGGGCTTCCTAACTTATTCAGAGGAAAAGCCACAGCTCTCGGAATGGTCTGCAAGGCCCTGCCTGATCTGACCTACCCCCTACTCACACCTTGCTCATTTCCTCTCTTGCTGTTTTTTCTCTGACACACTGGTTTCGGCCACACTGGTCCCTTGCTGAGCTTTCAGTCACAGTGCCAGCCTGTCTGCTCTGCCCAAAATGCCCCTTCTTTACTCAACTTCTCTACTTGAACTGCAGCTCCCTCTGAGCACTCCTTCTCTCTCTCTCATTCTCTCTCTCTTCCCCCCCCACCCTTTTCTACTTCTTTCTTTTTCTATAGCATTTATCAGAATCTAACACAATGACTTATTTTCTATGTCTTTTTTTTTTTTTTGCTTGGTACTCTGGATGCTCGATAAAAGTTGAATGTTGACTGAAAGAGCTATACCCAAGGGAACATGTCCTTTGGTGTGAATGTTCCTTTTGTCTCTTTATTTCTCAGTAATTCTTTTTTATTCATTTGCGTTCTAAAGAATATTACATTTTGAAAATATTCCTACTTTAAATAGCCAAATGTTTAATAAAGGTAATAACTGAAATAGAAGTGTAAGCAATAATCTTGTCTCGAGAGCTAGAAATCATTTCAGTTACATGACATATTTGAAATGTAAGCAAATTAAATAACACAATGGCACTTTATGCCTTGATATTGTAGTCAGTTCAGAGGTTATCTTTTCTCTATCTTAATACTGCCTAAATTTTCAACTCAAGAATGGGAAAGATTTTTATTTAAGGGAAAATGAATTGGCATACCTTTAATTGTTGAGATAGCTTTTAAAATATAGCTTTTTTTTTTTTTTAGCTGTATGTGCTGGATATTGCTAGATTCTTCCAGTGTTTGTGCTTCTCTCTGTTGTAGGAATTTGATACCTTTGAATGCTAGTTGAGTTGAGATTCTTAACAAATGCAGGGAGAAGCTTAAACATGTGGAGTCTCTCATTCAGTGACTATGTTGTCATGCATTATATTTTATAAATAAATATAGCCCCAAGTCATTGAAGCAAAATATAAAGGGAAAGTTTTATAATTGTTACAAATACAAAAAATGGGCTTCTAAACACATTTGTAATTCTTCATAATGCTGTTCTTTGAAAGCAGTAATTTATTCAATGCTAAATGAGCTCAATTCTAGTGGGCATTCCTTTCTTAAAAGTATAATTTTTAATTATGAAAATAATAACATATTACAGAGTTTATGAAATAAAGAATAAAAACATGGCCATAATTTTATCACCATAACAACCCTTTTCATTTTGCATTATTTCCTTTTTGCATATTTACCTTTTGCATAGTTTTACTTGGGTGCAGAGTTTTTATGTCATCTTTTTCACTTAGATACATGTCATGCCTATTTCTTCACATTGCTATGTGGTCATTATCACAATAACTTTTCAAGGTTGCATAATGGCCTCTATTGTGGCCATATCATAGAACCTAAATATATTCCAGGTGTTGGAGATTTAAGTTTCTTTCAATTTTTTAAAAATCATAAATAATGTTATAATGAACACTTTTGTGTTCGTAGCTTTTCTGGATCATTTTCTTAGGATATATTCCCAAAAGTGAAATTCCTGTTTCACACAATATGACCATAGTAATGACTTTTGATATATTGCCAGCCTACTTTCCCAAATGATCAAACCAATTTTTTGCCTCCAGCAATGTGTGAAAGTGAAGCTTTACCATACCCTGGCCTGTGATTTCTCATTTTTGTTCTATTATTAGTGATCCTTGTATTGTTAGCAGTAAAATACTAGTACTTCATAGATGTATAGAAATTTAGAAAACAGTTTTGGAATATCAGACACCTGAGTCAAGGTTCTCTCCACAAAGAGGAAGAGGAGAACTGGTTTGATGTTTGGGTTAGTCATGCCTAGAAGGATAGGAGAAAAGCTCTCCATGGCTTGTTAAACACATTAGTTGAAGAAATTTATATTTGTCTGAAATTAGTGTGTGTGATGTCATCTAGCTGACCATTTATACCTCCTTAGAGAATTGTTTTGCCCTTTTATTCTGGAAGAAACCGGTTCACAAAAAAACCGCTGCATTTATTTCTTTGCTTTCTAAGAATCTAAACTGATATGAGTCTTGCAACACAGTTTTCTGCTTATGAAATATTTTGGCTTTATCTTGGAGAATCACATAATTCCATTTTTTTCTTTTTCTTTTTCTTTTCTTTTTTCTTTTTTTTTTTTTTTTTTTGAGACAGAGTCTCGCCCAGTTGCCCAGGCTGGACTGCAATGGCTCGATCTCGGCTCACTGCAACCTCCGCCTCCCGGGTCCAAATGACTCTCCTGCCTCAGCCTCCCAAGTAGCTGGGATTACAGGTGCCTGCCACCACACCCAGCTAATTTTTGTATTTTTAGTAGAGACGGGGATTTCACCATGTTGATCAGGCTGGTCTCGAACTCCTGACCTCATGATCCACCCGCCTCAGCCTCCCAAAGTGCTGGTACTACAGGCATGAGCCACTGTGCCCAGCCTGAGCCACTGCACCTGGCCCATTTTTTTCATAATTAAATAATTTATCCCTTAGAAGAGTTAAGTCATCTACTTTCAGATGTTCCTGCAAACGGAGGGCTTTGTTCTGGCATTGGTCAACCAAAGCTCTAGGTAAAATGGCTAGAACCTTCCTCTACAAGTAAGAGTGAATAGAGGCTTTGGAAAGAAATTCAGTCTGAGACAAGAGCTGAGAAACATGGTAGAATTTTAGATTAGCATGATTTTAATAGTAATGGGCTGGGAGTGGTGCTCACACCTGTAATCCCAGTACTTTGGGAGGAAAAGTCAGGAGGATCACTTGAGGCCAGGAGTTCAAGACTGGCCTGGTCAACATAGCAAGACTCTGTCCCTATTTAAAAAAAAATTAATTAGCCTGGTATGGTGGCATGCAACTGTAGTTTAGCTACTTAAGAGGCTGAGGCAGAAAGATCACTTGAGCCCGGAAGTTCAAGGCTGCAGTGAGCTTTGATGGTGTACCAGCTTGGGCAACAGAGTGAGACCCTGTCTCTTAAAAAAAGTAATTTTTTATTCTACAGCACTGAATAGTTTCAAAATATCTTTTCATTCACTGTCTCACCAGTGAAGTTAGTAAAATGAGAGAGATGATTAACACGCAGAGAATTTAAGGGACAAACCCAAGTAAGGGCCCATGAGCACAGGATGAGTAAGGGTGTGCCTGTGTGGTATGGACTGGACTGTACCTAAGGCTTTGGCTGCAAATCTTTGTCTGGTTTTACTTTACCACAGAACAGTATTTTTAACATCTCCTCCTTCATTCATACAAAAATTTATTGGCTTTCCGCTATACCTGCTCTGGCACAAATTTCAGCCTTCCATGAGGGCTCAGTCTGGCACCAGAGTCAGGTTTGCAAAGAGGCCATGGTGAGGGAGTGTGGTGAATGCTGGATCCCCGTGAGGGAAGGCTGCAGCTCATGCTGGTGGTGCAGGTGGCACTGGAGCCGGATCCCTGAAGGGTCAAAAGGGGTGAGCCCTGTGGATTTCTTTGACTTTCACCAGTGAGGGTCAATGAGATTGTTAAGAAAGCAAAACAACACAGATGTTGTCTTGAGATAATAATGTCTTCTATGGGGGCTGGAAGGGGAAGACTACTTCCTTCTACTGCAGAGTTGCTCCATGCTGCTTTCTTCCACAGACCTACTTTGTATGAAATGCTCCCATTTCTCAGGTGTTTTCCTTCCTTGATCCCCTTCTAACAATGGCCTCCTGAGGTTCCACATTTTCTTTTATGCCAGTTTATTCATTTTCTCATTCATTAATCCAAAAGATATACTGAGTGCTAGAATCTAATGAGAAAGAGCAGAGCTATTGAAAATTTGAAGCAAGGCCAGGCTCAGTGGCTCATGCCTGTGATCATAGCACTTTGGGAGGCCGAGGAAGGCGGATCACCTGAGGTCAGGAATTCGAGACCAGCCTGACCATGGAGAAACCCCATCTCTACTAAAAATATAAAAAATTATCTGGGCGTGGTGACACCTGCCTGTAATCCCAGCTACTCAGGAGGCTAAGGCAGGAGAATCGCTTGAACCCAGGAGGCGGAGGTTGTGGTGAGCCGAAATGGCGCCATTGCACTCAACGCTGGGCAACAAGAACGAAACTCCATCTCAAAAACAGAAAGAAAGAAAGAAAATTTGAAGCAAAAGCCTTCTGAATTGCAAAGACCATGAGGAGGAAATAGCTTGGCATGTTCTCGGAACAGAAATAAGGACTTTGAAGCTAGAAATGAGGGTGTATTAGGAGATGACATCAGACAGCAGGGAGGGTCCAGACCTTGGTAGGAAGTTTAGAATTTATTCTAAGTGCAACAGGAAGCCATGGGAGGAGGGTTTTAAACAGAAGACAGGATCTGATTTATCTATCATTTTAATTTTGTAATTTAGAAAATTTTAAGAAAAGTGCATGTTAGCAAAGTTTGGTGCTTGATACACGGACAATTTGGATAATGGCTTTAGATTGAAGAAAGGTTAGGAAAGAGTTGCTATTTAAAGAAGGGGGGTGACCCCAGGATTTATTTCACACCCACATGTTTGCTTTTCTCTGTTCTTAGCTCAGTCCATATGACCAACTGCTAGTTTAGGAGAGAAGGGTTTAGCAGGGATTCCCCTCTTCCCTCCAATTCTCTTAGACCCTGTTTTCTTATTAAAAGATTTGCAGGATCCCATCTCGGTCAGTGATGTCAGCAACCCAGCCATTATGGTGAGCTGATGCCATGCTCATGAAGAAAATGAAGATCAGCTGATTGACTTCCAAGTATTTCTGCCCTAAGCCACGCCAATCACTTCTTTATACCGTCTTATCTTTTAATCTCTTGTCTTTCTCACTAAGTTGTAGCAGGTGGGAGAAATGTTCCAAGACCATTAAAGGAGGATAATTGGGAATCTCTGTATAGACATTTAAAGTTGAATAAGCAGCAGTTTATTCGGCTGCCTGGTGCTCAGAGGCACACCAGTAGCATCCAAAGAGCACCCTGAGTTCGAAGGAGTCGGAGAGGTGGGACAGGAGGAAGGGTGTCTTCAATAAAGTGAATTCAGGCTCTTAGACATTCTGTTGAGAATGGAAACTGTGATTTTTAGTAGCTACATTCTGATATTTACAATCAGGTCTTCATTAATCTGCCATTTCACGGCTTCATTTAGTTTAAGTAAGTATGTGGAAGGTACACAATCGGACAAGCCATGAGAGACTACATTACCTTCAATGTGTTTATTCTATCTGTTTTCTTGAGTTGCTTTCCACCTTATTACCTCTAAGCTAGTTACAATTTTTTTTCAACACACAGCTCATGTGTGTTTGAGAAGGTTGACCTCCCTCCCTCCTCTGTGTATTTATTCATAATGAGGCTCCTTGGTACCCCGTGTGTACCTCTTTCAGAGATTTGTGGCACTTAACCACGTTCTGGGCTAGTATTGTTCTCTCTTCCCCTTTATACTATAAGTTTCTCAAAGATTGAGTTTATAGCTGATTTTTGCCTTCTCTTATGCCTAACGTATTTTTATATATTGTATATATTTGTACTTTAAAATTTTTATTTTGGTGGAAATCTTTGTTGAAAAATCTATTATATACTTTAATGCCACCTAAGGATGGGAGAAAATTTGAATGTTTTCTTTTGGACACAAGATAATCATTGTGCTCTCCAGTTGTTATTTTTGACTCTTGAGGTATTTGGGATTATATCTCCTTCTACTAAACACCTCAGAGCATGCGACTTCTAAAACATGATTTCAGTATTCCCTTTGTTGCTGTTGTTGTTGTTTTGAGACAGTGTCTTGCTCCGTCGCCTAGGCTGGAATGCAGTGGCACCATCATAGCTCACTGTAGCCTCAAACTCCTGGAGCCAAGCAGTCCTGCCTCAGCCTCCTGAGCAGCTGAGACTATAGGTGCATGCCACAATGCCTGGCTAATTTTTGTTGTTGTTATTGAGACGGGGTCTAGCTATGTTGCCCAGGCTGGTGTCAAATTTCTGGCCTCAAGCAATCCTCCTGCCTTGGCCTCCCAAAGTGCTGGGATTACAGTTATGAGCCACCACAGCCAGCCTCAGTTTTCCTTTTTGAAATTATTTTGTATCTTCCTACTTATTCTAACTGATGCTGGTCTATTGCTTGGAGGCCAAAACTTCACTTTATACAATTTGTCTGGGAGGGGAATTGAAGGTCTTTTCACATATCTACTACAGGCTGAGCATCCTTTGTGTAAAATTCTTGGGATCAGAAGTGTTTCAAAATTCAGTTTTTGGGATTTTGGAATATTTGTGTATCCATAATGAGATATCTTGTGAATGAGAACCAAGTGTAAACATGAAATTCATTTGTTTCAGATATACCTTAGACACATAGCCTGAAGGTAATTTTATACAATACTTAAATAATTTCATGCACTAAAGTTTGTATACATTTGAACCATCAGAAAGCAAGAGTATCAGGTGTGGAATCATTTCAGCACTCAAGTTTCAGATTTTGGAGCATTTCAGATTTGGGATTTTCAGATTAGGGATGCTCAACCTGTAGAATGCAAAATACATAAGCTTTGTGACAGGTTGTCATGTAAGAGCACTTTTAGCTCAATGGCCAAGCCTTGAGCCAGCAAGTAGCCAGATATCTGCTGCATAGAGAAGTATGTGGTTGCTAGGTGTCTCTCCCATCAACCACAAGGACTCTTTCCCTAACTTCCTTGATAGAAAACATTTTAACAGAAGCAATCACCCTCATTCTTCACTCACTCAGCTCTGAGAGCACCAATCTCTAAGCTAGGCATGCACTTGCCTCAGAGCCTTTGCACTTTCCATTTTCTCTGCCTAGATTGCTCTTTTGCCAGATATTCTCATGCCTTGCTCCCTCACTTCCCTCCGGTTTTTTTTTTTAAATATCGCTGTCTTTCAGATGCCTTCCCTGACCACTTACACAAAATATTACCAACCCTCATCTTCAACCCACCATCCTCTCCCACTCATCCTGTGTGGTAGATTTTTATAGTAATGAATCATGCCTCCCTGTGTCCACACTCCTATGCAGAGGGAAATTTTTGCTCTTTTCATCAAAAGATAAAGTACATTTTTCCATTCTCTTGAATCTGTTCTGGCTTCATGACATGCTTCAAACAATAGACTGTGACACCGTGATGTGCAAACTCTAGAGCTTTGCTGTGTAACATAGGAACCCTTAGACATATGTAACCATTTGTATTTAAATCACAATTAGATAAAATTTAAAATTTAGTTCCTCAGCTGTACTAGTCATATTTCAGATACTAAATAAACATATGTGACTAGCAGGTACCATATTGGAGAGCAATTAGAGACGACATAGGGAGAAACTGAGGTACCCCAGACAATAGGCAGTGATGATTTCCAGACATGTGAGTGAGGCTGTTTTGTCCCGCCCTCCCCATCCAAGCTGCAGGATGACTATAACCTCACTAGTAATCCCAGGTGGTACCAGCCAAAGAACAGGTCAAATTGCCAACCCACACAATCATGAAAAATAATTGTCATTGTTTTAAGCTATAAGTTTTATATAGGTTTGATACACAGTCATGATAATGGAAACACCCTTCAATTCTAATGACTGACAGTAATTTGGAAACCATGCCCTAAGGGGTTACCTCATGGGTGAGAATGTCACAAAATGAGGAAGACAGAGTGAATCCATACCATCCATGACAGTCAGATCAGTTCCTTATTTATCTAAAAAGAGAAAAGGATATTTGCTATTACTAAAATAAAAACCAACTGCAGACTGAAATACTTATTAATAGCACAGACTTAGTTTTACATCAAAAAATTACTACCAGCAATTTGCAAAGTAGATAATTTAAAAATACAGAACTAACTGAAATCCATTATTTCAGTTTAAGATGAACAGATTGGGTGACTTTGTTATATCTTGCTCTGACATGTTTTGTAACATTAAATACATAGTATTTAATTCTGAGAGCATTTCTCCCATAATTTATTATGCTCAAGCATTTATTGAGTGCTTTCTATATATGTCTAGGCAGGTACAGTAGAGGATTTCAGATGATTAAGACCTGAACCTTACCATGCAAGAACTCACAATTTAATGGAGGGGACAGATGCATGGTCAAAATATATGCACATTAACACAGTACAAGCTCTGTTAGAGGAATAGGAAGTGCTCTAGAAACACTGAGGTGGGAGCAGCCATCTTGTTATTGCACATACTGAACACACAGAATGAGCTCTTACTTTGCATATGCATTGGGGATAAAGACTAGAAAAGAAACAAATTAGGCTGGGTGCAGTGGCTTACATCTGTAATCCCAGCACTTTGGGAGGCCAAGGTGGGTGGATTGCCCAAGCTCAGGAGTTCAAAACCACCCTGGGCAACATGGTGAAACCCTGTTTCTACAAAAACGTATGTAAAAAAAAAATTGGCCAGGCATGGTGGTGCATGCCTGTAATCCCAGCTACTTGGGAGGCTAAGGCGGCAGAATTGCTTGAGCCCGGGAGGCAGAGGTTGCAGTGAGCCAAGATCATGCCACTGCACTCCAGCTTGGGCGACAGAGTGAGACTCCATCTCAAAAAAAAAAAAAAAAAAAAGAAAGAAAAAAAAGAAACAAATTACCTAGAGAATTGTTTTGTGTAAAAAACAGAATTATTGTTTTATTTTAATAATAACCTTGTTGAGATAGTATTCCTGTATCATAATATTTACCCATTTAAAGTGTGCAATTCAGGGGCTTTTAGTATTTTCACAGAGTTGTGCACCATTATTGCTATCTAGATTCATAACTTTTTTTTTTTTTTTTTTTTTTTTGAGATGGAGTCTCGCTCTGTCACCCAGCCTGGAGTGCAGTGGCGCAATCTCAGCCCACTGCAACCTCTGCCTCCCGAGTTCAAGTGATTCTCCTGCCTCAGCCTCCCAAGTAGCTGGGACTACAGGCACCCGCCACCACGCCTGGCTAATTTTTATATTTTTAGTAGAGATGGGGTTTCACCATATTGGCCAGGCTGGTCTTGAACTCCTGACCTTGTGATCCTCCCGCCTCAGCCTCCCAAAGTGCTGGGATTACAGGCATGAGCCACTGCGCCTGGCCCATAACTTTTTTATATTCCAAAAAGAACATCCATACCCATAAGCAGTCACTCCTATCCCTCCCCTCCCTCCCCAGTTCCCCAGCCTTAAGCAACGAGTAATCTACTTTCTGCCTCTCTAGACTTGCCTGTTTGGGACATTGCATGGTAATGGAATCTTACACTATGCCCTTTCATGTCTAGCTTCTTTCAATGAGCATGATTTTAAAATTCTTCCATGTTATAGCACATATCAGTATTTCATTCATTTTTATTACTGAATAAGATGTCATTGTATTATGGATATATCACATTTTGTTTATCCATTCAGCAGTTGATGGATATTTGGGTTGTGTCCATCTTTTGGCTATTATGAATAAGGCTACTATAAACATTCATGTATGAGTGTTTATGTGGACATGTTTTTCTTTTTCTTCGGTATATACCTATGTGTAGAATTGCTGGGTCATGTTGACAACTCTGTGTTTAGCATTTTGAGGACATGCCAAACTGATTTCCAGAGTGGCTGTGATATGGTTTGGCTCTGTGTCCCCACCCAAATCTCACTGAATTGTAATAATCCCCGCATGTCATGGGAGGGACCCAGTGGGAGGTAATTAAATCATGGGGGCAGGTTTTTCCCATGCTGTTTTTGTGATAGGGAATAAGTCTCACAAGATCTGATGGTTTTATAAAGGAGAGTTCCCCAGCACATGCTGTCTTGCCTCCCGCCATGTAAGACGTCCCTTTGCTCTTCCTTCGTCTTCTGCAATGATTGTGAGGCCTCCCCAGCCATGGGGAACTATGAGTCCATTGAATCTCTTTCCTTTGTAAATTACCCAGTCTCAGGTATGTTTTTACTAGCAGCGTGAGAATGGACTAATACAGGTTGCAATTTTACCATTCCACCAACAAGCATCAAGGTTCCTGTTTCTTCACATCCTCACCAAAAGTTGTTATTATCTGGAACAGAACTGTTTTGAATGAAAATATAAACTCATTAAAACAGAAAAATTCCAATTATATTATGTTATATGCATTTAAGGTGGCCCATATATCAGTCACGTGATATTAGAACTTAAAGCTGAATGCCACTTTGTAGCTCTGTGTACAAAACAGCTCATTGGAGTCTAATGATCTTATCATTAATGTTCACCAGGTGGTTGGGAAATGCAGGTTTTCTTTTATGTCTAATTGAGAGAGTTAAAGTGTGAAATGATTATATGTATAAAACTGTTGAAAGTTAAATCTATTTCTGACATACAATTAAATATAATTGAAATAGGACAAATTGAATAACAAAATTAAATTTACAAAACAGGATATGAATGGAAATTATCATATGTATGCTGCTTTGTAGGATATTTGGGTGGTGCATTGGCATGAGGGCCAGAGCCCTGTATTTGTACTTACTTGGCATGGTTCCCACCTGCCCAGGCTTGCCTCCTGTACTTCCCTACATTGGCATATCAAAGGAGTTCGCGAGACATTCTCCAGCCAGCACCCTGCGCAGAGAGGATTTCTTTTTCTTTTTTTTTTGTTTTCTGAAGCACGGAGTTTAATGTGGTTAGGAAGCAAAATACAATCTAAGACTCAGACTTGCTTTTAATGAATCCAGGAGACCTGACAATGATACATTATAAAAAACAAAAATAAAAATCTGACAATACCCCCCAACTTGTCAGTGGCTTCCCATAGCCCATGATTGGGTTGAGTGAGTCTCAGTGCATAGGAAGCAGTGCAGTGGTCTTTGTGGCCTGACCTCCGCCCACACCTTCAGCTTCAGCTGCTACCGCTCTCTGAGTACTGAAGTTTTTATAGTTCCCTGAGGGCGCACACTGTGACACTCCTGCATTCTCTGCTAGTGTTTAGTTTCCTTTGCTGGGAGTACCTTTCCCTCTCTGCAAGACTCAATTTACGCACCACCTCCCCCAGGAAGCATTACAGATCCCCCAAGGCTCTACTAGGTCCCAGACATGGCATTAGTCTGGGTGCTTTGTTTACCATGCTGAACAAAAACAGAAAAAGTCCCTGGTCTAGTGGAGCTTATATTTTATCTAAGAGAGGGACTAAACAAGAAATATAGAAATGTCACCTCTTTTGCATAGTAGAAGGTGCCAGGTCTAGGAAATACAAAGATAGTTAAGCAGAATAATGAGAATGGGAAATGTAGGGGATGAGAAAGGTGGAATGCTACATTCAATAAGGTAGGTGGGTGGGCCTCACCTTCTAGACAGCCTTAAAAAGGATGAGGGAATCTGTGATATGGCTAAATCTAGGGAAAGAGCTTTCCAGGCAGAGCAAACAGACAGCCAAAGAGATTACTCTATTGTGAGAGTCTCCATGTTAAACAAATAAAATTCCATCCATAAAGGAAGTTGATAGGTTGGTTTTCCAAAGTATCCTTTCTATAGACCAATATGTACATATTTCCATTTCAATTTTTGAAATCTAAAAAGAAGTTCCAAGACAAATCTCTCCTTTGCCCTCTTCCCTCCCCACACCCCTGCACAATGCACATTTTGTGGACTATTAATAGTCTAGAATTCCTAATCAGAAATTACTGTACACCTAAGTTGCACAGATCATATTGTCTTCTTTCTCCAACAAAAGATCTGGATTTGCCTGTAAAATATATGCCCCGTAATAGTTTTATATTTCCAGAGGGCCAGTTCTGCCTCTGCTCTTCCTTCTCTGAGTCATTTGCCTTTATGTCCCGTCTTCTCTCAGTTTTTAATCTTTCCACATTATTGCCTATTGGTGTTTTCTGGTTGATCTTTTGTGCTAAATTCTAAATGCCATTGTGTGAATTCTTCCTCCTATTTGATAAACCAGAGTGAAGACCTGTTCTAAGATCTTCATCTTCTCTTCAGTGGCTTGCATTAAATCTGTACATTCCTGGAACTTCCCCTTCCCCAGGAAGAAATCTAGCACAGGCCTTGCACAGCATTTTAAGAATCTTTACCACTCCTGAGCCAGGCGTGGTGGCCCATGCCTATAATCCCAGCACTTTGGGAGGCCAAGGCGGGCGGATCACAAGGTCAGGAGATCGAGACCATCCTGGCTAACACAGTGAAATGCCATCTCTACTAAAAATACAAAAAAATTAGCCAGACGTGGTGATGGGGCCCTGTAGTCCCAGCTACTCAGGAGGCTGAGGCGGGAGAATGGCGTGAACCCAGGAGGTAGAGGTGAAGGTTACGGTGAGCTGAGATCGCACCACTGCACTCCAGCCTGGGCAACACAGCGAGACTCTGTCTCAAAAAACAAAACAAACAAACAAAAAAACCCAACAAACTACTCCTTGCTGGGTGTGGTGGCTCACAGCTGTAATCCCAGCACTTGGGAGGCCAAGGCAGGTGGATCACCTGAGGTCTGGAGTTTGAGACCAGCCTGGCCAACCATGGCCAACATGGTAAAATCCCATCTCTATTAAAAGTAGAAAAATTAGCTGGGTGCAGTGGCAGGCACCTGTAATCCCAGCTACTTGGGAGGCTGAGGCAGGAGAATCACTTGAACCTGAGAGGCAGAGGTTGCAAGTGAGCCAAGATTATGCCACTTCACTCCAGCCTGGGTGACAGAGTAAGACTCCATCTCAAAAAAAAAAAAAAAAAAGGAATGTTTACTGCTCCCATATTTACTGATTTGATTTGGATTTTGGAAATATCTTGACCACTAAAATTAAAAAAAATAATTTTGCTATATTACCTGCTGGTTTTCACTATTTTTTAAGTAACATGATTTTTCATGTCGTTATTATATATTTTTAGGTGATTATGGAAGTAAATGCTAGGAATATTTTTATTCCTCTAGAGCTTCTTGCTCTAACAACATAATAATCTAAGTTAAAGAACTGGCTCAAGACTTGTAAATGTGTATTTTTTTGGATTAAAAATCTTTTTTTTTCCATTTTTCTTGTATCTCTTTTTATTTCCATATATTAAAACTTTAAGTGCCAGATGTATATAATCTTTTTTTTTTTTTAATTTCCTGAATGTCACACATCCTGCGATTTCTTCACAAGCTGCGTTTGTTAAATAGGAGATGATGGAAGGTTTGTTATCCCCGCCCCCACCCACCAACATAGTCATTTAATGCTCATCAGTGATAATTGCTGTGTGAATTTAGTTGATTTGTGCTTGCTTCGCTGTCAGTCTTTGGTTTTATGGATCTAGGAAGGACATATAAATGTACCTTTGCATTTTAGAGAAAGTTTTATTTTATCCTATATCCTGTGTTACATCACTATATCTTAATTGTGGATTTTTTGGTTCACTTTGCTCGTTCATTTAAATTTTTTATCAAAGTAATAATTGTATAGTTTAAAAATCAAAATAATATTTACAATGCTTACACACAAAAAAATAGCATTTTTGTCACTCCGTCTCTCACTAGTTCTTGTCAGCTCTTCTCATCCCTCCCCACCTGTGAGGGTTAAGCTACACTTTGGTTAGTCCAAGCACACTTTCCAGTATGCTTACCATGTTATGACTTATCTCCTCTATACACGAGTAGGAAAATTATCAGTAATAGTGGTTTCTAGAGTAGTACTTGAGGAGGGTAACGGGTGGCGTGTGCATGCTTCATGGCCTTATTCAATCAAGCACTCTACTCTTGATTTACTGCTAAATCCTCCTTGAATCTTTAGATTTCCTAAAGGCTATCATGAGATTTTCTGGATATAGAAAATGTAGCCCATTAGTCTCTGTCAGCTTCATTACCAGGGTTTTTTTGTGTGTATGTTGCTTAGATCCATATTTTTATATAAGATAATTATTCTGGTATTTCTAGATTTTTTCATTCTTACCTTTTATTGACTATGGAAGAAAAGGATCTAGCCTGCAAATACTGTAGCATCTCAACATAGTGATGTCAAATACTACTAAAAATTTAGTTGTCTTCAAAAGGAAAGATTTTATTCATTCTAACATATAATGAAAGTTCAGTATTTTAGAAAATAAAAGTCTGACTTTTCATAATAGGTTGCCAGGGAACTACACCGAAGGCAAAATACTAGAGCCAGTAGGTGGTTATGTGTTTAATTTTAAGAGGATAACAACATTAACAAATTCCATTTGGCAACAGCGTTAAAATTGCACCTGGGAAAATCTTCATTACTCTTATCTTGCAGCAGTCACTGAAGGAGTTTGGTTGTTTTTATAGGTGCAGGGGTGAAAGTTTAGCTCCACTTCAAGGAACAAAGGTGCTAAAGAGAAACTATTCTGAGAATCATAGATTTGCATGAAAAACCTCACAAAAGAAAAATAGTAATTGCCTCAGCATGAGAGATGGAACATATTTTAAGATAATTGGAGACTGTTTTATATGTGCCCTCATTGGTTTATTTTTGATTTCATGTATGTACTTTGTTTCTATCGCTTCATTTTTTTTTCTTAATGTATTCTAAATAATGTAAAACCCTTCTGAGGATCTTATTGCTACTTGTGAAATTACCTTTCTCTGTATCATTGGATGTAATTTTTTTGTCAGTCAGTCTTACAAGAAAAAAGTATCTTAGCAAAGGCTATTATATTTTATCAATCTGACATCAGTGAAAATCCTAAAAGTACATTTTGTGTAAATTCAAATACACTGTAACAATTTCCCTTAAGTGAATATTTTAAAGCTGTTTCTTTTTTTGTATACTTAACGTTTACAGAAATTATCTTTTTTCCTTTGTATTTTTCTTCATTCATATCTATAAAATTTACATTTTGGCTTCTAACTTAGCTGAAATGCTTGCTATTAGTCATTTTCTTGCTAAGTGTGGTCAGAAGTGGTATAGTTGAAGATGTCCCATAATTTGGTGAACACGTGAGGTTACAAACTCAACTTTTGCTTCTCTTTTGAAAGGCCCTGAGACGGGAGTTAAAGGAGAAAGAATATTCTGTCCTGAATGCTGTCGACCAGGCCCGAGTTTTCTTGGCTGATCAGCCAATTGAGGCCCCTGAAGAGCCAAGAAGAAACCTACAATCAAAAACAGGTGAGACTGGTTTCTCCACTACATCATAAAAACACATGCTAGGAGAACAAAAAACCCAAAATCAAGTAGGAAATTTCCTTACAGCATTTTAGGATCTAATATTTAAATCTTTTCTTCTAAGTGTTACTTTATTCAAATATGTCATTAATTCACAGATATCTAGATTCTTAAATTAAGAAAATAAAATTTTTGTATACCTCAATATCAATTTTAAAGGAAATTAACTGCAGAAAAAATAGATTGTCTAAAAAGTGTACTGTAACTATAAAAGTAATTTCTATAAGAAATAAAAATTTATATTATATTTAAACAAGTTACATGATAAATAATTGCAAGTAGTAGAAAGTTATTAAAATATAATAAATATACAAAATATTTCAAGGTCTATAAGTAAGATTACTTTTGATAATGACACACCAAAGTCCTTTCTTTTACAAGCAGACAACATTTCTTTAATTTAAAAATAATACCCTGTGTGTTTATTTACTTTGGCTTAAAATTTAAATAATAACTACCTTACTAGCAAATTTACTAGCAAAAAATATATATTTCTTATATTTAAACATGTTATGTGATAAATAATTGCAAGTAGAAGACATTTATTAAAATATAATAGTAAATATATAAAATATTTAAATATCTATATGTAAGGTTACTTTTAAAAATGAGAGACCAAATACTTTTCTTTTACAAGCAGACAACATTTGTTTAATTTAAAAATAACCTGTAACATTTATATACTTTAGCTTAAAATTGAAATAGTAACTACCCTACTAACAAATAGCAATATATCACATAGTAAACTTAAGAGAAAATGTGTAATGAATTCTGGGTCCAATATATATCTGTATTGTGATTTTTCACTGCTGACAATAAAATCATTCTGATGCATTTTTAAAAATAAACATGCCATTCAAAATCGTTTTTCATCATTCACTTCACATAGTAACAGCAAACCTGAAAGATTGCCTCATGCTGTGTCCAGCAGTGTAAATCATGAACATTTATTACTTGTAAGGGAAGCATAGTTAGAAAATGCTTTCTTTGACTATAACTGGAACTGGATCAGACATATGGACAGGTAGCCGTTTTCCTACTGAATCTTACTCAAGGAACCTTCTTCAGTCCGAATAAATTTCCCATCAAGACCATAATCTTTTTGACTCTCTGAAACTAGTTGTATATATGTGTGTGTGTATATACACACATGTACACACACACACAGCACACTTAACTTGTCTAGCATTTCTTTTTGTTTTCTGCTGGTGGTAACACTGTCTTTCCAGTTAGCCTCCTACAAAGCTAAGTCATTGTTGAGTCTTCCACTTTTCACCAAATCCAGTGGTCTACAAATCACTCATAATTATTATTTCTTTTCTTTTTCTTTTTTTTTGAGACAGAGTCTCACTCTACCACCTAGGCTGGAGTGTAGTGGTGCGATCTCGGCTCACTGCAATCTCTGCCTCCCAGGTTCAAGCAATTCTCATACCTCAGCTTCCCATATAGCTGGGACTACAGGTGTCCACCACCACGCCCAGCTAGTTTTCATATTTTTAGTAGAGACGAGGTTTTGCCATGTTGGCAAGGCTGGTCTTGAACTCTTGGCGTCAGGTGATCTGCCTGCCTCAGCCTCCCAAAGTGCTGGGATTACAGACGTAAGCCACTACACTCAGCCTTATATTTGTTATTTCTATCTTTGAAGAATTATTCCTTTTGAGTACTCTGTTTTATATATATATATATATATATATACATATATATATATATATATACACACATATATATATATATACACACATATATATATATACACATATATATATATAAAAAATGTATACACACACACGTACATACTCATGTGCACACACATACTGCCATTAATTCCACATTCTCAGCCTTTTGTGTGTAGACTTAGAATAGTTTTAGGCAGAATCTGTTGCTACTTTTGGTAGCATTGGTCCCATTGCATTGTTCTGTCATCTGTGTGCAACACGTAGTATTTGCCCATATATTCTCTCTCTTCCACTTTAGTCTACTACTGATAAGTAAATCTTATCATGTAATCATATTCGTGTTTCTCCCCTGATTATACATCTTTCTTGACTTTCCATTGCATACTGAAAAAAAATCTTGGCCTCCAGCATGACATTTATTGTTTCATTTTATGTCATGTTATGTTATGTTATGTTATGTTATGTTATGTTATGTTATGTTATGTTATGTTATGTTATGTTATGTTATTTTGAGACAGGGTTTTGCTCTGTTGTCCAGGCTGGAGTGTAGTGGTGAAATCACGGCCCACTGCACATCAACGTCCCAGGATCAAGTGATCAATCCTCCCACCTCAGCCTACTGAGTAGCTGAGACTACCACAGACTATCTTTTTTAAAAGTTTTTGTAGAGATGGAATCTCATTGTGTTGCCTAGGTTGGTCATGAACTCCTGGGCTCAAGCCATCTTCCCATTTTGGTCTCCAAAAGTGCTGAGAATACAGCCATGAGCCACCGTGCCCAGCCTAGCATAATATTTATTTTAAAAATCTTTGGATCATCACCTTGAATGCAAACATGCAGCAATTAGGCATATAATTGAGACTACTGATTAAAGCACACAAATGTGATTTCTGTGCACATATGTTGCACTCTGAAGATATCATTTGCTGAGCTTAGGGCTATTTTGAATATAGCACATTTGATCAAATGGAACACAATCCTTGTACATTACTGCCATTTGGAAAACATACTGCTTTTGGCCGGACGCGGTGGCTTACACTTGTAATCCCAGGACTTTGGGAGGCCGAGGCAGGCGGATCATGAGGTCAGGAGATGGAGACCATCCTGGCTAACACGGTGAAACCCCGTCTCTACTAAAATACAAAAAATTAGCCAGGTGTGGTGGTGCATGCCTGCAGTCCCAGCTACTCAGGAGGCTGAGGCAGGGGAATCGCTTGAACCCGGGAGGCAGAGATTGCAGTTAGCTGAGATAGCAACCCAGCCTGGTGACAGAGTGAAACTCCATCTCAAAAAAAAAAAAAAAAAAAACTTTGTAATTGAAGCCCTCCTGATTTTTCAACAAATTTTTTACTACCATTTTTATAGTTCCATAACCAATCTATACTATCTACTTCCTTGAATGATTTTGGAACTGTCTTGTCATGGATGTGCTACCTTCCCTTCTTCCATCTTTTGAAGTTCTTTCAAAAGAACATTTTAAGGCTTGCTTATGTCCTTCATATACAATATTAGAATGGTTAAGAGCCTTAGAGATGAACTAGTCCAAGGCTATTCACTTAACAGATGAGAAAACTGAGGTCCATCGAGGAAAAATGAACTGCTCAGGTCTCAGCCCAGTCCTGTTGGATATCTAACATATGCAGCTATTGTTTGTATTGATTTTCAGATGTTAAAATTTTCTTACTTGCCCTAAGTTGAGGAATCCAGTTTTGAGCATTTTATAACCTATGCAATGCCTGTATATATCAGGTACTCAATAAAAGTTTGATGAAGAGTACATGACTACCTGAGTAAATAAGAGGTATAAAGAAATTCATTTATTTATTATTCTGACTTCATATACAACCTATTACAAGAACATTTTTATGAGCTAGATGCTTAACAATGATTCCTCTCTCACCCCTCCCCTGGCCGCCATCACCATATTTAACAACAAGGAAAATGAGCCCAGATGTCTCATGTACCCCGTAAATATGTATACACTTACTGTGTACCCACAAAAATTTTCAAAAAAGGAAACAAGCCGAAACTGTAGAGAATTCTTTGAAAGAGTTGAACTCATCAGTACTTGCTTTTCCTCACAATCTTGAGTCTATAAAGAATAACTGTAGATGGGAGAAACTGATATTATCAGCAGTAGAGTAATTGGATTATTGATTTTTAAGATGAAATGGAAATAAACCCCAACTTTTCTAGAATGAGCACTCAACATTTACGAAATTCCTTTCCTATATCTGTCAAGAAGCCCCTGCCCCCTCCCGTCACCCTGAGTCCATTCTTCCATCAGTCTTTGCATCTTACCTCATGCTCCTCCGTCTTCTGGGTTGCTCGGGCTAAAATCCACTGGGCCGCTCTTGGCTCCTTTGTCCTTTTGTCACCCAAATCCATTCTGTCAGCAAGTCCTGTCATCACTACATTCAAAAGGTACCTAGAATATGATCCTTTATCACCACGTCTACTATGCTTTCCTGGTCTAAGCCCCCACTACCCCTTGGATGATTGCAGGTTCCTTCAACTCATCTGCCTGCTCTGCCTTTGCTCCCTTATTAGAGATTTCCAACACAATAGCTGTAAGGACCATTTGAATATATAAGTCATGTCATGTGACTCAGAGAAGTCAGATTCTTATAATGGCTCACAGACTGTATGCCAGGGGGTGCCATGTTACATTTCTGACCTGGTCTCTTATTATTGTCCCTTTCGTTCCACTCCCTGTAGATGTAAGCTCCTTGAAGACAGAGGGTTATTTTTTTTTCACTGCTGTATTTTGTAATATTTAGAATACTATCTGGCACATAGTAAGTGCTTATTACATAGTGTTTGAAAGAATACGCATGAGCTGAGCACTGTCCAAGATGGATAAAGAAGTATAACGCATGTTCCTGAGGTTTCAATTTAGTGGGAGATCAAAACTAGCACAGAGCGTGAGAAAGCAAGCAATGTAAAAGTGTCCGTAGTCATGCACTCAGTTGTGTCCTGAGGATTCTAAGTGATGCGGGCATTCCAGGAGAGAAGGACTCTGAGGGTCAGAGTGGAGAGAGGTTGATTCCTGAGCTAGTCTTAGGGGTATGGACAGGTAGGAAGTGATTAAGTTCGGGAAAGAGGAATGGCCATGCTGGGGACAGAATCCTTAGCAGAACAGCTCAGCCATAAGGAAAGAGCAGCTGTATTTTGGGGAGTCAGTAGACAGCCTGGCCTGGTTGCCAGAGTCTTGTGCCTGGACGGCAGATGGGGATGAGATGGTTGTATGTGCTGAATGGTTCAGAGGACCTGGAAAGGTCCTACAGAGGACCTGGAAAGTCAGGCAGAACATTGTAACTTCATACAACAAGAAAGAAGGTGCTAGTACAGTTTTGTTTTTTTAAGCTTGGGGAAAAAAATAAGAAGTTCACTTGTCTCATCTTATCCAATTTAAAATCTACCTTCAGTCAGCTTTTCTTGTCTCCTTTCTTCCCTAGGACTTTGCGAAGTTTATAAAAAGCTACTTTAAAGCAGTACAAAGTGTTACATCACTAAAACGCCACATTATTCTGGACTCTTCTCAGTGGTCAGTCATTTAAGGGTTAAAACGATATTGTATAATTTAAAAAAAAGTTTCATGAACATTCTAGTCATGCGTCATTCATAGTGTTGGTGAGGAAGTCATTTGGGCACACATGTTTCAAATCCCTAATAAAATGTCTAGAAAGATACACAGAAAAAAAAAATACTGGTTTTTGAGTTCTTATTTTACTGTGACATTCAGGATGTTTTAAGCTCCATGTTTTTAATACTACATTTGGGGGGACAAGAAAAAAAGAAGTCATGTCAATTTAACTTTATGGTTTTTTTTGTTGTTGTTTGTTTATGATTAGCAATTTTCATACTGCCTCCTTTCCTGATACTATTTTCTATAACAATGGCTGGTTTTACTTGTTAAAAATAAATCGAAGAAAACTATCCATAATAGCTTTTATACTTTTGTTGTTTACCATGACTTATGTACATCTGCTATTAGAAGTAGCAAGCATTTGAACATTAGTTATCCTGTTTGATGCCGAAGTACTCAATGTTGGAGAGGTTAGATCAGGAAGAAATCAAGTGATTTTTTTCGGTTCTATTTAATAAGCATTTTGTGAGTATGTGATGTGTACCATGCTATAAGGACATACCAAGATGGAGTCACCTCTTTTCTTTTAGGTAACCATTCTAGAAAACACTTTCCTCCATGATTTTTATCTCCAATGCCTTTTTTTCTTCCAGTTCCTTTAAATTTTTTCCATTACTAATTATCTTATACTGTTGTATGTATTTTTAAGTATTTAAAAATCACTATTAATTGACCATTCCACATTAGTTTCCTCCATACCAATCTTATGCTAGGCCTATTTCAATATATTCTTAATTGGCATTTCTCCATTAACATAAATCCTAAAATGATAAACCTAAAGCACAAACCTGGCATGAGGTTTCCTGGAGATAAAAACTGCCCGTAGTGCATGCCATGGGATCTGAGCTCCTCCACCTGGCACAGAAGGCTGCACAGCAATTTGTCCTCAGCTTTTCCATCCGGCCCCACCTTGTGCCTCTCTTCACTCCACTCTTGAGGTTTGCTGGGAGCCAGGCTCCTCACTACATTCTGCAGGTAGTGGTCTTCCTTGCCTTTGCCCCATTGCCCATCCCAGTTTTCTGCCTGTAGGTCCTCTGACCTGATTTCCAACGCTTGCCTCATTTGCCCACGCAGCTGCTGGTCATCCTGCCGGCTCTGCTGGGGCTTTGTGTCTTCCTGGACGCTTTCCCTTCCCGAGCTCTCTGCCATGATTCCCTGGCACCCTGTGGTCTCTCTCACTGTGTTTTCCAATGTCTGTGTCTGAAGCTTGGCCCTTCCCTCTTTTTTTAGTGATTACCCTCATTGATGGAGAGTCTGAAAGAGTGTAAAAAAATGATCTGAGCAGCCAGGATAGAGATTGTATGGAAAACATAGTGCAGATCCTTTTCTTAGATCATGGGAAAGCCACTGAAGTACTTCTCAGAGGTATTAACTTCTGCTGTAGACACTGGTGCGACTGTATGAACTTGATGTCCGGTGAGTGATGGGTAAGTAGCAAAATGAAGTGACAGGACAGGGACAAAGATTAATGGTAAGAAATGACTCCAGCTGTCTGACAGCAATGAGGAGAAAGAAATGATAAAAAGATATGCAAGAATCCTAAAATAAAACAAAACGAGGTAGTCTTTGGGACTTTCAACAGTAAAAGAAAACTGAAGCTGTGAATTATGGTGTGTGTATTTCTGAAGACAGAATATAAATCAGTTAAGAGAAGGCATAGGAATTTATATTATATTTTAGTAAATTTTCTTCCAAAATGGTAACCATAAAAAAATAGGGCTAAATGGGTAAAATGTAGCTCTTTGGAAAACTCAACTACTCAGATTTCTGCTTATAAATGGCTATTAAGTAAATATGATTTTTAGCTGAACTAAAATTATCTGAATCCTTGTAGAAATTTTACCAAGTTCACAACTTTGTCAGTAGTCCCTGACTTTTGTTTGAGCAATATGGAAATACTTAATTTCATTTAATTTGTATCATGTCAATGTATACTTTTTCCTTTTAATGCAATTGAACTGTTTTTTTTTTTTATTTTAATCCCTAGTTTGTATGTGTTAGAAAGTATCACAGTACAACAATCTCTCATCCTTTGCATTGTTCTTTGTACTTTCCAAGCAACTTTCATATTCATTCTCCTGTCTATCCCAATGAGTTGAGCCGATCATACAGTATGATTTTTTTTAAAAATAAAAACACAAAGGCCAAGAAGATATTATGGTGCTGACCAAAGTCATCCAGCTAACGAAAGGTAGATGCAAGAACAGAGCCCTATGCGTCTATGACAATGACTTCCTTAACCTCTGGATTTTGGCTGGCTTTTGACTCATCCCTTCGATTTTATCTCCTCTATCTGTGTTCACTGACGGCCATCTGGCCCCTAACTTCCTAGCTCCTCCTTGATCTCAATGTCTAGAGCCTCTTAAACTTGCATCCATGTTTTCTGGTCTCTCCCTTGTGCTGCCAGCCTCCCCTGGCTGTTCTCAGTACCAGATCAGAATTCCTGTGTGAACCACACTGCTGCACAGTGAAGCTGTGCAAGACAACAGCCTTCACCCACCCCTACCCCCAAACCTCCAGAGGGAATTAGGGAATATTTGTGCCTTCTCTCCTGTTCATTACCTTCAGTTCAGTTTAAAAGTCAGATCTGCACAGGGGAGTTGGAGCCTTCTGTCGGTCTTCCTCTCTCCATACCACATACAGATGCAGGCAGGCAGGCACGCACATGCACAAGCACCCCCCACCAAACATACTTTATGATTTAAAGCTAAGGTATCAATCACTAAATAAAACTGCTAACAATTTTATAGGCTATCTCACCTCTAAATGTGTTTAGAAAATTACACAATTCATTGTATACATATGTATGGAGAAAACACCTGTCCTCTTCTTGTGATATTTTTAGATTAAAAAAGAGATTGCATTATTTATCCACCAGTTTCCTCAGGAATCATCTTTAAAAATTATTCCAGTTAAAGAATTACTGTTACTACAACTACTATTTTATTTAAGCTGCCTGAATATCATTTCTGTTTCAGCCTGGAGCAGTCAATTTTGCTTAATTTAAATATTTTATTAATAATCATAGAAAAACCCAGCTATTACTTAATTTAGTCTATTTGTGCATGTATAGTTGAGTATAGTGGGTATAGTTGTGTATGTGTGTATGTGCATATACAACTTTATATAGTTGTGTATGAATGTATATGTGATGAATAGTTAATAATAATTTTTCAGATGAAAAAGTATGTATGGGTTAATGTTTTCCTCTTTGGTCCTTTGACAGATGGCTATGTATATTTAGTACATAATATGGTATGTAATATTTAACTCAGGGTATACTGTTTAATTTTTAAATATTTCCTGATATTTTAGAAAGCCAAGTATTAAGACTATTTTTCTTCCCTGTAAAATCTCATATATTTTGTGATACAACGAAGAATTTATAAGTGACATATTCAGTCCACTATGTCAGTCCACTTTATGCCAGTATTAGCAAACTTATGCAAATACAATTTCATAGTTATTAAATGAGTGAAGATTTGAAATTATTATATAGTTTAGTAGAAGTTACTTTTATATTCTCCATATAACTTAAGGTTACAACATTATTTTCTTGTATGTAATAAAATGAGGACAAATTACACATTAGTTAATAGAAGTAACTGGGCTAGTAAAACTAATGGGTGTTTTCTCCCAGGGCTTTTGTTTTCCTCACTAACAACTTTATTAATTGGAGCCTCATTCATTGTAAATGACAGGCACACAGCTTCCCTAAGTGTAGGCATGAAGGGGAAGGCATTGGCCTCCATAACCGAGCCACGGTAGAGACGTAGCTGACCACAGGGACTGGAATACCACCCAGAAGGCTTTTCTCCATGTCTTCTTCTCTGCTTCTCTGTACAGGTTTTCATTTTCTTAGCTTTCCTATGACTGTATAGCTCACAACCTCATACCAGGAAGGGCTCACCCTTCTTTAGATCCAGAATATTCCAGGAGAGGGCTCTGGTTGACTTGGCCCGAGTAACATGGGACTCAGGGACTGCTAGGATTGGCAGACCTTCTTCATAATATCATGCTAAATGGAGGAAGAATCCAATCCCATAAAGGAAGGGGAAAGTGAAAAATGGTAGTAAATGCAGACATTCCCAACAAGCCAGAATTTCACAGGTGCTGACCATGTGCCACACACTGTGCCAAGAAACTTACCTACCTTGTTTAATTGCATTCTCATAATAATTCCTTGAAGGGTGAATACTTACCACCCATTCTACAGATGAGGAAACTGAGAGTCTGAGAGGCTTAGAGGCATACTGTCTTCTATGTGACAGAGCCAAAATACAAACTAAGGCTTATGTCACAAAACTTGATGCTCTTAACTGCCATAGTGTACTATCTTAAACTACTTCCGTAATAATTAGTATTTGTAGCTATTCAATAGAAACAACATTTTATTTTCATTTTCTTCGATTTTAAAATAATTCACACAGTAATTGAATATGTTTATAACTCTTTGCTTTTTTCTTTATTGTTGCTCTTTCTTCACTGAAATACCACGCTGCATAATGGAATCATAAACAGTTCACTGATTTCCTAACACCGAGGGAGAAGGTGTCTAGGCAATATTAGACTTTGTCTTTTTAATTTTCATATAAAAATTTGAAGTATAAGTAATTGCTTTCAGGCCTATAGACCACGACAATAATTTCATTAGCTTCTCAAGTCCAAATTAGATTAGTAAAGTTGTAATGCATGAAAAAGCGCAGAAAAATATAATGTTACTTTCTTTTCCGGTGTTCTTAACTACAGAGCAGTAATGTGATTTTTCACAAATTAAAGTTCTATAATATCTGTATGAATATAATGCATCTAGTCTTCAACTTTTCTAAAATACAACGAGCCAGCTGAGTAAGCCCATCGATTGGGTAAAAATTTGGAAAATGTTTTTCATGCTAACTCCTACTGTAGTAATAAAATCTCATTTAAATAAACAATAGTCTTCATGAAGAATTATATGATAAAGATTTGTTTGATAGACATAGCATTTTCAATTAATTGTTTACCATCTGTTATGTTCTCTAATCAGTGTTACAGCCATTCATAAATCACATTTGCCTCATAAAAAGATGGCAATCGTTTACACGTGTGTATTTTATTATAATCAGCATCTGAGACATTACTTTCTGATTTAAACATAAAGGACCGGAGGATACAAGACTCTTTGAGCGTGGTATAATGTACTTATGTTTTGTGATTGTTGTTGTTCTTAGTAGAAAACTGGAATCTTCCAAGAATTAGAGGTTTTGCCATTTTTTAAGAAGTATAATCCTAGCAAAGGCATGAATTCTCCTCTTCAATTAAACTCATCACTTATTTTGGCAGTACATAAACATAAGCCATATTTAACTTATAAGAATGGCAGAGCATGGGTAGAAAGCTCCAGACTTCTCTGTAGCTCGATCAATCACTAGGGGCTGTGTTTAGCTGGGAAGCAGCCTGGGGAGAGATGGGCAGTCATGTGGCAAGAAATAAAAGACTTTGAATCTAAAACTCCTGTCCTTTGATTCTTGAAAGAGAAAGGGGAGAATTTTCTTCTTTATTTTCTTTTTCTAGTTAAAGATATTGTACAGAGATTGATTTATGCATTTAACAAGTACGTTTTGAGTGCCTACCATTTACAAGGGGGGTGTTCTAGATACTCGGGATACAGTAGTAGGCAAAACAGATGTTTTTTTCCTCCTGAAACATTCTCAGCTTTTCCTCTTTCCTTTTATTGCCACCTGCCTGCCCCCAGTGACCCATCTGTTGATGTCCAGCCCAAAGGAATTCACTTGAATAAATCGCAAAACTGCCACTACTTGGAGGAAATTCAGGGATTATTCCTGAATGAAGAAAATGGAAAGATCTCAGGTTGCTTAGCGAGGCCCTGGTTGTCTGTTCCAGGGTCTCTTTGCTCTTCCTGCTTCTTTCCTTGGAGTTGCGTCTGTCTAGTGGTTGGCCCCTGCTTCTTCCTCCACTCAACTCTGGGCTTATTTACTTTGGCCACTTCACAAGAAGAGTAAACCTTGAATGTATTTAGACTCCAGTTCTGCCTCTATTGACTTCAGGTCAGTGGTGCCATGTAGCTCCCTCCAAAGCGTGTTTTGTATTCTGAGTTCCCCTTCATTTGTGTCCCCTCTCTTAATAACTTGCATTTACTATTTGTGGAAGGTAGTCCCTAAATCTGTTTACTTTTGAGGTCTTGATGTTCCCTAAATATATCTAGGTTCTCTTTTCTTAAAAAAAGAAAAAAAAAGAATTTGAGAAGTCCACTGGCAGCATGGATGAATCTATGCCATCTTTATCATATCTGTATTGAAAGATTTAGGCTACATATTAACAGGTGAATCTGCTCTGAGTAGCCTCTTGTTATTGTCATCCTTATAATTTATTAAATGGACATAATTAGAAGCACTAATCAGCCGTGGCACTTGATGATGTACTTGTAATCTGGCTCATAATGAGTGGTTGTCATCAGTTATTGTACAGAGTAGGAAATGGTCAGGGCCCTCTCAAACACTGATTGAACATTTCAGAGTTATTAAATGGATCTTAATCACTTTATCAGAAAATTAGGAAATAATGTATTTCCCAATATTTTAATCAGAAACATCTTTTGGTCATGAGGAAAGAGAGAGAGAAATAGGAGGGGGGTAAAGAGAGAGAGATATTGAGAGAGAGCAAGTCAAGTCTTTTCCTTTGAGTTCTTATTGGCTAATCAACCTGGTTTGCTTATGTGAAAATCTCTACAGATATCTAAGCCTCCCAGAGCTAGTTATAAAATAGTAAAAAGGAATGAAAGAGTAACCTTCCTCAAGAACCTACTGTGTGCCACACATGTGCCAGTAGCTTTCTATGTATTAACTGAGGTTGAAAGAGATAAGGAATATATCTAGGATTATGTAACTAGTTAGTATTGGAACTGGCATGCAATCTCCTAATCTTTTCTTCTACCAAATTGTCCAACAGTAAAAATGCCAGTTGTGAATTTTTTTCTTTACTTGATTGTTTTAATATTTCCTTTTCGTCTTTTGGTAGAATAAAACAATAAGATTATAGATACATGCAAAAAAGCAAATAGTATAAATAAGGTATTTGGAATTACCATACCTGAAATGACTTTGTAAGGTTGATCCTTCTATTTCACAATAGTTTTTTTGTAAGTGCTTTACACAGATGTGAGAAGGAGGAAGAAAAATGAAGTGAAAATATGTCCACTTAAAAGTGTAAAGTTGAATGTTCTCAATAAAGAGGAGCACTAAAAATTCAATTCCGTCCAACTCAATTAAGTAATTATATACTGAGGACATACCAATCTCTAGACTGGCTACTATAAAATCAATATGGAAGGAAAGAAAACATTCTTGACATTGGGCTTTAAAACGTAAGTGTAGAAAAGCCACAATGGAGATTACAAATGTTGATATCATAATTGAGAAAAAAACACCATACATATGGGAAATGTTTATTAAACAATAACACTGGGCGAATTCTAATAAATATCTATCATTATTTCATGGGAGAAACATAGTTTCATTTTTAAAATTTAAAAAATAGCTTTGCATAAGCACTCAAAGGAAGAGTTTTTTTTCCTCTACTATCAAGATTTCTTTGAGATATACAGAGGCTCAACCTTCTTACATAATTGAATTGAGGTAAAATAGACTCTTGAAATAAAATATTTTTCTAGCATGAGAAAATAGGGTTTGCACTTGATAAAATTGGGCTGGGCAGGTCAAGTAACTGGCCTAGGGGCAATGGGCAAAATGGGAGCAGGACTGATTCCAAATCCTAGTCTCTGTTCCTGGTCCAGCTTTGGTTTTTCACCTGCATTCTAGGGAAGTGTATTATAGTCTTCTTCCTCATGGTATAAAGGAGAGCGTGGCATAAATGCTGTGCCACTAATTTGCATATTTGAAGAAGTAAAGGTAATTGGATGACAGAAAACATCAGGATTGATCTTTCCTTTTTCCTCTCTTCCTTTGTCTTCTTCCTGTTTCTTCTTTCTAAAAGATAGTTATCTGTGGTCCCTTAAATAGCTTTGTAATGCAATAAATAAATTGGTGTTTAAAAATTATGAAATATGAATATAAAATAATATTCATAATACATGATACATAAATATATAATATAAATAAATATAAAAGTATAAGTAAGAGGCTAGGTGCGGTGGCTTATGCCTGTAATCTTAGCCCTTTGGGAGACTGAGGTGGGAGGATCACATGAGGCCAGAAGTTTGAGACCAGCCTGGGTAACATAGTGAGACCTCATCCCTAAAAAAAAAAAAAAAAAATTAGCTGGCCACTGTGGCACATAACTGTGATCCCAGCTACTCAGAAAGCTGAGGTGGGAGGATCACTTGAGCCCAGGAGTTTGATGCTGTGAGCCAGGCTTATGCTACTGCACTTCAGCTGGGGCAACAGAGCAAGACCCTGACTAAAAAAAAAATGGTGTATACATATATATATATATATGTGTGTGTGTGTGTGTGTGTGTGTGTGTGTGTATAAAATTTTTAAATATATAGATATATAAAAATTATGTATAATATATACATAATTTTACTTATGTATAATATATACATAATTTTACTTATGTATAATATATACATAATTTTACTTATGTATATTATACATAAATATATATATTTTCTTCTGAGTAGTTGAGTGTATATGTACGTAATATAATTCTACCCTCAAATTTTGGCCAGTTCAATGGGAAGACCCGAAGGGAGGAGAATGGAGAGTGACAGGGCATACACACACACACACACACACACACATACACACACACACACACACACACTTTAGAGAATAGGAAAGTGACATAGGAAAAAAAAGTCTTCTGATCTCAGAATTGCTAGCAAATTTATTTGGTTTTCTCCTGCTGTTTCCTCTGTCTCTAGCATTAGCCTCTATTACTGCCTTTCCCAATGCAAATTAGATTACCCTCTTATCACTGAGCTTCATTTGCTCTCTGGCCTCCAGTATTTAGTGACTGTGCTCTGTGTTGACACAAGAACCCAGTGGAGTGGAAATGTCCCGTAAGCTTCAGCTACATGGTCCAGAGAAATCAATTTATATGCCAATAGGCTAGCCACATTCCATCCTGACAACCTGTTAGAACCACCTGGGGAGCTTTGGCATCTATCTATCCATGCCAGACCTTACGCTGACCAGGGAAATCACTACCTTTTGGGGGAGGGTTCCTGGATTATCAGCCTTAAAAACTCACTCAGTCCCTCACTGTGAGGGTCGTTTCTAACATGACACCGGGGTTCTTCACTGGTGAAGCAGATTCTCTGCTTCTACTTGTAGGTGGTCCTTAGCATTTACCACAAATACCTATTCAGAAAATCTCAAGTAACATTTGTCCTTTGATTTTCAAATGAGAGTACTTTTTTTTTTAAGAATGCAATAATTTCCCTTTTTTTCATTTTTTTCTGCCTTTTAGATGTTTGAATTTATTTATTATTTATTTTACCCCAAATAGTCATACCTTCATATTTCACATGTCGCTTCTTCTTATGTATTTCACAGACTTCTAGAAAGTTTTTGTTTTGTTTTTTACTTTGCTCTGTGCTTGGCTTAAAGTATGCATTCAGCTGAGATTGTTGCTGCACTGGGAAACTCTTATTTTGACTCAAAAGTGATTCGTTGATATGTTTCCTTTCTGGCAGACAGATGGTGAATTGAACACAGAGCTTTTCTTTTCTTCTGAGTAGCTTCTTGAGTGGGGATTATGTAATAAATACTGCACAAGGACTGCTCAATCAATAAATTTTTACATTAAGGAAAGATAAAAACGTCAGAGGCAGCAGATGATGTTTTGTCACAAGACAAAGAACCCATGGGCCTCCCTGTGCCAAGTTATTTAATGTCTGACAGAATGAGTTTTTACTTTATCTGAGGAAAATTACCATAATTAAGTTGTCCGTTCTGAAATGAGTAGTGTATTTCTTTTTTTACAGTAGTCAATGCTTAAGATATATTTTTGAAAAAGCCCAAGTGACTTATTAACAAACACAGGTGTTTAATCATAAAAGTTACCACCTCTCATGAGACTAAGAATGATTTTTTTATCTTAGACATAACATTTTATATTTATATAAAATATATACAATATAAGTATTATATATTCATCATTTTTTAGATATCTTTTTTTTTTCCTGAGATGGAATTTTGCTCTTGTTGCCCAGCCTGGAGTACAGTGGCACATTATCGGCTCACTGCAACCTCTGCCTCCCGGGGTCAAGCGATTCTTCTGCCTTAGCCTGCTGAGCAGCTGGGACTACAGGCATGCGCTACCATACCCAGCTAATTTTTTCGTATTTTTAATAGAGACGGGGTTTCATCATGTTGGCCAGGCTGGTCTCAAACTCCTGACCTCAGGTAATCCACCTGCCTTGGCCTCCCAAAGTGCAGGAATTACAGGCGTGAGCTACCGCACCCAGCCTAGATATCTTAAAGGTATAAGGATTTAAATAAAGTTTGTCTTTCTAATGATACACTGGCCTTCAGAGAGCTGCTTTCTCAAGAAGCCTTTGCAATCCTGACATGTTGCATGTTTTAGGGCTTTTCTCTGGGCTCCTAGACAGTTACTTGAACCTGTTTCTCTAATTCACTTATTTTTTTATTTTTATTTTTATTTTTTTGAGATGGAGTCTCAACTCTGGCACCCAGGCAATGGCACTGTGTCGGCTCACTGCAACCTCCATCTCCTGGGTTCAAGCAATTCTCCTGGCCCAGTCTCCTGAGTAGCTGGGATTACAGGCACCCACCAGCACACCTGGCTAGTTTTTATATTTTTAGTAGAGATGGGGTTTCGCCATGTTGGCCAGGCTGGTCTCCAACTCCTGACCTCAGGTGATCCACCCACCTCAGCCTCCCAAAGTGCTGGGATTACAGGCATGAGCTGCCACACCTGGCCTCTAATTCACTTATGTTCTTTATTTATCTTGTACTGGTATATTCAGCCTATCTACCAGTTGTGATGTTTTCTCTTCTTCCTTCAGTTCAGCTGCCAAGAGATTTCTGAAGTTTCCTGTAGACTTCCACCACTTAAGCAGCACAACTTGTAGTTCTGCGGTTGCTAAATATCAATGTCTAGAATTTTTTTGAAATTTAGAGAGACAAACATATGTGTTCTGTCACCTTTGACTTGGCTTTTATATAATATTTAAATAAAGCAGGCAGACCAATTTACACTGAGGATGAAAGTTACAGTTTAGGAGAGCTTGCTTCTGTGCATTTTATGGTGAAGTTCATCTTATGATGATCATTTTCCAAGTGATTTGGAACATTTTGAGGTGAAGTGGAAATTGCTAATGTGATGTGTACTGAAAGATGAGATGTTATCACAAAGAAGAATGTGTTTTCTGTCTCAAATTAATGTACAGTTTATGTCAATTGCACTGCCTCTTTATTTGCAGTGGACAGTTGGATACCACCATCAAACCAGCTAGATAGGAAAGGAGGTATTTTAAGGTGTAGAAGATAGTGAGGCCCCAGGAGTGTGGAGCCATGCTGGAGACCTTTCTAAGCTGTCTTGAGAATTTCTCCTCAGTGTTGACTGCATTCCTCTGCCCTTGCTTTACCAGCTCCCCATCTCTTATATTTCTGACCCTTGGCTTTGAACTTGACTTTGATTTCTGTCTGTATCCTTTGCTTCTCCTCTGGACTGTTCCAGCCCACATCCTGTGGCCTGTCCATGTGTTATGCTTGCTATTTTTATCTGAAACTCTAAGTTTATTTCAGGCATTGTGGAAGCCCCCTTGCTCTATTACAAACTTAGGATGGTCCTTGAAATCTTGCTATCTTCCTGCTAAAATGTCTGTGGGCTGCAGATGATGCCCTTTATTAAAACTAAACTGCTAAACAGCCTTAGAGAGATGATCACTATCTAAGGTATGTTATTTGTCTTCAGTATTTATTTTTAGGAACACAATACATTAATCTTATTTTCTGAGAGTTTTTGCTTATAATTTATAGTCATTCTTCATTAATTATACTTACCATTTCTCTTGAGAATACTGAAATGAAAAAGTGTCTTTGGATTTTGTGTAACTGAATTTATGATAAAGAAAAATTGGTTTATTTCTTGTGTTATCTTCTTACATTTCAGTGGCTTTAGAAATATATTAAAGTTCAAAAACCGGGTCAATTTATTAATCTCAGTAACTGTTTTATTATCCTTTTGAGTGTGTGATTAAATGTAGCAGAGAATTCATGGATGAAGTATGGAGAAATTCTTTCTTACCCTGGACAATTTTTACCCTGGAGTAATTTTTTCTTACTTTTTCTCCGTATTTCTCAGTAACGATGGTAACACTCACACTTGGCTATTAAGAATATATAATCAGACATCCAAATTATTCTTTTTCTTTTTTTTAATCACAGAATTAACTCCTGAGGAGAGAGCCCAAAAGATTGCCAAAGCCATGCGCAAACAGTCTTCTGAAGTCAAAGAAAAATGGGAAAGTCTAAATGCTGTAACTAGCAATTGGCAAAAGCAAGTGGACAAGGCATTGGAGAAACTCAGAGACCTGCAGGGAGCTATGGATGACCTGGACGCTGACATGAAGGAGGCAGAGTCCGTGCGGAATGGCTGGAAGCCCGTGGGAGACTTACTCATTGACTCGCTGCAGGATCACATTGAAAAAATCATGGTCAGCATCATTGTCTTTGAAGGATTTTTAAGAAATGTTTTCTTGTTAAATATAACACAAATAAAGAGAGCCACGTATATAAATTGTTATAAGGGATTGTTACAAAGCCAACGCCGCTGCAACCCCACCCATCAGGAGTCAGGACAGGTGCTTTCCATATGACCCTCATTGGGGTTCATTGGAACCCCCTGCCCCCAAATAACAACTAATGCAACTTTTATGATAATTTACATTTATTTTTATTTTTTATCCAACTGTGCATCTCTAGACAATGTAGATTAGGTTTACCTATTTTTAAAAAATATTTTTAATCCCCAGATTTCCCCTCTCTTCCTTTTTCCTTTTCAGTTTATTTGTTAAAGACACTGAATTGTTTGTTTTGTATTGATTCCCAGAGCCTGGATTTTGCAGAATTGTGTCCATATGGTATAGTCTCCAGGTTCCTCTCTACTCGGTATCTCTTGTAAATTGGTGGATGGAGATAGAGATTTAATCAAAAGCACACTCTTTTACTGGGAACTCTCATCTATAAATTGTATCTTATTGTATATTAATGAAGAATTAGTTTAGCTATAAATTCTGTTTGTAGTAAGGAATTGCCCAAAGCTATGGATGTTAGACTTATGGTTACCTCCCCTTTGGTTCCCATATTCTAGAACATCTCCTGAAAAAAAAGTTAATAAAATTTAGACAATAAGAGATATAAGAGATGGTTTAAAGTATACCCCAAATCTCATTGACAGTGTAGTCAGATAAAAATAAGTACTGAATTTTGCTAAATATTATTAAATATGTCAAAACAACTGGAAAACGAAATCCTTGGGGGTAATCAAATAATGTTAACTGCCTAAAATTATCATTAATCGTTCTTATTTACAGAATACACACCTTCTGGCAGGAGAAGGGCTTAGGAGTCACACCTGCCAACAGACTTCCAGTTAGCACCTTTGATACTAGCAGATGTTCTGTTTTTATGGCAAGGAAGGCCACATAGTCTTTTATTCTGTTATAGGAAAGTGCAGTCATAACATGATAAATAGGTTCTTTATGCTAGAACACACAGCAGTTCTGAAACCATTTTAAAACTTGCTTTATCTCGAGCCCCTTAATTTGGAAGCTCTTCAAAAACAAAAGATAAACTTTCTTGATAGAAAGACTCCTCATTGCCATATAACACCTGACCATAAAAAGAAAAACAAAAACCAAAGACCTTGTTTGTCAAAGCTTTTTAAATGTTTTAACCTGTGGCTTATATAGGGAAACATTATTTTTGGAGAGGAAAAATTTGAATTTCTTTTTTGTTCCAAAAGATTTTTAAAGCCTGTCTTGAAGTTATATTCTATTTGTTTAAAGTTTACTATCTTTTGAAATAAAATAGGCTATTATTTGAAATTATATGCATCTCAAAACATTTTCTGGCATTTCATTTTTAATCTTTAATAGATAAAAATAAAAAGATGTTGATTTTAAAAGCTAATTACAGTTCTTGAGTCCTCCAAGGTACCTACCCATGGAGAGAATATTAATGCATATAGCTAAAATCCTGACTAAAGAAACCTTGAAGGATTTGAATTCTGTAATTGTTCTCAAACTGAATCTGAGAGACCCAGACCTTTTCAAAGTTCAGACTGAAAAATCCCTTTGCCCACCCTAACCCACCCCTCCTCCTTCCCTGTGCTTCTATATTAATTGTGAATTTTTTACACTTATAATGCCTCTATTACCATACAACTGCTCTTCTTATTTAATTGTATTTGTGTGTTTTTCTGTGTGTGCACATTCTGTCATCCATTAAAATGCCGAATCTGCAGCAATGGAAAAAAAACTATCTCAACTCTTCTTCTCCTTCCATACTGAAGCAATTCCCATGAATTTGTATGCATCCCTTCCTCTACCCTGTCTTTGAAATGTTGGTAGCTGCAGGGTTCGGTAATATTTCTTACTTTACACATGTTGACTTCAAACTTCCAACATTCATAGTTCTCACCCTGACTCTAGTCTCTTAAAGAGACTTAAAGAGCCTCCCCACTTAAAGAGTGGACAATGTAGAAATGAGGAAACCTGAGGGCAAAGCTAATGGGATGTTTACAACACCTACTACTTCTAAATTTAGTTTGGTACATTATTAACTATAATTTTGTGGCCAATTTAAATTTAAACTGTTTTCTTTTAATATCCCAGTTCCATTATCCATTCTGTGTTAGCTTAATATTGCTCAAATATCATTTTTGTGGGCCTTTGTCAATAGAAATTAATTCTGTCTCTCTTGGATTGCAAGTTCTGTGCTGAATAGTGAGGGTCTATTCCCAAGCAGCTTCCATTCTTTACTGGGAACGTCAAGAATGTGGATGCTCATAATTACAATTTCTAAGTGCTCTTAGTAAGTTGTTTTAATGATTCTAGACCTTGCTCAGAGGTGGCATTTGTCAATTCTAAGACTCATTTACCTTTTTTCTGTAGACTCCACTCTTCCTGCCCAAGCCCTAACCACAGACAGTGATTATAAATGATTTTGACAGGGATAGATCTTACCTCTTGAGTCTGTAATAGGCATTGGTTTCATGGTTAGGAATGTTGTTTCTACTGGCCACTTTCTAATTTAATTTTAAGTGGAAACATGTTAAAATCAAGTTGTTGCATTTGGTGAAAAAATATTAAGGTAGCTATGTTAAAACAGAATAAAAAGAAAACACGAATACAAACTAAAGATAGAATCAACATTAGATATCAGTAAAGTGGAAAATAATGGCATACATTTTCCAGAGTAAACTGCATATAATAGAAAGCATGAAAGGAAATACATAATCATTTTAAAAGTTTGAATTATAATTTTTCTCTTCACACATTTATTTATATTTTTGGGTAATAAACAATGACTTTTTGGTTCTTCATCCAAGTTACTGAAGACCTGAATTAAGTCAGCTGTTGTTGAGTGGGCAACTGTAGTTGATTTCCTCTGAGCTGGCCTTGCCATTTATTTGGAAGTACAATTCCAGGACCCCGCATGTACCAAAACTCATGTATACTCAAGTCCCACATTTCCCCATGGAACCTGCATGTAGGAAAAGTCAGCTCTCCATATATATATGGGTTTCGCATCCTGCAAATACTGTATTTTCCATATGTTTGGTTGAAAAAAATCTGTGCATAAATGGACCCAGGAAGTTTGGTTGAGAAAAATCTGTGCATATGTGAACCCATGCAGTTCAGACCTAAGTTATTTAAGGATCAACTGTATTAGCTTTTGTTATATTCGTTTCCAATAATATATTTTTTGTTCTTTTCTTCTAGGCATTTAGAGAAGAAATTGCACCAATCAACTTTAAAGTTAAAACGGTGAATGATTTATCCAGTCAGCTGTCTCCACTTGACCTGCATCCCTCTCTAAAGATGTCTCGCCAGCTAGATGACCTTAATATGCGATGGAAACTTTTACAGGTATCAGCTTATTCCCCTTCATAATGCAGGCTTACACCTTGGGTGGTCTTTAAACCCTACCTCACTATATTACCACTCACCGTTTTCTCTTTCTTTGCTGATGGTATTTGATAATGAATTTAGCATGTGATGACATCAGGTATTTGTCTTTCAGTATCTTGAACCTAAAGGCCTCATTTATTTATAGAGTTTAATTTAATTTTTTGATGTACTATTCATATGATATTTGTAGAAAATTGCAAAAGGTTAAATAAATCACAGTAATTGAAACCTGTGGTAGGTCACAGAAACATTTTTCACATAATGGCTAATAAAGGAGTCATTTTTCTTACTTTCATCATGTATTTTTTTTTTCATTTTGAAAAATCAGGAAAGTCTCTATTGTTTTTCTTCTAACTGGTTGCTATTTAAATATCTTCCTTATTTTTTCCAGATAGCACATTTATACCAGTGGTGTTTACCTTTAGTTCTTAGATTTTAGCTAATGCAGTTGGTTTAATGACTCTAGACCTTATTTAAATATGCAATTTTGATGTAGCACATAAAAACATTTGAGAGATATATTTTATCTATAATAGGTTTGCTGAATTAATTCAAATATCAAAGCACTCAATGGTTCATATTTTCTTAATGAAATTGAAGAAGTAAGAAATTAGTGTACAATATTTTACAATCTTAGTCTTTGCAAAGAGTGTTAATAACCTAGGATTAGTAAAGCAAAATCTGTTAAATTTATGTGTTTTTCTAGTGGATGGAACATAGAAATATTTGTTCTTTATTCTTTTTTTTTCTTCTGCTCTGTTTCTCTAATTCATTATCTTCATGTGATGATTCTTATGGTCCATCTTGATTTACTTCCCATTCTATTTCTGTTATCACCATTTCCGAAGATTAGAAGTCGGGGAATATGTTATACTTGAAAGAAGATATGTATTCTGTCATCCTTATCTATGATCCTGGTAACCTCTAGAGCTCAGATGTTAGTTGCTGGTTGGAAAAGAAGAGAAAAATCTATGCTGGTGGGCAACACTGTTGAATTGCAGGAGTAATATTTTCTTTACTCATAAAGTGTGGCATTTGAAGGCTTTTAGGCCTTAATGAACAAAGTGCATACTAATGCAATTTAAATAGCTAGCCAGGAGGAACTAGTGCTGTCCAGGGAATCAGACATACACAGTTTCATTTAAGGACAGCTGCAAATGAGATTGTCCCTCTAAGTGGAACAGTAACTAGCATTACATGACCAAGGCTAGAAAAAGGAAATGGAAATGTCAGTAGGCTGTGTGCAGTTGTTATTGATTTGCATTTAGTTTCTCAGTTTAGTAACCCTTTACATTTTCATAATGCAGAGAACTAACTATAGAATGTGTATTTTTAAAAGGCTAGGCATGGGGGCTCTTGCCTGTAATCCCAACATTTTGTGAGGCTGAGGTGAGAGGGTTGCTTGAGGTCAGAAGTTTGAGACCAGCCTGGGCAACATAGGAAGAGCCTGTCTCTACAAAATAAAAATTAAAAAATTACATATGTGGTGTGGTGTGCGTCTGTAGTCTTAGCTACTTGAGAGACTGAGGTGGGAGGATCACTTGAGGCTAGGAGTTCAAGGTTACAGTGAGCTATGTTTGTGCCACCGCACTCCAGCCTGGGCAACAGAGTGAGACCCTGTCTTTAAAAATAAAACAAAAACAAAGATGTGGATAAAAGATGTAGAGTGTCCAACCTGGGCAGCATAGTGAGACCTTGTCTCTACCAAAAAAAAAAAAAAAAATTAACCCGGCATGATTGCACATGCGTGTAGTCCCAGCTACCTGGGAGGCTAAGGTGGGAGGATTGCATGAGCCCAGGAGGTCGAGGCTGCAGTAAGCCATAATCGTGCCACTGAACTCCAGCCTGGGCAACAGAGTGAGACTCTGTCTTTACAAACAAAACAAAACCAAAACCAAAAATGTATATTAAAAAAAATACGAAGAGTACATTAATATGCCTGTACAAACTGAAATATATATCTCAACCCGAAGTAGAGATGATCAGATACAAATTTGGAGGAAAATAAGATGTTGCATACTCACATGTCTTTTCATTCTCTGTTTATCTTCTACCACCTCACTCACTCTATCCTTCTAACTATCCACTATCTATGTACTGTCTATTTCTCTCTCTCACTCCCCATATATATATATAATCTATTATCTATCTAACTATCTAGTTTCCTAGGCTTCTTTTTCATTTGCTCCCCATAACACTTTTTACCATCTTCCTTACAAAAGAGAGATGAGTGGTCACTGATCCCATGACCACATTTTGACTTTAGAGGCTTTACAAACAATGTACTGCCTTAGAGGCAATGCAGAGTAACAGTTAGGGCACAGATTCTGGCACTGTATGACCAGAATACGAACAGGAGTGTTGCCACTCACTAGCTTTATATCCTTGGGTACCTCTTTGTGTTTTAGTTTCTTAATCTGTAAGATGATGATAAAAATAACCTTTACAGTTATTGTGAAGACTAAAGCGTTAATTTCTATAAATTGCTTAGAAGAGTACCTGGCACTGTTTACTATTATTTGAGGTCAGAAGGAGTCTTTTTTTTTTTTTTTTTTTTTACCATTACTCTGATACCAGAGACAGAGAAGGGGTCCAAGGGGTCTATATAAACAATCATATCCTGGGCAATAGCATCATTTATTATAGTCTTTAAAGCAAAAATATTATTAAAGTTATTGTTTCGGAATCAAATTATTTCCTCTGACTTGCATGTGTATGTGTGCAGGTTTCTGTGGATGATCGCCTTAAACAGCTTCAGGAAGCCCACAGAGATTTTGGACCATCCTCTCAGCATTTTCTCTCTAGTAAGTACTAATAAACTGGACTGATCGCATTAATTGAATGAATTAGCATTTTCTTTCACTTTAATTGAAGAAGCCGTATTCCTTGCTATAAATATGTTTATTTAGATAGATCCTTGTAAGGAGGTACTAACATCAAAGAAAATATTGCTTAATGGTTATTATTTGTAATAACGTAATGACAACTGAGAAGTCTTCAAGGTGGAACAGAAATGAACTCATCTTTAGCTATGGTTTCTCATTGGAATGTCTGATAACTAACATAGTATCATATCATCATTGCTTTGTCATAGGCAAAGATTATGAACTTTTTCATAATAAAGAAATCAGTTTTATCTTTTAAGGTTTTAAATTAATTTTTCTGCTTAAAATGTGCTTATTTAAAACACACCTTCAACTTTCAAAGTAAAAAAAATCACTCCCCATAAATCTTTAAGTGGGAAGATTTTGATTTATTAGGCTCGCTGCGATTATATTTAGTTTTTCTGCTATTCGAGTATTGCGTATGTAGCCAAACCACCTATGCAGAATTTTATGTAATATTTTTCAACTGGAATTGATAAATTTATGGACTATTCTTGAGATCTTCAATAAACAATTTGAGCTTCTACTTTATCATTCACTAGTGAAGATACTAAAGAATGTCGGATTTATAGTCAACCAGATTGAGTTTAAACATTCATTCTGTCGCTTACCAGACCTGTGAATTTCTGAAGGTTGATTTCTTTGTCTTAAAATACCGTATTACCTATTTCCTCTGATTGTTTTGAGAACTCAATGACAAGGCATATCGAATTACACAAAGCACCTAGCACAGTTCTTGACACAAATGCTTTCAATAAATATTAATTCCTTTCCTTTCATTTCCTTTAGCAAATATATGTAAGAAAGCAATTTGTTTCATTTAATTCAATTTAAGTAAACTTTAAAACTTAGGGCAAAGCTTATTTCTCAATTATGACAGTTTTTTTGCAACTATAACCATAGAAACAGCTAAAAAGTACTATATCTTCTAACTAAATTGATTACATTTATATTTCCTCTTAATGTTTTTGTCACTCTTGATAAACTGCCTTACCTCAGTTAAAGGTTGGGCTTTTCTTTTACAATTTCAAGAATCTTAATCAGTCATTTTCTGCCCCTTCCTGCCCTACACCTCTCTACCTCTCACCCTCCTCACTGCCCCCACCCCTACCTCAACTCCATACAGTTTTTCTGTTTCACAAACCTTAGACCTTAGGTAGTTAATCTTTGGTATACGCCTTCCTGGAATATACTGTGTACCTAGATGCCAGGACACATTTTTAAAGTCCAGATACCATCAATGTTGATGAAGTAAATAGGTTTGCTGTATACTTATTAGATTATTAAGTATTCCAGATTTCTAAAGCTCAGTTTTTCAAAATGTAAAGCTATGTACCAAGACCAAATGAAAGAGGAATTTACAAAATAATTGAGACTGTCTTTACAGTTCTAACTATCAGTTATCTTTAATATTGATGAAATGCTATACTTTCACCTAGCAATCACTCTCATAGTGGAAATCAAGCACATATTCTTTTGGAAGTGAAATATTGTGAAATTTATACACATTTTTGTAAAAGTCAAATACATGGCCTTGTATTATCTAACACTGAGAATCCAAGGAGGTAGAAGTTATTCAAATCAAAACAATTATTAAAATGAGTGGGGAAGTGTAAACAAAGTCCCAATTAATACATTTAATAATTGTTATCCTTTGCTGCTTGGAATCTTTGGCTTTATTATATTTCTTGGACTTCAGCCATGGTTATAAAAGAAGCCTGTTTAGTTAGGCACAAAATAAAAACTGACCTATTAGCCTGGTGCCAACACTGAAATGAGGTTGGCTCTAATGAGAAATGTAACATACCTACTTCCTCATTTTCATCCCTGTTTATACTTTGGTGGGCATAGATTGAGAACAGAGTGCTTGCCTTTTATAAAGAGAGGAGGAATTGTTGAGTAGAAGAATTGCTCAGCTAGTGTTCAGAAATTGAGATCACATCTGAGCTCGACCGTTTATTTACTGGCTGTCACTCTTTGGGCAAGTTATTTTATCTCTACACATTTAGTTCCTCATCTATCAAATGGAACTTTAACGTGTATCTTGCTGGCTTCCTTACCGAAAACATATATTTGAAAATGCTTGGCAAAGTTTAGAATGCTGAATAGTTGTAAGATATTAATGTGACATGAAATTGAGAAAAAAAGTATTGGTGACAACTGGCTACGTGAGGATCTGATGATATTTGCAAAGTATGAAAATTCCAAGTATTATTTGAATTTTTATATTTGTTCATTTAGCAAAATTCTTTTATGGCACTAAATTCACATGTACTATTCTTCTTAAATAAGTCTTAAAATAATTGGTTAATGTAGGAATAATATATTTTTTATAAGTAAGAAGTAACTAGAATTGTAAAAAAAAAAAAAAAAAAAGTACCTCAATTTAAAAACCCCATAAAATCTCAGTCATAGTAAGGTCTAGTGCAAAAGTAGGAGACTGGGCTCTCTGTATGTTTCAGATGAAAGTAAGAAATTGGGATTTTTCTGCCTAGACGATTGCCTTGGTTCTTCACAACTTTTTGCCTATTTTTAAATTCCTTCTTTTTAAATGTTATAGAATTGAATTTACTTAAATGCCATCTGTACTCAATAGCTACTCCTGTGACTACGATGCAAAGTAAACAATGTTATTAGTCATCTGGAAAATTCGGTCTTGAAAAATCTAATTTTTAATCTGGATATACCAGGTAAAATTAATTTTGGTTTTAGCTTTATCAAAAATATATATGGAGTACAGTTTCCAGATGGCACTAAGGTTTAAACTGTAGTATTTATAAGCAACACCATTTGAAAGTTTAAAAGTATTTTTATCAACAGGTTAGATTAGTTGGCATTAGACCTTGAACCTGTATTGTTTCTTGTTTTACTTCAAATGAATCCTTAAAGCCATTTTTTGTTTGGCCCAGTGGATCTCATAATTATAGGAATCCAGCTCAGAAACCAGAGCAGTTCATTGAATTTGCTATAAAATGTTCAGTTGTTTTGCATTAAGGTGTAAGGCTTTTTGGTTTCCAACGTTTCCAATAATCTCCCTTTGTTTCCTCAGCGTCAGTCCAGCTGCCGTGGCAAAGATCCATTTCACATAATAAAGTGCCCTATTACATCAAGTAAGTTGATTTTAATTCTCCTTTATGATACCAAGAAAATCATGTTTTATTGATAACTTAAGAGGCTTCTCTCCCCATAACTTTTAAAAATAGAATTCAGTCCTATTATCTGAAAGAAACTGTGATATAGTTAATATTAAAAAGAAACTACTTTTAACATGAGAATTATATTTTTCATGTATCAGATTAGGGATATAGGTGTGTTTAGCTGATATATTTTAAAGTAGAGATTTAAATATTTGGAGACAGACAATAAGCTATGATGGCCATACTGTATTCCAGCCTGGACAACAAAGCAAGATCCAGTCTCTAAAAAGTAAAAAAAAAAAAAATTGGAGAAAAATGACAGAATTTCAAAATACTCTTGACATAATGATATTTGTCAAATTGTACAAATTCTAAACCATTTTTCTTCCTCTAAGAAAATCCATATAAAAATGTCTTATACTCTTGTCATTTTATTCCACCAATAAGAAATAATGATTTATCATGAAAAAGTGAAATATTGTCAAGTTTTTCTTTGTCTTATAGAAGTTATCTGCATTATTAGCATAGGCTCATCATTCTTTGATTCTGTTGTCCAGTTAGTTTCTCCTTCTTGCATACTGTTTCTTCTTCTTATATGACATTTTATAAGTTTTGTATAATTTACACAGGCTCTTAGTAGGCGTTGATCCTTGGCTTAGGGCTATATATTGTCATGGAACAGAATGATAAAATTCTACTTCTATAGTCCCTTGGAGTGTAACTTAGTAAAGATATTAATTTACAACGTGCTCTAGTGATGAGTCATAGTTGACCCTATTTTATGTGTCAGACGAACAGCATCATAATCATGACAACACTTACTTATTGTCAGGAGACAGCTCTGTCTCAGGTTAGCTGTGTGACCTCAGGTAAGTCAGATGAAGATCTCTGGGCCAAGTTTCCTTTTTATCATTTCTAACATGGGGTGTGGTATCTCCAAAATCTATACAAATGCTAATAATCTGCTCTTCCAGTATACTTCCTGAAAACGTTGTGTGAAGTCCATGTTGGTGAAATAGTCTTTTCTTATAATTTTTTATTACAGTCTGAGATGTAAGCTCAGGGTAAAAAACAGGTTTGCATAATATATAATAAATATAATAAGCAATATACGTTACATTAGCTTATGGGAGTTTAATATTTTTATCAGTGTATAACCTACAATGCACTGAGTTGTGAACTGAGTTGAGAACAAGGTATTAAAGCAATTGATTGGTGTCAAATTTGCCCAAGTAAGAATGGAAAGAGGTCAGACGCTGGTTAAGTTGGCATGTCTCTAGTGAAAGAAGATGTGATTATCTAACTGAAAATGTTTAAAACTGTTTACATTTTTATTGTACACTATAACAATAATAATAGTAATAGTATTAGAGAACTTTAATTTGCTTGGTTGAATATTGACTTGAATTTAATCTTACAAATTTAGATATAAATCTGATGTACTGTGGTAGGCAAAATAATAACTGCTCCCAACCCCTGAAAGATGCTCACATCATAATCCCTGGAACCTGTGAAAATGTTAGGTTACAAAGCAAGGGAGAATTAAGGTCGTAAATGGAATTAAGGTTGCAAATCAACTGACCTTTAATTAGGGAGATTATTCTGGATTATCCTGATGGGCTTAATGTAATCCCAGGGGCCTTTAAAAGTGGCAGGGGAGGCAGAGATTTGAGAATGCTAGCTACTAGCTTGGAAGGTAAAGGAAGCAGACATGATCCTTAAATGCAGGCAGCTTCTAGAAGCTGGAAAAGGCAAAGAAATGGGATTCTCTCTTAGAACCTCCAGAGAAGGAATTCAGCCCTGCCAACTTTGATTTTATCCCAGGGAGACATTTTTGTAACAGCAATAGAAAATTAATGCATGTACTATAAAAAAATCAAGAAGTTCACGCAAATTAATTGAAATTAATTAATTTATTGAATTGACTTAGAGTCTTTTATCATCTGATTTTTTTAAAAATGCAAACTGGATCTAGTTTTTGGGTTTTACTAAATAAAAAAAATTAAATATCTTGCTTTATGTTTATATCATGATTATCTGTGTGGTTTGGGACTTTTAAAGTCCATCCTTAATTTTAGCTCTTTTTTAAAAATGAATTTCTATATGTTTAGGTTAATTATATATGACTGAGAATTGTCTAAATCAGAATTTCTCTAATTCAAAATGTTTATAATTTTGGAAGGATCTGGTAGGATTGTATTCTTGTTCTTGTGGGGCAGAGTTCTTATGGGGCAGATTGGTAGAATAAAAGTTAGTTTTACCTGGCTTCCCATTGGCTAGAGCACTATTACCAGCACTGGAAAATAGATATAATATAATGATGGCCACTATTTTAAATAATAACGTTTAGGACTGTAGCATTTAAAAAAATCTTCTCCATCACCAGTAAAAGATCAGATTGTTTAAAATATATGTAGTTTTAGTGTTAAATGTCTTTTAAGTCTTCCAAATTTTTAGAAATGTGCTCATTTGTATATAGCAAATTCCCATTTTCACAAAACTTGTTTAACCAGGATCTTTCATTGTGTAATTTAACAGTTTATTTCCTCATGAAGAAGGAACATCAAATTCTGAAGGTAGAGTTATAAAAGCCAGTATTTATGTGTGAAGAATTGTTATGAAAACAAAATTTAATTCCCAAATTAATAACCAAGCAAATGGAGAATGAAAAAGCTTTTAATATACACTTCCCTTTGCGTGGCTTCAAAAGTAGAAGAAAAATGTTTAAAACAAATTTTGCATGATTGCCATGCAATGAGAATTTCCTGGAGCAAATTAGAATGTATATGGCTAACAAAAAATAATATTCAGGTAGAAATATTCAACGTTTTTGGTGTTTAAGTATATCATCTTTGTATTCACTGTTAGAATATGGCCAGAAAGTTGAAAGGAGACTAGGAAGGGCAAATTATTTTTATGTCATATTTTAATTTTATAGATCACTTAAAGCCCACTTTGATGGCTTCCCACTGCATTTCTGTCTCTCTAGGTAATTCCTTATTAATATTTTGAAGTGCACTGCGGTGGCTCCATGGCTCATGTGTTTGTAGAAAATGAAAGAATATAAATCTGAACTGAAAGAGTCTATATAGTATAAACCCCTCTATTTGTTGATATCTTAAGTTAAAACTAGTCTATATAGTATAAATCCCTCTATTTGTTAATATCTTAAGTTAAAACTAGTCTATATAGCATAAACCTCTCTATTTGTTAATATCTTAAGTTAAAATTAACATTTGAAAATTTTATTTGCTTCCTCTAAGGTAGACTTTCTGAAACTGATCTAGTTATTTCTTTTTTCCTAGTATAGTGCAATGAGAGCTCATTGTATTCAGGGTTTAAGAACATTTAAAATGGGGCCGGGTGCAGTGGCTCATGCTTATAATCCTAATGCTTGGGAGGCTGAGGCGGGTGGATTGCTTGCCCCCAGGAGTTCAAGACCAGCCTGAGCAACATGACAAAACCCCATCTCTACAAAAAATTAGCTGGGCATGGTAACATGCGCCTATAGTCCCAGCAGTCAGGAGGCTGAGGTGGGAGGATCACTTGAGCCCGGGAGGTCAAGACTGCAGTGAGCCATGATCACACCACTGCACTACAGTCTGGGCAACAGAGTGAAACTCTGTCTCCTTAAAAAATAATAATAATAATAATAAATAAAGAGAGAGAGAAAAAGAAAATTTAAAATGGTTCTTGCTGCCTTCACAATATACAAAAATCTGCCATAAAAGCCAGATATCTCTCATTGTAAATTTTTGGTTATGTATTTTGCACAAGTTGTTCATTTCCTCAGATAAAAGTCAACTTCCAGGGAATATGAGGAATAAGAGGAATGAAAGCTTTGGGTTCGGTTGAACTTTCTTAATGCATCACATTAACCATGTAAAATTCACCATTTCTCAGTTTGCCACAGAAATAATAATAACATATAATAATGATAAATAGTTGCTGTGGGAAGTAATAATGATCATTGTAATAAATTACATTTTTGAACAGTCATTTATTTGCCAGGTGTTGTGCTGAATCTTGTGCATAGATGATCTCTTTTAATTCTCTCATTAGCCAAGTGAAGTATAGGTACTATAATTACCCCCATTTACACATAAGTCTTAATGAATTATCAATAACTGCATTAAAAGTAATTAATAAGCACGCTTACAGCTTGCTTGAGATTACACAGCTGGTAAATAGAAGAGCTAGTGTTCAAACCCAGGGATTGTCTACAGCTCCTGAACTCCTGATCACTATGCGGTGCTGTGTCCTGGCCCCAATATTAGTTGAGTCAGAGGACGGAAGTTTTTAGTCCCATGGAAACTTTGAATAGGATGAAGGATTATATTTAGGAAGGAGGATAGTAGTGGAGAAAGTATGAGCAAACATCCTTTCTTTCATACCATAGACGGTTACCATTTACTATGCACCTCCTGTGTGCCAGCAACTGAGTCCAGCTGTCCAAGGACAAAGCCCATGCTTTTTCCAGTACTCCACACTGCCGTTGTATAGGCTTTTCCATAGGCTAATTTCTACAGGAGGATCTATTTTCTAGATGTTTAAAGCAGTTTCACACTGTGGTCTGGTAATGGACAAAGGTGCTTTTTCATAGATAGGAAGATGTCATTCCCACAGTGCTTGCCAGTTGGACCTTGAGAGGAACTCTGAGGTGGGGAAACACACTCTTTGGCCTTCCTCTATCTTTCCCCATTCACATGATCTGAAGATTTCTGTCAACTGGTAGATTTAAGTATCTGCGAGTAAGATGGCCAACAAAGCTGGCTTATAAGTCCTAAGGGACTTGAAACACAGATGGTTCTCTATACATCCGGCCTGTTGGTAAGTCACAGTATTTAATAGAATTTAATAAGATGTAGTTAGGAAATAAGATTTTCCTTTTTCCTTATAACACCTTCTCTAAAGCCTGAGTTGTTGACTTTTCAGTAAGCCTTTAGTCTTGCTACAGATGACTATTCTGTTCTTGTGACAAGGTGTCACCATCACAATTTAACAATTCTATAGCTCAGTTTTTCCCACTGGAGTCTGCAGTGCAGATGTTAATTCTTCATAGAACCCTAAATACAATGTACAATATCACACAACACACAGCTTTCATTATGTACATATTAGTAATCTCTGGTTATATATACCATGCATGTCACATTTTCTAAAACTGACATTCCTCAATATTGCAAGAAATTAACCAGCATAAACTTGTCTATATCTATAAAATTTGCTGTCTTACATTTCTTTCCCTTGTTCTAACTCCCCCTCTGAGTGGATCCAAATGAAGATTATCCTCAATTTGTTACATCTCTCTTTATACTTTTATTTTCCATTCTTGTGCCCATTATTGATAATCCTGCAAAGCTCTTTTAGACCTACTCTCATTTCCCAAGGCCACCCTCTACCTGCCCTAATCCTTCAGTAACTGAAAGGAATTGAAATTTGTAATAGTTGTAAAATCTTGGGGAGCGAGTAGTTGATCTTTATCGCAGTCATACAGTTCATTTGCATAGATTGTATATACTTGTCTTGGCAGAACTACATATACCGTCTAGAGGAGAGAATTCATGCATACTTCTTTAGAAGAATTGTGCGCCAGCTTAGGCAATACAGAAGAAATAGTCCTTCCCTAAATATGGTCAGAGAGGAGTATCAGCAAGGCAATCTCCAAATACTCAGCCTAACAGGAAAATGAAAGCTAACAAAGTGTGTGTAACAGCAACAACGAAGAATTAACATAAAGCATTTTATCATTAACGGTTATAGAAAACTTATCCCAGAACAGAATAAACCCGTAACAAAGGTATAATTAACAATGAAAAATAAACATAGCTCTCTCCAAAAGGGTCCCTACAGCAGTCTTTATTTCTCCCTTCCCTCTTTCGTGAAGATGAGGGATGGTATCTTTTTGGTTCCAGTTTTTTAAGTAAAGAACTCTTGGGCCGCACTTTGAATCTCTTTCAAGAACTGGAGCTTGTGGTTTTGGTTTTAATGATAAAGAAGTAAATGAAATAGAAGCATAAGCAAAATGTACTGGAGAGTCTGTCTTTCTAGTAGTCTGTGACTCTGTTTTTACTGAAAATAAATATTTAAAACTCACTGGGCCAAGTCTGCTGATGGGGAGGTAAGAACAAAATTGCTTTATGAAAGAATGTAAGTACCTTAGGATCACTAAACCCCTGGGCTTGGAGGGGCTTCAGATAAATGAGCATAAGCATACCTTGGCTAACTAAAAATCTAAACAGTAGAAAGCCTGCCCTGCAGCAGCCAGCAAACCGTCACTGGGAAGAAATCTTATGTATTACTGGTGTCCTAGTTAATTGAGGTAATTTAGGTGGAATTGATATTGTCTTTGAGAGACATTAGGTAGTTAAGGACTTAAAATATCACCTTCACTGCCATTAGTCTACATATTGTTGGGCCATGAAGTAGTATTTTGGCTTGGAATCTTCTAGATTACCCAACTCTATTGCATTATAGTGACACCATCAGCCTTACTGGGCAATTTGATTTTTAGGGTAAGGGATGCAGTTAGTAAAGTTCTACCATACAATGTAGGAAGGATCACTGTGGGGCCATTTAGAGAGGAAAAAAGATATCTATACTTTATAAAGATTAAATTTTTAAAACTGCCATTGCAATTAGCAAAAGTACAGAAGTAATAATGTTTAAAATTGTAAAATAAATAGAAATATGCTGATTATAAAGTAAAATAATACAGTAAAAGATTTCATATAACCATATAGAAAAAAATAGAAGTAATTAATCCCTTCTTTTAAAAATACATAAAAGAAAGAGATAAAGTAGTAATTTTTTTTAATAAAAAGCTAAAAGCTACAAATCCAGCTTTTAAAAGCAAACTTAAAGGATACAATGATCCCCTCAACTGTTGTGGGAACATAGTCCTGGTGTTAACACCTTCAGATGGGGGCATACAAGGCTCCCCAGGGCCAATGCAACAACAAATGACCTACAGGAATTTGGCTGATGGTCTGAATCTCCCCAGTTTGAGAGTCACGGAGATGAGGGTAGGGTTGGGTGGGAGGTGGGGTTCCCTATGAATTCTGGGCTCATGTAGAAATATTATCAAGCTAGCAGATCCCCTGGGTTTACTGAGTATTTGCATGTTTATATTTCCAAGCAATTTAGTACCCTCAAGACAATTATCACCTGTCCCTCCCCTCGCACGTAGACACATCAGTTTTGATCATTAATTCTACTACTTTATTTAAAAACAAACACAAATAAACTTTGTCTTATTGTTTTGTAACAAATGTTCTAGTAGTCATACATGCAATATTGACATCTTATATTTTGGGGTGTATGGTATGGTAGCCTATTTCTATATAGTCCTTTCCATGTTTGTATCTTTAAATCTACTCTTGAGTGTGAAATTACTTTAAGTGTATTTTGTTTCAGAGACAGGGTCTCACTCTGTTGCCCAGGCCAGAGTGCAGTGGTGCAACCATGGCTCATTGCAGTCTTATACTCCTGGCCTCAAGTGAACCTCCTGCCTCAGCCTCCTGAGTAGCTGGGACTACAGGTACATGCCACCATGCCCAGCTAATTGGACTTTTTTTAGAGATGGAGTCTTGCTATGTTGCCCAGGCTGGTCTCAAACTCCTGACCTGAAGCAGTCCTCCTGCTTTGGCCTCCCCAAATGCTGGGATTACAGACATGAGCCACTGTGCCCAGCTTAAATGCATTTTATAGTCAAATCCTACGGAATTATTCATTATTTACAATGTTGTCTTCCTGCCTCCTGTCTTCATTATCATGAGATACTAATGGCATTTTTTAAGGAAGACTCTAAACTTTTGCAGTACCTATTATCAAATAGGATCATATATCTTATTTGAATTTTGGACAGAATTTTTTTTTTCTTGAAATTCTGACCTCCACGCTTCTTTTCTCTTAAGTTAATTTTTGTTTCTAAAAGTATATCTTTGGATTTCCTGCCTTTAAAAGCTTAGAGGACAGTAGACAGTGTTTGCGAGTGGATGAGGAAGTTGAATATAACCTGAGGAATATATAAGTTATTCCTGCAGCTTTCTCACCCACTACCTCCATCCTCTCCCCAGGGGCTTTTCCACACAGACACACACACACCCACACCCACACCCACACACACACAAGCACGTGCACAGAGTGAGAATCAATGTTACTGATGGGGGTACTCCACATTCTTCCTATATTCTAGTCTTGGGTGAAACAAGGACTGAAAAGATTATAAATTCCAAAGTAAGTACACCACCTCTCAGATCTTTAAGAAGGTGTTACTCAAATAAATGTTGTCATATCAGATTGCCAACATTTGTTTTCACTCTTCATACTTTAGGCAGTTGAATGCAAAATCGATTAGTTGGGAGCTCGTGCTTGATTGCTATATATATGTAACTTCTATAAGTGTACATAAAGTAAATGTTAACAGAACCTGTATTTTGCCTGTGTCAACTTCCTTTTCTGGAGACTTCTGGTTTTCTCATAGTACCTCCCACCTTCTAATACACTGTATAACTTACTTACAGTGTTTGTCGTCTCTTATTTTTCCCCATCCTGAGGCATGGCCACTCCACTTGGCACCATGGAGTTCATTGCTAATAATTATAGGACCAGTTTGAGTGCAGGAGAAAAGTTGGAAGCCAAACAGAAGTGGCTGGAGTGGTGAATGGGACACGAGGAAGTAGATATGGTACAGTACTCATTGGTGAATTTTGCCTGTGAAGGAGAGAAAAAAGGTGATAACTAGCAGAAAATGTAGATTTGAGGTAGGGGTGTGTGTGTGTGTGTGTTTAAGGATGGCACGTCTGTAAACATTTATATTCTACAAAGGATAGTCTTCTTGAGAGAGGGGTTGACAGTGCAGCACAGGAAATTTTTAAGAAATCATTGGGAAGAATTGGCCTTTAATAAGAAGGGGGACAATTTCTCAGTTAAAGGGGAGATAGGATAACAGACTGGCAGTTGGAGGGAAGTTTCCTGAGTTGGTGGTGGAGAGAGAAAGGAGTCCTCATCTAGTAGTATTTAGGTTTTCAATGAAGCGTGAGATAAAGTAAAATGATATTAAGGCAGAGAAATAAACCAGTTTGGGGAGAGAGATAGCAGTAGTGAATTTCTGTTTTGGAGTTTGGGAAAGCAAGTTTATTAGGGAATATAGTGCAGTTGCCAGGAGTTGGACATTTGAGGTTTGAAATCACATATTTTAAAGTAAATTGAGTCTGTCTGTTGAGTGATTTTCTCCAGTTGTTTTTATCCACAGCTGCTCAGGTCCAGAGTAGGCAAGTAATTGAGCTGATCCAGGCCTGGGATTTGCAAGGGGTGAGAGAGAAGCAAGGGAGATGAGGTTATTTGTAATGATTCTAATGATAGACCATGGACTCAAATTTGGACAGATTCATCAAGAAATATTTTAAAACCTTAATTATGCAAATATACTTCCATATCAAGAGCTTAGCTTAAAATGAGACTATCTCTGTTTAAATCCCATTTCTATTACTTACTATAGGACCTCAGACAAGCTATCTAAGCACTCTCTGCCCTAGTTTTTTCCATCTGTAAGATGGAGACAATATTGTCACCCAAGTCATAGAATTGTAATCCAAATAGAATTTACACATAGAAAAAGTTTATCCAAAAAAGTTTACTTGGTACAAATCGAGCACTCAAATAGCATGTTATTACTGTGATTAATATACATCCTGACCTAGTATATTTTACTTTGCACAGCAAAGAAGAAATATTTTTTTCTTTGATTGTCTTATCTCAGAGCAATATACATAGTTCTTGTCCCCACATTTGTATTTTTACTTATCTTTAGTTTTGTTCTGTTATATGCCTTTATAATTATAATTGGAATGGAATGATATATAACAAACCTCACAAAATCCAGTTATAAGCATAAAATTGGATAGCTAGTAACAAATAAGTATATTTGGGTAAGTGTTAGTTTTTGGAGAAACAAGTTGCCTTCTGATCATCCTTTAAGGTTTCATGGAAAAATATGAGACCACTCTAATGAGGACAAATGGGTTTAAGAAGTATCTTCCACAGAGCAGTCATTTGCCCAGAAATCAAGATTTTACCAGCCTATCAAAAGTGCATGTCCTTTGCTGTTGGTTCATTGTGTTACATGTTAGGCAGTATTGCAGCACAACTTTTTTTGTTTTATTTGTTGGTGCTACAGTCTTATATTATTTGTGTTTTACTTTCTGTGGCTTATCAGTGTTATATTGTTATGAATAATAATAGATAGGTGGAAGGATATACTACTTCTTAACCTTATTGGCTTAATATTTTAATAATGTCCATAAAATGCAGAGATTATATGTTATCCCAGCTGGGGCTCTTCAGAGTAAGGGGGCACTTTTAATAATTATACCAGGATGCTGATATGTAATTCCTGTATACAGTCTAGTATAAAGCAGGATTTATACTGCTTGAAGGATAGTTTTCAAAATAGGCAAAAATCTTAACTCTTATACAAATACAAAAAGAGCATGTTTCATTTAACTCATAGTAAGGGAACCAGTAAGAAGTTATAATAGGTTCCAAAGAGAATACAAAATGTCACATATTTATAGTGAGATTAGGGATGCTAAAATGAATTTACCTCTGGATGCAAAGCTGACAAACTGGTCAATATCCACAGGACAATAATCAATTGCATTCCACTGGGCACAATTTGCATTTATATGGACAGAAATCATTTGCATTACTATCTGTTTTCTTCAGTTTGCAGAGTTTAAAATAGCTCAGAGATAATTTAAGCTTTGCAGGATACCCACTCATTTTTTGCCCACAACAAAGACCTTCACAATTTTTCCCTGCACAGGCAAAACTGGATGGCTGGCCAGCCTAGTTACATGTCACATGTTCTCACTATTGTTTGCTTCATATGATTTTGTACTTAACTGTTAATTGCTACTTTGTTTTTTGTTTTGTTTTGTTTTTTTTTTTTTAATTTTATTCTTGGATAGATTCCCATGGCTGTTGCCTTTTAAAGAGAGGATTTTTAGTAATAAAATCATAATTTTATTTTAGAGCTTATCAAGCTGCACAATATGAAGTCCCACTCCCTGTTCATATTTGAGATTAATTAGAACCCAAGCTGTTGTTATTTTGGGGGAAAATGCTACTTTTATTCTGTTTTGGTTGCCTACTCTGGGAGAACTTCAGGCATTTTGGCAAGAGGAGCTGAGCTATCTGCAGCTGTTCAAATACTTTAAGCCTTTGGGTTCATTGTGGATTTTGCTTTAACCCTCTCCCCCGACTTAAAAAAAAAACAGCAGCCAACTGCATTGCCTGTTTTTTTTATTTCTGTTGTTTGGTAAGCAGCAGTTATACTTTTGTAACCAGAGGCTGTATTTATTTTCTGTGTTGGCAGTTCTGCCTAATGAATCAACTGGTATTGAATTCACAAAGGGAGATGCCCGTTCCCTCCCTCCATCTGTTTGCCAAATGTGTGTGTTCCGTCAGCTCTCAGTAGTGGTTTCACTAAAAAGAGCCATTAGCAAGAGGTGTTCACCTTGAATTCTTAGTCCTCCGCCTGACTGAGAAATAGTGGTATTTTCCTCTTGTGATTCCGTAGGGGTTGTGTGAGGTGAAGACCCACACCTGTAATTCCAGAGAAAGCATATTTGTTGTTTAAGTATAACGTCTGGCTCTACATTACCGATGGCTTTAGTTTGGTTCTTGAGCCTTGGTTTGCTCCATCATGATGGGATGTCTGTCTCTGGACAGTACTGTTGTCGTGGGGATTGAAATTCCCTGAAAGAGAAGACAAGAGATCAATGAACCCTAGTAGGTTCTCTCAGACTGGGAGCCCATGATGCCTTACTGGAATTGCATTACCTCCTCAGCAAATCCTTCCATATTTGTTGGTAATAGGGAGGAAATTCTTTTTGAGACTCTGCATTTCTGTAAAGCTCTGAGCCTAATGATGAATAGTAAGAATTTAGGTCAAACAACTTCAGTACCCGGCTCCATGGTCTTTTGAGCAATTTGTAGTATCACTACCATCAAACCGAAAGGGTGGAATGGTTTTGTTGGTGTTCAGTAGTGGACCATGAAGTAGAAGTATTTGTCTCTGCATTGGAGTCAAGAATCTGGGTAGAGGAGCCCGACAACTTTCCATCTCTTTCCAAGACAGATCTTCACATTGTAGTTACATTATTTTGTTTGAGATCTTGGAATTTCCAGGATACATACCCAATTGCTAATATTTCCGGGATACGTACCCAACTGCAAATACACACTTTAAATATTTTTCAAAGGTAAGTATGAGTTATTTGGGGTTTTTGTTACCTGTGTATATATAACAGTGATGATATTCTTTTCCCAGTGACATGCCCCAGTTTTTGATATATTACATAGGCTTGAAAAATAATTTCTCTTGAATTTGATTTTATGAATGTTGTAATATCACTCTCTTAGGTACTATGCTGGTTCATTTAGTTTACTAAATAGTTTTATAAGAACTAGGTGTCATTTAAGAAGTCTTTGGAGCACTATTAAATGTTATGAATCTACCCTGACCTAGATAAGGGGCAGTTAACTCTTTTTAAATGTAAGGCCACTGACCCACCAAAGTCATGAACTGTTTACCTAAGAAACTTAATTGAAGCATTCCATTTATGTTTTAACCTCAATTTATTACCCCAAAACTTCCATCTAACATATGAATTAGTTTTGAAATTTACAGAAAAAGAGAAAGTATAAAACTTGCTTTTAAAGTGAAGAACATGAGGAAAACAATTTAATACATATAGAAAATAATAATACTGGTTAATGAGAGGAAGCTGAGAAGAGGAACACAGAGTCTAAGTGGCAAGAGACACTTGCCTGAGGGGAGTGGGGAATCCAGATACACATGAAGAGAAGAAAGGGTAGATTTGCACTGAGGAAAGTTCGACTCAAGGTAGAAGAGGAGGGAGGCTCTGTAGATTGTGGGATGATGTTATTCAGAGTTAAACTTGTTTCTGCAATCTTTGGAAATATGACGAGACTTTTAAGGTGTAGTGACTCCCACAGCACTACTTCTGCTGTTGGAGGATTCGTTCTGAATGATAATCTACATCTGTTTAACAGATATGGGTTTATTCTGGAGCCTGCATTGATCTGGCCACATCAAGCCAGGACCGAAGGGTTCATGACAGTCACATTTTATATCTAGGTTTTAATTTGTAGTTTCAGTTCTGTTTGAAATAGGCAAAGCAAAGATTTCATTTGTGTTTTTACAATGTAGTTGCTCAAATGAAATTTATTATTAAAAAATTTTTATAAAAAACTTTTGTATAGAGATGAGGTCTCGCTATGTTGCCAAGCTGGTCTCAAACTCCTGGGCTCCCACCTCAGGCTCCCAAAGTGTTGGGATTATAGATGTGAGGCACCACACCTGGCTAAAATTTATTATTAATATTTTTTATTTTTTTGAGACAGTGTCTCACTCTGTCACCCAGGCTACAGTGCAGTGAAACGATCTCGGCTCACTGCAACCTCCACCTCCCAGCTTCAAGCAATTCTCATGCCTCACCCTCCTGAGTAGCTAGGACTACAGGCACCCACCACCATACCTGGCTAATTTTTGTATTTTTAGTAGCGATGGGATTTCATCATATTGGCCAGGCTTGTCTCAATCTCCTGACCTCAAGTGATCCACCTGCCTCGGCCTCCCAAAGTGCTGGGATTACAGGAAGAGCCACTGCCCCTGGCCAATGTTTCAAATGTTAAGTAACAATTGGGCATTGGGTTTCTGAATGGTTGATAATGAGGATAATTTTGCATGTATTTTTAAAAATTTGAAAAAAATCATTTCTACTTGGGTATTTCGTTTTTGGCCTATATGAAGTTTTTTGATTTTTTGTTTATTTTTAAAATTTTACCTTTTTTTTCCAGCCATCAAACACAGACCACCTGTTGGGACCATCCTAAAATGACCGAACTCTTTCAATCCCTTGGTAAGTGTTATTAATAGTAATAAATTAACCTAAACAACTGAGAACCGGTTTTTTTTTTTTTTTTTTTTTTTTTTTTTTTTTTTTTAAGGTGGATTCTCGCTGTTGCCCAGGCTGGAGTGCAGTGGCATGATCTCGGCTCACTGCAACCTCTGCCTCCCGGATTCAAGCAATTCTCCTGCCTTAGGCTCCTGAGTAGCTGGGACTACAGGCGCCCGCCGCCACTCCCAGCTAATTTTTCGTATTTTAATAGAGACAGGGTTTTACTGTGTTGCCCAGGCTGGTCTCGAACTCCTGAGCTCAGGCAATCCACCCGCCTCGGCCTCCCAAAGTGCTCCCGTGAGCCACTGTGCCCGGCCGAGAACTGTATATTGTTAAATAGGAGCTAATCACCAGCCTTTCTTACATGGCATATTAATGTTAAAAGAATCATGTCATTGACATTTAAAAGTAGTTAAATTTCTAAGGGCAATGCAGTAAACAGGTATTGCCTTTCTTAGGAGAATTGTGTGGTTTGAAATCATGTGAGCCAAAAAGAGTTGATTTACAGGGAGGAATGTAATTGTAGTTTTTACCTCCTTCGTATTGAGTCATCTTAACCTTCAGCTTTGCACGCAAAAAATATATATAGATATACAATTACAATATAGCCAACTTTAATCCACTGCCTTAAATTTGCTTTTGGCTCACTTTTTATTTAGTACGTGCCATCAAATTAGCTCACCTAGTTTAAATTTGTCTAAATTGTTAAAAGCTAAATTCATTTTTATATAAAAATGCAAGAAAACACAGACGAGAATTCCGGTTTTGTTTTAATTTCTAGTGCAATGTGGCTTTCAACTTATTGTTTAACCTACTTCCTCTGGTTGGTCCAGCGGTTTTTTTAAGTTTTCTCTTTGGGTAGCTAAGGAGATGCTGGAGGGAAAAACAGCACCCGAAGCCTCCCTCTCCCATTTCAATAAAAAGGATGCCCCCTTTTTTAATCTCTTTAAATGTTGGGCTTCTGTGTGAGTGTTTTTTTTTTTGGTGGGTGAAGGGGCCTGCAAAAGTTGGACAAACAAAAGACATAGAACTGGTTTGCTTAGTTTGTAAAATGAGGGGGCAAATTTTGATGATATCTGAGTTTTCTTTTAACTCTACTAATCTCTGATACTCTGTCTTTAGGGGACAAAGAAAGAAATTACAATATCTATTGTTTCCAAAGAGTTGAGTATTGGTTGTAGGATCATTTGAACCAGATCTGCAAAAGGGCAGGAAAACCAAATCAATCAGGATGGGAGGAGCATAGAAATAAGATGAGCTCCATGAATAGTGAACTGGACAGTGTGGTTGGAAGAAAATGAAGTGTCCTTGGGGAAGATGCCCCTGGAGGAAAATCTCCTTTATTGGGAAAAAAAGGAAGGGCCCTCTGCCTACTGTGCAGTGCATTTAATAAGCCATGTGACAGCTGTGCTTTCTCTTCATCACCTTCCTCTTTTTCCTACCAAAGGGCTGAAAGGGGTGGTACCTTTTCTCACCCATCATAAGGGTCATGGTGACCCTCCTATAACAAAAGACAGGTCAACCAGAAAAGCACAAGAAATTTACTTAATCAAAGTTTTACCTGACATGAGAACCTTCAGAAGACTCAAAGAAAACAGGGAAAAGTGTCTGTTTTTACACTTAGATTGAGTGAGGAATGGATGACTGCATTGAATTGTGATTGGATGAAAGGGTATAATTTAATGATAATAGACTGAGAAGGGAATTCCAGCAAGGCCTATCTATTCAGATTCTTCTTGGCTTCTCCCTGCAGCATATTCCTTTCCTCTAGGGACAGGATACCTGTCACAGGAGAATCTTCAGGAGAGAAGGGAGAAGGTGACAGTGAACTTGCTAGATTTTATGGCTTGCTTTGGGGAAGAGAAGTTCTAGTTTTCATGACCCACCTTGGGGAAGGGGAATTCTGGTTTCTATTTATCACTTTGGAAGGAGAAAGAGGGTCAGGAGACAAGAGACCCAGAGGTCAGAGAGACCTTACTACTGAGGCCTTCCAGTCTCCTTCATTTCAAAGTACTCAACCCACCATGTTCTGAGCCCTGACACCTGTTGAAAATACTTTCTTAGAATTTTCTCTGTAGCACTGCTTTGAGATGTATCTCAACATGGTGCTAATGATCATTTAACTTTTTTCTTAAATACGTGTTGGGGAATTTGGGAGAAGACTTTTTATTTCAGGCAAACATAATATTTTTTCATCATCCAAAGTAACCAAATACATTCTGGGCATTCAATATATATTCAATAATAAGCCTATCTTCAAATTGTTTCTTTTTCTATTTCAGCTGACCTGAATAATGTACGTTTTTCTGCCTACCGTACAGCAATCAAAATCCGAAGACTACAAAAAGCACTATGTTGTGAGTTATTCTACCAAAGTTAATCAATCTGTTACTTGAATTGCGTTTTTTTTTTTTCCAAGAGGAAGATAAATGAAGAGGATGGAGTGTTTGCCAAGTTAATCTGGTCTTCAGTGTACCTCACTCAAGGAGTTGGTTTTGTTTCTATAAATGTTTTATTACTTGCCCCATCAGTGTGCAGTACTGAACACATGCCATTCTTACTTGGAGAACAAAATTAACCAAAACACAGGAGTAATGTAAAAAGCTTTTTCAAAAATTGTGCTGCCACCCAATTTAAAAGGATTAAATCAAAGAAAGTATTAAGTCATGTGTTTTCAGTACCTTTTGCCCATTTGGCAATGTAGAGTTCCAGTTTGTCTCAATACCACTATATATAAAGAAACACTAAAAAATCACATTCCTGATCTAAATTTGAACTGGCACCTTAACAAGTGAGATAAAAGGCTCTATTTTCTTTTAAATATATCTTGAGACATTTAGTATTATCAATGCATTTTTCCTGTGGAGGATGTGTTCAGAGTGGAATTCTGTGGCAGTCCTTTCATCAAAAGGATATTTCCTCCCGCAAAATAACCTAAAATTAAGTAGCAGTGTGAATACTTAGCATATAGATTTATGCTATCTGGATTCTATTTGTGGTTGTAGTTCTAATGATTGAGTCTACCCTAGGCCTTGTCAGATAGTTGATGTGGAAAGTGATATTTACCTGTTCTTTTAAGATAGGGTAAATTGAAAAGTTTCAAGTATTCTTCTTTGCTACCTTTTGTTAACTGTTAATATACGTCTAGGCAGTTCAGTGATGCTTTGAAAATTATGCTTTGAAAAATGATATGTTAAGGTTGAAAAATCTGCTCCTTGAAAGTCAATAGAAGTTAGCAATAAATTTTAAGCTGGCTGCACGAAGAATTGAGGAAAGAGAGGTATAATGTCATTGAGAAAAAATAGCAATGCAAAGCTTGAAAATAGGAAAAGCTTAAGCTATGTATGGAAGAGAAGTCTACAGGGCTGAAAGACACCTCCAGATGAGGCAATGCAAGGAAGAATGAGATGACCTTGACTTTTGCATAATCCACAGAGCCTCAAAGATAATTAGCAGGTGGTAGTAGTTGCAGCAAGTGTTGCAGAATTACCCGGACAAAGAAAAGAAAGCCACCACGCTCTGGCTACTGATCAGTATGTTGAGCGAAAAGAGAATAGGAAGTAAATTACGAACACACAAAAGGGATGTTTGGTCTGCGCAGGAGTCCATGGTGACAGCAGTTTTGAAAGAGGCTCAGCTGCACATCCAGGATCCAGTTGATGGGTCTGGAAGTTCTTCTCAGGCCTGATGAGCTATAAAATGAGGACAAATGACTCAGCCACAAAATTTCCATTGACAGAAGACTGCTTTTTGTCATTATGAACATGGTCCCAGTTTTCGACAACACTTATGGGTGGATAAGCATATTAACACATTTGGTGTTTTCTTCTCTTGGTTCTTTGGATTCCTGAAGAAAAAAACCCCCTCCTCAGCTCTTCCCCTCAAACCTGAGAGGAACAGAAGGGACGCTTCTCCAACTTCTAAACTAAACGAGATTGGTAATGACAATTAAACAACTAAATGACAGTTAGAAAAGGGCTAGATTGTATTGGATTTCAAGTATATGAGGTGCTTTTTTCAGAGCCAACTGACCTTCACTTTTCCTACAGCCTTCTCCCACTGCCCTCCAGCCAAGGCCTCTGGGCCACTCCTGGAGCTCATCAGTTTATTATTAATCTGCTTCTTCCTCTCCCTTCCTTTCAGTTTACTAGAAATACCCTGACCCTTTCTCTGCACTGGCTTGTAACCCTTTTTTCCTCCCAAATACTGTTAAAGATTTACCTCTTTTGGAAACATTTACAAGCTAATCCTACCCGTCTCCACATTTTTTCCCAGTAGTTTATGATTGCCTGTAATAGCAGGTTCTCTCACCTTAGTGACAAGTGCTTGCCTTTGTGTGCTCGAATAATGTTTGGTGGATTGCCCCATCTCCACTGTGAACTACTTTAGGTCATGGCTGTCTCTCATTATGTGCAAATCTCCACCCAGCATAAGGCAGAGGGCAGTGTCATTGTTCATTCATTTGTTGGGCTCCAAGATTGTGCAGGAGATAAAACACTATAAAGAGACTTGATTCTCACACTGAAGGAACTCATATTTCGAGAACGTTGCACATGGACCCAATGCCCTGCTTACAAAAGATTCCTGCTGCCCTCAGAATGGAATGGTCTTTGCCTGGCTCACCTCTCTGTCCACCTCCTTCCCTCTGCTCCACCGGGGCATCACCATTTCATCATCCACTTAGTGATAGAAATGGCAAACTCTGTATTCCATTCCTCCTGCCTAAAAAGCACTTGTCTTAGCTCTTTGTATAGGTTGATGCAAAAATAATTGCAGTTTTTGCCGTTAAAAGTAAGTTAGGGTATTTCATTAAAAGTAATGGCAAAAACCTCAATTACTTTTGCACCAACTTAATCCTTCTGTTCTTCCCTTGGCTGGGACACTCATTCCTGTAGGTCTCAATGTTGTCGATCACCTCTCTTTTAATGAGGTTTTCTATGGCTCCTCATAGAACTGTTCTTTTCCTTACATGACACTTCTGGTGCTTGGTTTAGGCACTAAGGCAGAGTGTCAATGGTAATTTTTAATATTCTGTTTATTAGTTATTGTTTGCTTCTCCATCATGGGATGGATGAGTCTGTGTTCGTCTCTACTTAGGACCTCATACAATTTCTGGCACAGAGCAGGGGTTGCTTAGGACACACTGAGTGAATGATTTGAGTTTGAAGGTTATATAGCAGTACTCCAGAAGATGTGTCCAAGGAGATTTATAGCAGTACTTTTCATAGTAAAACTCATTCAGTTTTGGCATATTTATAAATATAATACAGCAACAAAAATCAATGAGCTAGTAATCAGCATCAACATGATTTAATCTTAGAACTATAAAATTAAATGAAAAAATTAAATGGCAGAAAAAAAATGTGTACCACTCTGTTCCATTTATATGTAGTTCAAACCCATGCAAAACTAATGCTATATACACTTTTAAAAACTGAAAGTGAAATACAAAGGTTAATGGTTACCCCATAATTGTAAGAGGATGTAATTAGGCAGGATTCAAGGAGCTTCCAAGATAGTGGTAACATTCTGTTTTTTTCAGCTGTGTGATGGACTAATGGGTATTTGTTCTATTATTTTCTTTTAGACCACACATATGTATTTTCTGTTTTCCTTTGTATTTTGATTTTGAAACTTTATGTGATAGGTAATAGCAGAAAAGCAAAAGGGAAGTATGTTCCGAGGAGGGGGAGAGTCCTCTCATTATGAAGAAGAAGGCAGGCTTCCTTGATTAGTGGGCATATGAGCCAGGCTATAAAAGGCACCTGGGATTTAGGCATGGGGCAGTTAATTGGGGATAAGAAGGGAAGGAGTTATCTGTGTGAGAATTAAGGTGTAGATGGTGTTCAAGGAACATTAAGTTATAGAGTCTGAATGGAATAGCTTAGCTATTTTGTCCAATATCCAGAAATTTCCTTAAAGTTAATTTAGGTCAATTTGAACGTCATATTTTTCCTGAAATTCCTTTCGGTTTTTTTCCTCAAGTTCTTATTGTGTTGTATTTCATGTTTGGATATTTTTCGTTATAGAATGGGGAGCCATGAGGCATTTTCTGTATTGTGGGAGTTTAGAGATAGGGCCAGAAGTGGAAGTATGCTTTAGGGAATATCTAAGAAAGACCAAAGGGCAGAGAACAGAGAATGGGTAAATAGTTCAGGTGAAGGATGATCAAAGCTGAGCTGGCTGGGAGTTGTAGGAGGGGAGATCAGGGTCTGGATTTTTAAGGCTGCCTGAGGAAGAACTGATGACTCGGGGTATTGGGTAGTTGGTAAATTGTGGCAGGTAGAAGAAGGAAGGATGTTAGGATATTTCACGGTTTGCAGACTGGATTTCATCATGACAAGAAGGCCAGGCCTTTATGGGGAGAGGTTCCTGAAAGAGAATTATATAGCTCTTGTAGGGATCAGAGCAATGGGACATGGGTCAAGTGTTGAGGCAGGAGATCAGCAGGAGAAAAGAGAATCTGGAGCCATCCAAAGAGAAGCAATAATAGAAGTAAGAGGAGTGAGTGAGGGCCTCAGGCTCACAGAATGAAATGCCAGATGTGAAACCTTGAGCTCTGCCTATATTTCTGGGGAAGAGAAGATAGGGGAAATGCTAATAATAATAATAATAATAATAATAAAATAAAAAAATAAAGAATGGCCACATAGCTTGACACCTGGAGAAGTGTCACTGAAGCCCAAGATTGGATGCTTAACAGTGTTCATTGTTTTGCAGAACAGGAGAATGATGATGCATTTCTATTCCATCCCCTGTGCCTTGTATGTGGGATTAAAGAAAAAGTCAGAAAGTTGGATAGAAAATGATTATGCTGTTTGTTTCATTTACCACATGACTGAGCTGTCATTTGTCTCCCTTTGAAATGAGAAAATCTTAATCATAATTTTCTGTGATTTAAATGTAGTCAGTTCTTTAAAGGTACCTAAATGTGACACACTTCAGGAAGATTTACGCTTGACTTAGGCACTAAGACAAAGTGTCAGAGTAAATCACTAAAAATTGAAGACATGATAGTCTGTGGGATGTGGCAAATTAGTGTCACAGCTACAGAGTGTATAACCAGGGAGACTTCAGAAAGAAATGCAAGGACAGCCTGATGCAGGAAATGGGCTTTTTGGAATTTGGTCTGTTGTCACCTGATGCCATGTGGGGATCCAATAGCAGTGCTGTGTTACTGGCATAATTAATGTTGGAATTCAGAAAACTTACAGCCTTTTGGCCATATTTGAATATGTTCCTTGGTGTCTGTGGGGAGCTGTAGTTCCCTAGCTACTGCCCTTTATTAAACACTTTCCTTTGTCAGGCACTTTGCTTCTGCCCTCTAGAGGTTTACAATTGAAAACTGTGTACAGTTGACCCTTGACACCCAAAACTTAACATGTTAACAGTCAATTAACACATATTTGATATGCTATGTAATATATACTCTTATTCTACAACAAAGTAAGCTAGAGAAAAGAAAATTTTAAGAAAATAGTAAAAGACAAAATATATTTAATATTCACTAATTGGAAGTGATCATCATAAAGGGTCTTCATCCTTGTTGACTTCATGTTGATTAATCTGAGGGGGAGGAAGAAGAGGAGCAGTTGGTGTTGCTGTCTCAGGGGTAACAGAGGCAGAAAGGGTAGAGGAGAAAAGAGAGGCAGGCACGTTCAGTGCTTAACTTTAATTGAAAAAACTCCACGTGTAGGTGGACCCTCACAGTTCAAACTGGCGCTGTTCAAGCGTCAACTGTACAGGGCAAAGAAATGAGGTAAGAATTACAGTGAAAATTCCAGATGGTTCTTAGTTTTTTTCTGACACCTTCTCTAACTCATATGAAGCTTATTTGACTTATTTTTGTTATTAGCTTAAGTTTACCAATGATACATTTGGCATCTGAAGGAAATGGATTGGTTCGTTATCCAGACTTGTATGTTTTATGTTTATCTCTTTAAAAAAAAAAAAAGTCTTCCCTGTTGAGTTGTTTTTGAAATCATTTTACTCTGTATGGGTTTAAAGCAGTTCTTTTAATTTGTAGATAACTTAAAAAATAAATAATTCTGTGTTACTCAGACAGCTAGCATGGACACATTTCATACATGTCTTTAAAAATTCAAAATTATTAGTTATTCAGTGGTTACAAATGGATAAATACAAAGGAAGCTATTTGTTCATTTTAGTTAACTGTCAAAATATGTCATATTTTTTGAGAGAACAGTTTTTGCATCAGGCGAAGAGAAAGAAGTTGGTTTTATATGTATATAACCTTATTTTTTCTCTTTGCCTCTTATTTTTCATGCTAAAAGTTAAATATATAACATATGTGTATATATAACCAACTATTTTCTCTTTGCCTCTTATTTTTTTAATGCCAAAAAGTTAAAAAATAAGAAAAAATAAGATTAGAGTTCTTCTAGTCTAATTTTTTTATGCTAAAAGGTTAAATACAGAGACAGAGAAAGAATTTTATAAAAACTGATGTCTATGAGCAGACCTTAAATTAATGTGGACTCTAATTTTCCTTACTCAGATGTTTAGATTTAGAAGAGTCATCTCCACACTCAATAAATGTATAGATAGATACATGGTAGTTTGATAATCTGCTTTGTCTCTTTGTTTTCAGTTAGTGAATGAAAGACTTAAAATTGATTAAATTAAAAAAAAATTTGTCGTTTTCATCTAAACTCCTCCTTCGGGCCTTTGCGGGCCTCCCCTTGGGCAGTGTGTGCCTGGACCATGCATTTCTCCTGTCTGTTTCACTGCCGGCAAACACCACTCGTGTGTAAGTCACGCATCACCCACACTGCAGTCCACCATTCCTTAGAGCCTCTGGGCTTGAGTGAATTCTTGCCTTTTCTCAAGTACTTCTCTAAACCTGGAATTCTTTCCTCACTTCATGTGGATCTCTTGTATTTTATCCATTTTTCAAAGCCCATTTCAAATCGCACCTCTCCAGGGAGCCTTTTCCAGTTGTCTTTCCTCTCCTAGAAGTAGTAGCTCTAGCAGAAATTTGCGTATTCCTCTCATAGGGCATGTTTACTCCTCCTTTTAGTAAAGCCATCAGTATGTCTTTGAGAGCAGGGGCTCTGCCTTCACCTCCTGTGCACACCCTCCTGGCTCTAGCCCCAGCCATGCCTACCATAGATGTTGTACACATGAAGAGTAAGGATGGGAACAAATTTGTGAAGACCAATGGATGTGGGGGCTGTCTAGTACTTCTTCTTAGCTACAGGTCACCTCTGTGTCTAGAGTACTGACTGCTCTAGTACTTCTTCTTAGCTACAGGTCACCTCTGTGTCAGAGCATCATCGGAAGTAAACCAGGTTAGGGCCAGTTTGTGACAATCTTATAGATCGGGCTTGATTCAGCAGGCAGTGGAGAGCTGTTATTTTTCTATAAAACCTGTTTTTTAATATGGAGCATCTTCAGTAAATTTTGTATGTAATGATGTACATGATAAAAGACTGTTTAAGAACAATTAGTTTGGCTGTGATACAAAGAATGAAGAGAGCAGTGCACAGGCTGCTTGCAGGAGTTAAGATGAGGAGAGCAGTGTAATATTTGAGATGCGCTGCCATTTGGAGTAGATTGAGAGATTTATGCCTTGCTACATTTAAAAGCAAAAAGAGCCTGGCAAAGGGAAAGCCAGAAAAAGAAAGTAGGAATAATTAATATTCCAAAGAGCAAAAAATGAGATAAGATTGGGAAGCAACAGAGTTCAGATTCAAAAGTATGAAAGTGTGGTAAAATGTAAGAATAGAAATGTGTTTGTTTCTTTAAAAGCTGAAATTTAGCTAAAAAGGATAGATTCTTAAATTGAAGAATCAAGCTAAATACTTGAGACTAGAAATGCCTTTGTTGTGATGTTGTTATGTAATGTAATGTAATGTAATGACTGTAAACATTCCTTCTTCTCTCCTGGTTAGTGGATCTCTTAGAGTTGAGTACAACAAATGAAATTTTCAAACAGCACAAGTTGAACCAAAATGACCAGCTCCTCAGTGTTCCAGATGTCATCAACTGTCTGACAACAACTTATGATGGACTTGAGCAAATGCATAAGGACCTGGTCAACGTTCCACTCTGTGTTGATATGTGTCTCAATTGGTTGCTCAATGTCTATGACACGTAAGTTTATATTTTTTCTCATTAAAATACGATCACTGAATGAAATATGTTAATAGAAAATGTCTGATTTTTAAGTGAATTTTTTAATAAGTGCTTTCAAATTACTTTCCCAGTGGAAATATTTATGTTTGTTGTTGAAACTGAATGATTTTACAAATCATTGAGCTTCTTAACAAACAATAGAACAGAAAAGAATGTACATCTTTCATTTTAAAATGTTGCTTCAATTTACAAAGACTGTCAAATTTATAGTATTCTTTGCCAAAATGCTAGGGGAAACAATATAGCTAAGTCCTACTTTCTTCTTGTTTCATAATGTCTCACAGTATTTCTTTTTTCAAAATAAAAAATCTTCTGTTTATTGTTATGAATTACAGTAATTTATTAGCTCATAATAATCTGCTCTACAATCTTTGTAATCCAACTGAAGAGTGATTTGAATGGCCATGAACGAGGTAGTCTTTTAATATTTGCTTTATTTGCATAGTGGTTATGTGTGTGTGTATATATATATAATATATATATATATGGTGTTTTAAATAATTTATGCTACAGGACACTTTAATATCTGTCATTTAATTAGGTACTCACTGTTCATAAAGCACACTCTCAACTCCCAGCATAACTCATTTGCCATTAATTTGGCCCTTTTGAATACGACAGTACATTTGTGAAATAGTCAGTTCTAGAAAGACCTGCTGTGGGCTGACATTTCTGAAACATTAGGAATTACTCATTGTTCTGGTGGGAGGTTAAAGTATGCAAAGATGAAATAAGAAAACTAGAACTGGGCTGGGCACGGTGGCTCCCGCCTGTAATCCCAGCACTTTGGGTGGCCGAGGTGGGTGGATCACCTGAGGTTAGGAGTTCGAGACCAGCCTGACCAACGTGGTGAAACCCTGTCTCTACTAAAAATACAAAAATTAGCCAGGCATCGTGGCAGGTGCCTGTAATCTCAGCTACTTGGGAGGCTGAGGCAGGAGAATCTCTTGAACTCAGGAGGCAAAGGTTGCAGTGAGCTGAGATCGTGCCACTCCACTCCAGTCTGGGTGACAGTGCAAGACTCTGTCTCAAAAAAAAAAAAAGAAAAGAAAACTAGAACTGTTGTTTTGCCTCTCATGCCCAAAAAGTTATTATCTATTAATTAGCTACATGAAAACTTCTATTTACCAACCTTTGATTTAGAGATAAATAAGATAGATGATCATTCATAAATGCACACATTCAGGAGCTGATTGGTTCTGTATAGGAAGTAAATAATGATGACAGTAGCTTTAGCAATGAGCTGACTAAAAATCTGGATTTTTTTTCTATTCCTTTTAGTTTACATGTAATAACTGTACATATTTATGAGGTACACAGTGATATTTCAATACATGTATACAGTTTGTAAAGATCAAATCAGGGAAGTTAAAATATCCATCACCTGAAATATTTATTACTTCTTTATGTTGGAAACATTCAGAATCCTCTGTTCTATCTTTTGAACCTGTGAAATAAATTATTGTTTACTATATTCACCCTACAGTGCTATAGAACACTAGAACTTATTCCCCCTACCTATATGTACTTTTGTACCAATTAATGAAACTTTCCCTGTCCTCCTCTCTCGATTTTTTTTAATTAGAGAAGTATTTTATCTTTTAGTGTTCATAAATATCATAACAAAGTCTTTCTAAATAATCAGCCACTGTGTGCTTGAGGGCTCTTAAGAAACCTGCTGAAGCATGAGTCTCAGTTACCATAATGAATACGGGATTTGCGATATCTCTGTCTGATATTTTTTAATACATTTCATTTTAATGCACATTTTAAGTTCTCCTAGGGTAAAATATTACCATTAGCCTTAATCCACCATTAAGTTGCTCTTCAATAATTTGAATCCTCAGAAGATGCTTTTTCATAGTAAATTCACCAAAATAGTTGGTCAAAGGTGTTTTAACTACAAAACCTGTAACTTAACTTTTACATCCCAGGAAAATTGCTAAATTCATAGAATACTTAGGAACTCCATTCAGTCCTATAGAATATGGTAGAGGTATACATCTTGAACTACATTTTAAGGAAGAACTGGAGAAGAGGTTCAGTTGCCTTATATTGTCCATGGCTCTGACACACTGTTTTGGTTTTCTGGGGCTGCCATAACAAAGAATGATAGACTGAATGGCTTCAACAAGAGAAATTTATTTCCTAACAGTTCTAGACACTGAGAGTGTGAGATGAAGGTGTCGGCTGGGTTGAGTCTTTATGGAAGCCACTCTTTCTGGTCTGCAGATGATCGTCTTCTCCCTGTGTCTTCACATGGTTTTTCCTTGTCTGATGTGTGCTCATCTCCTCTTCCTCTAAGGACACCAGTCATATCAGATTATGACCCACTCTAATGACCTCATTTTAACTTAATTACATCTTTAAAGACCCTATCTCCAAATACAGTCCCATTCTGAGGTACTAGGAGTTAGGACCTTAACCTGTAAATTTTAGGGGACACAGTTCAGTGCATAATGCACACATATGCTCTTTTCACTGGACAGCCCAAAGGGAATAGTGCCACTTGGTTGGGAGGAAGCAGTGTGTGAAATGCCGTGATTCATATTCTAGGGAGTTAAATGTTGGCACAGTTCCACTTGCCTCCATCAAATGGGAATATGTGGGAAATGCTACAATTTGCCACTGTTTCTCATTTAGAAAGACAGTATCTTGAAATTTCTCATTTTTCATTTTAAAGGAAAAAAATCTTTCAGGACTAACCTCCCTTCTATGAAAAAGAAAGATGGCAAAGACCATGCTGGATCAGAATGGTGCCCATGCAGTGTAGCTTTCTATCTTGGAGAGAGTATTGGGGATTAATCTATGGAAAAAACAGTTATTCTTATGACAGTAATGTCAGACGGCCAGAGCTGGTTGCCCAGGTTTCTCTAACAACCATGATTTATTTATTAATCTAAATAATAGTTATTAACTCTTTTCAACCAATAATTTTCTTTGAGAATCAGATAGAAATTACTATCTACCCTCCAATTAGGACATTACAGACTCATACATCTGTGAATCTGAGGAATGGTACCTTGTTCTAACACTTCTATTCATTCAGCCGTCCTGACATTCACTCACTAATCATATACCCGTGACTGCCTTCTTTCCTGGCATGTGATACAGCCAGAACTGGTGTTTTCAGCTTCAGCCAGCTCTTGATAATGAGTGATGCACACACAGATCACAGAATTCTCAAAGTAGAAGGATTTGGGGATCTTTAATTCTGCCCTTTTCTCTTTACTAATTGAAAACCTTGCCCGTTGAGACAGGAGAATTTATCTACCTATTGCATATTAGTCATAATTAAAGAACTAGTGTTCAGTCTTTTGATAATCATTTGATTATTCTTACTATATTTCTATATCTAGGAAACATAGTACTTTATTTTAAGTGAACAGTTTTTTTCCAATTTTAACATGTACCCACCTCCTGATATTCTGAACTTTGTAAAAAAAATTTATTTTCATCTGTCATGGATGACAAGAATTCAAATTTTTGGTTCTGGTTGCTGTGTGAGTTGGCAGCTACTTAACATTGGCATCTTAATTTTTCATCTGAAAAATTGAAATAAAAATATCCACTCTGCTTACCACACAAAAGGTGATTATGAAGGGCAAATGAACTAATATATGTAAAAAGTACTTTATAAAGATAAAATTGATTTCATTTATGAATTTGCAGCCTCAGTCATCTTACCAGATTAAAAGGTCTTAATTTCACAATCTTCCTTCTGGATTTAATGGAAATCAAAAGTGTTTAAATCATGATATAAAGCAATAGTCTGTAGTACTTGGTTTAAATGTGTTTTTTTCTACCAAAAATATTAACCTCATTTGCAGTAGTGTCATTTGTTCCACTATTCCAAAGATGGTATAATTTTATAAAGTAAATGTCTTTATAGTTAAACCAGTTTAAAGAGTTGCCTATGAAAACTATCAGGAGACTAAATATGTCAACACTGGGCTATGTCACTCACTAATATATTTTACTGTCTCCCTCTTGTCTCTCACATCCATGTAGCTTATTTACATCAGTGTCCTTTATTGTCTGGTCCCACGTAACCTGTACAGTTCAGTCAACCAGTTAACCTTGATGCAAGTCTCTGACCCACCTGAATGCATCTTATTTGTTTGTTTTTGTTTTTGTTTGAGACAGAGTCTCACTCTGTCGCCAGGCTGGAGTGCAGTGGCATGATGTCAGCTCACTGCAACCTCTGACTCCCTGGTTCAAGCGATTTTCCTGCCTCAGTCTCCCGAGTAGCTGGGATTACAGGCACGCGCCACCACGCCCAGCTAATTTTTGTATGTTTAGTAGAGACAGGGTTTCACCATGTTGGCCAGGATGGTCTCAATTTCCTGACCTCGTGATCCACCTGCCTCAGCCTCCCAAAGTGCTGAGATTACAGGCGTGAGCCACCGCGCCGGGCCTGAATGTGTCTTATCTCCGATGCTCACACCCCTGCCTCTGTGCCTTTGCTCAGGCTTTCTCTGTGATACTCTATGTTCTCCTACTTGGGACTGTCATGGCATGACATACCTTCTATGTCTGATTTTGGGTTTATCTTCTCTGTCACATGTTGTGAAACTAATGACTACCTAGACTAAATCACTAATGATAGGCAGCCACAATGATCTTGTACTTGATGTTTGATTTCCATACATAAAGGATTGTCTCATATGTTTTCTAGTTGTATTCCTATCTTACCTTCCTCAGCTAGTGTGTGAGTTCATCGGGGTAGGAATCATGTCTTCTGCTTTTCTCTTGGTCCCAACAGTACACAGAGCAATGTCAGGATCACAGTAAGCCTTTGTAACTGGTGATGGTGTGATGAATGGGTGATTGACAGCATCAGTTGTCTTCCTGATGATATTCCTTTCTTGTGTTGTGACAGTAAAGTGGGAGTCATGCTTTAATGCATATTATTTTGACCATTTTTCCCTGTAGGGATCACTTTATCCTTAGCCACATTCATGTACTTGTCTCAGCCCGTTCACAAAGCCTTCTGTTATCCTCTGCAAGTCTATTGTCTGACTGGGTCCAGAGAGTAAAAATTTCCTGCTTTTGAAAGGAAGCAAACATTGTCTGTTTCATGTGATAATTAGGAAACTTCTAAAAAATATAAAGTAGAAACACAGTTTGTAGCATGGCTGTCTGTAGGGTTAATGTGAAACTGGTGTTTCTGTAATTGTGAGAAATGATTATATTAATTTAGAAATTCTGCTTAGAAGGGCTATGTTTATTTTAATATTAAGTATTAGTCACTTCATAGGTTAATTCTGAATGTCATATACCTACATACTAAGGGTTCAGTAAGTTTATTAGATATGATTTAATATAAATTATAAACTCTATCCTATTGAGGGAGTACTTTGAAAATACATTGCACCAATCCCTAAGCACGATTTCCTTTCTTATTTATTGCATACTTTATATGTCATAATATGCGTACAGAAACTTCCTTCAGTACATATAGTTGAGAATGGAAGAATATCAATTAGTGTAAGTAGTAAAAATATCAATAAAATCAATGATTAAATATAGTTTGGCAAGAAGACTGCTTAAAATTAAAGTTACGTGATACAAATATTTATGTTTTTAAAATAGCACAAATTGTTAACTTTTATACATTCATATATTTATGTAAACTTTTAGTTATAGGTTTTAAGTGTGCTGTACTTGTGTATTAAAAACATATAAGAAAATGGACAATAAAAACCTAAAATGAAAATGGATCCTAAATGTGTAATAATAAAGATAGCAATAAAGGCTTTTTTTCTGGGCTATGTGTTATTCCATAGCAAGGATAATATCTTATTAATTTTTGTAATTATCTTCCAATCCCTAGGACTGGGACTACTGTGACTAACATTTGGTAGATTACTCAGTAATTCTTTGATAAGCAATGAAATTAAGAAAACTCTTTGGTTTTAAAGATAAAAAAACATGTTTCATCTGGTCGACTTATAAGTGAAATAGAAATGATCTATCCTTAGCATTGTGTAAAACTATGTTCTAATGTTGATTAATTAATACATTCTGGTTTTAATTATAATTTGATATTTCCCCAAATAGGGATTTCACATCTGTCTAAGATCACTGACTATTAAAATTGCAATAGTAATTTATAAAAACTGCATTGACAGAAAATTAACTATATACTGAGGGCTTATAATTTGCTGAATACTTAAATACCAATATTTATACTTAATTAATACTTAATTACCAATTAGTATTCAGCAAGTTGTAAGCTCTTAGTATATAGTTAATTTTCTAGTCTGTGTTCTTGTTTTTAGATATATCACTAGACTTTTCTTCCTGTATGAAGTCATATATATATATAGTGTGCGTAGCTCTAGCTGTTTTGAATCTTGCATCTACAATTATTAACGTATAGGTTTAATTCATAGTATTTTTTTTTTTTTTTTTGAGATGGAGTCTCGCTCTGTCACCCAGGCTGGAGTGCAATGGCACGATCTCGGCTCACTGCAATCTCCGCCTCGCAAGTTCAAGTGATTCTCCTGCCTCAGCCTCCCGAGTAGCTAGGATTATAGGCATGCGCCACCCGCCTGGCTAATTTTGTATTTTTAGTAGAGATGTGGTTTCTCCATGTTCGTCAGGCTGGTCTCGAACTCCTGACCTCAGGTGATCCGCCTGCCTTGGCCTCCCAAAGTGCTGGGATTACAGGCATGAGCCACTGTGCCCAGCCAATTCATAATATTTTTAAAGGTGAAATCTTTTCAGCTTTATAATCATCATTTTCATTTTGCTTTAGTTCGTTCTTCTTAGTTTATGTGTTGTGTGCAAAGTGGCTTCAAGCTGTGTGTTCTTCTAGCCTTGGCCAAACACCCTGTTAATATATGTCATGAAATTACAGTATTGGTTTAATATTAATTGTTAAAAGTTAATAGAAAAGTTGCATCTTTAAGATACAATTATTTTTGATGGTTTACCCCCAAGAAAATAGATATTCAGAAACAATGAACATGCTGTATATGGTTTTAAATGCATCTAACACATTAACATTCTTATAATTTTAGGGGTCGAACTGGAAAAATTAGAGTGCAGAGTCTGAAGATTGGATTAATGTCTCTCTCCAAAGGTCTCTTGGAAGAAAAATACAGATGTATGTAAGACCTTTCTTATACCAACAGTGTTTTTAGTAATAATAATGATTATAACAATTTATTGGAAACTTAAATTATATAATTTGTTAGTAGTAATAGTTCTCTCTCTTTTTTTAACCCTTACTGTGCCTATACCAAGTTAGACAGAGGGTGGCAGTGCAAAGACTTGGGGCTTTGTGTGAAATGGAAAGCTGATTATAACTAAGAGGTGAGGTGCCAGGATGGAGTGAGACCCAACTACAAATTATACTTCATTTAATTCTTAGAATAATCCCTCCATAATGTAGGCATTTGAGATTTTCATTTTCTAGCTGAGAAAATTAATGCTGAGATAGGTTAAGAATCTAGTCTAAGACTGCAGAGCTGATAAGGGATGGGGCTAGAATTAGATACTAGGTTTTTCTGACTCCAAAGCCTAAACTTTTTTTTATTTCTTTATACTTCCAATGCTTAAAAGAAAAAGATGAACTAGAACCTTTACAGTCATAGACGATAATCCTAAATAAATATATTTTACAGCTGTGACAAAATAAAACATGATTTTTAAATTTTTATTATATTTGGATTTATCAAATAAATCAACAGTGTTCCTTTACCTGTCAGTTAATGAAAGGTATATTGGCTTTGGAAAAGACTTGTGTTCAGGAGCCAAGGAGACCTGTCTTCAAATCTCTACCACTTAGTAGCTGAGTGTCTTTGGGCAGGTTATGTGATTTCATTGAATATTGCCAACTAAGAGGTAATAGTATTCCAATTTTACAGTTCAAGAAGCTGAAATTTAGCAAATTTTCTTCAACTGAAAAAATGAAGCTAATAATTCCTGCTTGGAGAATAATTAGGAGTAATGTTTAAGGTACCTAGAAATAGCAGTTGTTGAATAAATGGTAGCAGTTGCTGCTGAGTCCCCAAACCCTTAACTACTATCACATATCTTTTGATTTATTTTTGTCCATAAAATGTGAATTTGATCCCACCATGCATATTCCCAGATGATTCTTTACAGATAAATCCATACATTTGTGGGAGAGGTTTAGGGATATTCCATGAATGGAGAGATACTAAAAAACAATAGGATGTTTGATTATAGGCCCTGTAAACTGAGTTAAGTTTTGTGTCTTATGTCAACATGCATACATTTTAAAAGCTTTTATTTTCTGGGATTTCTGTGAGGTTATTGGATTTTGAATTTCAGGTCTAGACCATGATGGCTTGTTTTTTCTACATAGTTTGACAAGAATGTCAGTGAAAAGAAATGTGGATTTATATAAAATGAAAAGCTGATTGTAGGATTAGGAGATAAGGTGCTATGACGGAGTGAGAGCCTAGTTAGCCATGCAGAAGAAAGCTTTGCCCAAGACTTTTGCTTTGTGGCACTTTATCCAGAATTGAAGTAGTTTTTGGAATCATAATCATGAAAAGATATAATTTCAACAGCTGAAAACGTTATCTTTTTATAATGATCAGGAAAGGAAAATGTTAATGAAAACACCAATGTTACAAAATTAGAAATGGATTTTTTATCATCTCTGATTTGGGGTTTCTTGTGCTTCTGAAACAATTAGGGTTCTCTGAAAGTAACAGTTATAGTGTGGAGCTTACTCTGAAATATTTGCAAATTCAACCTCAAAGCTTACATTGTGGATAATTCAACATTAACTTTCAGATTTTGGCAGGGGAAGCAGAAGGCTCTGCCGTGAAATTTCTGATATTTAATTGAATCCAGGAAGTATGCCATTTTAGAACTAATTAAATATGAAATCTCTTGGGTTTTAATCTTTAATCTAAATCTTTACTGGGATATCTAGACTTTGGAATGTCCTGGGGTTTTATTTTGCTTTTTACTTTGAGGACCTTCACCACTCTGATTCCAGTTTCTGTGATATCATTATTGTTTCCTTTATTAGAATTAATATTCAAGACAGTTTGCTCTTCAAATGCAATGGCAGGGCCGCCATTCAAGATCATTGGTATCTGTCTGAACATTGATTTTATTAATACAATGCCCAATGTCAGTGTCTTCACCCCATAACACCTTCTTCTCTTGGTCCTTTCCTAAGAATATTCCTTGTTTAGTTTCTAACAGTGCCCTGGCCTTTATGCTTATAGCTGGCTAGCTTCCTTGCCTCATCAAAAACACATTTACAGACCAGGCACAGTGGTTCATGCCTGTAGTCCTAGCTACTTGGGAGACTAAGGTGGGAGGATCACTTGAGCCCCAGGAATCGGAGGCTGCAATGAGCCATGGTCGGACCACCACACTTCCAGCCTGGATGACAAAGCGAGACCTTAAAAAAAAAAAAAAAGTACACATTTTCAAACCATCCTTTTAAATTATCATTAGTATCTCTTCTGTGCTTATTTATTAGAATTTGAGTTTTTAGATTATGACTTTCTTATTACCTGCCCCTTTACCCTGACACTGCTTTTTGTATCTTACTATAATGTTGAGAATGTGAACTTTTGTAGGAACTTTTATAAGGATTTATAGAAATATGTCAAAATGTCTAAGGACACTTTTGTCCTTATGTTTTGTGAGTAGTTTTACTTTAATAGTGGCATAGTGGTATAGCCATATGCCTCAAAAGAGGAAAGTTGGGCATAGTTGATCTTGCTGAAAATGTGCACTTTTCTGCAAAGATTATTATACATATGCATCAACTTTTATTTACTTAACAGACCTCTTCCCAGGGACTGGTTTAAAATAAACATCATGCTAAGACTACTGGATAAATATTTTTGTCTATGATAGTCTTATTGTTTTTAATGGAAAGAAATAAGTAGAGCTCTAACCAAATCTAAGTGAAAAAATTATAATAAAAATCAAATTTATCTTCATTGAATTTGCTTTCCCTATGTATGCTTATAATTAAAGCCATACTTCATTATAATTACTGTGTCAATATCACTGAGCTTGGTTCAGTTTGAAATTTCACCACTGACAGTGTTAGATCTAGCATTATATTCCTTATAAAAAGAGAGAATGGACCAGGCACGGTGGCTCACACCTGTAATCCCCAGCACTTTGGGAGGCCGATGTAGGGCAGATCAACTGTGATCGGGAGTTCGAGACTAGCCTGACCAACATGGAGAAACCCTGTCTCTACTAAAAATACAAAATTAGCTGGGTGTGGTGGTGCATGCCTGTAATCCCAGCTACTCAGGAGGCTGAGGCAGGAGAATTGCTTGAACCCGGTAGGTGGAGGTTGCAGCGAGCCAAGATCGTGCCATTGCACTCCAGCCTGGGCAACAAGAGCAACACTCCATCTCAAAAAAAAAAAGAGAGAGAGAAAATGATGCATTTTGATCTGATATCAGGTACTGTTTGAAAATAGTTTTAGAATCCAATAAATATTTACTCCACTTTCTTCTATTCTTGGAAAATGTCACATGAAGAGCATTTAGATTTTAAGTACTTTTGAATTTTTAGAACTTGAAAATTTATTTCCAAAAAGTATTAATTTCTATAATGAAGTAGATTGTTTGTATTTGAAATTTCTTCCTCTTCCAAAAGTAACTTATCTTAGGATATTAGCTTTATTGTTGAAAATAATATATAATTTTGATCTTCAAAGTATTGTATATGGTGAATAAAAGGTAAACCAAGAGTGGACAAAATAGAAGAGTTTTAATTTTACTGAATTAAGAAAATTATAAAACAAATCAGTTTTTTAATGAATGGAAAAACCTAAAAACTGTATGAAAATATGCACAAATTTTTAAATTTGATTAAATGTATTTCATTACATGAAGTAAAACAAAAATAGTGGTTATAGCTAATAAGGAATGGGAGACTGGCCCAAAGGAGAAAAAACACACCTTCTTGTACTTTTTAGTGTTTCTTATATAAAATAGATGTGAGTATAAAAGTCTTTAAAATAAGTTATAATATATATACATTTAGTAGAATATTGAATTTAGGAGTGAACACACAAAGTTTGTAAACAAATCTGTTAAAATTTAAAGGTTTGTTATTTAAGGTACGTTTATTCCTTTGTGTTTTTTTATTTTTTTTTGAGTTGGGGTCTTGCTATGTTGCCCAAACTGGTCTCAAACTCCTGGCTCAAGTGATCCTCCTGCCTTAGTCTCTCCAGTAGATGAGATTACAGGCATGCACCACAGCACCCAACTACATCTATTCCTTTGACAAGTCATGAAGGAAGCTTTGTTTTGGCTCATTCTTTCTCAATAAGAAGGGGAGTTCTTATGAAGATCATAAAATTAATTCATATGCATTTATTGTATCATTTTAAAAAGGAAATTTGCATTTATTGATTTATATTATATATGCATGATTTATGTTTATATGTATACATAACCCATTCTTGCAGGAACGGGTTAACTACATGCTTCTTAAAATAATCTAATATCATATGTAATGCAGAATATTAAGATCAGAATATTAAGGTCATTGGAATTCAGGAGACAACGAATCAGATTCATGTCCTTCTGAAATTTTTTTAATCTGCATGGTTCAGTCCACATTACCAAAGATATATTTTAAGTAAAAGAACATGGTAGACAGATGAAAGTTAACCTCTTGCCTCTCTTTGCAGATCTCTTTAAGGAAGTTGCAGGGCCAACAGAAATGTGTGACCAGAGGCAGCTGGGCCTGTTACTTCATGATGCCATCCAGATCCCCCGGCAGCTAGGTGAAGTAGCAGCTTTTGGAGGCAGTAATATTGAGCCTAGTGTTCGCAGCTGCTTCCAACAGGTAAGCATGAAGGATCACTGGTGTGTAGGATGTGTTGGCGAAGGGTTTTGAGGATGTTCTGAGACATGGAATAGGGAACTCGGGCTGGAGCCAAATACTGGAAGACTTTGGGTACCATCCAACAAGTGGTGTATTTTATTTCCTAAGGCTCATTTGCTTCAAAAAATAGCAACCCTTGCAAAGAGACTTGCTGTTTTTCTTTGATAAAATCTACAATCTTTAACCTGTGCCATTAGATTGCTGTTTGTCCTGCCCTTTTCCTGGCCTCATCTCCTACCATTCCTCTCCTTGCTCTCCGCTTTCCAGCTGCACTGTTTTATTTCCTTGATTCCTGCCTCAGCAGTGCCTTTGGACCTGTGTCTGCTGTTTAGACGTTCTTCCTTCCCCATTGCCCACTACCTCCCTTCTCATACCTAATCTTTATTTGATCTTTAGATTTTAGCTTTAGCTATTACATCCTCTGAAAATCTTTCTCTGACCTCTTCAGATAATGCTGTATTTTCCTATTATATTCACCTAATATCGTCCACCTCTTCCTTCTCATACTCAGTGCAATTATAATTACACACTGAATTATATAATTCATGGCTTAGTGTTTGTTTCTTCTCTAGGAACCTAAGCTCCATGAAGACAAGGACTACGGCTATCATTTTACTGTTGTATCCTGTCTTAGTTCATTCAGGCTGCTGTAACAAAATACCATAAACTGGATGGCTTTTAAACAACAGAAATTTATTTTCTACAGTTCTGGAGGCTGTCCATGATCAAGGTGCTAGCAGATTCAGTATCTGCTGAGGGCCCACCTTCTGGTTCATTGCAACCTTTCTTGCTGTTTCCTCATATGACAGAAGAAGTGAATGATCTCTCTTGGGCCTCTTTTTTTGTTTGTTTGTTTTGTACTTTAAGTTCTGGGGTACATGTGCAGAACGTGCAGGTTTGTTACATAGGTATACATGTGCCATGGTGGTTTGCTGCACCCATCAACCCATCATCTACATTAGGTGTTTCCCCTAATGCTATCCCTCCCCTAGTCCCCCACCCACTGACAGGCCCCAGTGTGTGATGTTCCCCTCCCTGTGTCCATGTGTTCTCATTGTTCAACTCTCACTTATGAGTGAGAACATGTGGTGTTTGGTTTTCTATTCTTGTGTTAGTTTGCTGAGAATGATGGTTTCCAGCTTCATCCATTTCCCTGCAAGGGACATGGACTCATCCTTTTTTATGGCTACATAGTATTCCATGGTGTATTTGTGCCACATTTTGTTTATCCAGTGTATCATTGATGGGCATTTGGGTTGGTTCCAACTCTTTGCTATTGTGAATAGTGCCTCAGTAAACATACGTGCGCATGTGTCTTTATAGTAGAATGATTTATAATCCTTTGGGTATATACCTAGTAATGGGATTTCTGGGTCAAATGGTATTTCTGGTTCTATATCCTTGAGGAATTGCCACGCTGTCTTCCACAATGGCTGAACTAATTTACACTCCCACCAACAGTGTAAAAGCATTCCTATTTCTCCACATCCTCTCCAGCATCTGGTGTTTCCTGACTTTTTAATGATCACCATTCTAACTGGTGTGAGATGGTATCTCATTGTGGTTTTGATTTGCATTTCTCTAATGACCAGTGATGATGAGCTTTTTTTCTATGTTTGTTGGCTGCATAAATGTCTTCTTTTGTGAAGTGTCTGTTCATATCCTTTGCCCACTTTTTGATGGGGTTGTTTATTTTTTTCTTGTAAATTTGTTTAAGTTCTCTGTAGATTCTGGATATTAGCCCTTTGTCAGATGGATAGATTGCAAAAATTTTCTCCCATTTTGTAGGTTGCCTGTTCACTCTGATGATAGGTGTTTTTTGTTGTTGTTTTGTTTTTGTTTGTTTTTTGTTTGTTTGTTTGCTGTGCAGAAGCTCTTTAGTTTAATTAGATCCCATTTGTCAATTTTGCCTTTTGTTGCCATTGCTTTTGGTGTTTTAGTCATGAAGTCTTTGCCCATGACTATGTCCTGAATGGTATTGCCTAGGTTTTCATCTAGGATTTTTATGGTTTTAGGTCTTACATTTAAGTCTTTAATCCATCTTGAGTTAATTTTTGTGTGAGGTGTAAGGAAGGGGTTAAGTTTCAGTTTTCTGCATATGGCTAGCCAGTTTTCCCAACACCATTTATTAAATAGGGAATTCTTTACCCATTGCGTGTTTTTGTCAGGTTTGTCAAAGATCAGATGGTTGTAGATGTGTGGCATTATTTCTGAGATCTTGGGCCTCTTTTATAAGGGCACTAACCTCATTCAAGAGGGCTCCACCCTCATGACCTAATCATTTCCTAAAGGCTCTACCTCCTCGTACCATCTCCTAAGTGGTTAGGTTTTTAACATATGAGTTTTGGGGGACAAAAATATTCAGATTATTACATTTCCTGTGCCTTGAACATCATAACTACTTTAATAAATATCTGCTAAAGAACTGAATTAAAATGTCCTGAGTTCTTTTTAAGACAAGATTTTTAAAATATATATACATTAAAGATGTTATTAAAGTATCAGTTTTTTTTCTTTGAGACTATGCATACAAAAGAAAGATGTACGAAGTTTTATACTGATCTAAGTTACTAATTTGAAACTGAGAAAGCACTTTCATTTCTTTTTAATGTTTACTGCATATAAAGACATTTTAGAAATGTTACTACTGATGTTATACATATGCATAAAGTACAAGTCTACAGATATTTTGGCAAAGCATATCCAGTGATTTATCATTGCTAGGGAAAAAAAAGGCTCACACCGTGTCTTTGAGGAGAATTGATGTCATGGGTTATTACATTTTATAATGGCCCTTTTTCTTATTTTAGAAATACAAAAAATATCAAATGCAAATTCTAAATATGATTTATAGTCATACATGTAGGTTCACAGAATGACCTCAACAGCAACAGGAGGATAAAATTGGTAGATATTTAGCTTTGCACATAGGAAAATTACTTAGTATTGGGAATTGAAGAGGGATTGGGGAGTTTTATGTAATTTATCCTGATAAATTCTGCAAAGTACATCCATAGCAATATGCTTTCTGTGTGATGATATAATGGGACTAGAGCAGGACACACAAAAATGACAGCTTTTATTTAGCATTTATAATGGCCTTCAAGTTTGTAAAATTATCGGTGAGTCTTTCACAAGTTTTTACTGTCTTAGATGAAATTTTTTTTTTTTTTTTTGAGATATATTCTTGCTCTGTTGCCCAGGCTGGAGTGCAGTGGCGTGATCTCGGCTCACTGCAACCTCCGCCTCCCAGGTTCAAGCGATTCTCCTGCCTCAGCCTCCCGAGTAGCTGGGACTACAGGTGCACGCCACAAGGCCCAGCTAATTTTGTGTGTGTGTGTTTTAGTAGAGACGGGGTTTCACCGTGTTGCCTAGGCTGGTCTCAAACTCCTGAGCTCAGGCAATCCGCTTGCCTCGGCCTCCCAAAGTGCTAGGATTACAGGCTTGAGCCACCACACCCGGCCAAATGAGTTTTACAGAATTATTTATGTAAAAAGATGACTTTAAATTGAGTGGTTTGGGTTTTTGCTTTTGTTTCTTTCAAAATCTGAGTATATTGAAGTCTTGGTATTTTTTTGCTTCTTCCTATGTGACAATTTCTGCTTTTTCTACTCATAAGTTCTAGAATTTTCTTGACTTGAAGAACCTTAAAGCATTGTGACTTAACTGACATGGAAAGAGTTATATAGTTTCCTCTTCTGCACAAATTTTCAGAAGATTATGAAGCAACAACACTAGCTACAGTTTAAATGAAGGCATTTCTTCACTTTTAATATATTTCTTTTTTCACCAGAATAACAATAAACCAGAAATAAGTGTGAAAGAGTTTATAGATTGGATGCATTTGGAACCACAGTCCATGGTTTGGCTCCCAGTTTTACATCGAGTGGCAGCAGCGGAGACTGCAAAACATCAGGCCAAATGCAACATCTGTAAAGAATGTCCAATTGTCGGGTTCAGGTAAGGCGTGCCAGTGCTGGAGGAGGCTATTTTCTGTTTCCTTTGTGTAATCTCAGTGGTACGTCCATCCTCCATTCCCATTCATTCCCATTTGGAGGTTTGCTTTCTAAATAAATGGTATGTTCAGTATGTCTCATCTATCTAAAAGTAGCATTTCTTTTTATAACTACTACATGAAGCATATTTTATTATTGTTGCTATTATTATTGTCATTTACACTACTTGGATCAGAACCAGAGATTTTTATGAATGTCTGTTTACTTAGGTCACAGAAATGATTCATCCATGAAAACTGTATGGCTGATTATAAATATATAACCCTGATGGAATTTGGTAAATATTCTGAGGTCTTGGGGTCAAACTTAGTAAGCAGGAAGCAATGTTTAATTACCAGCTGAGAAGTAATCAAATTACTTTGTGTTATTTCTGCCAAGTTTGATGTGAAGTACATTAACCCGACTTCTTCCCATGAGGAGCACTGCTAAATGCCATACTTTAATGTAATCAGTGTGTCAGACTCTTCAGTTTGTGACCCCAAAGCCGACAGTGCAGAGTCTGTGGTTTGTCCTAAGGTGGACATTTTTGGACATCCTGATCCACTCCTCTTAACATAGGTATGCATTTGACCTCTTGAATATATTATATTTCTCTACTGGGGGGAATCTGGAAAATAGCCCCAGTTTAATTTGGAAATCTATTATGAAACAACATAAGCCTACTCAGTAGGGAAATTCAAGATTTTGTGTGTGTCTTTTTTTATTTATTTTTTGAGACCAAGTCCCACTCTGTCACCCAAGCTGGTGTGCAGTGGCACGATCTTGGTTCACTTCAACCTCTGCCTCCCAAGTTCACGCGATTCCCCTGCCTCGGCCTCCCGAGTAGCTGGGACTACAGGTGCATGCCACCACACCCAGCTAATTTTTGTATTTTTAGTAGAGACTGGGTTCCACTATGTTGGCCAGGCTGGTCTCAAACTCCCGACCATGTGATCTGTCCTCCTTGGCCTCCCAAAGTGCTGGGATTACAGGCGTGAGCCGCCATACCTGGCCCTATGTGTATCTTTTATTCGTACCAGAAGATCAAGTACCAATACGGTGATTCTCTGAGGGAGAGTCAAATCAGGAGGGCTGGGATTGGTTGTTGTTGTATATTGTATCAGTATTAGTATCTTGAATTAAACAGAATTGTTTTCATTTGACTGACTTTATCAGCATAATAGTTTGTACGAAGCATATCATTGCATTCTCTGTGGATGGCTAACATAAGAAATGAAAATTCAAAAGTTCTCTTCTCTCATGCATTATGGTGTAGTTGGGAAGACTAAAGTATTGTGAGGTCAGAGGGCCTTGCTGCTATGCATTCTAAGAGGAGGAAAAGACAGGTAGGTAGTGTGAAGTAGAGTGAGCATTAGCCTGGCAGACAGCTAGGGTAATAGATGACTTCCAGTGGAAGTCAAAGCACAAATGTTGGAAGAAGAAGAATGGTAAAGTCACAGTTTAAATGCAGCAGGGTTCTTGGAATGGCTACATTTGGAGTATCTGGTAGACATAGATGTATGGGAGAGGGAATAGCTGGAATGTGGCAAGGTCAGTCTACTACTGGGAAGATAATTCAAATGAGAGATGTAGTCATCAAAGCTAATAATCACTGCTATTTATTGTTTACTTTATGCCAGACAATGTGCTAAGAGGTGTTATATTTGTTATTTTAGTCACTTTTCTTAATAACTCTGTAAGATTGGGAGTATTACCTCTACTTTACACATAAAGGAACTAAGACTCCAAGATTAGTCAACTTGCCCAAGGCCAGGCAGCCGATTGTGCAGAGACAAAGTTAGGATTCAAATCCAGAACCCTTTGGTTTTCCAGTTTGTGTTCTTAATCAAGATGGTTTTAAAAAGCAGATTAGATTTTTAGGAGAGAGAGATTTAATATTAAGAAGTAATTAAATGGTATTGAAAAGAGCAATTGATTTAAAGCACTAATTATTAGACCAAAAATATTACTCTGGATATAAACGGTAATGTGAAGCCATGGGAAAGATCCAGATTAATTGACTTGGGAAGAGACTGCCATATATAGATATATATAAAATCTGCCATATATGGCCATTGGTATAACCTAGAGATGCCATGAGGGACCATGTTTCTCAGCATCTGATGGATGTAGAGAGTGAAGGAGAGGATAAAATACTCTAAAAACATTAAATATTTGAATGACCTTTAAAGTTTCATTTCTTAAATTAAAAATGACCTGAAGCAACTATGTAGAATATTAAGATTTAACTGAGTTGTGGGACATGGATGTTTATTATATTCTCCCTACTTTTGAATTAACTTGAAATATTTAATAAGAAAAATATGAAAGAGCAATTATAAAGGGTGAACAACCTGAAGTGTTAAATTTCAAGGGTTTAAGTTTCTGCTAGTACTATCAAATTGACCTGTAAATGTCTCTATGATAGAGATGTGAAGTTGACCAGCAGGTCAGAGATTAAGGTTATGGGAGGATATTCAGGAGATAGTGTATTGAGAAGTAGCTCTGGAGTCAGGCTACTTGGATTTCAATCCTGGATCTATTGTTTGGTGCTGAGACTTTGAATAAGATACTTGGCCTGCTTGAACCTGAGTTTCTTCAACTTCAAATTCTATGAGTGTTTCCTCATAGGAATAGTTAATACATGAAAGTATCTAGGGCAGTTCCTATCACAGAGTAGGCATTCAGTAAATGTTGGCTCTTTTTGTTACTACCAATAACATCATTAGTGTGATAGTAGCTAAACCTATGAGTGTGTTGTTGAACATTTCCATTAAGTGGAAATGCCAGAAAAACCTGGACAATGATGTTGCTCAGTAAAAGGCAAGATTAGAGAGAGGTATAATAAGGGACAGAACAGGATTCTTCAGAGAAATAAAGACGCATAGTGTGCTTTAGCAAGATGGTAGAGGTGTTAAGTGCATCAGAAAGATTCTTTGAATCAGAAGTCATTGGGAATCTTAGAGAGGATTCTATCCGTGTCGTTATAAAGATGGCTCAGGAAAATACATAGGCGAATATGTGCAAACAACTTGTTTAAGAAATCTAGCTATAACTTAAAATATGTCAGGATATTGAAAATTGGAAGATGGTAAGTGATATATTGTCTTACTTTTACTTGCATTTATATTTTTCCTGTTTTCTACATTGAGAATATAGTACATCTAAAATTTGTATTTCGAATGAGAGAGAAATATGTCCAGACTTGATACCTGGTTTAGGCACAAGAGTGAGCAAGCAAAGGTTTCTTCAAGCTAATGGTGACTTAATTATTGCACAAAGATTACACATGAAGGGAATGAATATAAGAACAATTCCAATAGTAAAATGGGGTCCAGTTGGAATAGGTCTGATTAGTTTAGTTGTAAAGAGATGCATCTTTCTCTGTGGCTTCAGAGAATGAATGGAAAGACAAGTACAGAAATAAAGATAGAGGAATATGTCTATTATAGAATAATCTTAACTTCATTCAGACTGTCTTTCTATCAAGCTTCTACCCAAGATATATATATATATATTTCATTTTCCCCGAACTTTTATAAATACTGCTAGAGTTTTTCACTAATTACTTCCAAATAAAATGTTAATGAAATCTTAGATTTACATAATGTTTTGTAAGCTGGGAATTGTTTCAGTTAGAATCATACACAATTCCTTAATAGTAGTTGCATAAATAAATTAGAACTTTAGTTTTCTTTCTTGTAAACAGAGTGAAGGTAGGTAATCCAAGACTGTTCTCTGTGACCACCTGGGCCCTTAGCTCTGTTTTCATGCACTGTCATCCCTAACATGTGGCTTCCATCTTCAAAGTCACTTCATGCTAACAAAGTGACTCTTCTGGATGTCAGATCCATTTTCCAGTGGGGAGGAAGAGGCAGCATGCCTCTTCCCAGCTAACTCAGTCCCTTGAAATTCCAATTAGAACCCCCACCCAATAACTTTGGTTTTTATTGCACTGGTCACCAACATCAGCAAGAGAGGCTAAGAAACAGTAATTTTCTCAAGGCTCATTGCTAAAATGTGCTAACAGTACAAGGGTATGTTACCAATGAAAAAGAGAGAATGGCTATCTGCCAAGGGAGTATTCAGCAGAAAACAAAATTTCATTTAGAAAGAAGATGTCAGTCATACCTGTCAAGCCATGCTGATAAGCCAAGAGATGTCGTTAGTGTATGTGATTGTTTCAAACCAATAGCCTCCTTGGCAAAAGTAAGCTGGCTGTAGTATATGCAGAATGATTTCCTTAAGATTGATTTGCAAGTGATTTTTCAGGTCATTTTAGAAGCTACTCAGTACTTAGTAGTTTACAGCCACACAACTTTTAAATTTTGCTTCCATTTTCATTCTGTTGGTTCTATCATTTAATTTTTTTTCTGTAGATGTGGGTATAATTTATGTTCTTAGTTCTACCAGCAATTCTGACAGAACAGATTTCGGAGAAGATGTTTTCCACTCAGACCCATAGAAACTTATCGTCTAAGGTTTTGCTTTTGTAAATAAGATTCTGCAAGTACAAGTCAATGTGCAGTGTCATTCTTACGCCAGAGATTTTAAAACACCATTTCCATTCAAGGATGCATTGTGATCAAGGCTTTATTTAGTTTTTCCTTTGTTACACAGTATTTCTTGATTTCTTTTTTTTCTAGTGACTAATTTAAACCAAATATAAAAGTGCTCATTGTTGAAAACTGTATCTTTGTGAGGGAATTTTAAAATTCATTTCTTATTGGTGGTATAATTGATATTTTAAAATTTGATGTTTCAACTTAATAGATATAATTCTTTTCTTGCCTATCATTTTCCATTCGTATTCAAACATTAAAAGAAATCTTCTGACATGCATATTTGTCTCCCTCTCATGTATAAACAGATAGAAGCATGTTTCAGAGACTTGAACTCCAAAATTTTATATTTTATTTTTTGGTAATTCGGATGAATGAAATTTCTTACCACAAATTTAGACTAAATGATAGTAATGCAAGCCAATAAATTTTCTTTTGTTTTCTCTAGGTATAGAAGCCTTAAGCATTTTAACTATGATGTCTGCCAGAGTTGTTTCTTTTCGGGTCGAACAGCAAAAGGTCACAAATTACATTACCCAATGGTGGAATATTGTATACCTGTGAGTACTAACCCACTGTTTTGTTTTTAATACATTGCCATTGAATTAACTAGTATCTAAAATTTTATTATTTATTTAGACTTAATCTTTTTTGAAAAAATATCACTTTGAAGATTTTTTTTTTCTTTTAAGTAAACTCATTTATGTTGAATTAATTAGTGCAGAAAAAAATATTAACTTTTTTAAATATCTGTGTTTTGATTTTAAACTTTTTTGGTAGCAAATTCTTTTAAGAGCTGATACTGACCTACACTGAAAATGATACTATGTAACGAAAAATCATGTTTCTTTTAGACATATTTATGCTTTCATAGTTAAATACCATATTCATATTAGCAAAATACAGAAAATGGAGATATTAAAAATATAGTTCCTAACTCTAGCTCCTGAATAAACTACCTTCTAATTTTTCCATATCTCTGGTTTTAAGATTCTATTTATATTTATATTTATGTATCTTTTTCCCTGATATTTTTCACTCGACATTCCATTTCGTCACACAGTGTAATTTTTTTTAGTCACAAAATTTTTAATTGAGTGAATTACTACAGTTTACCTAACCATTCCCTGAAATTTGGACATATAGTTTATTTTCAATTTTCTGATGTTATAAATAACACTCTTACAAGTATCTTTGTGAGGGTAGCTCATTCCAGATATTATGTAAACTACATTGCAATAGAATAAAGCACTATAAGTAGGTTATTTCAGTCAATGAATATGGGTATTTTTTATGGTCAAAATACTTGATGTCAACGTTTTTTTCAAAATAGGTTTATCCCAATTTACATTATTATCACACTTTGTTAAAGTTTCAATTTTACTAAGCCCCACCAGTATTGGACATAAGTTCTTGTTTTTCCTTTGATTTACAGCTATTTTTTCCTGAAGTTATCCTCATGTTCTATTAATAGCTATTCTTTTACTTCCTTCCAAATAATGCCCAAATGTATTCATCAAGCTGTCTATTTTCTTTGGTTTAGGGAATTGAGTTACTTTTTTGGATCATAAATTGACAGAAAGGCTGTAATACTTATAAAATATACACATATAAATCTCACACTCATAGGTATCTTATCTCAAATAAATAAGTGCCCTGTGTATGGAGAGGAAATCTGTAGAAAATATTGCTGAATTATAATGGAGGAAGTGCCCACATCACATTATAGCTTTAACCAGGAAAAAGAAATCTCCCCAAGAAAATTTGTGAGACATCATTTATTACTATTATCAACTTATTCACTCAACAAATTAATATTGAACATTTTGCAGGTGTCAGGCCCTCTTGTCAAAGATAAGCAAAACCAGACACTAGTTAAAGTGGTAAGGACAGATTTTAATCAATAATATACTGATTATGCACATGTATTTCTGTTTGTACAGAGGTGACTGGGTGTTTTCAGAAGGGAATAGACTGGGGAAACAAAAGAGGGACTTGAGCAGAGGCAAGGAAGTGAAAAATGACAAAGCATTGGTCAGCATCAGTTCCATCAGACCAGCTGTGTCTGTGAGCTGGCAATTGTCAGAGTTAGGATTCTACCATTCCAGAGAGAGACTGGGAGACAGGGGTCCTATCCTTCCTGATGATTACATTTCAAAGAAATGGTTTTCAGATCCTTGAGAAAGACACTCCTGAGTTGTTGGAGATACATCCACATCTCAAAGGGACAGAGGAAGGATTCCCCATTGTAAACCCTTTCCAGTAAATGCCCTAAGAAAGAGTGAGCAGGGACCTGTCTTCAGGTGTTGGCTAGAGTGAACAGTAAATTCTTTTGGCAGTCTGGAGTTTGTTTTTCAGGCAGACGCTTTAAGGGGTCAGACGCCTTAATAATCCCTTTTTTAAGGGTCATCCTAGGGATGTGGTCTTGAACTGTTATAAATTATGTTCATGTTTGTTTAAGTCTTTTAATGGAGAAGTGGGTGGACAGGGATGGACAAAATGATTTGTGCTGAAAATTTGCAGCTTTTATAGGCCAAGGCTTCAGTAGACAACAGAGCTTACAGGAGGCCAACTCAAATTTGGTCAAGGAGAGAATCCTTGTCAGTAATTTCAGCTCTGATAGTGTATCAGAGTATACCCAGAAAGATAAGATTGTGGACTTCCTGCTACTCTCCCTTTAGGAGGAAGAATGTGTGAGAATGAACAAGGAAACGAATAAATGGGGTTGTTATACATTGCAGTAAGTGCCTTTAAGGAAATGAATGGATAATGAGATAGAATGATTAGAAGAGACATTTTAGATAAAGAAATCAGTAAGGTTTGTCTGAGTTGACATTTGAGTTGAGACCAAAGTTTGAGAAAGATTCAGCCCTGTAAAGAACTAGTAGAAGCATGTTTCAGAAAGAAGAAACAGAACATATAGTGGTCTGAGTTGGGAAAAAGGTTAGCGTGATTGGGCTGCAGAAAGTGAAGCCTGTTCCCCAAGGGGCGCATGGAAAGGAGCACTGGTTACACAACTGGAAGTGCCCAGTGCAAAATGAAACTGGGGGGCCCCTTGTTTAACAATTATTAAGACTTCCGAGTTGGCAACATCAGAGGAGTAAATGAAGTTCAAAGCCCTTCTGATTGTAGGGCCCTGTACAACTGCATAAGTGCAATAGTTCAAAGCCCTTCTGATTGTAGGGCCCTGTACAACTGCATAAGTGCAATATCTTTGAAGCTCACCCTGAGGCTGGGAAAGAGGTGGGTGTAACCAGGGAACAGAAAGAAACCAGGACAAATTTGACAAAAGAGAGACAATAGTAGGAGATGGAATTAAAAAGAAAGGCAACTATCAGATTGTATAGAACCCTGGGGATCATTGTAAGGAATTTGGATTGGGGGAAAATATCATAGTAATATTTACATGAATAGCTATTATAGAAGTTTAGAAAACTGATTATAAAATGCTAGTATCAAAATATCATAAAGTAAATATATGTTGTTATAGTAAAGATATATAAAATTACTATTTTTCTTGGTCTTGAACATATAATAATTCTTAATGGCTTTACAAAATACCTAAACAATTTGAAACCCACATATCTTCAACAGTTGTCATGCAGTAGGTGCATACTTAAGAATCACTGATACACATATGAATTCCACTCTCCAACTACCAATTTTAAATGAAATCTGTAAGTTACCCAAAACTGTTCTTGTTGCATAGTCTTTCAAAAGTCACTGTTTATCATTTCCAAGATTGCAGCTTATCCTGCATTATACAAGGATAGCTTCATTTTTCAAGACATCCTTTGCCCATTTCTGAGGCTTTGTAGTGATCTTATCAACAGCCTACTTATAAATCATCTGTATGACAGGTCACTTTCTGCATTTGACCCTACAACTTTTTGTAAAATAACTAGAAATATATGTAAATTGAATCTTTAAAAAGATACTTGCATTTAATAGCAATGAATGATCTGATTGCTATTATTGTAGCATTAATGTCTTTCCATTCATTCTCTGAAGCCACAGAGAAAGATGCATCTCTTTACAACTAAACTAATCAGACCTATTCCAACTGGACCCCATTTTACTATTGGAATTGTTCTTATATTCATTCCCTTCATGTGTAATCTTTGTGCAATAATTAAGTCACCATTAGCTTGAAGAAACCTTTGCTTGCTCACTCTTGTGCCTAAACCAGGTATCAAGTCTGGACATATTTCTCTCTCATTCGAAATACAAATTTTAGATGTACTATATTCTCAATGTAGAAAACAGGAAAAATATAAATGCAAGTATTCAGAAATCATTGCTTTCTGAAATTTCTTTCTGTTCACCCACATTCTTTACATTTGCTCTACTCTTTTAAGTTTTATTTATGGTTCATCCATCTTTTACTCAACATTTCCTAAAGTCGTTTCATGTCTGCCTTAGAAAATGAACTCAAGTGTGAATTTGTTTGGTACAGTGATAATAAGCAACACTTGAGTGTTAAATGGATCAGACCTTCCCATATGGACCTTGATGTTTGCATTCCTCAGACTGCATCTCCCTTTTTAGTTAAGAAGATGCTCCAGTCACCTTACTGACTTCATCTCTTTCCTTTTCAAAGTCCTTTACAGCTGACTCTGAATGTTTCTATTTTTAAGAGCTTTCTGCAATTTAGAAACCTTATTTTAAATCCACAAAGCACCCTAAATATTTTGCCAATATATCTGCTTATGATTTATGGTAATGTTTTCCTTTAGCTGTAAGAAGACTAATGGTATATGAATGAACTATCATGACTCATGAAAGTATTTTATGATATTGATAATTTATATATGTATATATAAATTATCTGAAGAAATGTAGCAGAATTTTTATTTCTCTAGGAAATGATTTTTTGTCTTATTTCCCCCTACTATTCTATAATCCAAATTTGTACATTTAAGAATTCTTTCATTAGGCTTAATAAGAGTTGATCTTCAAGAGACAGCATGACACAGATGATATTTAATGCCTGTCATCATTCTGTCTCCATATGTCCAAATCCCACCTTCTCACAAAAACAGCTCAACTCCCACTTTGTGTGTGAAATCTCTCCCAGCTCCTCCAGTTTTACCCTCATCAAAGCACTTAGTTCAGGGGCCTCTGCCAATAGCCTCTACTTTACCAATTAGGATTTGATTCTATGTTCCCTTGTATCATTTTCTAACTGTGGTGTTTTTGTCTTCTCAATTATCTTTTTACCTCCTTGAGGACTGGGATGACTTTTATACTTTTCTCCCTGTGTTAGTTAAATTTGCCTCATAAAAGCCAGATGAGCTCGTATCTGACTTTATAAATACTAGTTATAGAATATTAAAGCTGGAATTAAAGCTCTAAGAGATCATCTAACTTATCTTTATTTTGAAGAAAAAACTAAGTCTTAGAGAAGGTAAGTGATTTGTGCAAAGTTAATGGTATGGATTTAGTGACTTAACTCCATTAGGGAAATACACACACACACACGCAGTTAGCACATTGGAAAATAGGGGTTTGTGTATATCCTTGCTGGAATATTATGTTTGTTGAATACCCTTTTACATACCAGGCATTTTGCTAGGAGTTGGAAATAGAGAGAAAATTTCATGAAGGAGAAAAAATACCTCTATGTGGAGAAATTCAACAAGACTGTAATATTTTTTAGAATGATTAAGCTTATGAATCAAGAGAGTAGTCAATTTTTTTTTGTATTATCCATGCATTAAACCTTTGAATTCAGGGATTATCATTTTTTAAATAAATAGTTATATCTTATATTAAAGATGTTCAGATTTAAATTTCTTTTTTATTTATGATGATTTAATTTCATCGTGAAAATTACCCTACTCAGATCTTCTTTAAAATCATCTTTGTTGTAAGTAACCAAAATTTAATTCAAATTAGAAACATTTTCATATGTTGTTAGAGCATATAAAAGATAGTGTGTGGTTTTGTTTTTTGAGATGAGATCTAGTCTGTTAGTGAATTTCAAGTGTATTATCTGTAGCCACAAGCTGTACATTAGGTCTCCAGAATTTATTCATCATATAACTGAAAGTTTATACCCTTTGACCAGTCTCTTCTCTTTTCCTCCACCCCCCAGCCCCTGGTAACTACCATTCTACTCTGTGCTACTATGAGCTTGACTTTTTTTTTTAAAGGTCCCACATATAAGTGAGATCATGCAGTATTTGTCTTTCTGTATCTGGGTTATTTCACTTAGTATAATGTCCTCCAGGCTCATCTAAGTTATTGCAAATGACAGAATTCCCTTCTTTTTTTATGACTGGATATATTTCACTGTGTTTTCTTTATCCATTTTTCTGTTGTAGGATACTTAGTTTGATTCCATATCTTGGCTATTGTGAATAATGCTACAGTGCACATAGGAGTATAAATACCTTTTGGAGATAATGATTTTATTTTCTTTGGATATGTACCCAGAAGTGGGATTACTGGATGATATGATAGTTCTATTTTTAATTTTTTAAAGAACCTTTAGATTGTTTTTCATAATGACTGAACCAAAGATAGTTCTTTAAGTTGGAGAGTTCTTCTTTAAATTTCACATGATTTATAAAAGTTCATACAATTGCTGACAGTGAGAGAGAAGTGGATAGGGTTAAATACTAAGGATAATGGAAAATGTTTAGAATAGCTACTAGGGTCAATCTTGAGTCACACAGAGATGAGTAAACTGATTGCTACCTTGCCACTAGAGTGCAGCTGAGGTTAATTGACAAGGATTTGTAGTTTGTGACTCCATCATTGCTCAGCAGCTTTGGAATTAAAAGATGAAAAGTATATTTGAAGGCCAAGGGAGTGAAAAATTCCAAGGTGTTAATGATACTGTGGTTGATTTGAGGTATCCTCATGCTGAAGAAATCCCAAGGTGGGATAAAGGGCTAGACGTCAAGATGATGGGGAAAGAAGAGGTTTATTTATAATATAAGAAGTGAGAAGAAGAGTCAGAAGATTCCAGTCAGTGAAAGATTTTTTCAAGTTAGAGATTTTGGACTAAAAGTGGTTTTAAGTTATGATGAGGCCTGGGGTATGGCCATACCCCAATGTGTGACTGAAGTGGGACATAGAAGGTTCTAGAAATGAGATGGCTTTTAGAAGGTCATCACTGCATTTCTAGAAGTGAAGTGACAGATGATAGCCCTGTCTGGCGTTGTGCCATCAAAGGAGAGGGGAAGGGCACATTGGCTTTAGTAGATGAAGCTAAGGGGAAAAGGGTGTGTAGGAGAGGAAAAAAATATCTTCTTCCCATCTTAGTTTCATAGTTGAGGCTCCTGTAACAAAAGACAGATTAACAAGAGAAAAGCATACGAATTGATTTAATATAAATTTTACATTATATGGAAGCCTTCATCAGGAAGAGAAGACCCAAAGAAACGGAAGCCTGTGTATTTTTATGCTTAGGTTTGATGAAGAGTGGACAGTTGCGTAGAAGTATGATTGAATAAGAAGATACGACCTAATGCTAATGAACTAGGCGAACTTAGCAAGGCCTGTTTGTTCAGATTCTTTTCTGTGTCCTTCTGTTTTCAGTGATAAGGATGTTTCTTCCCTCCAGGAATAAGGAGGGCACCTCTCAAATAAGGGTCTTATGACCCTTTAGGGAAGAAGGATGGGAGAAGGTCAGAGAGATCTTGCTACGTCTGCTGTTTTCTCAACTGCCAATGTGCCATATTTGGAGGTAGTGTGTCCTGAACCCTTGCCAAGTGTAAACATCCTTTTCTCTTGGTTGTTATGAAAAAGAGATTATACAGCCACAAATGAAAAAGATGTTATAGGAAATGGCATTATCATGGGAGCTTCGGGATTGATTCAAGGAGATAGGTTGAAATACTAATTATGAACAAAATGTAAGGTAATGTGTAAAAGAACACAGAATCCACTGTAATGGAGAAAGAAAGGTAGATAGATAGGCTGTATGCATATAGTGAGGTACAGTAACCCCATCCATGGAGAGAAAATGTGAAATAGAGCAAGGTAATGGAGGAAATAGTAAAAGGAAAGAAGGAGGAAATAAGCAAGGAAAGGTTAGCCAGGATAGAAAGGTAGTTTGAGAGACATGTTAGCTGAGGGAGAAGAGACAGGATATTTGCAAAATTTTGTAGCTTGAAAGGTCAACAGCATCAGCTACTTCCAGCATTTCAATTGCAAGGGTAGATTCATTGTCAATGTCATAGTTTAGTTGCTGAGCTTTACATAGGACTAGTTTGTACTGGTAACTTTGATGAGTTTAGTGAGAAGAGGCAACAACAGGAAAAAAATACCTCAATGAGAAACAGCTTATTAAATTAATACCACTCAAAACAGATTTATATTGCAGGTTTTAAGCAAATACAGTTGTTTTAAAAGCAAGAGGTTCAACTGTATTCTTGTTGATATTGATTAATATGTAGGGAAATAAACCAAAATTACATGTTTTCCATGAGAAGAATCATATTTTCAGTGAGAAGAATTACAATTTTCTAGTAAAAAATATCGAATTTCTGTTTTAAAAGATAAATTGTGCCTTTTTTTTATGAACTATATGCCATTGGCAAAAATAAAACACACACACACACAAAACACCCGAAAAGAACAAAGAAAAAAATCTAGAAGCAGTTGTTTTGATCAATCCTTTCCACCCCTGCCAGCATCAATGTACTTCGTAAGACTATAAAAATCAAATATTTTAAAAATGCTGATTCATTCTTTGGAAAGCTCTACCTTGAGTTAGGGTAGTTTGTTTTTTGGCAGTCTTGTCTCTTCAGATGTGATGTGGGGTGTTTGCCAATATACTGAAAACGCAGCATCACGGCTGTTTCTCTGACCTCAGCATCCTGAAGTGGTGTTTCAGCTCCTGCTCTCCTTACATCGTTTTACCAGTAGGTCCAGTGCATTTAGATTTGTCATTAGCTTTTAAGGTGAGGTTTGGGCAAAATCCATTTTATTTTGGATGACTTATCATCCCACTGATTCTTGACTCCTTGGTAATTCTGCTAATGCTAATTTTTTTAGCTTCATATATTTTCATTAGGGCTTGAAAGTCTCTGAGCTTTTCTTACTGATTGCATCCTATCCATGGCATTCAAATGTGTCTGAATTTCAACTTGTTGAAATCATTGAAACTTAAATAAAAACTGAGAGGTTGTTTTATAGTTAAAAAAAAAAAACCTGTTAAGAATATCTTTAAAATAAGTCTTGTGATAATGAAATGTACCGCTTAGCAGTATGCATGTACCAGTTGGGACTACTGGTTTCTATATTTAAGAAGTAACTCTTGCTAATGAGGGTGCTGTTCAACAATGATTTTAGCACTTGTGCATGATCCAAATGATAATGTTTAATTATTCTGTTTGCGTGCCAAGTGACTTTTTTTATATAACCTTGATTTGCCTCTTTGTAAGCCTTTGTTTTCCTCTGTATGTAACTTATTCATATTTGTAATTAACAATTTAAATCCACTGTTTGGAGCATTAAGGAATTAGTTAATACTGATATCTCAAGTTAAGAAGTGACTCCCCAAAAAAAAGTTGTGGGGAGAATTAAAACAAATATTTTCTGTTTTGTTTTGTTTCTTTATTTGTGGTTCTTTATCTTGTTTTGTTTAAATTGTTTGGTAATTAGAAGTTATTTACGGGATTTAGGTTATTTGGTAGCATTGTAAATAGCTTCCTTTCATGTGTTGCTTTGCCGGTCTTTGGGGATAATAATAAGAGTCCTTTGAGCTGACCTAGTAAAGCCGTTTATTCAAGGATCACTTGATTATGAATACTGGGGGAAGGGGGTTAGCTTTTCTACATTCTAGATTCTTCTATACCTTATCCTTGCTGCTTCTTGTGATACATATTAGTGAAAAGGGAACTTTCAGCCATGTATTAATGCTTTTGAAGTTCAGTAGTGCATAGATTTCAGCATAAAGTAAGATTATACAGTTTGCAATATGAACAGGGACATATAGAAGGATACACATGCATTCATATAGAGATATACAAACTCAAGCAAAAGATAGAGTAACTCTAAATTATGTTCCATGTGATGTATCTATATTTGTTCTCTGTCAAGGATAAAATGGAAGAAAATTGAAAATTTCCTAACTGTATTTTGGTTGGTAAAATACAATCTCAAAAGTAAAAAATTATTTGATTTCGCCTTAAAAGTGATTTTGTTTAGGGTTTTTCTTTAGGGTTTTGCTACAGATAGATGTATCACAGGGTACATTTTATAATTCAGTGATACTTTCCATATTTTATTTATTCATTTATATTAGTTGGTGGGGAACAAGTAAAAAATTGATTAATTCTTATTATACAGGTAAGTTTTCATTGTTTTACGGCTACTTAATAGCAGTACAGTGGAGTAAAGCACATTTTCAGAATTCACATGCCCACTTATCTGTGTAGGTTCAGTTCTAAAATGTTTTTCACAGTGAGTCACTGTCATTAGCTTTCCAAAAATGACAATTTCAAGGACAGCCCTAATTTGTACATGTGAATTTTTATGTGCTTGTTGAAAATCAGTCCAGAGGCATCTGGGGAAGATGGTGGTAGCATGGCATCAGAGTTTTTTTGTTGTTGTTGTTTTATTTTTTTATTTTTATTTTTATTTATTTATTTATTTATTTTTTTGAAATGGAGTTTCGCTCTTGTTGTCCAAGCTGGAAGCAATGGCGCAATCTTGGCTCACTGCAACCTCTGCCTCCCGGGTTCAAGTGATTCTCCTGCCTTAGCCTCCTGAGTAGCTGGGATTCCAGGCATGTGCCACCACGCCCAGCTAATTTTTGCATTTTTAGTAGAGACGGGGTTTCACCTTGTTAGCCAGGATGATCTCGATCTCCTGACCTCGTGATCCGCCCGCCTCGGCCTCCCCAAAGTGCTGGGATTACAGGCATGGGCCACCACACCTGGCCCAGAGTTTTTCCATGTCTTTTGCCTTTGCCATTTTCCTTCCATTGGTAAAGCAGTTACATTTATAAAGAGACATTTGTAAAGAGAATAACTAGACAGCAAAACTAAAACGTACAATGTTTGCAACCAAACTAGATGACAAGAGAGATCCAAAATAAATCCAGGTGGCGATAAGCCACCACCAGCCACAAAACGTACAAGACATCACTGCCTGTATGAGAGGAAAGACAAGGAAGTGAGGGTGCCTAAGAACCAGATAGCCCCCAAAATAGGCAACAGATATTTAATGGAAAGCTGGCTTGAGAGCAGAGCTAAACCTGGAAGGGTTTTGCCATGCGCAGAGGCTAGGGTAAAAAAGGTGTGACATTTCTAGAATGCTCTTGCCTGCTGTGAGCTCTCAGACTGGACCCATCAGGGCTTCCTTCTAGAAAGAAGGTCTCATGCTGAGCAAAACTTCTGGGAATAGAATCAATATGGAGCATCTCAAGGCAACAGAAATGAAAGGAGAAGGCCTAGTCCAAACTGTTCCTACGTGCTGGTAGAGGGTATGGGGGAACAGGACCAGGAAGTCTCAAACTCAAGTACTGCTATGAATGGAATGTTTATGTCCCCCAAAAATTCATGGGTTGAAATCTAATCCCTAGTGTGATAGTGTTAGGAGATGGGGCCTTGGAAGTGATTAGGTCATGAGGATGGAGCTGTCATAAATGAAATTAGTACATTCATAAAAGTGACCCCAGAGAGCTCTCTCTTCCCTTCCACCATGGGAGGACGCAGTGAGAAGACGGCTGTGTATGACCCAGGAAGCAGACTCACTGGACCACAGATCTACCAATCCTTTGATCTTGGACTTGCCAGTCTCCAGAACTGTGAGAGATAAATCTCTGCTGTTTTATTTAAGCCACTCAGTCTATAGTATTCTGTTATAGCAGACTGAATAGATTGAGACACATGCTGTAATTGTAAATACCACACAAAAGCAAAAGAAGAGGAATCTCTGTGAAGTTAGAAAAGCTCTCCTCAACCTCATTTTGTTATAAAAGTTTAGGAAAATTAATTATACAACCAAAAAAATGAGCAACAAAAGTATCAAGACCAAATCTCATATAAAGGAATTTTAAGAAAAAGAGATAAGGAACAAAATTATATCACTACAAATAAAGCATGCCAGTGTAACTACTTTATGAATGGGAGGAAAATGGAAAAGTAAATCTATATTTTAATGTTTTCACTAATCATGTGGGTGGTAGTATTGGTATTAGTGTTCTAAGACTATTGTGTACGTAATATGATAAAAAGCAAATGAATAATTATGGGATTGTCTAGGTCTATCATCTCTTGTGTCCTTGAGAACCAGATTTTTGGTTTTGAAAAAAGGAGATAGAGGTGTATTAGAAAACAAGTTAAGTTAAATCAGAAATTTGAATTGGAATCATCAATGTAACTTCAAGAGAAATTTTACCTTCAAATGCATATTTCCCAGCTCTGTGCAAAGAAAAAGCCTGTTAACACTGAAAAGGCCTAAAAGGTGTGCTTGGAACATCTTGTAATAGTAGCTAATAAGGAAGCTGTTGAAGACTGTTAGAGTCACATTAAAAGTTGCCAACTGAACTTGACCTTCAATAATGAGAATTGCAATAGATTGAAACCCATCAAATACATTAAAATCTCATGATATTTAAAATGAACAAAAGCATTGATCATCTTTGGAAAATAATAGGAAACCATTTCATGATACTGAAAATTAGTCAACACAGTAAAATATTTATCCTGACTTTTCTAAATGAACTGTACCACAGAGTACCTAAATGTTAGACATGGTGATGTTTCTTTATAAAAGTATGTATTAGGCAGGGCTGTCTAGAGGGTCAGAACTAATAGGATAGATGTATATATGAATGGGAGTTTATTAAGGAGTATTGACTCACATGATCACAAGGTGAAGTCCCACAGTAGGCTGTCTGCAAGCTGAAGAGCAAGGAAGCCAGTTTGAGTACCCAAACCTCAAAAGTAGAGAAGCCGACAGTGCAGCCTTCAGTCTGTGGCCGAAGGCCCAAGAGCCCCTGGCAAACCACTGGTCTAACAGTCCAAAAGTTGAAGAACTTGGAGTTTATGTTCGAGGGCAGGAAGCTTCCAGCACGGAAAAAGATGAAGGCCAGAAGACTCAGCAAGTCTGCTCTTCCATCTTCTCCTGCCTGCTTTGTTCTAGCCATACTGGCAAGTGATTAGATGGTGCCCACTGATTAGATGGTACCCACCGGGTTTGAGGGTGTATCTGCCTCTCCTAGTCCACTGACTAAAATATTAATCTCCTTTGGCAACACCCTCACAGACACACCCAGGAACAGTACTTTGCATCCTTCAATCCAATCAAGTTGACAGTATTAACCATCACAAAGTATTCCAAGTAATAAATGAAAAATGAATGATAGAATGACACCATTTTGCAATTCCCAATGAATGGATACGGACACTTAGCATGAACAGCTGCTAAGATCACCTAAGAGAGGTGACAGCTATTATGTGCCTCCTATAACACTGCCAAATACCACTAATTGTCTTGACAAAAGTCTGCTGCATTATCTGGATCAAGTTGCAGATTTGTAGGAGGTTATCAAGAGGACAGACGAAAGTACTGAGCTGTACCAAAAATAGACATTCTGTAAAATCCAGACTCTGGAAAACTCTGCAGGTCAAATTGCCTGAGTTTTCCAACAGACAAACTGTAGGGAAATGGCAGGTGTGGAGGAGGGACCTGTAAATTAAAAGTGATTTAAAATATGTCAGATTTTTTTTTAATAAGCAAAACAAATTAAGGATAGACATTGGAGTGATAAAACTATTTTTGAAACATAATTCAAGTTATGTACTACTTCAAAAAATGAAGTTGATGGTAATAATGGAGAGGGGAAGAAAGTTTTGCCTGGAAGCGGCTTCTCGAATGTGCAGCAGTGTTCCATTTTCTGACTGATAATATTTCATTAAGCCATACTTTTTTGTGTATATATTTTGTTTTACTTTAAAATAAAAAGAATTCTAAAAATAAATCAGTCTAGTCACCAAAATTTTACAAATGGCTGTCTCTGGATGGTCAAATAGCTGGCAATTTTTATTTTATTTTTATTCCTTCATGTATATTTTATTTTTCTTTCTAGTTGTACTTATACCAAACGTGTTATATACACCATTTAAATCTTTTTTAAGTAGCTGGGACTGCAGGCACGTGCTGTCATGCCTAGCTTTTTTCCTTTTTTTTTTTTTTTAAATTTTTTTTTATAGAGATGGGGTTTTGCCGTGTTGCCCAGGCTGGTCTCGAACTCCTGAGTTGAAGCAATCTGCCCTCCTTGGCCTCCCAAAGTGCTGGCATTACAGGTGTGAGCCACTGCATCCAGCCTATTTATAAAATGACATTTTAATATAATTTTTTAGAAAACCAACCACATGGCATCTAATCAGTACATTATTTAAAATGAAGGACAAATTTAGGATGCAATATTAGATATTTTAGTCAATGGCTATGGATTCTTTCCCTTTCAAAACTTAAAACAGTTCCATTTTTCTAGAAGCAGTGACATAGTCTTGTAAAAAGGCTCAAGTTTTCAAGAACATTTTTTTCCTTACTGAACTTGGTTGGAGTCCATCAAAGGCTTAGTGTGAGTTTACTTAGGCTTCAAAAACCTGATGATAATCTCCTCAGAGGCCATGATGGTTAAATGAGATTGAAGGAAAACAATTTATAAGGTACAAGGTCCTATGCTAACCTGTTACCCTTGTGTTTGATCTAATGGGATCTGCAAAATCTGTTCTCCTTTTCTTACAGAAATAAACAGAAACCGAATCTTCCAAGAAATGCATTTAAAATGTTGGGTAATTTGTGTAGTAATGATTGTTCCTTTCAATTTTATCTTTCTATCATAATATCAAAAGTTATTTCCTTAAAAAAAAGAAAAATGTATTATACCTAGTGTAAAGGCAGAGTTGAGTTTGATTATATTTATTATGGTAAGTGGGTGGTTCTCTTTTTTCTTTCTTTCTTTTTCTTTTTTTCCAAACCAAACCATTACTTTAGCATTTTAAAATAGAGAAATATTAGGTACTACTATTATATAATAAAAATCAAATTGGACCAAGTATATATAAATGTTTTAACATTTCGGTGCAAAAATGGGTTAAATTCACTTTATTGGCTCTATCCCAGCTGAAGAATTACATTCTGATAACCTGAATATAATCCCTAATTCCTTGGGATGAATTACTTTTCACTTTTTCTTTTAATATTGCATAAAGTTTATGGCAATAATGAGTTAATGCTCTTAGATTACAACTCTTTGTGCTAGCTTTTCCCCAAGGAAATAAAAATAAGCTATTTCTGTGTGTGTACTAACTTTTAAAAACATGTAAATATGAGTATTATTAGAAACTCTAATTTCAATAACTACTATAACTTTTGGGGACAGCAAGTAGTTGTTTGTTATTTTGTGCATGGGATAGAAAGGGGTTGTTTTTGTTATTGGTGGTTTTGCTTTGGTCTTTCATGTCTTGAAAATATTTAGCTAAAGAATGTATGCTGTGGAATTGAACTGGCACTTTTGAATAATTTGTCATTTTTTTCACAAGCAAGAGTTCATGTTGGAACTCAAATATAGATAAACTAGAAGAACTGATGCTAAGTAAAAGAAGCAAGTCATAAAAGACCATATATTATATTAATTTGTTTATATGAAATGTCCAGAATAAGCAGATTCATAGAGAAAATAGATTAATGCTTGCCATGGGTTGTGGGAGGCGAAGGGTCATGGGTACAGAGTTTCTCTTTGGGGTGATGAAAATGACCTGTAATTAGATAGTGGTGATTTTTTTTAACTTTATGAATTCACTGAAAACCACTGAAGTGTAAACTGTACCTTACCCTTTCTGAGGCACACTGGGTAAGGGGCCTGATGCCTTGCCCACCTGGCCTTTCCTCTCACCCACTCACTCCACTCAGGGCTGTGAATTGAAGACCTGGATATGGCTTGAAAACCACTGGCCTAAGAGATCAAAACTTTTACATTGCTAGGTATGGAGTTTACTCCCAAGTAAAAGCTGGAGTCCATTGCTTATTAAGTATTTCTCTATATTAACAGTGTACTAAGAACAGACAAAGAAATAAATTGGGTCATAAATGCTTATTCTTATACACGGGTCCTCTTTATGCATTTCTATTATGGAAACTTCTTTTTTTCCTTCCTTACCAAGACATTTAGGGTAAGCATATCTCTACACTAAATTATCTGCAGTTGTGATAACCATTGCAAAAGATGTGAAAATCGTTTATAGTAGATGATATATCCTTTTGGCTTTATTCTGAGACCCAGATATTGCTTCTCTAAAAGTTTCCTTATTTGCTCCCAACTACAATCTGTTGTTTTTTTTTTTTTCCTTTTCTGCCTGGTAAGAGCTGAATACTCTCAAACCGTCAGATCTTATAACAACCCTTTTTTCTCCACAGGGTTTCCTTGAATTCTTTTTCTTTTCATGAATACCTTTTTCTTCTGCACTTTTGCTTTGCATTTGGGAAGCCCTATATCCATATAACTGCAGATCATTATGTAGTTAATATTCAGTTATTCAGGAAAAGATGGGTCATTGTGAATCTGATGGCAAAGCCTGGTGATAGCATGGGGCTGGCACCTTGTTGCAGGTTGTTTGTTTTGTCAGTGTAAAAACTGATGAATTTTAAATGATAAGTAGCTGCGGCTTAATCATGTCTCATCTCTGCTTTGCAAGCCAAGAGAATCAAAAGTTCCCTTAATTATTGACTAGAAGCAGACATGTTTTGATAGAAGGGGAATGGATAGAAAGTGGCAAAACTATATAAGGGTTAACTCAGAACTTAGTTGTTTTCAAAAATAGTTTGGTTTTTGTTTTTGTTTTTTTCAATTTTTGGTTGGGTGCAGTGGCTCACACCTGTAATCCCAGCACTTTGGGAATCTGAGGCAGGTGAATCACTTGAGGTCAGGAGTTTGAGACCAGCCTGGCCAACATGGTGAAACCCCGTCTACTAAAAATACAAAAATTAGCTGGGTGTGGTGGTGCGCACCTGTAGTCCCAGCTACTCAGGAGGCTGAGGCACGAGAATCGGCTGAACTTGGGAGGCAGAGGTTGCAGTGAGCTGAGATCGTGCCATTGCATGCCAGCTTGGGCAACAGAGCGAGACTCTGTCTCAAAAAAATAAAAAAAGTTTCTGTCTGCAAAACAAGTTTCTGTGAGTCCTGGGCATGCATGTTGTGAAGGAAAAGCTGAAGGGCAGGGACAGGGAGCAGGCAGCAGGTAAGCAAATATACTTATCATTCAGTGTCTGTGATTACAAGAAAGTTTCTCTCTCCTTCTCCCCTTCTCCTCCTCCGCCGCCTCCTCCTCCTCCTCCTCCTCCTCCTCCTCCTCCTCTCTCTCTCTCTCTCTCTCTTTCTGTCTCTAAGAGGAGGGAGTGAGGTATAATGAGTGGTAGGTTGAGCAGCCAAGTTGGAGCCAGAGGATCATGGGCTTCATTAAGTTCTGTGCAGGTAATGTAAATATTTTAAATGCATCTTCGGAAGGATCACAGTTGATATCTGTATTGTAAATAGAAACTAGAATTGTGATATACAGTAGAAAACTGGGGCTTGGAGAACAATAGTTCATGGGATAGGATGATGGGGTGGGTGGGGTTGGGATAGTGTTAGTCCATATCACCCTAAATGATTATCAAACTAATCATTTAGAAATACCTAAGGGAACAGTGACATTTTATACCACTATTAAAAATGTAGTTCAGGTAAAATAATTATATGTCTGCATAGTTGGGAAAGGACAAAGAAATTGACAGTATTCCTTCCCAAACAGAGCACCAATGTGGCCCTGCTCTTTCTCTCTTATTTATTGTCTTACCTTTTTCCCCACTAGAATATATGCTGGCTTGTGTGTAGCCAGCATCGGCTCTATGACTAATTTCCATTAACACAGCTTGGTTAAAACCATTGTGGTTAAAACCACAATACTCTGTCATCACTATATTAATAGCAAATTGAAAATTTTTTTAGTGATAAGAACCAGCCAATAGTTTGGAAAAATTAGTTTGGAAAAATTTCAAAACTAATTATACTTTTTGGCCCAAGTTTTAAAATATTGGGGAAATGAACTAGGTATGGTTTATTTTCAACAGAGAATGAAAAAGTATAAACATATCACTGGATATATTTAGTGATGAGTTCTTATTGCCAAGTGTTTTCATGAGACTGCTTTATTTCAAAAATGCATAAAACTACCAAAACTGTTGACATTTAATTGCATCAATTTACATCGGCTCTGATTTTGTTATAGATAGTTATTGCCTTCCATTTTACTGAGAGAAGTGTAATTGTTTTCAACCTTATAGACAACATCTGGGGAAGATGTACGAGACTTCACAAAGGTACTTAAGAACAAGTTCAGGTCGAAGAAGTACTTTGCCAAACACCCTCGACTTGGTTACCTGCCTGTCCAGACAGTTCTTGAAGGTGACAACTTAGAGACGTAAGTTTGATTTTAATATTAAATCTAGTGTGAACATTTATATCTGATGTTGTCTTTTTTATGTTAGTAACACAAGAGAAATTGTTTAATACCAACTGCATTTTAGAGGAGGTAAATTAAACTTGGAATCAGTCTTCACAACATGAATTTTTACAATTCACTTTTGACAATGTCACAGCCAAAATTTCAATTTTAACCTTGCACATGTCCTTAAATTTTAAAAATATGTATTAATATGTCAACCTTAATACACACTGGTCATCTCTTTTGTTGGTCATCTCTTTTCTTTTTAAAAACACTTAAAGTGTGGCATTATATAGTCTTTCATTATTTATTTTCCTTTTTTTCCCCTTATGGGGGGTGTTTTACTATTTCTCAGAGTATGTTTTATACTCTTTTTGCATCTCTTTAATATAAATTTATTAATAATACTTAATCTGTTGATTCAGATATTTATGCTAAAATTCTAAAGTATCACATTATGATTCTAATCTATTTTTTATTGAAAATGAAGACAGCAAACTGAGATAGCTTTATATATTACATAAAATAGAAAAAATTTATTCAAAGTGTATAATTTGAGTTGGTTAGCATACATGAAAGTTTCAAGATGGTGAAATTACCATGTGATTATAAAGCAAAGGGAATAAGAATTTATGGCCTGAAGTGAAAAGAAAAAAAATGTTTTTCAATGACCCAGAAAAAATGCAAAGAAGTAATTTTAAGATACTAAACAATTATGTGTTAAGATCCAAATAGATAGATTTTAAATCTTTGAATTGCTTTTTCATATGTCAGGATAAATATTCCTGCTAAGGCCATTTTCTTGTGGTTGAATCTTGGGGAAAATGAACTTTTATTACTAATCATCAACAGAGTGCCCAGTTGTATAGCATAATGAAGTTCTAGTCAGAGAAAGACACCGTCTCAGATGACTAGAGAAGAGAAACTCAAAAGTGTGAAGTTTTCTACTTTATAAAAAATAGAGAAAATTGTAGTAAGAAGTATAAAAAATGTCAAGTGCAATTTTTGTGAAATGAAACTTTAGCCTTCAGATTCATAGTTCATTTTATTTTGTACATGATAGAAAATCAGGAAGTAGTAATATTTTAGTGCTTTGTGATAGTCAATGTCTCAAACATGTCAAAATAGAAGAATACAGTATTTGGTCTGCAGACCAAAATAGATTTTTTTAAATCCCTGTAGACCTCAAACTTTGCTAAATTTATGTACCAGTTTATCTCTTTTATTTGTGGAATGGCTAAGAAATAGAAGAAAGAACACAGCCAAAGCATAGGAGATACCTTTTTCCCTCTATAGGTAATGTCGTGTGTGTGTAAACAGAAAGAAATACAATGCAAATGCATATTTAGATAGGTCCATGTATAACACATACACATACAAAAGGTAAGAAAAAATTTCAACTGTGTGATTACTGTGCTTGATATCAAACTGTGTACACTTAAGATATATTCTTTCCACTTGATATCAAACTGTGTACAATTAAGATCTGTGTCTTTCTAAACATTCTTTTGCATAGTACAATTTAGAAAAAGTTTTAATAAAGCAATTTCAATTGAAAGAGAGCTGTTCGAATACATTCAGGAACAGTAGACTTTTGGTCCTCTTTTTGATTTGTGGGTATGCTTTTGTCCTTTCCTTCAAAAGGTTGTGTGATAATAGATTCTTATTTGTCTTAGTATCTAATATATGTTTAACTGTGCTGATGCCTTAGGATAAAGACAAAATTGTACTTTTTTTGTATCCCATCCAGTTAACCTTTGGAATGGATAATTCTGAGGCACAGAATTATTACTTGGTGCTTTAATTTACGGGATAATTTGATAGGTTTGAACTAAGCGATGTGCCTTTTAATCTTTTGCTAAACCATTGGCATTTTGCATCACAAATATCTACACGCTTTACAGGAATCATGCAGATAGATGCATATTTTATACTCCTTTAAAACATTTTTAATTTGCCTTTCAATGTCAAAATAATCATTGGTGTCAGTCATCCTATTCTGAGTGACTCTATTAGGTAAAAATTAACAGAAAAGCATGCCAAATAATTTTGTGCTGTGATTTTGGGGTGTAATTCTGAAAATGCCTCGCCTCAATTCATTCAATTGAAAATGAATTTATGAGCATTTTTTGTGAGAGGAAAACAAGAGAAAAAAAGGAAGAAGTGTAAGCTTGCATCAGATGCACCAAGATCCTTTTTGGACAGATTTATGAACTACTAGATATAGTGGGCAGGTTTTCTTTTTTTAATCCTAGACCAAGCTCTCGGGATTTGATATAGTTCACTTTTCGGCTGAGCCCTTTCTAGTACAGGGCCGCTTAATCTTCTGGTGTAACAATTTATGTGAGTGGGTAATAAAAAAGTTTGATTTTGTTTATTCTCCTATTTGTGGGAGGAGAACATTGGAGAAAAACCAGCGAAGTGGCAAATGTGTTGAAGTTATTTATGAAGCTAATTAGAATTTTCTTTTGCTTCTTTCTTTTTCATCCTTGCAAAATGTAGCATTTTGTCCTCTGCCCAGTAGTTACACATGCATGCATGGAGGAGGGGATTTATGGGGAAAATGAGTTATTACTAAAAGGGAGTAAACAAATCCATGCTAAGGTTTATTCGATTAATTTTATAACTATGCAAAATTTTCCAGAAAATAAATCAATAAATGAGTAGAGTTTGATTAAAGAATACTCCATTGAAAATAAATCTGAGGAACAAGCTAAAATAGTAGCAAAAGTAATTCAAGGGTTGTGAGAATTATTATTGGCTAAAGAGATAGGTTGGTTTCCCTAAAGATTAAAAAAAGTAAAATAGACACCTCTCCCTGGTATTGGTTAAAGGGGAGTAAATGAGTTTAAAGATTTTTTTAAGAGCCTTTGCTATAGCAAGAAACAAATACACTATAAGTTTAACTACAGTTGCAGTTAACATCCGACTAGAAGGAAGTATGACAGCCAAGTTGAGACCTGAAAGATTAATAGGGCTAAGTATGATGTGTTTGATGTGGGAGGTTGAGAGGGAGAGTTTCTGGTCCAAGGAAGCATTTTCAAAAGCTTGGAGGCAAGATAGTTTCAGAAACTGGGGTGGAAAACTATCAACAATGGCAAGAAATGGCAGTGGAGAGAGAAGATGGAACCATATAATGAAGGGCCTTCTAAGCCATGCCAAAGTGTTTGGAGTTTATTCTGAGAGCAGTGGGGAGCCTTTGGGGGTCTTTGAGTAAAAGCAGCAGGGATCCCACTTACCCTGCTCTGGAGCAAATGGATTGAAGAAGGCAGAAGACAAAGAACAAGGAAGAGTCTAATGACAATTTAAGGCACTAAAAGGGTCATTAAGTTCTTCAAAATCTGGGTTTTATATATAAAACCATTATATATATATATACACACACACACATTGTATATATATACACATATACAATAAATATGTATATATAGTATATATACACATATACAATAAATATGTATATATTGTATATATATGTATATATACACAAATATAATACATATGTATATATATTAATATAGCATTTTATTTATATATATATATATATATATATATATATATATATATATATCTTTTTTTTTTTTTTTTTTTTTTTGAGACGGGGTCCAGTTCTGTTTCCCAGGCTGGAGTGCAGTGGCACAATCACAGCTCACTGTCTCATTGCAGCCTCGACCTCCCAGGCTCAAGTGTTCCTCTTTGGAAATTCCTAGGCAGTATGTGAAGTTGGTGGTGGGGGGGGGTGTCCCCCCAGCGTTAAGAATGACGCTGAATGATCTGGCTCCAGACATAAGCCTGTGAGTCAAGCAGAACAAGTTTTCTTGTATCAGTTTGTAAATTAACTTCTGGGTGAAATTTTCAGCCTCCCAAGAAGCTGGGACTATAGGCATCATGACACCACGCACAGCTAATGTGTTTATTTTTTGTGGAGATGGGGTCTCATTATGTTACCAAGGCTGGCCTCAGACACCTGGGCTCAAGTGATCCTCCCGCCTCAGCCTCCCAAAGTGCTGAGATTATAGGTATAAGCCACCGAGCCTGGCCTGTGTTACATTTTACATGATACTAAGTGATCCTCTTGCCTCAGCTTCCCAAACTGCTAGGATTACAGGCACAAGCTACCGAGGCTGGCCTGGGTTACATTTCATATAATATCTAAGTATTTGTAGCAGAGTCTGCTTTCTGGAATATTAGTGTGTGATTGACAAAATCACCTGTTCAGCCCCCATGCTGGAGAGCAGGGATAGGCTGCGTTCTGAAGCCTGGGCTAACACACACATTGTTCTTATTTCCAAGGCTTTGTAATGATAGGTTGTAACTATGCAGTTTCTTATTTTCTCCTTTCAGAATTAAATGAAAAAGCTTATCATTTAATCTTTTTTTCTACAAATCAAAATTTTCTGAAGTCAATGAAGCCCAAGGTTTGACTTTTTTATCTCTATTTCTTTTTTTAGAAATTTTTCAAATATATAACAAAACTTGAGAAACCCTTCAGTTCAGTTCTCTACCCTTGCCATTCTCATTTTTTAGGTCATGGATCACTTTTGTGCTAACTGGATTAAGTTAGCAAGAACCAGTCAAGCAATTTGACAGAGCTTTCCCAAGGTTGATTAAGACAAAAAAAATACACACTTTTCTTCTATTTGAAGTTCGTGGCATATGTTTTGCTACACTTGAATTTTGGAAATAATCTCTTAAGCAGTTACTGTTTTTAGAAAGTATATAGCATATCATTCACCTGACATTTAACATATTCAGGGTTAATGAAGAACAGTGACGTGGAAATAGTATTGACTAATACTATGTTGTTTTATTGTTATTGTATCTATTTTACACATATGTAAATTAAGTTTACTGACAGTATAGATATTCTGACAAACAGTCTGGATAAATGCCTGGTTCTGCAGTGAGAACACATGGACACAGGAAGGGGAACATCACACACCGGAGACTGTTGTGGGGTGGGGGGAGGGGAGAGGGATAGCATTAGGAGATATACCTAATGCTAAATGATGAGTTAATGGGTGCAGCACACCAACATGGCACATGTATACATATGTAACAAACCTGCATGTTGTGCACATGTACCCTAAAACTTAAAGTATAATAATAATAAAAGAAAAAATAAATAAATAAATAAATAAATAAATGCCTGGTTCTGAAAATAGATCTGAAGAGTCTTAGTTTTTCATCCCAATAAGATAATGTTCAAAAGTCTTTGCTGTGCAGGCATCAACCTGCACTTCACTATAGGAGATGAAGAGAAAAGTAGGCATTATAGATACCTACTTTCTTTGTCTAAGTAGGTATGTATAATAGAAATAGGAGAATCAAGGAGTTTTGGAATAATTTTGTTTCAAACACTGTTAGCTTTTGCAGACTTTTATTTAATTAAATAGCTAATTTTCTTTGTACTGTAAATGTTCTACATTCATTTACTCTCCTTCCTCCTCAAAAAGCTAGGGTTGGAACTAGCTTTTAATTAGGATCAGTTGTTTTCAAAAGTATTTCATGGAGACTTGGGAATTCTTCCTAGGCAGTATATGACATCCCCAGCATTAAGAGTGACACTGAATGATCTGGCTCCAGACACAAGCCCCTGAGTCAAGCAGAACAAGTTTTTTTGCATCGATTCATAGTTTAAACTTCTAAAAAACTTTTTTTTGAAGAAAATGTATCATGATCTCAGGAAGTTGCCTTCAGTGTTATTTATGATGTGACATTTTTGGTGGGATCTAGGGGTGGTATCTAGGTTGCATGTTTGTTCAATGTGTGTGTGAGGTTGAGGTATTTTGGGTACATCTGGGTTTGGATGTTTACATTTAAAATTACATGAAGAACAGAAAAGTCTAATTTTATTGCACCTCTGCCATCAACATATAATGTAGTGTTTCATTTTTAACTTCATCTTTCTAACCAAGTTTCTTCTCTAGGAAAAACAAAAATATGATTGCATCCCCCTTGGTATATTATAGAATGGTATCTTTACATTATTCTATAATTTTGAGTTATTTTTGAGCATTCTGGTTTTTTCCCCAGTATGACTGTTTAAAGATGTGTTTGCTATCCTTGAACAAATATCCTGTAATATCTGTGAAAAGGCCCCTGCAGACTCTTGAATACACGGCGACTTCTCTAGAATACACTGTGACTTCTGTTACTTTTGATTTCCCCATGGTGGCTCTCAGGGCAACCACATATATGAGCGGAAGATAATTGAGAATCTCCCCACACCCCCACTGCTTTTGTCTTAAATTGCTCTAAAGTGTTTGTTCTGTGACTTTTGTCTCCCTCTCCCCTCTTTGCAGTCCTATCACACTCATCAGTATGTGGCCAGAGCACTATGAGTGAGTATTCATAGCCCACGTGCAGGAGAGGTGTTCTGATCAGTGGTACTAGCATGGGGGTCTTACTAAACTCTTGGTCTAAAATAATACTTCTGTGTTCCGGGTAACAATCCTAGTGGTCTGTTTGCATGGCAGATTCATTACTTAAGTAACCTAACATTTCTAATAGTAACACCTATCAATATTTGGGCATAAAATTATTGCTTTGTTTTTTTCTTTTAAAGCCCCTCACAATCTCCTCAACTGTTTCATGATGACACCCATTCAAGAATAGAACAATATGCCACACGGTAAGAAACTTTGATCAGAGCCCTCCACTGCACTGCCACCCAGAATGTATCTATGTCTAATTAATCTAATATCATTAATATACCTTGATTTAAGAAATGCAGTTTTGCAGGAGTTATGATTCCATTATATTTGGAATTTGGGCTCTCATATTTTCATGACACAGTTTGCACTTTACCAAACACCTGCTATATATTCTATGAAAAGTAAACCTAACCAGGATGTGATTCTCCAGCTAATGAGAATCCAAACACTGTACAAGCAGGATTTAGATGGTGTAACCAAGTTTCAGTAAATGAAAGTGGGATTGCAGGTATTCTCAGGAGATGGTGCACATGTGAATTACAATATGTAATTAAATTTATGCTAATGCTTTAGGATAGGGGTTTATTTTAGAGTCTCTAAATAATATATAGGCTGGTCTTGATGGTGTGCACAGACTTTCAGAAAAGTGGTATATACTAGGTGTCTGTGATTCTAGTAAGTAGCTTTGCCTAGAAAGGTTAATTCAAGCATCATAAAAATGGTAACATTTGAACTGGGTCTAGGCCAACTAGAATTTCTAGGGGAAAGTCTTGGACTAATGGAATAATATACTCAAAAGCATTGAGCTGGGAAAGGGCATGGTTTGTTTACTGAACTGCAGGTAGGGGAAAGAGAAATAGATGAGAAAGTGAAGGACACAGAAGTTGAGGTCTGATAATGAAAAACCCAGCCACTGAAGAGTTGGATCATGTCCTTAGTTGAAGGGAAGTCATGGAGAGTTTTTGTTATGAGAGGAACATCATTTTATTTGTTTGAGAATGTCACGCTCACTTAGATGTAGACCAACTAGAGGGTTAAGGAAAGCCTAGGTCTGGGAGCTCAATTAGAAGATTAGGTCAGTTAGGAGACTTTACAACATGGCGTAAGATAAAGGCCTACAGGCATTAAGGCAGTGGTGATAGAAAGGTAGCTCAACATGAAACGTTTTAGTTTTACAGTCGTGTTAGGAGATTTGGATCTTTCTATGTTTTGTCAGAATTTTGACAATTTAAAAATGATTAAGGATGTACGTCCAATTGACCATGTCCTATATGGCCATGTTGTCTAACCTCCTTATTTTTATTTTGCAGACTGGCCCAGATGGAAAGGACTAATGGGTCTTTTCTCACTGATAGCAGCTCCACCACAGGAAGTGTGTAAGTAAATCATGAAATTAGTGCTGCCTGGGAAGGCTAGTTCTTGTATTATGGCTGTCAGAAACAATCTTCACTGATGTGGCTCTGAATCTTGATCCCAATCAAAATTATTAAGTGTGGTTCCAAAAATTTCTACGTAGATTTTATGCTTTCAAACCATGATAGTATAAACTCAATATGTTTATTTACTTTGTTTCATATAAGTTAATGAAAAAAATCTTACATTTGTCAACTTATATACCCCACGAAAATCAGATTGTTTTATTTAGGATAACAGGTGTATATATTCATTCCATTTGTCTTATATTTCTTATTAATTTAACAAAGGTAATTTGACAGAATATGTGCCCTTTCTGTGAAATCCTCTTTCTTCCACTAGCTAACATTTTTTCCATAATATCTGCATTTAGCACCTCTGACCCACACATACTTAGATATATACTCCTACCCTTCATTGAAAACTGTTAACTCCTCTGCCAATATTTTATTTTATTAGCAACTAAGAAAAGCCTCATTGACTTTAGAATACTAAAAAGATATTATATACTAAAAAGCTTTCTAGCCAATTAGTTTATTTCTGATTTCCCCATATGTGTATATTCCACTTGGTTGTGGAACTTTCTCAGCAAATATTTTATCACTGATTATCCCACTATTGTGTGTACTCTTACTTTTGGAACTTTTTATTCTTTTTTTTGTGCCCTGGAATTCACATTTTTAATCCTGAATAATATCTAAAAGACTAATACTGTCAAGCTTATGTGACTAACAAAGCTCTATTGTGGTTTGGATCTGATGGGAATCTGTAAAGTAGACAGAAAAGTTGTCAAACATAGTAGTTGGGTGTTTTCACTAAAAAAAAAAAAAAACTATGGAGAGTGCTAGGTTAAAATACTTAAAGTGCTCAAATATAGAATATTCTCTTTCCATATTTTCTAAAACTTGTTTTATTTATTATGGTTATAAATAAAAGTTATCAGGAGGTTTTTCAATTTCAAATTTCAAAGATTGCATCTTAATACTTGACAGTAATGTAGTAGAGATTTATACATTATCATTCATGTACTATGAGTGTGAAACAATTCCCAAATCAAAATAAAGGTGTATTCATAATGTTTGTTTCATATTTAACCTACTGGTGTGCATTTCATGTAAAGTAGTTAAGTATCTTGAATCTTTCCTAAATCAACAAATTTCCTCAAGGCTGACCATAGCCAAAGCGTTAAAGGAAATAAAAGATAATAATTCAGAACAAAATCTTACTTCTTTAAAATGTTTTGTCATGCCCTGTGAACACAGTAAAGGTAATGCTCAAATTTAGTATATTGTATCTTAAAATAGGAATAAATACTATTTTCAGATTTAGCACTGTTTCAGAAAAGATTAACATTTTTTAAAAAGAAAAGAAAAAAGTCAGAAGATTAACAGTCAGATACATTTTAATATACTGTCATTATATATATTAACTCATTCACCCATCCAACAGACAGTTGTTATTAATATATACCTACCATGTAATGGTATGCTGGAGCCAATTGTGAGAGCTGATTGTTACATTTTCAGGATGTTTGTAAGCTGTTAAACAGAGCCTTTTTAAAAATAATTTATATACATGTATATACAGTTACAATTAAATAAATTAGATTAAAACAAAAACAAAAGTAATTCTCAAAACTCATCACACCCTAATGATTTTACTTCATTTCACTAATATCTATGCCCTTGGGATTATTTATTATAAACTTGTCCATCCTGCAACCCACAGGCCACATGTGGCCCAGGACAGCTTTGAATGCAGCCCAACACAAATTCATAAACTTTCTGAAAACATTATAAGATTTGTCTGTGATTTGTTTTTTGTTTTTTGTTTTTTGTTTTTTTTTTGCTTTTTTAGCTCATCAGCTATCATTAGTGTTAGTGTATTTAATGTGTGGCCCAAGAAAATTCTTATTCTTTCAATGTGGTTCCTGGAAGCCAAAAGATTGAATACTCCTGATTCATTATCTCTGTCAGGTGGTGTACAAATGTGTATCTTTTCCCAGTTCCACATTCAGTGAAGTCATGAACTTGAAATTGGCCATGATCAAAAAGTATTTAAATCACAGAAGTTGCAAATGCCACAAATCAAGGTCTTTTTCTCTTGGAGAACCTGTTAAACATTTACCAACTCACGACCGCCATGCACCCAATACTGCAATAGGTCTATAGATGCAGATACTGTCTCCATGAATCTTATAGGCTAGAAAGGAAATAGATAAGTAGTCCTACCAGAAGAACATGATGAAGGCATTTGTGGTAAACAGAATGATGGCCCCCCAAAGATGTCCACATCCTAATCCCTGAAGCCTATGAATATACTACTTTACTTGGCAAAAGGGACTTTGCCACAGGTTTTTAATTAAGGACCTTGAAATAGAGAGATTATCCTGGATAATCCAGATGGCCCCAGTGTAATCCCAAGGGTCCTCATAAAGGGTAGGAAGGAGAGCCAGAGTCAGAGAAGGAGACGTAGCAATGGAGGCAGAGGTCAGAGAGAGATCTGCAGATGCTGCTGTGTTGGCTTTGAAAATGAGGAATGCAGGTGACCTCAAGGTGCTAGATGATGCAAGGAAACAAATAATCTCCTATGAACCCTAGGATGGGCATTATTATGAGTCCTATTTTATAAACAAGGAAGCTGACATCCAGAAAGATAAATGACATGTCCCTGATCACCCATATATCTATTACAATTAGATACATGAGTACGTTCGATTGACTCTGGACAATTTAAAAGGAAATTGATGTTACGAATACTACATATCTTTGAAGGAAAAATTGAGCAGTGACATCTCAGGACAGGATAGGACTCATGACGGTTCTGGGGAATCTCAGAAGTGGGAACGCAAGGACAATTCCTTGGGCCATGGCTATCAGGACGTCTCACTCCATCTGCCATCTGCCCTTGGGTGACACTGGAAAGAAAGAATGGGGAGGCTGACTGTGGTTTACACAGGCATTGCAGTTTGCAAATCTGAAACCTAGAACAGAACAATCCTTAAAAGAAAGAAAATCATTATTTTTATTTATGTCTTGTCTACTTTCAAAAGTTCATTGAATGAATCACAGTTTTTTTGTCATCTGATATGTACTAATTTTGTAATCTAGATAGTGTTTACTATGTGTGACTTAACTGTAGTATAATTATATTCCATCTAATGATATTTCCTTGGTGCAAACCTATTATTTTTGCAACATTTTCTATTTTAGCCCAAGACATACGATTGATGTTTAATGTCCCTGATCTGGTACCTCATGTTCTATCTGCATTTAAAGAGTTTGTTATTGGTTTTTACTATATGTAATTAAGAACTAGAATGTATCTATTTTTATATTCAACATTTAGACCTAATAATCTGTGAAAAACACTTAAGACTAAAATTGTATGTTTTATATAAATGATTGTTAAATTCTTATTTTTGTGAAAACTGCCTTAACTCTCTTCCAGATACCATAATGAAAGAATGCAATGATAGTGGGGATGATAATTATAATAATGTGTTAAACTCTATCAGCTTCCCCAGAGAAGTGAATCTATATGTATGTTGACAACAAAAATACATCTCAAATCTAATTTTGGCTGGTTTCACTATGGATAGTCAGTCTCCAAATCTTTAAAACAAAAATTTACTTGGTATTAATATTAAGCACTGAAGTTAATCCATGAGGTCAGGTGCTGTAGTAAATGTTCTGAGGGCATAATGGTGGCTTGTGATCTTGGAGGAACTCTACGCCAGGATCTGTGGTCAAATCATGGCCACAAGATCAGCCACATAGCTTAAAGGGATCCAAGTTTTCTTTTAATTCTTGTTGTCCTTATATTAGTTCTTATTTTAAGTCTTTTCTTTCCATATTTATTATTTTCTTTTAGGTATGTTATTGATAGGTATCATAGAACTAATTTTTTGTTTGTTTGTTTTGTTTGTTGTTTTGTTTTGTTTTTGAGACAGAGTCTCACTCTGTCGCCCAGGCTGGAGTGCAGTGGCACAATCTCAGCTCACTGCAACCTTGGCTTCCCGGGTTCAAGTGATTCTCCTGCCTCAGCCTCCCGAGTAGCTGGGATTATAGGTGCCCACCACCAAGCCCAACTAATTTTTGTATTTTTAGTAGAGATGGGGTTTCACCATGTTGGTCAGGCTGGTCTCAAGCTCCTGACCTCAAGTGATCTGCCCATCTCGACCTCCCAAAGTGCTGGGATTACAGGCGTGAGCCACCGTGCCCAGCCAACTAATTGTTTTTTTAACTAATATTAGAATAAGTTTACCTCTATTTTTATCGTAACACCTGAGATTACCATCTACTTTAGTTCCATTTTGCATTATCCTTGCTCATTCTTTCTTTCATATGCTATGTGGACAAAGTGCTTTGCCTGTACACTTGAATGACCTGCCTGGTCATATGGATGGATAGGTTAGGACTGTAGATATTGCTCCATTGTCTTTGGACATTTAATATTATGGAAAATAGGAAGCTAAACCTTTTTCCACCGCTGAACATGATTTACTGTTTTATTTTGATTTCTGGCAGATTGCTTGTGATACTTTATCTTTAAAATACAGACATTTTCCAGGGATACATATGAATGTGCTTCTTTTGTTATTATTATTTTTGGGTACTCTGTCTTTATAGTTTCTATACTCAGATCTTTTTCATCCTGAGAAATGAGAAATATTTACAGGATGTTCTACTGAACTCTTATTTTGCTGTTTTATTTTATATCTATCTACTATATCTTTACGCTTTGTCCATTTGTCCTATCCATATGTTAGAGCTGCTCTTTTGTCATGTTTTATCACCTCTCTCTTCACATGAACTTGGTGAGGTGCCTCCAGGCATCGCTGACTTTGCATTGTGTAATTCACTGCAGCTCATTGGTGTCCTGGTGGTGTTGAGACATTAGTCTTACAGCTTGCTTCTGCCCCGGATAACACAGCTAGGTTTAGGGTGTTGGCCATTTACTTCCTATGAGGAAAATATACACATACACAGACCCATATCTCCCTGCCAGTCTGTTTGATTTAGCTACATGGGAAACTGAGGAGCTTTTGGATTGCTTTCAAATGCTGCTCTCTGCAGTGGTGCAGTACCCATACTCTCTTCTTCTCGTCCTTCTAAACCCAGGAACAAGCATGGGGTTCTTGCAGAGGTTCCTTCATTCATTTCCCAGTGATGCTGCGTTTTCTCAGGAAAGGGAATCAAAGGATAATGCCGCAGCTTACTTCAATCCTTAACCCACTGGTGTTCCTTATTTCCAGTTGCTAACTGTGTTGTAAGGGTCCCACCCCATCCTCTTTTAAAATTTATTTGATAAAAGCAAGAAGGTCAGGTTAGGTACTTATTATTATATTGTGGCCTTAACCAAAGTATATGACCTTTATTTAAATATATATATACTCACATACACACATGTTCATATCTATATCTATATATTTCTAGAGGGAGAGAAAAAGAGAGGGGGTTTATTGATGAAGAAAGCAAAATAAATCAACAAGTGGCACATCTGAACTTTTGCTTTGGCTGTTTGACAAGCATAATACCAGAACGTTCAGTTTTCTCAATTGCTTCATCTAGCTCTCTGATCTCAATGCTTAGGATAAACCTTTTCTAGGAATTCACCAACTGTCTGATACAATTTCAAGTCCCTTCCTTGTTAGAGTAAACTGCAGTAACACCAAGATGAATTTTCAAACCAGAATTACAAGTACCAGAGGTCTTCCCCAGCATCAAGTGTTACTCATCAGCTCAAGGGCACAGGTAATCTCAAGGCTCTGGTGAAGCTGAGAGAGGCCCAGGACTGCCAGCACCACACACCAGGTTCTTTCTGGCTGCAACAGGATGCTGTCTGACTCCAGAGTAACAGAAGAAGTCTCTAAGGGATGTTCGCAGCCCCCATCGCTTACACAGGAAGGAGCTGCTTCAGTCATGAGATAGCCCCATTTGACACTCTGATAGCTACATAACTGACATGAGGTTTTCCTGCTGCCCTATCCTGTAAAGCCATCGATTTCCAGGACTTGTTTACCAAAAGCCATCAAAACGGACCACGTGCCATCTGCTAATGGACTGCCCTGCTAGTATTAGCCAGGAGATTGGTATTTGCACATTTATAAGATCTCACTGGATCTCTCTTGTTGAAAGAAGATAAGAAATTCCGAGTCTGCTAGAAAGCATTTTCTTGCCATAAATATATCAACTTTGTTAGACATTCACTTATGTCAGTTACTAATTCAACCACGTTACTGCTATGTCTAGTTCATTAGACAGGTAGTTAGATAAGTGGGAGAACCCACATGCATTAAATGTAGTTTCTTGTTCTAATGCAGAGTGATCAACCCTAAAAATGACCTGCTAATAATATAAAGTAAAATATCTGTAGAGACATTATAAATATCTACAATTATAATTTGTGCTGAGCTATTTAAATAAAAGAACATAAGGATTATAAACCTTGTCATATGGGTTACAAAGCATTTCAAAGTTACTTTCAACGAAATTCTAAAGACAGTGAAGTCAGATGATTCTTAATTCAGTAGTCTTTTAATCAACTCTTTAGGCATGGAGTAATTGATTTTGTCTACAGTAGCTTTTATACTAAATGCTGTTCCTTATTTTTGTTTTTTCTGCTGAGTAAGATATCCCTTCTGAAGTTTATGAGATAGAGCTGTTAGATGAAAGAGAAGCCTGAAATGTTGACTCATGTAATATCCATGCTCTGCTAGATGAACTTCTTCCTAGAGTTTTAAAAGGGAGGTCATGGAGACACTGAGCTCTAAGACAAACTTGGCCCAGCCACTATCCTGTCCATCATTATTTCTACTTCCTTTATGTCCAAAAACATCACCATCCAGATGTGAGCCTCTGGGTCTGTTTCCTTTGTCTTGCTAGGGAAGACGAGCACGCCCTCATCCAGCAGTATTGCCAAACACTCGGAGGAGAGTCCCCAGTGAGCCAGCCGCAGAGCCCAGCTCAGATCCTGAAGTCAGTAGAGAGGGAAGAACGTGGAGAACTGGAGAGGATCATTGCTGACCTGGAGGAAGAACAAAGGTGTGCTAGGCCTGGGAGAAGGAAATATGTCATCCTTTCTTTTGTATGAATTTCACTGTAGCCCCCATTTATTCTCTTTTTCAAGACTATTGTCTAAGAAATCTCAGTGGAGTGAAAATTTTAGAGGCTATTAACAAACTGGGATGCTGGCTGCAATACAGCAGCATTTGGGGGTTCATTGATGATGTCTACTGGGACACTTGCTTAAAACTACAATTTTATTCCTGCATGCTCATCCTGCTATTAATACACATTTTTATATAAGAGGAACTAGCATGAGCTAAATTTGAACCTCACAGACGATTTTGGAGAGACGATAATGCACGTGGTAGTCATTCTGTTTCTCCCTCTTTCTGTATTAGAAATCTACAGGTGGAGTATGAGCAGCTGAAGGACCAGCACCTCCGAAGGGGGCTCCCTGTCGGTTCACCGCCAGAGTCGATTATATCTCCCCATCACACGTCTGAGGATTCAGAACTTATAGCAGAAGCAAAACTCCTCAGGCAGCACAAAGGTCGGCTGGAGGCTAGGATGCAGATTTTAGAAGATCACAATAAACAGCTGGAGTCTCAGCTCCACCGCCTCCGACAGCTGCTGGAGCAGGTAGGGTGTGTAGAATTCAGCGTCACACCTCCCCAGGCCATCTGTCCACTGCCCTGGGAGATGATGGTCCAGGTGTCAGGAGAGGCAGAGAAGTCCACTTTCAATTTCTTACCTCCGTAGTTAATTCAGACTGGCTTAGAAATTTCCTTTTACATGTAAGCATATAAATCCTCATTGGCACACAAAAATGTGTTTGCCCAGCTTACAATGGAATTTCCCAGTCTTCTTTAACAATGAAGTCCGCCTCAGCTCTGAACTGTTTGAGAGAAAATATCCTATGACATATATCTTCCTAAATTATACATGGGAAGCATCTGTATTAAGGAACAGCAAGAGACCTGAAATCGGCATTCTAAAGCTTTCTTCCAGTGAGACAAGAATGCTGACTCCAAGAATCATTATTTTCTATTCTCAAGAAATTGAGTTAAAGATGGTTATTAATTTGCTACTATTATTTCCTAACACTGGACCATGTTTTATGGGAGTTGCTTGCAAGCTTTCTGGATGATAAGAAATACAATTTACATTAAGATGAATACATGCATGTATGGAGAATACAAAATAATACTTGCCTTTATAGAGAAATGCCAGCTCTTATTTTCTATTTTCCCTTTCTTCCTCCCTCCCTTTCTTCCTTCTGTTTTTCTTTCTTAATGCTGGTCAGGACCTACTAAATTGATTCTATAACTCATCGGTGGGTTATTGCATTCAGTTTTGAAAAACACTGTTCTTTGAGATATAAAAGAAGCATCAATACAGTTTCTGCCTTTCTGGTGCCTGCCATCTTGTTAGAGATCACAGCAAGATACTTTCATATGTGAAGACACAGCACACTGTAGGGAATTAAGTGCTTGATGGCACATAGTAGTTAGGAATAGGAGTGATGTCTCAGAAGTAGTGATGGAGAGACCTTTGCAGCAGGTGCAGAGAGCGTAGAGTCCCAGCACAGGGGCCAAGAGCTCCTCTCTCTTGAAGAATCCCTGACATCAACATGCATGTCATCTTTAGTCTTTTTCTCTAGCCTGTGCTGTGTGGAGCTCCTATGTGATATAATAGGAGTGCCTTTCTCCAGAAATGATTTATTGACTCAAAGCAGGAACAACTTTCTCTCCAGTGATTCTCTCAAATTTTAGAAAACTGCCTTTTCACAGTTGCTCTCAGTCTTTTTAACTTACCAGAATAATTCAAAACAGTGTCATTTCTGCCTTACCTACACAGAAATTTGTGTAGGCAATTCATAATTTGACCATACACTTTTCTCTATGTCTCTCAGTGTTTCAGAATTTGGGTGAGGCTGTTCAATGGAAGGCTTACTTCAGGGCCTCTCAATCCCACAATTTGGAAAGTAAGAGTTTCCCAAGAGTGACCCAAGACGTGGGTTTCTTGAAGCCCTTCGGAATGTTTGAGTCTTACTTAGTGCCAGCCACATACATTGAAAACGTTACATTTTTCATTCCGCGAACTTGAAGTTTCCAAATGGTGCTGTGTAAGGGATGGATTTTCTCTTGCAATCTCTTGTTTAGAATATGAAGTGTTAGTGTTAACAACTTAGTGCATAGGTGGAATTGCTACAGAAGGAAGCTGTGCTCAAAACCTTTATTTGCCATGGCTGGTTGATGCCCACAGGAGAGCAAAAGGCTTTTCTGTTCACCCTTGCCTTCCCCTACTCCCTCCATCCCATTAGACAGTGCTGCCTGATGGCTCATGTGCCTTGAGAATCACATAGCAATGCTTTTAGAGATAGCTAATATCCAAATGGCTTCTATATCCAAGACTGCAGAGCTCTTATCTCTTCTAAACAATTTAGGATGATGAATGCTAGAAGTAGATGGAAAATTCAACTCTAATAGTAAAAACTAGCAGAACTACCAGGCTTCAACTAATATAGATTTAATGGAAAAATCTGCATGAAAAACTTGTAACATCTGCATTCCCTATATGATGGCTCACACTTTCTAATTTGACCATATATTTGTCAGCGTATCCATATTGAAGATTTGCGTGAGTGCCTTTACGAAGTATTTACTAAGTGTCAGGCTGTTCTAACCATTTTAGAAATAGTCATTCTTCACTCCCCTCACAAAACTCTATAACACAGCACTATTATTACCCTCCCCATTTTACAAATAAAGAACTGAAAGCATGGAAGGTTCTACAGTTTTCCCAGAATTACACAGCTTATGAGTGGCAGAGTGGGAATTAGAATCCAGGCAATCTGAATCCATAATCATGCTTCTAATCACTCTCTCAATATTGCCTTGGAGTATGAGCTGATTTTGAAATTGGATAAATTTACTGTATTAGAAACCCAGTGCTGATGTTTAAAATATGAGTGAACTATGCTTATGAATTCACTTAACATTAAAACAACAGAAAAATTGAGGGATAAAAATGGTGTTGATAAATGAGTCTGGCAGCATAACCAAGTGGATTCTTCAAGGTGTCCAAGCGGAAAGAGAAGGACCAAAGCCCCCACCAAGCTGATGCTAAAATGTATGGAAAACATCTGAAGGCAAAGACTTCTATATGATTTAATTATCCATGGTGAGGGCGGGGAAGTTAAAAAGGAAATGTTTTTCCTTATGATTATTTGAATCCTTTCTCTGCTTTAACCTCTGAATGTGGTTCCAGCCTGAATCTGATTCCCGAATCAATGGTGTTTCCCCATGGGCTTCTCCTCAGCATTCTGCACTGAGCTACTCGCTTGATCCAGATGCCTCCGGCCCACAGTTCCACCAGGCAGGTCGGTGTCCCCAGCACACAGCTCCTCTGCTGAGTCTGCTTTGTGCTTTGCCATTAGTTTGTGTTTCCTGTTAAGTAACATTCCTACACACTGGTGCCTTAGGAAGTAAAAGAGTTTTTTGTATTTGGTCTTAAATAGGTGCAAATCCATTTCAACAATATCAAAAAGCAAACATTTTCAAATAAGCTATAATACACTTGTTTATATAATCTGTAGAAGTGGATTGAAGTTTGGATGAAAAAGCCTCCTCTGCCCTTTAGAATGAGCAAGAAATTAAATTATTTGCTTATGAATGATTTTTTTAGTACACTTTCTGTCTCTAAAATGTTACATTGGTGCATATTCAGGACTAATAATATTACACCAAACATTATGGTTGTATCTGCCAAGGTGTGGAAACTCATTTATTCACTTTTCTTCGTCCTAGTCCACTTAGACATTGTCTTGCCTGTCCCATCAGAGGCAGCGGTCCCACGCAGCCTGTCCTTGGTCACAATGGGGACCTGTCACTGATGCTAGGAAGGACTCAGTAAACTAGGTGTTAACCAATGACATTTTGTTATCAATTAAATTAAAATTCTAGAATTTTACTGAGAACGATATATTGTAACCAAATTAATTTCTTGGTGGGATATCTTTTGGTACATTAACCAGAAAAAAATTAAAATATTAGCTGGATGCAGTGGCTCCCGCCTGTAATCCCAGCTCTTTGGGAGGCCATGGTGAAACCCCATCTCTACTAAAAATACAAAAATTAGCCAGGCGTGGTGGAGCACTCCTGTAGTCCCAGCTACTCGGGAGGCTGAGGCAGGAGAATTGCTGGAACCTGGGAGGCGGAGGTTGCAGTGAGCCGAGATCGCACCAATGCACTCCAGCCTGGTGACGGAGGCTCCATCTCAAAAAATATATATATTAAAATATTAAGATTATTTTCATATTTTTTAAATAAGAGAACTATCTTGACTATGGATTATAGGATAAAAAACACATCCTAGTGAAAAGTATCTTAAATAAGATGCCTTTACTTTTGTGGCAGGATAAGCTGGCCTAAGCTGAAGTCTCCAAAAAGAAAGGAGGACAGAAAAAGAAATTGGTGAAATTTTTTTTGTATGAAAACATACCTGTGGTGCAAAAATAATAGATTTCTCATTCAAACACTGAAATAATAAGACCATATTACTTGTTTTTCAGTCTCATATTTTTCAGTCCCCTGGTGTGTGGATTCTTTCTACACAAACAAACAGCTAGTACGTGTCAATTATGTAAAATTATATTACCAACACTCAAGCAAAAATGTTTTGGGTATATTCCCCTAAAATTGTCCTTTGCAATGGGAAATCTTTTCACATTGATATTTAGAGGCTGGTTGGAGTATTTCCTCCTGAATTTGGGTTTTAGTGGAAGGCTAGACATTAATTTGAGAAGCTTTGTTGTTCTCTTTATTTGCTGTCACAGCGGGAGAGGACCTGCTGGCCCCACCGCACGACACCAGCACGGATCTCACGGAGGTCATGGAGCAGATTCACAGCACGTTTCCATCTTGCTGCCGTGAGTATGAAAGATTGCAGCACCACAGCTGCACGTGTTCCTTCCCTTTCTCTTTTTCTGCATGCGGCCCTTCGCCTTCTTCCTTAAGATAACAAAAACCTTATTACAAACAGGACTGAATATTATTTGAAAATAAGGCAAACATTATATAAGAAAATGAAGCTCAACCTAGATACTATCAAGTAACGGGGGTACAGTCGCAACGCAATTCTGCTCTTTGAGATTTTTCAATATGCCTGATGGGTGATAAAATGAAAGCAAATAAAATAATAAGTCTGGTTTTAAGAAGAAATTATCCTCTTCGATGCAAGCTATCATAAGGAACACATCTTAGTTCAAAGAAGAGCTTTCAGTGGCATGCCAAACAAGGCATGGAAACAGCCTTTCTAGTGTAATTCCCTCTCTTTTCTTCAAACATTGTTCTCCAATGTCATCAGACTCCAGTGCAGAAAGGGATTGTTTTCAGATTTTCCCTTTTTATTCCCGCTGGTTTCTTTTCTCATGGAATAAAATAGTCATTGTATAAAGGCCAAACAATTTAAGTCATCATAGATTAGGATCCTGTGAAGTTTCCATCTGAACAACCAAGAGCCAGAAAATAACCAAATTCCTGGGGAAATTATATAATAATTCTTACTTATTCATTTTTTCCAAGTGTTTTGTCTTCAGCACCTTGCCACCTTGCAATTTTGGCTGAGCTCTCACCTAAAACACTTCTGGTGTTTCTAGCAGAATATATACATACAAGTAAACTGTATATATGTATACATATATATACACACACACATACAAATATATAAATGCATATAAATTACTTAGTACTATAATTATATTTTAAATAATCTTTGACAGGATTTGAAGACATTATTTGTAATTTTAGAGAGATTTACTCTCAAACTGATTTTAAATCCAGGGCAGTCACTAAAATAAGAATTCATGTAAAGCATAGCCTCTTATTTTACCCTTGTCTGTCATCTCCTTAGAAAATGCCATCCCAGGCTGGGCACGGTGGCTCACACCTATAATCCCAGCACTTTGGGAGGGCGAGGCAGGTGGATCATGAGATCAGGAGTTCGAGACCAGTCTGACCAACATGGTGAAACCCTGTCGCTACTAAAAATACAAAAAGTAGCCGGGCATGGTGGCATGCACTTGTAATCCCAGCAACTCAGGAGGTTGAGGCAGGAGAATCGCTTGAACCTGGGAGGTAGAGGTTGCAATGAGCCGAGATCGTGCCACCGCACTCCAGCCTGGGAGACAGCGTGAGACTTCCTCTCCAAAAAAAAAAAAAAAAAAAAAAAAGCCATCCGAAATGATGAAAAAGAGATTATCAATTATCAGGAGTGTAGGTAAATAAGATATATTGACTTCATTTAAAGATTATTATTTACTGTATAGAACTTTGTAATTTTTAAAATACCATCATTAGCAGAATGTGAAAACAGCTATTTAAAATATATTTCTGGCCCAGGTGCGGTGGCTCATGCCTGTAATTCCAGCATTTTGGCAGGCTGAGGCAGGTGGATCACTTGAGGTCAGGAGTTTGAGACCAGCCTGATTAACATGGCAAAACCCTATCTCTACTAAAAATACCAAAAAAATTTTCCAGGTATGGTGGCACAAGCCTGTAGTTGTAGTCCTACCTACTTGGGAGGCTGAGGCATGAGAATCGCTTGAACCTGGGAGGCTGAAGTTGCAGTGAGTTGAGATCATGCCACTGCACTTCAGCCTGGGCAACAGAGACTCTATCTCAAAACAACAACAACAACAAAATAAATGAATAAATAAAACATATATTTCTTTGTGAATTTTCAGGAATATTTGCCTGAAGATTATATTATGGTTTCCACCAGCACATGAATATATCTATTTGTGTTTTGCCAGTGTTTCCCAGGTTTTCATTTGTAGATCTACTATAATGCTTCTCAAAGTTTGCAGAATCACATTTACACTACATCAGTCTCCACACCCACCTCCCCACCTCCCCACCCCCCAAAGCACATGCATGCATGTGCACACCCATATAGACACACTTTTGGCTTTTAGAGTCTCACAAAAGCTTAAGAGGATCACTGAATGCTCACATGCTACCAGATTGTTGCTTATTTTCTAGGCTCTGTAACCACAGTAATAGATAAACTGATTAAAACTAGTTTATTAATTATAATTCAAGGTCAAATTTATTTAGAGGTTTTGATTTTCAATTGTTATGTTACTTAGTGAGTAGATAAAATCTCATCATAGTCTTTATGAGCCAGAATTAAATTCTTAAAGGAAATTACTTTTTAGTTCAGCTTATACCTAAATAACCTTAATAATTAGTTAAAAACAAATTCTGTACATCAAAGCTGTTTAGAAGTTTTTATTTAAATATCATGGACATTTTCAATTGTAAAAGTCAGTTGGCAGTGACAGCCAGGATGGGAAATGTGTTTCAATATACACCTTGTAATATATATAAAATATATAATTTCCATATTAAAAATTTTATTCTAAAAATGTGGGATTTTTTCCAAGTTCCATTTCCTAAAGAATTTACTCTTAAATTTTTCTCAAAGTATACTCTGACATCCAGATTTTACAAAAGCTGGACCCATGTCATTTTAAAACAGAACATTATTAAAAATAAATAATCATAATTTAGAGCAAAAATGAATTGTAACAGGTAAATGTATGTATCTCTTTTTATGGCCTCACTTTAAAGGCAAGTATAAAATTCCTATTGGTTGGGGATCTTGTTAGCTGTTCATTGATATTGGTTTCTGAGAGGAGTATACACAGTACCTTCAATGGGACCCACATCACAGAGATTCATCCTCTCCCCTGCATTGGTCCCCTCTTCACCAATGTCATTCTCAGTGTTCAGAGAGTGGTTTATGGAGCCCTGAGATTCCTTAATGTTTATTAAGCTTGAGTCACATTCGTCAAAAACTCAAAACCTACTGAAATGCAATGATTTCCTTTTAAATATGTTTGTATGTAAAATACCCTTAGCCTTCTATCTGATAAAAAGCTGTTGGTTTAAAAGTATTGGTTTGGAGCAGCTGGCTTCATGTTTTCATAGTGTTAACTATGCACATTCACAAATATTTATAATAGTCATAGTTTTCTGAATGAGCATTACTAGTCATGTCTTCTTTTCAAGAATTCAAGCACATCCATGTATGAAATGATGAAAAGTGTATTTTAGAATCCTTTGAAATCTCCATGTTTTAATTTTTGGCTTCTGAAAGTTCTGCTATTCATATTTTTTCTCTGGTATTATATACAAGACAGGGACAGCTTTCCATAAAAATAAAAGCTGTATTGACTTATTTATAAAATTGATACATATTTTCATATTCTGCCTGTAATTATTAAACCTTTTAAAAATTGATGCAAAATAGAAATCAGCGTGGGAGGTAGACTCAGTGCCCAGTGCATGTGTCTTTCTCTCTCTTTTTTTTTTTTTTCTGAGACAGAGACTCACTCTGTTGCCCAGGCTGGAGTTCAATGGCACGATCTCAGGTCTGTATAACCTCCACCTCCCAGGCTCAAGCAATTCTCATGCCTCAGCCTCCCAAGTAGCTGGGACTACAGGCACATGCCACCACGCCCAACTAATTTTTGTATTTTTAGTAGAGATCGGGTTTCACCATGTTGGCCAGGCTGGTCTCAAACTCCTGGCCTCAAGTGACCCACCCACCCTGGCCTCCCAAACCGCTGGGATTACACGCGTGAGCCACCACACCCGGCCCCAATACATGTTTCTGACTTGAGTGAATGATTACATTTTCTAGCTGGGAAGGTTTCCTTGTAGCATTCCTAGATAGTACTCAGAACGTTTTGTAGGATTCATTTGTTCTTTTGTCCCTTTAAAGTTGCTCAGCCAGCAAATATTTTAATAAGCCTTTGTGATTCCCAAAGCTTACCAACCACCTTTGGAGAATTTATCTAAACAAATCGGATTGGCACCCTCCCAATGCCAAGCCAATCCCTTGAGCCCCTGTAACTAATGAGAACTTTAAAAATGCTTGTCGCCAGCATACAATGAATTGATCTTCATGTTAATCTTGACTTTTGATCCTTTGTGGATTAAAAATTAGCATGGCCCCAAATGAATTTCCACTCTTGGCAATCTTGGAATTAAAATGAAACTCTGTATTCATAAATCCTAATTGTGTGAATTGCCTATTTTAACATGACCGTTTTTTAACTGTGTCTACACATTGTTGCACATAACACTTTAGAACTCCTTTGTCTGAATTAATATCCCAGTTGGTCCTGATAGCATCCTTGAATTATGGCCTTTTAAAGTCTTTTTAAAATTATTTATGTTGAGTCTTAGAGCAGAGAAGCAGACATTTCCTTCACTTCCTGGCAAGGAGTTAAGGAAAGGGGTTTAAATGTACTGCCAATTAACAAGTGTACTTACTAAAATTCCCACTGACTGCAGTAACTATTTTTATTTTTTGGTATAAATTTTTTTTGTCCATTTTTTACTTATGTCCTTCAAATGTATGAAATACTGGCAGTAAGCCAACTAATTTTTGCTGATAGACCAAGAAATGCTTTCAAAATTATTTTTGACCCACAGGCATATTTTTACTATGAATTGCCTATGTTTATTAAGCTTGAATGGCATTCATCAAAAACCCAAAACCCACTGCAATGCAGTGATTTCCTTTTTAAAATATTTTTGTGTGATTTGTTCAGGCAAATACCCATAGCCTTTTATTTGATAAAAGGCTGTAAGGTTAAAAGTATTGGTTTAGAGCAAAATGGATTAGACTTCTGTCTAGGGTTTGGCTATTTGTTATATTTGTTACTTGCAAGAGAAGCATAACTCTGTCTGTTTTAAAAAGAGTGTGTAAACCTATGGTGTACTTAATAATAATTCAACTCAGCTATCCCTTGGACACTGTGGAGGTCCACTCTTTTCTCCTGGATGTAACTTACAGATCTGTTAGAACTAGGCTTCTTTTAGCCTGATTTCTCCCCCAAATACCGGGCCTCACACTTTCCCTCCAGACGTTATAGGAAGGGTACTCTTCATGCCTGCTCTTTTTTTCTCACATAGCTCCCAGCACACAGCACATGGTCACTGATGTCCTTTCTCCCACTCAGCATAGAACAGTGAGAGATGGAAGGAGTGCAGCATGCTAGATGACTAGGGACAACTTTTATTTGACCAAGAACAGATTGTTGCCATTACTGGGGGACAGATCTCCTCTTTTCCCCCCAGCATTGAGAACGAGATGATCATGTAGCAAAAGAGGGGACGAAAAGCAGATGCCTTAGAGAAGAGATGGCAGTGGCTGCCCTTGCAAAGCCCGCCAGATCGTCTTCACTGTTATGGGCTCTGGAACCAAAAAGGAATTGAGCTATCTGTGTGGAAAGGAGAATTAGATGCCATATTCTAACTTCTCCGTTGTTCCTAACTGGGCCCATCCAAGGGACTATTATTATCCCAAGTGTCCAGAAGGACACTGAGGATTAGGCCAGCACTTTCCTTGATGCAAGTACTTGGCCACCATTTTCCTGGGCGTTAGGGTCCAGGGTGTGTCAAGGGTGGGTCAAGAGAGGCAGAAACCAAAGACTTATGCCTTCAGTGGTCCCTTGGTCAGAATTAGTACTCAGCAAAGTAAGTAGAACATGCTCTGTTCTGATACATAAACCAAATACACAGTATGATTTAAATAGGAAATGAGATTTTTTGCAAGACTAAGTGCTCAGTGAATGCTTTAGTGTATGCACTAAATCTTAAATCACATGGGATATGAGAAACTAACCAGGAAAACTAGCCCTCATTGAAGCATTAAGCCAGGAAAAAAAAAATGTGTTTCTTGTTTTTCCTATTAGCATCCATTTAACAACTGGGCTATTATTACCCTATGTAGAGTGATACTTTCCACGCATTTGCATGCCTGAGAGTTGGAACCAACAAAGTAACAGGACTGCCATTAAGTGATTTCTTTTGTTTTCTCTTTCAGCAAATGTTCCCAGCAGGCCACAGGTAAGAGTTAATGGCTTGGTTGGCTCTATGTTACTGATCCCAACCTAGAGTAAGCAGATTATCCACGACTGATTTTATTCCTACTTTATTCTCCATGTAAATAAGTAAACTTACTTGACATTTAAATGTTAGTTGATTCTGTACAACAGTTTGTCAGTCTGGGAGTGGGGGGTGGCTCCCAAGCCACAGATACCAAAAATACCATGTGTTTGATCCTTTGTGTTCTAACAGCTTTTTAATGGCATCTTATGTGCTACATAAAGTCACTCTAGATAGATTTGACCACCACTGCTCTCTCAAATGTCTACTTAAGGTGGCTATCACAGAACATTGACCTAAAAAAAAAATGACTGGTACCACAGAGGTGGTTTTGTTACTTTGCAGGGGAAAATATTTCAATTTTTTACTTAAAAATTTTGCTGAGAACTGTTGGCAGCTGTACCCTTATGCCTTTTAGTATTTTCTATAAACCAAAAAGTGTATGAGACAGGTTTACTTTGCCAAGGTTGAGGACACACCTGGGAAAAAGAGAGATAAATTTCATTAGGATTTGTAGCCTGTTTTGTTTTGTTTTTTTGTTTTGTTTTGTTTTTTGTTTTTGTTTTTTCCCAAAAAGGATTTTGAGGGCTTCACAGAAACGAAAGAGCAGGCAGGAGGGGGTGGAGGAACAGTCAATTATGCATTTGTCTTATGCTCAGTAAATCTGCGTTTTATATAATTAAGATAAGGTATGCCTAGAGTAGAAGAAGCAGTCAAGTACACATTTTTCTCAGGGTGGGAGGAGAGATGACTTCTAGTCCTGCCTTTGTCCTGTAAAGATAAGCTGTTAATTCACATTGTCAGGGTGAAATTCAACAAAACTCTGTTTTAGGGTAAAGATTTGGGGACCCTTAGAAATTTCCTTGTGAGCAATTTGTGAGGGAGGTCACTGGCCTTCTATCTTTGCAAGTAGCTGCTTAGGAAGGTAGTTTTTGTGTGACTCAGTTCCCACTTTTAATTTTTCCCTTTAGCATAGTGAGTTAGGGATCCTGAGATTTTGTTTTCCATTCACATTTTCTTATCACATACTTTTAGTAATAATGTGCCACAAAGCCACAGCAGCTTTGGAGAACATTTTCTTTCATGAACTTGTTTACTAATCTTTTTGAAACAATGAGCCTTCTGAATGATTGTCTTATTGGCAAGAGAGGCTGGGATCTTAACTAAAAGACAAGGGTATGTGAAGTAGGCTAGGGGTGTGGTGAGCTGTGGGTGTTCTCTCCTGCTTGCTTCTGTTGTCTAAGTGAATTGGAAGCCGGGACTTTAGCAGGGAGTGAGGTTGGGGAGGAGGTGTCAGAAGTGCGAGGAGAGACTGGAGGATGTGTGATAGCTTCTTGGAGAATAGAAGAGCAGATGGCCTGGGAAATAGAGTGTGACTATAAGCAGCATTAAAGGTGCCACTCATGAATTTAACATGAGGCCATTCTGCAGGGTTGTAAGTTGCCCTCTAGGCATATTCACGTTCATGAGCACAGGCACCAGAATGGGCTGAGTATTGGCATTTAAAAAGTTGAAGTTGGGGTTTGACAAAGTGAGTACAGTGATTCAAGGGAAGAGGCAAAGAAGTGATTATAATGATTGAACCAGATGCTTAAGCTCAGTAGTGAAAGGAATGAGGAAATGTCCAGTGTGGGAGACAGAAATAAAGATGGGAGGATCAATGGATCCTATTGTCAAAGGATGGATAAATTTGCAGTTGTAGGGGAAGTAAGCTGTGGAGGTAGAGGTGGTTGTCAGAAGCTAGGTTGAATGATACTGAAATTAGAGGGGTTGCAAGTATTGGTAATGGTCCATATTTGGACCTTTGTGTGAATGGCTAAGAAGGTTGGAGGACAGGACCATTGGAGGAAAAGAGCCTAAAGAACCAAGAAGCCAGAGTGCTGGAAGAATCATCTCCATGGGTGTTGAAATCACTAACATTTAAAAATGGCTTTAGAGTAGGGGACTTTGAGCCATTTTTTACTTCAAGAAGTGAAGGAACATGACCTACGGAGTCAGTAGATGACTGCATAATGGAGTCATATAGTCTGATGATATGAGATTCAAAGCTGGGTGTTTTTAGGGAGAGGAGAAAGAAGATACCCCAGAGGCCCCAATGAGGACCAAGGAAGACTCATGCAGTGTATGAGGAATGGGGGAGAATGGGGAGGGGAAGTGCTGTGTGAGAGGGTTATGAGGGAAGCTGTGTCTTCAGGTAGATGCAGATATTGATTAGAGCAAGTAGATGCAGGCAGCATTCAGAGAAGGGTTTGGGAACATGGGTTTTGCGGATCACAGGCCACATGACCTATAGGACAGGTTTCAAGAGCTAGGAAGAGTGAGGCATAGGGTCACAAAAAGGGGTATGCAGATCTCTATATGACTAGAATACAGGTGATGGAAGGGCAACCAGGAGTCTAGAGCTTTTTAGGGTGGCCCATTAAAATTAGGGATAAAGGGTACAAAGAGGTTAGTCCTGATGGTCCCCAGGTGGAATGAGGCTGTGAGTGACAAAGGCAAGGAGGGAAGAGAGAATCTTTTAAAATCCTCAGATATAATACAAGTGCTCAGAATTTAAAGCAGAAAATTATCTGAGGAGGCCTTCTCCTCCTACTCTGTTTCTAGATTTTAGAAATTGAGTTTACAAAGAGCTAAATGGTTCCCAGTTGTACAGCAACTTAGTGGATGGAGCAAACATGTAACTCAATACAAGAGGCCCCTTTCCCATTTTCTTCCTTCCCTTTCCATGTGTTTTTTCCTGCTCTTCTCTTTTCTTCATTTTTTCATGTCTTGGGTCGAATGGAAATTCATGAAAAGTATATATTTTCACCTGGAGGGTTGGGCTAATATTTACATAGCATGATCTTAAATTTTTAGAATTCTGACACCTAAAATGAGCAGTATTGTGTGTCCAATTAATAGACACATCTCATTCTCAAGGATAATGGAGTATATAGGCACAATTCAAAAATCCTCTTGGCTTTATATTTAACATGAATCAGCGCCAGAGTTTCAGTTATCAATATTAATATGTAACAAAATGTTCCTTTCTCATATGGGGTTAATCTCTCCCCTTCTCTGTCCTCAAACCACTTCTTTGAATTTACTGTGGCCGGCACTTACCTCATATTACAATTGAATGAGGCTGCCTGGCTGAGATATCTTCCACACCTGCTTCACAGGAGGGCCTCCCCTCAGTACAATGCCTGGAACCCATCAGTGTTTGCTGAATTTTTGCTCCCTCTAACATGGCAATCAAATGTTCAAAATGGAGAAGCAAGTGTCTGAAGAATCCAAATTTGAATAGTCATGGAGAATGGGCTCTAGGCCAGAGTCAAATGAGTTTGCTGCTTTCAGCATACCTGGGAAAAGGAGGGGCTCCGTGGGCAGTTTTTCCAGTGGCTTCATTAGGAACATGCTTCCAGGGAGCAGGATAAAGTCCCCCATAAAATAAGGTGTAAAGACAGATGGAATATCTTTCCTGAGGGTCCAGAAAGGCCTTTTATGATTTATGAGGCATGGACCAGTTTGGATGATTTCATTTTAGCACTTTTTTTTTATTTTTTTCTAATTTCAAAATCCTTTTAGAAGACCAAATGTTTGACCTTCCCTTCAAAAGGTTGATACCACTTCCATGAGTGTGGCCTGGATTTATATTGTCTCTGACCTGGGACATTTAACTTTAACTGGCACCACTAAACACCCTTGGGTTATGATTCCTGCCTTGCCTTCCTCTTCTCTGGACTCCAGCTTGGGATCAAGATGGTTGGCATTGTTAGGGTACCCCCTCTACAGATGACCTCCCACAGTCCCCCAGGAAGACATGGGATATTTTCACCAGCCTCATTCGCTCACCATTGGTACCTTCAGCAGAAAGAAATGAAGTCCTCTCCATTTTAACTTTGCTTCCAGCCTGGCCAAGAGAAAAGACTTTCAGACTTCCCTCTAAATCAGCTGCAGTGATAGAAAGCAGACTAGGTAACTTCAGCATGAGAGGGAGGGACCTCATTGCAGGAAGCAAAAGTCACAGTAGAGTTAAGACTCTTGAAAGAAGCACTTTTATTTTCTTGAAGAATTGACAGATCTCTGCTTCCTGTAATGTTTTGTGCAAATTTCTGACAGTGCTATTTTCCCTTCCCATAGGCAATGTGAAGTATTCATCCGGCCAACCAATGTTTCCTGACGTACAGTGTTGCCCTTTTCAGCAAATGCCAATTCCAAGTTCCATTAAATCAGAAGCTCCATGGCTCCTTGGCCCACGATGTTGAGTGCTGACTGTGTGTTCTACTGAAAGAGTAAAACACTGACTATCCAAAGAGAAATGGATATTTTGTTTTTATAATAACCATATATTATTGTTTTCTTCTTCCCTTTCTATGCAAGTGTAAATTAATGAACAGAGAGGTATTTGGAAATGGTAATACATTTGTCACGGATTTGTATAATGTATACAGCATTGGGAAAGTGGGTGGGGGCTTTCTAATATGATACCGTCTTTTTAATAACTATGACAAAGCTTACATAAGAATTAGAAGACCACTTTACATTTTTACATTCCTTCTGCTGTTCATATTAACCTTGCACAATTACTTCATTTTTTCTTTGACTCTTTTACCACAATGTTTTGGTTATTTATAATTTATCAGCCATATGTTTATCAGCCATATAACCAACTAGATCCCAAATAGATCCATGTATTTGTTTCCGTGATTTGGCCACATTAATAAATTCATAAATTTCAATCAAATATCTTATATATACACACATATGGTTTAAGCTACAGCCCTGTGTATGCCGTTTAACTTTATTTGACGTTGCCCACTTACTTCTTTGCTGACCACTTGGATAACCGTAATAAAAATCCTATAAGCCTAAATGGCATTTCTTTTGGGATATTTTTCCTGCATTTTATTCCCTTTTTATATAAGTAGGAATTAATTATTTATTTTATGTCTTAATCTATTTGATAAAGAAGACTACATTATAATAATCTCAAAGATCATATTACCAAAGGTTGCCCACTTGAGCATATTTTCATTTTGACACAGAAACAAAATTTAGTACAACCTTTCCTAGTTCCCATGTCTTGATTTTCATCATTACATGCACAGCAGACCTTTACCTATTGTGATACCAGAACACATCATTGTCTTTGGTTCCCTTCAAAGAGAATTTTATTGTTGTTTTGTATTTTCAAGTCCTTAATAGTTCTTGAAACTCCTAGTTGTTTTCTTGTTGAAAGCAGACACACATTTAGTGCACGGCTTATTTTACCTTTCGGGTGAAAGATCAGATGTTTTTATACCCTTCACTTGATCAATATATTTGGAAAGAATGTTTATCAAAAGTCTATGTCACTGCTTCTACAGAAGAATGAAATTAATGCTTAGGTGATGGTACCTCCACCTACATCTTTTTGAGTGCATTCAATTATGTATTTTGGTTTAGCTTCTGATTTAACATTTAATTGATTCAGTTTAAACATGTTACTTAATTAGCAAATGTAGAGGAACCAAAAAAAGGTGAAAATAATATGTTTTGATTCAAACCTAAAGACATAAAAACATAAAGACATTTTAACTTTGGGTTCTCTTTAGCTGGGATCTGGCCAGAAGGAGGCTTAAAGTTAGAAATTGCTATTATTTTAGAATAGGTTGGGTGGGTTGGGGGGCAAGGGTGTCTATTTGCAGCAGAGATATTTTGAAAAGAAGAAAATTGTTTTATATAAAAAGGAAAGCCATGACCACCTTTCTACCTCAGATCCATCTTCATCCATTGCATTGGAAACTGCTTTATGCTGCTGCAGTCTGCAAAGTCTAGAGCTTTTATCAGGCCATGTCATACCCAAGAAAGCACCTATTTAAAGAAAAAACAATTCCCTGAGCTCTCAACTCCAAGTTGTAGATTTGGTGTCTTCCTTGTTCTTACTTTAAAAAGTCATGTGTTAATTTTTTTTCTGCCTGTATTTGTATGCAAAATGTCCTCTATCTGCTATTAAAGAAAAGCTACGTAAAACACTACATTGTAACCTTCTAAGTAATAATAAATAAAAAGAAATATATTGCAGTAACAATGGGAAGTAAGTATGTAGTTCTTTTGAAATATGTGGTAAAGAACTAATCACAGACTATCATCTAATCTGGTTACATATTGTATTTTTCATCCTGAATAAAAGTAATTTTAACACAAGATGACTTTGATATTCTTCAGCTGGATTCACTGATAGAATGTGAGTTTTGAATGCACATTTATGAAAACAAGATATAGAGATAGCCTGTGTCCTGATACATCTACATTTTTTCCTGCAGTTTCTCTCATACACACTAATACAGTCTCCTGTTGCTCTCATTCTCTCTCTCTCCCCATCTCTTACACATACATATAATTATATGATTCTCAATTTATTTTCCAGATAGAAGGTTTATTGATAGAGAAAAGTAATATTGGATGTAAAAATGTGTACATAAAACCTGTTGAGTGTTTTAATAACTAGATGCTGTTGACATTAAGTTCCTTTCAAATGTACTTTTAGTTTCATGCTCTCAAATACTGTATGCTTTTTATCCGTACACTGGATTTTAACCACTCTAGTAGGTTTAATCAATTTCTGAAGCCATTCAGTGGGAAACAATGTTGAGAATCATGTTGCTTTATTCTAAAATTAAAAGCTGTCTATGAACTAGAAAAATCATCTAAAATATAATTTGTTAAAATAAAGAAAACTGATACATTCTGATGAACAAACATTTTAAACATCCTGTGTACCACTAAGTAATGCTGACATTAAGCATTCCTGAAAAAACACTTGATTTCCAGCAACTTGTTGACTAGGTAGCTGAAAATAGAAGTGCGAACAAATGAACAAGTTTTGCTTTCATACTGCTGTGGTTTGAATGTGTCACCCACAGTTCATGTGTTGAAAATTTAATCCCCGATTCCATAGTGTTGAGGGGTTGGACCTTTAAGAAGTGATTGGATCATGAGGTCAGAGGTCATGAATGGATTAATGTCATCACAGAAGTGTGTTTGCTATCTCAAGTGGGTTTATTACCAAAGCACGTTGGGTTCTCTCACTTTCTCTTGCATGTTCTCTGCCCTGTCACCTTCCACCATAGGATGACGCAGCAAGACAGGCCTTACCAGATGCTGGCACCTTGATATTGGACTTCCCAACCTCCAGAACGCTGAGAAATAAATTTCTTTTCTTTGTAAATTACCCAATCTGTGGTATTCTGTTATAGCAACACAAAATAGAATAAAGATGTATACTGTGCCTTCAAGTTGTTATATATCACATATATATATAATATATATGTTACAATCAAGGCACAGTATACTATATATACTGTGAAGGCATAGAGATAGATGATAGATGATAGATATAGATAGATAGATAGATAGATAGATAGATAGATAGATAGATGATAGATAGATGATAGATAGATATAGATAGATGATAGATAGATAGATAGATAGAGATAGACAGACAGATAATCTTTGTAGTTTGCTCCTGTGTATCTTTTCTCCCACCCACATTCACTGTTTCAGTATGCCAGCTTTTTCAAAGGCCTTTCTAAATTCATTAGTGGAGAATTTAATGATAATACAGTAAACCACCACTAACGCTACTACTTAAACCTATGAGTAGGATCCAAAAGCTTCACTGACATACAATGTCAGCTTGTGTTTTTGTGAGGTTAATTAAGTAACCAGAATGAGGCTGCTACAGACAGCAGGAGATAATCACAATTACATCGCATCCACTGCCTATGGTATCAGTTATCTATTGCCACAGTCATGCTGCATGGGAGCCATAAAATCTTAATAATAAGAATTTATTTAGCTCATGGTATATGGGGTTCAGCTACTCTGGGCAGACTCTTCTGATCTCAGTTAGACTTGCTCACACATTTGTGGCCAGCTTTGGATCACTTGAGGGCTCTGCTGATCCTGGCTGGGTTGCACCCAGGTCTGGGAGCTGATTGGCTGTTGACCAATGTGGCATGGTTAACCTAGGATGACTGGGGACACTTGGATGAGTTCCTTGATTCACTAGCAGGCTAACCTAGGGATGTTCTCATGCAATGACAGAAGTGTGGGCATGCAGAAGGAGGCCTTTGCTGAAACGTGGCACATCTTTACTTCAGCCAAATTCTGTTGGTCAAAGCAAATTACACATCTTGGTATGGGGAATACATTTCATGTCTGTACTGAGAGAAACTGCAAAAGTCAAGGATAAAGGATAGGTATAGCTATAGAAAGCATAATGAACTGGTGGCCATTAGGTTTCATTATGTAAACCTTGAGATAGGCAAAGCGGAGAACTTGGAGCCAGAATATAAAGTATCCATTTCCTTAGGCTTCATGTCCACTGCTCCAGTGGAAGGAAAAGGCAGTAGCCTCTTTACAGGGGCTTCTTTTAAAACAAAGGTCGAAAAGATCAGCCCTTTCACTCCAAACTAACAAAGCAATTTCAAAAGAAAAAACAAGTAGGAAAATCTATCATGCCTGTGCCTAAAGTCCCAAGAGAAGAAGACCTCAGAACTGATACTAAAATTAGGAAAAATAAAAACAGGAAAGGAAAAAAACTGTGAGAAATGGAATAAAGATGCTACAATAAACTGCTCAGATGAACCTTTGTTCAGGTTTAGCATTAAAAAATTTTAGCTGGAAGAACACACAACATGTAGGAGGCTCCTCACTTTGACCAAATCAGTAGGGCACATGTGCTACAGTGCCCCTCCCAAGGGGCATGCTTAAAAGCATGCAATTTATTTGCACTTTGCATAAACTTACAAACTTAGCTCTAATCTCTCATTTTAGAGGCCTTCAAATTGTGGCATATTTTAGAGTATTTGCAGTTGACACATATGCTTAAATTCAGATATTCTTTTAGAGACAGCTTCTTTTTTGGTAGTTTTGAATTTTGTGGGTAATTAGGAGAAATGAACTGACAATTTGCCTTCAGCTTAGCTCTGTCCTCAGACCAGAAATCACAAATTTTGAATTTGTAATGGTATTAGAGTTCTCCAGAGAAACAGAACCAATAGGATAGATATAGATATGTAGAAAGAGATTGACTATGAAATATTGGCTGACATGAATGTGGAGGCTGAGGTGTCCCACCATCTGTCGTCTGCAAGCTGGAAGCCCAGGAAAGCTGGTGGTGAAGTTCAGTCCAAAACCCAAAAACCTGAGAACTAGGGGAACCAGTGGTGTAAGTCCCAATCTCAGCCCAAAGGCCTGAGAACCCAGAGTGCTGATGTCTGAAGGCAGAAGATGGGCTTCCAGGCTTGCACAGGAAGACCAAATCTGCCCTTCCCCCCACCTTTTTGTTCTATTCCAGCCTTCAGTGGACTGGATGATGCTTTCACATTGGTTAGGGCAATCTTCTTTACTCAGTGTACCAATTCAAATGCTAATCTCTTACACAAACAGCCTCACAGACATACCCAGAAATAACATTTTACCAGCTATCTGGGCATCCCTTACCCCAGTCAAGATGACACATAAAGTCAACATCATCATAATTAAATGAGAAGAGTTTCCAGGTTGCCATGGGATGTAATTACGCTTAGTCCTTGATATTATTTTTTCTAGGGCCATTTTTCAAAAATATTAAAATATTGATTTTTAAATGTTTTGTTTGTTTCTTTGCCTAATTAAGAATAGGAATTTCCTGGCTTCTCCTATAACTGACTAAAACATCCAAGGCCAAGCATGGTGGCTCGTGCCTGTAATCTCAGCACTTTGAGAGGCTGAGGCAGGAGGACCACTTGAGGCTGGGAGTTCCAGACCAAACCTGTGCAACATAGTGAAGCCCCTGTCGCTACAAAAAAAAAACGATTTGTTTTAATTAGGCAGGTATAGTGATACGTGCCTATAGTCCTAGCTACTCAGGAGGCTGAGGTGGGAGGATTACTTGAGCCCAGTAGTTTGAGGTTACAGTGAACTGTGATCACACCACTGCACTCTAGCCTGGGTGACACAGCAAGATCCTATCTCTAAAAAAAAAAAATATATTATCCAGTTGGAATGTGACTGCCATGTAATAAATACAACTGTAAGGACCATTTAGTTTCTCTCTTCCAACCTCTCCTTTATTTTGAAGGTCTGGCTCTTTTGCATACAGGTAAAAGCTTACTCATATTTCTCTTCAGATCTTTTTTTCTTTTTTTAAGAAGAACAATGCTGTAGATCGTCACAGCCTATTTGAAATATTTTATAACTCTATTCCTTTAGTGTTTTGAGAAAGCATGTACTAATTCTTAAATTTATTTCTCATAATATTGATAACAAAAGGAATTCTATATAGCAATTACTGGAAATGTGCCCTGTGAATATAAACTAATTCTCTTGAGATTAATCATCAAGTATCAGTTCTCTTTAGTTTTATCACCACCCGTAGATAAATTAAGTGGAGTTCCTGAATCAGAACAGCTTAGGACCAAACCCATACATATAAGGACACCAGAGTATATGTCACTGTATTTGTCCTAGCCTCAGAGACGAATTGTTTAGTCATTTTAACTTTAACTGGTTTTGCAAGTTTAAACACAACTTTATATTAGAGCAGTAAATTGTGGTCCTCATAGCACCCTCCTCAGAATCATCTGGAGTCTCGGTAGACTCTCCCCAAAAATACTGAATATGAAGCTCCACAGACCATGCTCAGGAATCTGTGTTATATATGTCTGCCGGTTTCAGACAAATGCCACCAAAATAAGCTATTGATGGTACAAAGCTGTGCTATTTTTAAAAGCCATAAGAGAACAGTCCTTGACAGTTTTTGTGGCATCTCAGAGGGGAAACATCTTGAATGGGATTGCATAAGGAGAATGCTGTAATAGTTGAAGATTGGGAGACGTAGCAAGGCAAAGGTTTTGAGGCAAAGATTTTGAAGAATCTTGGGGAAAACAGCTGTTTGATGCTATTAAATAATTTAACAGTTTGATGTTCATACAAGTGAAGTTTTAGAAAATTTTTGGAACAGATAAGTTACAATATAGTCATGATCTTGAAGACAGAGGAATATCAAAGCTATGTTAGTGAAGATAATGAACGCATAAAGTCATGTCAATGTAGAGAAAGCTGCATGGGTGTAAGATGCTTTTGGTTCTCAGCTTCTTCAGCCAGAGTTAAAGGATAAATCATTAATATCTGGAGGCAGGATCAAGCCACACCTTCACCGCAATTTGGAGTGTCATGATTATGTATTATATTCCCAGGATGGTCTTTTCAACCACTGTAAGTGTCAGGTTTTCCTGTTCCTTTTGTTGGATGATCATTTGTTGGACCGTTACATGGGACAATGGCTGCACAGAGTATGCAAAATGCTGGAGATCACAAATTCAAGTTCTGCAACCTAGAAGAAGAGCTGCTGTAAAAATGAGCTGCTGATTAAAGCAGCTCTATTCTCAACCACCACTTGCTCAATTTCATGAACGTCGCAGGCCAGGACTTCTATAGTCTTGGTGATATTGTCTAACTCCCCTGCTAGTATATGAAATGTAGTATGTATGATTCTTTTAATTTTTTGGACTTCTCTCTTGAAAAGAGAAGAAAGTAACCCAGAATGCTCCTTGAATAGTTATGGCTCCAAATCAAGTCAAAATTTTTATCCTTCTTGAAATGTTATCAAACAATCTCTTTGTCTAAGAAAAAAACTGATTGGCCAAAATATATTCTGATTGATGTCAGAGATTATCCAGAAAGTGGGCATCAGTTTAACAACACAAGGAGCCCCTAATCCAGGCAGTAGCCAAAAATCCAATACTTGTCACTGGGGAACCATCCAATAATCTTTCTTTCTTTCTTTTTTAGCCAAAATATCCCTATGAAACAATGGTGAACCCTTGCCAAGAAATTTTGAACAATTTTCATACAATTCATCAAAAGTGGCATGACACCAGACAATGAAATTTGTAGTATTGATATCATTAGATGGAGATAAAGAAAAGGGAAAGTGTGCCTTTTAAGAGCTGCAAAAGTTTAAGACAGCCGTCAAATATATACCCTCTGTTTCCAAGTTCTATTTCTGTGAAAGTTCAGTGCCAAAGACTAGCTTTCATGAAAGTTCCCCGAATATAGTCTTGGCAGGGGTAGGAACCAACCTTTCTAGGTAAGATGTTGATATGTTTTGGCTCTATGTCCCCACCCAAATCTCACTTTGAATTGTAATAATCCCCACATGTCAAGGGCAGGGCCAGGTGGAGATAATTGACTCATGAAGATGGTTTCCCCCACACTGTTCTCATTATAGTGAATAAGTCTCATGAGATCTAATGGTTTTTACAAATAGAAGTTCCCCTGCACAAGCTCTCTTGCCTACGACCATGTTTCTTGTGACTTTGCCTCTCCTTTACCTTCTTCCATGATTGTGAGACCTCGCCCAGCCAATGTGGAACTGTGAGTCCATTAAACCTCTTTCCTTTATAAATTACTCAGTTTCGGGTATGTCTTTATCAGCAGAATGAGAACAGGCTAATACAGTGAATTGGTACCAGGAGTAGTTGTAGAGGAACAGAATTCTAAGGATGAATTTATTTAGTTGGTTTTGGGGTTTCTGGAGGTGGATGCTTAATATTATTAGACCCCAAAATGCTAAGGACTCGACTTCTAATAGTATGGAGAACACTCATACTTCTTGGCAAGAACTGTTTCAAGGGTTATGCAAAATAAATGCATTCAATACTCCTAATTCACTGCTTGTGAGAGGCAAGGAGTTTAGTGACTCTATACATAACACTTTTGACTATATGTGGAGAACCAAGGAATATAATGAAGTTGGTTGGTTGCTCCTAAGTTCGCTAGGCAAAATGATGAAGGAAAACAATGAACTCAGGGATTCTAACTCCCTGTTCCAGAAGCACATACTGAACCTCAAATCTGCTAAGATTGCCCTGAGTTAGAGTCTTATCTCCTGTAGAGAAAGAGCTGAAATTGTGGAAAATCAGACACAAGCTCTTATCATGTGAGTGGCTGACCTGCAAAGAAAGGGCCACACGCAGCCTCGCCAGATGTCTACTGTTAAAGTGTCAACTTGATTGGATTGAATTATGCAAAGTATTTTTCCTGGATGTGTCTGTGAGGGTGTGGCCAAAGAAGATTAACATTTGAGTCAGTGGACTGGGAGAGGCAGACCCACCCTCATCCTAGGTGGGCACCATTTAATCAGCTGCCAGCATAAAAGCAGGAATGGAAAGAGTAGACTGGCTAAGTCTTCTGGCCTCCATCTTTCTCCTGTGCTGGATGCTTTCTGCCCTTGAACCACAGACTCCAAGTTCTTCACCTTTTGGATTCTTGGACTTACACCAGTGATTTGCCAGGGGCTCTTGGGCCCTTGACCACAGACCGAAGGCTGCATTATCGAATTCCCTACCTTTGAGGTTTTGGGACTTGGACTGGCTCCCCGGCTCCCCAGCTTGCAGATGGCCTAATGTGGGACTTCACTTTGTGATCATGTGAGTCAATTCTCCTAACAAACTCCCTTTCATATATACATCTATCCTATTAGTTCTGTCACTCTAGAGAACCCTGACTAATACAAATGTGATAAGGGTTTTAGATTTCCAGTGATCAGTCCTTTTGTGATATTTGCATTTAAAAAGTTATCTCATTGTTGAATCCAAGTACCTAAGAAGTCAACTAACTCATTACAAAGAAATGATAGGAAGAGAAGCAGAATATTTCTCAAAGGGATGGTGCACAAACGAAACCGTACATTTGGTTGTATGCCAGTTCTCAAGGAAATTCTAGATAGACATTGAATTTAGACGTAGGAGTGACTAAGAATGCAAAAAAAATATATTAGAAAGAGGTGCCTTATAGATAACATAGTTAAAGGCAAACTGAAACAAGCAAAAGAGGAAACAAGATAGCTAGGAAAATAACAAAATAATTCATTTTAAAGCATGATAGTCTGTGGCTTTGTTTCATAAATCCAAGGTGAATTCAGAAGTCTTGGTGGAAGCTATTTCCTCCCAAAGTCTGTTTATAGAGGTTAACTTGAGGTCTTCACAGAGGACTTCATCTTCCATTTCTAGGATGGTTTATGCTTGACTGAAAGACATAGCTCCAAGAATAAACCCCTTGGATTTTTACTGTCCTGCTAATTGTTAACAGTACCTCAAGGGGTACTGTGCATCAGGGTTTCAGGGCTGTCTTTCTCTGATATAATTTCTAGAAGACCCATTCTCTAGGTTTCAGTTCATGTAAAGATAACTTAAGAGGCAGAAAGACAGCTCCCACCTGTTCACGGTAGGACTAAGTGTATTGCCTGAATCCCCAGCATTCTTTGGCCATGGCTGCTTGCAATCGTGTGGACATATTCCTAAGTCCAGATGGACACATACACTCCTGAATAAGTGGCAGAGCTTTTCAAAGCTCTTGCTAAGCCCCAGTAAAATGGGTTTTCCATCACTAAAGTGATAGATAAATAATTCCCAGGTTTGGGAACACAAAATAAAAAAATATATATTTTTGGCTACTGTTAGAGCTGTAAATGTCTGATGAAAGGCTTCAATCCAACTACAAATTAACAGATATTGATCAGGACATATTCAAAAGTCATCACAGAATGCATATATATGAAATCAATTTGGAAGGGTTCTGAGGCTTGGCTCTTGTCCACGTCCCATCTTTATAGCTTTTATTAGAATTGTGCTGTTGACATATGATTCATGTATCAGAGGACCCTTGACCATTTTGGTAAAGTTTTGCTGCTGATGTTGACTGAGTGTAGAGGCAAATATGTCCTTGCTAGGGTGGATAGTTCCATGTAAAATTTTGCAAACTTTCTTTGCTACTGAGGGCCATCCTTAAAGTGCCTGAAATCACCCCTGGGAAGTTTGCAACTACATATTTCCCAGTATCCTTTCTTTATGCTGGAGTCAAATCCTAGCCTTCTGAAATAGCTTCTTTGAACATACCCAAAGATTTGGCTTCTTAGGGTAGGATCCTTGTGAAGGCTGCCTGAACTCCTTTTGTACAAGTTCCTACCTTATTATAGCTACTGCCTTAAGAAGCATTAGCACACTGAAAATTCCTTTAATTTGCTAAACATTTTTATTTGAGATTTCTACAAAAGTCAAGAACCCCTGTTGGTTTGCAAAGCCTTCCAAAATTGTGAACTACTCCTAAAGCTTGTCCACTCTCAGTGTGTATTTTAGCTCATTTATCTTTAGCTAACTGACAAGCTCTGATGAGAGCATTAAGTTTTAGCACCTGGTAGATTTTGCTTCTATAAGGAGTCATATTTTAGGAACAATATGAGACCTGATACAGTAGGTTTTACCTAAAATTATATTTTTCTGTTTAGTCTTAAGATATGGTCCATCAACAAACAAAACTAAATCTTGATTTCCTAGTGTAGTTTCTCGCATATCTATTCAGGGAATAGATAGTTTGAAAAGAGAGGTTAGAGAGTCATAGGTGTCCCTGTTTTAAAGAAAATGAAAGAAGAGTTGCAAAATTCAGTAATTAATAGAGATATGCAAATAAAGAGAGAGAAATAGAACTTCTAGGAGGTAAGCTTACTTACTGATAGTTATCGTTTATTTTCAGTGAGAGACAAAGACCAGATATTGGGAGGGACCATCAAGTTTAAAGAACTTTCTAAAAATCAAGTGAACAGAGTCTCCCTAGTTTAGCTGCTGTGGCTATCACCCTTAGGCAAGGTGAGTAGACTTTTGCCACTGAGATAAGAGAGAAACTGTAGTGAGCTTTTGGTCTCTGATTATTCACAAGAAGTTGAATTAGAACACACAGGGCTTATTCAAATCTCTCACATTATATATGAATAGACAAGTTTATGATAATTAGGTTGGCATAGAATGAGATGTTATTGAAGAGTTAATTTTAACTTTTGAAAGGAGTGTTTGTGTTGGGGTTCTCAGAGAAGAGCTTTGGTTACCAAGGGATATAGTTTGGCTCTGTGTCCCCACCCAAATCTCGTCTTGAATTGTAATCCCCATATGTGGAGGGAGGGACCTGGTTGGAGGTGATGGATCATGGAGAAGATTTCCCCCATGCTGTTCTCATTATAGTGAGTAAGTTCTCATGAGATCTGATGGCTTAAAAGTGTTTGGCACTTCCTCCCTGTCTCTCCTGCTGCCCTGTAAGACGTGCCTTGCTTCCCCTTCATCTTCAGCCATGATTGTAAGTTTTCTGAAGCCTCCCCAGCCATGCAGACCTGTGAGTCCATTAAACCTCTTTCCTTTATAAATTACACAGTCTTAGATAGCTTTTTATAGCAGTATGAAAATAAACTAATACAGAAAATGTTTACCAGCAGAGTGGGTCACTGTTATAAAGATACCTGAAAATGTGGAAGTGACTTTGGAACTGGGTAACAGGCAGAGGCTGAAACAGTTTGGAAGGCTTAGGAAGATGAGGAAAGTTTGAAACTTCCTAGAGACTTGTTGAATGGTTGTGACCAAAATGCTGATAGTGATACATACAATGAAGTCCAGGCCGAGGCAGTCTTATATGGAGATGAGGAACTTATTAGGAACTGGAGTAAACCTCACTCTTGCTATGCTTTAGGAAACAGACTGACGGCATTTTGCCCCTGCCCTAGAGATCTGTGGAATTTGAATTGAAAAAAAATGATTTAGGGTATCTGGCAGAATAAATTTCTAAGCAGCAAAGCATTCAAGAAATGATTTGGCTTTTTCTGAAGCGTACAATCATATGTGTTCACAAAGAGATGATCTGAAATTGGAACTTGTATTTAAAAGGGAAGCAGAACATAGACGTTTGGAAAATTTGCAGCCTGACCATGTGGTAGAAAAGAAAAATCCATTTTCCAGGGAAAAATTCTAGCCACTGCAAAAATTTGCATAAGTAACAAGGAGCTGAATGTTAATTGCCAAAATAATGGGGAAAATGTCTCCAGGGCATGTTAGAGATCTTCTCAGCAGCTCCTCCCATCACAGGTCCAGAGGCATAGGAAGGAAAAATGGTTTCATGGGCTGGGCTCAGGGCCCCACTGCTCTGTGCAGCCTCAGGACATGGTGCCCTGTGTCCCAGGTGCTCTAGCTCAGCCATGACCTAAAGGGGCCAAGGTACACCTCAGACCATTGCTTCAGAGGATTCAAGCCCAAAGTCTTGGTGGCTTCCATGTAGTCTTGGGCCTGTGGGTGTGCAGAAGCTAAGAGTTGAGGTTTGGGAACCTTCACCTAGATTTCAGAGGATGTACAGAAATGCCTGGATGTCCAGACAGAAGTCTGTGCAGGGATGGAGCCCTTATGGAGAACCTCTCCTAGGGCAGTGTGGAGGAAAAATATGGAGTTGGAGCCCCCATGCAGAGTCCCCACTGAGGCACTGCATAGTGGAGCTGTGAGAAGAGGGCCACCATTCTCCAGACCCCAGAATGGTAGATCAACTGACAGCTTGCACTGTGTGCTTGGACAAGCTGCAGGCACTCAATAGCAGCCCATGAAGGCAGCTGTAGGGGCTGTACCCTGCAGAGCTGCAGAGCAGAGCTGTCCAAGGCCTTGGGAGCCCACCCCTTGCATCAGTGTGCCCTGGATGTGAGACATAAAGTCAAAGGAGATCATTTTGGAGCTTTAAGATCTAATGACTACCCTGCTGGATTTCAGACTTGCATGGGCCTGTAGCCCCTTTGTTTTGGCCAAGTTTTCTTAATTGGAATAGAAACATTTACCCAATGCCTATACCCCCATTGTATCTTGAAAGTAACTAACTTGCTTTGGATCTTACAGGCACATAGGTGGAAGGAACTTGCCTTGTCTCAGAGAAGACTTTGGACTTGGACATTGGTGTTAATTCTGGAATGAGTTTAGACTTTGGGGGACTGCTGAGGAGGCATGATTTCCTCTTGAAATGTGAGGATATGAGATTTGGGAGGGGCCCAGGGTGGAATGTTACTGTTTGACTCTGTGTTCCCACCCAAATGTCATTTCAAATTTTAATCTTCATGTGTTGAGGGAGGAATCTGGTGGGAGGTGATTGGATCATGGGGATGGTCTCCCCCATGCTGTCCTCATGATAGTAAGTGAGTTCTTATGAGATCCGATGGTTTAAAGGTATTTGGCAGTTCACCTCTCTCTTTCTCTCTTCTCTGCTGCCATGTAAGACATGCCTCACTTCTCCTTCACCTTCCACCATAATTGTAAGTTTCCTGAAGTCTCCGCAGCCATGTGTAACTGTGAGTCAATTAAACCTCTTTCCTTTATAAATTACCCAGTCTCAGCTAGTTCTTTATAGCACTGTAAAAACAGACTAATACATCAGGGATTTGGTTAAGCCATACAATGAAGTGGGATTTTAGGAAAGCTGGTAACTCCTGTATCCAGTGAGATCCAGGAATCCTCTTGTTTCTTAGTTACTTATCTGGAAAAGTTTTGAAAGGCCAAGTCTGTTAAGAGAGGACTTGAGAAAAGTCATATTCGAGGTAATGAACTTTACTTTGACAAAATTGTAACTTCTCTTTGGAAAACTTATGCCCTCTCTGAAAACAGCAAGCAGATACATGGAATCAATCTTAGAGCCCACCTCATCCTTAGAAAAAAACAAAAGGTCAACCACATATTTGAAACCACTTTTGCAAAATTGTGACAGTAAGAGAAATCTGATATCATTGGCTCCATCTTGGTTCTGACCTCCAAGCTGTTCTTAATCATTCCTGGGTGTAGACCAAGCTAACTTTGGGAGGAATTTAGTTTATAGTTTAACCTTAAAGCAGGGATGATAACAGTTCTTACCAAAACTAAACTGTCTTGTAAAAATTAAGGAAAGGCCACAATATTAGGATTATGAGAGGGGCCTAAATTCTGATAAGATGTAAGTGTAGCTTCTATAACCCCTTACTGCTTAGGAGTCGTACGTCCAGAGGCTACAAGATTTGTGGCTTTCTGAATTGCTCCTGTAGATAACATCTGAAAACCAGAGATTGATTTTCTTGACATCTTTTTCAGACTGATCCCACTGGACTCATGACTTATGACTCAGCTGGTCCTGTGGCCCCACTCAGAGGTGCACTTAGTGCATGAGGACTGTTTGCCATACCCCTATTTCATCCCAAACCGACAAGCAGCAGCCATTCCCTAGCCCTCTGTCCACCAACTTGTCCAAAGATACCCTAACTTTTGATCCTTCAGAGAGACTGGTTTGAGTGATAACTCCAGTTCTCCCATGTAGGCCAGTCACGCATCAATTAAACTCTTTCTCTACTGCAACACCATGATATTGGTCAATTGGTTTTCTCTGTGTACTGGGTGAGAAGAATCCATCAGGTGATTACATGTTGGATAAGAACAAAATGACAGGAACATTTAAAGTCATTGAGGTTGCGATTGAAGACTTGTGAAGAGTAGGAGAGTGTCTCAATAACTTCCTTGGCCACAATAGTTAGAGTATTGTTGTTTTTTCCAGGAGAAACCAAACAGGTACTGACTATTTTGACCTAAAGGGACACTAAAACAAACAGAATGCAGACTTGCTACTGTAAAATTGTTAGCCTCAGAAGCCACATAAAATAAAATAGTATCTGAGTTTGCCACTACAAGGTAACAGGGAATAACTATCCCGATATCTTCAACAAATATGTGTATATATATTTGTGTGTGTGTATATATATGTGTGTGTGTGTGTGTGTGTGTGTGTGTGTATGCGGGTATATATATATGTGTGTGTATATATATGTGTGTATAAATATATGTGTGTGTGTATATATATATCCCCAAGGGTCCTCCTATTCATAATAATTGCATAGCTAATTTGAATATTGATTTACCAATGTCTGTGTATCTCAATGAAGCCCACATTGCAGATCTGAAGGAGGTATCAGCGTTTAACCAACAAATGTTCTAGCATTTGTAGACAGCATTATTGGGGCTGAGCCCATCAAGGTTAAGGCTGTGCCATTTAAACCTCAACTCAAACTTGTACAATATCCTCTTAACCAGAGGTTAAAGAACGATTATAACCAATAGTCAAAAGCCTGAGAAAGGACTCATCGTACATTGCAGCATTCCTTATAATATTCTTATCATCCCTGTTAAAAACCCAGAAGACACACACAGCCCCCACCGCCACACACACACACATGCACACAAACACACCTATGTGTATATACACATCCGAGGGTGACATTTATGGACTGGAACACAAGGAATGTCTGACAATTGTTAGAGACACCCACCACCTGAGTAGTTTGTTCACATCAAAAGTGAGGTTGCATAACAGAGACAGAGTTTCAGTTTAATAGCAGCATCTCTATCAATACAACAAATTGCAAGGTTTCCCTTTAATGTTTAGAGAAATTTCTCCTTGTGAGTTTCAGGGTAAAACAGGAAATTCAGTGTTTGCTTCCTCCTTGGAGTACCCTCATTGATCATCCACTTTATTTTTCTCCTGTAGTTTCTTAGCAAACACAAAACTATTCTTTTTCCAATGTCTTTCTGCTTACAGTAACTACCCATGACTTCATCAGAAGCTCCCTTTGCCCATATAAAATGATGGGTATGGGAGCTTCTAGATGTATTTTTTTTTTTCCTGTAAAGCCATAAATTTATCCTGAGTATTATTCTGTTTTTGGAGTAAGCCTTTTTCAAAATGTTCAATGAGGGATTGAAAGCCTGATAAAAGAACTATTTCCCAGTCCCACTTTCACTTTCAGATTAGATCCCCTATTTCTAGTGTTGATGAAAAGAGTCAAACTCTGTAAAATATTTGTAGAGATTTATTCTGACCCAAATATGAGTGACCACAGCCTGTGACACAGCCCCCGGAGATCCTGAAAACATGTGCTCAAGGTAGTCAGGCAACAGATTGGTTTTACACATTTTAGGGAGACATAAGACATCAATCAATACATGTAAGATGTACATTGTTTCGTTCCAGAAAGGTAGCACAACTGGAAGCAGGGCCTTCCAGGTCATAGGTGGATTCAAAGATTTTCTGATGGGCAGTTGGTTGAAAAAGTTTATCTAAAGACCTAGAACCAATAGAAGGGATTGTTGGGGTTAAGATGAGTGGTTATAGAGACCATGGTTCTTATTATACAGATGAAGTCTCCAGAGAGAATAGATTGTAAAAATTTCTTATCAGACTTGAAAAGATGCCAGACTCTTAGTTAATTCTCGCCTGGATCAGGAAAAAGACTTGGAAAGGGAAAGGAATTCTCTACAGCACATAAAATTTCCCCACAAGAGACAGCTTTGCAGGGCAATTTCAAAATATGTCAAAGAAATATATTTGGGGTTAAAATACTTTGATTTCTATCAGGGCCTGCTATCTGTCGTATTGGTATTTTACTGCTACAAAGAGTCTGTTTTGCCAGTCTTAAGGTCTCTTTTAATGTTAATGCTAATCAGCTGTGCCTGAATTCCAACAGGCGAAGGATGTAATGAGACATATCTGACGCTCTCTTTCCCATCATGGCCTGAAGTACTGTTCAGGTTTACTTTAGGATGCCCTTGGCTGAGAGGAGGGGTCCATTCAAGCTGGTTGGGGGGCTTAGAATTTTATTTTTGATTTACTCTAGTTTAAGACTATTGACAAAAAGTGGGGAGTGTAGGGGAGGAAAAATCTTTCCTTCTACATTTTTCAGTTCTCAGCTGGGCATTTTGTTACAAAAGACAGATTAACAAGAGAAAAACCAAGCAAGGTTTGTTTACATGTATATTTCATACATACATGGGACAAAGTCTGGGAAGACTAATTCTAACAGGTGTTTAGAACTTGGGCTTTAATATCTTCTTTAGCTAAAACAAAGAAAGATGGGTTTGAGGGAGGCAAGTTTTGGAACGATGACCAGAAATGGCATGGTAAACACGAGTAAGATTTGTTATGCAGATTTAATTCCCAGACTTCTCCATTGGTGACAGTCTGACAGTCTCTTGTGATGTAGGTTATACTTCTCTTCCTGGTACAGAGAGGGAAACACGCTTAGATATGGAGATTTTACCTATATATGTAAATCTTCCTTTCAAAGGGTAACTGGTAATTCTATTTTCAGAGCTTCTCCTGTGTCTAACTTTTCTAAAAATATCAGCTCAAAATAACCCTTATGGTCAAGAGGCATACAGATGATCTTTGATTTACAATAGGGGTTCATCTCGTTAAACTCATTGTAAGTTGAAAGTGTCCTAAGTCAAAAATCCATCTAATACACCTCACCTACTGAACATCATAGATTAGCCTGGCCTACCTAAACGTGCTCATAACACTTACATTAGCCTAGAGTTGAGTAAAATTATCTAACACAAAGCCTATTTTATAATAAAGTGTTGAATACCTTCTGTAATTTATTGAATATTGTACTGAAAGGGAAAAACAGAATGGCTGTATGGGTACTAGAAGTACAGTATCTATTGAATGTGTATCACTTTTGCACCATTGTAAAGTCCAAAAATCATAAGTAGAACCAATGTAAGTCAGGGACTGTCTGCATTGGGGGTGGTATATTCTAATCTCCTACAGTCATACTTCAGGGTGGCATTTTCTGGCCACCTACAGTCACAAAGCTGATGGACATCTACCTTGGGATATACCCCTGCATTCTGTCTAAAGGTGGTAAAGAACCTGCCATTGAAGTATAAAATAAACTCATCCTTTCTCTGCCTACAGTTCTATCAGAGTCCAGCCTATTTTCACAAGAAAGCTTTTGGGGATAGCCTCCAAAAGACTGTGTTCAACACCTCTAGCTTTTTAAAAAACCCTCTAGATTCCTATGCAATTGAGGCTATTTTGGGGTTACCCTTGAGATCTTCCTGTTCTGCCTATTCTTTTAATTTTCTGCATCTGAATTTCCACTAATCACTTAGTTAATTGGTACAGAACTGGACACACTGGCTTGTTTGTTTCTAAAACTATTCTACATTCCTCTGCAAATTTCTAGGCTTTAGAAACTTTCTGAAAATGGCTGTCAGCTCAGACTGAGACCAGAACTCAAAATCAACCATAAGAAGTGAAGGAAACCAAAGTATTTCACCCCAAAATGTGGCTTCCTGGTATAATGTGTATTTGGATTTTTCATGCGTGTCCATGTGAAGAGACCACCAAACAGGCTTTGTGTGAGCAATAAAGCTGTTTATTTCACCTGGGGGCAGGTGGGTTGAGTCCGAAAAGAGAGTCAGCGAAGGGAGATAGGGGTGGGGCCATTTTATAGGATTTGGGTAGGTAAAGGAAAATTACAGTCAAAGGGGGTTGTTCTCTGGCGGGCAGAGTGGGGGTCACAAGGTACTCAGTGGCAGAGCTTTTGAGCCAGGATGAGCCAGGAGAAGGAATTTCACAAGACAATGTCATCAGTTAAGGCAGGAACAGGCCATTTTCACTTCTTTTGTGGTGGAATGTCATCAGTTAAGGCAGGAACCGGCCATCTGGATGTGTATGTGCAGGTCACAGGGGATATGATGGCTTATCTTGGGCTCAGAGGCCAGACAGGATTAAAGGTCATTAAAGGACAAGAGTGGTGGCTCATGCCTGTAATCCCAGCACTTTGGGAGGCCCAGGTGTGCAGATCATTTGAGGTCAGGAGTTTAAGACCAGCCTGACCAACATGTTGAAACCTCATCTCCACTAAAAATACAAAAAAATTAGCTGGGCGTGGTGGTGCATGCCTGTAGTTCCAACTACTCAGGAGGCCAAGGCAGGAGAATCACTTGAACCCAGGTGGCAGAGATTGTAGTGAGCTGAGATCATGCCACTGCACTGCAGCCTGGGTGACAGAGTGAGACTTCATCTCAAAAATAAATAAATAAAGACCCTTCAAGTTCAACAGATGCCAGAAGAGACTTCTGCCCATCTATATAAAGACCAGAGGGTCGAACCAAGGAGGACAATTATTTTTCTTCCCCTCCTTGTTATTTCATCTCATTATTTCCCGCAGAAAAAGAGACTGAAGAATGTAACCACACCTGGACAGACTCTTTCACAAGATAATGTCTGTCTCTCAGGCTCATTCAATTTTCAAAGAGAACCATTTATAAATTAACCTCTGTTCCCCAACCCATTCATTCTCCCTAGTAATCATTCATTGACCCTCATCAGCATTACTTTTATTCCCTTCCTACACCCTGCCCTCTAGTAAAAGGCTATATAAGTATCTGGGTCCCACTGGAATATGTGGTTGGTAATCACTCCGTGGTCCTCCCCTATGCATGTTAATATATTTGCATGCCTTTTCTCCTTTTAATCTGCCTTTTGTTAGTTGATTTTCAGCCAGCCTTCAGAGGGTGAAGGAGAAGTTTTCCCTTGGCCGCTACAGAAGCTTTCCCTTTTCTGTGGAAAAATTTAAGAGCTGGTTGAGCTTTGGGGGTTTCTGGCTACTTGGGAGGGAAGGGCAGTGTGTCAGACAGAGAGATAGGAGCAGAGGGAAATGGGGGTGTGTAGTGCAGTGGAAAAGCAATGGCACGATAAAGGCATTAGGTTCATCATGTGATTTGAGAGTATCGAAAAGGGAGATTGTTTTATGTTTTTCACATTTTCTTATGTTTTGGCCAAGAATGTTCTTAGGCAAACAATTTTGAAATTGGAATTCCTTTTAAATGCTTCCTTATACCAATAAAAATTTACAGACAATTGGATGTTTGAAATTTTGGTTCCCATTAATTCTAAGGTTGCTTGTAAATGAACAATTTTGATTATATCAAACTTCTCCCAAAATGACCATTGTACAGTCTGCCCCCCATACCCACAGGTTTCAAGACTGTTGGTTCCACATCTGTGGATCCAGCCAACCACAGGGAGAAAATATCTGAAAAATATAGCATTAAAAAGTACAATAAAATTAATATAGTCCAGGTGTGGTGGCTCACACTTGTAATATCAACACTTTGGGAGGCTGAGGTGGGAGGATCGCTTGAGCTGAGGAGTTTGAGACCAGCCTGGGTAACATGGTGAAATCCTGTTTCTACAAAAAGTACAAAAATTGGCTGGGCATGGTGGTGTGCATCTGTAGTCTCAGCTACTGTGGAAGCTGAGGTGGGGGGATCACTTGAACCTGGGAGGTGGGTAGTATAAAAACTATTTACATAGCATTTACATTGTATTAGGTATTATAAGTAGTTTAGAGATTAAAATTTTACAGGAGGATGTGCATTGGCTATATGAAATAGTAGACCCTTTTAAATAAGGTACTTGAGCATCTGTGGATTTTTTTATCTGCAGGGTCCTGGAATCAACCACCACAGACCAAGGAACAAATATAATGATAAATTATCCTTGGGGAATATGACATTTTGAAAACTAAACTCATGATCTGAAGTTGGAATGTAAGAAATCTGAGGCAGATTTCTTACACTCAAACTACAGAATTGGCCCAGATGTTACCAGAAAGGGTCCCAATCCAGAACTCAAGAGAAGGTTCTTGGACCTTGTGCAAGAAATAATTTGGGGCCAGGCTATAGAGTAAAATGAATAAAAGAATAGCTACTCCATAGGCAGAGTGGCGGCATGGTCTTCTCAACTGACTATACTTACAGTTATTTCTTGATGATATGCTAAACAAGGGGTGGATTATTCATGAGTTTTCTGGGAAAGAGGTGGGCAATTCCCAGAACTGAGGGTTCCTCCCCCTTTTAGATCATACAGGGTAACTTCTGGATGTTGCCATGGCATTTGTAAACTGTCATGGCACTGGTGGGAGTGTCTTTTAGCATGCTAATATATTATAATTAGCATATAACAAGGAGTGAGAATGACCAGAGGTCACTTTCATCACTATCTTGGTTTTGGTTGACTTCTTTACCATGTCCTGTTTTATCAGCAGGGTTTTTGTGACTTGTAAATTGTGCTGACCTCCTATCCCATCTTGCGACTAAGAATGCCTTACCTAGGCCAGGCACAGTGGCTCACGTCTGTAATCACAGCTCTTCAGGAGGCTGAGGCAGGCAGATCACTTGAGGTCAGGAGTTCAAGACCATCCTGGCCAACATGGTGAAACCCCTTCTGTACTAAAAACACAAAAATATTTAGCCAGATGTGATGATGCACACCTGTAGTCCCAGCTACTTGGGAGGCTGAGACATGAGAATCATTTGAACCTGGGAGGCAGAGGCTGCAGTGAACCAAGATCTTAGCACTGCAATCCAGCCTGAGTGACAGAGTGAGATTCTGCCAAAAATAAATAAATAAATAAATAAATAAATAATAATCCCTAATCTCCTGGGAATGCAGCCCAGTAGGTCTCAGCCTTATTTTACCCAGCTCCTATTCAAGATGGAGTTGCTCTGGTTCACATGCCTCTGACACAGATGAGATGCGGACAGACAGTTATGTGACTGAGACAAACCCTGGGAATCTTGGAACTGTTGGTCAAAGTGTAGTTTGTGTATCTCATGGCTCAAGCCTCCCAGCCTAAAGGCCAGACTGTCTTGACTGCAAACCTGACTAATTAGGGAATACAGAAAGGCTTGGAGAAAAGAACTTTTCCAGAATTAGACTTCTGTGGACAAAACAAGATGAGACTAGGGAAAGTTCTCATAAGGTTTGTGTAGTGATCTGGGACAAAGTTTGTTCAAACAACAAAACTGAAAACACCTTTGCAAAGATGATGACAGTGAGAGAAGTTTAGTGTGGCTGACTGCACCTTGCTTCCAGCCTCATAGGCTGGCTGTCCTTGTTCATCCCTGGGCATAGGCCAAGCTAACTACGGGAGGAATTTAGTTGCTAGTTTAACTGTACAGCAGGGATGATAATAGTCCTTCCCTAAAACTGATACCCTCCTTGTTCAGGGACTGAATTTCCCTTCGTAAAACTAATGAAAGGCCACAAGATTAGGGTTATGGAAGAGGCCTGAATTCTGTTAAAATGTAGGTGTAGTTAAATGATAACTAGCCTTTGTCTCCTAACTTGCTTTTCTACAATCCCTTACTGCTCAGAGTCATGTGGGCAGAGGTCACAAGATTTGTGACTTTGCCAGTTGATCCTACATATAACATCATGATTGTAGAACCTAATACTGGTATTTTGAGATGTATTTCAGACTTTTGCATTCTGGCAACTGACTGACCCCATCAGGACTTGTGACTCATGACTTCATGGTTCCTGTCCCCACCCCCAACCACCAACCAGAGGTCAACTCAGAGTGCAAGGACATTTTCCACACCCTTATGGTTCATCCCCAACCAATCAGCAGCGCCTATTCTCTAGCCCCCTGCCCACCAAATTATCCATAAAAGCCCTGGTCTCTGAGCTCCTGGGGAGACTGATTTGAGCAATAACTCCAGTCCTTTGGCTTGCCCAGCCTTATGTTAGTTAAATTCTTTCTTTACTGCAATAATGCTGTTTTAGTGAATTGGGTTTATCTGTGCAGCAGGCAGGAAGAACCCCTTGGGTGATTACAAATTCTGAGAAGAAACCTTTTGACCTTTCCAATTCAAAGAGCCAGTTTGTGAAGGAATGTGGGACCTCTGCTTGTCCTCTTTCCTGTGAACTTCCCTCTTATAAATACACAACAAAAAGTGACAAGGAGAGACAGAAACAAGTGGTTGTGTTGTTAATACTAAGGCAGTTTGCACCATAAATAAAAGTTTTCCAAATCTGATCAGAGAACAAATAATTCCTAAAATGGATTCTTTATTCCTAAGAGTTAAACTTAGCATATAGAAAACTCACCACTGGTTTCTGAGACAGTGGTGGAGAGGTGTTAAGAATTTGCATTTCTTTCTTTTTTTAATATTTTATTTTATTATATTTTAAGGTCTGGGATACTTGTGCAGGACACGCAGGTTTGTTACATAGGAAAATGTGTGCCACAGTGCTTTGCTGCACCTATCAACCCATCACCTAGGTATTAAGCCCAACATGCATTAGCTATTTATCCTGATGCTCTTCCCCCACCCCCGACCCCTCCAAGAATTTGCATTTCTAACAAGTTCTCCCAGGGCTCAAGAAGCCACCAAGTATCTATTATTAAGTCAAGGATCTTGAGCAGGAATCCTAGTGGGAGCTCTAAGCGTGTCAAATACTGATTTCCTAAAAACAAAACAAAGCACCAAAATAACCTATTGATAAGATGAAGCTGGTAATAAAGTACTGCTTGACAGTCTTGAATGAGGAGAGCAAAGACAGGATGTATACATATAAGGGTTTGGATTCTGGTTTAAGATAGGTCTTTCAATACAGGATCTTTCAATATTAGGAGTGCGTGAGGGTCATACTATAATAGTTTAGAATTTATAGGCTTAGCAAGGCAAGAATTCCGAGGCAAAATCTTAAGACTATGAAGAGTGAACAGATGTGTGATGCTATATCAACGGTAAAGTTGAACAATTTGATGTTCCTTTAAATTGGGTTTTGGGAAGTTCCTGGAATAAACAATGAAGTTACTTGCAACTTTTTTCTTCCTGGGCAAGAGATTATCAGATAGTAAAATCATGTAGACAAAGACAGTAAAATGCTAAAGTAATGTTAGTAAAATCATGTTAACATTGACAGCTGTGTGTAGGTAGATTTATATACACATATTTATATATTTTATCTCCTTTGGAGCATTGCATATACACAAAATGTAATTATCCTAGTATTGCATATGCAATTGTCATATTATTGATGAAAATAGACTGCAAATTTAGATATGTCAATATTAAAATCTACTTGCAAACATGCAATTACTATGATTTAAATAATAATTATCTTCATTATAACTTCACCTTGTACATCACAAATTTTCATTGAAAATTACTTTGTGATATTTATGAGTCTAAGGAAGCTTCATGTCACGGCCAATTTATTTAGCAAGGGTTGGGGGTATTGTATTATGCTAGCAACTGAAACTGAAAATGCAGTGCACACATTTGTTTGAGTTACTTTCAGATAAAAAGAATTTTGGTGAAGGGGGGGAGGAGTGTTTTAATATATTTAAGAAAAATCCTAATAATCATTAATCGACTGAGAAAATGGTTGTCAAATTTTATGAGATAAGAGAGCTAGTCTCAGTAAAGTGGAATCTTCAGACCAAAATCGGATCATCCTGCTCAGCAATATAGTCAGTAAGTTTTGCTTACTTTCAGATATTGATTATCCAAGTGTGTTTCTGGGACCATCGGCATTAGCATCACCTGAAAACTTGTTGATCTACAAATTCTTGGGCCCCACTTCAGAGCTACTGACTCAAAAACTCTTGGATTGGCCCAACAATCTTGCTTTAATAGCCCTGGTATAGGGTCCAGTTTGAGAATCTCCTAATGTTAGGGTAGAATCCAATTGCTCTGATACACAGATAACAACCTTCTTTTGAATATTCTTTTGAATATTTTGGGCCTCAAAGATTACAGGAACTGAGGAAACCAATTAGTCAATGGAGGCTGAGAGAGTTTGTGCTATTTTATCAAATTAACTATACAAATATTTTTAATTGAGACCCCATACACTTTAGAAAACTATTGTGATAAGAATACTTTTTAAAAGGTAAAATCATGACTCACCTACAAATATAAATGAACATTTAAAGATTTACTCCTTAAATTAGTTAAAGTACCAGTAAGATGTTAAAAACCATATAGTTGTGTTTGTCAGATTGGAGCAAAAGTAACAAGGTCAAGATGAGATTTGCAATTGTTAAACATTCGGACACATGAGCTTTCTGAAGGCAAAAGCATAGACACAAAAGAGTAGATAGGTATTCAATCCTTCTATGGAACTTGCAGGCCAAGATAAAGCATAAGAATTGATTAGGAAATCATTAGAAACTTACAAAAGTATTGGAAAAGTATTTCAAATTCATTGTGGTAAAATCCATATTGCAAAATGTATCATTTTAACTATTTTTAAGTGTACGATTAGTAGTATTAAATACATTCACATTCATTTCCAAAGCATTTTCATCATCCCAAATTGAAACTATGAAACTTGGTACCCTTTAAACACTAACTCCTTATCCTGCATTCCCCCATGACCCTGGAAACCACTATTCTACTCTGTGTCTATGAATTTGCTTATTCCAGGTACTTCTTGTAAGTGGAATCATAAACATTTGCCCTTTCGTGTCTGGTTTATTTCACTTTGTCTTCAAAGTTCATCCATGTTGTAACATGTATGACAATTTTATTCCTTATTAAGGCTGAATTATATGACATCATATGTTTATGACACATTTTGCTTATCCATTCATACTTCAATAGATATTTAGGTTATTTCCACCTTTTAACTATTGTGAAAGTACATTTTTTAGTAGAGTACTGGGGGCGATGCAGATCACAAGAGACTAATTGAATAAAGAGGTTAGTTAGTATTATCTGTATCAACTCATGAGAAGTATAACTGTGAGAGTGAAAGGGAATGTGGAACAAGCCATGGAGGTATGCAATGTCCCTTTAAATGCAGTGGTCTATATCACAGAAGGTTCTGACCTGCAGGGTGAAAGTGCCAAGATAAGGGAGAAGAAGTGAACCTAAAAGCAAGAAAGACTGCATTTGGAATCTTAATATTCTCTTTCCATCAATCCACATGATACCCAAGAAGAACACAGAATTTAAGAAAGTTCAGTATCTGCTTACTTGGCAATTAACAAAGGGGGAAGCTTCTGTGAAACTTCACTTTGAAAACTCGAAGTTTCTCTTCTGATAGTTGACCTATATCCAGTCCACCATTAATAGTCTTTCCTTGTTTCTGCCTCAATCTTGGTCTCTCTCTCTCTCTCTCTGTCTCCTTCTCTCTCTCTCTCTCTCTCTGTCTCCTTCTCTCTCTCTCTCTGTCTCTGTCTCTCTCTCTCTCTTTCTCTCTCTCTCTCACACACACACACACACACACACACACTCAAAACTCAAGGACAAAGGGGAGATGGATCTAATTGTCTAATTGACCAAACATTTTTTTAAAGCCACATAAAAATTACAACACTTATTTGCCTGCAATCACACAAACTTGGTCATCATTTAACACTAAGCTTCACGCAAAACAGGAGGGAAGAGTGATGATTTTTAATGCTGAGAAAGTAATTTTGTTTTAAACGTAGGAAGGAGTTTTTCCATTCCTAACAAAGAACACCCTGTGATCCTACAAACAATAAACTTTCCTGTTATCAATTTTTAAAACATCTAGTAAAATACCACTGCGCAGTACAGGACTACAATATTTCACTGTTGCCTGGTCTAGGGTCACCATTCCCTCGGTGATTAGCAAAAACTAGGTGTTTTCTTCAGGGAATCATGCGATAATTCATTTAACAACATAATTTCTGAAAACGTTTTAAAAAGTACACATACCTATTACTATTTAATTCTTACAAATATATTTAATTATAGCTGATATTTAATAACTAAGAAATTTCATTCTTTTATACTTTCATATATGACTTTCCCAAGGTAGAATCTGTCCGTAAATTTGGTTGTTTATTAATTGCCTGGTGGCCGTCTAAACACGGGGGAGATGCATTTTATCACTTCCAGATTCCTCAATGTGTTCTTCCCTGGCACTTTACTAGAAATAAAAGTAATAAACCTTGTCTTTACTCAACACTTACCATGTTCTTAGACACTTGTTCTAGACCCATTACATACCTTACTCCACTTCTCATAAAATCCTGCAGGATGGCTATTACGGCCATTTTGCAGATGAGAGAACCTGCTCAGCAAGGCTACTTCCTAAGCAGGTAACAGGCTAACCTGGGCTTTAAACCCAAATATATCTCACTCCAAAGTTGTGTTCTCACCTCAAAAACCAGCCTCTCAAAGGAGCAAGTATGCCACAGATAGTCTAACTAACATCAATCAAGTTAAAACTCCAGTGAGGCAAGGACATCACGAAGTATGTTTTGGGAATAAGTGTTTTAGGAGAGCTCCATACTTTCCTTCATACTTGTTACAAGAAGGTGGTTCAGATTTAGATAAGCCAGGATGAGTATTTCTATCACTGTCCCCGACTCTTTCACATCAGGGACGTTCTGGGCATCGAGCCATTACTTTTCTCTGTTCCACAGGTGTAGAGGGCTGAGTTAATCATAGCCTCTGGTTCATGTCACACTGTTTCCCGGCTTGGCGCCAGACTCCTCTCCTGTTGTTATCTGTCTGATAATTCCCTTTTTTTTGCCATTATCCACTTTCCTTCTCCTCCCCCTACCACTAAGGCAAGTCTGATGTCAGCCTTTTATTTTATGTGTTCTTGAAAATGCTTACTGTGGTTTCTGTGCAAGTGTGAGGATGCTGAGGGCTCACTGTGAGGCATAAACCCTGCACTAGAACCCCTTTGGGGTAAGGAATGGGGACTCCAGTCGTGGCTTTGCTCCTCCCCAGCCAAGACATTTTCAAAGCCAGCTATTCTCTGTGAGCCTATCCCTTCATCTAAAAACGAGGATAATGCTACTTGTCTTGCCGCTCATAAAATAGTGAAAGCTATAAAGCTCACGTGTGGTTTTGTCTCAGGAATCATCTGTGCTATAAAAAGTGATGGCTGTTTTGATGTGGCCACTTTTTGAAGATATTCCATGTAGAAGTCTGATTTCAGGCTGCCATGGACTGAGCTGAGTCCTCTGAAAATTCATATTTTGAAGCTTTAACCCACAATGGGACTGCATTTAAAGATGGGGTCTATAAGGAGGTAATAAATGCTAAATGAGATTACAGAGTTCTAATCTGATACAACTGACATTCTTATAAGAAAAGGAAGCAACATAAGAGCTCACTCTCTCCATGTGCTCACAGAGAAGAAGCCGCGTAAGGACACAGTAAGAAGGAAGCTGTCTGCAAGCCAGGAAGAGAGCCCTCACCAGAAACTAACCCTGAGGGTGCCTTCATCTTAGACTTTTGGCCTTCAGAACTATGAGAAAATATGCCACTCAGGCTATGGTATTTTGTTATGGCAGCCCAAGCAGATGAAAGTGCAGACCCTCCTCTGCAATGTATCATTTGTACCAAAAGTAAACACCAATAAAAGTATGATTCCTAACCCTGGAATGTTCTGGAGTGATAAGACATTCCCACTATGAAATTAATTTGCATTTTACTTAATGTGTGCTAGATGGCACTTTTGGAAGAGAGCCACAAATCAGGGCTGCCGGTTCTGCTGCATGTGACAGCAGAGTGGTGAAACATTAAAGAGAGGGGAGCTCTCACCAGACCCAATGTCTCAACACTTGTTCCTCCTAGGATGTCCTCCACAGCAACAAAATTCTGAAAAATCTATTTGTTGCTCTTTCTAACACCTAGAACAGGAAAACATAAGAACTGAGAAAGGTTGGTTTGGGTGGCAGGCAGTGAATTCACTAAGGTCCTTGTTCCCCCTTTGATGTCTCATGGTTCAATAACTCCTTTAGCGTGAGTGGACACAAATATCATTTCTGGAGCTGCCAATATAATTGATAAAAAATAGCCAATATTACCAGATAAGCGTCTGACACCAGAATTCCCCTTAAGAAGGAAATTGGTTTTGTGTTCAGAAAAATACCCCATCAGGGTTTGGCCATAGCCAGTGACATGTCATGAGCTCCTGGAGTACAGCTGTTCAGTGGGAGACAAGGAGACAAATATGTCCTTTATTCTGGAAAGGGGGTGGGAAGGGTGGTGACAGATAGAAGAAGAGACGAAGGCGAAGAAGACGGATGAGAGGTTTTGCCGATGGCTGCATGTGGTGCGATAGGACCCTTCCCTAAGACTCCTCGTATGTCCAGCAAAGTTAACATCCCCATGTGTATGGTGTGAGTGCATCTGTTATGAACTCAGGTGAAAGGTGAGGCTTATGCCTGGGCAGTGACTGAGGTAGCTCATGTTGTCGTGGTGGTGGAGACAGAAGGTGCCCGAGGCAAGTTAGCCATCAAGAATCAGGAGAATTCGTGGTGAGGGGGCCAGGTTGCCACAGGTCTTTAAAAATTTAGTACCTACATCAAATTGACTTGCAAGGACCTTTGCTGACATTCAAACCACAGGAATAGAAGAGAGCCAGATGGTCCCACATTTTTCAAACATTTGAATGGAGTGTGGAGGAATGTCCCTACTAAAATATTTTCAACCAAACCCCATCTCTCATCCTGAGCTTTATGCATCTACCCGGTTGTTTTTTCCAGGAAGTTTGAGTCCATTAGAGGCAAAGTGAGAGATGAGAACCATGTTAGGCTGCAGAAAGGGACACTAAGAAAGCCACAGAGATGCAGAAAATAATGACGCAGGAAGCCTGACTTATAGTAGGCAGCCATAAAGCTGGCAGGGGTGACCATCATTTGTCAGGTAAAATAGTCTCTCAAAGCTCCAACTGGTTTCTGCATTCAGAGCTAAGGAATCACTCATCTGGGCTGGGCACAGTGGCTCACACCTCTAATCCCAGCACTTTGGGAGGCTGAGGCGTGTGGATCGCCTGAGGTCAGGAGTTCAAGACCAGCCTAGACAACATGGTGAAACCCCATCTTTACTAAAAATTCAAAAATTAGCAGGGAGTGATGGTGTGCACCTGTAATCCCAGCTACTCGGGAGGCTGAGGCAGGAGAATTGCTTGAACCCAGATGGCGGAGGTTGCAGTGAGCCGAGATCACGTCATTGCACTCCAACCTGGGCGACAAGAGTGAAACTCTATCTCAAAAAAAAAAAAAAAGAAAGAAAAAGAAATCCCTCATCTGCCCTGCAGCCACAGCACACACAAAATCATCCACCATATTCAGACATATGGAGCCAACTGGCTATTGGTCTGAGATGATGCATCACTTTCCTAGATCTTTTCATCCTCCCTTCAGTCTTTGCTGACAGCAATTTTCTGAGGCTTCGGTGCAGCTTCTTCCTATGTATAATAATATGACATGATTTTTAAATGGTGGTATCATTCTAAACTTTGGAAAAATAGAATTAGGAAGGATTGAGATGGTGTAGGGCTGGTAGTCTTGCACTGAGCTACCAATAAGGACAGAGACAATCTTTCTGACTCCTGACATTTATTTTTTGTGCCTCTCCTGGTAGATGGTCCCGACCAGCTTTTAATCCAATACAGGAGTACAGAAAGGCAAGCAGTGTCTCTGTTTAGATGCTTCTCTTTCACCTCTCATCTCTGCAGACCTCTCTGCAAGCAAAAAAGTTTGACCTCTTTCTTTCCAAGAGTAATTACAGCTCCTATCAATTTTTCCATAAGAAGATAGATATGAAAAAAAAAAAGTGAAAACTTGATGGAGCAAGACTTGGGGTTGAATACAAATGTCACTTCCTCACCTCTCTTTCACATTTCTCTTAACTATAATGAACACACTCCCTTGGAGGCAGAAACCTAAGGCTAGTTGTGACAGAAATTGATATCAAGCAATTCAGGTTCATTGGCACACAAGTGTTATGATTCCATTTCAGGAGACAAGAGGTACCCAGGGAGTCTTCTTGTTTCGTTATAGTCTTATCTCCACCCTTCACTAAGTTTACTTAATTGGAAATTAGAATTGAAATTATGAGGAAAAGGATTTTTCTTTCCCCTTTAGGGCCATCACCTAGTATATATTTATCACAGTGTCCCCTTACAGAAAGATGGAAGGGGCTAGGAGAGAGACAATGCTTCCCTGGAGGCGAACGAATACATTAGGGTTTTATCTTTCCGACAGACACAGGCACTGGGAATATATGCAGAAACCTCCGGAGGTATTAATATGGAGCTAGGCAGACAGAAACATTCTGGCAACTGGCTTCTTTCTATTGAAGTTGTGATCATGTTGAAAGCCTGGCTTCATAGTGAAATTGGTCACCAGCTATCAAACATCTCATCACGGCAAAAAGAAGGGAGACTATGGATGAGGGCTATATGTGGCTCACAGGCACAATGTCAGAGAGACCCAAAACAGGATCGGGGAGGCAGAATCCAGAGACTGGAGGAAGCCCACAATGACTTCCCTTCCCTTGACCTCTGATGCTCTTGATCTCTCCTCTACTCCACCACTGGAGACTGATAGGACCAGGATTTCCGGACTGAGTAAAAACCAGCCATGCTGGGAAGTAAACACTTTATTGGAAATACGAAAGGGAAAATAAAGCATAACAAATATAATAAAGCATAGCAAATATAATGTGGATAAAACAAAATCAAATGTTCAGATGTAGGAAAATAATCCATAGAAACATAGTACTCCTCCTTCACTGGTTTCATACATGACCAATAACCAGTTTTGCCTGATACAGATGACATGAGACAGCACCAGGAGTGTCACTGAGATGGAAGGTGACAGCTTTTGGAAATATTTACTGTGGTTTGCCAACAAGAAACACCCCACTGTTTTCCTAAAACTCACGGAGTTCAAGGTCGGCCTGTTGTGCTTGAAAGAACGCTTGGTAGAAATCCCTGCTTGTTAGCTGACACAAAAGACAGACATTTTCAAACGAGAAGGAGACATGCAACTGGGCATTGCTCATCTACTTTGATAGACATTCAGGAAAACAACATTGCCCAGCATGTAGAAATAAAGCCTGCTTGACTTTTACCATTGGAGTCCTCAGCGTTTGACATTTTTAAAGTAGTTCAGCATCTTAGCCAGGTCAGTCAGAGAATAAACCCATGGGCACAGAAATCCAGAAAGCCTTGTTGGTGGCTATTTTTAAAAATCATGGGTTTATTTATTTATTTATAGAGATGAGGGTCTTGCTATGTTGCTCACACTGGTCTCAAACTCCTGGCCTTAAGTGATCCTCCTGCCTTGGCCTCCCAAAGTGCTGGGATTATAGGCATGAGCCACCACACCTGGGCTCAAAATCATGAGTTAAAAATAATTCAGGTAGTTCTGAGAAAATGGGCTGACTGCTGGCAGGAAGGGCTGAGAGCGAAGGCAGTGTTGCTCAAAGCAGCCAGTGGATGCTGGGCTGCCAAGCTCAAGAACATCCACCCAGGACATCTGTTGAAGGGTCCAAGTCGTGAATGTGGTTGCATGGGCCAGCAACTGCCCAGGAAGAGCCACAGCCTGACCTTCAGGAGAATCAGGAAGGTGGGGTGTGCTGTGAACAAGGCAGGCAGTGAGGAAAGCAGAGCTCACCAGGGCCCAGGGCCTTCCTTAGAGGGGCCCTCTGCACCTCACCTACGAAACATGTAATTTCCCACATGCTGTTGGAACTCAGCGGTCGTCCTGTGCCCAGGAAAGGATAGTTTTCACTGGTACCACATCCCCTTCCTTCTCTGTTAGAGGCTGAATTGTGTCTCCCCAGAATTAAAGTGTTGGAGCCCTGACTCCTAGGACCTGAGGATGTGATTGTATTTGAGATAGGGCCTTCATAGAGAGGATTAAGTTAAAATTAGGCCGTTCAAATGGGCTCCAATGCAACCTGACAAGTGCCCTAAGAGGAGGAAATTGGATTAATAGAGAGCCACTGGGGTTGTGTGTGCACACAGGGATGGCCATGTGCAGAGATGGCCCAAGGGCAGCCACCTGCAAGCCAAGGAGAGAGGCCTCAGGGGACACCAGCCCTGCTGGCACTTTGATCTTGGACTTCCAGCCTCTTGAACTGTGAGAAAACAAATTTCTGTTGTCTAAATCATCAGAATCACCAGTCTGTGATACTTTCTACGGCAGCCCTGGCAAACTAACACATTCTCTTTTTAAGAGCCTTTATTTCCTTCTCTTTCTCCCTTCTGTTTATTGTCTTCCGTATGAGGATACAATTTAAAGAAAATATCTCAAATTTGCTTATACTAAATTATAAATCATCTTGAAATGTCCCCTTTCCCTGAGCTATGCTGCTTGAATTAAATTAAAACAATCCCTGCCATGATGCTCAGGAGTGAAGAAGATGTAAGTGAGTGGCCAGGCACCAAGAAAGATGCAGTGGATGCTGCTCCATAGTAAGCAGACCCTCAACATCAGCTCTCCGCCTCTGGTTTGCCCTGGAGCCTTAGGCTAGAGGTCCAGGCATGCACTGGGAAACTGACCTGTGTTTCCTGGCACACTATGAATGAAGTACCAGGCCTGGATGTGGGATGCCAGAGCCCTTATTTAAAATCTTCCCCTATTGTTGAAAAACTCCAGTGGCCCCCAATCTCTCCCCTCATCTTCATTACAAGGAATCTTCAGCAGAAAATAAAGGAAATGATGCATTTCAAGGTCCAAGGAACCTCGACTCAGGCAGTTTGAAATATAAAAGACATCAAAAATGTGAATAATGGCAAGTCCAGGAGTGGAGGAAACTTCAGGTTGATTTCATGACTCCGGCTGTTCTCCCTCTCTTTCGCTTTCTTCAGCAACAACTTCATTCTAGCAGCAACCAGAAGAAAAGGAGAGTGTGATTTCCTGTAGCTTTTTCTTAGGAACAAGAAAACTTCTTAGAAGTTTCCTGGAGGATTTTCCACTGCATGTCAGTTTCTGTAAATAAAGAAGGCTGCAGGAGGAAATGGATGCCAGGTAGTGACTAATAATATGCACTACCTTGTCCTCTACTTCTCAGTTATTACCATATTTGAGAATCAAGCAGAACAATAAAGGATAATAGGAAATGGTGTATTGGGTTAGGCCATTTGGTGGTTCAAGAGCTTATAGCTACCTCCAGCAAAGGAGTTACCATGAGACCAATGGCATAAAGAGAGATTGAACTACCAGAAAAACACAAGAGTTTTACTTGAAGACCCAAGGCAGGTCCACGATCCAGCTAGCCCAGTTTATTCCACCTTGGTGACTATGCTTCTTTTTGTTCTCTGCTTGTCTTTGTGTATTTTATTTTTATTTCTCTCACTACCCACCCACTAGTTAATTCTCTCTTACTTCCCCACGCCAATTCTATGTAGAAACAGTCTGTGTGACCTGCCTAAGCAGCACCTTTTGCTCTTTATCTCTGAACTGCTCCTGCCTAGCCTATAGCCAGGTAGCCCTTAGGTCAAGGGTCCACTCTGACCCCATCAGTCTTCACCTCTCCCTCTTCAGAAGAGGTCTGAGGGCAGAGCAAGAATATTGGCATATTTAGTATAGTTATTACACATCTCCCTTATGCTAAGAGCAAGTCTGTATTTAAATTCTCTTAAATGCGATTAACACCAAAAAAGGAAAGGGTGTTATGGTCCAAATAAAAATTAAATACAAGTCTAATGTCATTATCTTAAGTAATGTGGCATGTTCATTTCAGTGTGTAAGGAGGGAGAAATGTGAAAGGGCAGGGACAATAATTGTTCGTGCTTACATTTTACCTATTAGACTTTCATTAGATTTTCAGTTACTGTACTACTAAAGCATATTGGTGTATTTAAGGATATTAACTAAGTCTCCAAGCCCTTCATGTTCACTGTTATCTAAGTGCTGTTCTTTCAAACATCATCATGAAGTGCAGAAAAAGGGAATAATGATGCAATAATGTAAAAAATCCTGGTCCATATACTGTTCCTGCAGAATCCTCAGCCACCACTCAAGTGGGCTTACCACGAATGAGCTTTAGCTTCTCTCTCTTCCTCTCTCTCTCCCCCTTGTTCTATGACCTCAAGAAAAATCGAAAGAGATAAATGGGAACTAAGGATGCAACTCCATCATTATTGTACCTCAAATCCTTCTCAAGACATTTACTGAGAGTTTGTTACTGTGCAGAGCCACTAAAATGCTTACTTTGACAAGATTTCATATCTTGCCTAACTGGAGAGAATAAATGCAAGATGAGGAAGGCACCAGCAGAAAAATCCACAAATGCAAGAATGGAGCAGGAGGAGAAAAATCATCTGTTGAAATTCAGGAGCAGGTGTCAGTAGACGTGGCAGTGGAAGATTTTCAAAGGGGAAAATTATGTTAAACTCAGCACAGACAGAGACAGGTCTTACACATGTTTACTCACTGCAGAGAAGAGGAATATTCTGGACACGGAGCAGACAATCAAGAAATCCTTAATCAACAGAGGAATAGGTGTGAGCCACCATGAGTCGAGTTATAAGGGCTACTGCTGTAATTATAAGTTCAATGGCAATGATTAAGAGTGATTGTTTTGTAGTAATAAATGAAAACTTAAGTTGACGTTTAGGGGATCAGTCAGAAAATGATTGGAATGAAGGCTAGAAAAGTCTGAAGCTGAATGAGCAAAAGAGAAGTGTGAACTCAAGTGGACAGAGTTCATCAAAGCTTAAGATAAAGAAAAGCTCAGTGGGAGAATGAGAGTCATATCATGATGTGGCAGAAATGAAGCCAGACCAGTGAAGGGGGCCTGGTGTGGTCTGATAAGCATAGTCTATTGAGACCACTTGTGCTAGAGACAGTCTGAAGCAAAAAACGTCAGAGATAAGGAGACACCACAATACATGAAAATCATGTGGCACAGTGTCTTGCATCTAGGGAGAACATAATAATATTAGTTATTATCAATATTGCACTAAATTGTCAGTATCTCAGTAATTACCAGACTTTTAGCCTTTAATTTTTTTGTGAACATGTACCCATGTACTTAGGTAGCTATTTCTTTTCCTATTGGCTACTGTGCATATCTGTGTAATCCTGAAATAGATGCATGACTTTTTCTATGCTGCAAATATGCCTATTACAGCTATTATGATTGCCTAGGGAAGTCTTATGTAATAAAAAATGCTGTCTTTTCTCTCTGTTAATGCAGTGAAAAGACTTACATATACATTTTTATTTTTCAGCAGGTAGAGAAAAAACACATACAATTGAAACATTAAAGTCTTCCTGCCATTATTCCATCATGTCCACTTTTCCATGGTGACTATCAAATGCTTTCTTGTCCCTGCTTGCTCACTAGCAATTAATTGCTTAGTCCAGTTGATGCCTTGCTTTTTAACACATTCATGCTCACTTGTGAATACATTAGATATACGGAAAAGCTGGTGAAAAATCCTTGGATTTTTGTATTAAAAAGTCAATAAAAAGAGATTTCCTTAGGCAGCACATCAAATCTAGCTGAAGTGGCCATCTGCTTCTCCCTGATGATAGATGGCCACTCAGAATGAATTGTGGTCCTAAGTAGATATTCAAGAAATTTTTTTGGAAATTGGATGCTGCCTCTAATCGTATTTTTCCTTAGCTTTTCTCTTTTACATCTTCCACATAAATAGTATGATTTTTAAGACACTTTTAAAGAAACTTCCAAATTAAAAATAAACCCATGAGAGTAACACATTTGCAATTAGAGGATCAAGTCTTACTCAGCCAAGTAATCTTTATCTTGACATCTGCTTTCAGATTGAGCACAGCGTTGTACAGTTTCCCTTGAAAGACTCCATTAAAATATTATTAAAGGGATTTTAAAGAGCTATAAACCCACAAGGTAAAAAGAATGGAAAGAAAGCTACCAGCCGATGCAATATTTCAACAAATGTATGGTTTATTCACCAGGATTCTCCAGAGTAACACAACCAGCAGGATACCTATGTATATGTTATGAGATTTATTTTAGGGAATTGGCTCATGTAATTGAGAGGGAATGGGTCCGAAATCCATGGGGCAGGCCAGCTGCCTGGAAACTCAGGGAGAAACTGATGCTGCAGTCTTGAGGAAGAATTTCTTTTTCTTTGGGAAACCTCAGTTTTTGCTCTTAATGCCTTCAACAGATTGAATGAAGTTGACCCACTTTATCAAGGGTAATCTCCTTTATTTAAATTGGCCAGGGGCAGTGGCTCACACCTGTGATCGCAGCACTTTGGGAGGCCAAGGCAGGCGGATCACCTGAGGTCAGGAGTTCAAGACCAGCCTGGCCAACATGGTGAAACCCCGTCTCTACTAAAAATACAAGCTGGGAGTGGTGGCGGGTGCCTGTAATCCCATCTACTCAGGAGGCTGAGGCAGGAGAATGGCTTGAACCTGGGAGGCGGAGGTTACAGTGAACTGAGATTGTGCCACTGCACTCCAGCCTGGGTGACAGAGCGAGACTCTGTCTCAAAAAATATATATAAATAAAATAAAATAAAGCTAACTGATTGTACATGTTAACCACATTATGAAATTCTTTCATAGCAACACCTAGACTGTAGTAATAAATGGGTTAAATGATGGGTTCTGTAGCCTAGCTAACTTGACACATAAAACTAATCACATATAATGACTGATGAAGCAGGGAAATGAAAACTGTAAATGGAAGTGACTGAAGCTCAAAAGGGGCTGATTGTTCTCTCTCTGCCAACAAAAAGCCACACACACACCCCCGCCCACACACACCTGTTCTTATTCCTAAGCACAGAACACTTGGAAGCCAGAATATTGCTACCCTATGTCAGAATTTATGGTGGACAGACACTAAGTGATTTCCAATGATCACTTTCTAGTATTCACATCCTTGTATAATCCCTCCCCTTGCATGTGGCAAGACCTGTAACTTGTTTCTAACTACTTGGCTATAGCAAAGGTTGCAAGATATCACTTCTGTGGTTCTATTACCTTAAGACTTTGTTTTTCAAGAAGACTGTATCCAGAGATTCTCCTTGTGGACATAATGAAATAAGCAGACATGCCAAGGAAGACCACATAGCAAGGAATCGCAGTTGACTTCTTAGAAATAAGAATGACCTCTAAGTGAATTCTACCAACAGTCTGAATGAGTTCAAAAGCAAATTCTTCCCCAGTTGAATCTCCAGATGATAACTGATTTTTAAAAAATTCACCAATGGCATGATCCTCTTGAAGTATATATAAAACCTACAAAAAGCAGCCGGAAATAAAAAGTGACCCTTGCTAGGTTGTAGTATACAAGATCAACATACAAAGATTAACTATATTTCTATAAACAAGTAACAAACAATTGAAAACAATTTTAAAACAAATTTGAAAAAATTTATAAGCAGTATCATTTTACATTGCATAACAAATATAAAATGCCTAGGTATCAAGTTGACAAAAGTTGTGCAAGAAACCGTGTACAGAATGAGACATTGCTGAGAGAAACTACAGAACACCTAAACAATTTAAGTGATATACCATGTTCATAAATCAGAAGACAATTTTCTTCTGATGTCCATTGTCCTCAAGTTAATTTGCAGATTAAATACAATCCCAGTCAAAATACCAGCACAATTTTTCTGTAGAAATTGATAAGCTGATTCTAATATTAATGTGGAAACACAATGCCAAGTATACAGAATAGTCTTTGAAAAGGAAGAACAAAGTTGGAGGACTTCTACCTGATTTCAAATCTTAAAGTAAAATCTATAATAATCAAGAAAGTGTGTATTGGCATAATGATAGCTCAATAGATTGATGGAACTGGATCCATTCAAGAAATAGACTCAAACATATGGGGGCAATTGACTTTTTTTTTCTGAGATGGAGTTTCACTCTTGCCCAGGCTAGAGTGCAGTGGGCCCATCTCAGATCACTGCAACCTCTGCCTCCTGGATTCAAGTGATTCTCCTGCCTCAGCCTCCCGAGTAGCTGAGATTACAGGCATATGCTACCACACCCAGCTAATTTTGTATTTTTAGTAGAGACAGGGTTTCACTATGTTGGTCAGGCTGGTCTCGAACTCTTGACCTCAAGTGACCCACATGCCTCAGCCTCCTAAAGTGCTGGGATTATAGGTGTGATCCACCATGCCCAGCCGGCAATTGACTTTTGACAAAATTGCAAAGACAATCCAATGGAGAAAGGATAGTCTTTTCAAGAACTGATGATGGGACAATTGGATATGAAGATGCAAAAAAAATTAACACTGTAAATAAAAATTAACACAAAATAAATTATAATTCTTAATGTAAAACCATAAGCTAGAAACTTCTATAAAAAAGCATGCAAGAAATATTGGTAACCTTGGGTTAGGCAATTCGTTTATTAGATATGGCACTAATAACACAATCAATAAAAGAAAAAATTGATAATATAGTCTTTATCAAAATTAACACTTCTGCTGTTATAAACATACTGTTAAGAGGATGAAAACATTAGTGATAAAGAGAAAAAAAGTATTTTCAAATAACCTGTTTGATTAAAAACAAACAAACAAAAAACACTTGTATCCAGAATATATAAAGAATCCTGGCCCGGCGCAAGTAAACTGATTCTCATATTAGTTAAACAATTAGTTGGCCAGGCACGGTGGCTATGCCTATAATCCCAGTACTTTGGGAAGCCACGATGGACAGATCACTTGAGGCCAGGAGTTTGAGACCAGGCTGATCAACATGGTGAAACCCCATCTTTACTAAAAATACAAAAATTAACTGGGTGTGGTGGATCATGTCTGTAATCCCAGCTACTCGGGAGGCTGAGGCACGAGAACCACTTTAACTCGGGAGGTGGAGGTTGCAGTGAGCCGAGATGGTGCCACTGCACTCCAGCCTGGGTGACAGAGCAAGACTTGTCTCAAAAAAACAAAAACAAAAGCATCCTAGGAACACAGTAATAGGAACAAACAAAACAAAACCCAATAAAGATGTGCAAAAGATTTGAAACAGTACTTTACCAAAATAGGTATATGGATGACAAACAAGGGTGTGAAAAGTAGCTTAACATCATTAGTTGTTAGAACAATATAAACTGAAACCCTAATAAGATACCATTACAAATCTATTCAAATAGCAAAACTTAAAAAGACTGACTGTACCAAGCATTGCTGGGACTATGGAGCAAACTTCTCTGGCGGAAAAGAATATGTTCATGATTTTGACTGTGGTGATGGTTTCCTGGCACATATATTTGTCAGTATATATGGTTGTTAATATTTTCTCTGCTTCTAAATGCTTCCTTTTGGTAAAGTTTCTCCTTCCCATTTCATAGGATTCTGATAAGCCTGACAATCAAAGGGACACCTCAACCTCTCTGCCAAGTGAGGCTCACTAGAGACCTTTTTTTCTTTTTTTTTTTTTTTTTGAGACAGAGTCTTGCTCTGTTGCCCAGGCTGGAGTGCAGTGGTGTGAACTCGGCTCACTGCAAGCTCCACCTCCCAGGTTCATGCCATTCTCCTGCCTCAGCCTCCCAAGTAGCTGGGACTACAGGCGCCTGCCACCATGCCCGGCTAATTTTGTTTTGTATTTTTAGTAGAGATGGGGTTTCATCGTGTTAGCCAGATGGTCTGGATCTCCTGACCTCGTGATCAGGAGATCACTTCTCGGCCTCCCAAAGTTCTGGGATTACAGGCGTGAGCCACCGCGCCTGGCCACAGAGAGCTTTTTGTAGATTGATTCTGATGTTGGAAGGAAGAGAGCCCAGCTCTTGAGAGCCTAGTGCTGTTGAGGCATTGAGGGTCCTCTTTGCCACGTAGAGAGTGTTGGTTTAAAGAAAACCCATGGAAAAAAGCAGGGGGAAACAGAGGGCAAAGGGAAAATAAATCCCCCTGACATTGTTTGAATCCCCAGATTCAGCCATTCCTGAAGCCAGCCATTACCTTGAATTTCCCGAATAAATGAACTCCAAAATTCCCCTTTTAGGCTTAAGATAGTCTGAATCGAGCTTCCGTCACCACAATGAAAAGAAGATTCATAAAATGCTGAATCTGAATTTGTGTCACTACAGGATGGAATCTCATAATCATGGTGACACACTGTCTTACCGAATGTCTTCGTATGCAAACGTCAGTCCAGGGAAAGTGTAGCTTTGGAAGGTAATGTGCAATAAGTAAACTAAGAGCAATGCAGACACACCGGATATTACACCAATGTGTTTTTTAAATACATAATACAGGGAAACAGAGACGTCAAATAATTTAAGAATAATTCAGAAGCCTGCCTGAAGAATGACATTGTAATGTCCTTTGGAGACAACAGAAGAACACAGAGTAGAATTGTCAAGAGTGGGTCCTGTCAGACTGACCTAGCTTGCATTTCTGAATAAAATGCCTGCCAGATAGATTAATGGGGAATTTACCATAACTGAACATTCCAGACAGTCCAGCTTCACTGTTTGACCTTGGTAGAGGTTCATGTTCCCTTGGGCCCTCAACTTCCTCATCTGTGAAATGAGACAATTTCAACATTTGTGTTCTTCAATTCCATAACTTAAAAAAAGGCGGGGGATGGGGAAGAAAGATGTCTGGCTGATGGGCTGGGGGTGGTGGGATAAAGAATTCCCCCCCGCCACCCCACTGGAGAGATCTACCAGGGTCCTTGAAGGCTGAATCATCCTCCAGGTAGTGGTCCCTTGACCTTGGCACTATGACATTTTGAGCTGGATAATTCTTTGCTGTGAGGGTTGCCTTGGGCATTGTAGGATGCTCGGTAGCATCTCTGGTCTCTACCTACTCTATACTAGTAACAACTCTCCCATCCCCAGTTTTGTAACAGCCCAAAATATTTCCAGACAAAGTCAATGTCCCCTGGGAGGCAAAATCATTCCCACTTGAGAACTTCTAGAGGCTTAGTGATGGAGAGGAGTGTTCAGCGTGGGGATGCTGTCAAGGAAGCAATGAGGCAGGTGGTAGTGGCATCTTAAAAAACAAGATCACAAAGGATCTTGGGGACTTAGGGAGAGTGGTCAGAAGCAAACAGCCTGGTGTTCAATAAGGTCCAGCCAAAGATAGGGCACTTAGGAAAAACAAAGTGCACTCCCTTAGAATGGGGAACACACACCTGAGTGTGACGGTGCAGGGTAAGAGCATGGCGTATCAGAGAAGAACAGATTCAACTGCAAAAAACAAGTGGCAAAGAGGCAATCATGATTTGGGGTGTGGAAGAGGTCATTTTTAATGGCAAATTGGAAGGTTCTCTGTGGGTCTAAACTGGCTGCATCCTGGTCATGAGCCTGTGCTGAACAGGCCTCTGCTACCCCAGCCCTAGAGACCTAGGGGAAGTGATTGAAATATTGTCACACTGGAGCTGAGAAGGTAGGCTCCTCGAGCTAGAGAAGAGGGGACTGAGATTGCCTGATTTGGATGGATCGCTAAATTCAGCCTGGAGAAAACAGGGCCCACTGGCTGAGAGGGTTTCTGGTCTCTACTCCTTCCACCCCACCTCTCGGGGGGGAAGTTCTTCTTTTTCTTCCATTTGTCATTATTATTTGTACATTGAAAATTCACTTTGGCCCATTTCATCTTTGTTCCTTTCTCCTGATCATTTTGCTCACATTCAGGGGCTGACTTACTCCTGTTAAGTCTATGTAGAGGGTATTGAATTGGACCCTTATGTTTAATTTGCTCAACCTCTTTGTCTGGAGTCCTGTCTTGTGCTTGTTGAATGGCACGGGCAATTTAGTTAAAGGTTACTTGGGATGTTGAGTAAGAACTATGTCTTTGAGTACACACAAATATTACAAAAAAACAAACAAACAAAAGAAACAATTGTTGAATCTGCTCTCTCTCTCTCTCTTTTTATAGACATTATGAATCCTTATCTCAACAAGGAGGACCGGCAAAGGGTGGGAAAGATAAATAACTAAATATAAGAGCATGTCAGGGCTATGGGAAATCAAGAATCACAGAATAGTTTGCTTCTGAGAGACAAAAGATATGGTGTGTCAACAAAGAGAGGCATGGAGTCTGAAGTTCCAGACATGGCTGTGGGGGTGGCATGTAGGAGTTGGTTGCAAATTTCTTTGCCTTAAGCTGAGACTTCAGGGAAAATGTAATTCTTATTCTCCCTGCATTAGTGATCATTTTTAGACCCCTTGCTCACTAAATAGCAGGAGGGATAAGATGTGTGTGTGTAAGGGGGGAGGATTGATTTAATCCAATCCAGCAGTCTTAGTATGCTAAAGATAGCGTATTTCTCTGATTATATAAATAATTCAGGCTCATGGTAGGAAATCCAAATGATACATAAGAGTAAAGAAGAAAGTAAAAATCACTTGAAATTCTGCCATTCTTCAGCAGCCACCAAGCACATGTTGCTGACCATCCTTTTGCTGATTCAGTAATTTGGACAGTCTCTCTGGGTTGAATGCTTGAATTCAGATCTTGTTGCCCCTGTTTCTCTTCAAAGCGATGCTATCTGGGTGCACAAAGAGACTTCCTGGGACTTCCTCCCAGCAGAGGGAAGGGGGCCTCAGATCTGCCTCCTCTAGTCTCTGCAGCATGGTTTCTTACCCCTAGTTCCTGCTACCATTCATAGCTGAAGTTGGAGGCTTGTGTAATTCATGGTTACATCTTCCCTGCCTTGGCCAGAGTCCTTGTTTAATTGGGCTCCCCTGAGCTCCTGACCCTTCTGAGTCTCTGGCACATTCTTTCTTTGGCTCTTTTACCTCAAGATAGGCTGAATGCAGGCCCTGTGATGCTGCTTGAGCTTTTTTCCCATGACACCAGAGAGCAGGAAGAAGTTCTGCTACCTGTCCATGAAGAGAGGACAGCTTCTAGATGATCTGTTTCAGAATCCAATAGGATTTGAATTTCTATTCAAAAGTCCACTGCTCAAGTCATTCCCCTCAACGTGTCTGTACCACCTTCTATGCTCTTGCCCAACACCTGGAGCAGTGACACTGGCTCTGTGGCATCACTGTCTCTCATACCCCACCGCTTCTGCTTCTTTCCTGTCTTCACTGTTCTGTTCTGCAGGGCTGGGAAGGGTAAGCCTCTCCCTATCTCATCGTCAACACTACCCCCTCTCCTTTCCCAGAAGGTATCATGCAGGATGGGGTGAAAAGAGAGATGCACTGGCTTACCCATCAGGGAAATACCATGCTTGTTGAGAGGTGCCAATAAGAGGATGGTTTTGAGCCTCATGATGGCCCCACTGAAGAGAGAATGAAAGGAAATGGATTACTTCCCCCAGATGATCAGGTTTTCTATAGCATTCATGAAGATTACACGATTTCTCCCTCTCCAGAAGTTTTAAAATGAGACCTCTCAGATTTCATAAATCTGCCTCATTCCCTTTCCTATCAAGGGAAGATGCTCCTGCATTGTCCCTAAGACGCTATGGTCATCAGATAAGTTGGTGGTTTCTCAGGCACCACGTGGGGAGTAGCTGGAATTATTCACACTCTAACCCCTTGCACGTGGCTCAGTGCCTGGCACACAGTTGGCTCCCTGCAAACACTGTTGCAGAAGAATGGAAAAAAAATGATGGATAAGTTCTGTTCTACATAGCTAAAGTTTATTTTGTTTGAAGACTGAAGAACAAAGGAGACACCCCTCCAAGGTCATGGATGATTCTGTGAGTCTGTGTACACATTCCCATGGCTAGACAGCATTATATTAAAATCTGTCAATGTTTCTATGCTGTCCACCAAGCTGGCTACTGTGCTAGGTACTGACATCTGTAAACATGTAATTTATATTCTTCTGTCACCTGCATTACACTGAAGGAACATCCCTCGGGTTCACAGAAATTAGTTATCCCATAGGCTGGATGGATGATGAATAGGTGGCTTTTTCACCAGCCCAGCTAGGTTTGGAAAATGCCAGATGCCTTCACTATTCCACCGATGTGTTGATGCACATGATTAAAAAGCCAGGGGCATGCTCAGAGCAGGAGTACAAAAAGCAGACGTTTCTCCCTCAAGGGAGCTGTCTCCAGTGACCCAAGACTGCCATCATGCTGGGATCTGTGATGTCCTTTCTGCTCCCCACCCTCCTGGAGAGAAACCTGGCAGAGCTGCAACCTTGGAGCAAAGAGGCTTCCAGTCTGTTATTTTGACTTTTCTCAGCGGGGTCTTTCTCTGCCTAATTGCCCTGTTTACTCTTCCTGTTCTCTTTTAAAAGCCTGGCATTCAAAGTAGAACTAATTCTGTTTTAAGAGATTGCCAGGAAGCAACACGAAATCTACCTGCTTTTGAGTTTCACATTTCATTTTATTTCTTTCTCTAAATAAAAGCAGGGCATTTTATTTTGCGTTCCTCTGATATCTCCCTCTATTTTCTTGATTCTTCAGGCAGAACTCCCCGTGTTCACTGTTCCATCAATGAGGATGGAAAGAACACTTAAGCTTCTCTTGCTCTGTTGCTGGCCTAAAGCCATCCAGCATCTGTTTTGGGCCACTAGACAAATCTGGTCACAGCTCTGGGCCTGGAAGTGCATTGGAACATAGGCGATTAGTTCAGGTTTACCCTGACTGCTTCTAGAGAGTTCTAGGACATCATGAGCATATCATGAAAAAATATCTGGATCTCATTCTCCATTCTTGTCTTTTGCAACTCAGACTACTTCCAGAAAGGTTAACTTTAGGGTATTACTTGTAAACACTCTAAGGAATATGATATTTTACATGTCTTTCAGCATATTATTGATAGGAACATCAGTCAATGTTCCTTCATGTGTTTGTTGTTAGAGAATCCACAAAGCCAATTAGAAAGTTGCTTTTCTGGTACCTCCCATTTCTTGCAAATACATACTCCTCACTGCTTGAATATGTAGCTTAAGTGTAATTAATCAATTTCAACTAATTAAATTGAAATTGAACACTGTATTAGTTTTGCTAGGGCTGTGATAACAAGCTACCATAGACTGGGTGGCTTACACAACAGAAATTTATTTCTCATAGTTCAAGGGGCTGAAAGTCCAAGGTCAAGTTGTTCCAGGTTTGGTTTCTTCTGAGGCCTCTCTCTTTGGCTTGCAGCCAGCCAGCCACCTTCTCATTATATCCTCATGTGGTCTTTTCTCTATGTGTGTGCATCCCTAGTGTCTCTGTGTGTCCAAATTTCTTCTTCTTATAAGGACACCAGTCATTTTGGGTTAGGGTTTACCCTAATGGCTTTATTTTAATTAGTCATCTCATTAAAAGCTCTATCTATCTCCAAATATAGTCACAATCTAAGGTATTAGAGGGATTAGCACTTTTAACATATGAATTTTGGAAGGTCAGTCTCAAATCCATCTCCCCGACCAACTGAATTGGGAGGTTTATACAGTGGGAAAGGAATGTAAAACAGGAATTAAGGAGGGGTAAGGAAGCAATTACGAAGAAAGAGGGGTCTGGCATCTCATTGAATGCAGGGTCTGATGAGTTTCAGTCCCTTGCCTGAGGGGGAACTCAGATGAGACAAATGTAAACTACAAGTTTTAAGACCAGAAGGGACAATGTCTGTGTTTATTCAAAACCTCGTAAACGTAATTTCTATGGGGCAATTGGGCTGGTTTTGCCTTCACCCATGAACTTGGCTTTTAAAGCTGAACTTCCTGCATGATGGGCCTCCTGTGGCCTGCAGAGCTCCAGTTCCTTCTCCATAGAGCCCAGCCCAGGAAGATTTGGTTTGCAGATGAGAAAAATGAAACAATAAAGATCAAGTGACTTTCCCAAGCTCACATTCCAGCAAGTGACAGAGCCATGATTCAGACCTCTTACTCAGCCCAGCCTTCCTTTCTTTACCCCACGTAGCCCATAGTCAACTATAGAATCAGTTGGAATCAATAACACCTCTGGCTTAGCATCCCGAAGGCTCACATCAGACCTTTAAAAAACATATTTTGAGAAAGTAGCCTCATCGGTCCTAAGTGTATTAAATCAACTGATTTGTCAATTGAGGATAGAATAATTTCTTCTTTTTCTGGTGACATAAATTTCTCACCTCCTTTAGGAAGAAGCATAGAGGAGGAATTCCGTATTTTCATCCTGATACCATTATGATTCCATTAATTAAATGGTGTGTTTCAAAGCCCTTACGGATCAGTCATGAAATTTCTGAGGCTCTGTGAAGGTCAAAGCCCTTTGTGGTCAGCACCTCTTATTTCCGTGGGTGAGTCAGAGGTTTTCTTCATGAATTGCCATAGCCTCACCTTTGATTTAAAATATTCAAAAAAGATGCTCTTAGTGTCTCTGATTCTTAAATCTATGATTCAGGGCCTTGTGCACTACTTCTTGTCATAGCCAAAACAGATTTTCTGAGGTTTTCTTTCATGATGAATTAGAAGTTGCTCTTGGATCTGACTTTGATCTCTGCTCTTGGTAGTTTCCTGAAAGTTTCTTCTAATTGATGAGTTAACTAGGAATCAGCCAATATATGGCTTTTATGACAAGGAAAGTTTACCTGCCTTTCTACTCCTATTTGTCTGCCAGGAGGAAATGTGCCTTGAGTTCTCTGAAAAGCAACAGACTCACCATGGAAAAACAAGTTTTCTTTCTCTATATTTGTTAAATACACATTCTTGAGAGCCCTATATCATAAATAATATTAAATATGTATCTCCTTATGCATTTATTTTTTAAAGCAATTTTATGGAGGTATAATTAAGATAAGATACAATGCGTAATTTTAAGGAAAAAGTTTAATGAGTTTTGTCAAATGTAAAGATGTAAACATCACCGCAGTCAAGGTAGAAAGTCTGACCATTATTCCCTAAATTTCCTTCTCATGCTTTGCAATTAATGGCCACACCCAACCTCAGCTTTAGGCAAGAATGAATCTGCTTTCTGCAATTATAGTTCTGCTTGTTTAGAAGTTTATGTAAATGAAATAAAGCAGGGGTTCTGGAATCTTTGGGGTCTGGATTCTTTTGCTCAGCATTTAAAAATTTTATTTGGTGATTCATCCATGTCTTATGTGTAACAGACATTTATTCCTTTTTATCACTGAGTAATATTACATTGTACAAAGGTAACACCATCTGTTTATCTATTTACACTTCTATTAATTTTTTTGCAAAATAATTACTTGATATGTGATATTGGTAATTACTTGGTATGTAATTTATTCTATTTTCTTGAGTTAATATTTAGGAGTGAAATTACTGGGTTGTGTGGCAAGAGTAATTTAACTTACAGGAAACCATCAAACTATTTCCCAATGTGGTTGTGCCATTTTACATTCCCATCAATAGTATATGAGAGTTCCAGTTGGCCTGTATTCTGACACATGATATTGTCCGTCTTTTTAATTCCAGTCATTGCTGTGGGTTTATATTATTATCCCATTGCAGTTGTAATTTTGATTTTCTTGATGACTAATGATGTTGGGTATCTTTTCATGTGCTTTTTAGTCATTTTTAAATGTTTGTTTCAACATTTTTCCCATTTCTATTAGGTTATTTTTCTTTTAATTGCATTTACAACATTTAAAAAATAAATTCTAGGTATAAGTTGTCAGATACATGTATTGTGAAACTTTTCTGCCAGTGTGTAGCTTACCTTATTTTTTTTTAATGTTATCTCTCAAAGAACAGAGGTTTTTAATTTTAATGAAGTCCAATTTATCAATTTTTCTTTTATCCTTTGTGCTTCTTGTGTTCTATCTAAGACATTTTTACCTATCATGGTTACAAAGATATTTTCCTACATTATTTTCTAAGAGTTTAGTTTTTCTTTTACAAGTATTATCATTTAGCTTTTTTTTTTTTTTTTTTTTTTTTTGAGATAGAGTCTTGCTCTGTCGCCCAGGCTGGAGTGCAATGGCGTGATTTCAGCTCACTGCAACCTCTGGCTCCTGAGTTCAAGTGGTTCTCCTGCCTCAGCCTCCTGACTAGCTGGGATTTCAGGTGCCCACCACCACACCCAGCTAATTTTTGTATTTTTAGTAGAGACAGGGTTTCACCATGTTGGCCAAGCTGGTCTCAAACTCCTGACCTCAGGTGATCCGCCTGCCTTCACCTCCCAAAGTGCTGGGATTACAGGCGTGAGCCACTGCGCCCAGCCTATAATTAAGCTTTTATGTTTAGGTTAACACTTCAAATTAATTTTGTGTGTAATATGAAGTGGGGGTGAAGTTCTTTGACATTAAAAAAAAATTGTCTACTTTTGCAAACAATATTTTTTGAAAGGGCTGTTCTTTCCCAACTGACACTTTTTCAGAAATCAGTTGACTGTGTATGTGTATATGCCTATTTTTGGACCCTCTTCTATTACTCTGACCTATATTTGTATCTTTACTCCAAAAATATATTTTTGTTGATTTTTTATTACATGTCTTCAAAACCAAGTAGGATAAATCCTACAACTTTGTTCTTTTATTTTTTATTTTTTTAAATTTTCAGCCTTCGTATTTCTATAAAAATTGTAGAATACCATTACTAACTTCTATGATAAAAGAGCCTGCTGGGGTTTGGAATGCAGTTGTGATGAATCTGTAGATTAATTTGGGGAGAATGAATAGCTTAGCAATATTGAATCTTCTGGTTCATAAGCATGGTATAGTGCTCCATTTATGTTATTAGTAATTTTTTCAGTAATGTTTTAACATTTTTATTATGTGGGCTTTGCACATATTTTGTTAAATTTATCCACAAGTAGGTCATGTTATTGATACTTTTCTGAAATAAACTTTCATATTTTTAAAAATTTCACTTTTCAATTGTTTTTCCATAGTATTTAGAAATACAATTGATTGTTTGTATATTTATCTTATATCCTGGGATCTTACTAAATTCACTTATTAGTTCTTTGTAACTTGTGGTTTCTGAAGGATTTTCTATATCTGTGATTATGTCATCTGAAGATAATTTTATTTTTTTCTTCTCAATCCATATGCTTTTTATTTCTTTTCTTGCCTCATTGCATTGACTAGGCTGTTTAGTGCTATTTTGAATAGGAAGTAGTGAGAATAGAATCCTTGCTTCATTCCTGATTTTAGGTGAAAAGAATTTAGTCTTCATTAAGTATGAAGCTAACTGTAGGTTTCTTTGATGCACACACACACCCACACCCACACACACAGAGGTTTGGTATTTCTTAGGTTAGTTTTTATAATTCTCTCAGATTCGATTTGCTAAAATGTCTATTTTGCCTTCATTTTCTTTGGCAATTGAGTAAAATCAAATTTACTTGTTTATTTATGTGTTTATATTGAGATGAAATTCATGTAACATAAAATTAACCATTTTAAAGTGTACAGTTTGGTGAGACAGTACATTCACAATGTCATTCAACCATCACCTCTATCTAATTCCAAAATATTTTCATCACTCCCAAAGGAGACCCTGTACCTATTAAGCAATTATAGGCAACTCCCAATTCTCTCATACCCCCAGTCCCTGGCAAACACTAATTGGACTTAACTATTCTAGATAATTCATGTAAGTGGAATATACAATATATGACTTTCCATGTCTGCCTTCTCTAACTTAGCATAATGTTTTTGAGGTTGATTCACTTTATGGCACATATCAGTACTTCATTCATTTTTCTGGCTAAATAACATTCCATTGTATGGATATACCGCAATTTATTTATTCATTCATTTATCCATTGATGGGCATTTGGGTTGTTTCTACCTTTTGGCTGTTGTAAATAGTGCTGCTATGAATATTTGTGTACATCTGTTTGAATATCTGTTTTCAATTATTTTAGAAGTATATTGCTGGGCCATATGGTAATTCTATGTTTAACTTTTTGAACAACCACCAAATTGTCTTCCACAGTGGCTGCACAATTTTACATTTTTACCAGGAATGTATGAGGGTTCCAATATTTCCATATCCTTTTAAATCCCAACAAATGTTGGCACTTGAATTCCAAGTTGACAGTGTTTTCTTGCAGTGTTGGCACTTGGTGGGATTTAAAAATTCTTTTTATCATACCCATCCTAGGGGGTGCTAAGTGGTATATCCTGTTGTGTTTGATTTGCATTTCCTTAATGACTGAAAAGGGCTACTGGCATTATGGGAGGGATTGCATTCAATCTGTAGTTTGCTTTGGGGAATATTGCCATCTTGACAACTAAGTACTTCAACTCATGAACATAGATGTTTTTTCATTTTAGGTCTTCTTTAATTTCTTTCAGCAGCAATATTTTGTAGTTTTCAGTGTACATGTCTTGTACCTCCTTGATTAAATGTATTCCTAATTATTTTATTCTTTTTGATGCTGTTCTCAATGGATTTTTTTCCTTTCCAGTGAATGTCTTTCATTTCTTGTACTTGCTTAATTGCTCTGGTTAGAACTCCCAATCTAATACTGAATACAAATGCAAAAGTAGGCATCCTTATCTTTTTCTTGATCTTAGGAACAAAGCTTTCAGTCTTTTACCATTGAGTATATTAGCTATGGGTTTTTCATAGATGTCCTTTATCATGTTGAGGAAGTTCTCTTTCATTTCAAGTTTGTTAAGTGGTTTTATCATGTGTCAAATGCTTTTGTGTATCATTTAAGATAATCTTATTTATTTTCCTTCATTCCTTTAATACAATATATTACATGGATTGATTTTTATATGTTGAACCATCCTTGCTTTCCTGAGATTAATTCCACATGATTTACCTTTACTTTTGAAGGATATTTTTGCTAGCTGTAGAATTCCAAGTTGGCTGTGTTTTCTTGCATAAATTGAGAATATTATACCATTGTTTTCAAATGTGCTTTTATTCCCCTGATGTAAAGTCTATAGTCATTCTTTTTTCCTCTGTCTGCTTTGTAATTTTCTGGTCTTCAGCAGGTTTATTATGATGTGTCTTGGTGTGATTTTTGTTTGTTTCTTCTACTTGAGGTTTGTTCATTTTCTTGGATTTGTGGACTTATAGTTTCCATTACATTTGGAAAGTTTTTGTTCATAATTTATTCAAATAATTTCCTACACCCATTCCCTTCCTGTGGGACTTTAGTTGCACATGTATCAGACGATGACATTGTTCCAGAGTCACTAAGGAGCTATTTTTTAAAAAATTATTTTTTCTTTTTTCTCTGTGTGCTTTAGTTTGCATAGTTTCTATTGCCATGTTTTCAAGTCACTGATTTTGTTTTTTTCTAAACCTCTTCATCTGCTCAATGTAACGAGACTGCTGCTTTCTTTGTTTTCTCTCCCTGTGTGTCAATCCATGAAGTGCCTCCAAGCAGAACTCCAGAGTGAATGTAGCACTCACCTTGTTTGATTCCTTTTCTCTGGCATCACAGTCTTATACTGTTTGTTAGTACCTGAAGGTAATTGTTTCATATGTTTTATCCAGGTTTTAAGTAGTTTAAGTGGGTAAGAAATTTTGTTACTAGTTACTCCATCATGGCCAGAAGCACAACTCTCCTACTACTTTCTTTACTTAGTGCGTGAGTAATAGTTTGGCTTCAGCTTTTAACTAATTTCTTTAGTATAGATGTCTCTAAATGGTTACTTGCCTCTGAAATTGATAAATCAAGAGCTCTGTCTCCATGACTTTAGAGATTTCTAGTAGGAAGAAGAGAATATTTGACTTAAAGAACTGCATCAAACAAATGCAAAAATTCAATGATTTGTCTGAGGATCTGAGTCCTAAAAGTGTAGGAGAGAATGCACTATCCCACACTTAAGTCAGTCCGTTTGACAACACATTAGCTTCCATTCCTCCTGCCTACAAAGAGCAGGTATTGTCCCCAAGTGTTCCAAGAGACACCACCATCGCCAACAGTTAACCCTTCATAATCATTATCTTATTGCTCTTACTCATATTTCATGTGTCTGTCTATCCAGGGAGCACCATATGTAATTTGATTTAATACACAGCATGTAGAATGAATGATAAACTATAATCTCAAAGGAATTGGAAGGACATTATTAACAAAAATTAATTATCACAACTACCATATATTGTGTGCCTGCTATGTGGTAGGTACTATATATGTAATATTTCTAATCCCAATAACCATACTAAGAGGGAAACAGTCAAATTTCCATTTTACTGAGGCAGGAATAGTGAGATAAAGTATTGCTGAGGTCCCAGGCTAAGTGACAAGAAGGGGCAGAATTTAAACTCCTATCAGATATGCTCAGAAGTGCTGTTCTTTCCACTATGTCATATTGATACCAGCAAATTCTGAAAAGGGAACAAAACCATGGGCTCTTGTTTATCTCCTGTTTTGCACTTTGTGGAGGAAAAGCCATCACTCTTCTCTCAGCAAGAGTTTCCTATTGTACAGATACTGTTATTTGATTCTATTATTGAAGGCTCTGATAGGATGCTCACACAAAAGGAGTCTCACGTCTTAGCATAGTTTGCTTTATGCCTCCTGAGACTTCCTCCTGTTCTGGTCCCAAATACTCCTGTAAGGCCTCCATTCTCATGCCATAGCTCCTGAGCAATGACTTACAGGAGCAACACGGAGACTCCTCCTAGAAAAACAGTGGGGATTCCAGCTTCAGCATAAAAAGTCTATATATATTTTACATCTTGCTACACTCAAATTTTAAAATAATCAGGTCAATAATCATACTCACTAACATTATATCTAATGTCAAAATTGTGTCTTTTGTTAATATAATAATTAAATAAAGACTGTTTAAACCTATGTCCATATAGCTATTCTAAGGGTTAATACAATCTTGCCTATAACTTGGAATATGATGTGAGAATAGTAAGATGTAGTTTGAAAACACTTTCAATTGTCTGAATTGAAAGAAAGCATTGCAGGTACAGAAAACAAATTGAGTCTGCCTGCAAATCACTTGCAGTATGAGATTTGGAGATCCTATTCAAAAAATGCTTTTTTCTCCCTATTTTTCTAGTTGATGGTCATATTAGCTCCTATCTTTTGTCAGTGGCTCATCTCCAGTTATCTTAGAAATATACCTGAAAAAAAAGAGAAGTTATTTTTCTTCCTATAAAAAAGGCACATTGAGTTATTCCTAGCAGTCTCTAAATGGCAAAGTTGCTTCATTTTCATAATTTACCTGTGATTTTCTGGGACTAATAAGTTATATTTTGGCGATAGACAATAAATCAAATTTGAAAATTACAAACATTAAAACTTCTAGTAATAATGTAAATATAGAGAAAGTAATAATGGTTTCTTTGCTATTTCTTTTGCTTATTGATTTTGTCTTTGTCAGGCATTTAATTTAAATTATAATTGTAGAATGAGAGTTATCTGTCTGCTACTTTCATCTCCCTACCATATTTTAAGCTCTTTGAGGCAGGGCCATGACAATAGTTACCTTTGTCTCTCATGTCTGGTAGCATGTCTGACAAATGGTAGACACTTGTACTATATATTTAAATAAATGGAAGTTCAAAAATATTTCATTTCCTAAAAATTTCACAAAGAAACATTGTCAGCTTCACTGTGGGAGAGTCACATGAGAGTTTATTGATGGTTCTTCACTATATATAAATTTTGCTTAATTTAAAAATTTTTAAACTAAAAAAATACAACAAATACCTACATTACTGCCACCCAGCATTAGCAGTGGTTACTATTTTATTGTATTTGTTTCCTTTAAATAGAAAAAAACAATCACAGATATAGCGAAGACCTTTTTTAATGGCCGCTGCTCTGGGTTTATGTTCTTTTTTTGTTGGAGTACATCCTCAAGTGAGGTCTGTTAAAGAAAGTTCTTTTAGATTATGTCTATCAGAAAAGTTTTTACTCTATCTTCATTCTTTGCTGGTTAGTATATGATCTTAGATATACAGTTTTCTTTCAGTGATTTGAAGATATTATTCATTCTTCTCTACTTTAATTGTTGACATTGATATATGCGTGGTTAGTCTTATTCCCTCCACGTTAACAAACAGTATTTTATGTCTACTTTCTTCTAAGATTTTCAGTATTCCACTTACTAATTATGTTAGCTGTGGATCTATTTTATCTACCTTGTCTTGGATTAACAAATTCAAAGATTCCTTATTCTGGTGGTTCATATCTTTCATCAATTTTGGAAAATTCTCAGTTGTATCTTAAAATAGTACCCCTTCCCAATGTCTCTATTCTTTCCTACTGAAACAGTGTTTAAAAATTAAAAAGATGTATGTTGCATCTTCTCATAGCCTTTCTGTCTCATTATTTCCCGTTTATATTTTCTACTTATTCAATTCTTTTGATGAATTTGGCTACATTCTTGAGCTTGATTTTGCTTTTATTACTTATCTATTTAGCTGTACCTAATTATCCTTTGGCTTATCAACTTAGATTTTAATTTTATAGATGAATTTACATTTCTTCCATAAGTATTTAATAATTTTAACTTTTGAACCTATATTTCCTAATTTTATTTTCTCAGGTTCTTAGGGCATTAAGTCGACTTTTGATTGTGTCTGTTAGATTTGACTTATAAATAATTCTTTCCTTGTGTGTCTTCTATTTCAGAATTGGGAGCTCATGTTTTGTTGTGCATGATTTGTGAGACCTTGTGTACTTTGAAGATGGTATATTCTTCCAGAGAATATATCCATCTCCTTATGTATGAATTATCACCATCTTGGAACTATTTGTATGCTGATTTCTCTCCCTCTGGGTTATCAGATGATATTAGTAGTGTAAATTCAAACTCTAAACTGTATGAACACAGGCATGAGCTCTCAGGGGAGAATTTTTTTCTTCACCAAAATACTAACTTTAGGCAAACAAGAGATCTTGTCATCTCTCTGGGCTGATGGATAAGGTTTTTCTAATCCACCCTTTTATAGGAGCTAGAGCCCATCAAGAGTCGTGGCTTCATGAGAAGGTCTTTGGTTCCAATTCTTTGCCTCACATGAGCTCAAGGCCTTAATTCCTATTCCTGTGTGGCTGTTGGAGCCCAAGCCCCCTGATAACCAGACAATGCACCTTCACGCCGTGCAGCCAAGACATCAACTTCTGCTTGCTGCTTGCTTTTAAGTGTCTTCTTTGTTCTGGCCCATGGGAAATTACTGTTCTTGGGAGAAATTTATTATGTTTTCCAGAATTTCTAGTGTTTTGTAAGGGAAGAGAGTATTTCCAGTTATTGGTAGCATACTGCATTGCCAGAAATGAATGAGTCTATTGGGTTTTCTATATAGATAATCTTATTTTCTGCATTGAAAGACACTTTTATTTCTTCCTTTCAAGGATATGTGTATTTTTTCTCCTTGTTTAATTTGCCAGAAACTCCAGTCTTGAAATTAATGGTAATTTCATCATTCAGAATAAGATTGGTTATAGATTTTGGGTAAATTTCTTTAATCAAATGAAGAAAGTTATCTTCTAAACTCAATTTCCTAAAAGCTCTTTTTAAATCACAAATGGGTTTGAATTTATTACATGATTTTCCTGTATGTGTTAAAATCACTACTTTTTTCTCCATTAAACTTTGGATTTTCTAAAGTTAATAGTTTTTCTAAACCATCAAAACATTGATAGTTTTTCTAAAGCTGAATGATATTTTGATTTTTGGGATGAACCCAAATTGACTATGGCATAATTTTCCCTCATTTTCCCTCCAAGTTTTTACTTTAAAAAATTCAAACCTATAGAAAAGTTAAAATCAGTAGTACAGTGAGCAACCATATACCTTTCATGCAGATTTGTGAACTTTTTGTCATATTTGATGTCTTTCTCTCTCTGCATAAACACACACACACATACACACACATCTATCTATCTATCTATCTATCTATCTATCTATCTATCTATCTATCTATCTATCTATATTTGGAACAGTGTTTCGCTGTGTTGCCCAGGCTGGAGTGCAGCGGCACAATCACGGCTAACTGCAGCCTCAACCTCCTCGGCTCAAGTGACCTTCCCATCTCAGCCTTCTGAGTAGCTGGGACTACAGACACACACCACCATTCCTGGCTGTATCTTTTCTCAACCATTTGAAAGTAATTTATAACCATGTTACACTTCTATATATTTTAGCACGCCTCTCCTAAAGACATTTTCCAAAATTACAACAATACTATTACTCAGGAAATTTATTACATGCCATCTGTAATAAAGGACATTAAATACATTCCCTAATTTCTATTTCTAGATTCAAATATAAATATTTATGAAACACTGTTGCTATGTCAAGCCCACAACTGGCCACAGAATAGAATAAAATGCAAGTGCAAAAATGTATTGTTTGACAGATTGACAGTGACACATCCATGGGAAAAAAACACAGACCTCGCCTTGGCTTTGGCAAGAGGTAGGTCCCTGCTGACTTTAACAGGAACTACTCCAGGCAAATGGTAAATAGAAAAGCCTTTATTGGAGTGGATGAAAGAGAGAAAAAGATGGGAGGAGTTGGGAACAGTGTGGCCAGAAACCCTTTTGGGAAATTTTGTCATGAAGAATAGAGAAATAGATAGTGGCTAGAGGGGGACACGACATCATAGAGGTTTTTAAAGAATTGGGTCATATTAAGGCATGATTTTATGTCTATGGAAATAATCCAGTAGAGAAGAATATATTGATAATGAAGGATAAAAAAGGTTAATTGTACAAGTGAAATTCTTGAGAAAGTAAGAGTGCATGAAGTAAATGGAGCGAGAGCCTGAGCTAGAGAAGGGAGGTTCTTTCATTGTAACAGAAAAGCAGTCAAAGCATGGGCCACGCACAAAGACCTTTGTGCAGGGATGAGGTTGTCTTAGGCCAGATATTGGCAAATGTTTTCTCTAAGGGGTTAGACAGTAACTATTTTAGGCTTTGTGGGCCATGCTTCCTTCATTGCAACTATTCAACTGCCATTGGTGCATGAAAGCAGTCACAGACAGGACATAGACAAAAGTATGTAGCTGTGTTCCAAAAACTATTTTATAGACATTGAAATTTGAATTTTCATGTGTTGCAAAATAATTTTTCCCCAATTGTTAAAACTATAATTTGCAGACCCTGTTCTACACTGATGGCTACTGTCTTTTCCATTATGTGTGAACCAGAGCCATTGTCAGCTGAAAGCGTGGAGGGGGGATAAGATGTTAAAATTGGAGGGATGTTACAGAAAATCAGAGCCAGATAGTTAAAGTGGTAAAAAGATTTTATTAGGCTGGGTGCGTTGGCTCACACCTGTAATCCCAATACTTTGGGAGGCTAAGGTGGGCAGATTACTTGAGCTCAGGAGTTCAAGACAAGCCTGGGAAAAGTGATGAAACCCTATCTCTCCCCCAACCAACCAAAAAAAAAAAAAAATTAGCTGGGCATGGTGGCATGTGCCTGTGGTCCCAGCTACTCAGGAGGCTGAGGTGGAAGGATCACTTGAGCCCAGGAGGCAGAGGTTGCAATGAGCCAATATCACAGCATTGTACTCCAGCCTGGGTGACAGAGTGAGACCCTGTTTCAAAAAAAAAAAAAAAAAAAGAAAGAAAGAAAGAAAGAATGAAAAACGATTTTATGTAGGAAATATTGTAATAGGAGAAAAAAAAGAGACCTCAGGATTGATCTGGACTCAATTCCAAATATAAGTGGGAATTTATAGCCAAGGAGCAAGTTGGGGTGGCAGTTGGGCAAGGTTGGTGGATGAAAAATTACTAAGAGGAGATATTGGCTGGGTGCGGTGGCTCACGCCTGTAATCCTAGCACTTTGGGAAGCCGAGGTGGGTGGATCACGAGGTCAGGAGTTCAAGACCAGCCTGGCCAACATGGTGAAACACTATCTCTACTAAAAATACAAAAATTAGCCAGGCGTGGTGGCATGCACCCGTAATCCCAGCTACTCGGGAGGCTGAGGCAGGAGAATAGCTTGAACCTGGGAAGCCAAAGTTGCAGTGAGCCGAGACTGTGCCACTGCACTCCAGACTGGGTGACAGAGCAAGACTTTGTCTTGGGTTAAAAAAAAAAAACAAAAAAAAAAAAAAACAGAGACCTCAGGGGTTGGAAGAGTAGGAGGAATTCTTGCTAAACTGATCTAACAGGATCCTTGATGAAGTCATGCCAGGGTGATCAGATATCACTTGGCCGATAGTAAGGAAGTGAGGATTTGATCAGATACCAAAGGTAACAGATATCAAGAGTGAATGATTCTTACTCAACTGACTTTGTATGATTCTTGCTGAAACTGGGCTATGCAGGCCTGAAGACAAAGCCCAAGGACAAGGCCTAGTTGAGAAAATGGCTTAGGGGCGACTCACTAAACTTTGGTCAAGGAGAGGCTTTGTCAAGGGAGAGGAGAAGCTATTAAATAATCATTTTGAAGAGAGGCAGATAAAATTTATTAAGGGTCTATAGTAGCACTATTTTGCCAAATTAATTGTCAAATTTCTATTTGTAGTTTAAAAAGATTAAGGTGAGTCTAGTCAGCACAGGAATCTGATTTTCTCCAGAAGCATTCAGCTGATTTGGCAAAGGTGAAGAATGAGTGGTTACTTAGGTACTATCAGAACTAGGTGTTGCTAAGGGGGTTAAAAGGAGAGAAAGAAGGGCAAGGAAATTAAGAGTATTTGCTCTACTTTGAATCCCAAATAACTTCAGAGAGAAATGCGTACACTAAAGGCATATTATTCAGGGAAAAAAATATGATTGGGGGTTGCAGTGAGGTCAGAACCTTACTGGAATGGAATTACTAGGGTACACTGGAAATACTGAAATTGAGTCTCAGAGAGAGGGGAGTCAAAAGATAGTTTATAAATATGTAGTCCTTCATGATGACAAGATATGGCCATGAGTTGCATGGCTGAGGCAGGGCAGAGAGAAGAATAATTGGGGCTGAGAAACATCAAGAACCTGAAAAAATGTTGAAAATGGATGTTGCACAAGAAATTATGCCAAGATGAATGGTGGAGAGTTAGGCAGCAAAGCAAGTGCCGAAGCAAGGGGGAAAGATCAGGAGACCATGTATGAGGCAAATAGGAGTGATCAGGGGTTTTGAAGTCAGCCGACATGCGGTTCAAAGGGGCAGGTGAAATAATTTTTGTTTTATTTTGGTGGTTTGTTTCCAGAAAGGAAAAAGGACCTCCTGCCTTACAACATCTAGGCACATATTTATTGTTTGTTTTGGTTGGATGCTTCCATGAACTAAATATTCTAAATGAAATGCTTCTTTTTGGGTCTGTTTAAAACGTTTATATGGTCTTCTCATTGATTATAATTCCTTTAAGGCCACAATTCTTTTTAACTGTGTCATACAAATGAGAGACCCAAAAGTAGCTAAAACCTCCCTATTCTTTAAAAAATCCAAAATAAAATTCAAAGTAAAGCATGTAAAGAAGAGCTTGGCTGCATATCTGCATTTTATTGGTAAGATGTGTGACTTTCCCTTTGTCCTGTCTCACAAGAATCAATAAGTAACTGCAAATACAACACACAGAAATGGGAAAAAATAATTTTCCTTTTTGTGCTAAAGCCACACTGGTTCTTTTGGTAGTAGAAGACTAGAAATCACCCCAAAAAAGCTCTCTTGCTACAGTTACAAATCACAGCACAATTGTTGAGTTACACAGTATTCGTTGACAGGCTTGGAAGGAATCAATGTGCCATACCACCCTTAGAAGGCAGTGAGGCCATGCTAGTTAACGTTAGGCCTAGGCAAAAAGAGAACTGAAATGGTTAATTGTTTCAGTTCAACATCTGCTAAGCACTTGGGAGTAAAATGTTAAGACAAGGGCCAGATTCTTCATGGACCAGATTCTTCATCAAAAAATTGAAAACTTATATGAAATGAACTTTTTTAAAGGAAAATTATGGAGTAGCATAATTGAGTTGAAAAGAACAAATAGAAAACCTGCATAGACCAATGACCATCAGAGAAATCAAATAGTAACAAAAATTTCTTCCTCACCTACTCACCCACCCAAAAAATACAGTAGGCTGTTTATAGGCAATATTTTGCAAATTTTCAAAGAACAGTTAAACCACATCTTATTTTAAAAGTTCCTAAAAATTTAAAAAGAGCTAAAGCTTTCTGACGCATTTTTATTACCCTGTTATAAAAACTTGAAAAAGTACAAGAAAATAAAATTGTGGGCCAGGAAATTGAATATAACAATGTATTACAAATAATCATCATAACCAAGGTGATATATTGCTTTATGAAATGATAGTTCAACTTTAGAATAGCTGTCAATATAATGTTGCATATTACTTGGAGATTAACAAAGAAGAGCCATATGCAGGAAAAAGCATTTGATAAAGTTCAACACCAATTTATGATGAATCTGTTAGCAATAAAAACTTTTAGCAAACTAAGAGCAGGGTGAAACTTCCTTAATTTGCTAAAGGATATATCAAGTATCAAAAGTAAATGTGATGCCTAATGGTAAACTCTTAGAATGTATTTCCATTAAATTTAGGAATAAAACAAGAGGTCTGCTTTTCCTATTATTAAAGTATAGGTCCTAGTCCTTTCAATAAGAAAAGGAAATAAAATGAAATGTATGAAGATTGGAAAGAAAGAGGTAAAACTGTCATTGCTTGAAAATTTTGTCATCTCTTAAGCAACAAACTAAGAGAATAAATGGGAAAATTCTTTGGGCTAAAAGAGAGCTCAACAATATACAAACTTCAATAACGTTTCTTTATACCATAAATAAGTAAAAAATATAATGAAAAAACAATACTATAAAAAATACATGAGTCATTTTCAGGAGCTAAACTGCGGCAAAGCTGAGGGTTTAAAAAGATTAACTTCACCACAAGGGGAAAAGTGAAACCAGAAGAGAGAGTCAAACACTGGAATGTTTTCAATTACTTATTCTATGATTGGTTTGCATTTAGACTCCTTTTCTTGAAGCAGGAGCTTAGTCATGTTAATTCTAATAACTCACACCAGCAGATCCTTCTGATTGGAATGCCCTCCCTAGTATCTGCTTAGTTATCTCCCACAAAGACAGCTCTTCCAGTTTTTGGAAGCTCTTGCTGTATCTCATTGATCTATGTAGCTTTAGTGTTTAACACAGCACAATGTTGGGCACATAGGAGAAAGCTTGTCATATCTTTCTTTGTTGACTGTCTGATGCTCAGAAGAGGAAGACTTTTTGTGTACTTGTTTTTATGTTTGTGTATTTGGTCACTTTACTCAATATATTGAAAGTGTTTTGTGGCCAGGCACAGTGGCTCATGTCTGTAATCCCAGCACTCTGGGAGGCCTAGGCATGTGGATCACCTGAAGTCAGGAGTTCGAGACCAGCTTGGGCAACATGGCAAAACCCTGTCTCCACTAAAAATACAAAAATTAGGCAGGCATGGTGGCACATGCCTATAGTTCCAGCTACTCAGGAGGCTGAGGTGGGAGGATTGCTTGAACCCGGGAGGCGGAGGTGCAGTGAGCCAAGGTTGCACCACTTCACACTCCAACCTGGGTGACAGAGTGAGACTCTGTCTCAAAAAAAAAGTGTTTTTTGTGGTGCTGTATATATGTGAAGAGTCACACATTGGGATTTTGTCTCTAAAAATAAGGTAACTTATAATACTCAGGAGACTACTTCTCTGCAGAAGCTTTAAGCCAAGGATACTGGGTTTGTGTTTGTGATGAAATGTACTTTTCTCTGGAAAAGGCTGAGTAGATGGGTACTTCAAAATAACATCAGGCCTACAGGCTACTGAAAATGTACCTACTCATGGATTCTGTGTAGGCCTTTAATGCTTTGAATGTGAACTGCATACTTAGTCATTCATTTGGAGCCTTCTCTCAAGCTTTTGTTCTGAAGTCACCAAACTGAGATTGAGTTTCCTAATGCTGTTTTCTTCCTTAAATGATCCCTTTCAGTTGCTTCTAATAGAAGATTGCCTTTTCCAAAATGACTTACTCTCAAAAAGGGATACTTCAAGGGAGTTGAGTTTTGCTACACTACTTGCCCTATAGATTTGCTGGTACCTTAATTCATTCCCTTTTTTCTTTATGTTTCTTTTTTTATTCTAATAGGATAGTAACAATAACATATTATGTTTATACATTGTTTTATAGCTTATAATTTTCCATATACTTGAAAATTTTAAAAATCACTTTTTTCTTTTTTGCCTTCAAATAACATCTTACTTGGAAGTTGATACACTTTGGCTGTGTCCCCACCCAAATCTCATTTTGATTTGTAGCTCCCATAATTCCCATGTGTTGTGGAAGGGAGCCGGTGGGAGATAATTGAGTCACGGGGTGGTTTCTCCCATACTGTTCTCATGGTAGATAAGATCTGAGGGTTTTATAAGAGGAAACCCTTTTTGTGTGGCTTTCATTCTCTCTTGTCTGCTGCCATGTAAAATGTGCCTTTTGCTTTCCACCTTGACTGTGAGGCCTCCCAGTCATGTGGAACTGTGATTCCATTAAAACTCTTATTCTTTATAAATTACCCAGTCTCAGGTATGCCTTTTTCAGTAGTGTGAAAACGAACTAATACAGAAGCTTAAAATAAATAAATGGATTAAAGAGCTGAGATGCGCAGGTTAACATGTGTGTATGGTAGAGTGTGGGAAGGAAATTATGTCTCAGTGGACTAAGGGCTCTGCCACTTCTAGCTGCATACATCAAACTTCAAAGCCACTGACATATACTTTTACCACTACACTTCAAACTACATAGGGCAGGCATTTTTAATTCAAGTTTTTCAGACAACTGAATTTAAGCAATTTGTTTAAACTCTTACACGTGATAAGTACCAGAGCCAAGATGGGGGCTGACACCTCATCAAACAAACTCAATACTCTTTCACATACACGATAGATAATTATAGCCTGGACAGAACTGAATCTCACATATGACATGAGTAACATATATACAGTTTAGTTAAAGTTATTATACTCATAAATATTTTTCTTCAATTAAAAATTTGTCCAACTTTTTAAGTAAATTGTGTATGTATGTACATACATTTAATGGGCAGTTTTGTAATCATTAAATAGAATTAAGCACTCTCTCTATACTGATATAAAATAATTTCAAAGACATACTATTCAGTTTTAAAAAGCAAATCAGAATAGTGCTATTATTTGTGTAAAATGTATGTATGTGTGTATGCATGAATGCATATGATTGTGTCTAGAGTATGATGGAATAAATAAGCCAAAAACTGTTGGACACTAATTTCTTCCAGGAGGGGAACAGGGTGACTGGGGATTAGAAGTTAGAGGGAAAATTTTTTTTTCACTGTATATCATTTGTTGCCTTTGAAATTTTGTACCATCTGCATTTAATCACAAAAAAGTCACAAAAAGTAATTATTTTATAGAAAAATTTGGTCTATGACAATGTTTTGCTAAGGACTATTTTCTGACCGTCAACCATACCAGGTTCCCCATATGTTCTCCTGTCATTGTTTATCATATCTTTATTCATTAATTTTCAATTATTCAAGTATTTTTGTGATTTTAAAAGTTTTTGTTTTTTCATTATATAATGATAAAAGGATCAATTCAACAAGAGGATATAACAATCCTAAGTATATATGCACCGAACTCCAGACCTCCTAGGTTTATAAAATAATTACAACTACAACTAGGAAAACATGTAGACAGCAAGGCAATAATAGTTCAGGTCTTCAACACTCCACTCAGTGATCAGCACTAGACAGATCATTGAGGCAGAAAGTCAACAAAGAAACACTGGATTAAACTGCACTCTAGAACAAATGAACCTAACAAATATTTACAGAACATTCTACCCAAGAACCGAAGAATATACATTGTTCTGATCAGCACATAACACATTTTTCAAGATTGTCCATATGATAAGCCACAAAACAAGTCTCAAAAAACTTTAATAAATTGAAATCATATCAAGTATGTTCTCAGACCACAGCAGAATAAAGCTAGAAATCAATTCCCAAAGGAACCTTCAAAACTACACAAATACATGGAAATTAAACAATCTGCCCCTAAATGATTTTTGGGTTAACAATGAAATCAGGATTGATATTAAAACAGTTTTTTGAAATGAATAATAACAGTGACACAAGTTATCAAAATCTCTAGGATTCAGCAAAAGAGATGCTAAGAGGAAAGTTTATGGCACTGAACGCCTTCGTCAAAAAGTCAGAAAGATCATAAATTGACAACCCAATGTCACACCTCAAGGAACTGGAGAAACAAGAACAAATCAAACCCTAAACTCACAGAAGAAGAGAAATAACAAAAATCAGAGCAGAAATTGAAACAAAAAAGAAATGCAAAATATCAATGCTATGAAAAGTTGGCTTTTTGAAAGGATAAACAAAATTGATAGACCACTAGCTAGATTAACCAAGAAACGAAGAGAGAAGACTCAAATGAGTGCAGTTAGAATTGAAAATGGAGACATTACAGTTGACACCACAGAAATACAAAAGATCATTCCAGACTACTATGAGCACCTGTATGCACATAAACTAGAAAATCTAGAGGAAATGGAAAAATTCCTGGAAATGTACAATCTTCCCAGTTTGAATCTGGAAGAAATAGAAATACTAAACAGACTAATAACAAGCAGTGAATTGAATCAGTAATAAAAAAAAATCTGCCAACAAAAACAAGTCCAGGGCCAGACAGATTCATAGCTGAATTCTACTAGACATTCAAAGAAGAATCGGTACCAATCCTACTGAAACTATTTCAAAAGACTGAGAAAGAAAGAATCCTACACAACTCATTCTATGAAGCCAGTATCACCCTGATACCAAAGCCAGAAAAGGACATAACAAAAAAAGAAAAGTACAGATCAATGTCCCTGATGAACATAGATGCAAAAATCCTCAACAAAACACTAGCAAACTGAATCCAACAGCATATCAAAAAAATAATTTACCATGATCAAGTGGGTTTCATCCCAGGGATGTAAGGATGGTTCAACATACACAAGTCAATAAATGTGATTCATCACATAAACAGAATTAAAAGCCAGAACCATATGATCATCTTAATATATGCAGAAAAAGCATTTGACAAAATCCAGCATCTCTTTATGAAAAAAAACTTCCACAAAGTAGGCATAGAAGGAAGATACTTCAAAATAATAAAATCCACATATGGACAAGCCCACAGCCAACATCATAGTGAATGGGGAAAAGTTGAAAGCATTCCCCCTAAGAACTGGAACAAGACAAAGATGACCACTTTCACCACTTCTGTTCAACTTAGTACTAGAAGTCTTAGAGCAATCAGGGAAGAGAAAGAAATAAAAAGACATCCAAATTGGAGCAGAAGAAGTCAACCTATTGGAGAAGAAGTCAACCTATCTCTCTTTGCCAATGATATGACCTTATGCTTAGAAAACCCTAAAGACTCTTCCAAAAAACTCCTAGATTTGATGAATGGATTCAGTAAGGTCACAGGTTACAAAATCAATATACAAAAATCAGTAGCACTGCTATACACCAACGGCCAAGCTAAGAATCAAATCAAGAATGCAGTCCCTTTTACAATAGTTATTTTAAAAAACCCTAGGAAATACTTAACCAAGGAAGTGAAAGATCTCTACAAGGTGAACTACAAAATACTCCTTAAAAAAATCATAGATGACACAAACAAATGGAAATACATCTCACGCTTATGGATTGGAAGAATCAATATTGTGGAAATGACTATACTGTCCAAAGCAACCTACAGATTCAATGCTATTCCTACCAAAACGCCAATGTCATTTTTTCATATAATTAGAAAAAAATCTTAAAATTCATGTGGAACCAAAAAGATCCCAACTAGCCAGAGCAATCCTAAGCAAAAAGAAGAAACCTGAAGACATCATTTTATCTGACTTAAAGTTACACTACAAGGCTATAGTAAACAGAATAGCACGACATTATTGTATATGGAGATATATACATATACTATGTAATAGTTCTATAATATATACATACTATATAATAGCTTATACATTATATACTATTCTTCCATAAAAAAAGAATGAAATAATGTCTTTTGCAGGTACTTGAATGGAACTAGAGGCCGTTAACCTAAGTGAAGTAACTTCTGGAATAGAAAACCAAACACTGTCTCCTCATTTATAACTGGGAGCTAAGCTATAGGTATGCAAAGGCATGCAGAGTGGTATAATAAACATCGGAGACTCAGAACAGGGAAATAAAAAAGTTAAAAATAGAAACATATCCTTATGATTATTTAATTAATATCAATCTCTTTCACAAGACTATAAGATCCATAATGTCAGGACCATATGTATTTTACTCTTTTTATCTTACCAGAAAAAAATTGTCCAAGCCTTAAAAATAGGCAAGAGGTTTCTGGGTATCCTTTCATTAGAGTACTGGGCACTGCCTAGTGCAGAGTTCCCAAAGCCCCAGGCCAGGGGCCAGTACTGGTCATGACCTGTTAGGAACTGGGCCGCACAGCAGGCAGTGAGGAGCACTCACGTGGCTGAAGCTTCATCTGTATTTATAGCTGCTCCCCATCACTCGCATTACCACCTGAGCTCTGCCTCCTGTCAGATCAGTGGTGGCTTTAGATCCTCATAGGAGCATAAACCCTATTGTGAACTGTGCATGTGAGGAATCTAGGTTGCACGCTCCTTATGTGAATATAATGCCTGATGATCTGTCACTGTTTCCCATCGCCCCCACATGGGACCATCTAGTTGCAGAAAAACAAGCTCAGGGCTCCCACAGATTCTTTACTGCTGGCTGGCACAAGATGTGTCATAGCTGAAGCTAATCTCATTAAAAGAAATGAAGAAACACAGGATAAAATGTGGAAAGTGAGATACACTTGTTTTTAGAATAAAGTAGCTCAGTTAATAATGCTGAGTTGTAGAATTATGATAATAATGGTGAGTTGTATAATTATTTCATTATGTATTACAATGTAATGATAATAGAAATAAAGTGCACAAAAAAAGTAATGCACTTGAATCATCCTGAAACCATCCCCTGCCTCCCTGTCTATGGAAAAATGGTCTTCCATGAAACCAGTCCCTATTGCCAAAAAGGTTGGGGACCACTGGTCTAGTGGACCCTTTGCAGCTCCACTCTCTAAGTATCTATCTTAGCATTATCAACGTTCTAAGAGTTTGCATCTTTGATTATTTTTCTACTGACTAAGCTATCTTATAGTTTTATATGCATAGAAGTTACAGAAAACAGATAGCCATGCATAGGAATGCAAAGACAAGGTCTTATCTTGTAGCTTATGTTTCATCAAAGAGATAATGGTCAAAACATTACATTTTATTGCCATAAAGGGTATTAACCAGCTTTATATTTATTAACAAATTTATTTCAGCATTTCTGATTTTGTGTGTGGGTGTGTGTTTGTGTATCTGTTCTTCAAATTCTCCTTTGAACCAGTTTTTAATGTTTTACTACTTCCCAAGTCAGAAAGTGTGAAGAACCTGAGATGTTACCTTACTTGCAGAAACATCAGATGCTAGGTAGGATATTAGACCTTTGCTATTCACAGCAATAACAGTGTAACACTGGTTTCTCATGCCCAGCATCATATTGGATGCTGCAATGACAGCCACATGGTTATACCTCTGAGTACAGGGGTTGTACCACAGGAGAGAAACTGCAAAATTATGAAGCAGCTTGGAGCTTATACAGAAGCTGAAACATCTACTCCCTCTTCCCCTCTAGAGAAGGAGAGAGATATTAGTTTTTACCTGGTTATCTTACTCAGAATGTAAACAAGTCCTGTCATGGAAGAGGGGAAGGTCTTTACTCTGGAAAATAAATATTTGGTTCTGGGAGAGATAAAAAATATTGTATTCATCTTGGAATGGGAGCAAGTGTCTTCATCATAAAGAAGACAAACAGCTCCATGAAGGACACCCTTAATATGTGAAAAGCAAATGCTTGGGGGAGGGAAAAGAGGAGGCATTCTCTGTCATTATAGCATATCAATTGTTATGCTAAGGAGACACATACGGTGCAGGAATACTAAGTAACAGAGAGAGGATTACCTTCCGACAGTTCTCTTATTAATAAGTTGAATAGAATCTTTAACATGTATTCATTTTGTAATTATGCAAAAGTCAGAATTTCAGACTTCAGAAGTTATTTTTTTAGAAACCCCAATGTTCTTAGTACCCAGCACATAAAAATGTTCAATAAATATTTATTGAATAAATAAATAAGTGAATAAAAAGGTAAGAATTAGTTTTTTTGTATTGTCAGAAATGATTATGGAACCTTAATGATTTAAATAATATTACAGAAAATATCACCTCTTTTTTTTTCTATTTTTTATTGGTAGAACTTGGGAAGTAAGCATTATTAATTAAACTACTTTATTCTAAAAACAGGTGTATCCTGTGTCTCTTCATTTCTTTTCATGAGATTAGCTTCAGATATGACACATCTTCTGCCAACCAGCAGTAAAGAAGGGCTTGATGATCACATGTGACACTTTGAGAAAGAAAAAGGGTCTAAATAGGCAACTTCCAAATTCCCTTGATTGTAGTTTATATTGATTAGGACTCTTTTGCTTGCAAATAACAAAAATCAATTCAAACTACTCTAAGCAAAAAAAAGAAAAGAAAATTTATTGGACAGATCATGGACCATGTCATTGAATTTGAGGGCAATGAAGCAACTAGACCTTAGGAACCAAAGTAAAGATTGCAATGCTGCAAGGAAGCCAGAGTCCTCCTCCATCTCACATTTCCGCGTCTTCTGTACATCTCTTTCATGACTCTCTCTCATTGCTTTCTCACAGGCTCTATGGCCTTGTATAAAAGAGCTGGTACCTCGTGCTTCCAGATAACAGTTACTTATCGCAGACTAGTGACCCAGTGGGAAGCAGATTTCTTGCTCTCTCAAGCTAAAGAATTGCTTTCCCAATTCCCAGGACTGATTGCTGTCTCAGGCATTGAATCAATGAGACCATGGTGTTTGAGGGTGGGGTGACACACTGTAGAAATGTGTCAGCTTCTGGGGTAAGCTTGTGGGTAGCAGAAAAGGAAGTCATTTCTAGAAAAGCAGCATTAGACAATAAGTGTTCACTAGAGTAACTTTTAAAAACTATTTGTGAAAAAAAGAGACCATCAACTCAGCAAACTAGGAAAGCACAAAACAGGGCAAAGGCACAGTCTGGTAATGAAGAAGGAGAATAAGAAATGTAAAGTTGTGGAAAAACAGAAGAAATGAGACTCAGAGGGAAAATGGAGAAGGTAGAGCTTTTCCAGTGGGGTAATAATGGTGCTTGTGTTTTCCTAGAGGTGTTTGAAAGTCTAATGAACAAAGTTTTAAAAGCATTTTGTCCTCTCATGTGCTGTCAAATATAACTTCCTGCAATGCCAGGAAGATTCTATATCTGCACTATCCAATTTAAGAGTGCATTAGCCACATGTGGCTACTGAATGCTTGGAATGTGACTAATTTGATAGAGGGAATAAGTTTTTAATTAAATTTAATTTTAATTAATTCACATTCAAATAGCCACATGTGGCTAGTGGCTACCAGGTTGGATAGTGCAGCTTCACAGCTGATGGACTGAATATCCAGACCATGGCCACACTGTAGATAAAAACAGAACTCTGACCCATTACAGACAGCGACCTGCCCAGGAAAAAGCCAAGTCAGGTTTGCATGAAGTCAGACCTCTAAGAACAATCCAGAAAGCCAATCACCCCTGTAACATTTAGCAAAAAAAGACCAGGACTTCAATAATACTTGACAGCTCCCCTATTTTTTGTCGCCACTTCTCATTTAGGACCAACCAGAGAAAGCCAAATATGCACCCATATGACGTGCTCCATGATGAGTTAGCCTGCTCCAAGCCTGCAGTCTCTGATCAGGGCACGTTTGAACCCCCTTTTCTCTATTCCAAGCTTTTCCACCCCTTTGTCTGCCTCTGAGTCTCTGCCAAAACATGAGCAACGGTGGCTGACTCCTTTGCTTGTTTCCATTTGGTTAATATTTAATTTCCACATAGTATTGATTTAGTTAGTGAATTCTGTTTATGCCTGTATGTGTTACTTAATTGTTTTGGCACATGCCCGTCAGTGCTGTATTTTTATGGTATCTGAATGGGAAACCACTATGTCATAGGGATTTATATATTTTTAAAAATTGACAAAAACACAAGTTATCCTTGATTAATATTTGGGGATATGTACATTCAGTAGTCCCCTTGTATTTATTACATGTGCCCATTTGTAAGTGTATAAATTAGAGTTGCCAGATTTAGCAAATAAAAATACAGGACACTCAGTTAAATTAGAATTTCAGATAAACAACACATTAATTTTTGGTGTACATATATCTCATGAATTATTTGTCCTATTATGCCACAATCAATTCATTGTGTATCTAAAATTCAAATTTAACTTGGCATTCTGTCTTTTATCTGGCTGCCCTGGTATAGATGCTCCTCCCAAAGCATGACTGTGTCTCCAGTAGCTGCTGTGGCTGAGAGTGTGCCCAACATCTGCTTCTCATGCAGCCTCACTCTGGCCAGCTTTTATGTAGGGCAGACATCTCAGGAGGAAGAGCCAACAGAACCAGAAGTGTTCCCAGACATGTTGCTTCACCACCGTGCCTCTCTTTCTTTCAGCAAACAGGAGAGGTAGGAGAGGAAGGCAGAACAGAGCACTGGTAAGCTTTGCATTTGCTACAGAGAGGTAGGGGTGCTGGAACACACAGAATCCCCTGGACACAGCCCTATGGGCCCCATGGCATCTGTGCTCTGGTGGTGCAGTGCTGTTGTGCAGGACTCGGAGGGATTTTCTACAGCCTCTCTAATCCTTCCAGGCACCCAGAAATGCATTCGATCTTGATGAATGTGGATAGGCTTCTATTTCTGCCTTGTCTCCTTGATCCCATCTCAGCACAACTGCAGAGCTCACTCTTTTAAATTTACATTTAATGAGATTTTACTGTGCCAGGCATTGCTCTAGTTTCTAGGAATTTTGCTGAGAATAAGATAGATAAGATCCCTGACACGAAAGAGCTTATATTCTAGTCTGAGGGAAAGATAATAAATGAGTAACAAATAAATGATTATATAGGTACCTGGTAATAATAAATAGTATGAATAAAACATAAGCAGGGTAAGTGGAAAATGAATAAACTCAAATGCCAATTCCTCCTCCAAATCATTAAAATGACCTGCTGATAAAGCAAAACTGAGTTTATCACTAATGCAGGAAGATGACTACTATCTTGACAAAGTCTTAGGAGAGTCTTAGAGTGGAAGAGAAAAAGTAGAATATTACTGAGTTCTTGAAATCTGGTTTAAGACAGGTCTTTTAAATGTCAGGGCTGATTGAGAATGGACACAGAGAGGCTTGGGTTTGGAAGAGTAAACTGTCAGGCCTCTGAGCCCAAGCCAAGCTATCGCATCCCCTGTGACTTGCACATATATGCCCAGATGGCCTGAAGTAACTGAAGAATCACAAAAGAAGTGAAAAGGCCCTGCCCCGCCTTAACTGATGACATTCCACCATTGTGATTTGTTCCTGCCCCACCTTAACTGAGTGATTAACCCTGTGAATTTCCTTCTCCTGGCTCAGAAGCTTCCCCACTGAGCACCTTGTGACCCCCGCCCCTACCCACCAGAGAACAACCCCCTTTGACTGTAATTTTCCATTACCTTCCCAAATCCTATAAAACGGCCCCACCCCTATCTCCCTTCACTGACTCTCTTTTCAGACTCAGCCCACCTGCACCCAGGTGAAATAAACAGCTTTATTGCTCACACAAAGCCTGTTTCGTGGTCTCTTCACACTGACGTGCATGAAATTTGTTGCCATGACTTGGATCGGGGGACCTCCCTTTGGAGATCAATCCCCCATCCTCCTGCTCTTTGCTCCGTGAGAAAGATCCACCTATGACCTCAGGTCCTCAGACTGACCAGCCCAAGAAACATCTCACCAATTTCAAATCCGGTAAGTGGCCTCTTTTTACTCTCTTCTCCAACCTCCCTCACTATCCCTCAACCTCTTTCTCCTTTCAATCTTGGCGCCACACTTCAATCTCTCCCTTCTCTTGATTTCAATTCCTTTCATTTTCTGGTAGAGACAAAGGAGACACATTTTATCCATGGACCCAAAACTCCGGCGCCGGTCACGGACTGGGAAGGCAGCCTTCCCTTGGTGTTTAATCATTGCAGGGATGCCTCTCTGATTATTCACCCACGTTTCAAAGGTGTCAGACCACACAGGGATGCCTGCCTTGGTCCTTCACCCTTGGCGGCAAGTCCTGCTTTTCTGGGGGAGGGGTAAGTACCCCAACCCCTTCTCTCCATGTCTCTACCCCTTCTCTGATTTTCTGGGGCAGGGGCAAGTACCCCTCAACCCCTTCTCCTTCAGCCTTAGTGGCAAGTCCCTCTTCTCTGGGGGAGGGGCAAGTACCCCAACCCCTTCTCTCTGTGTCTCTACCCCTTCTCTGCTCTTCTGGGGCAGGGGCAAGAACCCCTCAACCCCTTCTCCTTCACCGTTAGTGGCAAGTCCCACTTTTCTAGGGTGCAAGAACCCCCAATACCTTATTTCCATGCCCCAACCCTTTCTCTGCTTTTCTGGAGGGCAAGAAACCCCCAGCCCTTCTCCATGTCTCTACTCTTTTCTCTGGGCTTGCCTCCTTCACTATGGGCAACCTTCCATTCCTCCTTCTCCCTTAGCCTGTGTTCTTAAGAACTTAAAACCTCTTCAACTCTCACCTGACCTAAAATCTAAGCGTCCTATTTTCTTCTGCAATGCCACTTGACCAAAATACAAACTTGACAGTAGTTCCAAATAGCCGGAAAACAGCACTTTCAATTTTTCCATCCTACAAGATCTAAATAATTCTTGTTGTAAAATAGGCAAATGGTCTGAGGTGCCTGATGTCCAGGCATTCTTTTACATATCAGTCCCTTCCTAGTCTCTGTGCTCAGTGCAACTTGTCCCAAATTTTCCTTCTTTCCCTCCCGCCTGTCCCCTCAGTCCCAACCCCAAGCGTCGCTGAGTCTTTCTAATCTTCCTTTTCTACAGACCCATCTGACCTCTCCCTTCCTTGCCAGGCCAAGCTAGATCCCAATTCTTCCTCAGCCTCCATTCCTCCACCCTATAATCTTTGTATCACCTCCCCTTCTCACACCTGGTCTGGCTTACAGTTTTGTTCCGTGACTAGCCCTCCCCCACCTGCCCAGCAATTTACTCAAAAAGGTGGCTGGAGCCAAAGGCATAGTCAAGGTTAATGCTCCTTTTTCTTTATCCCAAATCAGAAGCGTTTAGGCTCTTTTTCATCAAATATAAAAACCCAGCCCAGTTCATGGCTCATTCGGCAACCCTGAGACGCTTTACAGCCCTAGATCCTAAAAGGTCAAAAGGCCGTCTTAGTCTCAAAATACATTTTATTACCCAATCTGTTCCCAACATTAAATAAAACTCCAAAAATTAAATTCTGGCCCTCAAACCCCACAACGGGATTTAATTAACCCCATCTTCAAGGTGTACAATAACAGAAAAAAGTTGCAATTCCTTGCCTCCACTGTGAGACAAACCCCAGCCACATCTCCAGCACACAAGAACTTCCAAACGCCTGAACTGCAGCAGCCAGGCGTTCCTCCAGAACCTCCTCCCCCAGGGGCTTGCTACACATGCCGGAAATCTGGCCACTGGGCCAAGGAATGCCTGCAGCCCGGGATTCTTCCTAAGCCACGTCCCATCTGTGTGGGACCCCACTGAAAATCAGACTGTTCAACTCACCTGGCAGCCACTCCCAGAGCCCCTGGAACTCCGGCCCAAGGCTCTCTGACTGACTCCTTCCCAGATCTTCTCGGCTTAGCGGCTGAAGACTGCTGCTCGGTTGCCTCGGAAGCCCTATAGACCATCACGGATGCTGAGCTTTAGGTAACTCTCACAGTGGAAGGTAAGCCCGTCCCCTTCTTAATCAATATGGAGGCTACCCACTCCACATTACCTTCTTTTCAAGGGCCTGTTTCCCTTGCCTCTGTAACTGTTGTGGGTATTGATAGCCAGGCTTCTAAACCTCTTAAAACTCCCCAACTCTGGTGCCAACTTAGACAATACTCTTTTAAGCACTCCTTTTTAGTTATCCCCACCTGCCCAGTTCCCTTATTAGGCCGAGATATTTTAACCAATTATCTGCTTCCCTGACTATTCCTGTATTACAGCTGCATCTCATTGCTGCCCTTCTTCCAAATCCAAAGCCTCCTTTGAGTCCTCCTCTTGTATCCCCCCACCTTAACCCACAAGTATAAGATACCTCTACTCCCTCCTTGGCGACCGATCATGCACCCCTTACCATCTCATTAAAACCTAATCACCCTTACCCCGCTCAATGCCAATATCCCATCCCACTACATGCTTTGAAAGGATTAAAGCCTGTTATCACTCACCTGCTACAGCATGGCCTTTTAAAGCCTATAAACTCTCCTTACAATTCCCCCATTTTACCTGTCCTAAAATCAGACAAGCCTTACAAGTTAGTTCAGGATCTATGCCTTATCAACCAAATTGTTTTACCTATCCACCCCATGGTGCCAAACTCATATAGTCTCCTATCCTCAATACCTCCCTCCACAATCCATTATTCTGTTCTGGATCTCAAACATGCTTTCTTTACTATTCCTTTGCACCCTTCATCCCAGCCTCTCTTCGCTTTCACTTGGACTGACCCTGACACCCATCAGGCTCAGCAAATTACCTGGGCTGTACTTCCGCAAGGCTTCACAGACAGACCCCATTACTTCAGTCAAGCCCAAATTTCATCCTCATCTGTTACCTATCTCAGCATAATTCTCGTAAAAACACACGTGCTCTGCTCTCCCTGCTGATCGTGTCCGATTAATCTCTGAAACCTCAGTCCCTTACAAAACAACTCCTTTCCTTCCTAGGCATGGTTCGTGCGGTCAGAATTCTTACACAAGAGCCAGGACCGCACCCTGTAGCCTTTCTGTCCAAACAACTTGACCTTACCGTTTTAGCCTAGCCCTCATGTCCGCGTGCAGTGGCTGCCACTGCTTTAATACTTTTAGAGGCCCTCAAAATCACAAACTATGCTCAACTCACTCTCTACATTTCTCATAACTTCCAGAATCTATTTTCTTCCTCATACCTGATGCATATACTTTCTGCTCCCTGGCTCCTTCAGCTGTACTCACTCTTTGTTAAGTCCCACAATTACCATTGTTCCTGGCCCGGACTTCAATCCAGCCTCCCACATTATTCCAGATACCACACCTGACCCTCATGACTGCCTCTCTCTGATCCACCTGATGTTCATCCCATTTCCCCACATTTCCTTCTTCCCTGTTCCTCACCCTGATCACGCTTGATTTATTGATGGCAGTTCCACCAGGCCTAATCGCCACACATCAGCAAAGGCAGGCTATGCTATAGTACAAGCCACTAGCCCGCCTCTTAGAACCTCCCATTTCCTTTCAATTGTGGAAATCTATCCTCAAGGAAATAACTTCTCAGTGTTCCATCTGCTATTCTACTACTCCTCAAGGATTATTCAGGCCCCCTCCCTTCCCTACACATCAAGCTTGAGGATTTGCCCCCGCCCAGGACTGGCAAATTAGCTTTACTCAACATGCCCCGAGTCACAAAAACTAAAATACCTCTTAGTCTAAGTAGACACTTTCACTAGATAGGTAGAGGCCTTTCCTACAGGGTCTGAGAAGGCCACTGCAGTCATTTCTTCCCTTCTGTCAGACATAATTCCTCAGTTTAGCCTTCCCACCTCTATACAGTCTGATAACAGACCAGCCTTTATTAGTCAAATCAGCCAAGCAGTTTTTCAGGCTCTTAGTATTCAGTGACAGACTAATGGTCTATTAAAAACACACCTCAACAAGCTCAGCCACCAACTTAAAAAGGACTGGACAATACTTTTACCACTTTCCCTCCTCAGAAGTCAGACCTGTCCTCAGAATGCTACAAGGTACAGCCCATTTAAGCTCCTGTATAGACGCTTCTTTTTATTAGGTCCCATTCTCATTCCAGACACCCGACCAACTTAGACTGTGCCCCCAAATAACTTGTCATCCCTACTATCTTCTGTCTAGTCATACTCCTATTTGCCGTTCTCAACTACTCATACATGCCCTGCTCTTGTTTACACTGCCGGTTTACACTGTTTCTCCAAGCCATCACAGCTGATATCTCCTCGTGCTATCCCCAAACTGCCACTCTAAACTCTTGAAGTAAATAAATAATCTTTGCTGGCAGGACTATGCTGAACCTCCTTAGGCACTCTCTAATCAGATGTCCTAGGTCCTCCCAATTCTTAGTCCTTTTATACCTGTTTTTCTCCTTTTCTTATTCCATTTAGTTTTTCAATTCATACAAAACCATATCCAGGCCATCACCAATAATTCTACACGACAAATGTTGCTTCTAACAACCCCACAATATCACCCCTTACCACAAGATCTCCCTTCAGCTTAATCTCTCCCACTCTAGGTTCCCACGCCGCCCCTGATCCCGCTTGAAGCAGCCCTGAGAAACATTGCCCATTCTCTCTCCATACCACTCCCCAAAATTTTCGCCGCCCCAATACTTCAACACTATTTTGTTTTATTTTTCTTATTAGTACAAGAAGGCAGGAATGTCAGGCCTCTGAGCCCAAGCCAAGCCATCGCATCCCCTGTGACTTGCACGTATACGCCCAGATGGCCTGAAGTAACTGAAGAATCACAAAAGAAGTGAAAAGGCCCTGCCCGGCCTTAACTGATGACATTCCACCATTGTGATTTGTTCCTGCCCCACCTTAACTGAGTGATTAACCCTGTGAATTTCCTTCCCCTGGCTCAGAAGCTCTCCCACTGAGCACCTTGTGACCCCCGCCCCTGCCCACCAGAGAACAACCCCCTTTGACTGTAATTTTCCTTTACCTTCCCAAATCCTATAAAAGGGCCCCACCCGTATCTCCCTTCGCTGACTCTCTTTTCGGACTCAGCTCACCTGCACCCAGGTGAAATAAACAGCTTTATTGCTCACACAAATCCTGTTTGGTGGTCTCTTCACACGGATGTGCATGAAATAAACCATGTTTGATGAACCCAGATGAGCAATCTGTTGATCTGAGAAAAGGAGTTTACTTGAATGAAAGCTAGTGTTGTTTGGATAAATGGACATTGGGAAGTTCCTGAAACAATCACGTGATCTGCAACTTTATCTTCCTGAGCCAGGGTTTTCTGGAAGAGTGATGCCCTGTAGCTGCAGACAGTGAGCTGTGTGGTTGAGATAGTTTGAATGCTGGGGGCTATTTCAGTTGGTGTGGTCAGGGAAGGCCTCCTAGTTGATGAAACCTTAGTAGAGGTCTGACTGTTGTGAAGGGTGAGCTGTGAGCAGTTCTAGGAAATTCAGCATTCTAGCCAGAGAGAAGAGTCAGGGCAAATCCCTTGGCATGGGAAGGATTTTGAGTGTTGGAGGACTAGCAAGAGAAGCAGGATGGCTGGGGAAACCATTGAGCAAGGGGGAGGTTACTTGGAGATTAGTCAATACCTTCCCAACACTAGGAAGAGTTTGGATTGAATTCTAAGGGATATGGGAAGTCACTGATGGTTTTAAAAAGAGGAGTTATCTGATTTAGAGGGTTAAATGACCACTTTGGCAGGAAGACCAGTTAGGAGGCTTTTGTAGTAGTCCAGGAGAGGGCAGGTGGCTTGGTCTTTGGTCATAGCAATGGAGGTGATGAGAAGTCAGTGGTGTACTAGGAGTTATCCTTGACTCCTCTTTTCCCAAACATCTCACATTCAAACTATCTACCTTCAAAATATAACTCCTAGTATTTTGACCGGAATAACTGATTGAAAAGCTATTCCATGTTGTTATGGACTGTGTGTGTTCTCCCAAAATTCATATATTGAAGCCTATATCCCAGTGTGACTATATTTGGATACAAGGCCTCCAGAAAGGTAAAATTAAGGATATATGGGGTCATAGGATAGGATTCTAGTTTAGTAGCACTGGTGTCCTTATAAGAAGAAGGGACACCAGACATCTCTTTCTTTCTATTCACAGACTAAGGAAAAGCTATATGAGGATACAGCAAGAGGGCAGCCAACTACATTCCTGGAAGACAGCCCTGAAACCAACACTGATGGCACCTAGATCTTAACTTCTGGCATCTGGAACTGTGAAAAAATAAATTTCCATTGTTTAAGCCATGCAGTCTGTGGTAATGTTTTATGGCATCTCTAGCAAATTAATATACCATGTAATAGTATGTAGAAAACTGTGGAAAGAGTAGATTTGGGCAGGGTGGGAGCGTGGGGGTAAAAATAAACAGTTCTCCTTGTGGAAATGGTTGTGGATTATATGAGTTTTAAAGTCAGAGTGAAGGATGTTGAGATATAAAGGAGAGAGTCAGTAATGTGTGGCTTTGAGGCTTGGATTTTTCTTTTCTTTCCTAAACATCTGACTCTACCACCACTAGCCTCCTCCATTCCTGCCTTCTTGAATAACTATTTCTATTACGCCATTTCTCTTCTTCCTATTGAACACTACTTTCTGTGAAGGATTAGCTGTGATGTGGTGTAAAACTCTTTGGACTTAGGCCAGGTATGGTGGCTCAAGCCTGCAATCCCAGCATTTTGGGAGACTGAGGCAGGCAGATCACGAGGTCGGGAGATCGAGGCCATCTGTCTAACATGGTGAAACCTCATCTCTCTACTAAAAGTACAAATAATAATAATAATAATTAGCCGGGTGTGGTGGCAGGTGCCTGTAGTCCCAGCTACTCAGGAGGATGAGGCAGGAGAATGGCGTGAACCCGGGAGGTGGAGCTTGCAGCGAATTAACTCACTACACTAAAATGTCACTGAATAATATCAATAAACACATACATTTTTATTGTATGTGGATCGCGCCACTGTACAGCAGCCTGGGCAACAGAGCGAGACTCCGTCTCAAAAACAAACAAACAAACAATCAAAAAAACCTCTTTGGACTTAGTGTTAAGTACTCTGGGTTCAGGTCCCATCTCTAACCCTTACTATCTGTATAGCCGGGGAGTCTTGAGCAACTGATTCACTTAACCTCACTGGCATCAACTTCTTCACCTGAAATATGAATAAAGATATTTACCTTACAGGCTTATTATGAAATAACAACTATGCATGAGAAAAAAATGAGTATAAAAGCATTTTATAAAGTGAATATCGCAATAAAAACGTGTTTATTGATATTATTCAATGACATTTTAGTGTGATGAGTTAATTTCCTAGGAGTGATTGCATATAAACTGTAGAGAAAATACTAGACCCACGAAAAACACTTCCATTGTTAATGATGCAAGGGAACTTCTGTCTACTCTACTTCCCCAAATCTCTTCATATAAATGAGTGACCAGTCTACCTACCAATGAAATCAGTTTCATCCTCAATTTTCTATGGAGTGAACCTGTTGCAGGACGGATGGGTTCCAAAATTTAGCGTTAATCTGGGATGGTCCTTGGCTTTACCCAGGATAGAATTTAAGGGCAAGCCGGATCACCAGTAAGACAGTAATCTTCTGTTGAACAGTACTGCTCCTTGCAGAGAAGTTCTAATCATAGGCAGTGCACCCAGATTTATCAATGTATGGGCTCTTGGCAACTGTATTTGTACTCACTTAAACCCACTTTCAGTTACATGTGAATTAAGAGGCAGGTCAATGCAAATTGAGGGAAGGATTATTTGGAACTTTCTAAGAAAGAGACAGTAACTTAGGGGTTGTTAGAATGGAAAGAGGGGGTAACTTTTGGGTTGCTGTCGTGGCATTTGTAAATAGTCATGGCACTAGAGATTGCTTTCATCGCCATCTGCTGGTTCCTGCTGGTTTCTTCACTTTATCCTGTCTGGACCAGACCCTGATTTGGTTAGCAGGGTTGTGTCCAGAAAACCAGTCCTGCTGGTCTCCTACCTCAGTTCTATTTCTGTTTATGAACTAGATTGACTTGCTCTAGAAGATATAATACAGACTATAACATAGAGTTAGAGATTTGTAAGATGTTAAAGAACCCTTAGATATATTGTCCAGAGATGGCAAAATTGCAAATTAAATTACCACTCTCCTATCTTTTGGCCATGAAAGACATTACTTATTTACCAGAGCACATTTGTCTACTAAGCCCTCAATAGCCTCGAAATCATTTTCTTTATGGTATAGAGCCTCTACCATTTTGTTTCAGCAGGAAAATTTTATTTGCCATCTGTGATTCCTTTCATTATACAGATGGAGAAACTGAGACCTTGAGAGGTAATTTGTCTAACAGCATGCTTACTGTTTTTAGTGAATGCCAAAAATACCTAAGCAGGAAGCTGCATTTCTATATATGGAAAATGAATGTACTTATTATAAATGTGCATATACCTTCACACCTCACCACACATATATACATGATTGTTCATTTGAAATCTTTTTTTTTTCTGATTGAAGATACCCCTAAGGAGGCTGGAGACACCAAAAAATCTTTCTTAACTAACATTGGCAGTATTGAAACACTGCCTTCTGAGAGAAATGACTTTTGTCTTTTACTTAATTAATTATAAACAGGAATCACTAGATACCTGCAGGTTGTTGTTTGCTTACTTATTACAGCCAAGCTCTGCCATTCTTAAATCTCTTTTAACTCTTAAAAAGGCAGGCAGAGAGGTTTCTTCTCCTTTGATCTTCTTAAGGGCACTGATACATTAAAGGATGCTATGATGTCTCAGACTGCCAAAATATAACACTAATAATACTGTGTGCTCTCCAAACACAACATCCTTCCTATAATATCTTCCCTTGACAGACATAATTACTTGAATCATCCACAGGGGCCTCTTAATGAAACTTTCTGTTTGTAGCAACTTTTGTTTCATTTAATTAGCTGTCTGTATGAGCAGTGCATGAAGGCAGTTGTTTTCTTACACAGCAAAGAATAATGTCAATTCATTTCTAAGGGTGAGCTAAATTGAAGGTGCCTGTATTAGCAGAATCACTTTCTATTTGGATTAAGCAAGCTGTCAATATTGCAGCTCCTATGTTACAACACTCTTGTTGCCATCTAACCTCAACCTGTGTATGTACAAATATTTCATTAGGTTATTCCTATAACAGGACATTAAAATGGGACTTGTCCTGTCTTTCAATTGAGGCCAAAGACACTAGATGACACCTTCTAAAATGAATTGTAAGTCAGTTCACTGATTGAATGACTCTCAAGCCACACGATTTTTTTAGATCTTTTTAACGATCTAAAAAGTGGCTATTATTGGGCGTGATAAGTAGAATTTGGAGAGGACTTCTTTGCAGTGAGCTATCTTGTTGAGTTCAACCTATGAAACGAGAGAGTGTGTGTAAAGGGGGCAATTGCCCCTAATCCCAAGTCTAGCATGAAAAACTCCAATGGGATTACATTGAGAAATTGATATGCAATCTCTGTAGGTTTTGAATCAGATTAATGGGGCTTGGCTCATGCTTGAGAAGGCTGCAGTAGCTTGTGGTTTAGGAGTGAACTGTCTGTGATAGCATTGCCTTCCTTCCAACTGCAGACCAGTGGGCATGATTCCTAAGGACCAGGTATGGGAACCACACTAGTAATGTCAGCCTGAACTCATTTTAAAAGTGACTGTCTTGGAGGGATTTTCAGTTATGGTAGCATAAAAACATTGGTGAATCCTTTTAGCCAAACTGAACAAAATTGTCAAAAGGATGAAATATTTCCAGGCACTGGACTGACCATAGAGCCCAGAGTGTGTAAACCACAATTTTAGAATCATGTATTCTTAAAAACCTGGAGTGCTTTGGGAAGGAAAGGCAGACATCTATGCCCTTTTGCTTGGGCTGCTCCCATCCTCCCTCCTGCCCCAGCACAGTTGACAAGAAGTATAGTTTTACCAGTGTGGTGCTGTCTAAAAAACCCAGCAGCTTTATTGCCAGAGGGGACAGAATCAATTTGAGAAAAAAGACAAAACCCCATAGCTGTGTCAGCTAAAACTAAAGAACTTGGTAGAAAATAAATGGGGAGGACCTGTAGCTTTGCTTATCTAGGTTTGTGGTCCTGGTTAGGGTGAGCAGTGAACTAGTAAAAATTTAATAAGAAGATCTTGGAAGAGAAAGAGCTATGAAAGTCCTAAGATATACTTTTCATATATCCTCGGCCTACTGGGAAACTACATTTATCCTAGCTTTATCCTAGCGTAAAGTATAAGTTAAGGGACACTTGAAAACTTGCTGCAACTTGGAATGTACTTCCCAGCCCATGTACAGATCAATGAACAGAAGGAGGAAAACTTATGGGCTTGAGGGGTTTGAACACAACCTCAATCTACATTATTGTCTGATTACTAAACTGTGCAGTTATAGGAATAACACCTAGGAAGCCAGGGTAAAATAGAAAAATAAAAAGAAAAGAATACAGAATGGAGACATCAGTAGGTACATATTTTTGGGGAGACAGACATTGGAGTTTATGTCCAAGCAAATTAATAAAAAAGTAACACTTGGAAAAATAAAACAGAATCTATACTTGCTACAATTATAAGACATGCACAGAAACAGAGAAGTGTGATTCATACTAAAATAAAACCCAAAACCCAGTTTATAAAAACAGACTCAGAATAGGTCTAAGTGTAAGCTTTAGTAGAAAAATGCTTCAAGGCATCTCTCACAGATATGCTCAAAGAAGTAAAGAAAAATATTGTGACAATAACTCAAAAAATAGGGAACCTCATGAGAGAAATAGAGGCTCTAAAAAGGCCAAATAAAAATTCTAGAGTTAAAAAGATCAATAACTGAAATAAGAAATTCACTAGATGGACTCAAGAGCAGATTTGAGATGGCAAAAGAAACAATAGCAAACTTGAAGTTGGATATATCTGAAGAACAGAGGGAAAAAAGAGAGAAGACAAATTAACAGAGTATTAGAGTCCTGAGGGGCAACATCAAGTGTATCTATATATATAATAGGTCTCACAGAAAGAGAGAAAATAAAGAAAAAATGTTTTCAGAAATAATGGCGGCCAGGCACACTGGCTCATGCCTGTAATCTCAGCACTTTAGAAGATTGAGGTGGGTGGATTACTTGAGCCCAGGAGTTTGAGACCAGCTTGGGCAACATGATGAAACCCTGTCTATACCAAAAAAAAGAAAAAAACAAAAACAAAACACCCTGCAAAAATTAGCCAGGCATAGTGTCATGTGCCTATAGTCCCAGCTACTCAGGAAGCTGAGGTAGGAGGATTGCTTGAGCCCCACAGATGGAGGTTGTACTGAGCCAAGATTGTGCACTGAAGCCTGGGAGACAAAGTCAGACCCTGTCTCAAAAAAAAAAAAAAAAAAAAAAGAAAAGTAAAAGAAAAAGTAAATGCCTTGAAACTTCTCAAATTTAATGAAAACAATTTACAAATCCAAGAAGCTGAACAAATACCAAGTAAAATAAACAAAAAAGACCCACTTCTAGACATCATAGTGAAATTGATGAATGTTAAAAACAAAGAGAAAATACTGAAAACAGCAAAAAAAAAAAAAAAAAAAAAAAAGAAAAAAGTGACTCATTATATACAAGGGAATGACAAACAATGAATGATTGACTTCTCCTTCAAAACAATGGGGTCCAGAAGGCAGTGGAATGATGTATTCAAAGTGCTGAATGTAGCAAAACTATTCACCAAGGATCCTATACCCAATGATGTATTCAATGATGTTTTTTCTCCCTGTTCATTCTCCTTTTTTAAAATTGAAGGTGAAACAAAGACATTACAAGATAAGCAAAAACTGAGGGAATTAGTTGCTGGCAGATCTGTCCTACTTGAAGTACTTAAGAAACTCTTTCAGGCTGAAAGAACTGATACTGGACAGTGACTGAAATCCATAGGAAGAAATTAAATATGCAAGTGTATATGCATAAAACAGATATACATATATATTTATTACATATACACACACATATGTGTGTGTGTGTATGCATGTGTATATATACACATACACACACACATTTTCTCTCTCTTTTCTTCTCTAAAGATGACTCTGGCCTGCCAGATAAGGGGCCAAGCAACAAAAAGCAGGGACAGAAACTCAGAGTGAATCAGGGGTGGTTAGCTAGAGAAGAGGACTCTGTGAATCAAGATAATTGCAGTCAGGGGGTTCCTGAAGGGGAGTCTCTAACAAAGGCACAAAACAGCCCTTGGAGATAAGAATGAGCTTTAAATATTTGCTAGATTCAGAGACAATAAAGGCAAGCTAAAGTAGAAGTAGTCAAGAACTTTCGAGTATCCCTTACCTCTCCTCCCACCCTCTGCTTCCATTCTGGCAAAGTCTGAAATAGCAGTCAGTTCAGTGGGGAGAAGAAACCATCCTCCTCCCCAAGTGGCAGGCAGCCTACCTATGCCTGGCCCTAACCTAGGGTGAGGAGGGGATAGGGTGATAGGGCTTACCTTCCAAGCTGGATTGAATTGTGGGTTAATGTTGAACCAGATATTTTTTATTACTGAATTGTTTGTGAATTAAAGGATCTGAAGAAATTTTTGCTACCTGAAAAGGGTCAGAGGGGGAGTTGAGAACCCGCTCATTCAGAAACAGAAGACATTCTACCCTCTGCCCCTACCCAGCAAGGTTAAAGGGTAAGTGGGAGCCAAAAGTAAAGTTCCTTTTATGAACTCATTCTATTCCTCCTGCATGTTACATGTCCAGTACACTTGCCTGTTCTTCACCATCATTGAGATTTCTAGTTCCTTAATCCTTTCTTTTTTCTCCTTGTTTGTTCTTTTTATGATTTAACATTCTTCCCACTTCAGAGCAGACTTCACAATTAGTTACTTCAATCAATTCTTCCCTGTTTTCAATGGTTTCCTCCATTTTTCTACCACACAAATCTTGTAATCATTCTAATCTAACTGGTTTTCTTTCTCCTTCTACAGATGAATTAACGAATAGTAGAGAAAATAACACATTTGGATTCTTGGTACCAGGATCATTTTAATGGTCTTTGGCTTCAGATGGGCCATTTAAACTACTCAACAAGACCTTTGTCTGCCTCTGGTCAGTTTCCTCTGCCATTCACCCCAGAAGGATCATGGATTTTAACTGCTCTGATCAAGTTTCTTATTCCACCCCTGCACTTTCTTCTTTTAGCTGCCGAGGCTGTTGTCCACGTCCCAAAGATAATTGAAGTTGAAGTGGGATGAACTCCAGGCTGACTCACATCTTCACTTCTTCCTCTGTAGCCTTAGAGAAAGAAGCTTCAATTTACAGATGATCTCAAGTTCATTCATCCTCTCCTATCACTTCTATATTTACTCCTCTTTAGTATTTTTAAACTTTTTCCTCTTCACTGACTTCTCAACACCTTGTGAACATAAGAAAGCTCATTGTAAATGAACTCCTCTGCTAGGCCTCTATATTTCTTCAGCCAAAGCCCTGTAGCAAGGCACCCCATTACAACCAAGAATATTGAAAAAGCAGTCCGCACTTTCTGCCTTCATTTATTCAGAGCCCATCAACTCCTTACATTCCTAGAAATGGATGTTCACGCCTTCTAATTGACAGACACATTGATGTTTTCTCATCTGCTTTGTGAGATTTGATACTGTTGATGGCCCCTTCCTCCTGTAGATCCTTTTCTCCTTTGACTTCTAGGATACCCTTTGTATTTGTCAGTTTTCATGCTGCTGATAAAGACATACCCAAGACTGGGCAATTTACAAAAGAAAGAGGTTTAATGGAGTTACAGTTCCATGTGGCTGGGGAGGCCTTACAACCATGGTGGAAGGCAAGGAGGAGGAAGTCACGTCTTACATGGATGGTAGCACACAAACAGAGAGAGAGAGAGAGCTTGTGTAGGGGACCTCCTCTTTATAAAACCATCAGATCTCATGAGACTTATTCACTATCACAAGAACAGCACAAGAAAGACCTGCCCCCATGATTCAATTACCTCCCACTGGGTACCTCCCATGACACATGGGAATTGTGGGAGTTACAATTCAAGATGAGATCTCGGTGAGGACACAGCCAAACCATATCACCCTTCTCCCCTGGATATCTTTCTTCTTTTTTGATACTTTGTTTCTGTTTATTTCTGAGCATTTCGTCTTCGGATTTTGATCCTTTTATTCTATATTTTCTCCCTAAATGATATCACTTAATCTCAAAGTTTTAACTGCAGACCCATAATAACCTGGGCCTCTGTGTGTTCAAGACCCTGGACATCTTCACTCAGATTTCCATTCCACTAGCACCACACACACGATGTGTCTAACGCTCATTGTCTCATCCCAGCACACATGCATATAAGCTGATAGACAAATGTCTTGCCTAGCTTGGTGACTGGCATCATCTATCATTTTGCTATCCAAGCCGGGCACCTGACATGAACTCGCACCTATCTAATTTACTTCTCCTCCATCTACCCACATTCAATTGATTTCTAAATCATGTAAATTTTAACATCTTGATGTCTAGCCCACACTTTTCAATCCCTTCTATTATAGTCTCAGTCTTGACCCCCAAAACCTGCATGGACAATTGCTACACTCTATTTGTTTCCACAACTCTGCCAGGCCAAATGTTTTTGTATGCCCTTTCCTGATGAAATATCTTTAATTCCTATGGCTTTCACATTAAAGCTTACATTTCTTGCCAGGCTGGTAAGTCTTTCATGATATCATCTCTATGCCCCTCCTCAGAGTTACCTCTTCAGACACTGCTTTGTGTCCTTTCTCCTCAATACTACCCAGCTCTTTTTATTGTCATGGAATTATTTCTTTTTCCTCAAATCTACGGTGTGTTTCATGCTCTTGACCGTTTGTGCATGTTGTCCCCACTGCTTCTCTGTCTTTTCCCTACTCACTGCTCACCTTTCAAGTCTCAGGATGTTCTCTTCTCTAGCAGAATTTTTTTTTTTTTTTTTGAGAGACTTTCACTCTTACACCCAGGCTGGAGTGAAGTGGTGTGATCTTGGCTCACTGCAACCTCCACCCCCCGGGTTCAAGTGATTCTCTTGCCTCAGCTGCCAGAGTAGCTGGGATTACAGGCACGTGCTACCATGCCCAGTTAATTTTTGTATTTTTAGTAGCAACAGGGTTTCGCCATGTTGACCAGACTGGTCTCAAGCTCCTGACCTCAGGTGATCTACCCGCCTCAGCCTCCCAAAGTGCTAGGATTACAGGTATGAGCCACCGTGCCCAGCCAGCAGAACTCTTTTCTTCCTCCTTTTGCCCTCACTCTATTCTGTTGACATCATTGTGTCAATTTGGAATTCAGTCGGCCTTTCTGTAAGGTTCCTGGGGGAAAACCTCATCTTGTTCATAACTGTATACGTAGCACAGAGCACAGTACCCACCACTTAGGAGGCACTCAATCAATATTTCTTTAGTATAATTGAATTAATGGTCATAAATTGCTCTGTGTCTAGATAGCAAGCGTCTTTCTCCTCTCATCAGCCATTTTCACTCAGATTTTGTGTAGGGGTCAGGACTGACAGCCTGCCTTTCAACAGGCCCCAAATTTCATCTCTTGAGGAAACTGGGAAAGGAGTCAGGGTATAGGTGAACTTCTAGATCTTTCCCTGGGTCTCTGTGCTAAGACCCTTCAGTGAGTATTGAGGCATCAGTTCAAGTGGGAAAGGTGACGCCCTGTGATTGCTTTTTCTACTTATTCATGTATTTTAAAAACAAATAAGAATTTTGGAATGCCTTGTTTTCAATTCTAGTCACCATTCTCATGCAGTGCAGGTCATCTGAGGTTCTTAAACTAATTGGGAAATGTAACAGAATGTTCAGTACTGTGTCTTCATTTTCTTTAGAGAAACCAAAACGCGTGAGATTAAGTGACTTGCCAAAGGAGATCTCTTAGCTGTTGGTGAAATAAAAAGAAATGCTTATTCTTCTTCTATCCAATCCTGGACCCCATCCCCATATCTTTTTTAAAAAATGGGAAAATGAAATTGGGTATTCTGGAAAGGCTCTTTTCAAAGTTCTAGTGTTTTAGAGTTATTATAATCATTTTTTTACTTTATTTACTCTCTTATCACCCAGAGGATATTGATTGACCAGACTTTGCAAAAGACACACTGCTACATCTGAGACTTGAACTCAACTAGAGCTAGCCTTAAGTTTGATCCTGGCTCTTAGTGGCTGTGTAAACTTAGACCAATCACTTAACTCCCCTAAGTCTCAGTTTCTCATCAGTTGAACTCATTTGGAGGGAGTATAAAAAGATATGATTGACTTTGACCCCAAATATTTGTTCTTTAACCAGACACATGTGCATAATAATCTCCAGACTAAGAGTGCCACAGCATAAAGAAACCATCCCCAGACTGTAGTTCCATATTAGAAGCATGTTTGAGTGCAGGAGAAGGGGATGAGTCAGAAGAGTGAGCAAAGCATTTGAAAAGTTCAGCTGAAACCTAAAAACATTGCTTTAGGTTTTGATTAAGGAACCATTAATTTTATTTTAACAGATTCAAATGGTCTTTTTGGTTCAGCAATGGTAGAAGAAATTGCGCTCTTTAACTAAATCTCTTCCTATCCTTACCTGCTTTTCTCCATTGCCTCTCTCTGTGGTGGCTGTCCTCCTGCAACTGAAGCCCTTTGTTGGGTGCTTATTTTTCACAAACTATTAGCCTGTCATGCAGGCTTATTTTCTACCAGCTACTTCTATAGAATCTGGAAAGCTCGTTGGTCTAGTTGATAAAGTTACAGCCCAAAGCTCCATAATTCCAGAGATCTAATTCTGGGACAAAAAATCCCTGGCTGGCTGACTTGAGGAAAAAAAGCCATTTGTTATTATTTTGTTCCATCTCACGCTCTTTGTAGATTTGACATAACTATACCCTAAAGAAGGGCTGACGAATACTATCAGTATTGATAATTCAAGATAGTTTATGTATTTAATGCATATTAATAAAATTGTATCCTTCTTTTTTCATTTATTTCTTGCTTGTCCTGCCATGCCTGTAAAAACTGTCAAATACACATTCTAGAATCACAACACAGACAGTGCTGATGAGGAAAGACTGCTGAGCAAAGCACCTGAGCTTCCCTAGCATGGTCTGTTCTGTCTCTGGCCCTGGCATCCACCCGAGACATCAAGGACCAAATCAAAAAGACTTAGTTCAGGAAGCAAATGTTTACTTTTATTTGAGGCAGAGTATACCAAAGGCCTGTAGTGATTCCTTTTAGCACTGGAAATCAGGTAAGCTGGAAGGGATTACCCGGAGTGCTAACCCCTCTGTCAGCCCAGGCTGAGTCAAGCTGAAGCCTGACAAACAGCAGCTGATGGCACTCTTACTTTCATTGTAGAGTTGCTTTTTGAGAAGTACGGAATTCAAAACAAGTAAAGGAAGGGTCTTTCTAGTCGCTGCTGTCTTCCAGCATTAGAAATAAACAGGCTGGAATCTTGAGGTTATTCTTGGAAGAAAGTGCTGAAATTAAACTGTCAGCCTTGATGCCAAATGATTGTTTTACCTTCTGGATTATGACTAAGAAAAAATTATGGAAACCCAGTGGATCATGATTTTCAGGAATTTCTCTTCAGTTGTCTAATAACCCCTTATGGGCTTGGTTCATTGACCTTAGAATTGATGATGAGGTTTAAAAAATACTTTTAGAAACTATTTTGTAAAAGTCTTTAATGATGGCCAATTATGACATGTTAATCTTAGGTAAAAGGTTTGGAAAGATGTACCATAGAATTCAGGAACATAGAAATAATAAAGCAGAAATCATGGGATTTAGGGAAAAAATGGTGAAGGGATGATCTATTAAGAAGCAAACTGTTTGAAATGGGGGAAAAATCTTCAAGAATTCAAGGCCCCTGACAGGGCCAAAGACAATTAAATAGGAAATATTGGTTGAAGTAGTTACTGGTTAGCCCTGGGATATTTTTCAAGTACATTTACTTCTGTGATCCAATGCCATCAGAAATACGAAGGACACTGAGATGTGTCTGTGAATCATTCATGAGATGACTTTAAAATGATCTCTTTAATTAGTGATGACAACTGGCTGGTTAGTTTAGGGCCTCAGTGGACTGGATTAGATTAGGTCTGCCAGGGAGAGTATTCGGTGACCCAACACATGGAAGAAAGTTCTCCCATCTCATAAGAGCTGCAGGGCGTGGAAACTCTCTGTCTGAGATAGCTGAAAAACACCTTTTGACTTTGAGAAGAGACATTTTAAAAGTGTTGATGATTGAAACAATGTGTTTTAGGAGAAAAAGACATAAAAGAAATGGACTTCACACAGAGCAAAGACCTTCGTCATATTAAAGAAACAGAAATGAGAAACGATGTGCGTGACTCTCCCAGAAGGCCAGATAATGCACTTTAATAGGGAGTAGAATAAGGTACTGTGTTTTCCACATCCTACATTTTCTCCCAAGATTCCAGCCTCCAAGCCCAAACTGACAGTATCTATGTGATACCTGCAGCCTTTGACCTGTCTCCGAATTGCACTCATAGCAATCACCTCACAATGGCCCAGGAGAGGGCTTGATGATCTGAAAGCATAATCAAACTTTGGAGAGAGAATGGCCCCATAGACACTTTCACAGCAGTCTCACAACTTCCACATTCTCTGTCTATCTCTCTGGTGCCTTCTGTGGCCAAACCCAAACTCCTAAAACTCTTAACTCCCCCAGGCAGGGGTGTCAGAGGTTCTGGCAGGTTGTCATACTATTGAGTTTGGAAACCTTGGACATTCCTTGGGTGAGCCTACTACTATGTTATCCAGCAGTTGTGTATCATAATCGGGCCTATTAGCAACATTTCAATATATTTATTTGTTTATTAATTAATTTTGTTATTTGCTAATGTGAAGTGATAGCACAGATGGCAAATACAGAATGCCTGAAAAATATTTAACTACTTCTCACTATCTTTATACTCATCACTCTAGACCAGCTCACCATCAATTCTCACCTGGGTTATTTTGATTGTTTCTAACTGGGCCTTGCCTCTGTCCTTTGCCCCCTTTCAGTCTATTCTCCACAGGTGGCAGATCTTGTGAAGACATAATCCGGATGATGTCACTCCTCTGCTCAAGAGCTTGCAATGGCTCCTTATTTCAAAGCCAAAGTCCTTTCAATGGCCTCTGAGGGCTGGGATAGCCTGGCTCCTCACTAACTCTCTCTTCGTCCCCTACTGCTCTCCTCTGTGTTGTCTCTACTTCAGCCATAATGGATGGAGGGAAGGATTGATGAAGCACAGGGGATATTTAGAGCAGTGAAAGTATTTCATATCATAGTATAATGGTAGATACATGACATTACGCATTTGCCAAAACCCATAGAACTCTACTACACAGAGTAAATCCTAATGTAATCTATGAACTTTAATTAATAATAATGTATCAATATTATTTCCTGAAAGTAACAAATGAACCATACTAATGCAAGATGTTAACAATAGGGGAAATTGGTGAAGGCGGGTAGCTTAGGATAATATGGGAAGTCTCTGGCGTTTTTTTTTCTGTTCAATTTTTCTATAAATCTAAAATTACTCTTTAAGAAACTATACATTTTTTTTTAAAAAACAGAGGTCTTTTGCAAAGGCAGTGCATTCTTCTAATGTAAGGTCGTGGATGGATAAAGGGAAGAAAAGAGTGGAATGAAGATGTGAATTTAGAAGTGACTGCAAAGTGTCATTTCAACCTTCATATATTAAATGGCCTTGGCTCTCATCCTCCTGGGGAGAAGCCTATTCTTGAGTTGATTTTTCATTTATCCGGTATAGCAGACCCCTGTGAAGATCATTTTGGAAAGTCTTGATATCTCAAAGCTATCCACTCAGAGTTCTTCTCTCTGATCTGATAACATAAAAATGTTTAAGGTGGGAGGCTGGCTAGGTGAAATGGAGTCCCAGAGCCAAAAAAGACTTTAAACTTGATCTGTCTTTGTCATGATCCCTGACTGTGCAGACGCATGCTCCATGAAGGAAGGACTCAGCAAACCTCTGCCTCATCCTGACCTTGGGCCCCAAGAGAACATGTAGAACTCAAGCTTGGTGAACACCTTCCTAGGACATTTATATCTTGGAAGACAAAACACAGACCTTTTTCTCAGGTGTTCTGAAAGGTGGGCTGGTGAGTTCTAGATGGAGTTAAGCAAGTTTGAATCTGGGAAATGCAGATTGAGGCCACATGTCAGAGACTATTGGCTGAATTTTGGGATTATTACTAAATCTGGAATAGCCCGAGGCTTTTTGGTATCCTGCTGAATCCAGGAGTAGGGGTGAGACAAGAAGGCATTAGGGGTTAATGGAAAAAAAAGAATATTACCTCTTCCCTCAGACAGTATATTAACCAGAGTGCAACATGAAGTTCCCAAACATGCTCTCTAATTAATGCCACAACCAATCATTAGCCTCTGAGCTTGGAGGAAATCAGCACTCTTCAAATACTGAAGGAAAGGAAAACAGTCTTTTTGATGATATATTGGTGCTTGCTTTTTGACAAAGTTATTAGCAAGATGGACTATGACCTGAGCTATATAACAGACCATTAAAACCTCTGAGGAGAATTTTATTACATCCACACTGCCAGTCAATGTCAATGAAGGTCACGTAAGATTTCTGTTCTTGTGAGACATTGAGCCGTGCCCGGCCATGACTCTGTGGGCAGTTACAAGAGCGTATGTTTAGAAGTTGCTTTCCTAACAGCTAGGAAAGGCTGCCCTGTCATGAGCACCCATATGTACCCAATCTCTCATATGCAGGCTGGGGTGAGACTGCATTTTATGCTTGTTTGTTTTCTCTAAGCTTTAATGACAAATTTCAGATTGCACACTGATATGGTTTGGCTATATCCCCACCAAAATCTCATCTTGAATTGTAGTTCCCATAATTCCCACGTGTTGTAGGAGGGACCTGGTGGGAGATAACTGAATCATGGGGATGGTTTCCCCCATACTGTTCTCATGGTAGTGAATAAGTCTCACGAGATCTGATGGTTTTATAAGAGGAAACCCCTTTGGTTTGGTTCTCATTCTCTCTTGTCTGCCACCATGTAAGACGTGCCTTTTGGCTTCCACCATGATTGTGAAGCATCCCCAGCCACATGGAACTGTGAGTCCATTAAACCTCTTTTTCTTTATAAATTACCCAGTCTCAGGCATGTCTTTATCTGCAGCATGAAAACGGACTAATGCACACACAGAGCAATCTTTCAAACTTTTAAAACCTGGTCATTTAATTCTCCTGCTTAAAACCCTTAAAGCCTCCCAGCACTCTTACAGTAATGTTCAGAATCTTCCATGGGCCTCTGAAGTCCTACAGGACCTGACTGCTGCCCTTCTTACAGCGTTCAAGTCACAAAAGACATTCTCTTTGGTGCTTGAATGGCACTAACTGCTCATCCCTCTGTTGGAAGCCTCTTTCCCTGGCACACTCCTCCCCTCATTCTCCTAAGACCAAGATTAATTTCTGCTCATTCTTCACCTATCAGGTTAATTGGCACTTTGAGAGGAAACTCCTTGCCTGATATCCCTGAAAGTCAGGTGCCTGAAGTTTTGTAATTATTGCACCCTTTGCATTTTCAAACCCATCATCTCAGTTGTAATCATTCTGCTAGATCCTCCTAGATGAGCCTACAGACTCCATGAGGGTAGGAGCTGTTTCTATCCTAGACTCTGCTCTAGCTTTTTTTCCTAGCAGAGGCTCTGGCACAAAGTAGGTGGTTAAGAAATACTTTCTGAAGATTGAATTATTTGTAACCATGACCTTAGTCATTTTAGTTTCCTATGGGAATGGTATACCAAACATGCATTGCTGGAAGATTCTCTGAAGGTATTTTGAGCTTAACAAAGGGACTTTATGATTTTTTTTAATGGAAACAGGCAATAGTAAAACTTTAGCAAAATAAAATTGAAAGGAGAATTAGGTCCTCATGCTTCGGAGAGTAAGAAACTCACCATTTCAGAGCAAGCTGAAAGACGTTTCCCTCTTGCCTCATCCATCAGTGTATTATAATTATGAATTCATTTCTCTCCCTCCAAAGGATCTTGGATGTGGTCTAGTATCCTTCTAAGTGACACCATAAAAAAGGGGGCACCATCATATTCCAAAAGCAGGGCTGTTCTATGTTCATAATTTAGTATGAAGGGTAGATATCCAGAATGTGCCACCTTCTGAATAGCTAATACTTTTAGGTTCATATCCTAGTGTTTTGTTTGCTAAGCCTCTTGGAGTTCTGAGGAGAAGAGTTTCTGTTCCTAAATTTGATAAAGGTAGAACTCTTCCATCTGCTGAAGGAGGCAAACATCAGAGATGCTTCCTCATCCCACCACTTGGAGACCCAAGTCTGTCTTTGTGAGGAGGAAGAAAAGGCTGTTATCATCTTAGAATTCAGGATCTCAGTGCCATGGACTGAATGTTTGTGTGTCACCTGTTGATATCCTCACCCCCAATGCTATGGTATGAGAGGTGGAACCTTTGGTAGGTAATTAGGTCATGAGAATGAAGCTCTCAGAATGGGCTTAGTGTTCTTAGAAGAAGAGATGTGAGAAAGAGATGATCTTTCTCTTTGCTATGTGGAGATACAGCGAGAAAGTGATTGTCTGCAAACCTGGAAAAGGGCCCTCACCAGAACCTGACCATGCTAGGTCAAGATCATTAGAACACCCTGATCTTGAACTTCCATCCTCCATAACAGTGAGAAATACATTTCTGTTGTTTAAGCCACCCAGTCTATGGTAATCATAATAGCAGCCAAACTGACTAAGACCCTTAGTAATATCTGTGATTAGCTCTTCTGAGACTCATGAAGAGACATGATACAGATTATGATATTTTACATGCTTATAAATATACAATATACTAGTGTTTATTAATGTATCAACATTAGATAGAGATCTTTCTGATATCAACATGTATATACTTCTTGTTTAGTAAATTCAGTACTATGAAGATAATTTATGTTTTCTTGAACATTGGAAATTTTCCCATGCCTCCATATGAGTATTAGTTTTGATTTTCTAGAATTATAATTGCAAATACAGAAACTGCAAAAGACAGGAATAAATATTAAAGACCCAAGGGCATAATCTGAAAGTTTAGTTTTGCCCCTTTAATAATTAATATGAGCTTATTTCTCCTAATTTTTTTCTTCCCTCTAAAATTAAAAGCCAGAAAATTCCAACTGAGTAAGTCATCCAATTTGAGGTCTATTTTTTTGAGGTGGGAAATCTTGTCATAAATTTAACAGATACAGTAACTAACTCTTCAACTATGCCTCCTACTGTATTCTATCAAGTTGAGTTTTCTTTAGTTAAACGTAGACACAGGATAAAAAAAATTCCAAAACCAAATTCACCTAGTATTTTGATGTTTAGGATGCAAAAATTTTTATAGGGTTTGAGAAGTAGGTTTGTAAACAGATTTTCGTTTTGTGTATGCATGTGATTCTTTCATCCCAAGCAACTCCTTATGGAAGAATAGCTTTCATTTTATTAATAATTTATAAAGGTCCTTTGTACTTGTTTTTCTCTCTGCCTGGAATACTCTCTCCACAAATATGCACATCTCATTTTCTTATCAACTTCAGGTAGGTCTTTACACAAGTATAATATTATCTAAGTAGGTCCTTCCCTGATTGCCTTATGAAGAATTGCAACCATTCTCACTCAACGTTTTCTATCCTCCTTCCCTGCTTTATTCTCTTCATATCACTTATCCCATCTAACATTCCATATATTTTACTTACTTATTTTATTATTCTCTGTGTCCCGTAACTAGAATGTAAACTCCACAAGGGTAGAGATTTTGCCTGTTTCCTTCTCTGCTTTATTCTCAGAGCCAGAATACTGCTTATCATAAAGTAGACACTGAGTAAATATTTATCAAACACATTTTATCAAATCTTTCTCAGCAATCCCAAGATTAAAGGTTTAGTTTACTGGTTGTTTGAGGAGGGGGTTGGCAATTCATATAGAGAAAACCAAGCTCACTGGCAAAGGTCCCTTAGTGACTGCTGAGGTGAGTGGTCGCATGGGCTGGCAAGTACAGAGATCACCTGTGTGTCACCCAGAAAACACAGTAAACTTGCCATTTGCAGAACTTCTCTGAGATTTCAAAATTACTGTCAATAGCTCTGGCAGTTAGACAAAAATTTTGTTTTCTTTTACCAAGGGTGGCTTTAGCAGATGTAAATTTTTCTTTTAAAAATGGGTAGCGTTTTTCCTTCCATATATTCTTTTAGAAAGTAAAAATTCCATTATTTAGTTTAGAAAATAGAAATTCAATAATAGTCCATACCATAAGGGAGAAGAATGAATACTCCACCTTTTTTGTATGTGTGCTTGTGAAGTTGGACTCAGTTGAATTTTCATGTTGTATTGAAATATTCTAACGGGAAGACAGCATATTTTTGCTCTCTTGGCTCTCTTAATTTAAGTTCATTCTATGATAAATGGATTTGTTGTCCTGGGGCAGCCTCCATGGGTTTAAACTTAAAGGTATTCTTTCTTTCATTTTACATTTAGGCATGATACAGGAATTCAATTGTGTGTAAAATATATTACTTCACATACATAAACAAAATCTAGATATTTTCAGATGACTTGACTTTTGCCCTCCTTCTCCATTGCCTTCTGCCATGATTGTAAGTTTCCTGAGGCCTCCTAGCCATGCTTCCTGTTAAGCCAGCAGAACCCTGAGTCAATTAAACCTCTTTTCTTCATAAATTACCCAGTCTCAGGTATTTCTTTATAGCAGTGTGAAAATAGACCAATACATAGGTGATGGTAGCAGAAATTAAGTGCCACACAGGGAGGAAGCAGCATGAGCCCACAGAAACTGGAAAGCCAGCAGCAGTGAAATCAAGAAAGAAGCCATAGACCCAGAATTGGGGAGAAGAGCTGAGGCACAGTAGTGGCAAAGGCTGGGTGAAAGCAAACAGATCTATAGCTGAGGAAGGATTAGCCCATGGGAGAGAGGCCTGGAAACAAAAAACAGCATTAGCGCTATTCAGATTCTCAATGACTTACCAGTTCATGATATTGCAAACTTCATGAGGCCTGCCTGTCTGAAATTGATTTTCTTCCCAATAATTCTTGCCATTTAACTTTTCCTGGAGCTGAAAAACATAACACTGATAATGGATTTACTGAGCCCTCACTTTTTGCCAGAGTTGTTTTAAGTGTTTTTCCAGGATATTCTTTTTCATTTGTGAAACTATTCTTTGAAGTAGGTACTTTTATTAATCTTAGTTTACAAATGAGAAAATGGAAGCAAGAAATGTTAAATTAACTTGCTGGAGATCACATAGTGATTAGGGAGTAGACCTTGGAATTCAAATGTGGTAGAATGATTTAGAGCCCAGACTCTAGTTGATCATGGGATACTACCTTTATAAGGTTAAGATGTGTCCTCTGCATTTCCATGTTTATTATTATTCTACTGCTCACACCCCACAGCCCACCATATTCTTGTTTATATTCTTGGCAACACCCAGAGTTCATAACAAATCTAGAGATCTACCAGTGTGAATCACTAGGCAATCAATTTAAACTCCCTTTTTGTAGGCATATTGTAAAAGGTGTTTTGCTAACCCCACTGTTAATGTACCAGGCCAGCTCCTTAGAATATAATGCTTCTCTTTGATTTGTCTCTAAGAAGAGTGATGCTCCTATTATAGGACATCTTGTCCTAAATTCCACTGAATTGTTGTCTAGCTCTTCCCCTAGATTTAGATCTCCTTAGAGTACAAATTGCTTTTTATTTTTTCTCTTTGGTATCTCCCACACTGCCTAGGACAAAGTAGATGTTCCAAAACAGTTCAGTGAATTAATTCAATGCCTTCTTATTTGTACTCCAGGCTACAGAGGTGTATTCACACTCTGTTCCAGACTACCTTGGGAATAAGCCAAGTGGTAAATAGAGTCAATAGAGAGGTTATACTGGATTCAAGGTGGCTTTCAACCCAGAATGCTAATATGTAGGCATTAAAAAAATTACTTTGATATTAGAGACAGAAGGACAGACCAAACACTTTGGGTCAAGATCTATGTAATTGAGTTAATAGCACATACTTAAAAATAATACTTTTATTTGTATAGTACTTTATAGATAGAAAAGTATTTTCATTTAAATTGTCAAATTTGATACTCACAGTGTATTTTGAAGATTTATTGTTCCCAGTCTTAAAGACTGTTCCTTACTCAAGGCAGGCAGCCATGTGGGCCAGTGAGGTCTCTCTGCTGTTGCAGGCCTGTGTATCTCCCTACTCCACAGGTCACTGACAGCTCTGCCTAGAAATCCCCAGGACAGGGGTGAGGTAGGGGTAGAGATGGAGGAGGTCCTTCTTCATTCTATTGTAACCTCCCAATGGGTTCACTTTGTCCGCGGCCTAGACACAGCCGATTTCTCAAGACAGGGGAATTGCAATAGAGAAAGAGTAATTCATGCAGAGCCAGCTATGTGGGAGACTGGAGTTTAATTATTACTCAAATCAGTCTCCCTGACTATTCGGGGAGCAGAGTTTTTAAGGACAACTTGGTGGCTGGGGGAAAGCCTGTGAGCCAGGAGTGCTGATTGGTCAGAGATAAAATCATAGGGAGTTGAAGCTGTCTTGTGCTCAGTCAGTTCCTGGGTGGGGACCACAAGATCAGATGAGCCAGTTTATCAATCTGGGTGGTGCCAGCTGATCCATCAAGTGCAGGGTCTGCAAAATATCTCAAGCACTGATCTTAGGAGCAGTTTAGGGAGGATGAGAATCTTGTAGCCTCCAGCTGCATGACTCCTAAACCATAATTTCTAAACTTGTGGCTAATGTTAGTTCTACAAAGGCGATCTAGTCCTCAGGCAAGAAGGAGGTCTGCTTTGGGAAAGGGCTGTTATCATCTTTGTTTTAAACTATAAAGTATAAACCATATTTCTCCCAAAGTGAGTTCAGCCTACACCCAGGAATGAACAAGGACAGCTTGGAGGTTAGAAGCAAGATGGAGTCCACTAAATTAGATCTTTTTCACTGTCTCAGTCATAATTTTGCAAAAGTGGTTTCACTATCTGTGATCAAACCTCTGCAATAGGAATGACAGGTGATCGTCTTTCCCCTGGGCGCCACCTCCTCCTTCCATTCCTTCTGAGTCTTCTCCAACCCAACACATACTCAATCAGGATGGAGTTGGAAACAAATTTTGCTAGAAGCTCAGACTTCAGAGGAGATTGTAGCTTTACCTGAAAACTTGGCCTTCCAGAGTAGGGTGACGCACATGAAACCCTTCTCCTGCACTCTTTCATCTCAGTCCCCTCTCCTTTCTTGGCCACCTCCCCCTTCAACAACTTTTCTAGCATCCCCAACACCTTTCCTTGAGAATCTCCATTAGTCTCCACGTGGAGATTCTTCTACCACCATTTCTCCCTCTTGAAACTTTAGCACAACACTAATTAGCTTTTGAGGAGGGAGACTGTAAGTTATAGTCTTGCAAGTGATGATGGACACGGGAATTTCAAATCCTCTTTAGTCTCCCCACCAGATATAGGCAGGGAAATTTCCTCACAAGTTTTCCTGGGATGCCAGAACACACTGTCACAGTCAAAATTACTTTCTCCTGGATAATACCATCATCCCTCAGTATCCACAGCTCATGGATATAAAAATCCCCATATGCTCAATTTCCTGATATTAAATGGCACAGTATTTGTATACATAAATAAAAAATAAAATTGTAAGCTCCTAATCAACTGAATGGACTCCTCCACCCCCTGGGCAACAGGATCCTAAAGAAAATCTGAAAAACTAGTTCAGGCCATGACTGGAAGACAGGGTTGGACTTGCCTGTTATACCCTCTTCCCTTTGGAGTTTAGGCACAACTGACCAGCACTAACATTAAGATAAAGATCATAAGAAAAACAGACTTTTTGTAGCAATAAGATAACCAACTCCAGCCTGACTCTGATATAGCATCATGTGAAAGATAGCAGGTTTTGGAGGAAATTATTTTACCCCAAAATATATTTTCTTTGACATCTTTTGAAATGCCCCTGTTAAGTCATCTCTTGCGGGGGAAATTTGCATTCTGTAGAGAATCTCCTTCCCTTTCTAGGTCTTTTCCTGATCCAGGAGGTTTAACTGAGAGTCTGACACATTTAAGTTTCAAAAAGAGACATTTACCATCTATTCTCTCTGAAACCTGCTACCTGCAGGCTTCATCTACATAACAAGAACCTTGGCTTCCACAGCTCCCCTTATCTTAATTCAAGCATTTATTTAAGCCGACTTCAACTCTCTAGGCAAAGGTTAACTTTCACCAATTGCAAATCAGAAAATCTTTGAATCCACCTATGACCTAGAAGCCCTCATCTGCCACACCACTTTGACGTGTCCCATCCTTCCAGGCCAATGTGTACCTTACATGTATGGATTTATGTCTTTGCTTCTAACTTTTGTCTCCCTAAAATGTATAAAACCAATCTGTAACCCAACCACTTGGGGCACATGTTCTCAGGATCTCCTGAGGCTGTGTCCTGGGCAGTGATCACTCATATTTGGCACAGAATAAGTCTCTTCAAATATTTTACAGATTCTGGCTTTTTTTGTCAACTTATATAACCTATGCACATTCTTCTGCATATTTTAAGTCATTTCTAGATGACTTATAATACCTAATACAACATAAATACTATGTAAATAATTGTTATATTGTATTTTTTGTTTGTATTCTTTTAAATTACTGTATTTTCTTCCTTCCTTCCTTCCTTCCTTCCTTCCTTCCTTCCTTCCTTCCTTTCTTCCTTCCTTCCTCCCTCCCACTTTCCTTTCCTTTCCTTATTTCCTTCTTTGTTTCTCTCTCTCTCTCTTTTTCTCTCTGTGGTTGGTTGAATCTGTGGATGTGGAACCCGTGGATATGGCGACTGACTGTACAGTCAAATATCATATGGAGAAAGAATAGTCACCCTGCCCTTGAAGAATAATAAACTCTGTCATTATTGTAAGAGGCTTTGACTCTTTCCTGAGCTTGGATCAAGTTACAAGAACCTCTACTAGGTGCAAACTGGTTTATCTTTGCCATCCAGGAAGGATGACCCAACCCAGATTATTTTTTTAAAATTTCAAGTCTTTACCTTTTTTTACACCAAATCCCATCCCCCTCACTCAAGGGAGTGGGGTAGATTGATTCTATCGTAGTGCTAAGAAAACAGAACCATAAAGAAATTAAGTGAATTACCAAGCAATGGCAGATGTAAGACCTACATGTCTCCCTCATAAATATTAATTGTGTACTTTGCAAGGGATTTACTGGCAGCTCTGGGGAAACTTCTGATGGTAAATTACTGAATCTATCTGTTGATCTCATTTCTCTATTTCCTTTCCAGCTCCCTTTAAAATAAAAAGTGTTAAATATATTCAAAAGCTCTTGATTTAGAATGATCAGGAGGTAAGGTTGCAAGCTGGAAATTTTTCTTAAATAGCAAACTGGAAATTGCTGAAGATGATAAGGCAAATATTAAATATTCCTAATATAATAGCTTTTTTTTACAAGTTCCCCATAGCTGATGTTTATAGCATTTGTATTTTGCTTAATTATTTCCTCTATTGGCACTGTGCTTTGCACATGGTAGGAACTCAACTGGAGAATTCGATAAATGATTTCATTGAGAATGTTTGAGTAAAATCATCCCAGAAGTCAGACCCTTACCTATAGTATTCAGGCTAGGCCAGCTCACCATCAATCAATTCTGCTCTGCCTTTGAAATTATTTTTAAAAAATCAAGTCATGTGAAAGTGAATGTGTTTATCAGAATTAACAAGATTTAAAACATTTCCCACTTTATTTTTGGTGAGTTCCTTTTCTGGCCAAAAAAAATACTGGCTCATTATTTTCAAAGTATTGCCTTGCCTAAGCAGGTGTGCACACACCTTCCTACCTCACTCAGCTTTTCTGATCAAGTCTAAGGATGGTTGTGTTTTTTTTTTAAAAGTTCTCACTTTGCCTCCCTCCAAAAGTCTCATTTCACTATTGCCCAATCTCTTTCCTCCCCCATTGTGTATGTCTCTTTCTCCCTCCCTCTTGTATTTATTATACACCTACAAAAAGTAGAATTTCCCTTGGCTAATGCTTGATAAGTTTGTTTTACCCACCATTTTATGTTTTGGGAATTGGTCTTTTTACCTCTGCCAGCAGCCTCAGCATTGCTGGGGCATATTTCCAGATGTTTAAGGAAAGCAGCGCTGTTTTTGAGCTAAGGGTAGTGGACACTCCCCCACCCATTTTTTTTTTTTTTTTAATCAGATTGGTAAGTGTGCCACAGGCTGGCTATGACCTGTGGTGTCTTTCTAGCAGCCATGAAAGAATGTGGCTGGCATTCAAAGGCATTGCTTTCAACCTCAGGTCATTGGAGATGAGGGTGAGCCACATAATAAGAATGCAGACTCTGAGCAGATCCTCCGGAGGGATAGACAATGGAAGGCGGGCCTGAATCGAGCAAACGTTTGTAACAGGATGGTAAATGAGACTATTCTTGCTGGTTTACTTGTGGTTGAGGCCTCAGAGCTAAGAGCAGTAAGTGGCAAATACCCTACATTCTAAAGAGGGTGCTTGATGTACGCAGAAGATGAGGATTTCCTTGAGATAAGTGAATGGCTGGCTGTATTGCCCTCACTGGGAGAGGATGGTATTGGATTGCTTGCTAGTCCACCAAGAAGGGAGCTGAGGGCCTACAGAGATGCTCTCTGAGTTGGGAGGGATGTCTTCCAGGGAGGAGACTGCCATCTCAGTCTTCTTCTCATGCCCTGTACGTTAAGATGCAAAACATGGGGGCCCCATGCCATTCGGGGATGACCTTAGGATCAGAGCAAAGAATGGAGAGAAGGTTCTTGGAGAACTTGAGTTCTGTTCTCCTTGTGCCTCCTAAGCTAGAGTTTCAGAGATTGTGTCTGGTCCTTATCTGGAAAGGGCAAAGGTGAGAAGCTGGCTGACATTGCCCCTGATGGCAACATGAAAGGAGAGGGCCACCTGCATTTTCTGATTTGGCAGGCAAAGGGGCTGGGTATTTTCCTGAGAGCCAGAAGAAGAACAAAGCAAGGGTCAGACCTGAAACGGGTCCCACTCCAATGGGCTGCCTGATCCCAGGAAGGACCCCAGCAGAGAGAGCCTACATGGGGCACACACTGGTGGCAGGAATGAGGGGTTTGGCTAGGGGTCTAGCCAGAGACTACATAGGTCACAGAGACTAGCTGTGAGAGGTCTCTGTAAAGAGGGGGCCAAAGGTTTTTGGAATTGGCCCAGGAAAGAAAGAACCAACTGTGTAACAGAGGACTTTGTGGGGATAGTTTGTCATGATACTAGTTAAGGGAGCCATTTCCCTCCTTCTTTTTTTTTTTAATTTTTTTATTTTTTTGAGACAGAGTGTCACTCTGTTGCCCAGGCTGGAGTGCAATGGCACGATCTCAGCTCACTGCAACCTCTGCCTCCTGGGTTCAAGTGATTCTTGTGCCTCAGCCTTCTGAGTCGCTGGGATTACAGGCGCACACCACCACATCTGGCTAAGTTTTAAAATATTTTTTGTAGAGACGGGTTTTCACCAAGTTGGCCAGGCTGGTCTCGAACTCCTGACCTCAAGTGATCTGCCCTCCTTGGCCTCCCAAAGTGTTGGGATTACAGGCATGAGCCACCACATCTGGCCCTCCTTCCTTCTTTCCTCTTTTGTTTCCCCTCCTCCCAGACACCAGAGGTAGCACAGTGAGATGGAAGGAGGAGGGAAGGATGGCAGTGAAGAAATAGTTCCGAAGTGAGGCAGGGCCTGTCCCTTCCTTTCTGCAGGCTCAGGTCAGGAGGCAGAAAAACTTTAAATCGGTTGAGAGTGAAGTTTGACATTAGACAGAACTAGTCTGTTTATCTTAAAAGATGATACTGTTTATTATTAGGTGAAAGACACCAGAGAAACTATGAAATCTGCCCAAGAAATAGAAGGAAAGGCCAACATGAGAAACAATAAAGATTCCTTTTTTTTTCCTCTGTACCCTCAACTGTGCCTTTTGTATTCAACAGGTATTGTTACATGTTCTTCCAATAAGTTTTTGAAAAGAACTTTACATCAATTTATTTTATTTCTGTTGAGAAGCCCTCATGACCAGACTCCCTTCAGCATGTTACACCTTAAATAAACAAAAGGCATTCTGAATGGCTTAGGTGGGAAGGGATTGTTGCTGGTTTAAATAAGGACGATTTGAATACCCACTACAAACTTTTCTAGCATTTGCCTAAGATGCTCACCAGTTCCTTTTGGTTAAGCGGTATGGTATCTCAAGTAAAAATGCTCTCTGAGACTGCAAATACAGCTTGGGGGAATTCAGACAATGACTCATGGCCTTGGTCCTTGCTAGAATTTTACTTTACATATCACTACACATTGTTGGGAGTTGTGAAGAAGTTCATTATCTTCCTGTGAATAGGAGTGCAGGGGAATTATTTATTTCAAGTTTTATCTTAGGTCGCTTTCAGTGATCTCTTAATCTATTAGATTGGTGCAAAAGGAATTGCAGTTTTTGTCATTGAAAGTAATGGCAAAACCTTCAATTACTGCAATTACTTTTGCACCAACCTAATAGTTCAACTTTGGCTTGGCCATGTGCCTGCATGTAGATAACACCCATGGGCTTAAAGAAAATTTAACTGTGGTAAGTTGAATAATTTATTGGGAGTTGATATTCCACATCTCACAATTAAAAGAGAATTTTGACATTCACTGGAGACTGGTTCTGAAGTTGTGTAAAGCTCTAATCTACAGTGGCACAACTAATATTAGGCTCACATGAAATAAATTAAGTCCCTAAGCAACTAAACTTTAGGGCTTCTGTGAAACATGGAACTGTCTGAAGTGAAGGCTTTGTAAATGGTCCTCTGTACACACACTGAGAATGTTAGGCCTACACCAGGCAATTGTCAAGAAGACCTCTGTCTATCACCTATCTATCCATCTGTCTGTCATCTATCTATCCATCTATCATCTATCTATCCATCTGTCTATCATCTATCTATTCATCTGTCTATCATCTATCTATCCATCTATCATCTATCTGTCCATCTATCATCTATCTATCCATCTATCATCTGTCTGTCTATCATCTATCTTTCCATCTGTCTATCATCTATCTATTCATCTATCATCTATCTATCCATCATCTATCCATCTATCATCTATCTATCCATCTATCATCTATCTATCCATCTATCATCTATCTGTCTATCATCTATCCATCTATCATCTATGTATCTATGTATCTATCTATCTATCATCTATCTATCTATCTATCTATCTATCTATCTATCTATCTATCATCTATCTATCCATCTATGTATATAGAGTTATTATGAGGAATTGGCTCACATCATTATGGAGGCTGAGAAATCTCACGGTCTGCCATCTGCAAGCAGGAGATCCACGCAAGCTGGTGGTGTAATTCAGTCTGAGTTCCAAGTCCTGAGAATCTGGGAAACTAACCATGGGAAATCACAGTTGAAAGGCAGGAGAAGAAGAGATGTTCCAGCTCAAGCAGACAGGTAGGAAAAAAGGAGCAAATTCCTCACCCTCTACCATTTGCTGTATTCAGGCCCTCAGTGAACTGGATAATGCCCACGCAGATTTGGGAGGATGATCTATAGTCATGCATTGCTTAACCATGAGGATACTGAGAAATGAATTGTTAGACAATTTTGTCATTGTGCAAACATCATAGAGTGTACTTACACAAACTTAGATGGCAGAGCCTACTACAAATCTAGGCTATATGGGATAGCCTATTGCTCCTAAGCTGCAAACCTGTATAGCATGTTACTGTACTGAATTTTGTAGGCAGTTGTGGCACAATGGTAAGTATTTATGTATCTAAACATATCTAAATATAGAAAAGATACAGGGAAAAAAGTTATAAAAGATAAAAATAGTATATCTTATAGAACACTTAAAATAAATAGAGCTTGAAAGACTGAAAGTTGCTTTGGGTGAGTCAGTGAGTGAGTGTGAAGGCCTAGGATGTTACTGTACACTAATGTGGACTGTATAAATACAGTACACTTAAACTACACTACATTTCTAAAAGAAAAAAAGTTTTCTTTCTTCAATAATAAATTAAACTTAGCTTACTGTAACATTTTTACTTTCCAAATTTTGTTAACTTTCTTACTCTTTTGTAATAACACTTAGTTTAAAATATGAACACATTGTATAGCTGTATGTATTTTCTTTCTTTATATCCTATTCTCTTTTTTCTATTTTTTATTCTTATTTTTTTCTATTTTTAAATTTTTAAATTTTTTTTTTACTTTTAAAATTTTTGGTTAAAAACTGAAACACAAGCACACACATTTGCCTAGGCATGCACAGATTCAGAATCATCAATATCATTGTCTTCCACCTCCACATCTTACCCCACTGGAAGGTTTTCAAGGGCAATAACAGACTTGGAGCTGTCACCTCCTATAACAAAGCCTTTTTCTGGAAAACCTCCTGAAGGACCTGCCTGAGGGTGTTTCACATTCAACTTTATTTTTAATAAGTTTTTAGAAAAGCAATTGTGCTACGACCTTACGATGGCTACAATGTCACTAGGCAATAGGAAATTTTCAGCTCCATTATAATCTTATGGGACCACCATTGTATATGTTGTCCATCCTTGACTGAAATGTCATTATGAAAGTACTTTACTGAGTCTACCCGTTCAAATGCTAGTCTCATCCAGAAACACTCTCACAGGCACACCCAGAAACAATACCCCTCTATCCCCGCTCCCACCACCTACTCAAGTTGACACATGAAATTAACCATCACACTATGCCTATTCAGAAGAGACTGATTGGTGAAGTTCAAATACAGGAAGAAATGTTAAGCAAAGAATAAATAATTTTCTTTTTCTTTTCATATCTCATATGGATAAGGCCAAATAATTAAGTATAAAATATGGCATCTAAGATTTAGATTAGACAAAATAAGAACACATTTAAATAAGGATTGCTAAGAAAGAGTGTCAAGTCTCTCATGCCAGGACTAGTTGTACAGCAAAGGCAGCACTCTGGTTTTGATGTTGGCATATAAGTCACAAAGGGCAAATGAATGGGCTCTGGAAGTTCATCCGACAAGCTCCCCTACATCCACTACAGCAGGGACAGTACTGATATTCTGCAAACATTCCAGTTTGTGGTGTAGAAAGGTCTGTGAAATGCTGGCTTGCTCCTCCATCACCTTCCACTTGTGTATGTTGAGAGAATTAAACAAAACTCTCATTTTGGCTGAAAGTGGAACCTGGGTTTAAATGTTTTCAATCTGAACCATGTTTCCTAAATAAATTCATGATAACTTGCACATTCAAAATTAAAATCAAGGGGCTAATTTGTAACAAATTATTTAAAAATCATTAAATGTTTTACTCATTTCCATTTGGGAACAAGGTGCCTATTTGCAAGTCTTAGAAATAGGTATACTCTTTCAGAGAGTCTTCTGGAGCCCAGACTTTTAGAAATCGTAAATGTACATGCCATTAAATATGGTGCTCCTTTTAAGATGTGTAGTTACTGAGTAAAAATCTAATATCCTACAACCCAAACAATCATAATGAAATCCAGTCTGTAGTCCCAGTTAGGTGATTCAATGATATCATACATGAGGAGCTTGTCATCATGAGAAACAGGAAACTGGAAATGCGGATTTCTATTGTGCAAACAATGTCCTTAGGAAAAATATGATCACAGACCAATGAATCTATGAAATAAAGGTATAGTTTTAATATTAGCTAACATATTTATAGAACTTATTGGCATAGAATCATTAAAACTTCTCTTGTAAAAGCATCATTCATTTTGAAAGTTCCGCATTATAATTTTCCTAGTGTGATGTAATCCTTTAACCCATTATTTAATATTCATTAAAAAAGACTCAACTTATTTACCTTAGAAGACAGCTTATGAATTACTTTTTCCTAAAGTATTTTCCATAATCAAAGGCAAAGGTTTTCTTTCTTTGCATCAAATGCTATCTCCATTTTTTCCCACTAACCCATGCTACCAACAATTCTCTTTTTGTAATTTTATTGGTACCTTGAAAGAAGGTGCCATGTCCTTCTGGGTCTCCTCTTTTTACGGCATAAATTTAGCTTTCCTGGGCTCTTTGTTTGCCATCTCATTTGACTGCTGGATCATTCTGCGCTTTCCTTTGCATCTCCAGGGGGTTGTTATTACTCACATTGGCCAGGTTACTGGGGAGATCAGGTGCACCTGAGGACCTTTTTGCACTCACTTGTAGCCCTGTCTCCTCTTACACCTTGGGCTTACATCAGACACGATCTCAGATCAGATGGAACTTACTAGGTTCTTTGCCTCCTCATATTGGGAGCAAGAATAGCTGCTTGTGTCACTGGCTCTGGCCTAACAAGTTATTGGGAGACAGAAGATCCAGCACCTTCTTTCCCTAGGACATCTTGCAAAGAATCTTTGCTGCTTTTTCCTAATGCTTCACCAACAAGCAAGCAAAAAGGCAGATGCTGAGAAACTGGTGCCTCCTGGAGCTTTGGTTGTATCCTGAAACCAGGGCTTCTTCCTTAGGGTAAGCAAGAACTGTGGGCTGTTGTTATCAAATCAGCTTCATTACATCATAGTCATGCTATAAGGCAAAGAAGCCATCACAAGTATTTGAAGAAGTCAAGATCTATACCTTGGGAATTCTGGAATCCTTTACACATTCTCTAAGCTTTGTCTGACCCTTCTATAAGGAACTAGTAGAAAGTGTCACTGCATCACTGGTGTCTAGTAAATGTTTCACAACAGGCTTTCTGAAAAAACAAACAAACAAAACTATGCATACATATATGTACAAAAGTTTATCACAAATTTTATTTATTTATATGTATATTTTATTTATTTGTGTGCATAGCACACAACTGACAAAAAATAATAAAATACACATATTCTTCATTGTAAATTGATTTTCATAGAATGCTGTAGTTGATATTTGCTGAAATTGTTATCCTTATGTAGCCAACCTGTGGCTGCAATTGATAAGTGAAGGTAATTCTCATATGAATGTTGTTTAATATTTTTATAGGCATTAATGAGTAAGACAAAAGTGAAATGAAAAAATAAATATGTGTGCCAGAATTTTTAGTGTGTCAATGATGTGAGCAACTCCTTTGCTTCAAATACAGGGAGAATAGTCCTCAATATTTTTGTGCTCTTCACATTGTAATGGCACCAGACATATAAGTTTAATCTGCATTATTAACATGTTTGTCATCACGTTCTCATGTCTAGACTATCAGAAAAAGAGTAAATCAAGCTCTGATTGGTAGCCACCATGTCCAATTTAAAGCTACCGACATAACATCACTGATTGCAGAGTTGTGAAGAGATACACAATAGCACATCAGCATATATTATTCATTCCATACAGATATACTAGACATAAGGAACCTCTAAGGCATAGACAATAGGAAAATGTAGTTAAATAATTAGGATGTGATGAATTTGGAGGTATTTATCTTTGCTTTTTAATTTTTTATTTTAAATTATTGTGGATACACAATAGTTGTACATTGTTATAGTTATTTTTAATAATTCATTTGATTATAAGTATATATAATTTAACTTTCGATACTGGCTTTATTTAATGACTGACTCACGAAAATCCTGAAAAGTTAATAACTGGCGCTTGTAAACCAGTGCAAGTGGGCTCCGGTGCACCACTGGCCATAGCTCATGAGTATTAAAAATGTTGTCATCACAGGAAATTCGAGCCGGCATGGCTCTGAGGGATCATCTTGTTCATTACTTGTCCTTGCTAAGTGTGGACTCTGATGTGTTGCTGTTTGAATAGGAGACTGTATCAGCAGAGTAAGTTCTGATCTGGTTCCCAGGTGCCCGTGGTGTGAATCACTGAGAAAGCATCTCTACCATACATGGGCCCTTTTTTTTGAGGGGAATGGTGGCAGGGGAGTGGTAGCTCTTGATGAGGGCTGTTAGGAGGATAAGATGCCAGGCCAGCGTCTCTTCTCATGTGCCACACTCTGTGTTATGTGTATGTAGGGAGTGGAAGTTGGGCGGAGAAGAAAGGACATTGAGAAGTTACATCCCGCAACTCAGGACTCTAAGACTCTAAGGCAATTGTGAGCTTTGGGAATGTCTGAGTAACCCTCAGAGAAAAATATTCTCTGTAAATTCAGAGGCAATCAGAGATGAAGCAATGAAATGATATAGCTCTAGGGGAGAAATAAAGATTCAAACTTGTGATTATATAAAATGGGAGAGGGAAAAGTTAAAATCATCAATTCCAGCTGGGACTGGAGTCATAGTAGCTAAGAAAAGTTAATATGTACTGACTTCCTGCATATTTATAATATGCTAAGCACTTTACATGTATAATTTCACTTAAACTACACAACCACCATATAAAATACTTTTCTCACCAATTTTCACAAAGGAAAACAATAGGGAAACAGGTTGAGATAGGAAAACTGTTGTACAAGGTAATACACAAAGCAAAGCCCAGAGCTAGAATTCATAGAAATCATAAACTTTTGAATCATGAATATACACAGTTATGATTCCTTCCATTAGGTCCCCATGTATTGGGACCAAGAACAGCATTGAGTTTTCCTGGTTAGAGGAGGGTAGAAAGGCAAAGTGGGTGGGGTGGGTAAGAGAGTGGTCCTTAGTTCTCTGGAATATTTATCTATAACCAGCATGAAAAAGGGGATCAGATCCACCATTTCTACCACCATTAAAACACTGGGCTAAATACCACCATCACCACTCCTATGGATTGAATATTTGTGTCCCCTCAAAATATATACGGTGAAACCCTAACCCCCAATGTGATGGTATCCGGAGGTGGTTAAGTTTAATTCAATCAAAAAGGGAGGAACTTATGATGCAATTTGTGCCCTTATGAAAAAGGAGTGTCCCCCTGTTTTCTACCATGGGAGGATACAAGAAGATGCCCTCTGCAAACAAGAAGAGTGTCCTTACCAGACAGCCTACAGTGCTTGATCTTGGACTTCCCAGCCTTCAGAAATGTGGGAAATAAATGTTTGCTGTTTAAGCCACCCAACCAAACGTTTGTTAGGTCAATAATAATTTGTTATAGCAACTTACTAAGACAACCACTGCCTCCAGCAATAACAAAGTACTATGAATTACAAAAGGGTTATCAACTCCAGGGGCCCAGACACCAAGACTGAAGACTCTAATCACAGTTCCCTCAATCCAGTCTCCTGGAACCACATAACTATCTATCTTTATAGAACATATTTTTACCCAAAAACCAGTATGAGAGAAACAGAGACAAATGACTGCTGACTGTAAGACTAAAGATAGGGTTTAGTTGAGAAGCTGAGGAGTGTCTGTAGCTGTACGTGGAGTAATGTCTCAGCAGGTCAGGCTCTGACCACCTGAACCTCCACTATTAGCAGAGTGGACAAGAAAAAGAGTACAAACCTGTCTAGCAATGGCCCATAGTATGTCCTGCATGGGTTTGCCTTGACTGTTGTCCTGAGTAAGTAATTTGAATTTAGTATTTTTCTCTACTCCTTGTTTGCACTCTCAGCCCCACTGCCACATTCAAAGTGTCAAGACTACTGGCAATAATATTATTTTTATTTTACAAATTATCTTTTAGCTTGTTTCATATTTTAAAAATACAGCTCATTATAGCTGTTACTATTGTGATTTTAATAGCTTCCAAATGCAATTCTGATGAAAAAGATGAAGGAAAAAGAGCCGCTTGCTACTATCATACATGCCAGTTTTAAACATGGCCTAAAAATTCTTTGCCACTCCTCCTACTAGCAGATGGCGTCCACATCCCTTCCCTGTGGATCTGGTTGGATTTGTAACTTCTCTGACCCCTGCTGCCGTGGGTCAGGTGGTGATCCCTGATGCTAGGTCAGAAAAGGCTGTGTGGCTTTTACCTGTCCTCTTGGAGCTCTCTTTTTTGGACACTCCCACTCAAAACCCAGTCTCTATGCCACAAGAAACTCAAACCACATGGAGAAATGACTTGTTGGTGTTCTGTCCACAGTCCCAGTCAAGCCAGCCTTCAACTCACCCTAGCCCATGCATCAGACATGCAAATGAAGACACCACTTTGGAAGTGGCTCCCCTCACCCTCGCTGCTCCACTTCTCGGCCTCAGAAGTCTTTCTGACTGAGGCTCCAGACAATGTAGGGCAAAAAAAAAAAAGCTGTCCCTGCTATGCACTTTCCTAAGTCCTTGCCTACAAAATCTGTGAGCATAATAAAACTGTCGTAGTTGTATGTTACTAAATTAACAAGGGTTTGTTTTAAGACATACATAACTGGAATACATACCAAAGAAGCATCTCTGCAAATATAAACATTTGAGTGCCTTTGGTATATGCAAAATCACTATCACATCCTTGCTCTGTATATTCAGAGGGAAGAATTGCTTGGGTTCTTGGCTTGTGGAGGAGAAGTGGTAGATCCATGAGTGAGAGTCAACCTCTTAGAAAACCAGCAATGGCCTAACGTTTCTAGTTACAGTTGCTACAAGAAACATCAACACAAAGAATGAAGATGGTCCCTGTTATTACTATAATCCTTATAATAAAGGTCCTAGGCTCCTATTTTTACTGTTGTGTTGATTTGGGCTTATTTTTCTATCTTGCTATGCTACAAACACTTGAGACTGAGTGTTTTGGGGTTATTTCTGTATCTTCTTATCCTATCTGCATTTGAGTCTCTGCGTGTCTGGGGTACGTAATGGTAGCAGGCATTCAGAGTAGCATTTTTGTGTGCCCAATGGCAATGTGAAACACAGGCAATGATCACACTTGGCCCAGATCACATACGGAGTCAAAGGGCTCATCTCTCTGATTGCTCCCCAGAGAACACTAGAAATGTGATTAGTGAGACCCACATAATCTTTGTTCCTCTTCCTGGGATGATCAGACCCAGGAAATTGTGTTAGAGCAACTGTGGTTGAAAATCATTCTGCGGGTAGGGGGTTTCTATTTTCAGGCTTCCAGGATGATCTGACCAAAGTGAACTATGTAGGCTGGGCACAGTAGCTCATACCGGTAATCCCAGCACTTTGGGATGCCAAGGTGGGCAGATCACTTGAGGTCAGGAATTTGAGACCAACCTGGCCAACATGGTGAAACCCCACCTCTACTAAAAAGACAAAAAGTAGCTGGGTGGGAGGCAGAGGTTGCAGTGACCCAAGATCACGCCACTGCATTCCAGCCTGACAGTGCGAGACGCCATCTCAAAACAAAACAAAACACAAAACAAAACAAACAAAAAACAAAGTGAACTATGAACTATGTATTGAGAAAAATGTGCAAAGGATGCCCAGTTTCTACAGTTGTAACAATATCAAAATTAATTGTCTTTTCTACAAGCGGTTCTCTGCTGATATTTTATTGAGTGGCTTTTGAATAAAATTTCACTTTTTTTTTTAAGGAACTGAAAGACTAGGAAAGTAGGTACTGATGTGGGCTTGGTTACATACAAGGTTGTTTGGATTAACCTCTGGGATAAATAGGCCTGCTGCATACTGGTTTAATACAACAACTGGTCATTTTCCTCAGTAGTTGGTTACTTATTTCTAAAGAATTATTCAGCGCTATTATTGAAGGAAGGAGCCAGTTTCATGTAACATTGTTATAGTCTAGGGCAGATACATTATTAATAATATAAATAAGCAAACGTTTACTAATAAATAAATTAAACATTTGCATTATTTACAATAAAAAACCTTTCCAGGAATTATGATTGCTTTAGAGTTCTTCCTACAATTACAGAAATCAGAGAAGTTTCTGGATAGCATGTTAATTTAGCGAAGATAAAATATTGCATCTTCTGGGAAAATCCTCATTAACTGAAACTTTCTTCTAAACATAAACGTGGACCAGTGAAGTAGACATGACTCTTGATTTCTCCCTAAGTATGATTTGCTGTGGGTGGATAAGAAAAAGAATCTTCTTCTCCCCTTATAGGCGATGATCATACATCTCAGTTTGCTCGAGGTGGCAGTACACATTTATACTTGCTTTCCTGAAATATCTGTAAGTAGAATCCCCCTTCACTCTCTAAAGTGTTTAGACGATAAATTACATGGTCCCTCTTATTCACAAGTCCAGGGGAAAAGCTCTGTCCCTCACACATATCCCCTTGGTGGCAGATTCCCTTTGTTCACATGAATCACAGGTCATAGCATGGAGTCCTATACCTAATTTCATTCCTCCTGTGCAAAACAGAATTGATCGAATCTATATTCCCCTTGGTTTTCACTATAAAACTAAATTACCTGCAATTAAAGCCCAGTTTATCTTATTTGTATGGATTCAATGCCTGTGACTTTTACTGAACATTTTCTGAGATTCGTTAAAATTTTGCAAACATATTATTTGCAATCATTAAAGGCTTATTTTAAATACAGTACTCTTGGATGGACTAAGAACTGTTTTCCACATGAATTTCTTAGTTTCAGCTGGACTGAAAGACCAGATCCAGTATAGTTGGAAGAACATCAAATTTGTGGGCTGGAGTTCTATGCTTCAGTTCATACTCTGTCCCATGTACTGGTGGAAAATACATCCCACCAGTACGTGGCCCAGGATTGGCCCAATTTACACCTGCTCTCCAGTGTAGTTATTAAGACTGCCCCCTTTCATTCTCAAAAATATCCTGGTTTAGAAGATAAATAATGTGGTCACCCTAATTATCAGCCATATAGAATCAGGCAAATCACTAAGTCTTTGTGTTTCCATCCCTCATTTGCAAAAAAATTACCCATCTCAGAAAGCTATTTTGAGGAGTGAATGAGAGGGAAAACACAAGAGCTTTAAAACATACTAGCAAGTGTAACCTATTAGACAAGCTTCCTATTTTTCATCCTCCTGCTCTGTGTCTGAAAGATACAAGGATTTGTGGACTTCTTACAGCTGACCCTGATTCTTGCTCTCAGCTGCAGATATTGCACTTTCTATTAAAGGTTCAGCCAAGAAAATGGGCAAGACATTTTTTTCCTTTTCCTCTGGCTAAGCTCTCCACTACCTTTCATCCACACCACACTCATTCCTGCTTCCAAATCTTTCTGCGTGTTCTACCCACCTTGTGGAATATCTAGCTTCTCTTTGCCACTCTCACTTTCTGTATTCTTAGCTAAAATCCCATCTCAAATCACATCTTTTGAAAGAAGACTTCTGTGAGTATGATTAGGGGCTTGAAGGTGCCATCTATAACTCCTCCCTGTGAAGATTCTGGCCAATTAAGTTTAGGTACCAAAAATAAAAAAAAAAAAACCCACAAAAAAACAATAAATAGGAATGGAAGCATCACTTTATTTGTTTGGGAAAGCACATGTAACCATCCAGAGCTCTGATAATGGCTGGAATAGCAAGACGCTGGAGTGGAGAATTCTATTTCCTAGCCCAGATCTAGATCTTGAAACTTACATTCTTAGGTGTGCCATGTGTGAGAAAGAGCAAAAAGAAGAGAGGAATGAAGAGAGATGGCCTTCAAAGCTGACTGAGCCTGCTGCTTAGAAGGTGACCTCAAGCCTTCCCACATTAGAAATAATGAAGATAATTTCTTTCATCCTACACTAATCATTCTCTTCTTCAAACACCATTTTAACTTAGAGGTAACATTGCACAGTTTAATGAATTGTTTCTTGGTTGTTTCATGTAGGTCAGTTTTTAAATTGCGGCCATATTGCCAGCTCCCGAACATCACTGGTTAATTCTTCAGGTCTTCAGCATCTTTGAGAAAATCTAGGATAAACATGGCTTCTACTAGATAATTAATAGTTATTGGTCGAATGATTGAGTTGCAGGTTTAAATGTTATGTTTGGAGGGAAAATAAGACCCTTTCTAATTTGATAAGATCACATAGTGGGGCTGTCCTGCTAATGCTGATACTACCCTTGTTGCTGTCGTGCTGTAAAAACAATCTGATAGCTTCCACTCCTTAAAAAGAGGGAAAGAATGCTGAAATAATATCAGCAAACACTTCACCAAGCACTTCACGCTCCTGAAGACATGGAAGAGACAAAGCTGCTTCTTCTGAAGAATCATTTTAAGTGCCAGTGGAAAAGATCGGCTCACTGGTCCACAGACTCTTCTCCTTTCCTCCTGTACCTGTAGCTAAACCTTATTTCCCAGACTCCTTTGCATGTAGGTGTGGCCATGCAACAGGGTTCTGGCCAATGGAATGTTGGCAGATGTCCTGTGGACCACCTCCTGGCCTGGCCCACAGAAACTTCCTGTATAGGACCTTACACATGCTTTCCCTTCTGCCTGGACAAAGGAAAAGACCCACAGAGAAACTCTGACAGTCCCTGATTGGAGGGTATTCCTTGAGAACCTAGTCCCTGAATTAGGACTCGAGGGAGAGCTACTCAAAAAGGAACACTAGCATTGGGCTGCGAGAGAAACAGACTTATTATTTTGAGTTGCTTGCAAAACTTGAGGTTTACCTGTTAACAGCAGTTGCTGTGCGAGGGCTTGCTTCTTATTGTTAGAATAACCAAGGTACTTTTTCCCTTATAAAACTATGACACAAATAACAATGACTGCAGAATTAATTGATTATAAATTGTACCTGGATTTCAGAGAGGTTACAAAGCAAAAAAAAAAAAAAAAAAAAAAGTGCTTCTTAGAGTTGATAAAATAGGATAATTCAATATTTCGGTTTTTTTTTTCTTTTGTTTTCATACCACCATCTGAGTCCCATAGCCAGCTCCTTGAAGAATGGAAAAACTACTGTTTCGATAATCAGAATGTAAGCTCCTAGAGGATTTAAAATTAACCTGTCTTATTCACTCTCTCGTATTTCTAACATCTAGAACATCAGTTAACACATTGTAGGCATTCAGGAAAACTTGTCAATTGAGGGAAAGATGTCCAAGCTATGGGCAGCATGCGGGCCTGCATGGGGAATGGATTCTCTGTCTGTAGTTAAGTTCTTGGGAAAGTGAATGACAATGAGGGTCACAGATTCAGAATCCAGAGTGATTTGATGAGTTGCATATTTAATGGCATCATCGTGGAATGCACGTCTGCAGTGCTTCTGAAATAGCGTTCAGAGGCAGGACCTGGCCTTACAATGAAGACCCTTGAGGAAATGCGTTAAGACTTCAAAAGGTGTGTTTATTTATTGATGTGCAGTATGATCTTTATGGTCTTCAGTGTTTAAAAATCAGTAAAGCAGTTTGATCTATTTGGCTCTGAATAATTTCAAGTGTGTGCTTTGTTTCTGATGATTGCCTTTTAGTCTCCTTGAGGAAGTCACTATGACTGAGAGCGAGGCACACACCATGTCAAGAGTTTCTCCTGCTCAGACATGCCTTGAGTTGGCCTTTTGGGGCAGAGTAGTGAGCAGGGACTGTGTCTTGCCCATTGCTATATCCCCATTGCCCATTTTAGCACCTCACACAGAGTTGGTGCTCAATGCATATTTAGTGAATATGTTGTAATTATTATTTAGAATGACTGAATGGATGACTCAAAACTGAAAACTGAATCGACTTCTATCTGGAGTTTGAAGAAAATATTAGCCCCCTTGTGTTTGAATGTTTATTATGAGTCAGGCACTTTACATATATTATCTTGCCTAACGTCAGAAGAAAGTACTGGCATTATCTCTATAGGACGGAGGAAGAAGTTGAGACTCAGGAGGACAAGTCATTTTTACAAAATCACAGGGAGACAGTACTCAAGTTGAGCTCAGACTAAGCCATTCTTAACCACTTTGCCTAGTTCTTGAGAAATGGTGCACTTTAAGCACTGGAATAGCACCATAATTTCAAGGTGACCCAGCTTCAACTGTGCACACTCATACCTTCCTGGTGGAGGAGCTTGACCTCAAGTTAATGAGCCTGAAAGAGAAGTGAGTACCATTCTTTTTTTGAGAAAAATTGTTCCAGTTGTGCAGCACTTTTTCAGCCCAAGGCATCTGTGATACCAGGTGAGGATGAGCAGAGTGATCCACCCCATGCTATCTCTTACCTCAGCTGCTGGGCATCGACAGTTAATTCTAGACCCCTGTTTATGCGCATAATATTACAGGCTCAGAGTGACTAAAACATTTGTAAGGACCCAGACTTCTTAAAGCTGCTAGAGGCAGGTCTCCCTGGGAGATGAAAAGATTACAATGTCATCGTCCTTTAAATGATAACAGGGCACTCATGCTTTTCTTTTAACCTGAAGGGAAAATCAACACGTTTTACCCTGTGGCAGAATAGAACTGGGACTTACATTTCAAAATGATCATTGCTGACATCTTGTTCTATGTGCCATCAATTTTTGTTCAGGCACCTAGAATTTGTTTTTCCTCCAGGAATTTGGAGTGATGTGTACACGTCATCCTCTCACCCAATGTTACACTTATTAACACATAGTGTCAAACTAGTGGCAGATCGAAATGATTCCACAAGTGCTGCAAAAACACAAAGTATTTTGTGTTTCAGATTGGTCAGTAAACACAGAATCTCTCTTTTATTTAGTGCCAGGAGCTAAATTCATGAGATCCTTGATTATTTGTCAGGCAGCAGTTTCTGTAACAGTAGTTTCCAGTGTTCTTTGCAAAAGCTGTGAGTGCAATGTTCACTGTTCTCTGAGTGCTTGTCGGAGACCTGGGGAGTATTTTAAACATGACGATTCTATCCAGAAATTTTCATGGAGGTACAAGAGTAACCATGGGTTTCTGATTATGGTGCAGAAGGAGGCATTAAAAAAACCCAAGTGCAAGACAGAACACTATTCTTTTTCATTAAAGTATTTCCACTCAGATTTTTGGCTTTAACAATGATGAAAACAAAATGAAACTACTTAACTAGAAGCAAATCACTTTTTATAGTGTTATGAAAAGAAGAATATGCATAAATATATTGAGGGGTGTTATGGACTATCCTTTGAAAGTATTCTCAATGGGCCAGGCGTGGTGGCTCATGTGTGTAATCCTAGCACTTTGGGAGGCTGAGGCGGGTGGATCACCTGAGGTCAGGGGTTTGAGACCAGCCTGGCCAGTATGGTGAAACACTATTTCTACTAAAAAATACAAAAATTAGCTGGTTGTGGTGGTGAGTGTCTATAATCCCAGCTACTCAGGAGGCTGAGGCAGGAGAATCGCTTGAACCCAGGAGGTGGAGGTTGCAGTGAGCCGAGATCACACGACTGCACTCCAGCCTGGGTGAAAGAGTGAAACTCTGTCTCAAAAAAAAAAAAAAAGTATTCTCAATGAAAATAATGTCCTTAATACCTTCCTTAGCTAGTGTCATGCCTTTGTCTATAATGATATATATTTATTATTACCCTCTCTGCTTATTGGGGTGGCATTCAGAAATAACAAGTATTTCATATGGAATACTGACATTATAATGGGCATGAATTTGTAATCACAAACTCAAATCTGGCCATGCAAGATGTGTTACATTTCTTTGTTGTCGATAGTGTACTCTGAATCCACCTCTTGTCAGGCTAATGAGAGAGAAGCTGGTCATTACAGGGGACTAGGAAGTTCCCAGTTAATTAGAAAACAGTAGCAATAGCAGTAGTAATGACATCCATGTCCCTGCAAAGGACATGATCTCATTCTTTTTTTTGACTGCGAAGTATTTCATGGGGTCTATGTACCACATTTTCTTTATCCAGTCTGCCATTGACGGACTTTTACATTGATTCCATGTCTTTGCTATTGTGAATAGTGCTGCACAGGCAAAGATTTCATCAGATGAAGACAACAAAAGTAATGGCAACAAAAGCAAATTTACAAATAGGATCTAATTTAATTAAAGAGCTTCTGCACAGCAAAAGAAACTATGAACAGAGTAAACAGAAACAGACAATCTACAGAATGAGAGAAAATTTTTGCAAACTATGCATCTGACAAAGGTCTACTATCCAGCATCTATAAGGAACTTTAAACTTACAAGAAAAAACAAAAAGTGGGCAAAGGGCATGAACAGACATTTCTTTTATTATTACTATTATTATACTTTAAGTTCTAGGGTACATGTGCACAACATGCAGGCTTGTTACATAGGTATACATATGCCATGTTTGTTTGCTGCACGCACCAACTTGTCATTTACATTAGGTGTTTCTCCTAATGCTATCCCTCCTCCAGCCCCCCACTCCTCAACAGGCCCCGGTGTGTGATGTTCCCCACCCTGTGTTCATGTGTTCTCATTGTTCAACGCCCAACTATGAGTGAGAACACGTGGTGTTTGCTTTTCTGTCCTTGTGATAGTTTGCTTAGAATGATGGTTTCCAGCTTCATCCATGTCCCTGCAAAGAACATGAACGCATCCTTTTTTATGGCTGCATAGTATTCCATGGTGTATATGTGCCACATTTTCTTAATCCAGTCTATCATTGATGGACATTTGTGTTGGTTCTAAGTGTTTGCTATTGTGAATAGTGTCACAGTAAACATATGTGTGCATGTGTCCTTATAGTAGCATGATTTATAGTCTTTTGGGTATATACCCAGTAATGGGATCACTGGGTCAAATGGTATTTCTAGTTCTAGATCCTAGAGGAAACGCCACACTGTCTTCCACAATGGTTGAACTAATTTACACTCCCACCAACAGTGTAAAAGCGTTCCTATTTCTCCACATCCTCTCCAGCATCTGTTGTTTCCTGATGTTTTAATGATCACCAGTCTAACTGGCATGAAATGGTATCTAATTGTGGTTTTGATTTGCATTTCTCTGATGACCAGTGATAATGAGTGTTTTTTCATCTGTCTGTTCGCTGGATACACGTCTTCTTTTGAGAAGTGTCTGTTCATATCCTTTGCCCACTTTTTGATGGGTTTTTTTTTTTCTTGCAAATTTGTTTAAGTTCTTTGTAGATTCTGAATATTAGCCCTTTGTCAGGTGGGTAGATTTCAAAGATTTTCTCCCATTCTGTAGGTTGTCTGTTCACTCTGATGATAGCTTCTTTTGCTGTGCAGAAGCTCTTTAGTTTAATTAGATCCCATTTGTCAATTTTGGCTTTTGTTGCCATTGCTTTTGGCATTTTAGTCATGAAGTCTTTGCCCATACCTATGTCCTGAATGGTATTGCCTAGGTTTTCTTCTACAGTTTTTATGGTGTTAGGTCTTACATTTAAGTCTTTAATGCACCTTGAGTTAATTTTTGTATACGGTGTAAGGAAAGGATTCAGTTTCAGTTTTCTCTACACATGGCTAGCCAGTTTTCCCAGCACCATTTATTAAATAGGGAATTCTTCCCCCATTGCTTGTTTTTGTCAGGTTTGTCAAAGATCAGATGGTTGTAGATGTGTGGTGTTATTTCTGAGGCCTATGTTTTGTTCCATTGGTCTATATATTTGTTTTGGTACCAGTCCCATGCTGTTTTGGTTACTGTAGCCTTGTAGTATAGTTTGAAGTCAGGTAGTGTGATGCCTCCAGCTTTGTTCTTTTTGCTTAGAATTGTCTTGGCTAATGCAGGCTCTTTTTGGGTTCCATATGAACTTTAAAGTAGTTTTTTACAATTCTGTAAAGAAAGTCACTGGTAGCTTGATGGGGATAGCATTGAATCTAGAAATTACCTTGGACAGTTTGGCCATTTTCACAATATTGATTCTTCCTATCCGTGAGCATGGAATGTTCTTCCATTTATTTGTGTATTCTTTTATTTCGTTGAGCAGTGGTTTATAGTTCTCCTTGACAAGGTCCTTCAATCCTTTGTAAGTTGGATTCCTAGGTATTTTATTCTCTTTCTAGTAATTGTGAATGGGAGTTCATGATTTGGCTCTCTGTTTGTCTAGTATTGGTGTATAGGAATGCTTTCGACTTTTGCACATTGATTTTGTATCCTGAGACTTTGCAGAAGTTGCTTATCAGCTTAAGGGGATTTTGGGCTGAGATGATGGGATTTTCTAAATATACAGCCATGTCATCTGCAAACAGAGACAATTTGACTTCTTCTTTTCCTAATCCAATACTCTTCATTTATTTCTCTTGCCTGATTGCCCTAGCCAGAACATCCAACACTATGTTGAATAGGAGAGGTGAGAGAGGGCATCCTTGTCTCGTGCCAGTTTACAAAGGGAATGCTTCCAGTTTTTCCCATTCAGTATGATGTTGGCTGTGGGTTTGTCATAAATAGCTCTTATTATTTTGAGATATGTTCCATCAATACCTAGCTTATTGAGAGTTTTTAGTATGAAGGGCTGTTGAGTTTTGTTGAAGGCCTGTTGAATTTTGTCGATGGCCTTTTCTGCATCTATTGAGATAATCATGTGGTTTTTGTCATTGCTTCTGTTTATGTGATGGGTTATGTTTATTGATTTGCATATGTAGAACCAGACTTGCATCCCAGGGATGAAGCCGACTTGATCGTGGTGGATAAGCTTTTTGATGTGCTGCTGGATTCAGTTTGCCAGTATTTTATTGAGGATTTTTTGCATCGATGTTCATCAGGGATATTGGCCTAAAATTCAACTTTTTTGTTGTGTCTCTGCCAGGCCTTGGTATCAGGATGATGCTGGCCTCATAAAGTAGGGTAGGGAGGATTTCCTCTTTTTCTATTGATTGGAATCATTTCAGAAGGAATGGTACCAGCTCCTCTTTGTACCTCTGGTAGAATTTGGCTGTGAATCCGTCTGGTCCTGGACTTTTTGTGGTTGGTAGGCTATTAATTATTGTCTCAATTTCAGAACCTGTTATTGGTCTATTCAGATATTCAACTTCTTCCTGGTTTAGTCTTGGGAGGATATATGTGTCCAGGAATTTATCCATTTCTTCTAGATTTTCTAGTTTATTTGCATAGAGGTGTTTATAGTATTCTCTGATGGTAGTTTGTATTTTTGTGGGATCAGTGGTGATATCCCCTTTATCATTTTTAATTGCGTCTATTTGATTCTTTTCTCTTTTCTTCTTTATTAGTCTTGCTAGCAGTCTATCTATTTCGTTGATCTTTTCAAAAAACAGCTCCTGGATTCGTTGATATTTTGAAGGGTTTTTTGTGTCTCTATCTCCTTCATTTCTGCTCTGATCTTAGTTATGTCTTGCCTTCTGCTAGCTTTTGAATTTGTTTGCTCTTGCTTCTCTAGTTCTTTTAATTGTGATGTTAGGGTGTCAATTTTGGATCTTTCCTGTTTTGTCTTGGGGGCATTTAGTGCTATAAATTTCCCTTTATACATTGCTTTAAATGTGTACCAGAGATTCTGGTACATTGTGTCTTTCTTCTCATTGGTTTCAAAGAGCATCTTTATTTCTGCCTTCATTCCGTTATTTACCCAGTAGTCATTCAGGAGCAGGTTGTTCAGTTTCCATGTTGTTGAGTGGTTTTGAGTGAGTTTCTCAATTCTGAGTTCTAGTTTGATTGCACTGTGGTGTGAGACACAGTTTGTTGGGATTTCTGTTCTTTTACATTTGCTGAAGAGTGTTTTACTACCAATTATGTGGTCATTTTTAGAATAAGTGTGATGTGGTGCTGAGAAGAATGTATATTCTGTTGATTTGGGGTGTAGAGTTCTGTAGATGTCTATTAGGTCTGCTTGGTCCAGAGATGAGTTCAAGTCCTGGATATCCTTGTTAGCCTTCTGTCTTGTTGATCTGTCTAATATTAAGTCAGGTTTTAAAGTCTCCCATTATTATTGTGTGGGAGTCTAAGTCTCTTTGTAGGTCTGTAAGAACTTGCTTTATGAATTTGGGTGCTCCTGTATTGGGTGCATTTATATTTAGGATAGTTAGCTCTTCTTGTTGAATTGATCCCTTTACCATTATGTAGTGGCCTTCTTTGTCTCTTTTGATCTTTATTGGTTTAAAGTCTGTTTTATCAGAGACTAGGATTGCAACCCCTGCCTTTTTTTTGCTTTCCATTTACTTGGTAGATCTTCCTCCCTCCCTTTATTTTGAGCCTACGTGTGTCTTTGCACGTGAGATGGGTCTCCTGAATACAGCACAATGATGGATCTTGACTCTTTATCCAATTTGCCAGTCTGTGTCTTTTAATTGGGGCATTTAGCCCATTTACATTTAAGGTTAATATTGTTATGTTTGAATTTGATCCTGTCATTTTGATGTTAGCTGGTTATTTTGCCCGTTAATTGATGCAGTTTCTTCATAGCATCAATGGTCTTTACAATTTGGCATGTTTTTGCAGTGGCTGGTACTGGTTGTTCCTTTCCATGTTTAGTGCTTCCTACAGGAGCTTTTGTAAGTCAGGCCTGGTAGTGACAAAATCTCTCAGCATTTGCTTGTCTGTAAAGGGTTTTATTTTTCCTTCACTTACGAAGCTTAGTTTGTCTGAATATGAGATTCTGGGTTGAAAATTCTTTTCTTTAAGAATGTTGTATATTGGCCTTCACTCTCTTCTGGCTTGTTGGGTTTCTGCCAAGAAATCTGCTGTTAGTCTGATGAGCTTCCCTTTGTGGGTAACCCTACCTTTCTCTGGCTGCCCTTAACACTTTTTCCTTCATTTCAGCCTTGGTGAATTATGTGTCTTGGAGTTGCTCTTCTCGAGGAGTATCTTTGTGGTGTTCTCCGTATTTCCTGAATTTGAATGTTGGCCTGCCTTGCTAGGTTGGGGAAGTTATCCTGGATAATATCCTGAAGTGTGTTTTCTAACTTGGTTCCATTCTCCCCGTCACTTTCCAGTACACCAATCAAATGTATATTTGGTCTTTTCACATAGTCGCATATTTCTTGGAGGATCTGTTCATTTCTTTTCACTCTTTTTCCTCTAATCTTGTCTTCTCACTTTATTTCATTAATTTGCTCTTCAATCACTGATATCCTTTCTTCCACTTGATCAAATTGGCTATTGAAGCTTGTGCATGCATCACGAAGTTCTTGTGCCATTTTTTTCAGCTCCGTCAGGTCATTTAAGGTCTTCTCTACACTGTTTATTCTAGTTAGCCATTCATCTAATCTTTTTTCAAGGTTTTTACCTTCCTTGCAATGGGTTAGAACATGCTCCTTTAGCTCGGATTAGTTTGTTATTACTGATCTTCTGAAGCCTACTTCTGTCAGTTCATCAAACTCATTCTCTGTCCAGTTTTGTTCCCTTGCTGGCAAGGAGCTGTGATCCTTTGGAGGAGAAGAGGTGCTCTGTTTTTTGGAATTTTCAGCTTTTCTGCTCTGGTTTCTCCCCATCTTTGTGATTTTATCCACCTTTAGTCTTTGATATTGGTGATCTACAGATGGGGTTTTGGTGTGGATGTCTTTTTTGTTGATGTTGATGCTATTCCTTTCTGTTTGTTAGTTTTGCTTCAAACAGTCAGACCCCTCAGCTGCAGGTCTGTTGGAGTTTGCTGGACATCCACTCCAGACCCTGTTTGCCTGGATTTGACAAGCGGAGGCTGCAGAACAGCAAATATTGCTGCCTGATCCTTCCTCTGGAAGCTTCGTCTCAGAGGGGCACCTGCCTGTTTGAGGTGTCTGTTGGCCCCTACTGGGAGGTGTTTCCCAGTTAGGCGACACTGGGGTCAGGGACCCACTTGAGGAGACTGTCTGTCCATTCTCTGAGTTCGAACACCATGCTGAGAGAACCACCTCTCTCTTCAGAGCTGTCAGACAGGGACATTTAAGTTTGCAGAAGCTGTCTGCTGCCTTTTGTTCTACTATGCCCTGCCCCCAGAGGTAAAATCTATAGAAGCAGTAGACTGTGCTGAGCTGCAGTGGGCTCCACCCAGTTTCTGCTTCCCGGTCTCTTTGTTTATACTGTGAGCTACTCAAGCCTCAGCAATGGTGGACGCCCCTCCCCCCATCAAGCTTCAGTGTGGCAGGTTGATCTCAGACTGCTATGCTAGCAGCGAGCAAGGCTCCGTGGGCATGGGACCTGCCAAGCCAGGTGCAGGAGGGTATCTCCTGGTCTGCCGGTTGCTAAGACTGTGGGAAAAGTGCAGTATTTGGTCAGGAGTGTACCATTTCTCCAGGTGCAGTCTGTCACAGCTTCCCTTGGCTAGGAAAGGGAAATCCCCTGACCCCTTGTGCTTCCTGGGTGAGACAACGCCTTGCCCTGCTTTGGCTCACCCTCCGTGAGCTGCACCCACTGTCCAACCACTCCTAATGAGATGAACAAGGTACCTCAGTTGGAAAAGCAGAAATCATCCTTATTCTGTGTCGATCTTGCTGGGAGCTGCAGACTGGAGCTGTTCCTATTTGGCCATCTTGGCAGACATTTCTTAAAAGAAGACATACATGTGGCCAACAAGTATATGAAAAAAAGCTCAACATCACTGATCATTAGAGAAATGCAAATCAAAACCACAATGATATACCATCTCACACCAGTCAGAATGGCTACTAATAAAAAGTCAAAAATAAGAGATGCTGGCAAGGTTGTGGAGAAAAAGAAATGCTTCTACACTGTTGGTGAGAGTGTTAATTAATTCAACCATTGTGGAAGACAGTGTGGTGTTTCTTCAAAAACCTGAAGACAGAAATACCATTCAACCCAGCAATCCCATTACCTGGTATATACCCAAAGAAATATAAATCATCCTATTATAAAGACACATGCACATGTATGCTGATTTCTTTTCATGTTAGATGGCTTTGGAGTGTTTGCTGGTGTTATGGAAATCATACTAAATGGAAGTTGAATCAAGGAAATATTTAGTTTGCTGAGGTCATGCTGGGTGCCTTCTGTGTGTGATTACATTATTGCTCTTCATATGATTATAGGAATGGTTTTCAGAAATGCTCCCATGACTAGCTCAGTATTGAAAACAGTGGTGCAGGACCAGAGGTTGATTGTGATATAAACAGATCCTAAGGCACTGGAAGTATGTGGGTAATGAAGAAAAAATGAGGTTTGAAAAGTTTGGAGCCAGAAGCTAGTCTATGGGAAATTCTTCCAGTTATCAGATGTTTAGCACTGAAGCAATTCTTGCTGATAATTAGTCAAGAAATCCTCTATAAGGAATATACTTGTTAATACATTATATACAATTATTTGAATATCACTTACGTTTTTATTTTTAAGCTAAAAGCATGAGAATATTTTTACTCAGAATATTTGTATTTGTAGCACAATACAAACACTTTCCACATAGCAGTGCCATAAATATTAAGTACCTCTAAGTGCGAAATCATGTTTTATGCATCCCAAAAAATTAGCTCAAATCTTAGTATATCTGAGGCATATGTCCTGAAGTAATTTGGAGTCCCAGATGAATTGACATTCAAAATTACCACCAACATTTCAAAACACCCTGAAAAAATAAGTGGTCCAATGATATGCTATATGTATTTATTATTATGTTAATATACTTAATATTAGAAAATTATTATTACACAACTATGGAGCTCATGACAATATGGCAGTAGGCTAAAAATAAATTTGAACTGTTTTTGTACATACCTTAAATTCAAATTAATTATGTACATTGTTATCCAAATTATTAACTACAAAAAAAGCCAGATTCTATGGGAAGAGAAGATTCTAATGGAAGCTAGGAAATGTAATATAAAGACAATCTTGGCAAAAGATAATTTGGCACAAAAAGACAAAATTTGGCAACATGTCAAAAACTCTTTTACTGTAACTGAAACTAAAAATTCTGATGGTCAAAATCATAAAAAAAAATCATGATAGACAAGCAAAAACATGAACAGATAATAGGGATGACAACAGAAGAGATAAATAAATGAATAGACTCCCACCCTGTGAACAAAAAGTAGAAGGAAAATGAAAGTAACAGCAAAGAAAAACATAATTTGTATAGTTACCAGTGCATGAAGGAATTTCAATAACAGCTTTATTGGGAAAATTAATTGACTTTGATAAGTAGCATGTTTGTCCTGATAAATGTACTCCAGCATTGTTTTATCAAAGAAATTTGTGTCCCTCTTCAAATTATGATGCCAGTAATAATTAGAGAGTTTAACAAATATACAATGGACAATAGAAATATCTTTAAAGTTGGTGTTATGAACAACACCAAAAGAAAAATGTTCAAACTGTTTTGAGATCCCAGCTAGTGAGTCCAAGATAAGATGTATATATTGTATAATTGAGAAAGTGTTTTAATAGGCAGACATAACTTCCTGAAAGTCAGGAATACTCCACAGACAAGCGGGTACTGGAATACATATCAATCAAAAACAAATGCACTAGACACCACCTTGAAGAACAGAGAAGAGTCAGTTTTATTATTAATGTTTAGTATTCTTTTTAAACATTTAAAAGAGTGGTTATGCCTTTTTTATTGTAATTGGCAATTTATAATTGTATCAATGTTATAAGGTACAAAGGGATGTTATGAATTATAAACATAATGTAGAATAATTAGATCAAGCTAGTTAACATATTCATAACATCACATACATTATAACACTTATTTGTGGTGAGGACATTTGAAATTTATTATCTTAGCATTTTCAAACGTACAATTCTCTAGTATTAACTATATCTACCATGGTGTGAAATAGAATTATAAAAAATTTCCTCCTGTCTGAGATTTTGTACCCTTTGATCATCATCTCCTTATTTCATGCACCCAACAGCCTCTGTAGCCACCATCCTACTCTTTGCTTCTATAAATTTGATCCTTTTAGATTCCATATGCAAGTGAGATCATCTGGTATTTGTCTTTCTGTGCCTGGTTGATTTTACTCATCATAATATTCTCCAATTCTATCCATGTTGTCACAGATGACAGAATTTGCTTCTTTTTTAAGGTTGAATAGTATACCATTGTGTGTATATGCCACATTTTCTTTATTCATTCATCGTTGATGGCCACTTAGGTTGAATCCATAACTTGAACAATGCTGCAATTAACATGGAGTGCACACATATCTTCAACAAATTGATTTCAAACATTTTGTGCAAATACCCAGAAGTGGAATTGCTGGATCATAGGGTAATTCTATTTTTAGTTTACTGAGAGACCTCCATATCGTTGGCAAGGAGGTAGAGAAAGAGCAACGCTTGTACCCTGTTGGTGGGGATGTAAATTAGTACAGGCATTATACAAAACTGTATGGAGGTCCCTCATAAAATGTCTATTCAAGTCCCTTGTATCAATCTTTTCATTGAATTTTTTTTCTTGCTGTTGAGTTGTTTGAGCTCCTTACATATTTTGAATATTAACTCCCTATCAAAGGTATGGCTTGAAAATATTTTCTCTCATTCCATAGGCTATCTCTGCACACTGATAATTGTTTCCATTACTATGCAGAAGTTTTTTAGTGTGATGAAATCCCATTTATCTATTTTTGCTTTTATTTCTGGTGCTTTTGGGGTCACACTCGAAAAAATCATCACACAGATGTATGTCATGTAGTTTTTCCTTTCTGTCTTCTTCTAGTAGGTTTATAGTTTCTGGTCTTATGTTTATGTCTTTAATCCATTTTTAGTTTAATTTTGTAAATGGTGTGAGATAATGGTTCAATTTCATTCTTCTTCACATGGATATCCAGCTTTCTCATCACCATTTATTAAAGAGATTATAATTTTCCTGTTGCATATTCTTGGCACCTTTGTCAAAATACAATTGTTCACAAATGCATGGGTTCATTTCTGGGCCCTATATTCTGTTCCATTTGTCAATGTGTCTATTTTTTTTTTTTTTTTTTTCCCAGTAATGATGCTTTAATTACCATAGCCTGTAGTATGGTTTGAAATCAGGTAGTGTGATACCTCCAGCTTTGTTTATTTTTTTCTCATGATTGCCTTGGCTATCTGTATTTTGTTTATTTTTTTTGTGGCTCCATATAAATGTTAGGATTTTTTTATATTTCTATGAAAAATGACATTTAAATTTTGATAGGTATTGCATTGAATTTGTAGATCTGCTTTGTAGTATAAATGTTTTAGAAATATTAATTCTTCTAATCCATTAACATGAAATATCTTCCTACATATTTGTGTCTTTAATTTCTGTATTAGTCCATTCTCATGCTGCTAATAAAGACATACAAAAGCCTGGGTAATTTATAAAGTAAAGATGTTTAATTGATTCACAATTCCACATGACTGGGGAGGCCTCACAATCATGGTAGAAGGCAGAGGAGGAGCAGAGGCATGTCTTACATGGTGGCAGGCAAGAGAGTGTGTGCAGTGTGCAGGGGAACTCCCCTTTGTAAAACTGTCAGATCTTGTGAGACTTATTCACTATCATGAGAACAGCATGGGAAAGACCCACCCCCATAATTCAATTACCTTCTACCAGGCCCTTCCCATGACACATGGGAATTATGGGAGCTACAATGAGAAGATGAGATTTGGATGGGGACACAGCCAAATCGTATCAATTTCTTTCATCAGTGTTTTATAGTTTTCAGTGTACAGGTCTTTCACCTAATTGCTTAAATTTATTCCTAAGAATTTTAATTTTTGTAGCTATTGTGAATGAAATTGTTCTCTTGATTCTTTTATCAGATAATTTGGCATTAGCATACAGAAATGCTACTGATTTTGCATGTTGATTTTGTGTCCTGCAACTTTTCTGTATTTGTTTATTAGTTCTAGTAGCTTTTTGGTGTATTGAGTAGGGTTCTCTCTGTAAGATCATCTAATCAGCAAGCAGAGACAATTTCACTTTTTTCTTATTTGGATGCTTTTGGTTTGTTTATTTTGCTATTAGAAGTCTATTCTAGACTTCCAATACTATGTTGAATAGAAATGGTGAGAGTAGACATCCTTGTCTTGTTCTAGGTCTTAGAAAAAAGGTTTTCAAATTTTCACCGTTGAGTATAATGTTAGCTCTGGTGATTCTCATATGTAACTTTTACTATGTTGTAATACATTCCTTCTATACCTAATTTGGTGAGAGCTTTTTCATAAAAAGATGTGCATTTTTTTCAATTGCTTTTTCTGCATCTAATTAGATAAGTTGATTTCTTTCATTGATTCTGTTAATGTGATATAATACATTTATTGACTTGCAGATGTCAAACCATCTTTGTATCCCAGGGCCAAATCTCATTTGATTGTGATAGATGATTCTTCTAATGTGTTGTTGAAGTTGGTCTGCTAGCTTTTGTTGAGATTTTTTTCATCTATGTTTATCAAGGATATTTGTGTGTAGTTTTCTTTTCTTGTAATGTCTTTGGCATTGGTATTAGGTTAATTAATACTGGCCTTGTAAAAGGAGTTCAGTGTTCCCTCTTCTTCAATTTTTTGCAAGAGTTTGCAAAATATTGGTATCCTCCTTTGAATGCTTGGTAGAATTTAGCCATGAAGCCACCAGGTCCTGGGCTTTTCTTTGATGGGAAACATTTTATTACTGATTCAAGCACTTCACTTGTTATTTGTCTATTCATATTTTTTTTTTTTTCATGACTCAGTCTTGGTAGGTTGTATGTTTCTAGGAATTTATCAATTTTTCCTAGGTTATCCAATTTGTTGGCCTATAATTGTTCATAGAAGTCCCATGATCCTTTGTATTTCTATGATATTGATGATAATGTCTCCTCTTTCATTTCTGATTGTATTCTTCTTACCATTTTTTTCTTAGTCTAGTTAAAGATTTGATTTTTTTGATCTTCTCAAATAACCACCTCTTAGTTTGATTTATCTTTTGTATTGTTTTTCTCATCTCAACTGTATTTCTGCTCTGGTCTTCATTATTTCCTTTCTCTTGCTAATTTTTGGCTTAGTTTGTTCTTTATTTTCTAGTTCCTTGAGGTGTTATGTTAGGTTGTTTATTTGAGATCTTTCTTCTTTATTGAAGTAGACATTTATTATTATAGAAATTCCTCTTAGTATTTCTTTTGATCTATCACATAAGCTTTGGTATGTTGTGTTTCCATTTTCATTGGCCTCCAGATATTTTTAAATTTCCCTTTTAATTTCTTTATTTACTCCATGATTGTTCAGGATTATGTTGTTTAATTTCCACCTATATGTGAATTTTCTAAAATTCCTCCTTTTATTGATTTCTAATTTTATATCATTTTGTTTGGAAAATATTTGATGTAATTTTAATCTCTTTAAATTTGCTGAGGCTTGTTTTGTGCCCTAATATGTGATCTATTCTGGTGAATATTCCATGTGCATTTGAGAAGAATGCATATTCTGATGCTATTGGATAGAATGTTCTTTATAAGTTTTTTAGGTCTATTGGTCTAAACTATAATTAAAGTCCAATCTTTCCTTATTAGCGTTTTTGTTGGAATGAACAGTCTTTTGCTTAAAGTGGGGTATTAAAATTTTCCACTATTAAAGTATTGCAATTTATCTCTACTTTCAGATCCTTTAATGTTTGCTTTACATATTTGCGTGCTTCAATGTTAAGTGTATATATTTAAAATTGTTATATCTTCTTGATGAATTGACCCTTTTATCATTATATAATGTCCTCCTTTGTTTCTTTTTACAGTTTTTCACTTAAAGTCTATTTTGTCTGATATAAGTATAGCTCTCCCTGTTCTATTTGGTTTCCATTTGTGTGGGATGTCTTTTTCTATCCCTTCACTTTCAGTCTATGTGTATCCATGAAAGTTAGGTGAGTTTACCTGCAGGCAGCATATAGTTGGATCTTACTTTTTTATACATTAAGTCACTCTGTATCTTTATATTGAGAATTTAATCCATTTACATTTAAGTAATTATTGATAGGTAAGAACTTACTACTTTTTGAAAATTACTTTCTAATTGTTTGCAGACACTTTCTTTCTTCCTGTCATGCCATCTTCCTTTATTGTTTGATGACTTTCTTTAGTGGTATGCTTTGAATCCTTTTTATTTTTGTTCTGTACTTCCACAAAAGATTTCATTTTGTGGTTACCATGAGGCATGCATAGACCATATTGTAGTTATATCAGCTTATTTAAAGCTTATAACAATGAATTTGACTGCATACAGCTCTACATCCCTCCATTTTATGTTTTTATGTCATAATTTACACCTTTTTGCAATATGCATACTTTGATAATTTATTTTAGATATGTTTATTGTTAATGGTTTTGTTTTGTAACCATTGTACTAGAGACACAATTGCCTTACATGATATCTTTAAAGTTCTAGAGTATTCTGAATATGGCTCTGTTTTACTTATATCATTGAATTTTGTGCTTTCATGTTTCACATTATCAATTACCAGCTTTTTGTTTTAGTTTGAAGAACTCCTTTTAGTAATTCCTATTACGCAGGTTTAAGGTGATAAACTCCCTTAGCTTTTGTTTGTCTGGGAAAATTTTTATTTCTCCCTAGTTTCTGAGAGACAGAGTTGAGGAATAAAGTATTCTTGCTTGGCAGGATTTGTTTTCACCACTTTGAATATGTCATTTCACTCTTCATTGTTATGCAGAGTTTTGCTGAGAAATCTGCTGGTAGTTATATTCAAATTCCTTTGTATGTGATGTGTTTCTTATTATGTACTAATTTCAGAATATTTTCTTGTTTTTTTTTTTGTTTGTTTGTTTTTTGTTTTTTGTTTTTTTTTTTTTTTGAGATGGAGCCTTGCTCTGTCACCCAGGCTGGAGTATGGTGGTGCGATTTCAGCTCACGGCAACCTCTGCCTCCCAGGTTCAAGCGATTCTCCTACCTCAGCCTCCTGAGTAGCTGGGATTACAGGCATGCAACACCACACCTGGCTAATTTTTATATTTTTAGTAGAGATGGGGTTTTACCATGTTGGTCAGACTGGTCTTGAACTCCTGACCTCCTGATCCACCCTCCTCAGCCTCCCAAAATGCTGGGATTACAGGCATGAGCCACCATGCCCAGCTTGTCTTTGATTTTTGATAGTTTGATTATTATGTGTTGTGGTGTACTCCTCTTTGGGTTGCAATTGATTAGAGACCTTTACACTTCCTGTGCCTGGGTGTTGGCATCTATCCCCAGATTAGGAAGGTTTTTGGCCATTATTTCTTTTGATATATTTTCTTGCTCCCTTTCCCATTCTTCTTCTTCTGCGATTTTTAGTATGTGAAGATTTGGTGTCCTGATGGTGTCTCATATTTCTCATAGGCTTTCTCCATTCTCTTTCATTCTTTTGTCTTTTTGTTCCTCTGACTAGGTAATTTCAAGTGTCTGTCTTCCAGCTCACTGACTCTTACTTCTGCTTGATCAAGCCTTCATTGAAGCTTTCAACTAAATGTTTCAGTTTAGCCTCTGTATTTTTCATTGCCAGGATATCTATCTGGTTCTTTTTTAATTGTTTCTAGTTCTTTGTCAAACTTCTCACTGTTTTTCTTGTTTTTTCTTCAAATTTCATTTAAATTTTGTATCTGCATATTCTTGTAGTTCACTGAACTCTTTATGAATATTATTCATAGCTCCTCATTTTTTTGGAGTCTGTTATTGGAGCTTAATTAGTTTCTTTTGGAGGTGTCAGGATTCCCTCAATTTTGTGATCCTTGTGTCCTTGTGTTGTTGTCTGTATATTTGAGGAGACTGCCTCCTTTTCCAGCCTTTACAGGTGTTCTACGATGAGGATATACTTTCGCTATTTAGTTCAGATTGTGATTCTGGAAGGGTCAGGTGGTAATGACACCAGGCGGACAGAGCTTGTTGTGAATTCTCTAGTTGACTGGCCCACTGCCTTTGTTCTGAGGTTGGGTGGGCTGCTGACTGTGCTCCACTGTATGTTGAGATTACTGGCTGGGTATTGCTATCAAGTGGAGCTGCTGGCTGGGAATTGTGAGGGATTCTTATCGGGTTGGTCACAAGATGTATTTCCAGGCTGGGTAATTCTGCTCTTTGAGATGTACAGTTGTGCAGGTCTGCAGGCTAGGCTTGGAGGTTAGGTAGAATTGTTGCTCAGAATAGGTAGTATCAGAGGCTATGCTCCTTAGAAATGCATGATTGAGGATTGTCTCACTGCTAGGGTGGAGATGTGTGTGGTGAGCTTTCAGCTGAGTTAACTGGCTGTTTGACCTACTGGGTCAAGCAGGTTTAACCCTTCTGCTTCTCTAAGATCAGTGAGGTGAAAGTCTTTTTGCCTGGGAAGAGTATTGGGAGTGCTTTTTGGCTGAGCGGAGCTACTGCCTGACTTCCTGAGTCAAACAGATTTAGCCCCTTTGCTTTCCTGAATTCCACAAAAGTGGGAGTCTCTCTGCCTGGGCAGGGTGTTTGCCAGGCTTTTTGGATGGGTGGAGCCACAGCTCGACTTCTAAAGTAAAGCTGGTCTATCTCATACACTTATCTGAGATATGGGAAAGTAGAAATCTCCCTGCCTGGGTGTGGTCATCAGGAAGGGTTCTGAGACCAGACAGGGAGACTAGCAGTATAGGAACTCAAGCTAGGTGGTACTTCCCACCATGCTTCTGAAGGGGATCAGGTCGGCTTTGTAGGTGGGCTATGCGGTTTACAGATATCTCTGATTTGGCAAGAATAGCTGGCAGGAACACAGAGGTACTACCAAGATCTGTGCACTGGTCACTATGACCTCTGCCTTCTTTCTTTGTTTCTACCTAACTCCACCTTGTCTACTCATGCCATTTTTCCTAGTGTTCCCCATAAAATGAGACTAGAGTGAGCTGCCCAGAAAGCATCTTGGAACGCAAGGAAAACTGGATGACTTCCTCAGGGTCTCTTTTCCCCTTGTAGAAATTGTAGGCCCAAGAAAATCCTCTCAATCTGGCACCATCTAGACTTGGAAGAAGGATGGGGCAGCACAATCAGTATGAGACTGTTCTTCTTATCCTTCTAATTAAAATTTCATTCAATTCTGTGGAAAACATGGGTGTCTCAGGCTTGTTGCCAAATGTTGGGGTTTTCAAAAGGATGCTCTAGGCTATAGATACTTGCTAGATAAACTTTCTGTAGAGGGTGTGGAGCTTGAGACATCTTATTCTGCCATTTTTCTGATGTCATTCTTCCTATCAAATTTTTAAGTGAAGGCCTTTCCCCTTCAGAGAACACAATGAAAAATGGTGTTCTTCAAGTAATGATAATTATTGAAATAATGGGAGTTACTAAATAAATGCTACATTTGATTTGTTTTTGTATGAACACTTAGAAAAAATTTCAAAATGAATAGCCAAATGTGCCTTAATTATCCCAAATTATTCACTAGAACTAAATAATGGGAAAACATATAAAGTATTAAATCAGGTAAACCAGACACCAAAAATTACTGTATTATTATAGCATCTACAACAAATGTGATTCGCTGGTTATTATCATGTGCTACTGTTTTCACTGAAACCTCATGAATGACTTTTAAATATTTCACCAGCCAAAAATTCTCTGTATGTAAAAGTGATAAGTGGAATTACTGAATATGCTTCTGGATTATTTAATAATCCAATTAATGACGAGAAGTGACTCATATGAACAAATTAGAAAAAGATTTAAATTTCTTGCCACTTTAAGATGAAATAGTGACTTTAATGATCATATTATAAATGCATAATACAATACTACAATGACGACATAAATGACAAACTGGTCAATGAGTGTTATTAACTGAAATGGTATTTAAGATTGATCGCAGCCAAAGAAAACTTGAAATGACCTGATATCTTACAGCTCACATAAAAAAGAAACTTGATAGAAGTTTTCCTGAATCTGACAATTCAAAATATTTGCATGATACTACCAAAATGATTTATAGAACTGAAAGAAAATTTTTCAAAGTTTAAATAACAACTAAAGACAATAATATATCAAAATTCAATGAACTCTGCTAGAAGAAAGATTTTCTACCTTTGCTATAGAAAATTAACAATTGTCATATGAAAAGGCTGTCAAAGAGTGCGCAGATAATAAACGTAAGCAAAAATACTATCATATAGGTGGGTAAGGCCTTTCATAAATAAAATATTTATAATTTATTTATGGATTTATGATGCTTTCTATTTTTAAATGTCTTTAAAATGCATAATTTGTTGTGTTTTTTTCTCCTTCTAAATCAATTTTCTCCTTAATTTTGTATTCACAACTTTGTATTTTTTTTAAAAAAGATTCCTTAAATGGTATGCAATTCAGACCCATGAAACCTTTGGTTTGTCCCTGCTCTAATCTTAGGCTTCCTTTCGGTTTGGGACGGTCTTTTCATTTTCCCTCTTTGGATCTTTTCCTTCTTGCCTGGAGCCGATGACAGAAGGCCAGAAGGCAACTTCTGTTATAGGGGTAATGATACTTTTGTCCCCTAGAGCATTGGAGACCAAAAGATTGGGGGGAATGCAAGGAAGGGAGTAGAAAATATTGTGAGAATATTCGTGAGGGGAAAATGTACTTCCATCTTGCATTGTGCCACACTCAGGTGCCTGCCCTTTGCTCTACCAGCTCCCTGATCTCCTATTCATTCGCCATGACAGTCAGAGTAATCTCTAAAGCAAAAATTAAACGGCTAAATGAATGTCTTACTTGGTCATGTGACTTGCTGATTTATTTACTGGGTCCCTGCTCTGCCTGCACAACACTGTGCTGTCCACAAGTGTAGATTTCAAAGGTCTTAGCTTTAAAGATGAACCTTAGGCTAAATGTGGAGGTTGGAGGTGGGGGCTCAGGTGGCCCCTGGAAAACCTATGTCTTTTTCTACTTTATATGCTAGACTTTGATATGATATAAGATTGCCTGAAAGAAGCTGCTAGTGTTAAGGATTTGGAAAATCATTAATCTTAAAAACATTTTAAACTCATGACTTCCAAGGCTTCTTAAGATCTAGCCCAACTTCTGTCCCAGGCTCACTGTTGCCAGCCCACAATATGCATCCTCTATTCCAGCCACCGAAAACTGCTCCTCTGTTCTCAAACATGCCACACTCTCTCCCTTCTGCCTTGCACATGCTCTTCCTTCTCTACGAGTGCGTTTTCTTCCCTTGTTGGAGAGACAAACTCCTTTCACCCTAAGTCTCAGCTTAAACGCTGCCTCTGCCCAGTGCCCCATTCACATTTCCTCTTTCCTCTTTCCCTTGGCAAGCCCATGCAATGATTTATTTATTTGAATCAATTTTGGCACAGGGCTCTGACATTGTCTCATAGTTGTTCATCCAGTTTCCTAATTATGAGTTTTTCATCAGCTCTTGTCCTGTTAATCTTGTATCATTGGGACATAGCTTGGGATTTAATATACAGCAGGGGCTCAAAAGAATTAAATGAATGAAGAAAAGATAAAAAATAAGTGAAGCTAAACTAAACGATATTTATCAAGTTAAAGTCATACTTCCCTGAAAAGGCATTTCTTGAGTTACAAACCCCTAAGTTGTGTTGGTACTAAACAGATGAATTGTGAGCTGTGTTTTGCCTTTATTCTCTTCTGCCCCTACCTGATTCAGACAGCCTTTGCCTATCCACATGATATTCTCTTCTGCTCAGTTCTGGGAATTGTATGATGTAATAGTTCTTTGCTACCAATTCCTTTTATCCTTTGAAATGAGAGCATGCAGAGGATGTATTTGCCTATTTCTTTTTAATGATTTTTCCCCAGCACTTATTTTGCTGTGGAAAATCTAACCTTCCTTCTTTTCAGGTGTCTTAGATCAGTCCCTTTTCTCTTCCTTTGTTGTGTTTCTGAGATGATATCCTCAAAATACTGCATGGCTTAAGAATCATGTAAAGGCTACATTTTTATCAAGATAAGAGAAGGTTGGTTTGAAAATACTTTTATGCAACAAATATTTAGTACAGGCAGAGGTAGGTAATGGGGTCATAGAGGTGACCAGGACAGAGAACATCCCTGACATCACGAAGCCTATAGTCTAGTTGGGGAGACAGGAATAAAGGGCTATCCAGACAAGTGACCCTACTATGACCAAGAATTAGGATTGAGGTAAATGCATGAATGCTCAGGGCACTATGCTACTCAAAGAGGAGAGCCCTCTGGTCTGAAGTTGTGAAGATGAATAAGGGGGCCTGGGTAATGTGGAGAAGCTGGGTGTAGGAGGGGGAGATTTAGAGACTGATGAAGAAGTGTGTCCAGAAACCCTGAGCTCAGAAGAGCCTGAAAAGGTTGAGGAAGACAAGAAGTCTGTGAGGCAGAAGCAGAGAGGGGTAGAGAAAGTGGCAGGAGACAAGGTTCCTCAACAGAGCAAAGCAACCAAGCCATCCTGTCAGCCTTGAAGTCCTTAACACTCTCCAGAGGTTCTTCTCCAGATTAACTTTCTTTTCTATTTTGCTTTTGTTGTTAATTATGAATATAGCAATGGTATGTTTTCCTTCCCCCTCCTCAAATGTAATGCATTTTTGCCATCATACGGGCTATTTAGGCCTCTGTGGGCTAGTGTGGAACTCTGACATCATTTCTGTGTTTTCTTCTAGGGGATAATTCCTCCTGAAATCCAAACACTGTCCATACTCTTCTGGTGCACCCGTTTTTACGTTGGTGAGTGCCTGCATTACTAGACAGGTGTCTTATCTGTGATGACTGCTGAGGGGTAAACATTAAACTCATTCTGAATAGAAAATGATAAGCTCCTTCTGCCTGCCAGGGAAATTGTGGTTTTCATAATTTTATTGCTGAAGAAGTAGTTGTCATGGCAATAATTTGTATGACTTTGAACAGCCATTGGGTAAGTACTGTGAATGGTGAGCTTTCAATGCACCAAGAAAGCACTGCCTGATGAGGATTCTGCACAATGCTTTGTTGGAGGTGGTGTATTTCTCTGGTTTTTGTGACATAATTGATTGAGTCTTCACAACTTCAGGTGATTTCTATAGGTATTTATTTAAAGCCCTTAAGATGTTCCTTATGTCAGAAATTGTTCATTTGCTACTTTGTGCTTTAAGCTCATGCTCAATGCCTTCAGTCGTATGGGTTGGCAGTTTGCACCTGTGAGATTCAAATCTTAGCACCTCTGAAATAATTTTACTGAATCCAACTGTACTACTTCATACTCACATTGCTATAAAGAAATGCCTGAGTCTAGATAATTTATAAGAAAAAAAGTCTAACTAGCTCACAGGTCTGTAGGCTGTACAGGAAGCAGAGTGGCATCTGCTTCTGAGGAGCCCTCAGGAGGCTTACAGTCATGGCAAAAGGTGCAGCAGGAGCAGGCACATCATATGAGGAATGCAGGAGTTAGAGAGAGAACGAGGGAGGGAGGAAGTGTCACACACTTTTTTCTTTTCTTTTTTTTCTTTTTTTTTTTTTTTTGAGATGGAGTCTCGCTTTGTTGCCAGGCTGGAGTGCAGCGGCATGATCTTGGCTCACTGCAACCTCCACCTACTGGGTTCAAGCAATTCTCCTGCCTCAGCCTCCCGAGTAGCTGGGATTATAGGCATGTGCAACCACACCCAGCTAATTTTTGTATTTTTAGTAGAGATGGGGTTTCACGATGTTGACCAGGCTGGTCTTGATCTTCTGACCTTGTGATCCACCCTCCTCGGCCTCCCAAACTACTGGGATTACAGGCGTGAGCCACCGCGCCCAGCCCACACACTTTTAAATGACCAGATTTCACAGTAACTCACTATCCCCATAACTCAAACACTTCCCACCAGGTCCCACCTCCAGCATTGGGGATTTATAATTCAACATGAGATTTGGGTGGAGAGAGAGAGCCAAACTATATCACCAACAAATATTTTTGAGTGCCTACTATGAGCACGACGCAACTCTAGGCCCTGCAGAAGACAGAATGGACACGAACACACGTGCCTAAAACCATAGCAGCTACATTTTTAAAGCAGATATAGGCATTACTTGATATTATGATTAATATGGAATAGCCTTACTATGAGTTAGAATTTGTAGCACACGCTACATGAGAGTAAGGTTGGTGTGTGTGGACTGGAAGTCACAGGTGAATTTTCTATACTCCTTTCTGGTTCATTTTCTTACTGCTCTCCTTGTAAACAAGAGGCAGCATAACGTCGTCATTAAGAACAGAGTCTGGGATGTCTCCATTTAAGCAGTTTTTAAAATTTTCTTTGTGACCCAGTTTCCCCCTGTAAAATGATGTTACAAAACTATTTTCTTTAGGGATTCATTTTGGGGTCTAAATGAGTTGGCAAATACAAAGTTCTTAGAGCTGTGATAGTACACACTAATATTACCAGTAAAGAATGGTAGCACATTCAGGCACATTTGGCACATCTTGGCTTCCTGATTTAGTACAACTGTGGCTCTTTCTAATCAGTAAATTGTCTCAGAGAGATGGACATATTCGTTTATTCATCCATCCATACATCCAGTAGTTATTTATTCAGTAATCATAAATTGGGAGCCATGGGTTTTGGTGCTGGATATATAGTAAGGGATAGACAGCTTGAGTGAAGGAAGGAGCAAAATCAGTGGTTGTAGCCTTTGAGGATTTCATGGAGAGTAAAATTGCAAAAATAAATGTGGGGATTGATATCAGACCACCAACATTTTATTTTTCCAAGTAAGGATGTTAAAAACAACCAATTATCATTTGGTATCACCATATTTTAACCCCCAAACAGCAAGAAAAACATAATACCAGAATAAATGAGTCTGTAAAGTAAAGTAAATTTATGTTGGGAACAAGAGTTGACTGTGTTTACCTGCCCATGATAGTGCTCAATAATAATCTGTTGAACAAACATGCCATTTCCCCATTTTCCCCAGGATTTTGCAGACCAAAGAAACTTTACTTGCAGACCAATATTTAGGAGGTTGGGAGAAAATGGGCTTCCAGTTGTGCATTTGGGTTAGAATCTACAGACATCTTTTACTTCATGCATCTTCAAGGAAAAAAACTGGACAGAAAGGTGTAAGTTTATCCAATTAACAGGTGGTGGTGATTGATGGCCAAATAAAAAAGGTTATTGGAGAGAAGGCTTAGAGTGTTCTTTTACAAATTATGGGAATGAATTTTATTTCATAAATCAAAATTTTTATGAGTGTTCTGATTTTTATATGCTTTGTGGTTGAGGGTTATATTCCTGAGACTTTAAATAGAAGCTTTGTGGTTAACAGTTAAAAAATCTCAGAAAGCACACTGCTCGCTCTCAGTAAAGATAATAAGACATAACCATACAGGTGTAAATTGAGAGACCTTTTATTCACCGGGATAATCTTTTATCATTGCCCTTTGTTCACTGTGATCTGGTTTTCAAGGAATGTTCCTATTTTCTCATCTTTTATTCTTTATCTTTCTAGAACCCAGTTATAACAGATTTATGTCAGCAGGATGCTTCCTTTCAAGGCTTATTAGATACTACCGGATGCTACATTTTTTCTCAACTTTAACCAAGGCTGAATAATTTTTTTCTAAATCATTTGATTTCCACTGGAACCACTGACCAGAAAATGGTTGTAATCCAACTGATTTCTTAAGGTTGAAAGTAACGACATTTCTTTACATATGTTTATGTAAACTGAGGGTGACTGTTTGCTTTTGAAAAGTACCAAAATTTGAAGAACAGCAAATTAGTGTGGGATCAGCAAAGGAAAAGGGTGTACCTCTCTACCTATGACTGTCCTTATAAACTTGGACTTTCTGGGGCTAGGAGAAGCTGACTTATGAATAGCATAGAATCTGTGAGGAAGAGGTCAAGTTGCAGACTGCAGGAATAGGGAGTCGGATTTCCTGTGAGTAAGAGAGTTCCTTCTTAAAGTCTGTCTTAAGTGAGCAGTGACCGATCCAGATGACCATACTACCGAAGTCCACCAGTTTGACAACCTCAGCTTCTTTGAGACACAGAAATCAAATTGTCTTCAATCAAATGGCATTACAATTATTTAAACTTTCTACTTTTTTTCCAACTCTCCTATTATGAAAATATTTTTATAATTTCTGGAACATCCCTAACACAAAGAAATAGTAAATGCTTGAGGTTATGAATAGCCCAATTACCCTGTTTGATCATTATGCATTGAGTTCTTGAATCAAACTATCACATGTACTTCATGAAAATGTACAACTATTATGTATCCATGATAATTAAAAATTTTTAAAAATGGAAGAAAAAATTGTATCCTTTTTATAATTAAAAGGTCAAGATCAGGAATATATGTCAAAGACCTAGTTCAGCTGGGGATGGTGGCTCATGCCTGTAATCCTAATCCCAGCACTTTGGGAGAACAACGAGGGTGGATCACTTGAGGTCAGGAGTTTGAGACCAGCCTGACCAACATGGTGAAACCCTGTCTCTACTAAAAAAATAAAAAGAAAAAGAAAATACAAAATTCACTGGGTGTGGTGGTGCATGCCTGTAATCCCAACTACTTGGGAGGCTGAGGCAGGAGAATCGCTTGAACCCGGAGGCAGAGGTTGCAGTGAGCCGAGATCACACTGTTGCACTTCGCTCCTGCCTGGGCAACAAGAGGGAAACTCCATCTCAGGGAAAACAACAACAACAACAACAACAACAACAAAAACCTAGTTCTTAAAGAGCAATACATATTTTCACTCAAAATCTACTTACCTTTACTCTAGACACCATTTTAGTGCATTGAATTATTTGTTTTGTCAGCCCATTTCACTAGAAAAGGAGTAGGCAGAGAGGGTAAAGAACGTGCAGTTGTAAAAGCAAAGGCTCCAATTATAACTTAAGAAAAAATGGAGACTGATGCAAGAAAAGTGGCAAAATATTCTAAATTGCAAACATTAAAAAAATAATCTCATTCATTCTACTAAGTGTAGAGGCATAAACCTTACTGTTGTTTGATTCTCTTCTCCATAAATGTAACATTATATCTAGCACCTTTTTATTAAGAAGACAAGATGTGTGTAACGTGTCAATTTTTTTTTCTTTTAAACATGTTTAAAACGAAATTTAAGAAGAAACTGTCATTATATGGGTAGTTCTTTGCTTCTGCTGGGGAGTTCTGTTAAGTGAAATATGTTTGTAAGAGACATAGGATTATAGATAAATTTATCACAGCTCTCTCCCCAAAATCTTCTCCTTTTCTCTTCTATAATCACGCCTCTACTTAGGAGTCAAGGAGAAGCAGCCAAAGAAAAAGTTACCAGACTAAAGCTGCAGGCCTGTTTCATATTTTCCAAGGAAGAAAGTGTAGAATATTCATTCTTCTTTCCATGGTGACATCCTTTAGAATCTAAAAGAAAGGCAGGATTTATGTGCTATGGGTACTGATCAAAGCAGACACTACCGTTTATTTCCTAAATTGCACTATGCATGAGCTACCCCAATATGTTTTCTCAGGCATTTTCCTGGTTTGTAGTATTTCTACATCTCGATGGCTTTGTGCTACTTTTTTACTGTTTCTCAAATCAGGTCATCTTAGCTACAGCATAAGGAGGCTTGGGTGTCAGGGACCAACTCAAAGCCTCTTTTTCCATGACTTGGTTATTTCACTCATAATGACATATGCATTTTTTATCTTCTGGAATATTTGTAATTTATGCTACAGAACTTAATTCATTGTTAGCCACTGGATTCCACTGTAGCTTTTCCATTCTCCTATTCATAGCACTGAGATTGGCTCATTTTAACCAACACAAGGGTAACTCACAATACTTCTGAATCACCCACAAAGACTAGCTCAGATCTGTGCACACAGTTACTAATCAGTAAATGTATGATCACCAGTTAATGTATTACAATGTAAGTTTAAGAGGGAACCAAATAAGGAAATGTATGGAGAACTAAAGACATATATGATATTCACATTATCATATTTGAATAAATTTACATATTATACCATACCTTGAATAAAAAATAACTTAATATGGTTAAATATATCAATTTACTTTTTATCTAGACTGCTTACTTGAAATTTCCCTAACTGATTATTAACAGAGATGTCAAGAACTACATTGGTGCTCACACTAACATGGGTAAAACATTGTGAAGTTTAAAAAGGGTTCTATAAAGTCTCTATAGATCTGTATACTTTCAACACCAGGGAAAGATGATTAATTTTATACGTTCTTTACAGTACATCTATGTCCTGTGATAATTATACTACTTATAATCTCTTCTCATCTCCACCCTGATAATAGGTTTTCCTTTTTTTGAGACAAAGTTTCACTCTTGTTGCCCAGACTGGAGTGCAATGGCACAATCTTGGCTCACTGCAACCTCCACCTCCCAGACTCAAGTGATTCTCCACTTATAATTCAAAAAGCAGCAACAACTGCAGAGGTATATTTATGCTTAATCTTGTCCTAAGGTTTAGAAAATTGTCCATAGTACAGGAATTAGTATTGTCTTTTCTTTTTAAATTATTGTGGATCTGTACTACTTTTGTAAAATATAATAAAAATGAATTTGAATGTTGTCATAATGTGAAATTTCCTTTTAAAAGATTTTATTGTAAGTTGACAATTTATATTTGCATATGTTTATGGGATACGAAGTGATGCTAGATCTATGAATATAATATGAAATAATTAAATCAAGCTAATTTACATATTCATCACCTCAAATACTTATCACTTATTTTTCTTTCTGCTTTTTTTCTCCACAGCCCCCACTTGGCCTCTCTTACTTATCATTTTTTTTGTGATGAGAGCATATGAAATGTACTCTTAGCAGTTTTGAAATGTATAATACACTATTATTGTATAAATCACCATGCTGTGCAATAAACATTCAATAAAAAAGTTTTTTCCTTCCAATTGAGATTTTGTACCCTTTCAATTTTTGTGCTTATCTCATTGCACATCAGTAACAAGCAGTTTGCAAAGTGGTATAAGTCTGAAGATCAGATGAAATAGCACTGGTTTAAAAGACATTATGCTTAAAGGCTTTGCCTGCAATCACCCTATTAAACTACTGAATGTCTCCAGGAATCATGTAGGCTGTGGGAATCTCCAGGTCATGGAGAACAGCCTTTGTCATTAGACAGAAATGGTATATTAGTTCTTTCTCTTCCCTTTGGTAGCTTCTTGTCCACAGGTGTCTTACTAACCTCATTAACCCCAGCTTCCTTATCTCTAAAATGGGGATACTAACTATATCAGCCAGTCAGGGTCTATCTAGGAGACAGAAGCTATGCAGGAATTTTTAAAGGAGAAGTTTAGTATAAAATTATAAACTATGACAGGGGATTGATGCAATGAGGGATTGGCTAATAGGATATGAAGAGAACTCTGTAGAACGCAGGAATAATAGATGTGAAGATCAGCCACTGCCCCTAGGGCTGAGATAGACAGCCCAAAGAAATGACCTCTACAGGGCTGAGCTCTAGATGCCATTGAAAAGGAGCCCTTCAGGGCTGTGGCTCACCGGATGGCAAAGAGCTCACTGCGGTGCCAAGCTTGCAGAACTTGCTGGAATCCACTGCCTGAGGTTCCAGGGGAATTTTCTATAAAGCTGCCTGAAAGGGTATCAGGGGAAGCTTCTGGGTACTTAAAAATGGAGTCTCTCTAATCCCGCTTTCTAGTTTCCCTTCCAGAATGTCCCTAGTTCTAACCACACTTTGGTAAGAAGCAGGTCAAGTCCCTGGGTAGAGTGTGACAAATTCTCAAGTCCCTTAAAGATTTTTTTAGAATCTGGGGGAAGTGAGGAGAGAGTGAGGGAGGAAATATAGCTACTAAAAATGTTGAGGCTGTTCTCCAGGAGGATTTAGGGTTCATTTTCAGCAACATGCTGAAAATATGATTAGCTCGTTGGTTTCTAAGCTGCATCCCAAAGGAAATATTAATTTGAATTCTTTGGGTTGCAAGAAACATAAACCAACCCTTCTGAGCTTAAAGAAAAAAGGAATTCATTGGAAAGATACTACGGAAATTTGTTAAAGTACAGGGAGAATTTGGAGTTCCTTCCAAACTCCGGGTGGAAGAAAAGGTCCTTGTACAACTCTGGGGTTTCAGCAGCAGAAATTAATGTCTTCTGTAGTCCAACTCATGAACTCAACTCAGTTCTGGTAAAAATCAGTCCCCAGGCCTCACAATAAGGTATAGGAGAGAGACTCTGACTGATCCAGCCTGGGCAAGATGGATACCTTGCCTGGATTGTCCACTGATGGACCAAGACACAGAGTCACATAGTATGGTCTTGACCAGCAGAGGGTTGAACAGAGTAGCAAGGCTAGAACTGGAAATGCTGACATCCTTTTGAGCCAGGCAGTCAGTGAAGAGAGGGCTGCAGAAAGAAGTTTTACCTGTAGCCCAGTGTTGCTAATAAAATGTTGAAAAACTATCTGAGGGCAGCCAGACCTGTTCCCACAAGTGATAGCTGGTTTTCATTTGGGGATCTTCACTTTGTGACAAGCCGGATTTCTATTTCCATCAGATAAAGGCTGGCAATAATGAACATCTTCCTGATAACTCTCATCACGGTTTTCCAAGGAGCTGAAAATGGTAATTAATGCAAAAGCTGTGTTTATTGGTTCGTGAAATTGAGTGCGTGCCATCCTTTGATACTGTGTCTCCTTGAAAGTGAACGTTTGGGAGGGGGTGGGAAACACACTGCACATTAAAGACTCAATTTATTTGACAAGATGCTACAACAAAGACAACCTCATGTATATGAAAATCCTGGCTCTTCCTTGCTTTGCCAAAGTAGAGTTGACAGAGCAAGGAACAAGTGTCTTCCCCATTCCCCTCCCTCCAGAGCTCCAACCCCCTCCTTCACATTGCTCTTAATAAGATAGCCACAAGTTTGGGATGACATTGTCTATTTCACTCTAGGACACAGTTTATACTTCATCCCCCCAACTCCACTTACTCAGAGTTCTTAGTAGGAGGCTGAGGCGAGCAATTTTGTCTGATGGATTCCTCAAGGCCCTCAAGGGGGCACCAAGGCATGGAGTGCTAGAAGATCCCTTATGCAGCAGAAGAAAATAGGAAACTGTGTTTAAGAGGAATTCTAGGACTGGGAGCCTCATAGTTGGAAGCTCCAAGTCTCCCTTTCCTTTCAGCATTTTAAGTTATGAGTTTTGGTTGTTGCCAAATCTGCATTTCCTAGGCTTTTATGATCAAATATTAGTCATAATGGGAGTGAAACAAATGCTGATGTGAGGCTCTAAGGAATCTTACACACACACACACACACACAAATACATATACACACATACTATGCACATGTACATCTCACACACACTATCTGCATGTAGAGCCATACCACGTATACATAAACCATCCACAAAACACAAAAACACAAATGCATGCATTCACATAGGTGCAAACACACTTATGCTACACAATATTACAAATACACGCATTACCCATGTGCACAAACACAAGGCACATAGCAAACATACACATTCACAACGATTCACACCCCCACACAGTACACTCGAATATGCTACAAATATACACATTGCATAATATCAGGCACACATATCACATGCCCAAACATACCTCTATGCCACACATATGACACACACACAAAGATACCCACTCCACTATGTACCACAATGTGGTTATCTCCTACACATTCCCCACAATACATATTCCATAATACACCTCCCAACATACCATATCATACATAACACTTACACAACCACCCATAGCCTGTGTCAGATGTGGCTCATGATCCACTACCCTAATGGTGGTAGGGTGAATAGGCCCTCAAGATGTCAGGTCCAGCCAGGCGCAGTGGCTTATGCCTGTAATCCCAGCACTTTGAGAGGCTGAGGTGGGTGGATCACTTGAGGCTAGGAGTTCGAGACCAGCCTGGCCAACATGGCAAAACTCCATCTGTACTAAAAATACAAAAAATTAGCCAGGTGTGGTGGAGGGCGCCTGTAATCCCAGCTACTTGGGAGGCTGAGGCAGGAGAATTACTTGAACCTAGGAGGTGGAGGTTGCAGTCAGCTGAGATAGTGCCACTGCACTCCAGCCTGGGTGACAGAGCGAGACTCTGTCTCAAGGGAAAAAAAAAAAAAAAAAAAAGGATGTCAGATCCTAAATCCTGGAACCTGTAAATGTTACCTTATCTGGAGAAATGTTCTTGCAGATGTGATTACTTTAAGGTACTTGAGATGGGGAAGACTATACTGAATTATTTGGGTGGGCCCTAAATGCAACTACATGTATCTTTATAAGAGGAAGGAGAGGGAGGGAACACACACATACACGAGGAGGAGGTAATGTGGCTGAAGAGAAAGATACCAGAGTCATGGGACCAGAAGCCAAGGAATCCTGGCAGCCATTGGAAACTAGAGGAAGAGCTGGGTTCTTTGAGCAGGCGTCTCAAAGTTTAGGTAAGCTTAGGCAAGAGTTGGAGACTTGGAGCAGAAATAATTGGAAAGAAACTTGAAGAATCTTGAAATCTGAGAACTTTTAGAATTGGAAAAAGCAGACGTTTTTGAACTTGAGACATTAATAATAATAGAAAGAAGTTCAAACAACAAAGACCCATTTGAAATTTTTAGTTAAACAGGAACCTTACTCTTGCAGCAAAGAACACATAAAGGATGTTTCCTCCCCACTCTGGTCTAATTTTTAGATGGCCACAAAGGAGCCACCAAAAAGATGAAAAAGAGTCATAAGGGCGAGAAAGCCGTGAAATTAAGCAGTGCTGAATTGTTCGTCAAAGGATCCTGGCACGTGGAGGTGAATAGAATCAACTGAATCAGAAATCTATTAAGATTTTTAGTAAATTGTATTGATAAAGTCATCACAAGCTGAGATTTTTAAAAACTGGCATTTATAAATCAGCCTGAAGGCTCCCAAATGACACCAGCAGAACACGGGTTGAAAAAGCAATGTAGGCTTCAAAGAGAACACTTCTCAATGCTTAGTTCAAATATAAAGATAATAGAAAACTCCCAGGGAACAGAACCAGGGGCCACAGAGAACTATTGACAAGATAAATAAAGCCAAAGCAGAATCAAAGCAATGGATGTCTTCCATTGCTAAGGCAAGGGGTCTATATTGTTTCTTCCTGCGAAGATTTCTTATGGCTGCAGACCACGGCTGCTAAGTAGCTCCCATTCTTCCCTCTACCCAAAAGAAATTTTAATTGGAATATAGGTCAGTGGCCCATGAGACAACACACACATCTGTCCCTGATGGAGAATGTTCTACACCGCCAGGCACAGTGATTGGATGGGACTTTAGGTCAACATCCTTGGAGAGGCAGTGAGGCATAAAGTGGGTGCTTTATGTGTGGGAAGAAGGCTATATCAGAGAGGCAGGCTGTGGCCGAGATAGCTGGATGCCAATGAATACTTGTACTTCCCTTTCCATACTGTAGCTTGGAGATGGTGCCTTGCCAGGGGCCACCATTACCAGTCTCAGCTGTTTCAAGTTGTGGTCATGTGATCAGTACTCACCAAGAAAATGTGAAAGGAAGAGATGTGTATCATTTCTGGTTTTAGAAGTGAGCATGCCTTCTCTGCCGTCTCTTTATCCTTCTGACTGGATGCAGTAAACCTGAGATCTGAGGAAATACAGAGCCATGAGATGGCAGGAGTGAGGGTCCCTGAATTACTGCACAAGAGGCAAACTTCCACCACCCAGCAACACTCACATTGGGCTATGACACAAGAGAAAGAAACATCTTTTTTATTAAGCTACTATATTGTAGGATTTATTTATTATAGCATTAGTATATTAGTATTAGTATATTATAGCATTAGCATTATTATAGCATTAATATCACACTAATGCATATATCATATGCACATACCACCTATACACACACACACACCACATACTACTCACAGCCACATACACATACATAAAACACACGTATTTTATTATGCCTCACTGGGAGCCTCAGGGACTTCTATGCTGTGCCAATACATGCACCAGAAGGTCCTTATATCCATGATGCTCTGGATCATTGAGGGGATAGTTATACTTAAGAGAACAAGTTATTGATTAACAGACTGATATTGCAGTTTGGGATTTGTTCAAAATACTTTGCTCTCTTGAATCTTCTTTCTTTGTAAAGGTCAAGAGCCCTCTTGCTATACATGAATATGGGTGGATGAGGAGTTGAAATAGAAGGAGGTTGTACTAGCTCATTTTCACCTGGCTATAAAGACATCCTGAGACTGGGTAATTTATACAAAAAAGAGGTTTAATTGACTCACAGTTCTGCACAGCTGGGGAGGCCTCAGGAAATGTACAATTATGGTGGAAGGAAAAGCAGGCATGTCTTACATGGTGGCAGGTGAGAGAGACAGCAGGGGAAACCACCACTTACAAAACCATCAGATCTCATGAGAACTCACTTGCTATCATGAGAACAGCATGAGGGAAACCACCTCCATGATGCAATCACCTCCCACTGGGTCCCTTCCTCGATATGTGGGGATTACAGTTCGAGATGAGATTGGGTGGGGGCACAAAGCCAAACCATATTAGAGTGAACTGGGATATTAGAACCGGGAGTGGATTCATGCGTAATTACATACGTGGAGAAGAGAGGCAGTTTTCGGAGGTGTCAGTGAGCTGGTAGTAGAATTAGGTTTGGAGGCAGGGCCTGCTAATTCCCTGGTCAATTTTCTTTCTGTCTTACAGGTCTTCTTCCTAATTTGAAAAGCCACTTAAGGCCAGGCACAGTGGCTCACGCCTGTAATCCCAGCACTTTGGGAGGCTGAGGCTGGCAGATCATGAGGTCAGGAGATCGAGACCAGCCTGGCCAACATGGTGAAACCCCATCTCTACTAAAAATACAAAAATTAGCTGGGCGTGGTGGCATGGGCCTGTAGTCCCAGCTACTCAGGAGGCTGAGGCAGGAGAATCGCTAGAACCCGGGAGGCGGAAGTTGCAGTGAGCCAAGATTGTGCCACTGCACTCCAGCCTGGCTACAGAGTGAGACTCTGTCAAAAAAAAAGAAAAGAAAAGCCACTTAAATCACACTTTAGGAATAAGAGTCAACTGCTCTAGTAAAAAGCTTAGTCCTAGAGGAAATTAAAATGATGGATAACAATGAAATTTGAGATTACTTGTAAGCGGCAATCATCACACTACACAGAGCTTCACGAATGATTAAATAGAAGTTAGCTGTGACAAAGAATCAGCACTCACTCTTCACTCATTATGGGATTTATTATTTTCTAAAAAGTGTTTTCCAATTTGCATTTTTAGTATTGAATTTTTTAAGCTCATTGTTTTTATAAGTTCAAATAAACATTTTAAACATGCCCTGTGACCAATCCTCCTTGAGCTCTGGGCAGATGGCCTTGACATATTTACAAAGATTCTTGAGAACATCAGACATGAACTGGTTTAAATCCTAACTGCACCTCTAAGCCTGTCTGTACCATAACCGTTTCTTAAACAACTTTAGAAGAATAGAAAGCTCTTTTCTTGCCTAACTCTAAATCCTACAACTGTGTCATGGTTCCATTTCTGTCTAGCTCTTTCTGGAGCTTACCTCATTAACAATTCTCACATTCTTTTTTATGTTTACATTCTCATCTTAGCCTATAAACATGCTTGTGTCTCTTTAAAAACAATTCCCAAACTAAATCTTTAAATCCTGAGCCCACTTCCAGCTAATATCTTGTCTCCTTCCTTCTCCTAATTATCACCAAAGTTCTGGAGTTTTCCATATTCACTCTCTCCACCTTACCTCACTGCATCATGGGTGTTTTTCCTAAGGTTTTAGTGATTTCCTAATTCCAAAGCAGTAAAATGATTTTATTTTGCCTCCTTTGACTTCTCTGTATTACTAATTATTAGTTGTGATTCTCTTCTTTGCTCGCCTGTCTTGGTTCTCCTTCCACCTCTCTGGCTGTACTTTCACCATCTTCTTTACCACCTCCTATTCCCCTTGGGATTTAGGGTTGGAAACAGGAATACAGATAGTATCTGGCTCTTGGGGTTATCCTGTGAATGAAACGATATAATTTATATAAAAGTTATGACAAGTACCTGGGACAGAGTTAGTGCTCAGGAAAAATGCAGTCACTACTGATGAGTTTATTTTAGACTGGTCAATTTGAAACATTTGTGACATTCTACAGGTAGTTCTAGAAATAAGGGTCTGGATTTCAGGAGTGAGAGCTGGAGCAGTGGATCTGGATTCATCAGTGCATAAATAGCAACTGAAGATAAGGGAGATTATGAAATTATCCAGGGAGCATATATTTGTCAGGAAAGACTAGGTTATGCTGAGATAACTTCTCCAAGTTTTCACGGTTTTAAACAACAAAAGTTTAATTCGTGCTCATGAAATGTGTCCATTGTGGGTCAGGAAGAGGAATTCTGCTCATTGTCCTCGTTCAAGAACCCAGGCTCCCTGTCCAGCTATCAACTCAAACAAGGACAGTTACAGTGTCACAGGGAAGACAGCTGTGGAGGGCCTCATATTAGCAAGAAAGTGCTCTGGTGTTCAAGTGGCCCAAGTTCCTTTTGCTCACAATTTGTTGGCTAAAACTCATCACAAGGTGCACTCATTTAGAAGTAGGAGAAGAAGTGCAATTCAACTGCATGTCAGGGAGATGGAGAGCAGGAAATATTTAATAAGTAGCACCAATCACCACCAGAGTTTTGTCTAGAATGGAAGCAAAAAGAATACACTACTTAGGAGAATACATTGGATTGCCTTTTGTTATCTACTACTTGTCCCTTCCATAATGGTTAATTTTATGTATCAGCTTGAGCAGGCTGTGGGATGACACGACGGCTGGTAAACATTATTTATGGGTGTGTCTAGGAGGGTAATTCTAGAAAAAATTAGCATTTGAATCAGTAGACTGAGAAAAGAAGATCACCCTCACCAATGTGGGTAGGCATTGTCAAATCTTTTGATGGCCCAAATAGAATGAAAAAGTGGAGAAAGGGTGAATTTACTCAGTCTTCTTAAACCAGGGCTTCCATATTCTCCTGACTTTGAACATCAGAACTCCTGGTTTTTGGGTCTTCAGGCTTCAAAACCTATACCAGCATCCCCTAACACTCACCACACTCACTGGTTCTCAGGCTTTTAGTCTCAGACTCAATTACTCCACTGGCTTTTTTTGTTCTCCAGCTTGTATATTGTAGGACTTCAGGGTCTCCATAATCTTGTGAGACAATTTCCATAATGAATTTCCTCTTATATATCTCTTTAAACTCCATTGATTCTGTTTTCTGCAGAACCCTGGCTAATACACCTTTCCCGATTCAGTACCTAGTTTTTAAAACCTCTCGGATAGGGCCATCTTTTGTCTAGATGCTCAGCCCTGATACCTCTAAATTAACCATGACTCTCTCATCTCCTTCACTTTTCCTTTCTGATTTAAATATAGAATTCCATCAATTCAATAATAAATATATTGCCTGAATTCATCCCTTTCTCTCTGTCATCTCTGAAACTATTACTAGAGCCTCTAAACTACTTTCAGTTAGAATGACCTTCTGAAACACAAATTTGGTCATCCCGCAGGGCTTTAAAAATAGAAATTTTTTCTAATGAAGTAATTTTCAGGCTGGAGTAAAGATGGAGTGATGTTGGTTATGTATGAGATTTTCTATCTATTAAAATAAAAACTAAGGTTAGAAAACTTTTAGACAATGGAAAAGTATAAAGAAATAAATGTGCATATATCTTTGTTGTATTTGACACGGTTGCCTACTCCTTTTCAAAACTGCTCTTGTGGTTCTAGCACTCTCTGGTTTTCCTTCCAGCTGCTTGTCTGCCATTTATGACTTCTCTCTTCATCTGCAGGATGCTTAAGTACTGGAGTTCCTTTTGGTCCAAGACTTCTCTTCCCTCCTAACTTTGTATCTCTCCCCTCACACCCTTTCTGTGTCGCACATACACACAGCCAACACTGACCTCTTTCCTCAAACATCAACTCATACCTCCAATTGCCTCCTGAATTTTTTTTTTTTTCTTGAGATAGAGTTTCACTCTTGTCACCTAGGCTGGAGTGCAATGGCACAATCTCGGCTCACTGCAACCTCCACCTCCCAGGTTCAAGAGATTCTTCTGCCTCAGCCTCCCGAGTAGCTGGGATTACAGGTGCCTGCCACCACACCCAACTGATTTTTTGTATTTTTAGTAGAGATGGGGTTTCACCATGTTGGCCAGGCTGCTCTCAAACTCCTGGTCTCAGGTGATCCGCTTGCCTTGATCTTCCAAAGGCTGGGATTACAGGTGTGAGCCACTGTGCCTGGCTTGCCTCCTGAATATTTTAATGTTATCTTAGAATGGTAAGCACAGTATGTTCAAAATTTAACTCATTTCTTCCTCTTCAAATATTCCTCTGCCTAGTTCCTTATAAGCTGCACAAGCCACAATAATTTTTCCTCTTCTCTCCTCTCTATACAATAAAAAAGTAATAAGTACTATTGTTTCTAAACTAACTTTCTCTATTCTTCTTACTCTCTTCTGCATCCCCACTGCCAGAGCCTCAGTTCAGACCCTTATACTTTCCCACCTGTAGAACGGCAATGGGGATTCTTCACGAATCTCCTTCTATCCTCAATACTTTTCTTCCAACATTCAGCTGGCCAGCATATCCTGTCACTGGAGTAGACTAATTTTTCTAAAACGTAAACCTGATAGTAATGTTACTTAACAATTTCTTAATGGCTTCCTATTGTGTTCAGAATGAAATCTGATGACTTTAGCATGGCACAAAAAGTTCAATGGCTTGGTTCTTGCTTGCTTGCCTCCCAGTCTTGTCTCCTGCGAATTCCTCAGGAGCACCTGGAAATTCAGAGATACCAATCTGTGGTCATTGAAAGACAATACTTGGTTCTTTATACGGGTCATTGCTATGGTCTGAATGTTTGTGCCTGCCCCCCATTCATATGTTAAAATCCTATGAATTAGGAGCTGGGGGCCTTAGGGAGGTGATGAGGTCGGGACGGTAGAGCCCTCATGAATGGTATTAGTCCCTTTATAAAAGAAGTCCAAGGGAGCTTATTCACTCTTTCCACCATGTGAGGACGCGGTGAGAAGATGGCCATCTTTGAACTAGCAAGAGGACCTTCCCAGACTCCCAGTCTATCATCACCTTGATCTTGAACTTCCCAGCCTCCAGAACTGTGAGAAATAAATTTCTGTTGTGACCCAGTTCATGGTACTTTGTTAAAGCAGCCTCAGTAGATGAAGACAATCTTGTGCCGTCCCTTCTGCATGGGATGCCCTTTTCTTGTCCTTTTCATCTCCACGCACCGTTTTTTTGTGTTTTTTTTGTTTTGTTTTGTTTTTTCTACAAGGTAGAGTATGTTCTACTTCTATTCATTGTGCAAGATCCCAGTCTGAAGTAAATTCTTTTCAAAAGTTTTCTTGACACTCCTGAAATTCCTTTCCCTGTCCTGACTTCCTTCTCTGGTTTCCACATAACAGTCTGTATTCACCTTTAAATTTCAGGTGGATTATCACACTGTAAGGTCACTATGTATTAACCATGAATTGCTTGAAGGAAAATACTTGGTATCCCCAGCACCTAGAGCAGTACCTTGCACAAACTGGGCATTCATAATTACTTGTAAACTGAATGACCAGGCTCAGTGCTCCTATCACATTTTATACATCTTTTCCTCACTGCCTTGTGATTATTTTCTTTTTATGTCTTTCTCTAGTACATTATAAAACATTCTCAACCATTTATGCAATTCCACACACAAAATAAGCACTATAAAAATGTTACCTGATGCAGTCTAATGTAAAATTTTTGGTATATTTCAAAATAGTTTTCAAGGTAAGTATTCATTTTAGAGTGTAATATAAAGGATACATGACCTGTTGCTATTTTCATGGTGACCATAAGATTTAGAGAGGGAAAAAAACTTCACACTAATTTTATAAGAACTTCCTCTTACTCAGTTATTTTAATTTTCTTAGCTTTTCAAGATTGCTCCTAACAAGTATAAGAAGTTGTACCAATGTCTTCCTAAGAGAAATGGAAGAAGCAAGAGGATATAAGAAAAAAAAAAAAAAAGAAAAGGATGAGAAAACAATGAAGGAAGGGAAGAGAGGAGAGGAAAAAGAAAACCATAAACAACAGGTACATGTGTTCCAGTTCATAAGAAACACTTCAAGATATCCTTACACATATTTAAAAACATATATAAATATTTATACATTTGAAAGAATTGATTACAAGTGTGCTAGATCTAACACCAACTTTAACTTGCAAATTTAGTATTTATTAGAAGAAATGAATGTGTTTTATTTCCCCATTAGTTAATATCATGCTTTGTTATATACGACAGTGAATGGGCACTATTTTAATACTGGAATAAAAGAAAAACCAGCATTTCCAGCACATCTTAAATGCATATTCACAGTAGATGAGAATAACAAGTGATTTCTGATGTTTTTTTTTCTAATCTGTTCCATTTTTGCATTTTAATGAACACCTTAAATTTTCTGTTTAAGTCTGTTCCGGCAGTTTTGAATTATTTTCTCTGGGAAAATGATTAAGCAAGAAAATCTCTGTTAGGAGAAGAGTGTGCAGTAATATGAATTAATCAAACACAAATGAAAAAGGATTAAATTCGATGAAGGAGCTACATTTCTAAATATTTTTTCTATCTCTTCAATCAAGACAAGGGTCTTTTTCTTAAGAGCTTATAATCTAATTGGAGAGACAGAGCACATACATAAAAAGATGAATGGCTCTAGGGGGAATCCAAATGAATTGTCCAGACAGTAAATGCTACAGATTTCAGAATCTGGAGAAGAGCCCGAAAGCCTAGGTGGCTAAGTCTTGAACTGATCTTCAAAGAAATGAGACGGGGGATCTTCAACAATGGAGTGTGACTGTTAATGAGCACAGAGTTTGTTTTGGGGGTGATGAACATCTTCTAAAACTATGGTGATAGCTGCACAACTCTGACTATAATAAAAGCCATTGAATTACATATTTTGAATTGATGAATTGTACAGTATATGAATTACATCTCAGAAAAGCTTTTATATTAAAAAATATTAGCTATGGTCTTGGCATCAGTTACATAAATGGGGACTGAGGCTGCTAAGGACATTATGTTTTCCTCTTTTTCTTTCCTCTACTTTTTAATAAAAGGGATGTTGGCTGTGCTTAACTTTACAGTTGAGTTTCACAGTCGCTAGGCCAATGAGAAATTACATCTGAAATAGATGTAGATAACTGCATATCATGAGGAGTCCCTGAGTTATTGAGATAGACATAGGGACAGACACAGAGGTTTGTATCTCCTTTCTTTAGGAGCACACGGGAAGAACTTTCTACAAAGAATACTTACAACGTATTAGGTGGAAGCTTGGTGGTATTGCATGAGAGGAAAAGATGGCTGAATAGTAAAAATGGATACAGAATAATCCATTTTTGGCCTATTTTGCTGTCACATCCTGTCTTCACTCTCCTCTGACTCTGGTCCATATAGCAGAGTTGGGTAGGGAGGAAGGGAGGGATGAATTCTGTAGATTGCATTTCCCAGGTTATGATCACCACTGGCTTCCAGATTGGTTTGGTCAGTAGGAGGCACCAGGGGAGACTGGTGGACAAGAAGAAGTAAGAATCTAGGGTACTTCTCACCCTCTCTTCCTGACTTGAACAGCTTCTCTGGGAACAGCTGCATCTTTCCTGTTGCTATAGCTTCTGGCATAGTTCCAGTTTCTTCTGAGTGAACTTAAATCTTGAGCTTTCTACAAAACTTCCTCTCCTCATCCTTCTAGCTAAGATTAGCATTTGCTAATCTATGTGTTGCCTCACCATCCCTTGTGCTATGATCTAAATGTCCCCCCAAAATTCATGTATTGGAACTTGATCACCACTGTGGTGGTCAAAGAGATGGGATCTTTTGGGATGTGATTAAGTCCTGAGGGCTCTGCTCTGAGCAAGGGATTAGTGCCTTATAAAAGGGCTGGAGGGAACTAGCTTAGGCCCCCTTTGACCTTCTACCTTCCACCTTCCACCATGTAGGGACACTGCGTTTTTCACCTCTGGAGGACAAAGTGTTTCCAAGATACCATCTTGGAAACAGAGAGACCCAGCCCTCACCAGACACTGAACTTGCCTTGATCTTAGATTTCCCAGCCTTAGGAAAAGTGGAAAATAAATTTCTATTATTTACAAATTACCCATTCTGCTGAATTTCATTATAGCAGCAGAAATAGACTGAGACATCCTGTCTTGCTTTTCAGGTCTTCCATCACCTGTGAACCAATTTCCTGCAGAAAGTTCTTTCTGTTTAAAGTATTTTTAGTGGTTTCTAGTTTTCTGTTTGAATCCTTAAACTGACACAGCATGAGCAGAATAAATGTGGAATGAATACACTTAGTATATGGAGAACTGAAAAAAATGAAAAACAAAAGGAATGCAGGAGGTAGAGGCATTTAGTTGAAGACAATGAGATTTATTTAAGTGTAGAATTTGGGAAAATATGGTGGTAATGAATAATTGCCTCAAGTGTAGGAAGAGGGTTGGGCATTGAAACTGGAAATACAAAATTTGAGATCCATTTCTAAGAAATGAGCACTGAAGCAAAGGCAATAGCAACAGAAAAAATTAATAAGGGTCTGGGCGTGGTGGCTCTCGCCTGTAATCCCAGCACTTTGGGAGGCTGAGGCTGGTGGATCGCCTGAGGTCAGGAGTTCAAGACCAGCCTGGCCAACATAGTGAAACCCTGTCTCTACTAAAGATACAAAAAATTGGCCAGGCGCAGTGGCTCACACCTGTAATCCCAGCACTTTGGGAGGCCAAGGAGAGTGGATCACAAGGTCAGGAGATTGAGACCATCCTGGCTAACATGGTGAAACCCTGTCTCTACTAAAAATACAAAAAAAATTAGCTGGGCGTGGTGGTGAGTGCCTGTAGTCCCAGCTACTCGGGAGGCTGAGGGAGGAGAATGGCGTGAACCCAGGAGGTGGAGCTTGCAGTAAGCCGAGATTGCGCCACTGCACTCCAGCCTGGGCGACAGAGCGAGACTCCGTCTCAAAAAAAAAAAAAAAAAAAAAAAAATACAAAAAATTAGCTGGGCGTGGTGGCCTGCACCTGTAATCCCAGCTACTCGGGAGGCTGAGGCAGGATAATCCCTTGAGCCTGGGAGGCAGAGGTTGCAGTGAGCTGAGATCATGCCACTGCACTCCAGCCTGGTGACAGAGTGAGATTCTGTCTCAAAAATAATAATAATAATAATAATAAAAATAACAAGGAAGAATGTATTGAAGATGAAGGAAAATAAAAGGACATGGAGAGAAGCCTGAGGAGCTGTGGAGGTAGACTATTGAGGAGCCAATAAAGGACTAAAAAGATTTGTCACAAAGTTAAGGAGAGTATCTGCTTAGTGGTAAGTGTAATCTCATGGAAATTAGGCAAGAGAGATAATGAAGAGAAAAGAGTTAAATGTTAGATAATGCAGGGTAGTCAGGGAAGAGGAAGACTGAAAAGGGTTACTGAGTTTGGTAATAAGGAGGTTACTGATGACCCTGAAAGTGTGATTTTATTAGCAGTGTAATGGCTGATCATGCACTGCCAAATCATTAAGTAGGTAGAGAAGAAATCAGGATTAAAAGTATACAGAAATAATTTGATTATAGACATTTCCCAAGAAATGGAAGATAGAGCTAGTACAGCAGCTAGAAGAGGAAACACAGGTATTTCTAAATTTATTTTTAAGAAAATGTTATAACTATATATATTGGTAGATGAGAGAAAAAATGCCAATGGATATTATGTGAACAGAAATGAAGGAACTATGGAGGATGAATGATGAAATAAATTGCCAGGGAAAATGAATAAAACTGGGTTCAGGACACTGGGAAATGGTTATACTGGGCAAAATGTAAAATATGTGTTTGGAAATAAAAAGTAACAGATACAAATATAACAACATACATTGGAGAAGGAGCATACGCAAGCTTAGAGAGCTTGTGATATGTAGCCTGGCTTGACTGTGGAGATGAGGGTGTCGGGCCACGGGAGGATGTGAGCAACAGCTGCGGTGAGGATTTAAAGAGCAATTCAACTACAAATAAACAAAATGTTGATGAGCAGTACTGAGAGCCTGGTTCAGGTTAAAGAGCAAAAAAATCCATGAACTGTGGTGTCAGCAGAGACACAATTGGTGGGTAAGATTAAAGGAATGTTGATGGATAAGGATAGGTTTGTGAAATAGTAGGCATGGTAAGGGCCAACAGCACTCGATTACCATTTGAACCAGTCAACACAGAAAGTGTTAAGTGAAGGCTGACATCTAGTCTATTGCACTGATAATGTCTCTGTGGGTGGGGTAGGTGAAAGATGATGAGCTTGGCTTATGACATCTTAAGTTTAAGTAGAATTGTCTAGCAGGCAGTTGGAGGTGTTGGACTAAATCTCAGAGTAGCAGATGTAAATAGTGAAGCTAAGAATTTGTATGAGAATTTTGTGATAAAAAAATGTAGAACAAGAAAGTTAGAATGCCAAGGACTAAATGTATGACCATATCTGAGGAGTGGAGAGGAAATGAAGTCTGAGAATATGTAGATACAAAGAATTAAAAAATTTTGCTCAAATGGAAAGTAGCAGTGCTTTCTCTCTAAGTTAAATTTCCCAAACTCGATGTTTTACAAGTGGGACTACTATTTTTGTCCATATCTGCACATTTGCATCCCTAATAGACATCTTGCAGAGGACGCTGAATGGCCCTAATGTTTTTCCACATTTAAAAAGATGAGCCCATTCACAGGGAAGCACACTAACTGAAAGAGAAATTTCTGCAAATGTCTTTTAATAGGCACATTCATGGGTGACAAAGCACACTGAAGATTCCTAGAGTTTTATGTGTAGGAGCTGAATGGATACATTTGGAGGTTGAAAGAGCAAACATGGCATTGCCACATTCAACTCTTCAAATTCTTCCTTGAAAATTAGAAAGAGGACTTTTCCGTTCCAAGTGCTTTGAAATAGATTATGGCACTGCCGTATTCTCTCAGAAATTCATTGTGGCCTAAGACTACACCACAGTGACTAAGTTTTTTCTAAGGCATCTCATGCATAGATGAGCCAAAATTGTATTCTATTCATCTAGCATAAGCTCTTTACAACATAAAAAGCTCTGATTGCTCAGAGTTGACAGGCTTTTGAAGCTGTAGGGTAGCATCATGGTACTACTCATCTCCCATCCCTAATGGAGTCAAGGCAAAGAGCTTATATCAGGGGCCAATAACAAGGGTGGAAGTAGAAGTAAAGGTTATGTCAATTTCACATAGGAAACTTTTTGAAATACATGTATTCTGGGATCTCTCTCACTTCCCCACTGACCCCTTCCTAAAATAGAAACGACTTATATTTATCTTAGGATACCTCTTTGTACTTGTTTAAAATAACCTATGCATCAACAATCAATTAAACTTTCTGCTATAAAGAAAAGTTCCTGGCCCAAAGACCTAGAAGCATCTAAATACTGTGACAGCCATCCAGCAATTTCTATAAACTGATAGGTTATTTTCTGATTTCAGAAGGAAATCTTAGTTACGTAAGATGATGCTTCTATTTGATAGGGCTCAGATCTGCCTTCTTCTCTCTAATCTTACTTCCATGTTTTGTTCAAACCTCCACCATCTCAAGTCTGATTATCAAACTTATCTCTTAATTCGATCCTTACTTTTAATCATGTTCACGCAAATTCGTTTTTTTCATATTCCTATCAAAAATAACTTTTTAAAACACAAATTGTTAATGTCATCTTCATTTACTCAAAAAGATTTGTTGAGCATCATTAGATGCCAGAAATACAATAATGATAAAAAGAAAGTTCAATGGCAAAGACACACAGTCAAGTACTAATAATTACACTGAAGAACACGTAAATATGTAACAAAAGTATGTGACCTACTGGAGATGTCAGAAAAGGTTAGCCTGAGGAAGTGACAATGGAGGAGAGAGGTGGAAACTATGGAGGGTAGATAGGTTAATCTAGATAGAGAAGGCAGCAAGTGCAACAGCGTTGGGGTGGGGGCCCAGCATATATTTGAGGAGCTGAGACAAGACCAGCATGGCCGTAGCCCAGAGAGTGAGGGGAGAAGAGTTGGGAAAGCCAGCAAGGGCCAAGTTATGCAAATTATTACAGGCACTTTTTAAGGTCCTTAGTTTTCATCATAAGAGCATTGCAAAGTAACAGGTTTTAAATACGGTAAAGAAGGAATAAGATTTGCACTTTTTACTAGCTTTTGCTTCAATGTGAATATCAGCTTGGAGGAAAACCAGAGATGTGGGAAGACCAGCTAGTACTTTATCAACATAATCTAGATGAGAAGTACTAGAAACTTGGACTGGGGTGGTGACTGTTGAAAAGGAGGTAAACTGAGGGACTGGAGAGATATTTTAGTAGTGATCTGTTGACAGAGTAAGTATGGGGATTGAGATTTCATGTCAAAAATGCTGCATATATTTCTGGTTTATGAAATACCACAGATGATGGCAACAGTCACCAGAATATGCAGCACCAGGTGAGAGCTAGGTTTGGAGGGAAACTAGATGTACTGGGTTTGGATATATTGAGTTGAAAGTGACTTTGACATTTGTAAGTTTTAAAATGTTTACTGGCTTCCCATTGCTCAAAGAGTTAAATTGTATCTCTTCGAAGTGAATTTATAAAACCTATGTGATCCACATCCCATGCTCACCTTCTGTCATACTCATATATTCCATATTCCAACCAGTCTGAGTTAGTGGAAATGTAGTGAATGCCCTAAGTATTTCACAGATTCATGACTTTGCAAATACTATTACTTGCACTCTGCAGCTCTTTCCCTGTGTTCCCTTCTGGAATGCTGACTTACCTCTTGTTTGGTTTTCAAGACTCAAACACTATCTCCCCTGGAAAGAGTTATTTTTAGTTTTTCTCTAACGTTATGTGTGTGTGTAGATGTATATGTTTGTAATTATTTATGATTGTCAATTTGTGGGTCTTTCCCACTAGATTGTGAATGCCTTGAGTTTGGGACTGTGTTTTGCTCATTTCTGTAAACTCTGCGTATAGTAGCCAATAAATAAGTTCAATGCTGGAATGAATAAAAAAAATGAATTTTGAATTCTTTTTCTTATTTCCAGGAAAATATTTTAAAATTAGACTACTTTTTGTTAACATAACCAGGAACTACTGATATGACTAAAAAATTTGAACTCATGTACCTATGAGTGATTTACATTAACAATACTGAACTAAAGAATTAATTTTTTCTTGCCAAATCAAAAGTAAAAACTCCAGTAAAAAAGCCATAATATGTTTCCTGAAATTTGTAGACTATCATTTTCACATGACCATGGACTAAAAGCCAAAACCAATATTAAAAGGCAGCATTTTTTAAAAGTTTTTTTTCTGATTATAAAAATGATATATGTCCACTGGGAAAATACAGAAAAGTACAAAACATATGAAATGTAAACATAACCCCAACACCAAAAGAGAGCCACTTTAAATATTTTATTTGTAAATCTTTCCTGTCCTTTTCCTGTGCAAGCACATGCATTTTACCAGCTTTCCTAATGGAGAAAAATGTTAGGCCCAAAGTGGGTATTCCAAGCCACTTTTAAAACTGGCTATTGGAGTTGTTATATGTTAAATAATGCAAGGAGGTTTTCTAGTTCTCTCCAAGGCCTGTCTCTCCTGCTTTCTCTCTTTAAGCTGTCACAGGTGAGAGGACTAGTCAGGGCCGGACTGGCTCACCTTGGGCAGGTCAGCCATTATCTCTCTCTTTGCAGAAATAAATGCCCTTGGTAAACTCTAAGAGTCAGGTTTAGAAGGAGGTAGTGAATGACCACACTTAGTCTTCAGGGTCTAAGCTGTGTGCTCAGCACAGTTGTTAACAGCCAGCCTTGCTGTGTGGGGGACAACTACTGGGAGTTACTGACTCAGCTACTGGAATGACTGAGTCATACTTTGAGTCAGATTTAGTTTCTTATATAGACTTCCCTAAAGAGGCATGTCAGGAGGGCAGATGATTTTTAAGAATGCACTTGTTCATTTCTGGGTTTCCAGGACATATTGCTATCTAAATGCACTTGAAATCTTACATCTGCACTCCAACTGTGGATCTCATGGTATTCAGGGATAAGATGGTGACCACAACATGTGGTACAGGTGAAGGCAAAAGAATGCACAAATCATATGTCATTTTAGCCACGTAGAATGCCACAACAGTGTCTGAGGGATCATTAAATTATACAAACATACACACATATATGCACATACACATATATAATATATACAATTATACATATAAAATATACAAATATACACATATATACACACATTCACACAACCAAAAAAGTAGCTCTGGGCCTAGGATATTTGTCAGAATTATTTCTGTCTATTTTATAGCAACTTAAAAAAAATCCCAAATGTTACCCAAATGTCAGGGATTTGGTTTAGGGCCCATTGCTTGCCTCACAAAAAGCCAATCACTGAGACAATAAGTATTGCCAGGAAAGAAGACTTTAACCAGGTGCTGCAGCTGAGGAGAACAAATCAGTCTCAAATCCATCACCCCAACCAACTAAAATTGGGGAGTTTATATAGTGAGGAAGGAATGTAAAATAAGAATTAAGGAGGGGTAAGGAAGCAATCATAGGGAATGAGGTCTGGTGTATCATTGTCTGGATGTGGTGATCTGGTGAGGTTTAGTCCCTGGCCTGAGGATCAGTTTCCTGAGGGAGGAACTCAGATGTCACACACATGAATTTCAAACTTTGAGACCAGGAGGGTCAATCACTATGTTTATTCAAAAATCTAAATATCATTTCTATGGGATAATTGGGCTGGTTTCACAAACATGTTTGCTTTACTTTTGTTAGATTTTACAAAATGACAGCATTTAAATCAGTTAGTATAGTTTAATTATAATATGGCTGAGTGATTTGCTAATTATTAGACATCATTTCCACAAAGCATTCATTCATTCTTTGATTATTCACTTGGTTACTTGGCTGAGGAGAAATGTTGCAGAAATTGGCTGTGAATACCTTAGGTTAGTTTTCAAGGCAACATAAACACAGTCAATATTCTCCTTGCCCTGTCTGTGTCTGTGCCTCAATCAAGCATCTGCTCATGCATGGCTTTAGCAGTTTGCAAATACTTTATTTATGACCCCATGTCCCTATTTGCTTTCCTACCCTGTGAGTTACAGTGAATTTTGTGGAAATCTAAAAAAGAAGACAGCAATGACAAAACACCAAACCCACCACACTGCTTCAGCCTCTCCTGGTCACATCCTAGTCAGAGCCATCCTTACATGCATCACATCTCTGCCTCGGTTTCCCAAGCCCTCCTTATCCGGAAGGCTGTTGAAGATTTAGAGATGACAGTTGTGTTACAAAACCCCATTCTGGGGAGATGGCAGTCTGTTTAACAGAGTCAAGACATTATCAGGTTTCTTTTATTCAGAGGATCTGAGAGGGCTCCTTCCTGTGAAGTGTGAGTCAAGCAAATTAGTCTAAAAAAGTCTTTACCAACAGAGTTGCTGCAACCTCAGACCATGGCTCAGAAGCACTCACTGTGTCAGGAGAACCGTTCAACAAAAGGGCCCAAATGGTCTCTTTAGAGTTTTCTTAGCTTAAAGTCATCTGGTTTTCTTATTAAGTTTCCTCTTCTATTTTTTTTAATGTTCGTCTTTGTTTTCCTTGAAATTACAATTTTAAAATTACTCAGAGTTACATTATTTTTATGATTATCCCTCCTTTCTCTCCAAAACATGAGTCTTGTTCCATCATTGGTTCCATAGGGCAGCAGAAATGCCATCCCAAAATATGCTACTTTGACGTAAGAAGTATTTTGAGTTAATGGCATTAAAAAAAAAATAGCAGATTCAAAAAGGGCATTCTGACTTTCCGTTTTCTTCCTGAAAGCAGGAGACAAAACTCTCCTGTGAAAGGTGTGTCCCCTCTGTGCCAGGAAGAAGGAAGGTATTCTTATCATCGGAGATGGGGGGTCAAGGTGAGAGAAATCCATACAAACAACTCTTGCTAAACCAACCATTATCTTTCTAGTTACTTTTCCACAATTAACTGCCCCAGCCCAAACCCTTTTCTAGTCTGTGTTTTCACAATTTACTACCCTTTGTCCTGCCTGGTATGTAAGCTTTTGACTCTAACTGCTTCTTTGGGTCTTCATTTCTCTTGTGAGGGCTCCCAAGCATATGTGAAAATTACTAAGTAAAGTGTGTATGCCTTTCTCCTGTTCATCTGTCTTTTGGCAGTCAGAGTTACAGAGCCCTGGCCTGAACCTAAGATGGGTCGAAAAAAAGGTGTTGCCTCCCCTGTGGTCCTTCTTTGAATAATGTTATAGTCTTATGTAGAGAGAACTTAGGCCATAACATAAATGCAGGTATAATTTTATGCTAATGATTGTTGATGCATATTAATCACCTTAAATTTTTTTCTAATTAAATAAAAGAGTATCACCTCAGCTTCTGAAATATTGCTAGATATATATCTATTTTCTGTTCAGTTTTTATTTATTTTAATCAACAGGTAAAAAAAGTATACATTTATTGTATACAACATGTTGTTTTAAAATATGTATACATTGTAAAATCAAGCTAATTAACATATGCATTACCTCACACAGTCACATACTTTTTCTTGGTAAGAACAGTTAAAGTCTACTGTTAGCAATTATCAAGAATACAGTGAATTGTTATTAATAAAGTTGCCATTTTGTACAATAGATCTCTTAAATTTATTCCTTCTGTCTAACTAAAATTTTGTATGTTTTGATCAACATCTCCCTACTCTCCAACCCACTATTATTAGATACAGAATAATGTAAAGAACCTTTGTATCTATTCAGACTGTGTGTGCCAAATTAATGACACCTAAAAGTTTTTGTAGTTAAAAACAAAGTACAATAAATACTCTGGACATAAAGATTATATTACCCAAAGGAAGATATTTGTAGTAGGTTCTGTGATGGGTTGCCCTGATTCCTTCTTGAGGAACAAGGCAATTATTTGTACATTTTTTACTTTAATTTATTTTTATTTTTAATATTTATTTATTTATTTATTTATTTATTTTTTGAGACAGAGTCTCGCTCTGTCACCTGGTTGGAGTGCAGTGGTGCTATCTTGGCTCACTGCAACCTCAGCCTCCTGGGTTCAAGCAGTTTTCCTGCCTCAGCCTCCCTACTAGCTGGAACTACAGGTGTGCGCCAGCACGCCCAGCTAATTTTTGTATTTTTAGTAGAGACGGGGTTTCACCATGTTGGCCAGGATATTCTCATCTCTTGACCTCGTGATCCTCCCACCTTGGCTTCCCAAAGTGCTGGGATTACAGTCGTGAGCTACTGTACCTGGCTAGGTAAATATTTTATTCATGGAACAAATAGTTTTTTAGTGTCTAATATATGGCAGGATAGGGAATAGGACAGACGTGGTCTTTGCCCTCATTTACCATAGACAATCAAAGTAGATGCTTATGGAACAGGAAATATACTTAATGACCAGTATGAGAAAAAAAAATGCAGGATAATGTAAGGAACTTATATTGAAGGTAATATCCCACGTTTTATTTTTAGAATGGTAGAATAAGAAGAAGGCACTTTCTTGAATTTAAGAAGTTTCTTTCATTATTGTGTGAAAAACAAAAGTAGTATTCCAAGGGCACACAGCTTTAGTTGTTTTGCTATGAGCCTTTGATCCTAGCTTTCTCATGGTTGACATCATTTAATTCTTCAAGGCTAGGCCCCAATTCAGGTCTTTTCTGACCATGTTTTTTTACTCTTCATTTTCATCATAGCACTTGCTACTATTAGTAATTGTAGTATTTATTTCTTGTCTAATTTCCCTTCCTCCCCAAATGGCTGGATGCGTGTATTTTCTATTTATTTACATATTATCCGGTAACATTACTATATGGGTCATATAAATTGCTCTGAATAAATACTTTATAAATGAACAGATAAGCAGAACCCATGAGAAAATGAAATAAAGTTGATTGTTCTGATTGGTCTACAGAATTTTAATGATGATCTCATCTGCTGGATCACTGTCTATTCAATTATGATGAATGAAGTTCCAAGAGATTTTATTAGTCGATTCGGTCAGGGTCCAATGGTCAGATAAGTTTAGCAATCATTGAATTAAACAAATGTAACTGGATTCCCTTATTGCTGGATTCCTCAGAACTTTTAATATCCTAAAATACATGTGACTCTCTATGAGGGAGATACTGTGTTCAGAATTCTGAAAATTATTTTGATGTAGAAATTTTTCTTTCAGGAAACACTTGAAACTCCATGGGATATAGTTTGGAAAATGCTTGCTTACTTTGTTATCAGGTGAAACCTATAAAGTGAGAGATCAGAGAGCTTTTCAATATAATTTAGCAGTCAGCAAGAGTTAGTTTGCCTGGATCTGATTCAAAGATGGTCTCAGGAAAGCGCTGAAGGATGAAATTACCAGGACAGGTTGTAGGTTGTATTCCCAGTCTTTTGGCATTGGTAGACTTTTGTGTAAAGTTGCTTTCAGTTTCAGCAAAGGCCTCTCCATTCTGGGCATGAATAGAGAAATAACTCATCAATGCTCTGCTCTGCTCCTTGCTGGTCTGACATGTTGCCTATACTTCACCCCAAAGGTTTCCTGTGTTCTTCAAGGTTCATCCTGGTAAGATTGCTGTCTGCTGGAAAATCCTTGCACACACTTGTAATTTTTTTCTCAAATGTAGCTTGCTGGTTTTATTCCTTCCTTCTAGGAATCACATATCAATATACTGCATAGCAAGAGGTTCTTTCAAATCAAGAGAAAGATGTCTCTGGAATTTGTGCTTAGAGTCTATCTCCCTGCCCAGTGGGTCCCTAGCCATTGGATCCTGCACAGTGGATATTCTCCCTTTCTGAGTCTAACATAAGATTCTTTGAGTGACAGGCACAGACTGCAGTGCAGTTCCACCTGGCCCTCCACTTTCTGCAGATGCTCTAATGGGCTACTTGTAGAGAAGCTTCATCTATGGAGAGCTCTTATGTGCCTTTGCCTTAATGTGGCCACCATCTGAGAATTCTCCTCTCTCCTGCTGACATTGGTCTTGAGGTGACCTCACGGGCTCACGTCTTTCCAGAGCTATACTCATCTGGAACGGCAGGGGAAGGGAAAATTAGTGAATAGGAGGTGGCCTTCCAGACACCAGCTGCTTCCATTCAGCCTGCACAATACCACTGTCATCTCCCAAGGCTTGTTGACGGCATTCTTACCCACTTCTCCAGAGTACCCTGTATTCATGCATTACTTGTGTAAGTAAAATTTAATCTGACACCAGCAGCAATCTTCAAATTCTCCATTTGCTTTTATCCTGATTCCAGCCTATCCAGATCAAATCCAACCCTACAACTATGGAAATGAATTCCCCTAGCATGGTGGGAAGTGCCACCTATCACAAACAAGGAGGGGTTACCATATAGGTCACTGCTTCCTCCTTTTCAGAAAGTACCCCTTAGCTGCTGGGAATTACTAGTGATACAGTCTGCTTTAAGGACATTTTGATATTCTCTTGAGGGAGGCCATTTTCCCTTGGAGAGGCCAATACTTGAGATTTAAACAGAGAATATAGCAACATTCTGTCATGAAACTGACTATTTCATTTTTACCTTTAAATCAAACACAAAAGTATTGGAGATGTAAATAATCATTTTTTTCAAAGTGTTTCAGCCTTACGAAGATTTAAGATATTTTCTTCTTAAAACAGGGTTATTGTGAGAAGTAATATAATAAAATATTTAATGTGGCTTGCACACTGCTTCACACATATTCACATATTAGATAATCAGCAAATTTTAACTCTTTTCTCTTTCTTTCTCATATATCTAATGCAAAGAAAATAAAACATTTGCCCCCATTATCCAGATTTCTGTACCAGAAGTCATACTCCTGGGTCAGAATTCTAGCAGTTGTAAACTGTAAATTCCAATTCTTCCATAGGTTACACTGGCAATAGGATGGAAGTTGAGTGTTTCTCTTTTGAGCCATAATTTTATACCACTGAATAAAAATGGAAGAGTCAAACTGCACAGACTGATTATTCACTTCCCTGTGTCTCATTGACATGCAGCGGAGTTAATACCTTCTCATTCCTAGCCTTTCCATTTCAGTGGCCCATAATCTTTTCTTTCTGTAAGGGAGGCAAATAGTATTCTTGATCCTGATTACCTGGATTAACACTGAAAAACCTCTTCAGGCTGATGTCCTAGAGAAATTGAAAAAGTTCCCTGTCTATTTGAAATGACTTAAACTGTGAGGCTGGAACAAAGGAGTCATCTCTTCGATAATCATCTCCTCTTCTTGTCACTCAGAGTCCAATTAAATAAATGATGACCTGATCTTTTGTCAATTGTCAGCAGATCTGGCTTTCATTTTTAATCAGCCTGCACATCATGTGGCCTTTTAAATTGTCTCTTCACCCTTTCCTTTGTCCATAAATATGATGAGAGTGGGAGTTGAAAAGAGTAGGTTTAAGAATAAGATAAATATGCAGATTTCTGTAAGCATTCTTCATATTCTTTTGAAATCACGACTTATCTTTCCTCTGCAAGAATAATTATGCCACTGATTTAACTTGTCAGGACCACTGAACGGCTTCTGAATGCTGTGGGAGCCTTCCAGTCAGGAAGATGTTTTAAGGACTGATTTTTCTCATTTTCACTTCTATTCCTATCTTTAACACACATAGTTTCCATTTAACCACCACCAAAAAAAAAACGCCACATGCTTTTAACTGGAAATTGATTGGGTGGGGGGGAGGGGAAATAAGTGCTTGAAAACAAGGATGCATTGTCTTTTTTTTTTTTTTTTTTAAGATTTAGGAGTCTGTCCTCATTTGTGGGTGTAGCCTCATAATGGGTATTTCTATGCTGCTAGGATCAGATGAGTTATGATTCTTTTCTCAAGAAGAAAGTCCTTGACTCACAGAGGGATCCAAGTCAAGGGGACATCAGGAAAGCAGACTGCAATGTGAAAAGAGAGAAGAAATAAAGATTCAGTAACCTTCGCCCAGACTGATGGGCAGCATTCATTTACACTTAGGAAGAGATTACACTTCAGTCATACCCTCCAGCACAGGCATCAGCAGCTTTTCAAAGGAAGTTTCTGGAAGCTGAAGTATTTTCTGGCAGGACTGCAGATGTCCCAGCACCCTGGGAAAAGGAGAGTGTATCTGTCATCTTTTCTTTACCTTCAACTCAGATGGAAATGGCAGCTTTTAATTATGTGTGCCAGGACCAAGAGCAAAATAATAAAGGAGAGCTAAAAATAACTTGTAAGACTTTTATTTTTAGTAATATGACCTACCAGGTATTCCACTACCCTCTCTTCCAAAAAAAAAAAAAAAAAAGTCGCTAGGCAAAATTGAACAAGACACTTTGATTGCATGGCTGAGTTTCAAAGATAGAAAGGGAAAATCTACGCAACTGGGAAGCTGCAAGTCATTGCTGAGCTCTCTTAGGGGCATTAGCTAGATTTGGTGACCAGGTTTTCATTGCCCTTGGGGGAGACAAAAACCTGGACTCCATAAAATGGGAAATCAACTAACTGCATAGAAAACCACAATCATAACAGTGAAAAGATGGACTGAGAAAAAAAAAAAAAAAATATATATATATAGTTACCAGCAAAGGTAAAACTATCTGTCATGACCTTGTTGGTGAATGGAAGAAAAAACTCACCTCCAAGAATTTGTAACCATAGGCCTGGCCTCATTTCATTAAGTATTTTGAAAAGATAATGTTTACCTACTGGGAAAACTTGAGGTGATAATGCCCATTAGCGTAGTCACCTGGAGGCAGTAAGCAGAAACGAATGGAAATTATTTCAGCAGGGCCATGCTCTCTACACAGGCCATGAATAAGTGTTTTTGGAAGTTGCAAAATACGAATTTATGTTTCCCCAGAACTTCAAATAATAGATTCCTGAGGTTCACATTTTCTTTAGAGACATAATACAAACAGTGACAAATAAAAGATGAAATAAAAATATTATCAATTTATAAGATACTATGGAGTGAAACAGATAGATTTGGAAAAGAATAAAAATACAATTTCTGAAGATGAAAAATATAATTGCTGTAATTAAACACTTTATAGGTTAAAGAGCAGATTAGACACAGTAAAGAAATTGTGAACTAAAAGCTAGAAACAATGAAATCTAACACAATACAGCAGAAAGAGATAAAAATAATAAAACACATGACAGAGAGATTAAATGATAGAAAACTGAATAAGAAGCTCTCAGTCGGGCATGGTGGCTCACGCCTGTAATCCCAGCACTTGGGGAGGCTGAGGTGGGTGGATCACCTGAGGTCTGGAGTTTGAGACCAGCCTTGCCAACATGGTGAAACCCTGTCTCTACTAAAAACACAAAAAATTAGTTGGGTATGATGGCGGGCGCCTGTAATTCCAGTTACTCAGGAGGCTTAGGCAGGAGAATCGATTGAATCTGGGAGGCAGAGGTTGCAGTGAACTGAGATAGTGCCATTGCACTTGAGCCTGGGCGACAGAGTGAGACTCTGTCTCAAAAAAAAAAAAAAAAAAGAAGCTCTCACATACATTTAACATGTATTCAGAAATAGAAAAATAGAGAAAATGAGAGGTAATATTTAAAGAGATAAGTGAGAATTTTCCAGAATTGAAAACAGATATGAATCTGCAAAACAAGACTTAAGTCCTAAGCAATATACATTTTTTAAAAAGAAATCCTCCTGTAAATATTGTCACACATCGTTAGTAGACCAAAACTATTGCAAAAACGTTCTTTACAGAGGAATTTCATGTGATTTTTTTTTTCTTTTTCAGTTCAATAGTAAGAATTGGTATTTTGCTACCAATTAGGCCACATTCATCCATTAAAGAAACATTTATTGAGTGCTTACTATGGTCCAGGTATTGTTTAATGTGCTGGAAATAGAGAAGTGAACAAAAGTGGCCAAGTCTGTTGTCATGGAGCTTACATTCATTCAAAAAGTCATTCACTAACTGGCTGTCATGTGCAAGATATTTCTTAAAAAAGACCTGCACTTTCAAAAAAAAAAAGACAATTTTGAGTCAATAATGATTTCTTAATTTTTCTTTAAGAAATTTCTTATTTTTATTTGTTCAGTTAAGAAGATTCCATAAAGAAAGCTAAGAAAATGTTATGAGTAGAACTATACTTTCATAATATCATCACATTTCATAGCATTTTTGCTACTAAATTAATGATATCTGAAAAATTTCTGCCAAAACATTCTACTGAGAGTTGAGGAAATATGAGATAATTAAATTAAATTTAAAAACTAAATCTGTTGGGTAATCATATCTTACTGGTTAAAGAAATAAACAGGAAATTGAGATGTTGAATCTCTAGGGTCTACTTCAAATTGGCTATAAAAGTATCTGAAAGCTCAAGGGTAGAGATTGTGTTTGTTTTGCCTGAGTGTTCTATTTCCGGCATGTAGCACAATCCCTGGCATGAAATAAGTGCTCAGTAAATATTGATTGAATACTGCGTTGTGAATGAATGACCACTGCAAGTCAACTAAACCAAATTGTACCATACAAGTCCAGTCAGAAAAATGAAAATCAAAATAAAATGCATTTTTTTTCTTATTACATTTTAGGAGACTAGAGAAAATAAAGCAAAACACAGGAAAATACTTTGGATTCTTTAAATGAAAATTCCATGGGAATTGAACTGTGATGATTATTACAATTTCAAATTTTATGATCTGAATGAGTTATTCACTCATTTGTATTAAATATAAGCATAAGGATAGAAAATCTAGTGTCTGACCATTCTTGTCAAGAAGAATCACTTATTGGCAAACCGTCTGTATTTGGGATAAAATGGTTAAGGCAGTGCCTATAATGTAAAAGAAAATTAAATATAATGGCTAAATAGAATGGCTAACTCTGATTAAAAAAAAATCCTTAACATTTGCTGAACGCTTCAATTTTTTGGTAAGTAGATGAGGCTCTGGATCAGCATAAAACAAAATAAATTTAAGGCATATTTGTGCCAGAAATTTCAGTCTGCATTTTTCAGACAGGAATAATCATATTGTAATCCTACTTGAGATCAAATTAATCTCAAAAAGAAAGTTCCCAGGGGACAAAAAGCACCTTTTTTTTAGCTTTATGTGCACAGCATCTGGCATTGTGGGTACCATGTGCAGGTCCAGTTCACTGTCTCTGTTGCCACTGATACTGGTGAATTAAAGTCCAGGCAAGAACGGAAGCACCACAGCACCACAGGACCACATGGACTTTGAAACGGCAAATATTGCTACAGGGCATGAGCTCACTATTTTAAAATTTTAGGGTGAAAGAGGTCCTTAGTAAATATTGAAGCTGATTAGCAATTGGCATAAACATAAAATATATTGGAAACTGACATCTTTGGACCCTAAGCTGGTTTGGGTTTAAAAAATGGATGCTGGTGATAATTTGAATGCAGAAAATTATGTCTAGAGCCTAAGGTGCAGGTAAAGGAAGGAGAAAATGGGTAGCTAAAGTAATCAACACAAAATGCTAAAGCAATTATGTGGCCCAAGTCAAAACAAACAAACAAACAAAAATAAAACTGGCCATGTAGGCCAGTTACCCAGAAGGAGTATAACCCCAAGTAGGAGAAAGCATACATATCAGAGTAAACTGTTAATTACTAACTTTAAAAAGTGAGTATTATCAAAGATATTGGGGACACAGGTATGTGGAGTAAGTGCCAGGAAATTAGTTCCTGGGGGGTGGGTGGTTATTTGAACTATCCTGGGATTCTCTGGACGCAATTTCTATATTGAGGTATCATCATTGGAAAACGCTGAGAAATGATATCTTAACTTTTCCAGAAGACCCAGAATAATCATAGGGACTATTAACTAATTCATTAGGAAGATAGGGAATTTTTTCTTTCCCCAAATAAGGATGGCAAACAGAATTCAAATACTTTTCACAACCTTTCATCATTGTGCTGTTATAATGACTGAAGACACATTGGGTTTTTAATTATTAGCAATCTGACTAGCACTGCATAACAAAGTTTACTTGCTAATTGAGATGAAATGTGTTTTGTCATCAACAAATTGAAACAATATTGTGTAAGCATGCTACAATATTTATGTCTCTCTCTTTCTATCCTACTATGAAAACATCATTAGTTTAGCACCATTTGGTCATCATAATCTCTCTTTGTTTCACAGCAATTCCAAAGGCATCAAATATTCCAGTGTAATGCACTCAATATGTTGAGCTGCACTTATTAATTTTGGAAATTAAATGGTTATGCTTATTAATGTGAGCTTTCACCACTCTTCAAGCTTTCAAAACTGAATTGAAAAAAATGGCATTACGTGAATCTACATTTGGAAAATGTGAATATCGTCAGTGTTCTTTTTTGTTGAGGGGAGGGATTCTTGAAAGGCAAACTAAATTGTTTCTGTTCTATATGCATAGGTTGGAGAGACGCAGCTTATCAAAAAGACGGGAAATAAAACAGCAGGGTAACCATTATAGAACTTCAATTTAGAATGTTTGAATTTTTGTGCCCAGCGTATCTCTTTTGTGGTACATCTGAAAGTCACAAAGATCAATAGGAGGGGGTTTTAGGAGGCACGCAGCCTGACGGTCCAGTGTGTTGCTTATGTCCAGTTCCTTAATGCCTAAGTTCTCAGGGTTGGGAAAGAGGCCAGACAATATATATTTTTGGATTTAAATGTATTTTAGGTTGGAATATCTTTTTTAAAGGACATGGGAATGACTAGATAATTGGTCTCAGTGTCACCTCTTGACCACAGTAAATGTGTTTTCTCTTTAAATAAATGTATCTAGAAGAAACTACAAAGGAGTGCCCTCCGTTTTAGCTCAGGATTCACGTACTCTGACATAGCATGGAGGAGGAATGTGCCAAGATGGATGAGAAAAAACCATTGGTGAAAAAGTTTCAGATGAATTGTGAACTCTTTTTCACTCTCCATATATATGATGTTTTGGCAAAATCTATAACATTGATGGTCATGCTTTTTAGTTTCTGGCACTTCCTGTAAAGCAAGTTTGTTGGCTTTACCTGGAGAAAGAATTATGCTGACAGGCAGTATCCATTACTGACCTGACAATTTTGTCTCCCGTGCTATCTGTCATCTTTGTATTCATTTGTCTTAGAGTCATTCTATTCCTTGAAGAAATGAGACTGCCATCTTCTGGTGGCCTTCAGTGTAGTTAGGTGACTATCGTTAATACAGTCATTGTCTTTGCTATAAGATGTTACCCTTCTGCTGTTTATATCATTAAAATATGCTTGTCTTAGGCTTAGGGAATAAAAACTCAGATTTGGCCCACAAAAAGGAGAACTTATCATGTGTCGACATTTTTACCACTTTCTTTTAATGTTCATAACCACTCATCTGTGTTATAGTTTTTACAGTGGAATAAAAAACTATTTTACAATTCATTTCCAGACATTTCAGAACTATCTATGAAAAATTATTAGAATTGCTCATAAGGTATAATAAACATGATTTTGTGTATAGAATCATACGTAGTACAGAACTATGAACATCAGCAGTACATGATGCATGCAGATGACTATATAATAATATAGTGTCTACATGTAAAATAAAATGTACAGTGTTTTCTAATTACATAAAAGGCAGCCATATGGCTAAACATATAATGTTAAATGTAATATAATATCTCTACTTTACAAAAGAGATTATTAAAACTCAGATGGGTGCCCCAAGTCATATAAGAAGCAAAATTAAAATGTATAATAATATATTCTGAATCCAAAGCTGGTGTCAATTTCTGCCTAGTTATTAGCCTTTAAGGCTTGTAGAAAAGACAAAAAGCAGGGGAATGCAATAACTTTCTGTAAGATAAATGTATCTGACTTATATTTTTCAGTATGGAAAATTTTTCTATTTTGTTCACTAGTGATTTTCTATTTTGTTGACAGTGATTCAAAAATATTTCTTTCTTGTACCTGCTGCCTCTCATGACATTTTTTTCAACAGATACCATGTCTCAGCCAATTTCTTCTCTCTTTTACCAGGGATAATTTAGATAACACATAATTTGTGTTGGAAAAAAACTTCTTCAGTTCTCACACTGATTATCTATCTATATTTCTACTACCTTTTAGCAGAAAGGATTTGAAATGTCCAATATACATCCTGAAGACATGTCGGTTCCTTAAATATTCTGTGAAATCAGACATTAACAATGAGCATAGCATTTAATAAAAAATTGCCTGGAAATTATGTTCATTATCTTTTGTTAAGGTAATTAATACTGTGACTACTAGCCAAGCAACACCAGGAACACAGGCGTATCAAAGTTAAATTCATTAGTGTAATTAACACATACCAAGGCTACCGTAGGGTATTTCAGAAAAGAGGGAGTTAGGCGACAGTATTACTTGTAGGCTGGAGCTAATCACAGGCAGGTCTTCTGAGATACTGGTCAGAATTTGTAAACTCGGGGGTTTTTGAACAATCAGAAGGCTTATGAATCTGGGAAAAGTTAGATCGGTTTATCTGTGGTTTTATCTTGGAACGTATGTCTGAATGGAATGAAAATTGTGATCTCAGATAATTTGCTTCCATTTAATGATTTAGGATACTTTACCTGTTTTGTGAGCCAGAGGACAGTTTTGCAAGTCGATTCTATGTCAGTTCTCAATAGCAGAATAATTTTATTGTTGGAAGTTTTATTCTGCAGAGATAAAATATGAGATTCTTCCTTCTTTTTTTTTCTTTAATTATTATTTATTTATTTATTTATTTTTTTGAGACGGAGTCTCGCTCTGTCGCCCAGGCTGGAGTGCAGTGGCGCGATCTCGGCTCACTGTAGGCTCCGCATCCAGGCTTCACGCCATTCTTCTGCCTCAGCCTCCCGAGTAGCTGGGACTACGGTGCCCGGCACCACGCCTGGCTAATTTTGCTGTATTTTTAGTAGAGACGGGGTTTCACCGTGTTATCCAGGATGGGAGATTCTTCCTTCTTAAACAGATGTTTATTCAATTCATTCTTCAACTATTTATAAACTATCAATATGTGGCAGATACTGTGCTATTGCTACATCGCATTTATAATCTAGCTAGCAGTGATTTAATTATATGATTAAAGCAACCCTCATTTAGCTTTTCCAGCTGTGTCTTCATTTTTAAAAAAGATTATTTTTAATTCAATTACCAGCTAATTCATATGAGAAGATATTTGGAGTTTACCTACCGTGGCAGAGACTGCCAACCGACTTAGCCATATAGGTCTTGATTTGTAGAGGAACACATGGCTACCTGAAATTACAACTTCATTTCTCTACTTTTTGTAGTGAAGTGTGGCCACCTGATGAAGTGATGGCAACAAGATATAAGTGAAAATGGTATTTATATTCCAGGAAGCACGTACAGTGCAAAAGAAGGATGGATACTCTCTTCAAAACTACCTCCATCCTGCTACCCCAATGCCTGGGATGCAGAAGTGATGACTGGAGTTTGATCAGCCATGTTAGGTAATGAGGTAGAATCTATGTGATAAGGATGGCAGAAGAACAACACAGAAGAAACCAGTGCCTTTAAGGATCATTTAATCCCATGGTCACTTCCCTCTAGAATTCATTTACTTGTGCAAGAAATATGTTTATCTTATTTAAACCATTTCTACTTTGGGCTTTCCATCACTACTTTAAGTTTGTTCTGCTCAAGAGTAAAATAAGCAAGAATTAAAGTTATCACAAATAAGCCCTTCCACCCCACCCCTGGAAGGGACAACAGCTGAAATAGTGAATATTTAAAGCTTTAGAAATTTTCAATTATGAGATTGTACAAAGCTTCTTAAATAGCACTTCTTGTATTTTAGAAAACTTTGCATATTTGAACTTATTTGATCCTTATGGCAAATTCATAAGGGAGACAGGAAAAGTACTAATGATCTCATTTTAGAGACAAAGGAACTATGACTCAGAAGAATTATCACATATCCAAATTCATTGAGTGTATTAGTAACACTTCCAGAGCTAAAATCCAGCCCATCCCTGGCCCAGAGATTTTTCGACTGCAATTGTTGAACTCACATTTTTCTTTAGCACTCAATAATCGTGAGAAGTTAATAAAGACACTACATTTTGGTAATAGCAACTTAAATTTGAATTAAATCCACAACTGAAATAGGAAGTTTTATCTTTTTGGAGGCACTCAACTAGAAAAGGTTAAGTCTGGGAGTCCTGGGTTCTAACGCTGAGACTGCATACAAACTTGACTTCTTGTTTGTTAAATGAAAGGGATAAAAGTGATTATCTCTAAGGAATACATTCTCTCTAGGGTCTCATCCAGCATAGATACCCTCTGATCAGCTATAAGACTGTAACCCACATATACCTGTCTGCTTCCTATTTTGGGAGAAACCTTAAAATAATCAGAGAATATTTATTGGTTTAAAAAAACAACAATGCTTCCATTAGATATTTGGGGCCACTCTATTGCAGGAATCCTTATCTGAGAATAAATATCACTAAAGCTTTGTATGAATTGGGAATAATTCAATTTCTGCTAGTTTTCATGGAAGTAGGGTTGCCATATTTAGCAAATAAAAATACAAGATACTCAGCTAAGTCTGAATTTCAAGTAAACAGTGAATAGTTTTTTAGTATAAGTATGTCCCTTGCAATATTTGGGAAATACTTATACAAAGAATTATTTGTTGTTAACCTGAAATTCAAATTTGACTGAGTATCTTTGGTTTTATCTGGCAATCCTACGTGGCAGGTACTACAAACTGGCTCGTTCACTATTCAACCTCCTTCTGGTGTATTCCTAGACATGGAAAGGTGTAGGGCATTTTGCATGTGATTTAAGTATGGTCAGTCTGATGTGCTTGTTCAAGACTCAAATTCAGAACTGGGTTACATAGCAAAAGAGGACATGAAACTCCATCTTACTGGTGCAGACCTTACAAAGGCAATGTTCTTCCGGAGCTAACAGATTGTAAGCACAACTTTCCTGTTTCATAAGCTGCTTCTTGGTCATGGCGGGAGAATCAATTATTTCAGTGGTCCAAATATATGTGGTACATCCTTGAGGATCATCCCTACAAACTCAGCTGAGAGTCTAATTTTTTTGGTCTTGATTCTATAATAAATTGTCTTGATCCTGTAACAAATTCTGTTCTGCTTAAAGTATTTGGAAAAGTTTTATCTTCTCTGTGACTAGACCATAACCGATATCATTACTAAATTATTTTAAATAGTAAAGAAAAGAGAACAAAATGAGATGTTCTCCTTCATTTTTAATCTTATAAACAATACCATAAAAATGAACATTTCTTAAAGAAAAATATATAGTATTCATCAGACCACCATAAATAATTTTATACTTTGACTTATCCAATAAATCATTTTTGTGATTCTTTCAGTCTTAGTTCATACGCAGATGTCATTTTTCATATGGTAATCACAAAGCAGATAAAAATTTTACATTCTACTTTTCTCTCTTAACATGCCATAAATACTTTCTGTGTTTACTTAGTTTTCATAATTTTTTTAATGGCTGTATAACAGCTCTTATAGTTGACATATCATAATTCCCTTATTTCTGGATGTCAAGAGTTTTAGCCACTATAAATAATTTTGTAGTTAATAAGAATTTTTATTCTCCTGCATAATTTCTTTCTGAATTATTTTCTTAAGATAAACTCCCAGCAATGAGATAATTGGGTCAAAGACTATTGAACGCTCTGTGTATCTTAAAATGTTTTTCCAAGCTGCTTTCCATAGGGAATGTGACAATTTTAACTGGGTGGAAAATTTTATTGATGCCTGAATTAAGGGAAGTCAGTGAAAGCTTAACATCATTCAGAATGTATGCAACCTAGCAGTATACAATCCCCCAACACACAGAAGAAAAATGCATGGAACTTGTGGCAGGGACTATGAACAAATAAAAAACAATATGAGAAAGCTGTCTTTTTAACAGAACACCATTCTCTCTTATTCTTTAGAGGAAATATATTTTGTTTATTTTAGTTTTTAAAAATGTCTTTGTGTGAGGAACCAGGAGTAGCTTTTCTGGCCTAACATCTCATAGTCTCATTTTTCCATCCTTTGTTTCTTATTCCACAAATGGAGCAAACCATTAAGAATAATTACTTTGATTAACACATATTAACACTAAGTACTTATTATTTGGTTTCAGATTTGGCTCAGAAATATTGCTGTTAATATCCAAAATATATAAGCAACTCCTACAACCCTATTGCAAAAAGTCAGAAATATCCAGATTAAAGAATTGGCAAAGGAACTGAATAGACATTTCTCTGAAGAAGACACATAAATAGCCAGCAGGTATGTGAAAGGGTGCTGAACATCAACAGTCATCAGAAAACTGAGATAACAGTGAGTAATCACCTCACACCTGTTAGGATGGCCATTATTTAAAAAATGAAGTGTTGGAGAAGATGTGGAGAAAAGGCAACCCTGTACACTGTTGGTGGGAATATAAATTGGTACAGCCACTGTGGAAAACAGGATGGAAGTTCCTAAAAATAATTAGAAATAGAATTACCATTTGATGCAGTAATCCTACTTCTGTGTATATATCCAAAGGAAATAAAATTAATGTCTTAAGGCTATATCTGCATTCCCATGTTCATTGCAGCATTACTCACAATAGTCAAGAAATGAATACAACATAAGTGCTCATCAACAGACAAATGGATAAAGAAAATGTGAGAAATATATATAATGGAATGTTATTCAGCCTTTAAAAAGGGAAGGAAATTCTGTTACTTAGGAAAACACAAATGAGCCTGGAGGGCATTACGCTAAGTGAAAAAAGCCAGACACAGAAACAGAGGGTAAAATGATAGTTGCCCAGCGCTAGCGGGAGGAGGAATTTGGGAGGTATTGGCCAAAAAGTACAAAATTTCAGTTACACAAAATGATTAAATCCTAGAGTTATCGTCTACAGCATGGTGCCTATAGGTAAAAATATTGCATTGTATACTTAAAAATTTGCTAAGATGGTAGATCTTATAAGAGTGCTTTTACCACAAAAACATAAATAAAGAGGGCAGGAGGAAAAAATATTGCTGTTGACTGTACTGCAATACATAGCTTCCTTCTAGTGTGGTAAAAAGAGACAGGAACTGTATTTTTTTTTTCAACTAAACTGTTGTTTAGATTTAGTTACAAAAATTTCCAAATCTGGAGTTTTGTCTCAGTTATTAAATGTAATCGAGGCTTAGACTAAGTTTCCATCTTCTTATTTTCCCACCAAAATTATCCCAATGTAGTTTTTTTTAGGTGTTCAACTCTGATTAACAGAAGGCGTTTTTGGGGAGAGGATTCCTAACATAGAACTTCCAATGGTTAATTCCCATTGGAAGATAGTAATTTTTGTCTCATTTTGAACCATCAAAACAGAAAAGAGTTTCAAGCATCAGATCTTATGGCATGCTGCCATATAAGTGGAAACTCTTTTGGGCAGAACTGATTACTTAATTATGATGTTAGTAACTTGTCTCAGTGTGGTCTGACTCAATTAGGTGGAGGTCAGCAGTTTGTTTTCTGTAAGGGGCCATAGAGGAAAGATTTTCAGCTTGGCTGGCCATACAGTCTCTGTCATGACTATTTAATCTGCCTTTGCAGTGTGAAAGCAGCCACAGAAAATATGTAAATGCAGGAGTATGGATGTGTTCCAATAAAAGTTTATTTACAAAAACAGGCAGCTGACCCATTTAGCCTGCTGGTCATAGTTTGCTGACACCTCACTTAAGGAATGTGGCTTTAGGTGACCTCCAGTAGTAATCCCACTTTGTTTCAGAAATCTCTAAACCCTAGTAGGATTATCAACTTTACAGTGAAAAAAATTCAGTAAAAAGTAAAACTTGGTGTATTAGTGTGTTCTCATGTTACTAATAAAGACATACCCAAGACTGGGTGATTTATACAGGAAAGAGTTTAATGGGCACACAGTTCCACATGGCTGGGGAGCCCTCACAATCATGGCGGAAGGCAAAGGAAAAGCAAAGTCATGTCTTGCATGGCGGAAGGCAAGAGAGAGCTTGTGCAGGAAATTCCCCTTTATAAAACCATCAGATCTCATGAGACTTATTCACTATCACAAGAACAGCACAGGAAAGACCCACCCCCATGATTCAATTGCCTCCTGCAGGGTCCCTCCCAAGAGACATGGGAATTGTGGGAGCTACAATTCAAGATGAGATTTGGGTGGGGACACAGCCAAACCATATCATTTGGTTTAAAAATGAACTCTGATGATAAACTACAAAGAAATAAAGATTGTGTATAAGACCATTCCGAAGCAATAACAAAGGACACCGATGCCTTAGAGGGCAGATCACAAAGTGAGGAGATCGAGACCATCCTGGCTAACATGGTAAAACCCTGTCTCTACTAAAAATACAAAAAATTAGCCCGGCATGGTGGCAGGTGCCTGTAGTCCCAGCTACTCGGGAGACTGAGGCAGAAGAATGGTGTGAACCCGGGAGGTGGAGCTTGCAGTGAGCCAAAGTCACACCACTGCACTCCAGCCTGGGTGACAGAGCAAGACTCTGTCTCAAAAAAAAAAAAAAAGGTCACTGATGCCTAGAAATAAACTTGGAAAAGCTATCAAGAATTCGAAACGCTTTCAAAAATGGATTCCCTCAAAGTAGATGAATGGCAACTATTGGTCTTCAGAATAACACTCATGTCCTCATTTTGCCATCATATTTCCTCTCTCAGTGTTAATCAATCTACCAACAGTTAGTTGTTAACAAGAGTGAGTACCCTTTGGGCAGTGCTTTTCGCTGTCTAAAGTAAACCAACATGCCTTGACCTCATGAGGCAGAGAGCCAACATTGCACATGGCACACACTCACTTCCATGTACAAGCCCTGTGGGACTCTGAAAGGTTGAGTCTCTGGAGTGGGTTGGGATGGGGTGGAAGTAGAAAGGTCCAGAGTTCAGAGAGCTGCCTTGAGTTACACACATAAATGGATAGTACACACATTAATTGTTTTAATTCTACGACTCTGAAACATGACGTTACTCTGCTTCCTTTAGGTTAGGTAGGAAACAAGGTCTTTTTTCCTTTTTTTCTTATTCATATAAGTAAGTGAGAAAAAGTAAAAACTAGAATACTTCCTGTTATTACTAAAGGTGACTAGACATACTACAGATGTATGTCTAGTCATCTTTAAAAAATGGCTCATGAGACATCTGAGAAATAATACCCTTCTGCGCATACAAATATGCTGCTTGTTCACACAGGAAGCAGCAAAAGCAAGCATCCCTCCAGTGCACAAAATCCCAGATATGAAAACATGATGGAGCCAACAGAGGACACTGATCCTGCTTGCCCTGCACTCAGGAGCCATGCTGCACATATTCTCCTCCGTTTGATCACCGTCCTGTGGCTCCTCCTCCATGTCATTAGTTCTCCGACAGCTGTTTTTCTTCTCCTCTTTAGAACTGTCTTGATTCTCACTCCCCTCTGCTGTGCCTTGGTGTCTGTACTTGGTTCCTTCTTGGCTTGATCACAATGAGAGATGTTAACTTTTCTTTAAACTGGAGTCGCTTTTCTCCAAATTTCAGAGGTGGAGGTGAATGTGGAGGTGAACGTGAAGGTGGAGAACGACTGAATGAAGCCACAATGTTGCCTTTCCTGGCTCTATCACCATCCACGCTTCATGGGAATGTTCCCTTTTGGAGTCCTGGCTCCCAGGCTCTGAAATTCTCCAAATGATAAAATATCAGAATGTAATGATATACTGAATATACTCCAGTGCTAATACAACTTTGCTGAATTTTAAATTTTGCCAAGTAAGCACAATTGAAAAACAAACAAGCAAACAAAAACCCTAAACAACCAAAACAAATAGTAACTGTTATAATCACTATCATTTTATAAAATAAAACATTTTTGACACCTCAAGTAGGCCATACTCTCAGAAGGAACAGTGCCTTAAATTGAATTTACTTTGTTTTACAAAAAACTCACTGCATTGTCCTTATATTTTTCACTTTGCCTCTGACAGCTTATAACTTAATTTTGAATTGGCCCATGTCCAGTGCCTGGTGTTTGGGAAGAACTGGTGTAATGGAAAGAATATTATCTCTGGAGTCAGACAGATCTGGCTTCAAATCCTGGCTTCTACACTTGACATTGAGTGAGTCATAGGACGGGTCTGAGGCTTCCCCAAGGGAGGGAGTGCCTACCAGGTGCTGTGCATAAGGGTGACAGAGTGTGTCTTTCATTCCTGTCTGCTCTGTCTTCCTTTTGTCCTTTATGTATAACTTATCACCAACAGCAAGAAATAAGCAACTTCACCATGAAAGTTATTTTTAAGTATTTTGTTTTTTTATTGATATAATCATATTGGTTATTTGAAGTGTAGCCTTTCTATACACTTACAAATACCAATTAGTAAAAATGACTTGAGCGATTTAAATATCAGGCTCTATAATGTTTTAAACAGTTAGTAAATAAACCAAACAAAAACAAAATAAGTGCCAGGAATGGCAGTTCATGCCTGTAATTCCAGCATATTGGGAGGCCAAGGCAGGCACATCACTTGGGGTCAGGAGTTTGAAACCAGGCTGGCCGACATGGTGAACCCCATCTCTATTAAAAAAACCACAAAAATTAGCTGAGTGTGGGGGTGCCTGCCTGTAACCCTTGCTACCCCAGAGGCTAAGGCAGAAGAATTGCTTGAACCCCGGAGGTGGAGGTTGCAGTGAGCCGAGATAGCACCACTGCACTCCAGCCTAGGTGACAGAGTGAGACTCCATCTTAAAAACAAGCAAACAAACACCAAAGCAAAAACCACGGAGTCAATGCAGTCTATTCCTCAGACCCTGGGTGTGTCAACTGATTCGGGATTCTCTGAGCTCTCTTCTTGACTGGTCTTCATCCCTGGCCTGCTGTCCTTGGCCTTCTAGCCCTGTTCAGTAAGAATCCTGCCAAGCCAGATGAGCAGAAGCCCCGTCACCCCCAACCACTGATATCTAACCAAGTTCCTTTAGTAATTTTTCATTCACTCCCTTACCCTTCCCATTGGCTATAAACCCCCAGCTGCTTCGTCTGTACCCAGAATTGTGTTCCCTCTGGCAACAGACTTGACCCCTATTGTAATCGTCTTAAATAAAGTCTTCCTTGTTTGTTTAACTCTGTGCAGTGCAGTTTTTCTTTGCCATAGCCCAAACCCACACCATATCGGAAAGAGGTCTTCCTGGGAGAATGTGAAAGGCCGTGTGAAGAATTAACCTCAGGAACCATCAGCTCCAGAGTTTATAAATTAATTTTTTTTTAAATTTCAGGGACCAATATCAGGTGGAATTGTTCTAATCCTATTACCTGGGGGAAGAGAGAAGTCAATTTCCACCCCTAAGGGATAAACTATCATTTTGGAAGGGGATTTTCAGAAGAAGGGTCATTTTTTTTTTCATTCGTGAAATGTTTATTAGATCATTTACATTACCATAATTATTTTTCTAGTGCTCAGAAGACTAGCAAGGAGCCTTCCTTGAGTGCCTTCACTGATGACAGGTTTGTTATGGGTAGAAATGCTAGAGGTTGGAAGTTTCCTCCAGCACCTGTCAGCATTGATATTGCTATTAGTCATTAACTCTCCCCAACTTTTTACTTTCCTGCTACTTCAAATTTGGCCTTCTTTATTACTGAAGAGAAAGGAATGGGCATTAGGTAGGAAAAGTGGTTCAGAAAGTTCACTTTTCTAGAGTTGCATTGTACCTTTCTGTCATAAAGTTGCATGTATTTTTCTGCCGTGGTTTACAGGTCTTTTCAAAATATTGCATGCCACATACAGCTTGGATCCTCTTGTCTCATTCTGTGGCTTAGGTTGCTAACCTGACAGGGTTATTTAAAGGAAGAGAAAAAAATATTTTTCAAAGTCAGTGGAAGCTTTGTAACCATGAGAACATTTGGGGATGAGGCAGTCAGTTCAATCAATCCAGTGTGCTCATGCGAGCAGAGGCCTCCCAAGCTGCTCGTTGTGCGATCAGACTTAGATGGCTTTCTGCCTCGTTTGCAGGACCATTTTCAGTAATACTGGAAAAGAAGAACCTGAAAGACTTCTTTAAGGATTCTCCAACTCTTAGGTAAAGTGAAGTCTGAGAACTGGGGAAGTAGAGGTAAATCAGTCAGATGTATGAAAAACAGAAACATTGCAAATGATATCACGATGATTTGTGGTGGGGCTTATTTTTGCAGTTGGCAGCACTGTGCCTGCATTTGGGTAAATTGGCCTCAGACGAATCTCAGCGGAGCCTGGGTTCTAATTCTATGGTCTGAACAATGAACTCCTTTCTTGGCCGTCCTCTCCCTTTCAAGTTGGGGGCCAAATCTGAGTGTTTTATTGTTGAACAAGATCCGGTCAATGGTTTTTCATATAAAAGCCCCAATATTTAATAAAACACACTATTCATGTTAGTGGAAATGCTAGTTATCGGCCGGGCGCGGTGGCTCACGCTTGTAATCCCAGCGCTTTGGGAGGCCGAGGTGAGCGGATCACGAGGTCAGGAGATCGAGACCATCCTGGCTAACATGGTGAAACCCTGTCTCTGCTAAAAAAAAAAAATACAAAAAATTAGCCGGGCGTGGTGGCGGGTGTCTGTAGTCCCAGCTACTCAGGAGGCTGAGGCAGGAGAATGGCGTGAACCTGGGAGGCGGAGCTTGCAGTGGGTGGAGATCTTGCCACTGTACTCCAGCCTGGGCAACAGAGCGAGACTCCATCTCAAAAAAAAAAAAAAAAAAGAAAAAAAGAAATGCTAGTTATCAATACCCGTGGAAAAGAGAGTTCTTAAAAATATAGTTTGAATAAAGATTCCTGTCTTGGTTCTCTGCTTACATATGTTGAGGATGTTTAGATACCAGAATGTTTCTACCAGTGTATTCATTTTGTAGGGCAGCCGTCACAAAGCACCACAAATGGAGTCAAACAGCAGAAATGTATTATCTTACTCTTCTAGGGGCTGGAAGTCCAAAATCAAGGTCCAGCAGGGCCATGCTCTCTCTTCTTAGCTTCCAGTGGTTGGCAGTGTTCACTGGCATCCCCTGGCTTGCAGCTGCATAATTCTAACCTCTGCCCGCGTCATCACATGATCGTGCACCTCTGCGTGTTTGTGTCTTCACATGGAGCTTTCCTCTCTGTGTATGTCTATCTTTGTTTTCCTTCTCATCTTCTAATAAAAACACCCGTTATATTGGTTTAAGGGCCCACCCTATGCCAATATGACCTCATCTTAATTATATCTGCAAAGACCCTATTTCCAAATAAATTCAAGAAATCTTTGGGGGGGGGGTGGGGGGGGGAATTCAATCCATAACAGAAAGTACACCTCATCTTTTTTAACACTTGCATAATATTTCATAGTAGGAATGTACAGTCATGTGCTGCATAATGACATTTCAGGCAATAACAGACCACATATACAATGGTGGTCCTGTAACATTATAAGACCCTATAACTGTACCTTTTCTATGTTTAAATCTGTTTAGATACACAAATACCTATCATTGTGTTCCAATTGCCTACAGTATTTAGTAGAGTAACATGCTGCACAGGTTTGTAGCCTAGGAACAATAGGCTGTACCATAGTCTAGGTATGAGGTAGGCTTGATCATCTAGGTTTGTGCAAATACATATTATGACGTTCACACAACCACAAAATGCCTAATGGGGCATTCTCAGAATGTATTCCTGTCATTAATCAATGCCTGACTCTATATGGTTTATACAATTATTCTTCCAATACTATTCAGGTTGGTTCACCAGTACAAATAATGCTTCAATTTTATCTTTCAGCCCTTCGTTGATTTAAATATTTGTCTATTCATTTGTTGTTTTCTCATCTTCCTACTGGAATATAAGTGCTCTGATGTCAGATACTGTATTTTTCTTTTTCATCGTAGTCATTCCAGCTCCTAGCATAATGAAAGGCATGTGGCCAATGAATAAAATATTGTTGTCCACTTATGTAAGTAGTATAAACTTCTGAAGCTAGATTAAAAATTTTGAAGATGCTGCCAAGTTGTTCTCAAAATCAGCTGTACCATTTTACATTCCTGTCATCACCCATTTCTCTATGTGCTTACCACACTGTATATTACAATATTTAAAACTTTCACCAATTTGATGGGTAAAAAAGGCTATTTCATTATCATAAAATAATTGTGTTTTTAAATTGTTTTGCAAACCTACCTGATTCTAAGCTCCTCAAAAGCAGAATAGGTTCATAGATATCCTTATATTTTCTGCACCTGCAGTCTGGGGCATAGCAAGTACACAATAAATAGCTACTGAGGTTATTTGGCATCCATTTTTGAACTTTTCATGTAATTTTTTTCCTCAGTCCTGCAATAGTTTCCTGTGGCTGCTGTAAAAAATTACCACAAACTGGGTAACTTAAAGCATAAGAAATTTATTTTCTCACATTTGTAAAGGCTTAGAGGTCTAAAATCAAGCTGTTGGCAGGGCCATGCTCCCTCACCTCTTCCTAGCTTCTGGGGGTTGCTGGCCACTCTTGCCTCACCCCAATCTCTGCCTTTGCCTTCTCATGGCCTTCTCCTATGTGTCTGTCATCTTCCTATAAAGATACCAGTCATTTGATTAGGACCCACCTAAAACTCATGTGTATTAGTCTGTTCTCATGCTGCTAATAAAGACATACCTGAGATGGGGTAATTTATAAAGGAAAGAGGTTTAATTGACTCACAGTTCCACATGGCTGGGGAGGCCTCACAATCATGGCAGAAGGCGAATGAGAAGCAGAGTCATGTCTTACATGGAGGCAAGTAAGAGAGCTTGTGTGGGGGAACTCCCACTTATAAAACCATCAGATCTCGTGAGACTTATTCACTACCATGAGAACAGTATGGGGGAAACTGCCCCCGTGATTCAATTATCTCCACCTGACCCTGCCCTGGACACATGGGGATTATTACAGTTCAAGGTGAGATTTGGGTGGGGACACAGCCAAACCATATCATCATGTCTACCCAAGATCTGTGGATGTGGCCTTATTTGTAAATAGGGCCTCTGCAGAAGTACTCAAGTTAGGATGAAGTCACACCAGTTTGGGTGGGCCCTGATTGAATTGTTACCGGGAAGTTCTTAGTCTTACTTGGGAGAAAGAATTCTACCAAGAGACAATTTAGCCTCCATGAAAGAGAATTTATTGAAGGAAAATAGGGAGCAGAGAGTTTATTTAGAGAGAGACAGCACACTTTGAAAGATGAGGCAGAGCAGGCTGCTGATAAAGAGTATGAACCCGCAGCTGCCCAACAGTTCTGCTTTGGGTATTATGATGTCAGATTTTTTTCTTCAAGTTCCCACCTCCGTCTTAAGTCTCTGTCTTTTTTCTTTATCTAGTTTTCCCTCTTCTTCCTTAAGTCCCTGCCTTTTCCCTGCCTAGTTTCCACTCCAGGCTTGTGGGACCCTCACTTACTATTAGTTGGTGCACACACGTGGGCCCGGTGTTGGAGCTGAATTCTACCTAATGGCTACATTGCTCACTACCGCCACCCCAGGAAGGTTGTATGGTGGTCAAATCTATACTTATTGCACCTGAGTATCTCTTATCTCTTAGGATTTTCCCGTTTGCCCTAACCTGTACTTATGGTGCCAGCATATTTCTCAGGAATTTTCCCTTTTGCTCTCTTTCCTTTCTTATTAGCATGTACCTAACAACATTCTGACATTTTAACTGCAGAGCGAATGATTATTGGTGCATTTAAAGAAGCATTTCCTTCTGCATATATCCTTCCCCTCATCTCAGCTCATTTCTAACATGCATGTTTCTGGTGATCTCTGGGGTGTGACATTTTCCAGACCTCACTTTTCTCAGGGGCTCCCCACCCCTGCTCATGTCTAGCTATCTGCCTGCTCTAAAAGAATGATTGGTATCTTTATAAGAAGGGGGAAATTATTTAACCCAGTACAAGACCTACAGAATTTCTCACTCCATATCTTTCTAGACTTTTGTGGTTATCTCCATAGCTCTAGTGCCTTGAAGACAGCTCTTGATATCAGGTATCAAAACTTTCATAATTTTCTTTTGGCTCTGAGTTATGACCTCAAGTCTCTGATGTCCTTGACCATCACCTGCTCTGCAGTGCCTCCCTGCTTCTCAGTTTCACGCCAAAGGAAATGGCTTTTTGCTACATGCAACTCAGCTAAAAACAGCAGACAGATGACAATGATCCCAAGTACCTGACTCCCTACTGTGAATCCCTGAAGACTGTTTTTTTTTCAACGAGGACAAATAATTTTCCTACACAGACTTCTACCTTTTCCTTAGATTCTTGCCCTTTGAAGCCTTAAACTGGTGTAAATGCTAATTTGAAATTAACAAACAATTTATGTCTTTGCTAACCTCCCTTGGCTTATTTCTCACTTCTTAAGTAGGGCTCTCACAAATACCTCACGCACGCATTTGCTTCCTTTTTAAAGAACCTACCACTCTTTCCTTCAGATCACATTGAACATATTTAAATTCTCTCTGGCTCTTAACGTGTGTGTGGGGTAGTGGTTGTGTGCATGCGTGCAGGTGTATATAAAAAGCAAAGGAATTGGACAAACAGATCTGCAATGTCCTCTTTAGGTTAAGTGCTTGTAAAAGCAGTAGAAAGTACTCATCCAGAAGCAGTCTAAACAGAAGATAATCTCTCCATCTTTCATTGAATTTCAGAAGTTTCTGACAGGGCTCACTATTCAGGGAAAGTTGGTTTAAAAGACACTGGAGCACTTGGTCCCACAGGGGACTACCTCAAAGATTATAACTTTTGCTGGGGTTGGGGGAGGACGATATTGTCGGCCAGTCATTGTGACTCTTTTCATTTGCATGTGGCTGCCACGTAGCTTCGCCCTGATTAAGTGACCTCCTTTTAGATTGCTGCATACCACATCCATAAGTGGTCTGCTTGTGTTTCTGATCAAGCAATAGCTAAGCAAAGCAACACTACCTGAAGGAGTGCTTCCTGAGATCTTGTGGAGGAACTCTTTTCTTTTTTGAGACAGGGTCTTGCTCTATTGCCCAGGCTGGAGTGCAGTGGTAGGATCATGGCTCACAGCAGCCTCGACCTTGTAGGCTCAAGCCATCCTCCCATTCAGCCTCCTGAGTAGCTGGGACCTCAGCCTCCTGAGTAGCTGCCACCATGCCCAGCTAAGTTTTGTGATTTTTTTGTAGAGACAGGGTTTTGCCATATTGCCTAGACTGGTCTCAAATTCCTGAGCTCAAGTGATCTGCCTGCCTCAGCCTCCCCAGTTGCTAGGATTACAGGCGTGAGCCACTGCACCTGGCTTTCTGGAGGAACTTCATTACACTTCTTATATGAACACTTCCCTTACCAGCTCACAATATCTAATCAGGGTTCACTGCAATTTGAACCCTTTAATTCCTTCCCTGTCTTTCTTCTTCTTCAAATACTTATTAAGCTTCTATTCTTTACCAGTCCTGGGGCTAGAACCAAGTGAGAAAGATTAAAACAAGATGTAGGATTTCCCCCAAGAGACTGAATGTACGAATGGGTAATGGTGAAAGCATATACAGGACACTGACTCACGACCTCTGTAGCAAACAGCACAGGAAGCCAAACAGTAACCTCTGCAGCAGTCAGCCCAGAATGTTCAGAGCATTGCTTATGACTGCCAGCTTTCCTAGTTTTTGGCTCTGCTTTCAACTCAAGACCAAACAGAAAACCCAATATGCTCCCCAGACCCCTATCACATAAGAGGCACCAATTCTATTTAGTTCATTCCTAGCTTCCCCATGCTAATAACTGCTAATCAGAGCAGACCTGACACTTTCTATTTTTGGAAGTATAAAGCCTTTCCACTCCCTTGCCTACCTTTGTGTCTCTGCTAAATGCAAGTGATGGCAGCTGACTCCCTTCCTGCAGTAAGCTCTGAATAAACAACTCATGCTTATTCTCATTCGAGTGGTGGTCTTTGTTTATTTCCATAGCCCCTTGAGGAACTGTTAGAAGATAAACTTAGGCATATTAAAATTTTTAAGATTTTATTTTAGCATTTAACAATGCATGAATCGAGAAGCACCAGACTGCACATGGTTTAGCATTTCACTGTAGAGGTGAGGGTTGGTGTGAGAGTGAAGAGAGAGAGACTTTTATAAGATATTCGTGGAAGAAAGACAAAGAAAACATATTTGATTAGGGTAGAAAGTCCTTAGAGATTACTTGGCAGTTTCTGATTGATAAATTCTCTAGTTTCATCTTACCACTTATAGTGGGCTTCAGTTTGCTTACATAGGAACTTATAGCACTTGACTGCCCCAGTCTAACGGCCTCGTAGTTAAAAAAAAATTTTTTAACAATTTCCTTCTTTTGTCTGCCACTCACTTATGAGAGATTGGCCAAAACTTGACCATAAGCACACCTCTCTGTCATAATCATGTCTGTTTTGTCTTGGTCTCAGCATGGAACTCATAACTCATGACATCAGACTCATTGAAGAAATATTCCTTTTGTTCATCTTGTTTTTTGTCACTAATCACAGGGAGACCATCTGTTGTACTGTTGATGGCTGCAAACATGCATTTAAAATACTTGAGAGAACACAGTGCACCTGGGAGATTAAATGAGGGCTATCAGGAAGAGAAATCCAAGAAGATTGGAGTATACTGCTTAGCCAAGGTTTCCAGAAACCAAACAAGCTAACATTTCTATGGAAATAAAACAACAACAACAAAAAAAAACCAGGTTAATGAATATAACTCAGTCTGTGTGTTCAGAAGGCAGTTAGTCAAGAAAATGTTAAGATTTGAGCTCAAAGCATATTTTCCTAGTTTGCAGTCTGAATGTCACTGGTTATGGCATCAGGCATCTTGGTGAACTCCCTGAGTGGGCCACATAACATCAGGCCCAAAAGTTGTCCTGTGAAATTTATGTCGAACAGTCTTGCTCCAGCTTGTAGGGTTTTGTGAAAAGTTAAGTTCATATTTAAAAAAATTTCAAGAACAATGAACATGATGAATCTGATATCTATGAGGTTGTATCATAGTTTTTTACTGAAACATTATTTTTCTCTCTACAGTTGTCCCTGTATTTAACAAAGAAAATCACAGTAAGACAAATTTATTTGTGAAATAAGTCATGAAACGTGGACTGATTATTCACATAAGTGCAGCAAGTCTAGTGGTTGACCATATCGCCTCCTTTTCAGAGTGCTTTGCCAGAACTTTTAATAAAGACTTTCAGATTCGAATTTTAAAAGCCTCTTCAGACTAGCAAGCCATGTCAAGAACTTGTCGTCAAACTTTGCCAGCAATACCTATACGTTTAGGTAAATTTCTCTCTTGAGGTCTTTAAAATATTTTTTACATTTTTGGGCCTTACTTTCATAAACTAGGGAACCTTTAAAGCCAAATAGTAGGCCAATTTTTTCCAAGAACTTTCTTGCCTCCATAAAGTCAATCTCAGTTCTTTAAAACTATCTGGTCATATCTAAAACTATGCATATTCTTAAATATGACATTCCAGTCAAAGCTTTGGTAATATAATTTATGTTTCCAATTATGTCCTGTTACAAAAGCAACTAATTCTTATTGAACTTATGCAAATAACTATATTGCCATGAAAATAAGAATATTTTATGGTTTCTGAATTCTGGAGGGCTCAGGTAGGGAGAAAAAAGTACATGCTTCAATTTTGCTCACAAAGGTATACTTTACCAAATTGCTGTAAGCTATTGGTAGCCTAAGAAAAAAGAAAAAGGTTTTCTTAAATCTTGAAAACATTAAAGAATTAGCAACGTTTCAAACAAAAAGGCCATAGAAACCCATTTTTTTCATCTGTTCATTCACTCCCATGTAATTAATTCTTGTTCTGTTTGATGTGAGCAGTTTCATGAACCAATCGGTTTCTTCACTAGAAGTCTGGAAATTCTTACTCATTCCAATGGCAAAATCCTTAAAGTTAGAAGCTTGTACTTGTCAGTCCTTTTCATATATCTCCTTGAATACAAAACACTTTAAAATTATAATTGCTTGCAAAAGCTTTCAGTAAAATACCAGAACAAAACTGTCTATGAATGACAAGATTTAAAATGGCCATGGTAAAAGATCTGATAAGAGTTCATTACAATGCAATTGATAAGAAAATTTTATCAATTCAGTGACATACAACATTTTAAGATAATAACTAGAATTATGACTGAAAGTTATATCAAGACTATCAGATTTTTAGGAATTTCACACAATTTCTGGAACACATTAATAACTCATCCATATAAATATAACTCTAAGAGAGTTAAATGTCACTTATTTTTTGTCAATACTTTCCATGCAATTTAACACATCAAATAACTCAAATTAGTTTAACATCTCTCCTTTTATAAGAAGAGAGAATAAAGTATTTTGAGATATTCTGGGTCCCCTCTAGAAGCTCCCAAAGTTAGTCCAAAGTCAAAAAGACTTAATTTAGAATTTGATTTTGGTTTAAACTAAATAAAAAGTTTAAATACTTTATTAAACAGGATCATCGGCTAGTGGGAAACTAGAGTCATTCATTTAACCAGACTGATAATTAAAATACCTTAAAAGCAAATACAGAAAGTTACTTAGTTGTAGAAAATCTTAGCTCTTTCAATAGAGAGGACTCAGTATTTATTTTGAAGTAATCAAAGACTGGAAAAAGGCAAAAATTATTAATTATTTTAATAAGACCCAAAAGTCATTTCCCTTAATTCTATTTTTAATTAATATATTAATTAGAATTCTTACGTTCTAGTAGCTTTAATTTCTAGTAAAAATTGGGAAGTAAGCAATTGTCGACTTTCTGTCACATTAGCATTCAGTAGATTAGCATCATTTTTTATGATTTTTGAGAAGTATCAGCTTCCTCATAGTACAATTTTTCATTGCGGCACAGGAAATGTTTACTAACTGCCTCAAATATCTTTAGTTCTTCTATAATAAGCCAAATGTGAATAAGGTTAAACTTACGTTCAGTAATTAATAGGATTCAGTAATTTACCTTATTTGGAAAGGATCTAGATAATTTAATAAATATTCATAATTTAACTTAGCAAAACTCTAAGGGTATAAGGTATGAAAGAGATTTGGAAAATTATTTTAGCAGACATATTAAAAACATAATTATTCTTGAAAAGTTTATTTATAAATGTTTATTTCTCTTTTGGTTATTTAATTCACTTGTATTTAACAATTATCTTGGATTACTCATTAAAATTTATGAGACAAAAGCTAGCCATTAGACAAAGCTGGCTATTATCTCAAGTTATTTACCTGATAACTATTTTTACATGGTGCACATGTTAGGCAGTAGTTATCATGAAAGCAAGAATCCTTAAAAAGTTAAATATGTGTGTTTTTTTTTTGTTTGTTGTAGCTGTGCTGGATATATATGAAGTAGTAAACATTGCATCCATTTTCACAATTGTTCTTGGATAGAAGTTATTTATAGTTTTAGCATCTTAAACATCTAGTAGAGATAACATAAATGCATTTGATTAATAAATCCATGTAAAACAAAAGTTGTGTGTCTGCATTATATATAATGCCAACACTCTGAAGACATTCCTACATTTAATTAAACCAACATACTTTAGCTTTTATTTACTGAAGATTATATCAGATCATGTAAATTTAAATTATTTTGGGTTAGTTCTTATTTTTCAAAGAGGTTAAAGAATACAACATATAAGTGCTTACTTTTTCTTTTAAGTCAATTAAATAGAGCTTTTTAATAAATTAATTTTGACATTAGCGTACAGAGGTAGAAAAATGTATCACATATGTGTAACATACATAGACATACATGAACATATGAACAGAAGGAAATCTTACAGCTTTCATTCTGGAGTTTTAGTATGTTCCAGGTACAGTCATACAAAACTTACTAGTTTGTAAATAAATATCTGGATGTGAATTCTGTTTCTGGCAGATGGAACAAAATTACCTGTCCTAATATCTAAAACTTTTGACTAATATTTGTAAAGGAGATCTTTAAGATTTCTTATTTGCACTTTGTAAGGAGTCTTTAGAAGGCAACTTTTAATTTATTTCATCTTTTAGAAACCTATGCATGATAATCAAAAATACATCTCATTGTTTCTGAGGCATTTGAGATCCCCCTTTTTCTTCAGTGAACTCCACAGATGAGCAATTTTGATTAGGTTAAGACTTCCCCACTGTGGCCACCAAAATTCTAAATTATTTTTGGGAAGGTTTACCTATTTTTCTAGAAAATAATAGGTTCCAAGATGGAGGAATCCCAACTCTGTGAATTTGGATAAACCCATTATCTAAATCTTCTTAGTTATTTCGCAGAATCTTCCTAGATATCTTTCCATGATCTTTCCTGCCTGAGGCCTCTTACTGGACCCAGTTCAGGTTTTGTTAGACCCAATCTGATGTTGAACCCAATATGACTTTCAAATCTAGTCTGGATTAAAAATGATCAGATAAACTACAGGTGCTTGACCCAAGTTGTGGAACTTGTATTTGAGGGTGGGTGCTTACTGAGTGACCTCTGGTGCAGCAAGAAAAACAGTAAGCACAGTGGTCTTCCTAGGTACCTATGTTTGTTTGTTCATTACTCTGAGGGTCTCCATCAGCACCCTGGTCCTCACTTATGACACCAGAATTGTTAAAAGGTAAACTCAGGTATATTAAAATTTTAAAGAGTTTATTTGAACAGTTAATGATTCATGAGTTGTGCTGTACCAAACTGCAAGCAGGTTAGCATTCCACTGTGCAGGGATGAGGTGATAGAGAAATGTTTATATGACATTTGCAGAGCAACACAAAGAAAATATATTTGATTGGTCAGAGTGGAACTTGCTCTGTTACCCACGCTGGAGTGCAGTGGCACCATCTCGGCTCACTGCAAGCTCTGCCTCCCAGGTTCACACCATTCTCCTGCCTCAGCCTCCTGAGTAGCTGGGACTACAGGCGCCCACCACCACGCCCGGCTAATCTTTTGTATTTTTAGTAGAGACGGGGTTTCACAGAGTTAGCCAGGATGGTCTCAATCTCCTGACCTCGTGATCCGCCTGCCTTGGCCTCCCAAAGTGCTAGGATTACAACTTGACAGTTTCTGAGTGTCTGATTGGTAAAGTCTGTGGTTTCATTTTACTCCTTATGTTGGGCTTTGGGTTGCTTACATAGAAACTTAAAGTGCAGGAGTCTAATGGCCTCCCAATTATGACCTGTTCAACAGATCTCACAGCCTAGTGGGGAGAAACAGTATTAAACATAGAATTTTCATACACTAAGATAAACAAAGCAGTAGAGTTATATATAAAAGGTATAGGGGAGGCAGCAAAAAAGGGAGTAATACATATTTCCTTTTTTATTGATTATTTGATTGTATTACTTTACTTCATTTCTGCTGAAGAATGTTGGAGTGGACTTTAGGGTTCTAATACATTTCACAGGAGACCTACGTTAGTTTGGAGCTGAAGAAGCCAAGGACTGTGGAGAGCATCGAAGCCTCATTAGATAGAGTGACTGCCTCTGGAGTGCATCCTTTGACACTGCTCAACCTACATCTAAAAAGCAATAAAGGATGCTACAGTCATGAAGATGTCTGTGGCCTTTTCTTCTTCTTCCTTTCCCTCCATTTCCAAGAGAAAGACTTGCTACTTCTGGATATGCCACCTCCAGTTCATGGGAGTGGCATTACAGACTCCTTTAAATGAGTTGCAAAGGCAAAACGTTTTATTAATATGCATATATGTATTAGTCCATTCTCATGCTGCTCTGAAGAAACACCTGAGAATGGGTAATTTATAAAGTAAAGAAGTTTAATTGACTCACAGTTCTACAGGGCTGGCAAGGCCTCAGGAAACGTACAATCATGGTGGAAGGGGAGGCAAACACGTCCTTCTTCACATGGCAGCAGCAAGAAGAAGAATGAGTGCCCAGTGAAGGGGGAGGCCCCTTATAAAACCATCAGATCTTATGAGAACTCACTCACTATCACAAGAACGGAATGGGGAAAACTGCCCCCATGATTTGATTATCTCCACCTGGTGCCTCCCACGACGCGTGGGAATTATGGGAACTATAACTCAAGATGATATTCGAGTGGGGACACAGCCAGACCATGTATCAGTATATTTGTATATTCATTCAGCAGTTTTAAGAACAGTTTTTCTTTGAGTTGATTATTCTCTTTTAATAGAAATTTCCCTGATGAAAAGAAAAATTCACTATTGTCAGCTTTAAATAGGAGAATCATAGACAGGGCTGTGATGGAAGGAGAGCCTTCTGAGGAAGAGCTGTCTCTGCAGACTTCACTGTTTCTGGGGGCAGTCCAGTGGTGAGCACATGGTCTTCCTACAATAGGGTTTTTGTAAAGGTTGGGTATTGTTAAAGAAATTCTGGCTTCCTCAGAAAAGAATGATACAGACTTTGGCTTGTCACTTCTCCTAGAAATTGAAGCTTTCTGGAATAAGCCCATCCATCAGTCCATGCAAAGCAAATGGCCTTCTCCTGCCATATGGGCCTCATGATAGTTATTGCTTCTCCTATCTAGGTGCCAAGAACAAACTGAGTGTAAAAACTGAGAGTCTAAAAAAATTCAGTGGCTGGGGAATTTCCATCAAATGTTTTGACTGCCATGCAAAAAGGGCATGATGATGCAATAATCCCTTTGTGGGGAGGAGGGAGTGCAAAGAGCCCTGGTAATAGAATTTTAATAGCCCAGTGTTCATTTTTGTAAAGACGTTTGATGATTGCAAGCTAAGGTGATCTAATGCATCTACCTTACTTTTCCTTACTTTTTGCATATTCCTCCCACCAGACCTGGGCAGGCAGTTCCTACGCTGGACACAATTTTCTAGTGGCAAGGTTAGCCTGAATATGCCAATGTTGCTGCCAAAGCTGCTGATTCTCTCCTGCTATGACTAAGCCCCTTTAAAATGGCACATTATTCTTCTTTAAATATAAGTGTATTTATATTTCAATTGTAGTTAAAATTTGTGGGCCTAGGTGTGTCTTTTCAAGATGAATTTGCTTTATTCTTTTCTAATCTTTAAGCCCTGATTTTTAAGTTTAACTCTCAGGGAAGAAATTTATTTCAGAGTTTGGAGAGATGCCTCCCTACAGCCCACAAGAACTGCTAAGAACTCTTATTTTTAAAAATAATCTCTTTTCTTATTCACTGATTAACCTGTTTCTCAAGTGTCGGTTCTTATAATTATTCCTTGGTATAAAAGATCAGAGCTGGAATGAAAAGTTTCAGAAATTTCACTCACATACTCTAGAGGGGAAGTTTGATGTTATGCTCTTATTATTGGATCTTTTATTTATCATATAAGGATCCTCAGTGGTATAGTGGAAAGCATTCTTAACGTGAAGTCCAATTACATTGTTTTTTCATCCTTTTATAGTTATATAAATATCAAATGTGCAAATGTCAAACATAAGTGAGTGACAGTTTTGCTAATATAAGGAATTAAAATTAAAAATTAAAAATTTTTTAAAAATCTGTATATTAAAGATAATGATACCCAAACCTGATAACCTCACAGGGTTTTGGGGAGGAAAAATATAATTAGTCAAAATATTTCATGATTAGTAATGTGTCCCATAGTCATATGACTTTGATAATAATTTTTACAATCATAATTTTTAGAATACTTACATTTTTGTGGGTACATAGTAGGTGTATATATTTATGTGGAACATGAGATGTTTTGATACAGGCATACAATATGAAATAAGTACATCATGGAGAATGGGATATCCATCCCCTCAAGCATTTATACTTTGAGTTATAAACAATCCAGTTACATTCTTTAAGTTATTTAAAAATATAAAATTAAGTTATTATTGAGTATAGTCACCCTATTGTGCTATCAAATAGTAGGTCTTATTCTCTCTTTTTTTTGTATCCATAATTCTTAGAATACTTAATTTTTATTTCATAGACATGTTTTGTGGTGCTGCCCAGATTCCTCCTGTAGGATTAGAGTGCTTATTTGCAGCTGCTGGAAGGACGGACACAAGATGACACTCAGCTGTCACTCTTACTTGGGAGTTGTCTCAGTTAATGTCATACCCTACTCAAGGTCATACCTCTTTCCAGGGACAGCCCACATCGATGAGTAATTAACCCAGTAATATAAAGGCTTGATCCCCTAGCCTCAACCTGGGACACCCCTAAAGGGCTATCCAAATTCTAGAGCTTCATGGGAGGTCAGCTAAAACATTCACTGGGACTTCGTCACAGCTCACTCTCTTCCTCTGCGAATCCTGTTTTCTTCTACTCCTTTGCACAGGTGTTGGCTCCAAGACACCTCCTTAGTTAACATTGTGCACATCCATCTTCCTGCCAAAGTCTATGTTCCAGAGAACTCAAAACTACAAAGCTGAGTACCAGATTGATGAAAGTGGATGCTGAGAAGGGATTTTAGAGTTGGATGGCCTACTGTCCAGTTGGAACATGGAACTATTGGTGTGTGGAACACAGATAGCTCTTGGCACTAACAGTGAAATTATTTAAATGTTTACTGGTGATGAAATGGGATGCTATACTGATGAAAGTTAATTATACCATTAGTTGGTGCCATGTGTCAGGAATTTGGGAACTATATGGATGGTTAAATCAGGCAGCTATTGATAATATTGTACTCTGAAAAAAGATAATTCAAAGCTAAGAGTGATTAATTGTTGAAAAAAGCCAAATTTGAAAGCGAAAGGGCCTCCTTAGCAGCATATAAAGAGGTTCTCATTTCCTTCAGTGGAACAGCAGAGAAAGCAGAAGGCCAACCCCTGTCTTCTCATAAAGTTCAAAAAAAGTTGAACTCTAAAAGAAGGGGGGTCTGGGCCGGGTGCAGTGGCTCACGCCTGTAATCCCAACACTTTGGGAGGCCGAGGTGGGCGGATCATGAGGTCAGGAGTTCGAGACCAGCATGACCAACATGGTGAAACCCCGTCTCTACTAAAAAAATACAAAAATTAGCCAGATGTGGTGGCACACACCTGTAATCCCAGCTACTCAGGAGGCTGAGGCAGGGGAATCGCTTGAACCTGGGAGGTGGAGGTTGCAGAGAGCCAAGATCACACCACTGCACTCCAGCCTGGTGACAGAGCGAGACTCTGTCTCAAAAAAACAGAGGGGGTCTGGCCGGGCATGGTGGCTCATGCCCGTAATCCCAGCACTTTGGGAGGCCGAGGCAGGCAGATCACCTGAGGTCAGGGGTTCGAGACCAGCCTGACCAACATGGCAAAACTCCATCTCTACTAAAAATAAATTAAAATAAATAAATCTTTACTAAAAATAAATTATCCAGGTATGGTGGTGCATGCCTGTAATCCCAGCTACTCAGGAGGCTGAGGCAGGAGAATCTCTTGAACCCAGGAGGCGGAGGTTGCAGTGAGGCGAGATCATGCTACTGAACTCCAGCCTGGGCGACAGAGTGAAACTCTGTCTCAAAAAATAATAATCATAATAAAAAAGACTGGTCTGCTATGTCAAAGTAAAAGCCCTGATCAGAAGAGAATAGGACCCTGCATTTAGGATGGAAACTTACGTGTTGAATGTGCGTGTAAATCTTGTATCCCTAAGTTCCCCTGAGCCTACACAAGTGAAAGGCTGGGACTCCTTTCTTGTTTGAAGAGCATTTGGAGGCCTGTCTTTTGGAAGACATCATCTGCTCCCTCAGGATCTTCCCTTCCCGGCTACTAGAGCAATAATTAGGTCAAAGACAGGGCTATGCAGGGTCCTCTAGTAGAGGAAAGGGAGTAATCCCTGAAGAAAATGGGATTCCTGGACAATACGTACTAGCAGGAGCTAGAAAAGCACATGTGCGACTGTATGCTGAGGGCGATAGCCCAAGAGGTGGCACAACAGAAATTTAGATAAAAGAGAACTTATCATTAGAGAGCACTCTCTCAGGATACAGAATTTAGCACCTTGAAAGCATCTGGAGATGCCCCGAATGTTCTTCTCAGATGGCTCCAAGAAGTACAGAAAATGCTGTGGTCTGCACAGAGAGAGAGGGAAATGCCAGAATTCCTACAGCAGACAATGAAAGAAGGGATTAAAAGGTTCAGAAAAATAGGCTTGCTGGAGAGGCTATAATATGTAGTTCTGGAAATTCCACCGATGACTATATTCTGTGGATGTGCCTGAGGGACACGTCATTGGCCGTAGCCATGAGGAACGCACTGGTGAGAATGGAGGCAACATCACCGAGAAGCTCAGGGCTGACATCATTACGGGTCATGTATTCCATCTGTAATGGGAGATTCCATTACAGATTTGGGCTCAGAAATGGCAATGGGAACCACAGAATCCTGAAAAAAAAAAACGAATTCAGATAGCAGCATGTCACCCTCTCAAGCCAAGTGGACCCAATTATCACAATTAGTGGCAGCAAAGGGGCCTGACTCAAAGAGAGTTATCAAGATGGTTAAACACACCTACAGGCAAAATAGACGGGCAGCCAACAAGTGTACTTGAACTTGTACAGTCAATGGAAATCAAATTGGGTAATCAGGAAGCTATGAGCAGCTAATTCAATAAAATGTTGCAATTCCTTACCAGGTTTCTGGACCTGAAACAGTTTTTGAACCCAGAATTTATTGACTGAAAGAAAGGCTAGGTCCCCTGAGGGACAGACCATGCAATACTGGCCAAATGTACCTAGTCATGATTTTCCTAATCCTTCCCCAATGGTACTTACTGCCATTTGTGGGAGTAATTGTGTACTGAGGAAAGAGCAACACCCAAACCTTTTGAGGCCTGATGGACAAGGATCTGAGTTGCTTCCTGCAGACTTGAAACCTGTTAGAGTGTGAGCATTATGTGTATCTGGTGCAGCTTATGATAGGTTCAGTGGGTCCTTGGATGAACCTGTTATTTATTTTCCTGGAACCCAAAGGTACAATAGACACACTGGGTAATTGTCATAATCCTCCACTCAACCCAACTTCATCTTTGGCCTATGGGGTAAAACTATTATAGTAGGGATAGTCAGGTGAAAATCCCTAAAATGTTCTCCTACCCTCCTTAACAATAATAAATACTGTGAAAAAAATCTTATCTTGGGGTATAGGGGAGAAATGAGTGCCTTTCTTAAAGCCCTAAAGTTGTCTTGATCCCACCACACCTCCATTTAACTTACCAGTTTGGACCCTGCAACTACCAGATTGGTCCTACAGGGTGATGGCAGATTATTGCAAATTCAACTCAGCAGTTGATCGGTCGCATATACTGTGCTGGAAGACATATCTTTGCAAGATTAGACTAACACAGCTTCAAATACATGATATCTGACCACTGATCAGTTACATGTATTCCTATTATTTTCATCTTCATCCAAAAAGAGGAACAGAAAGAGTTTGTGTTTACTTTAAGTGGAAGTTAGTATTTGCCATTTTGTTCCAATGTTATGTCACCTCCTCCTCCAGCTGTCAAATATTGACCAGATGAACGTCCTGTAGAACATCACACTGGTCTCTGTAATGATAATATCATGCTAAAGAGAATGGATAAGCAAGAAATTGCTAGCATGGAGAACTCTGTAAGGATTCATTCTCCAGAGAATGAGCAATCAAGCCTGCAAACATTTAGCGAGCCTACACATTCTCCACACCAGCACATCTCCCCAAAAATGAAGGACAAATTATTCATTTTGCAGCTTCTACCATAAAGAAGAAAGGCCAGTGCGTGGCAGGCCTGTTTGGACTGTAGCTGCAGCATATTCCACACTTGGGAACACTGCTCTGACATGTCTATATAGTGGGTGACACAAAAGGCTGCCAAATTTGAATTAGGCTCAGGGCAAGAAAGGATTCATTAACAATCATTGAACAGGCTTCTGTCTGAAAACACCATTAAATGCAGAAAGTGCAAAGCTTTGACAGCCAAAAGTGGGTGAGGCTGCTCTGCAACATGGGCTAGGTGAGTGGGCAGGCCCTGTGGTGTGAGAGATACTGGTGGAGGGTACATACCACAGGGAGTATTATGGTAAGCCCCTGCTGGGGAAACTGCAGTGCACGTGAGCAGGGCTTTGGAGCAACAAAGAAGAGAAACACAATTTTTGAAAAACACTTCGTGATACCCCTGGGCCTTAGTAGAACAGAACACCTGACCATGGGCACCAAGTGCTCATGTGGACAGTATTATCCATTATCAGTTAGGTTTGTGCAGACCCACTAAGTCCAGGTCAGGCACATCCAGCAGCTAACTTTTCAAAGGATAGGGGATGTTCATCTGGGATAACCCATAGACATAACCAGGAGCATGAGCAAGCTAGATGAGCATGTGGGTTGGACATCCACTTCTCCACCACTATTGGCTCAGTGCTTCTCTCTCAGCCTGCATTGGTGGTAACATGGGAAAACCTTTATACAAGCTGATAGAAGAGGAAAAAGCCCAAGCAAAGTTCATAGGAGGCTTAGCTGAAAATGGACAGTGGCTGCACTACAGTACAATTCAGGTATGTTCCTGGGTAGAGCTTCAGGCAGTGCATCCGGTATTCCTTGTGGCTCAAGGATGAAACATATACAAACACATGAGTGGAGGTTCATGCTTTGGTTGACTGGCCTGGGTCCTGAAAGGAGAAAGATTAGAAGACCGGGAAACAAGAGAACTGGGAGGAGAGGCATGTGGGTGGACCTTTGATATAAACACCAAATAGTATATGCCCTGGAGGAGGCACAGGACAAGCAAATAGAGAGTTGAAATCAGCCAGCTTCTGTTCTATTTACTCCAGTGCTATCACACAGATGCATGAAATGAATAGTCATGACTGCAGTTGTGGAAGTTCTGCATGGGCCCAATAGCCCAAGAAGGCTGACTGAGCTGACAATGCATTCTCAAACTGCCAGTGGCAGAGACCAATGTTGAGCCACCAATACAGTTGAGACACCAATAGCATCCCTTGGGAAGACCAATATCTACTTGTGGCATGTTGAGTATGTTTGAATACTTCTACCCTGGAAGGAAGAGTGATTCCTTTTTATGGAAATAGACATATATTCCATGTATGGGTGGTTTGCCTTTCTTGCCTGCAGGGCTCCCACCAGCATCACTAGCAAGGACCAAGAGAGTGTTTGATTCCCAAGCAAAAATCACACTGCATCAGACCAATGGACACACTTTCCAGCAAAGGAGGTACAGATGGGAATCCAGGACTGCAGAATTCACTGTTTGTGTGTTACAATACCCAGTAATGCCAGACAATAGAATGGAAGAACAGTTTATTGAAGACACAGTTGAAAGAGTAATTCAAAGGTAATACTTTACTGGGATGGGGCCCCATTTTCTGGAATGAAAATTATTTTATTTATTTATTTATTTATTTATTTATTTTGAGATAGAGCCTCTCTCTGTTGCCCAGGCTGGAGTGCAGTGGCGTGATCTTGGCTCACGGCAAGCTCTGCCTCCCGGGGTCACGCCATTCTCCTACCTCAGCCTCCCGAGTAGCTGGGACTACAAGCATCCGCCACCATGCCTGGCTAATTTTATGTTTGTATTTTTAGTAGAGACGGGGTTTCACCGTATTAGCCAGGATGGCCTCAATCTCCTGACCTCGTGATCCGCCAGCCTTGGCCTTCCAGAGTGCTGGGATTACAGACTTGAGCCACCGCACCCAGCCAAAAATTATTTTAAATAAAAAAATCTCTTAATGGTGCTGTGTTCCCAACAGGTGGAACATATAGTTTCAGGAAACAAGTGTGGAGGAAGAAGGTGTTAACCTTGCTAGCCATTACTCATATTGATCTACTTGGGAAATTTGTGCTTCCCATCCCTGTGAGTTTAGAGATCCTTGTTCTCAAAGGGGGAGCATTTCTTTCAGGTGACACAGCCAAACTATAAGCTAAAGCTGCTCTCTGGGCACTTTGGGCTACTTGTACCAAAGAATAGCAAACAAGAAGATGCATTTTCATTCTAGCAGAGGTAAGTGATTCTCATCAGGTGGAGGAGATAGGACTGCTGTTACACATGGGGACATGGAGGAGTACATCTTGCACCCCAGCAATCCACATACATACTTCTTGGTACTCTTTTGCCCTACATTGGCTGTAAATAGACAAGCGTAACCACCCCAGTCAGAGAAGTCAAGGTGATTAGATCCCAGGGATGAGGATGTGAGTCACAACATCAGGTAAATTATTGAGCTGTGGGTGGGAAGAATCCAGACTGGTCAGTAAAGGAGGGACACAATGGGTCAGCTGTGGCCCTGAGATCAACTCCAGCCCTGGTGGGCATGGTTCTCACTGGCCTTCTTCTTAGCTTCACCTAGGAAGGGAGGTACCCTGGAATTCTGGAGAAGCTGCTCCCAGAACCTACAGGAAGAATTGATCCACATGGTGCTAGGGTAGCTGAGTTAATGGTGTTGTGTGCTGCCCCGATGTCTTTTCAGGAATGAAAGATTTGCTCCCCAGCTGCTGAGAGTGCTGCCCCAAGATGGTGCTCAGTGGTCAGCCCTCTTTGAGAGTTGCTTTAGCTGAAGGAAACTGACTCACTCAAGGTCACTTTCTTTTTTTCAGGGACAGCTTCGGTCAGGTCCAGTGACCGTCAATTAAGGGGTATAATGAACCTGCCCCTTGTCCCAACTGGAAACAACAATTCTGGATGGTTGCTGTGGGCTGACTGAGGCTAAGGGTGGGCTTGCATTGGGTTCTGCTTCTCCTTCTGTGTAATCCTGTGTCATGCCTCCTCTTACACTGGTGTTGCTCCCAATTCCTGTGCAAGACTGGGCCTAGGCTAGCAGGTTTGCTATGTGTGATCAAACCCCACTGCCAAGGGAAGAAAATCCAGCCTGTGTAAAAAAGTTGAAGTAGTTGAGATCTTTTTTCCCTTCTTTCCTGTAAATGTAAAGTTTGGACTGTGAGGAGCTGGGGGAGTTAAGCCATGGGGAACCAAGATGAGAGGTTGTGAAGAGCATGTTTTTGGTTAGAATGAGGTTAAGGTTGGTGGAATTAGAGACAGGGAGATAGAGGGGAAAAATGCATCATTTATGACAAGAAGCCATGAGACAGAGAGAAAGAGAGATTGAGAGCATCCTTGGCCTTCCCAGTTTCTGCTTTCCATCTGTAGTTAGTGAACTGTCCCAAGTGTTCTTCCTTAATATTCCACTGAATTAGAGACCCACTTCTCCCAGATGTATACAAACACATTGCTGTATTTTAGTTAGCTGGAGTTGGTTGCAACCAAGATTCTTGACTAGAATGATTGTATAGTATCTTTAGTTTTTGAAACTGTTTTTACATGTGTTTTTGTATTCATATAAAAACTACTCTGAGCTGATGTTTTAGATGCATAGAATGGAAGTTAATTGAAATTTGTATTAGTCAGATGGTGCCCCATGGAGAATACTCCAATACTGTGTTGTCTAAATTTTGGCCTAGCAAGGAAAATAGAACTAGGACAGAATTAACATTCACATTATTTTTCTTTCGTTAAATGTCTTTAGAGCAAGAAGTCCATGAGAATAAAAAAGCTGCTTCATTTTCCCTACTGAGCCATTTTACAAATGGGCAAGATGGGGAGTAAGGGGCAGAGAGGGAATAAGAATGAAATCATACTAATGCCATTTAATATGAAAAAATGTATAGTTAGAATTCTGATAAATTTGTCACTTCTGATTTCAAAAATTAGTCTTCATAGAAAAAATGTTAGTGATATTTGAGGAAGGGTATTGCATCATTTCAAAAATAAATAAGGGAAGTTATTTTAGATGTTGTGCCACCATTTAAAAGTCCATTCTTGCAGACAGGGAGCAGTGGCATTCTGCATGATTCAGTGTGCCCAGAAACTGCCACATAGGTAGGGATGACAGGAAGGAAGGAGTTTATCAATGAACCAGTGGTTTTCAAAGTGAAGCCCCTAGAGAAGCAACAGCAGCAGCGTCTGACAACTTGTTAGAAATGCCCCACTGCCCCACCTGGACCTGGCCTACATGCCCCAAACCCTAACCTCCCCAAAATACTGTCCTATGAATCCCATTGACTTAGGCTGTCAGATTCTAAAGTTTCTTATTTTTCTTTTTGCAGATTGTTATAGTGTTGTGAGAAGAACTATTGCCTCAGATCTTGTGAATATAGATTATATGTGTTCAGTGCCTGTGGATTCCAGAAAACTGGAGCCTCTTTGCCTCAGCTACAGTTAGTTTGTAGTTCATGGTATCAGTTGAGGTTTACACTGCTGGGTTTCTACCCAGGGGCCGGATGGTAGAAGATAGGAAAGGAGATGTGGGGTTGGAAATGCAAGTTAGGATCTTGCTTTAAACGATTGCACTTTGTTTGTCCATGCATCCTCTTGAAACTTAGTGAATTTTTTTGTGATAAGAATGATTAAAAAAACCTTTCTGGGACAAATATGTTAATCACATTTAATCACATGTAATCAAAATTTTGGTCTTTTAACCAAAACATTTTTTATAGACATATTTCTATTGGAAATTAACTAGAATATATACCTGGTACAAGGAGACTACAGATATCTCCTGACTTACTGAGTGGTCTAAATCCATTTTCTTCTGCTAATTAGACCAGCTGCATACAATCTGGATCAAAAATTACCCAAAAGAATTTAAATTCTGAAAGGAAATAGAGCAGGGCACAGAAAATGTATCTGCTTCTTCTCCCATTTTCTTGGTCTTCATAAATATTTTGAAGTTTTAAAAATATTCTCTATCCAGAGCGATTTCTAGTCATTACTCATTTGTTAGGTAATCTGCCATTGTGTGAGAAACACGGGCATTAAAACACATGCATCTGTCACATAATAATATTGTAAAGGTGAAAACTATTATGTCTTCATTGAGTCTCAAAGTACTAACACACTAATAGTAAGATAGCATGTTAATTAATCACCGACATTAATTGAATAATTTAAAAAACCTATGTTATTATAATCTTTTATTCCCAAAGCCACTTAACATCACTTAAGAAGAGAAAAATGGCTAATAGAATACAATTAAATATATACTATCAAATCCTTTAGGTTTTTCCCACTTTTCTTTAAAGTTGTGTTCATTCTAGTGAGCAACTAGGTATATGGTTGATTTTAATCTAAATATGATTTCTCAGTTCCAAAAATTTGATTAGCAGTTGGTTCTCTGTACACATAGAGCTGGCCACTAAGAGTACATGTTGTTTTGACCAGGAAAATGAGTAAGAAATGAGGTTCAAGGTCTCTGTCATCATAATCAGCATATTTCATTCAGCTCCATCTTATTCAGGTGTCCATGCAGCAAACAGTCCATTTCTACCCAGTCCTTCAAACTTTTCATGATCACCCAACCTCACATGATCCCCTGCTTTCACTGTATACTTGTGTGTACTGTTTACTTGATACTGATTCTATACTGCCTTCAATTTAATATCTATTATGTTTTGTCTGAAAGCTGAATTGCAGGCCCCTTGAAGAAGGAAAACCCTCTTCTAACCTACGCATATTAGTGTTATCATGTGCATGGGGTTGCCAATAAGGCTAATAGTGGATTTCTCAACAGAAACCTCAGAGGCCAGGAGAGAGTGAAGTGATAGAGTCCAAGTTCTAAGTAATTAAAAAAAAAAACTACCAATGAAGAATACTTTACTTGACAAAGCTACCCTTCAGAAAGGAAGGTGAAATAGAGACTGTCCCAGAGAAACAAGAACTGAGGGAGATCAGCATCACTAGACCTACTTTACAGAAAATGCTAAAGGGAGTTCTTCAAGCTGGAAAGAGAGGCTATTAATTATTAGGTTGGTGCGAAAGTAATTGCAATTCTCACCATTACTTTTAATGGCAAAACTGCAATTACTTTTGCACCAGCCTAATAGTAACATGAAAACATATGAAAGAATAAAATTCACTGAAAAATGTAAATATATAATCAAATTCATAATACTCTAATACTAACATACACATTAGAACCATAGCATCTTGTATAACATTACAAAAATGTACAGCTTCCTACACACCTAAATAAATATTTATTGTTTTAATGTACTATACTCATAACTTCCCTCAAAGATTTCCTCATAGCAAGAACAACAAAATGTTTTCTCAAGAATCTCAGAAGTCATGCAATTCAGCAGTCTTCTAGAGAATGTTTTTCTCTAAGGCATGCTTGAAATGAAAGCTGTAAAAAGAGAAAAGAGACTATTACAGAATTAAGCAGAAGTAAATAGTGCCACATCTCCAAAGACTGTATACATAAGTAAAGAAAGCCAGATGGTCCTCTTCATTAAAAAGATATGAAATTTGATACCAACATGCAGAAAAAAATTTGGTGGTCAGATTTTCTTCAATTCTAAACTTCACCTTAGATTTCAGGTTAAATTGATTCTCCTGGAAAATTCTTCAAACTTTTTAATGACTCTATAGGGTTTATTTTTGGGGGATCAAGCTAGTGTTGTCCTTGTGTGTGTCATACCTTCCTGACTTTGGAATATTCCATGCTCTCCCTTTTTGAAAGTTTCTATTTTTTTAAGTTTATATAAATCTGTATTTAAAATCTTCTTTCATGTCTTATTTCTGTATTTTTCTCAGCATCTAAAGATAGAGTTCCATGCTTCTCTGTTTCTGCTTCTTTTTTCTCCTTCTGGACTCACTGTGCTATCTTTTCTTATTGTTTGTGTGTACTCTTGCTGTTAATGACTTATTATTTAATATATTATTGACTTTATTGCTTAATGTCAATATCATACAAAACTATTGTTAAAATTTTGCTATTGGGGTTAAGTATCATGTTCTTCTTATAAGGTGAGAATTAGTGTTAAAGTAGAAAAGTTCTGTCAAAACCTTATCTACACTGGCTGCTTAATGTATGATACTCATAACTTTCACATTGAGAATTAAATTGTGTTAGCATTCCCAGAGGCAATATACTTGTGGAGGATGTAGTAACTAAATATTCATGGGCCCCTAGGCAAGCAGTGCATGGGCTTCAGGGAACCCAGAAACCCTCTGAAACACAGATTTTCAGTGTCTGAAATACGACAAATGTTTGTAATTCCTGAGAATTCCAATGATGTAAAGTATATGGAAGCTGTCTTCTCATAAGGCAATAGACTTTATCTAAATTTATTCTCAATTATTTGGACATGCATCCTTTTGCAGTTCTGTCACTTGATCTTTGTGATACTATATGCCACTCTTAAAAGTTTGGTTACTGGCATTTTGGGCTATTTCACTCAATTCTCTAGGGGAATGTCATTTCTTCATTTCCAAATTTGTACCAAGGCAAGTGATTGAAGTTATTAAAATGAGTTAGAGCTGCTAATTTTAAAAGCTCAACTGCAGAGATTTTCATGGTATAAGTCCAGAAGTGGTTCAGTTGTGTAGGAGTTTGCAACTCCATGTCCATGTGCCCCTAAGGATCAGTGTATAGGCTTCATGGGGTCCAGGAACCCTCGGAAATATTGAGTATTTGTGCATCTGTTCATTTTTTTTCTAGATAGCAAGTTGATTACTTTGTCATAGTCACCATAAGATTAAGAATCATAACCTTGAAGGGAGGCAGCATACGAAACCTGCATGGAGACTTTAGTGTGAAAACTTGTGTTAATTCATTGACAAAGGCCTAGCCAATAGTGACTCAGAGGAATCTGGGTGCCAGTGCCATTTACCTTAGGAAACACGGTATTTCCAAATGTATAAGGTGAGGGTGTGATGGTGTAGACATTTCTACATCCTATCATTTCCCATTTTATGACAACCTAACAGCACCCAAATGTGGCATTTATTTTAAAATTGACTCAGTCATCTACAGAACCACAGTCGAGGGAAGTACAGAGGAAAGAAATAATTGCTATCCTTCCTTCCAAGCCACCAAAGCCAGTTAAGACAGGACATGCTGGACTTAGGAAAGATTTCTGGAAAGAGACTGCTGGTGCTTTTGCTATCCCTTGTATCAAATTTGTGGGAAGATTCCCTAAGTGGGTTCAAGATGTTTTGGAAAATTACAGAACCCAATCTTCAGGCAGTGGGAAGCAGTGAAAGTTTTGTCTGGATATTAATTGGCTCTGCATCTAATAGGAAATAAAGGCCCAGAGAAACCCTTTTGGCTGTCTCGTGGTACTCTGGATTTTTCCAGCTCAGTGTAATAAATAAGAGTCAAAATACCATCTTGTCTGGAGAAGAAAATCATAATATTTATAGGCTTTAGAACACTGGGGTTTTTTAAGGCTGAATAAAGAACTCTTATGTTGTCTGCTGTGTTTTTCTCCTCTTTCCTATCTTTATTTTTTCCTGATTCTCCTCTTTCAACCCCCCTTTTTTTTCTGAAATGGAGATACTGATGAGGACCCTGAATTTTGCCAGTAAAGTTACAAGATGGTTACTCAAATAAGTTCTCCTGTTAAAACTCCTACCACTGTGTGAATTTATTCTAAAACATTTTAAGACATGATTGTTTTAAGATTTGCTTAAACACCACCAAATAGACTGATATGTTACTTCAGCTTAGCAGGGCTTTTGGGTTTGGAGGTAGCTCCTAGCTCCTCTGTGCAGGGAAAAGAGGAGGAGTTTGGGGCATCAGATTCAAAATCTCCCAAGCTGATTAGATGGGTGCAGACTGGCACACTCCTTTACTTGGAGTTGGCAAGTGCCCTTCAGATGACCATGGACCAAAGAGCTATTACCTTTCCCATCTTCTTCCAGTAAGTACACACTAGTCTCCAAAGGAAGTGTAATTTGTCCTTTGACTGATTTCTTTCTAAGTGTCCTGAACAAGAGCAGAGTTTGAGTGTCTGGAATTAAGTCCTGGTAGAACATAGGTTCTCCTGTGGTCAGTCTTCCTTCAGAGGATGACTCAGGTGGATGCCCCTGCCTTCCATGATGCTAGCCTTCTCCTGACAATCCTTCTCATAGCCCCTCCCATGCAATCCTCTTTAACCCTTCACTATTCAGTGTTTCCGCCATCTCTCTCTGGACACACCCAACTCGCCAGAGTCTTTGCTCAGTCCCATGTGTAGTTCCAGTCTAGTCTTCAGGTAGCTTGACTGGATGTCAGCAGAGCTTTGTCTGCTCTAACAGGTGCTGTTTCCTCATGGCTGGAGGGGACTTCTGGTCGTAGGAAAGACGAGTTTGAGATAATGGAAGGTTCTCTTGTTGAAACTTGGCCCAATAACAGAACTGTGGTCTCATTTTTTTCTAGAAATTTTGGACACAAATAGTATGGTGACCATGATAACTGATTTTTTCTTTCAAAAGTTTCCCAAGTTTAGTTTACATAAGAAATGCTTACTCAGTGTTTACGCGCCCCTCTTTACTCCTATTGTTAAAAAACTATTCTTTGTGATTTTTTATGAAAGTGAAAAATTTGGCCGTATTATGTACAAAAGCATGATTCCCTTTTTTTTCATGCACCCCTTAGCCTCCCATCTCAATGAAGCACACATTAATTGACAATGCTTTTGCATTTCTGACAAATGGCATCTTGTTTCCAAATTTCTCATTAGTCCTCAAGCTTCATCCTTTTAGCACAGAAAGGGATTTTAGTGCTTCTTTCCAAATGAGAAATTATGAGACACAGATTCCTTAGACAGTATGGCCAAGGATGCTGTCAAGTCCTTGATGTATTGGAGTTTTTTAATATCCTTGCCATAAGGGGATGGAGTAGGGATATACCCATTTGAAGTCTTGGTTATCAGTTTCTACCTTGCCTAAGGTGGATTTATGGTTTGGGGATTCAAAATCAGGACCAAGTCTTGAATTAAGTTCAGGGCTTGGAGGGAAGCTGTCATGATGTTTAGTGTGATCCAGACATCAGCCAGAATTGTTCTCATGGTACAAATTCCCTCAAAGTAGAATTTGATGAATTTCACCGGACATAAACAGTGCATTGTAATATATTCACATAAACAGGTGAATGCTCTCAGAACACTTTAAAAATGATAAAAACCTACCTTACCTTACAAATCTCGAGAGGTATGTGTAATGATGATCATTTAGGAAGTTAGAAAAAAAGACAGACTAACAGGAAAGAATAAGTCATAAGTATAGAGAGCATCTTGGGAAGGGTGACAAAGGAGCTGGCCACACAGGCAGTGAGTGAAAAAATATGGCATTGAGTGTATGTATTATAAAATAGGTTATCTTTGTAACTATGTATAAAGCCTACAGAATCTTTGCATAATTTAGTTTCCTTTTTGGTTGATGTTTTAAAATCGATCTTTTAAACAAAAAGTGATGTAGATAATTTTACATTTTTTCTAATTTTCCCAACTGGCTATGTATGATGATTGTATTGTGAGTGAGTCATTGTATTTAACTGAAAGCATCTCTGGTATTAAAATTTCATTCTTGTTTCCTAAGAAATCTTAGTCAAAACAACAGTAACATATTCTCACAAAGGATAGTCTATAAACTGATGAAGTACATTATTCATATGCCACAGTGTAATAATCACAAGACCATTACATTTCATAGAATACTATGCCCAGTGACAATACCTGTGATGATGAGATAATAGCAGCCATGAGCACTCCAGGGAGGAAGGGGGATGAATCATTGAACAGGCATTATTATCATTAATAATAAACTCTGTGAATAAGGTAACATGGTTTTCATCACTACTGCTATTGCACAGATTGTAGATTTGTTTTCAAAGTTTAAATTGATGACTACATAAAACTAAGAACAGTGCCAACAGAAGTAATGTTTGTAAGTTAATCCATTACAAAAGCCTGGAAAACCAGTCTTTGCTAATTGCTCCAATGCATGGCCTGGATATTGACATTTAGTGGGTAACTGCTGAAATGAAATAACAATATTTTCCAAACAGTGATTTGGAGCCTGAATTGATTCCTGCACACCCACTTGGAGATGCATTCGGCCGGGGGTAGCAGATGGGTGAAGATGGTGGTTGCCTTCCACCTCCGATATCCTATCCAAATCTTAACTTCCTTTGAGTTATATTTCAAGATTTTCCTTCTCCAGGAAGCTTTCCTTGGCTCCTAGACCCTATGCGCTCAGTTCCCACAATGCTTATTATTTGGACCTTTCCTTTCAACACTTAGACACAGACTGCCTGATATTGATGGCCCTTTTCACAAAGATTATGTTTCTTGAAGTCAGAGGCTATGCATTACGGTATTTTTTAATTTTCCAGTGTACACAGCATTATATACAGGGCAGGCACTCAAAAATTTGGTGAATTGTATGCAAATGATATAATTACAGCATATTCAACCTTATGATACCACTTAATTCAAGTCCTAGTTTTCCAGATGAGGAAAATTAAGCCAACAATAGTTAAGTTCTTGCTGAAGATCATATGACTAATATATAATTTAAAAATAATCCAAGCACATCATTTGCTTAGGAAATAGGTGTTTCATTCATGTTCTTATTTAACCTATTTGTTTAGTAAATAAACTTGCCTTTTCACCAGCATTGCAGAATTGTATCTCATCCCTACTACTGCTGGGATCAGTGAGGATTTGATATATTTGCTGCTGTCTTTAGAACTCTGATGCTGTCATTAATATGTATCAACACATTTGCAAGTGCTTATACACTTTCTTTTTCAACTTGATGGTTTTAGGCTTCATTGTGAAGTCTCCACCCTTTGTTGCAATTGGAATGATTGCATCTCTGCTCACATAGAGCTTTGTTTCTGCCTGGACTTTGTTGCTTTCCACAATTAGACCTGCATTGTGATTTGGTGAATAGATGTTTATCTCCCCTACTATTCTGGGGCTGTTTGAGGGTGGAGAATCACAGAGTGATCATCTTGGTTTCTCTATAGCACCTAGTCCAGTTCTTTGAATACAATAGAAACTTCATAAATGCTGAATAAATTGTTTTGTTCAGTCTAATGTAATGAAATGATAGTTACAAGAGTGTGTTTCTGAAAATCAGGCATTTTTTTCATGAAAATGCTAACCAGAGCCTCTTGCCCACTATTTGAAGACGAGAAAGAATATAATACAACCTACCAATTTTTTGTGTGGCATCACAAAACAACCTACCAATTTCCTAAAAGATAACTAAACCTAGTAAAATGTCTAGGTAGAAGTAACTACCATGTTAGGAATAAAAAGCTTAAACATCACTTTCTAATCACCAGTTAATTAGGCTGTTAGTAATGACTGTGTATACAGTAACATATACAGTTTTTATGCCACATCATGAATATTATGTTTATGATAAGGCATAGAAATAAACACACATCAATAAAGCTGTTAGGGAAAAAACAAAAAGTTACAATAAAAAGCTAGTTTCTTGTAATAAATTCTTTGTCATCTACAGCTTGAAAAAAGTTGAGAATGGAGCTGGGGAGAAGGATTGAAGCAGTGGTTTGTCAAGGGTTATGGAAAGAGGTGGTATGAGGAGTTGCTGTGCCTGGGTGACTGTGTTGGTCCCCTTGGGCTGCTGTAACAGAATACCATTGACTGGGTGGCTTATACACAATAGGAATTTATTGCTTACAGTTCTGGAGGCTGACAAGTCCAGATTCAGTGTCTGGTGAAGGCCAGCTTCCCGGTTCCTAGATATTGCCTTCTCACTGTGTCCTCACATGGTGGAAGTGGGGAGGGCGCTCTCTGGGACCTCTTTTGTAAGAATACTAATCCTACTCATGAGGTTTCCATCCTTATGGCTGAATCAGCTCCCAAGGTTCGATCTCCTAACACCATCACTTTGGGGGTTAGGATTTCAACCTGTGAATTTTGGGGGGACACAAATATTCAGACCACAGCAGCAACAACAAGACAAATTTAGGCAAATTCTCAGAATCAGAGGAACTGATACAGAGGCACCATGTTCCTGAGGCTATTTGAAAAGCTCCAGAACAGGAGGTTGTGATCAATCTGCAGGGGAGCTGGTTCAGGCTTTAGGATGAAAAAATGCTAAAAGCAAACAACTTTACTTACTTCAAAGAAAAAGTTTTAAACAGAAATATTGTCATATCACCAATATGTTTCAGCGTAATGTTTGTCACTGCCTCTGCATGACTCATTCTGGTTTGATCGTCTCTTAGGGTCTACTCTCAGCACCAGTAACAGCTGAGACACTCACAGCACAATTATACTCTTGGTGATGCTGTACTTTGAGTATAACTTAAGACTTCTATCTGCACATCATGTTGTTAATGATGTTGTAATGAGTTTTGGTGACATTCACATAAAAATTTTCCTAATCAGTGTTAACAGAAAAACATTGTTTTGTGTGTGTGTCTGTGTGTGTGTGTGTGTGTGTGTGTGTGTTGAAAGATACATGTGTTTTGTCAAGTTTGTATATTAAAATCTAAAAGGGAGTTTACTGACACATTGCTCATATGAGAGATATATGTGAAATAAGAGTGTATTATACATGCAGTCTCAGCTTGCCTTGTTCCATTTCAAGGGGTATATAATTCTTCCAAAGGACTAAAATTCTCACAGCAAAATCAATTTGAATTAATCAAGTCATTAAAATATTTATTGAGTACATAGAATGTTTATAGCACAGTCAAAAGGATTGTGGAGTGAATCAGGCAAGGATTTTGAGATAAGGCCTGTCCAGAATCAGCTCCATCACCTCGTGGGAAATGAGGTGGGGTCCACATAGGAGTGGTGGCTTGTGTCACAGACAGAATAGCTGCATCTGGATGGAACTGGAGGCAT